>NC_000003.12:38760000-40010000 GCF_000001405.40 Homo sapiens
CACAAATAAGTATTGGTTCCTTCCTGGGGTAGATTATTTATTAAAATGGCTATAATTCTTGTCTCTATGTATCCACACCCTTTCCAATGTGACTTTTCAGCTCTTTCCATTGAGTGATGAAGTCTATTTCTCTGTCTCTTGGATCTCTACTGGACTGCAACTTGCTTTAGTCAAGAATGTATCAGAATGTACAAAAGGTACATTGTGTTGGTTCTAAGCCTAGGCCTGAAGAAGCCTTGCAAACTTCCACTGTTTTTCTGGGAACACTGCCATGAGAACAGGCCCAGGCTAACCTGTTTGGGGGTGAGAGGCCACATGAGCAGAGACAGGACGTCCTAGACCAGCCATCTCCAAGTTAATATGCTGTCTGCATATGCATGAATGAGCCTAGTCAATGTCACCCAATGCCCATCTGATCCCAGTCCAAAATGCTGATGCACAGAATCATGAATTAAATACATTGTTGTTTTAATTCACAAAATTTTGGGGTCATTTGTTACACAGCGAAAGCTAACTCATACATTCCCTCCCCATGAGCTCTGGGTTGGCAAAGGCCATGATTTATTTATTTATACATCTTTCCCAGGACCTGCAACCCCATCTGTGCCCATAATATGCCAAGGACAAGATGGAGAAGGAATTGTTGGGCACTCGTGCTTTGTCATAAGTTGGGAACTCACCCTGAGTCAGATCCATTGCCACACAGTAAGGGGTCAGAAGTGCCTCGCTTATTTATGTAGATATCTGCTGAAGAAAGGAAGAAAAGAAAGCCTCACAGATGGTTCTGAACCCTCCAACCCAAGCCTTGTGTGGTGAATGCAATATTCCCAAGTCTTCCAAAGTGAGCTCCTTTGGCTACATGTACTCAGTGGGCATGCTGGGCCACATGGAAGTTGTAAAGTCACATCTGAAAAGAGAAGAGCTAAGCAGTGACTTCGGCTCTCAATCTCCCCCAGCAGAGGTAGAATGACTTGCCTCTAGATTTATGGCTCATTTCCTTGCAAGAGGGATGCTGAGCAACAGGAAATAGAATACCCAAAAGTAAAACACAACTCAAGAGAACCATTTTGGCAGGAAAGGGGAGTCAAAATATATGTCTATACACACACACAGGGGCTCCATATCCCCTGTCCCTATATGATACCAAGGGTCCAACCAGACCTTGGTCCCTATGGAAGAGACTCCACTCACGTTTTCTGTGAGATGAGTAGTTGGTTGTCTCATTGACAGCCATGTCATTCTTGACACATTTATTTTTGAGGTTGCCCTTGAAGAGTTGCAGCCCCACCAAGGCAAAAACACTTAGGCAGAAGATGGTGAGGATGGTCACATCAGCCAGTTTCTTCACTGAGTGAATCAGGGCCCCCACAATGACCTTCAGGCCTGCGGGAAGATGACAGTGGTATGACCACATGGATGAGGTAGCACACACGGAGCACACTTCTTCATCTTAGCCATCCTCCTTCATCTCTACATACAGGAGTGAAGTATGTACACACTCCAGGGCAGTTCCAAGACCTTTCTCATCCGAAGCTTGCATTTACTCTGAGAGGCAGGCAGAGAGTCAGGGGCTATTCTCATTATAAAGACGATGCAACTGAGACCCAGGCAATGCATTTTTTATCATCTTGAGGCTAATAAAATTCCTGACACTAGCAATTCAATTTAAATAATTTATGCTGAGTACCTACTTTTTCCAGGCACTGTGCTAGGCATGAAGCTACTAACTTCACCCCAGTAATTTGGCATCTGTCTTTCTGCATGCATCTGGGAGGCAGCTTGAGACTTGGGACACATGAACCTCACTGTGTGTGAGTGTGTGTGTGTGTGTGTGTGTGAGAGAGAGAGAGAGAGAGAGAGAGAGAAAGAGAGAGAGAGAGAGATGCAAGAGAGATAGAGTGAAACAAAAATAGACCAAGAGAAAGAAAAAGAAAGAGACACAGAGAAACAGAGAGGTGAGTTTAGCAATAGAAAGAGACTATAAGAAACACTGAGACAGTCACTGGGGCATAAATAGAACTTGTGCCAAGCACAGCTGGCAGCAAAGAAGGATACACCTGCTTGTTTAAGGAGGGATGATTTGTTGCTCTGGTAAGTAAAATCAACTTCTTTGGGAGAGCAGCTTCGCAGGTAGCAGAAAGAGCTCTGACCAGGGAAGCAATCTAGGATTTATTTTTGGTTAGTCATTTTGGTCAGCAAATAATCCACTGAGCACTACATGTGTCAGTCCCTGGACTGGGAGCTGAGTGATGGCTAAGGCAGCAGCATGTCGAGTGCCGTTGTCTGACAATTGAGGGGAAAGTCTGTAGCATTACTGAGCAGATGGGCACACAGGGGAGCAGCCCTTAACTGAAGTTCCAGAGGTGGGAATGGGGTGGGTGGAGTGTGAGGAAGGTGGGAAAACCAGGGAGGAGGTAAAACCTTGGCAGAGCCCTGAGGAATGAGTGTGAGTTGAGTAAAGAGAGGAGGAAGGATATCCCAGAAGAAGGGGCAGCACAGTAGAAGGCTGGGAGGTGAGCAATGGTGTGGAGTATTTGCAGAACCGTAGGTGGATTCCAGAGCATGGTGAGATGTGAGGAGAGGTGAGAGATGAGGCAGAAGAGACAGTATGGACAGACCAGGTCTTGCAAATAAGACTCAGGGTCTTCCCAGTTGAGAGTAAGTGAGAGAGATATGAAGGGGCAGGACCAGGGCTCTCTTCAAGAGGTGTGTCCAGTGGGAATTGGCAGAGAGTTTCCTATCTTTCCCTGCAGAGCCAGACAAGAAATGGTAGAAAAGACTTCCACTCTAGAATGGGTGTTTCTGTTTACAGATAAGAGAACGAATTCTTGGGGTGAGAGGAGAGAACCTATCAGGCCACAGAGGGGAAGCATCAAGTCCCATTTCAGAAAGTTTGCCTTGTCTCTGGCCTCCCCATCCTCACCATCAACCTCATGGGGGCTGAAGAGTAGTCGCTGGGCTACTGGTGACAGTGGAGATCTTAGAGGCCCCACACAATGAGCTTTGATGGACTACTTTTGTTTCTGAATTCTCAGTAATCAAGAATTGCCTAATTCTTTTTTCCTCTGGGTGTCTAAAGACAGGATTTTAGACCTACGGAAACAGTGAAGATACTGGGACTGCTTTCTCCCTTCCTCCCCATTTCCAAGTTTAATCCTTTAGTTTAAGGTATAAATAAAAATTCAACTGAGGGGTCTTGCCTGAATCCCACAACCAGAACAGAAAGTGAAGACATGCCCCTCCTGTTACGTATTGATTGTGAGGCCATGTGGTATGTGGGAAGAGCACTGGCCTAGGAGTTGGGACAATAGGCTTCCAGGTCACACTGTCTCTTACTAGTGAAGAGGCCTTGGGTTTATGTTTCCTATACTCCAGGCCTCAGTTCCTTTGTCTTGTAAGTGGGGACAATAGTCTTTGCCCTGGAACCTTACAGGGTTCTTGTGAAAATTAGAGAAGGGAGTTAGGCTGTGAAAACCAACATATGCTCTGTGAATAAATGCTCACCTGGGATCACAGAAACTGTTTTTAATGCTCTAAGAACTCTGAATGTCCGCAGGCCTGAGATCCCACGGAGATCTATTGCTGTGCCAACATATCTGTAGGACCAGAAGTTAGTCAGCATCTCTGCAAGCAAGGGTCCTGGGGATGCATGCAGCATAAATAAGGATAACCTGGGGTATCATTAGCCTAGAAAGGATGCAGAATGGACACTTAGAATCTAGTGACACTGCCATCTATAGACTGACACTGACACTGATTTCATTATTGCAACATCTTTCAGAGTGGACCCTTTGAGAAGATGCATTGTGATCTAGGCAACACTGCATGTGGACGGATCTTCAAACACAGGAGTTTGACCAACCAGTCTCCTCAGACACTGATTTCTCAGAAGGAGACCGCCATGTCAGGGGGGTACAAGGCTGGGCCTTTTCTGATCCACTGTGACAGGCTAACTGTTATCTCAGATTTGAGGTCTCTGACATCTCCTCATGGGCATGGGACTAATCTTGGAAAGCAACCCCCGAAGCGGTACTCTGTGGCAAGAACCCCAGGCCATACAATTCCAAATGAGGAAGCTGAACTGAGATGAAGAACCTTCTTCAGAGTGTGAGCCTGGATACACCCATAAGCCCCACATGGACACCCATGCAAATCTTTTTATTTTATTTTATTTCAATAGTTTTGAGGGAACAGGTGGTTTTTGGTTACATGAATAAGTTCTTTATTTGTATTTCAATAGTTTTGGGAAACAGGTGGTGTTGGGTTGCACAGAAAAATTCTTTAACGCTGATTTCTGAGATTTTGGTGCACCATCACCCGAGCAGTGTACACTGTACCCAGTGTGTAGTCTCTTATCCCTTACCTTCGTCTCACCTTTCCTCCCAAGTCCCCAAAGTCCATTATGTCATTGTTATGCCTTTGCATCCTCACAGCTTAGCTCCTGCTTGTAATTAAGAACACATGATGCTTGACTTTCTATTCCTGAGTTACTTCATTTAGAATAATAGTCTCCAACTCCATCCAGCTTGCTGCCAATGCCATTATTTCATTCCTTTTTACAACTGAGTAGTATTCCATGGTATGCATACACCATATTTTCTTTATGCACTTGTTGGTTGATGGGCATTTAGGCTGGTTCCATATTTTTGCAGTTGTAAACTGTGCTGCTATAAGCATGCATATGCAAGTGTCTTTTTAATAATGGCTTATTTTCCTCTGGGTAGATACCCAGTAGTGGGATTGCTGGACCAAATGGTAGTTCTACTTTTAGTTCTTTAAGGAATCTCCATAACGTTTTCCTTAGTGGTTGTACTAGTTTACATTCCCACCAGCAGTGTAAAATTGTTTCCTTTTCATTACATCCATGCCAACATCTATTATTTTTTGGTTATGGCCATTCTTGCAGGAGTAAGGTGGTATCTCATTGTGGTTTTAATTTGCATTTCCCTGATAATTAATGATGTTGAGCATTTTTTTTTCCTGTTCATTGGCCATTTATATATCTTCTTTTGAGAATTGCGTATTCTTGTCCTTTGCCCACTTTTGGATGGGATTATTTGTTTGTTTTCTTGCTGATTTATTTGTGTTTCTTATAGATGCTGGATATTAGTCTTTTGCTGGAAGCATAGATAACAAAGATTTTTCTCTCATCCTATGGGTTGTCTGTTTACTTGGATGATTATTTCTCTTGCTGTGCAACAGCTTTTTAGTTTAATTAGATCCCATCTATTTATTTTTGTTTTTGTTGGATTTGCTTTGGGTCCTTGGTCAGGAACGTTTTGCCTAAGCCAATGTCTAGAAGAGTTTTTCCAATGTTATCTTCTAGAATTTTTTATAATTTCAGGTCTTAGATTTAAGCCTTTTATCCATCTTGAATTGATTTTTGTATAAGGTGAGAGATGAAGATTCAGTTTCTTTCTTCCACATGTGGCTTGCTAATTATCCCAGCACCATTTGTTGAATAGGGTGTCCTTTCCCCACTTACGTTTTTGTTTGCTTTTTCAAAGATCAGTTGCTTGTAAGTATTTGGCTTTATTTCTGAGTTCTCTATTCTTTTCCATTGGTCTATGTGCTTATTTTTATACCAGTATCATGCTGTTTTGGTACAGGCTATACTATAGCCTTGTAGTATAGTTTGAAATCAGCTAAGGTGATGCCTCCAGATTTGTTATTCTTGCTTAGTCTTGCTTTGGCTATGTGGATTCCTTTTTGGTTCCCTATGAATTTTAGGGTTGTTATTTCTATTTCTGTGAAGAATGATGTGGTACTTCAATGGAAATTGTATTGAATCTGTATATTGCTTTTGGCAGTAAGGTCATTTTCACAATATTGATTTTATCCATCCATGAGCATGGGATGTGTTCCCATTTGTTTGTGTCATCTGTGATTTATTTTAGCAGTGTTTTGTAGTTTTCCTTGTAGAAATCTTTCACCTTTTTGGTTAGGTATATTCCTAAGATTTTTTTGTTTTTATTTTTGTTTTTTTTTTGCAGCTGTTGTAAAAGGGATTGAGTTCTTGATTTGTTCCTCAGCTTGGTTTCTGGTGGTGTACAGTAGTGCTGCTGATTTGTATACATTGTTTTTGTATCCTGAAACTTTACTGAATTCATTTATTAGATCTAGGAGCTTTTTGGATGAGTCTTTAGGGTTTCCTAGGCATACGATCATATCATTGGTGAACAGCAACAGTTTGACTTCCCCTTTACTGATTTGGATTCCCTTTATTTATTTCTCTTGTCTGATTGCTCTGGCTAGGACTTCCAGTACTATGTTGGATAGAAATGGTGAAAGTGGGCATCCTTGTCTTGTTTCAGTTCTCAGGGGGAATGCTTTCAACTTTTCCCTGTTTGGTATAATGTTGGCTGTGGATTTGTCATAGATGGCTTTTATTACCTTGGAGTATGTCCCTTCTATGCCAATTTGGTTGAGGGTTTTAATCATAATGGGATGCTGGATTTTGTCAAATGCTTTTCCTGCACCTATTGAGATGATCATATGATTTTTGTTTTTAATTCTGTTTATGTGACGTGCAGCATTTATTGACTTGTGTATGTTAAATCATCCCTACCTCCCTGGTATGAAACCCCCTTGATCATGGTGTGTTATCTTTTGGATATGTGTTGGATTCAATTAGCTAGCATTTTGTTGAGGATTTTTGCATCTATGTTCATCAGGGATATTGTCTGTAGTTCTTTTTTAAAAGTCCTTTTCTGGTTTTGGTATTAGGGTGATACTGGCTTCATAAAATGATTTAGGAGGATTCCCTCTTTCTGCATCTTTTGGAATAGTTTCAATAAAATTGGTACCAATTCTTCTTTGAATGTCTGATAGAATTCAGCTGTGAATCCAGTCTGCTCCTGGACTTTTTTTCCTTGGCAATTTTTGAATTACTGTTTCAATCTCGCTACTTGTTATTGGTCTGTTTAGAGTTTCTATTACTTTCTGATTTAATCTAAGACAGTTGTATATTTCCAGGAATTTATTCATCTCCTCTAAATTTTCTAGTTTGTGCAAATAAAGGTGTTCATAGTAGCCTTGAATGATTTTTTTTTTGTATTTCTGTGGTATCAGTTGTAATATCTCCCATTTTATTTCTAATTGAGCTTATTTGGATCTTCTCTCTTCTTTTCTTGGTTAATCTTGCCAATGGTCAATCAATTTTCTATATCTTTTTAAAGAACCCGCTTTTTGTTTCACTTATCTTTTGTATTATTATTATTTTTATTTGAATTTCATTTAGTACTGCCCTGATCTTTGTTATTCCTTTTCTTCTGCTTGGTTTGGGTCTGTTTTGTTCTTGTTTCTCTAATTCCTTGAGGTGTGACCTTAGATTATCTATTTGTCCTCTTTCATACTTTTTGATGTAGGTATTTAATGCTATGAGCTTTCCTCTTAGCACTGCTTTAGCTGTATCCCAGAGGTTTTGATAAGTTGTGTGACTATTATCATTCAGTTCAAAAAATTTTTAAACTTCCATCTTGATTTCATTGTTGACCCAAAGATCATTCAAGAGCAGATTGTTTAGTTTTCATGTATTTGTATAGTTTTGAGGGTTTCTTTTGGAGTTAACTCCGAGGTTTATTCGACTGTGCTCTGAGAGGATACCTGACATAATTTCTATTTTCTTAAATTTATTGAGATTTGTTATGTTATCTATCACGTGGTCTATCTTAGAGAATATTCCATGTGCTGATGAAAAGAATGTATATTCTGCAGTTGTTTGGTAGAATGTTTTTTAAATATCTGTTAAGTCCATTTGTTCTAGGTTACAGTTTAAGTTCATTGTTTCTTTGTTGACTTTCTGTCTTGATGACCTGTCTAGTGCTGTCAGTGGAATATTGATCCCCCACTATTATTATATTGCTGTCTATTTCATTTCTTAGGTCTAGTAGTAATTGTTTTATAAATTTGGGAGCTCCAGTGTTAGGTGCATATGTATTTAGGATTATGATATTTTTCCATTAGACCAATTATTTTATCATTATATATGTCCCTCTTTGTCTTTTTTTAACTGTTGTTGCTTTAAGGTCTGTTTTCTCTGATATAAGAATAGCTACTCCTGCTTGCTTTTGGTTTCCATTTGCATGGAATATCTTTTCCCATCTCTTTACCTTAAGTTTATGTGGCTCCTTATGTGTTAGGTGAGTCTCTTGAAGACAGTAGATACTTGGTTGGTGGATTTTTTTTTTCCTTTCTGCCCTTCTGTATATTTTAAGTGGATCATTTAGGGCATTTACACTCAACATCAGTATTGAGATGTGAGGTACTCTTCTATTCATTATGCTAGTTATTGCCTTAATTCCTTTTTTTATTGTGTTATTGTTTTATAGGTCCTTTGATATTTATGCTTTAAGGAGGTTCTATTTTGGTGTATTTTAAGGTTTTATTTCAAGATTTAGAATTCCTTTTAGCATTTCTTGTAGTGCTGGCTTGGTAGTGGAAAATTCTCTCACCATTTGTTTGTCTGAAAAAAACTTTATCTTGTCTTCACTTATGAAGCTTAGTTTCTCTTCATACAATATTCTTGGCTGGCAATTATTTTGTTTCAGGAGGCTAAAGATGGGACCCTAATCCCTTCTGGCTTGCAAGGTTTCAGTTGAGAAATCTGCTGTTAATCTTATGTAAATCAGATAACCTTTCCTTTATAGGTTATCTGAGGCTTTTGTCTCACAGCTCTTAAGATTCTTTTCTTTGTCTTGACTTTAGATAACCTGATGTCTATTTGCCTAGGTGATGATCTTTTTTGTGACACATTTCAGAGGTATTCTTTGAGCTTCTTGTATTTGGATATCTATATTTCTAACAAGGCCAGGGAAGTTTTCCTCAATTATTCCCTCAAATAAGTTTTCCAAACTTTTAGATTTCTATTCTTCCTTGGGAACACCCATTATTCTTAGGTTTGGTTGTTTCACATGATTCCAAATTTATTGGCCGATTTGTCATTTTTTTAAAAATTCTTTCTTTTTGTGTGTCTTAGTTTGGGTCTATTAAAAGCTTTGTCTTCGAGCTCTGAAGTTCTTTCTTCTACTTGTTCTAGTCTATTGTTGAAACTTTCCACTGCATTTTGTATTTCTCTAAGTGAGTCTTCCATTTCCAGAAGTTGTGATTGTTTTTTCTTTATATCTATTTCTCTGGAGAATTTTCCATCCATATCTTGTTGTTTTAAAAATTTCTTTAAGTTGGTTTTTATCTTTCTCTGGTGTCTCCTTGAATCACTTAATAATCAGCCTTCTGAATTCTTTTTTTTTTTTTTTTGAGATGGATTTTCACTCTTGTTGCCCAGGCTGGAGTGCAATGGCGCGATCTCAGCTCACCGCAACCTCTGCCTCCCAGGTTCAAGCAATTCTCCTGCCTCAGTCTCCTGAGTAGCTGGGATTACAGGCATGCACCACCACATCTAGCTAATTTTGTATTTTTTAGTAGAGACGGGGTTTCTCCATGTTGGCTTCAGGCTGGTCTTGAACTTCTGACCTCAGGTGATCTGCCCACCTTGGCCTCCCAAAGTGCTGAGATTACAGGCGTGAGCTACTGTGCCCAGCCCTGAATTCTTTATCTGGCAATTCAGAGATTTCTTCTTAGTTTGGATCCATTGTTGGGGAGCTAGTTTGATCTTTTGAGGGGTGTTATTGAACCCTCTTTTGTCATATTACCAGAATTGCTTTTCTGGTTCCTTCTCATTTGAGTAGACTATTTCAGAGAAAAGATCTGGAACTGAATGGCTGTTGTGCAGATTCTTTTGTTTCATGGGTGATCTCTTGATGTGGTGCTCTCCCCAATCCCCTGGGGATGGGGCTTCCTGAGAGCTGGACTGCAGTGATCGTTATTGTTCTTCTGGGCCTAGCCACACAGAGGGGCTACCAGGCTCTGGGGTAGTACTGGGAAATGCCTGCAAGAGTCCTGTGATGTGATTGATCTTGAAGTCTCCCAGCCATGGATATCAGCATCTGTTCTGGTGAAGGTGGCAGAGGAATGAAGTAGAGTCTGTGAGAGTCCTAGGCTGTAGATAGATTTAGTGTGCTGGCTTTCTTGAATGCTAGTTATGTTAGCAGTGAAGTTGTCATATGGACAGACTCAGGACGTCTGGTTAGCCAGGATGTTGCAGGCAGTGCAACTGGTTGTTGTTTTCTTTTTCCTGGGATCAAAGTTATTCTGTCATGAGTTGCTTTAATGGCCTGAGCTGTTTGACCTCCAGCCGGTAGGTGATGCTTTCAAGAGAGCACTAGTGCATTAGTAGAAGGGGGATCTAAGCTCACCCTAAGTTGGCCAGGGTAAATATTTTAGTTTCTTAGGTGATGAGCAGGGCCATAAAGCTTCCGAGAGTTTCTGGGTTTTGTGTTCAGCTACCAAGGCAGGTAGGGAAATACCATCAGGTGGGGGCAGGGGTAGGTGAGTCTAGACTCAGACCCTTCTTGGGTAGGGATTGCTGTGGCCACTGTGGTGGATGGGGGTTGGTTCTCAGGCCAGTGGGGTTGTGTTCCAGAGGGAATTTTGGCTGCCTCTGCTGTGCCATAGAGTTCTCCAGGGAAGTGGGGGATAGCTGCTAGTGAGAGGCCTCACCTAGCTCTCATGTAGTTGGTGAGGCTGGTCTTGCTCCTGCAGTGCCCTACTCAGACCTTGCCCCAGGCTGTGAGCTTCCCCACTGAGAAAGAAAGCATGACTTTTGGACCGCATCCCTCACTGTCTGCTTGCAGTTCCCATTTGCCCCCTGGATTCTGCTCAAGAAAATTTGTGCCCAGTTGAAATTATTACTAATTTTAGTTGAAACTTCTTTCATCCTGTGACCCCTCCCTGATTCCACTGGCTGCCTTCCCCAAGGGTGCCTGTGAGACATAGTCAGGGATGGATTCCCTGGTCTCAAGCTGGAGACTGGGAGTGCCTACAAGGCACTTCCCTTTGCTGTTTCTACTTTTATATTTTGTGTGGCTTCCTAAATTTATTTACATTCCAGGTAAGGGTAAATTCTTCTCCTGTGATCTGGATTTTCAGATTACCCAGTTGGGATGTATGTTTGGAGGCAGGTTTCCCCCCCTCACACTTTGGGAGCTCACAGTTTTTCACCTGTCTTGCAGAATTTCCAGCAGTGTGCCACTTATTTAAAAGGATCTATGAATTCTTTCAGTTCTCCTGGTATATTCCTGCAGTGGTTCTTGGAGCAAACGTTCATGGTGTGAGTCTCCACACTCTGTCCAAGTGGGACCTGCATGTTAGCCCTGTCTCCTACCCACCATTTTGTCCCCTCTCCTATCACACATGCAGATCTGCATAGAGATATACTCACGCCAGGGTAATGACGCTAAAATCCAGCCAGTTCCAAGGATCTCTCAGGTACGTGAACTCATTTAGACAAAATCCTCTTGCCAGTATCTTTATCAAGGCTTCAAAGGTGTAAATGACAGTGAAGACATATCTGGGAAGGAGGGTAGAAAAGGAGTGTCAACTGTGCCATGGAGTGTACTCAGGGGGTTCCTTCTTCCAGGAGGGAGGGATGACCTGCTCTGACTGCTCCAAGAAAAAACATGCAAAGAATATCACCAAGGTGATGAGGGGGAAGAAGGTAAGGAGAGGAAACAAGACACAGACTGAGGGAAAAAGAAGGGCCACACAAATAGATGGAGTGGGGAGGGATGTGTGTGGCTGGGACAGCCAGCAGCTTCTGCTGTTCTGGGGTTAGGCAGAGGGCAGTAGCGGGTGAAGAGCAAGGATTCTCCTGTTTATGTCTGCCAGGGCCTCCCTATCCTGCAAGAAGCTGGAGGCTCATCTAAAAACTCCCAGTTTTTAGAAACTGGAGTGCAGACTGATGAGTGGTAACTGACAGAGCAGACCTAAGAAAGCTGAAAACTGGCTGAAGCAGGGAATACCCAGAAGCAAGCCAAGCTATGCTGCAGAGCCCCAGAACTGCTTGGAACTTAGAGATGCTAAGTATCTCTGAAAGCAAGGTTTGGGGGAGGGTGATAAGTAGGGCTGAAAGAATTGCTTGAAAGTTTTTTACAGGAACCAGTTGAGCTTTCTAGATGCTGCTTTATGCCATCCATTCAATGAGAAACTGTTTCTGCTCCAGAAATGGATTGGATGCTCATTTTCTTAAGAGTTGAAGAAGAGGGAAACAGTTGCATACTGAAAAATGCATATAAAGAAAAGTTTACCTACTGAAAGGCAAACAACTCCCCTCCCTATTCACTTCTGCTCCTCGTTAAGTTTCCAGAAGATAATCTGGTTTAGAGCCCATGAAGATGCTGCACTTTTAACATGAACAGCCAGCCAAGGAGCATCAGGAATTTGAAGGATGCTTCTAACACCAGAAACCAAAGCAACCAAACAACTGAAAAAAAAAAAAAAAAGAAAAGAAAAGAAAAGAAAAAGAGACAATAAAGAGGGCAGAAGAAGAGTTAGAGAAATAAAACTGTATTGGCCAGGCGCTGTGGCTCACGCCTGTAATCGCAGCACTTTGGGAGGCCGAGGCGGGCAGATTACGAGGTCAGGAGATCGAGACCATCCTGGCTAACGCGGTGAAACCCCGTCTCTACTAAAAATACAAAAAATTAGCCGGGCGCCTTGGCGGGCACCTGTAGTTCCAGCTACTCCGGAGGCTGAGGCGGGAGAATGGCGTGAACCCGGGAGGCGGAGCTTGCAGTGAGCCTAGATCGCGTCACTGCACTCCAGTCTGGGTGACAGAGCAAGACTTCGTCTCCAAAACAACAACAACAACAGCAACAACAACAACAACAAAAACAAAAACAAAAAAAAAAAAACCTGTACTAATATTTTTAGAGAGTTAAGAGGTGAGAAGAGGCTCCACGTATAGAACAAGAGCAGAAGGATGTAAAAAGTACCTTCAAAGACAAAATGGAATTTTGAAAACAAAAATATGATAGCAAAAGTAAAACACTAATAGGCGGACTTGTAAATAAAGTTTTGGAAATCTCACAGGAAGTGGAACAAAAAAGCAGAAATGGATAGGAAGTGATAAAAAGTTTGAAAATTAGAGAATCAGACTAGGAGGTATATTGTTTGACTAATAGGAGGTCTAGAAAGAAATTAGAAGACAATGAGCAAGGCCTTCAAAATTAAGAGGGAAATAATTTCTAATACAGAAGTCTTTCCCTAGCCAAACTGTCAAAGAAGGTAGAATATATGAAGTCTTGGGAAATGTACTTCTTAGTTACCCTTCTAATAAAGTTACTAGAAGCTGGGCATGGTGGTATGTACCTGTAGTCCTAACTACTTGGGAGGTTGAGGCAGGAGGATCACTTGAACCCAGGAGTTTGAGGCCAACAGCCTGGGCAGCATAGAGAGACTTTGTCTTAAAAAAAAATGTTACTAGAGGATATGCTCCATTCAAACAAGAAACATATATGCGATCCAGGGAAGAGGCAAAAGGAATCCAAAAAAAGAATGAAGAAGAAAAAATCTCTAGAAAACAGCTGTGCATCAGGCCTAGAAAACATCTAGGTCAGAATGAGGCAGAAGATGAAGTACTCTAGCTGTGATTCCCATAGGAAAAAAATGATACACATGCACCTGATGTGTGCAAATAAATTGAAGCAACAATTAAACATCTGGAGAAGAGTTTGGGAACAAATTAGGGATAAATAGAAAACTGAGCAAACAAAAAAATAAAATCCTTATTAACTCCAAGGAAAGCAAAAACATTGTGCAAAAAGGAAATATAGTCAAAGTACACTGCATGACACAGCTGTAAACAGTGTTTACTTAGCAATGTAATGTAATTATATATGTAGTCATACAATGGATATATTATCTGATGATCTAACTGAAGATTACAATATAACTGTAACAGGAAGATGAGGGTGAGAGGAAATGAGTTTGTGGATGTGGCCTTAAGTTTTTTCTCATAATAGGAAGCCAATAAATAACATCAGAAATTGAAAAATTAAAAATTAGTATTATGAGTATATTATTGGAGATAGGGAGGTATCAGAAGACACAGGTAAAAAAAGCTAAAAGTGGTGGCCTCTGGAAAGAAGAGATGAGAAAAATGAAATTGCTGTTTTTTTTGTCAGAATCTTTATAAAACTCTGTGACCTTTTAAATTATGAACATATATGTCTTAAATAAAAGTAAAAGTCAAGTTAAAAAGTGAATAATTTTTTTTCACATCTGTGAGAGGAGAAATCGTGTTTGAAATCATTTAGGAATCTATATCTGGTTGCATAGCTGCTTGAGCTGTCAGCTTCCATATCTTGTTGGTTTCCCCCCCACACTCTTTATGTTTTCTAAATTAGAAAATCTTAACTCAGAATTATAGGTTGTTGGGAAGCTTTGATGGATATTTCTGGTTTGTCAAATCAAACACAGACCCAGAAATTATGGAGAGAGTGCTCTCTAAAGACTATTTTCAGTGCTTCACCAGAAGGCAAGTGCCCCAGCTCAACAGCAGCTAATGGAGTTGCATCCTCTCTTTGGTGGTATTTGGCTCTGCAAGGTATTTCTTGATGTTGGGTTGCAGCATTCAGATGTAATTTTTAATAAGCCCAATGTGTTATTTCCTAAGTGCTTTTTCTGGTGAATGAAGAAAATCATTGGGTATTGGGAAAAAGTCAAGTTCTCAGCCGTTGAGCCACTTGCACCACTGATGTCTGATTGTTACAAATCCCGATATTCAGGCTCTGAAAACAAAGATTCATAATATTCAAATTCTGAATGGATCACTGAGATACCCAACTTGTATTCATAAAAATGGTAATTTAAAACATTTCATTCCTTATTTTTAAAACTCTGTGTAAGCCCTTCCCATTTGCCAGCCAAAGCAATTCAGTGTGGGAGAGCAGCCTCTCTTACTCACTTTTCATTTCAGCCCAGTAGGCCAAAGAGATGTACACTAAGTGACCACAATCAGTTTGTATTCACAATTTCCACTGTGTACCTCAACAGCAAATCAGAATCTGGAGGCATATTACAGACCCCCAGCTGCGTTCCGTGAATAAGGTATGCACTAGCATTGGGATCTGGGAGCAGCATCTTCTATCTGGATAGTGATACCTTTCCTTGCTGACCATGTGGCTGGAGTTTCTTCAATGGCAATTTAACACCTTTCCTCTTTTAAAAAAAAGTTTTGGTAAAATATGCATAATATACATAACATAAAATTTACCACTTTCACCATTTTTAAGTACACAATTTAGTGGCATTAAGTACATTCAGTATTGTGGAACTATCACCACTATCTGTTTCCAAACTTTTTTATAATCCCGAACAGAAATGTACCCATTAAATAATAACTCCCCATTCCCCCTCTCTGGCAACTTCCATTCTACTTTCTGTCTCCATGAATTTGCCTGTTCTAGGTACCTACTAAAGGTGGAATCATGCAACATTTGTTCTTTTGCGTTTGAGTTATTTTACTTAGCACAATGCTTTGTCAATGTTGTGGCATGTATCAGAATCTCATTCATTTTTAAAACTGAATGATATTCAATTGTTTACATATATACTACATTTTTTATCCATTCATCTGTTGATGGACATATTTGGCTATTGTGAATAACGCTGCTACAAACATTAGTGCATAAGCCAACATACCTTTTAAAGTCTGTTTCATAGGTTCAAACTAATTTTTAATTAAACCAGAGAGCTCTTCTTTTAAAATTAGCTTCATGATAAATAGAACAAAAAGTCACTGAGTCTTTCCCATATATATAGTGAAGATATGCTGACAACTTACTTATTCATAGTTTTGTTCAACTATAAAATAAAATGTCTGCTCGTATACCTAACAGTCATTGACTTTAAATGCCAGTCACATTATAAGGAATGCAATACTTCTAATTAAGGAATTATACCAATTGTTTTTCTTGTTTCTTCTCCAACCACAATATTTGTAATTGATTTGGAAACTGGTTTTGTATCTTACCAGCAGGAGTGCAATTGTGCTTATTTTTGATATGAGGATGAATGATGACTCTATAGTTTTGTTGTCTTCTCAACCTTTAACATAAAATTTTCACAATTTTATACTGGGAAAGCCTTATTTTGTGCTTGTAGTAGAGATATTCAATTGGTTTAAAAGTGGGGTTGATAAACTTTATTGGAAAATAATATGGAAGTTTTGATAGCTTTATATCATTACTTGACAAAAACGTTAGCAGATAATAAATTGGGTACTAGGACAAAAGGATCATTGGTCCAATAAAATTCAATTATCATTATTCATTGTCATGGCTCCCATTTTCTTATATATTTTTGTCTGGTTTTGGGAGATTATCCACATCCATTATCCACTTGTCTCATGACAAACAGATTCATGCTTTGTATTTTTACAATGGAGGCCATTCATTACTTACATTGTGACCTTATTTCACATTGTAGGATTTATATTTCTATTTTTATCATTATTGTTATGCTTCAGAAAACCACTTTCGAAGTGATGACTCTTTTTTTTGAATTGTGATATTATGCAAAGCGACAGTAATAATGGCAAATGCAAGTCTGACAAGTGTAAATAACTGTCAGGTGACAATAAAATACATTAGTCAAGATAAACTGCCTATGATTAACTCCATGTTAACCATTATGAATGAAATCAGTTTTTGAAGCACATACACTGTTTTTGAAAACATAAAAAGTTAGAAATTCTATGAATATAATAATTAATCTTACATGTTAGATTTTAAAATTATATGTGCATAGAGATCCTTAGATCACTTGTTGAGAAACATTGTAGGAGATGGAGAGAGATGAATTGCTCTGCTAAACAAAGTAAGAATAAGTTGGAGTTCCCAGGGACAATTGAGGAGAGAGTTGGAACATCCCAAAGGGACAGTTTATGAAAGAAGATTACAGGCCAGCCTCATTTAGCAAAATAGATAAAATGAAATACACCTAATTGAATCCAGCAAAATGATCAGCTGGAACCATTAAAAATAGACTAACAAACCTGTTAGTTTACAGATTTACTATACTAACAGATGAAAGACTATATGATAACCTCAATAAATATAAAAATACTGATAGAAGCCAACACCCATTCATGATGAAAGTCTCAACAAACAAGAAATGGAAAAAATTGATATAAAAAGTAATTATGAGACTCTCATAAACATCATAATAGTGAAACATTAGAAGCACACACTTTAAAATCAAGAGCAAAATAAATATGCTCACTGTCATAGCTTTGAATTACCATCTTGTTGAAGGTCCCGGCCAATTCAATAAGACAGGAAAAATAAAAAAGTGGTATAAGAATCATAAAGGAAGAAACAAGTTTGTCATTATTTGCAGATAATATAACTGTCTAAATAGGAAGTCCAAGGGAATCTACAGAAAAATTTAACTTTAAGGAGCTCAGCAGGGTTGCTGGATGCAAAATCACTATATAGAAATTAATAATATTAAGACAGTTTAGCAATAATAAGTATTCAATAGGGCAACCAAAATTGCAATGTACCTAGGAAAAAGACATTATAAAATGTAGAAAAATATTAAAGAAGACCTGTATAAATTAAGAGATCTGCCATACTGATGTGTGGGAAGGCTTCGTATTGTAAATGTGGCGATTCTTCCTGTGGTGATAAATCAATTCAGTGCATTACCAAACAAAGTTTCCACAGAGTTGTAAGAAAAGAGCTGGAAAATGTGACCCTTAAACTGATATGGAAAAGTAAAGAAACAAGAACCAAAATAATTTTCAAGAAGACAAATAAGGAGGGGCATGTGAATCGACCAGGTCAAATCTTACTATAGAGCATTTAAATCCACGTGGTGTTGACTCAGGATGTGACAATGAGATTACTGGGAGAAACAGATTCAGTAGACATGGGAATCTGGTGCATGGCAGAAGCAGTGGTAGGAACCACTTGGGAAATGATGTATTGAAAAAAATGTTGGAATAATCCATATGGAAAAATATTGGAAGCCTATCTCATACCACACACATACAAAAATAAATTCTAGGAGATTGAAATACCTAAATGTAGAAAGGAAAACTGTAACTTTGAGGAGAAAACACAGGATAATATCTTTATGGAATACTATATGGCAATAAAAAATGAATGAATTAGGTCTACATGTATCCATTTGGGCAAATCCCAAAAACATAATTTTAAAACATCAGATAAAGCACACATATAAAATGATAACAGTTCCATAAATTTGAAAAGATACAAATCAATACTTTATGCATGCAGTGTTAAACACCCACTTCCCCGTTTGCAGTAGATTCAGCTTCATTTCACATGTTCTTTGCCAGGTGAGAAAACATTTATCTTCTCTACAACCAAATTGCTATAATTTGTCAAAGGTTTTCCAGAATATTGTTATGCTTAGAGGTGAGTGTCCTAGGGTCATCAAAGAGCCCCTTCAATGATTCTCTGAAACCAGGGCATGGGGAGAGTAGGAAAGTTCTAGTCTTGCCCTTCTTAACAATTTTTGACCCCCTGCTCTCTTTACCTTCTGGTGCCCAATCTGAGGAAGAACCTCTAGTTTCTTCCCAAGCAAAAGAGGGGATTAGAAAATGGAATATCTATCTTTATCTTTCCACAAGCAGACAGATAGGCAGGCACGCAGAAAGACATAGAGCTACCATTATCAGCAGGTAATTGTGCAAAGCTAATGTTTCAGCAAGGAATAATGGAAGGGAGGGAAGATAAGGAAAAAGATTGTGTTAAGAACATGGCAATAAGATTGGTTTCTGATTCCTCACTGGCTACAATTTAATGCTTTTTCAAAAGTATACAGCATGATCTTTGGAGCCCCAGTCTATCCCAAGGACATTTATTATCTTCCTCTGGGTTCTCAGCAACATAGGAAACAACTAATGGCTATTATCAATTTGCATTTCAAAAAGAAAATCTAGTCTGATTATTTCCACGAGGCCAAGGATGCTGAACATCATCCAATACCTGTCACATAAATTCCCAGGATTGTGACCATATAGGTAGATTTGTATATGTTATACTTTTCATAGTGTGCATATAAAGGGAATTATGTCAACAGTTCAGTTAATACAAAATCTCCTAAAGAATGGATTTGATAATTACTGGGAATGGAAAGGATCCAACTTTGGAAGACGATTTGGCAATATCTCAAAAATTAAAATGTACACCCCTTTGACCTGGCAATTCTACTTCTAGAAATTCATCCTTAATTTTACTCATATTATGTGTACAAAGATACATGTGTAAGGATACTCACCAAAAAATTAATATGTGGTGGCAAAATATGAGGATTATGTTAATTATGATAAATGTGAATGTCTATCAATAGGAAAATAGTTAAATAAACTTCACTTCATCCATGCAAATGAAATCTGTTCAGCTAATTTCTATAAAACAGCTGCTGCTGGGATTTTTTTGGGGATGTCATTGAATTTATAGACTAATTTGGGCAGCACTGACATTCTAACAATTATGAATCTTCTAATCCAGTCACATGAGACATCCTTTAATTCATTTAGGTACTTTAAAATTTCTCTCAATAATGCTGTATTATTTTTTAGTATAAAGGTCTTGTGCATATTTTTACAACAGCATTTGGATTTATTAGATCTACTGTTTTTCTATTTTGTAATTTATTGCTTTTTATAATTATTAACTTCTTTCTTTCATTTGTTATCCTTTTTCTAGTTTTGTTAGGTCTTTAAATAATTTCTTTTCAGCTTTTACTGATATAAATATTCTATGCTTCCATGCTGTGACTTATTCCCTGAATATGTATGTCTTTAACTGCACTCTCTAGGTTCTGATTAAACTGTTTTTTATCTTTCCTTCCCTCGAAATTATATAATTTTAGTTTATAGTTTGTCTTTTGTCCAAGAATTCTTTAAGAGAGATTTTTAAAAATTATCAAGTGGAAAGTCCTCTCATTTCATTAAATTTGGTTATTTTTTTTAACTCTATTTCATTATGATCAGAGAATGTTTTCTATATTATTTCCACTTTCTGGAGCTTATTGAGGTTTTTGTCATGGCTTAATATTTGGTTTGATATGTTTGGTTTTTTGAAAAGGAGGTGCATTTTCTATTGTTAGGGAAGGTAGTTTGCTATATATTAATCAGATACATTATATTAATTATATTACTAGGTCATCTATAATTTTACATACTTTTTAATACATTTGATCTGTTATTGGCTAAAATTAATTGAAAATTTCTATTCCTACAATGTTTTTATTTATCCTCCTACTCTAATAATTTCTGATTTATAAATATTGTTGCCATCTTATTTGTTGCAAAGATATAGATTACTATCGTCTTTAATATTAATATGTCTGTGCAATTTTTGTCCTATTTCATGCTTTTTGACCGAGATTCCACTTTCTCTGATATTAAAATCATGGATCCTGCTTTCTTTGTTTGCCTTTGCTTATGTCTTTTGAATTCTATAATTTTAGCCTTTCTGTATCACCGTGAGGAGTATTTTTTTTATTCAACATAGAGTTGGGTATTGCTTTGTAATGTAATAGGCATTTTTAAAAATAGGTGAGTAAAATCCATTTATATTTAGTGACATGACAGATTTGCTTAGTCTTAGCTTGTTTATATTATTTCATATGACGTATTTAGTTTTTAAAATATTAGGTTGGTACAAAAGTAATTGTGGTTTTTGCATTGTTGAAATTTGCCGTTTGATATTGGAATACATTCTTAAATAAATGTGACCATGTTATACATCATTTTAATGTGCATTTCTCACTTTTTTTTTTGCTAATGACTTATTACTTGCTGTTTATTTTATATTTATTTTAGACTATGGAAATTATGTTATACAAAAAGCAAATTCGAGCGATTTTCTTATTTGAGTTCAAAATGGGTTGTAAAGCAGCAGAGACAACTCAACATCAACAACGCATTTGGCCCAGGGATTGCTAACAAAGGTACAGTGCAGTGGTGGTTCAAGAAGTTTTGCAAAGGAGATGAGAACCTTGAAGATGAGGAGAGTAGTGGCTGGCCATTGGAAGTTGACAATGACCAATTGAGAGCAATCATCGAAGTTGATCCTCTTACAACTGCACAAGAAGCTGAGGAAGAACTCATCGTTGACCATTCTACGGTCATTCGGCAGTTGAAGCAAATTGGAAAGGTGAAACAGCTCCATAAATGGGTGCCTCATAAGCTAAGGAAAAATGTTTAAAAAATCGTCATTTTGAAGTGTTGTCGTCTCTTATTCTATGCAACAAAAATGAACTATTTCTTAATCAGATTGTGATGTGCGATAAAAAGTGAATTTTACTTGACAACTGGCAATGACCAGCTTGGTGGCTGGACTGAGAAGAAGCTCCAAAGCACTTCCCAAAACCCAACTTGCACCAAAAAAAGTCGTGGTCACTGCTTGGTGGTCTGCTGCCGGTCTGATCTACTACAGCTTTCTGAATCCCAGCAAAGCCATTACATCTGAGAAATATGTTCAGCAAATCGATGAGATGCACAGAAAACTGCAAGGCCTGCAGCTGGCATTGGTCAACAGAAAGGGCCCAATTCTTCTCCACAACAACCGACTGCATGTCACACAACCAACAGTTACTTCAAAAGTTGAATGAATTGGGCTATGAAGTTTTGCCTCATCCACCATATTCACCTGACCTCTCACCAACCAACTACCACTTCTTCAAGCATCTGAACAACTTTTTGCAGGTGAAACACTTCCATAACCAGCGGGATGCAGAAAATGCCTTCCAAGAGTTCATTGAATCCCAAAGCATGGATTTTTATGCTACAGGAATAAACAAACTCATTTCTCATTGGCAAAAATGTGTTGATTGTAATGGTTCCTACTTTGATTAATAAAGATGTGTTTGAGCCTAGTTATAATGATTTAATATTTATGGTCTGAAACCCCAATTACTTTTGTACCTTTTCATTATTTGGCATCTCTTATTTGCTTTTTATTTTTTGATGTACAATTCTTCCAGTATTTAGAGTTTGTCATATTATTTGTTACAAATATATAGATTACTAAAGAGTTTGTATCTTTATCCTAGTGGTTGTCTTTATAAGTAAAAACTTATTATAAATTTATAATTATAATTAAAACCGTGTAATACATTGTCCTTAGTGTACTATTTCTTTAATCAAAATCTCTCATTTCCATTTGGTGATTCCTTTCCTCTCTGTTTTATCCATTATCTGACTGTATTTAATAATATCTTTTTGTGCTTACCTTTGTACTGTCAAGTGTAATTATTTTGTCCATTTCTTTATTTGTCAACTTTAAATAATACTCTTTAACTTCTTGTTATTATAGAAGCAGCAGTAAGTGAACATACTCTGCTCACATGTTCTTTCCTCTTTCTGCTTCCATTTCTTGCTATTTGTATCATGTCAACACTTGCAGGGCCTCTGGGGCTTGTTGGGCAGCGGGGGCGGTAAAATGCCTTTATTCTCATTTTTATCCCCCTCTGGAGGCACCGTGGTTTAACAAACCCTGATCTGCTAAGTGATTTACCACTTCTCCACCCACTTTTGGTCTTCCAAGTGTTTTGACATCATTTGTCCTCTGTGTTTTCCATTCTCTTTCTCTTTGTTCTTGTATATTTATACTGTTCTTTCCCCCGTGCTGTCATTCTATTGGCATTTTGAGAGGGTGGGGTAAAACATATGCATTCTATCTTCCATATTTAACCACAATCTCCAAATAACTCCCAAATAACTCATTTTGCAAAAAAATGTTTTACATTAAAACTCCAAAAGAAGCATAGACATTTTACATGCTATATGATCTCAACAATATTAAATATAATTTCATGATTTTGTGATTTCTCTACTTAGTAACCATCTTCTGATTTATATTTTCAGTGTTCTGCATTTTTTGCAATGGTCATTTATTTTAAAAAATTATTGGGTTTTTATTATGATATGTAACATGCATAATAAAAATGTACATAAAACATAAATTAATTATTTTAAAACAAATGTTTGTGTATTAGTCAGCCTTTGTTGCCTTAACAAAATACCATAGACTGGGTGGCTTATGCAACAGAAATTTATTTTCTCACAAATCTGGAGGTTGAAGCCTGAGATTGGGATGTCAGCATAGTTGGGTCTGGGAAAGACTCTCTTTCTAGCTTATAGATGTCTACCTTGTCCTTGTGTTCTCACACAAAGGGGAGAAAGCTGTCTCTTTCTCTTATAAGGACACCAGTTCTACCACTTAAGGGCTCTACTCTTGTGACTTCATTTAACCCAATCACCTCCTTAGAGGCCCAATCTCCAACATAGCAACATGGGGGGTTTGTTTCAACATTTGAATTTTGAGGGGACAAAATTCACTCCATAGCAGCTTGTGTGACAACTACCCATGCCATAAAATGGAACGTGACCAGCACTTCACCAGCTCCTTCCCAATTACATCCTCCCTCTTCTGCCCTGGAGGCCACTATTCTCCTAATTTTTGGTACTTTTTCTTGCCTTACTTTATTGATGCTTTTTACTTCATAAGTATGCATTCCTAAACAAAATAGTTTAGTTTTGCTTGATTTCAAACTTTATATAAATGAACCTTGTTTATGTAATCCTTTGCATTTGGCTTTTTTTGTTCAATATTACTTTCTTAAGACTCATCCTTATTGTTGTGCAGCACTAAAGTTTATTAATTTTTATTGCTGTAAGTTTTCTCATTTTAGAATATAACAGAAATAGTTAATGTACTCAAAGTTTATGGACATTTGAGTGGTTTCCGGTTTGGGGTTTTTATGGGCAAATGTTCATAAACTTTCTTGTAGCTGTAATCTGGTGTCCACAAGTACATATTTCTGTTAAACATAGGTACCTAAGGGTGTAATAGAAGAATACAGCATATGTATGCTTACACCTTTACTAGATAATACCCCTTGCTTTCCAAAGAGGTTGTCCAAATTTACACTCCCACCAGCAGTGTGTGAGTTTCTGTTGCTCCATGTCATTCCCAATACTTGGTATTGTGACACTTTAAAAAATTTCCCTTCTATGATGAACATGTAATAAAATCTCAGTGTGATTTTAATTTGCAACTCTTTGATTTAAAAAAAGGTTAAGAATACTTTCATATGTTTATGGCCATTTGGATTTCCACTTTTGTAAAGTGCCTATTCAAATTTTGTGCTATTTTACAAGTGGTTGTTCTGACATTTTTCTAATTGATTTGTAGAGTTCATTACTCTGAATATAAGCACTTGCTTTTTCATGCTCTTAAAGTTGTCTTCTGATGAACATTCTTAATTATAGTATACTAAAATGTATCAGTTTTTTCCTGTATAGTTAGTGCTTCTTGTGTCATATGTAATAAAGTTTTTCTTAGTCTGAGGTCATAAAGATATTCCTCTTTGTTTTTTCCTTTCAAAAAGCTTATCCACCACGATCAAGTCGGCTTCATACCTGGGATCAAAGCTGGTTCAACATACGCAAGTCAATAAACGTAATCCATCACACAAACAGAACCAATGACAAAAACCACGTGATTATCTCAATAGATGCAGAAAAGGTCTTCGACAAAATTCAACACCCATTCATGCTAAAAGCTCTCAATAAACTAGGTATTGATGGAATGTATCTCAAAATAATAAGAACTATTTATGACAAGCCCCCAGCCAATATCATACTGAATGGGCAAAAACTGGAAGCATTTCCTTTGAAAACCAGCACAAGACAAGAATGCCCTATCTCACCACTCTTATTCAACATAGTATTGGAAGTTCTGGCCAGGGCGATCAGGCAAGAGAAAGAAATAAGGGGTATTCAAATAGGAAAAGAGGAAGTCAAATTGTCTCTGTTTGCAGATGACATGACTGTATATTTAGAAAACCCCATCATCTCAGCCCAAAATCTCCTTAAGCTGATAAGCAACTTCAGCAAAGTCTCAGGATACAAAATCAATGTGCAAAAATCACAAGCATTCCCATACACCAATAACAGACAAACCGAGAGCCAAATCATGAGTGAACTCCCATTCACAATTGCAACAAAGAGAATAAAATATCTAGAAATACAACTTACAAGGGATGTGAAGGACCTCTTCAAGGAGAACTAAAAATCACTGCTCAAGGAAATAAGAGAGGACACAAATAAATGGAAAAACATTCCATGCTCATGGATAGGAAAAATCAATATTGTGAAAATGGCCATACTGCCCAAAGTAATTTATAGATTCAATGTTATCCCCATCAAGCTACCACTGACTTTCTTCACAGAATTAGAAAAATCTACTTTAAATTTCATGTGGAACAAAAAAGAGCCCGCATAGTCAAGACAATTCTAAGCAAAAAGAAGAAAGTTGGAGGCATCACGCTACCTGACTTCAAGCTATACTACAAAGCTACAGTAACCAAAACAGCGAGGTACTGGTACCAAAACAGATATCTAGACCAATGGAACAGAACAGAGGCCTCAGAAGTAACACCGCATATCTACAACCATCTGATCTTTGACAAACTTGACAAAAGCAAGCAATGGGGAAAGGATTCCCTATTTAATAAATGGTGTGGGGAAAACTGGCTAGCCTTAGGCAGAAAATTGAAACTAGATCCCTTCCTTATACCTTACACAAAAATTAACTCAAGATAGATTAAAGACTTAAACATAAGACCTAAAACCATAAAAACCCTAGAAGAAAACCTAGGCAATACCCTTCAGGACATAGGCATGGGCAAAGGCTTTATGACTAACACATCAAAAGCAATGGTGACAAAAGCCAAAATTGACAAATGGAATCCAATTAAACTAAAGAGCTTCTGCACAGCAAAAGAAACTATCATCAGAGTGAATAGGTAACCTACAGAATGGGAGAAAATTTTTGCAATCTATCAATCTGACAAAGGGCTAATATCCAGAATCTACAAAAAACTTAAACAAATTTACAAGAAAAAACAACTCCATCAAAAAGTGGGCAAAGGATATGAACAGACACTTCTCAAAAGAAGACATTTATGCAGCCAATAAACATATGATAAAAAGCTCATCATCACTGGTCATTAGAGAAATGCCAGTCAAAACCACAATGAGATGGAGTCTCATACCAGTTAGAATGGAGATCATTAAAAAGTCAGGAAACAACAGATGCTGGAGAGGATGTGGAGAGATAGGAATGCTTTTACACTGTTGGTGGGAGTGTAAATTAGTTCAACCATTGTGGAAGACAGTGTGGTGATTCCTCAAGGATCTAGAACCAGAAACACCATTTGACCCAGCAATTCCATTACTGGGTATATACCCAAAGGATTATAAATTATTCTACTATAAAGATACAAGCATGCGTATGTTTATTGTGGCACTATTGACAATAGCAAAGACTTGGAACTAACCCAAACGCCCATCAGTGATAGACTGGATAAAGAAAATATGGCACATATACACCATGGAATACTATGCAGCCATAAAAAAGGGTGAGTTCATGTTCTTTGCAGGGACATGGATGAAGCTGGAAACCATCATTCTCAGCAAACTGACATAAGAACAGAAAACCAAACACCGCATGTTCTCACTCATAGGTGGGAGATGAACAATGAGAGCACGTGGATACAGGGAGGGGGACATCACACACCAGGGCCTGTTGAGGGGTTGGGGGCTAGGGGAGGGATAGCATTAGGAGAAATACCTAATGTAGATGATGGGTTGATGGGTGCAGCAAACCACCATGACATGTGTATACCTATGTAACAAACCTGCACTTTCTGCACATGTACCCCAGAACTTAAAGTAAAATTTAAAAAAGGGCTTTATATATTTGCATTTCACAAAGCAAGTGAGGTGTTGATCCACCTAGAATTGATTCTTGTGTGTGGTGCAAAGTTGGATGTTTAATGTAGTTTTTCCAGTGAGATTCCTAATTCTTCAGCATCATTTTTTGAAGACCGCCTTTTCCCTGCTGTTCTGGGGTGCCACCTTTTCACACATTAGATGTTTACATATGTGTTGGTCTGTTTATGGACTGTCTATGCTGTTACATTATTCTGACCAATCTTACACCAATGGCACACTGCTTCAATTAGAGCTTTATAGTAAATCTCGACATCCAGTAGAATGAGTTCTCCCACTTTGTATTTCTTCCTCAAAAGTTTCTTGGCTATAATTTGCTCTTTAAAATTTCATGTAAACTTTTGAGGAAGAAAATTTAAAGTTTAAAGTTTGTCAAGTAATACCAAAAGAAGCCTGTTGAAATATTGATTTGAGGATCATATTAAATTTATTAATCATTTTTGGGAGTCTTTACAATATTGAGACTTTGAATCTGAGAACATGTCTCCCCACTGATTTGGTTTTCTTTAAAAACTTTACACAATACTTATTATAATTTTCCTTATAGAGATCTCACTTATACTTTGATAATCTTATTCCTAGATACTTGACATTTTAAAATGCCAGTGTAAATGGTATTTTTAAAAACTATTTTCTGTTTGTTGCTAGTGTCTATACACAATTGATTTATGTATGTTAATTTGTACCCAGCTACCTTACTATACTCTTTTATTAATTCTTACTGTTTATCTCTAGGTTATGTTGGATATTTTATGTATACAATCTTATTATCTGTAAATTACATCTTCGGTACTTTTTTCTTCTTGCACTTTTTTTTTCTTTGCTTTACTATGCTGGCTGAGACCTCCTTTACAAAGTGGAACTGAGAAGAACAGACATCTTTGGTTTTTTTTTCTTTTGATCTCAAAGGGAAAGCTTTCCATGTTCACAATTAAGTATGACGCTTGATACTTTAAAACAATGAATACCCTTTATCAGAGTGATGCAATCCCCTTTTTAAAATTATTATACTTTAAGTTCTGGGGTACATGTGCAGAACGTGCCGGTTTGTTACATAGGTGTACCCGTGCCATGGTGGTTTGCTGCACCCTTCAACCCGTCATTTACATTAGGTATTTCTCCTAATGCTATCCCTCCCCTAGCCCCCCACCCCTCAACAGGCCCCAGTGTGTTCCCCTCCCTGTGTCCATGTGTTCTCATTGTTCAACTCCCACTTATGAGTGAGAACATACGGTGTTTGGTTTTCTGTTCTTGTGTTAGTTTGCTGAGAATGATGGTTTCCAGCTTCATCCATGTCCCTGCAAAGGACATGAACTCATCCTTTTTTATGACTGCATAGCATTCCATGGTGTATATGTGCCACATTTATTCCCTTCTATTTCAACTTTTCTAAGAATTTAAAATTATAAATGGAAATTAAACTTTATCAAATGATTTTAGCATCAATTAAGAAGACTATGTGATCCTTTTCCTTTAATCTATTAATAAAAATATAACGTATTTTCTGTTGTGGCATGCATTACTGTTATGATTAGCAAAAAAAAAAAAAAAAAAAAAAAGAAAGCTCTGCAAAGCACCTGTTATTATAACCAAAGGTATGTTAGGTTCAAGCTGGAGTGGAAGCATCCCTCCCAGATGTGTGGATATGGAATGTTTTTGGAAAACTCCCAGATTCTGAAACTATAGGGGTTTCACCCACTAACCTAGGGAAATAGAATAACTTCAGGAATACTAAGGTTACTTTGAGGCATATGAAGCATGATAACTTAAACAGCTTCATTTATGAGTTATTTTCTAAATATACTCCAGAGCCATTTGTTCTTAGTTCTGTCTCAGTTTTGCTCCTGTCTCTCTTTCATAGCAGGCCTTCTCAAAAGCATACCTTCTCTAAGGCATACATTTGTGTGTGCATCTAGCAGGTGAGTGAGTGTGTGTGTGTTGGGGGGGGGTGGGGGCGAGGAGACTCATCTTCCCAGGCCACCTTAGACTTTCTGGGGCTGGGACTCAGGCATTTAAAAAATCTCCCCAAAAATTGCAATATGCAGCCAAAGTTGAGAACCACTAATCTGTATCTCTTTGAAACTGAAAATCATGTATGTTTATGAAACAAATCTCACAGAAGGAGAGACCTGGTTATTACAAAGACATATAGACAATGAGATTCAGCATTACCCACATGAGGCATGGCAGGATAAATAAAAGACAAAGACTGCCAAGTGAAGGAAGAAAAGAAAGCAAAAAGAGATGGTACAATAATGATAGCAAATCTACTCACTCAATTTTCTCTGGAAGGTCAGTTCGGGTCATGCACACACAATTAACCAAAATAGTGACCGTAATAAATAAACTGAACCACCTGAAAGGCCTGTGTTAAGGAAAAGCTGAGATCACCAAGTCTCTGTGATGTCATCTAGGATCACCTTGATGCTGAATGATTACATTCATAAATCTTAGCCAATATTAGCTTTATGATCTTGTCACATAATAACCACTAACATTTACTGAGTGCCTAAGCTAGGCTGAGTACTTTGTCCATGTTACTTCTAATACAACTGATCTACAGGTGGGTATAAATATCTACATTTTGAAGCTGAGAAACAGGCTGACAAAAAATAAAAGTTAAATAACTTTTCTCAGGTCATGCAGCTAGTCAACCATGCTGCAGAGATGTGAACTCTTATCTGTTTGATAACAAACTCTGAGCAAGATAGAAGGAAACAGACTCCCTTTTCCAAAATGTCCTTCTGCCCCGAAGCCTTCATTTCAGTATACAAAATGGCCTGAAATTTCATCTGGCAAATGTCTTTTTTATTCTAAAAGACAAAGAAAAGTTAGAAACTTGGAGATAAGTGAAGAGGTACAAACTTTCATGGGAATTAGTTTCATCAGATTGTTTGGGTAACTTAGTTGAGATCAGTTCCACCGAGGAAATGGTCTTCTGGGTAGGAACGGTGGAGGCAGGCACAGGGAAATGAAATACTGGCTCAGGAAGAAAACCCCAAGTAGGATTAGGCTGGAGTGGAGAACTCTGAATAGCTAGAGTGGAGAATATTGACAGCAGACTATGGGCAAAGGGATTATCAAAAGGGGAGGGAGACATTGAAAGGAAGGTGGGTGGAAGGGGAAAATAGAAGGGAAGAAATGTTGGTGGGGAGAATCTAAAGGTAAATTGTTCCCACTTGGACATTTTTCTTAGGAATAGCTGGGCTCCCAACAGTGCTTCCTAAGGAAAAATAAAACTTGAAGATAAACTTGACCTACAGAGAGAGTACAACACTCATTTTTCAATTTGAGCAGAAGTATTTAAATGTATTTTAGTTTTCTGTAAATGCCTTGATGTGTCTAGTTTTACAGTTACTTAGGAACACATCTATTATGAAAAGGAAAATTCTATTAATTAAACCACATTTTCCTGCTGACTTACAATTAAATTAAGAAATATGCTCACATGGGGGGAAATGTTAATCCAAGGATTAAACTAAAATCGTGTCTCCAATTCTACAAATATTTAAAAGTAATATATCTTATGTATAATATTAGTTATGAAAACATTCATAGCAAATGTGATTAGAATTATATTTTTGGTGAAATATTAATAATAGGGCCCTGAGAATTCTAGTATCTTTTGGGGCTGGAGTTACCAAATTTATGAGATTTAAATGCAGACTTTTGTGAGGAAGAGACCCCCTCAACAGCTTTTCTGTCCAGCTGTGACTCTACCAAGCAATTATTTACTCATCAAATCTCAAGATGAAGAGAATATTCACTGGTCACTTGGTTCTTTTTAGGGGATTTTATTTCTAATTAGCTGTTTCTTACTTATCCAGATGTAATTCAACCAGAATCCATAAAGAGGAGTTTGTATGTTTGTGATTTCTCTTTATTTGTAATTTCCATGTAATTGTATATATTTTGAAAAAGCAACAACTACCCAAGCAGAGACGACACATTGAGAGAATAATTACCCTGATTACTTTCCACCCTACTTCCTCACTGTAGATACTGCTCTACGCAGGATGCAGGCTGGACTTCTTAACTAGCTACATGGTCTTGGATAATTTACTTAATGCCTCTGTGTGTCAGTTTCATTATCTGTAAAATGGGGATGGTAATCTCTACTTCAGAGGCTTTTGAACTGATGATGGTATTGACACTTAGGAAGTATTTAGCAAGTGAGAGACTGTATTGTCATTAAATATCCTTCTGTAGAATCTGAAAATTCAAGATTCAGCTCAGAAAACGTAATTCTTGCTGGCCAGCCAGAAAGAAAAAAATGTAAAAAGAGAAAACGTAATGCAACTTCATCAAGCTGTGCAGCTTCATGTTGAGTGTGCAGATAGATGACTGTGCCAAGGTTACCAGCTCAATGACAACTGTCCAGAAATCCAACAATCTGCCTCAGAGTTAGGGAGCAGGGTAGAACTCTTTTTTACTGAAGCCTTCTAAGAAAAGGCTGGTTACCATTTGTCAGGCAACTGAGGCAGGTGTATTCTTGTACATCAACCTCCTGCAAGCCAGGGCTAAATTTGTCATAAAGAACTTCCAATCCTTCCGATGACCAAGGATCTTAGGTCATTAGGATCTTTCCATTAGGATCACCCAGGAAGATCTTAGGAAACCAAACCAAAGTATCTTTTTTCTACTAGTTTGGCTTGCCTTGCAAAATCCCCTGAAAGCAGCTTCTGACATTACCTAAAACAATTCATATAGTAGACATTTGACCAATGTGTCTCTAATCATTACAGTCTTGTATGGCATGAACATCAGATTATTGACATTTTAAACCTGCTAGTAGTTTTTGAGTAATTTGTGATGTTAACAGTGCCCCATGACCAATGAGGTCCCATTGAGACTATGTGTGCTCTTCCCATCATGGTCTGTTTTCCTTGCCCTCTGGGAGGTGCTGCTCTTTTGCCCAGTAAGCAGCCACTTCTCAGCATGGCTATGGCACAGAGCAACAACTCATGCCTATCTCATCTGCCCAAAGAAGGCTTGGGCCCTCTTACTGCCTGTTGTGTTGTGGGGAAAGCGGACCACACACCGTGGTGAGAATGTGTCTGGGGGCATCAGCAAACCTCCCCTCATAAAGAGGATGTTTTTCAAGTTGTGCATCCACAGGTGTGTCTAGATTAGTCTGAGGTGAATCCAAACCACCTGTGTGTTGCATAAACACTTCTTCTGTGTCTTGGGACTGCTTTGGGGTGTGGGACACATTAAAGGCCCAAGCCATTTTTTCAATCTAATGACCTCATTGTACTTTTGGGATTCAATTGGATAAGGGCTCTGTTGCTAACCTCTAAAGAAGGTACTGGACACAGTAGGCAAGGTCTAATTGTAACACGTGGAAGAGGCAATCGTGCAAAGGATATGAGTGGACAGACACTTTGATGGCCGTTCTTCTGATCAGGTTGAAAGGACTGAATAGCCACAGGGCCCGAGTGGCACTAAACCGGGAAATGGTCCTCCCTTTGTTCAGCACCATAAATGTCTGAAACAAAACAAAACAGAAAGTGGACCTCCAATGAGAAACAAGATTCCTTATACAACCATGTTTTTAAACATGAGAGGCATTATCTCAGGCTTATGAGCAAGAAGGGCTCTGGGAACTACAGGTCAATGAGAGTCAAATGCAGGTACAGAGAGGCAGAGAGGATCAAGGACTAAAAGCCATATCCTCACCCTCTCAGCAAGATCCTCATCTCTGGGACTGACAGTGCACCAAGATGAGCCCACTGAGGGTACTTTAATGGACAGACAGCCAATCCTCAGGCTGGTAAGAGGTGTTATGCCCAGGGGAGGACTCTGGCAACAGGATGGTGAAGTTATGGTTGCATTTAATTTCTCTTCTGACAAGAGAACCATCCTTGTTTTGTAATGTTTCTTCTGTCTCCACCTTCTACATCTCTGTCTCTTAAATCCTCTCCTGGTTTCTCCCTCTGAGGATTTAGGAGGATATGAACTCTTGGCATGGGAGAGGAGGAAGAAAGATATTCAGTGCCTTTTTATTTACTCTGCTAGCCATATTTGAGATGGCTGATTCCTGTCCTCCTAACTCCCAAACATGCATTCACCATTTTTTGGCTCGTAGAACATCAAAAATACAACACAGGTGAGATAATTGTCATGAAGAAGCTCTTGTTTAAACTACTGATTCTCAAACTTTTTGATTTCAGGGATTATTACTCTCAAACCTTATTGAGGACCCCAAATAACTTTTGTTTATGTTGATACCTTTTTGTTTATGCCAGATATATGTATATCATATTAGAAATTAATATATATGTATATATGCTTATATACCTATATATACATAACTAGCTACATGGTCTAGTTGTATGTATATACATAGTTGTATGTATATATATAGTGTATAGATGTATACACACATATATACATCATATGTGTGTGTATATATATCTCATATTAGAAATTCAAAACTCAGGAAATTTTAAAACACGGGAATATACAGGCACACATTCCAGTAGCTTTTAGAGTGATGACATCATCCCCCATCAATAGCCTCTATATTCACCAATGTATGATCATAAGAGAAAGTGTGTGAAAAAGACAAATTACATCCAAGTATTGTTATACAATAGTTTTCATTTTATAAACCCACTAAAACAGTTTTGGGGACACCAGGGGTTCCAAGATCATAGTTGAGGACCACTGGCTTAAATTCATCCTGCTTTCTGTCCTCACCGCCATGCTCCTCCCCCAACCTCAAGATGTCTGCTCTCCACCTGCAAAGAGACCCAACTCCTCTGGAGGCCCCAGGCCAGAGGTCATCCAAGGGAACAGCCAACTTTCCCTGAAAGCTCTGCAGCAGTTATCTGCTTTTGAAGATGTGGGTTTAGTTAGTTTCTATCATAAATGTCATAAAAATTCAAAGAGATCATCAAATAAGTTAGAGATATATATATATATTTTTTTTGGTTGTTAACGGAATCTTTAGCAGACTGCCACATCACCCAGGGCCAAGGAGGACTTTCTGGGCTGGGTGGGACCGAGACTTCCTCTCCAAGAGCTGAGAGCAGACATTCCTACTAGTAGCTCTTACCCGGTGTGTGCTGTAGAACGGATCTAGATCCTCCAGGGGCTCCCCGATCAGTTCTGCTGGGAGCTCACCATAGAACTTGGGCAGCTGGTTGCAGGCTTTCAAGTCCAGCTGGGGCCGAGGCTTCTCTTCTTGGTCCTTCTGCTCCCTATGCTTCTCTCTGGCTTTCTTTGTTCCCTGCTTGGCAGCAATTTGCTTCTCTATCTCCACCAGTGACTCCGGAGTAAAGCGACGGAAGTTGTTAGTTTCGAGGGATCCAATGGGGAATTCCATCTTCTCATTCTTCTTCAGGAAGTATTTATACTCTTATAAGAGTGGACATAACCACAGAGAGGTGACAGCTTGCCCACTGGCCCTGTCCCTCTCATCTGTCCCATCTTGATTGTCAGAACAGCCCTTCTCCCACCCTCATATCTGGCCCCTCCCTGAACTCACACTTGGCTCCTCCCAGGAACCCATTCCCCTGCAAGGCATTCAGGGGAGGCTGTTTATTCAACCCTCCTCCAGGTGCCTCAGGGTTATGTCTTTGCTCCCCATGTGCTTCTATGTCATTGCTTCTTCACCACTTTGTACCATCCTACCACCACCACCAGATTTAGCCATGCTGCCCTCTCTCCTCATTTCCAGGACCACTGAGTTCCAGGCACTCTCCCATATTCATCAAAGACTTTGGTTTATAGTCTACTTTATCTTAAGTCTCATGCTACTTTCTTATCACAATCTTTTATTTATTGACATTGTCAACATTTCTCCACCTGTTTGAATTTCATTTGGACCTCCAAGTTACTGGAGAACTCCAGATTATTGGAGAATTTCATTGGGACCTCCAATTTCTCTGGGACCTCCAGGTTCAGTCTGTGGCTGAACACTTTTCCCCATAACCAGATTAGACCTGTGGTCCACAATTTTGCCACTCCCTCACCCTTATCCTAAATCCCAAGGCTAAGTCAATCTAGAACAGTTCCCCTGAACTGCTGAGGGGTTATGGGGAACCTCAGTATTGCCTGGGAATCATATGGTATCCCTAGTCAGCAGTTTCTTCTAGTCTGAGGTTTCAAATACACTCTTTTCTCACTATTCCCTGTCTTCCCTTGCAGTAAGCCAATGACCATATTTCCTAGTTCATGGAGAAAAACAGAACTCTGCCAACTTCATACCATCAAACCTCCAACTCACCTGTGTCTGCAGCCTTCTTTCCTCCTTCCCTTCTCTTACAACATGAGAGGTATCTTCCTACATTCTAAGGACCATTCCTTTCCCTCTGCTTAGGATCTTATCTCATATCTACCTCATTTTTTTCTCTCTCCTTGTCTGCCAGCTCTTTCCTATCAGCATTTAAAGATGCTTAACTTTCCTCCAACTTTAAAAACTTTCCCTTGATGCAGAGCCCATCCAGGTCTTCCCTCCTCTCTCCTGTTCTCTATTGGCTTTTAATAAAGGACTTACTTCTACTCACTGTTTCCAGTCACTTTTCAGTCTTTGAAGCTTGGATTTTGCCCTCCTATCTCACTAAAATGCTTCCTTGCAGGGATACAAGAGATTGCCTTGTGGCTAAAGTCAGGGGGCCCTTCTCAGTTCTTGTCTTTTTTGTTTTTTTCTTTTTCTTTTTCTTTTTTTTTTTTTGAGACAGGGTATCACTGTCACCCGGACTAGAGTGCAGTGGTGCAATCTCTGCTCACTGCAACCTCTGTCTCCTGGGCTCAAGCAATTCTCCCACCTCAGCCTCCCGAATAGCTGGGCTATAGGCACATGTCACCACACTCGGCTAGTTTTGAAAAAATTTTTTTGTAGGCAGTGTACCACTATATTGTCCAGGCCCATCTCAGTTCTTATCTTGATGGTCCTATTGGCTGTTTTGACAATTTCCTCCTTAAAATACTGTATATTTTGGCTACCATGACACTCTCTTGGTTTTCCTAACTTTCTCTCTTCTCCTTCTCAGTCTCTCCTTTCTCAGCTTTTCCCATACATGATTGTGAATAATGGCACTCTATCTTTTGTTTTCAGAATAATAACAATAGTAACAACTTCAACAGCGCTAGCATTTACTGAGATTCCACTGTATTTCAGACTCTGGATTAAGCAATTTTCATGCATTATTACATTAACTATCACTGTACCTGTGAAGTATTATCTCTAATATATAAATAAGATACCAGAGCAGCAAAGTTAAAATTTCCAAGATCACATTACTAATGAGTGGCAGAACGGTACTTAAACTCAGGTATGTTTGCCACAATCTCTTGGAAACATCTCATCATTCCCATATCTTCACTTCTCATTTATATGCAGATGACTGAGTCTTTATCTGTAGCTCTCAGAAGTCCATGGGGCTCAGATCTTCATTTGATCTCTCCACTTCAGTGTCTCATGAGCACCTCAAGCTCAGCATGCCCCAAACTAAACTCATAATTATCTCCTCACTTCTTTCTAATACCTGCCTCTCTTCTATGTCTTTTTACTGCCATTAGCCCCAAATAGCCTGTTTCTGTGTCTGTCCACAACCTGGGTACCATAATTATGCTCTTTCTATTTCATTCCACATACAATCAAACATCTAGTGCTGTTGCTTCTGCCTCCTTAATATCTTCTCTTCATATCTCTCTAACCTCTCCATCATACTGCTGGTCCAATCACTGTCATCTCACTGGCCTCGTATGTGTCATTTTGATTCCCCTTTAGTCCTTTCTAACCTATTCTCCAACAGTGGCCAAATGATATTTCTAAAATGAAAATCTGGTTATGTGATATCTTTATTTAAAATCATTCTAAAGCTCTCCATAGCACTCAAGATAACCCAAACTGTGCGCTGACCTCTCCAGCATGGTAGTCCCCAGCCACACTACTTTTATAAGTTTATCCTTGAATTTGACCCATTCTTTTTTATGTTAAGGCTTTTCCATATTCCCCTTCCTTTGCCTAAAATTATCTTTCCACTTTATTTTGTCTGGCTAATCCTCTCTTATTCTTGTACTCTTGGCTTTGAGACAATTTCTTCCATTTCTGACCTATATGAAGTCTATGTTAGGATTCCTGTTTCATGTTCCCATAACTCTCTGCACTTTCTCTATAAACATCTGATTTGTAATTTCTGTTTGCCTTTCTATTGTTTCTACCAAATTGTAAGCTCAGTGAGAGCTGGACTCACATCTATTTTGTTCAGCATTGATTTTCCAGAACCTAGTACAGTGCCTGGAACTAACTAGATACAGAATAGATAGTTGTTGCATGAATAGAGATAATGGCGAAACTTAATAGCTGAAAAACTAAAGAACATTTTGTTCAGAAAAATGCAGCAAAAATCACAGATCCAATAATAGGAATATAAGGAACCAAAGAGATTATTGAGTCTATTGACATTTTAAAGCTCACACACCCCAAAGTCAAGCAGATGGTGGCAGAGGCAGTGCTTAAATCAAATACCCCTATGATGGAGATCCTGCTTGCTCCCACCATACCTAGAGGTATTTCTTGAATCCAATACCTCTGTGATATAGACACTGCTTATTGTCACCAGCCCTAGAGGCAGCTCTGGTACCCAATACCCATATGTAGGAGGCTCTGCTGGTTGTCACCAGTCCTTCCATGCATTGAAGTCCTGGGAGGAGCACTCACTGCTCTGACACCATTCCTCTTCCTTAATGTCCTCCATTACTTTCTTCTGAGAGCTTTCCCTCACCCTCTTCCTCTCCTCCTGCCTATTTGTAGTTGATCTGTTTCTTACGGAACTTTTCAAAGTCAACCTACATTACATAATTGAACATCTGTCTTCTATTTTCTTCTAACTTAGAAGTTCTATGTGTTGTGTGCCCAAATTCTGATTAACATGGTGTATTTATGCAATGACCATTCAAACACTGTTGACTTCAGTGTCTTTAATTCTTCCCTTCTGAGAAACAAAGATTAAGTTAACTTTCTCTTCCTTGTCTAGGGGAGAAGAGATACTTATAGTTTGGAACCAAATTTGAATCCCAGGACTCAGTTGTTTAGTAACAATGCAAGAATTCTCTCAGTGACACTGGAATGCAATGTTGAGGATTGAGAACAGGACTAAGCCAGAATTCCAGGTCCTGGAGCTGGAGCTTGAGGTCAAAGCAGACTCAGCTATGAGACTGACTTCATGCCAAATGACCATAATTATTCTGGGCTACCATAAATCCCTCCAGCTAAGGACAAAATTGTTTTCAACATTGGGGTGGGAATTTGTAGTGATGTGATGTAGGTATGAGGGACCAGTCCTTCTTTTAAGACTTTCCCATCAGAAGTGATAGCTCTGGACTTGGGATCCCTTGATTGAAGTGGTTCTCTATATTCCCATCTATTACCCAGTGTCTTTACATGACATTCTGAGAAAACTATTGGGGTGCAAGTAGTTTATCTGAGAGCTATTTCTAGGAATGTCATAGAAGAGAGGAAAAGTAACATAAGAAGAAGAAAGCAGTATTTTTATGAGCCATTTACTCTTATGGGCAAACTGGGCTCAGAATTGTTTCACTGAGGGGTAAGGATACTAGGGTTTTATCTACCAGTCCTGTCCCTTATTGGTTGACGGTTGTCCTGGGATTTTAACTCTACAGAACTTACTTCAGTGGCCAGAGAAAGCCCTGGGCAGACAGAGGCAGGAAGTCACATGTAGGAAGTGTCTGCTGGTGACCTCTGGTCTAGATCCCTGGGAAATGAGCAAGGTGCAGATAGTGACGGCTATAGTCCTTGCAACCTTAATTGGGAATCCCTATTTTAGAGTCTAGTTGAATGTAGTGGGGAAAGCACATCCTTTGTGAGGTAGCCATATCAAATGTATGTGTTATAGGATTAGTCTGGGCCTGATACTCACTTCTTGGATTAATGGCTGAGGAGGAGACAATCCAAGAAATATCTATTCTAGTTTAGCTCCAAGCTCGGCCCTGGCTTTCAAACAGTCTGCATGAGTTTTTGCAGGTATATTCCCTTAAGTTTAATAGCTGTTCCTGCTAAGCAAGCCTTTCTATTCGGTGGGCATTCAGCCCTCCCAAGATGAACCAACAGCGATATTTGGTTCCCCTTGCCTCCTTTTTTTTTTTTTTTTTTTTTGAGACAAGTTCTCACTCTGTTGTCCAGGCTGGAGTGCAGTGGCACAATCACAGCTCATTGCAGCCTTGACCTCCCATGTTCAAGTGATCCTCCCACCTCAGCCTCCCAAGTAGTGGAACTACAGGTATGTGCCACCACGCCTGGCTAATCTTCATATTTTTGATGGGGTTTTTCCATGTTCCCCAGGCTGGTCTCAAACTCCTGGGCTCAAGCAATCTTCCCACCTCAGCCTCCCAAAGTGCTAGGATTCTGGCATGAGCCACTGTGCCCAGCCCCTTTTGCCTTCTTAATATCAGGTGGGAGGGGTTCTTTCTCTATTGTTCTTCTCTAAAGATCCCATGTCTCCCAGAACCTGTAGGATCTCTGAATACTAACCTGAGTGATGGCAGAACAGATTAGCTATAGGGCCAATGCTTTCCTTCCCTCTCTGGCCCCAGATCCTGAGGGCCAGACCCAGGCCTACAGAAATTCCTCTCACAGGCAGTCCCCCATCACTCACATTGACTGATCAGTTATAGGGGTATTGGCTCAGAGCCTTCAGAGAGGACTGTCTAACCTTGCATTTTCCCCAATGTGTTCTGCAGAATTTGTAAACAAGTGTCCTCTGGGAAAAATAATGTAGGTAAAATTTTCCCCTTTGTAATACATTTGTTGAAAAGTATAGAAGACACTAACATGTTTTATTGTTCTTTTTATTATGTAATGGTATGCTTTTAAGAAGTGACAGCCAATCTTGAACGTGGCAGGGAGATAGAGGAGAAGTCCCAGCTCCTTGAATACATGGCTGTACTTGCTAATTGAGAACGTGCTTCTGCCTGATGCTCTACAGTTTGGCAGCATAATTGCAGTTTTTTATTCTTAATAAAACAAATTATTTAATTTCCCTAATTGGTTACTTTTGCTTCTCATATAAAGTTTTTCTTTAAAAAAATCATATGATTAAGGTTTTGATAATTTTTTCAGGTGATTTATTCATGGAACCATGTTGGCTGTGTTACTTTACTTCAAGTGTGTCTTGCATCTCCTGAGGGCCAACTGATGACTTAACAGTGCATGATGATTTTAAAATTGTTCGCTGGTCCTATAAGCTTGCAAAATCTTGTCCTAAGATATGTTCTCTAATGCTTCCAGAAAGGGTCTCTGGGATCCCTGGTCCATCATGGTCCAGGCAACCCCTAAAAGGCAGTCCATTGACTTTCTAAGTTCTTTATGGGTTACACTATTCTCAGAAAGTTTGTCAGCCCTAGAGCTAGTCTGGAGGTAAACAGGATGGTTTGCCATCACAGATGGGTAAAGCAGTATCTATGTGGATTTTTTTCTGCTTGCTTTAGAGAAGCTAGAACCAAAGCTCCTACAACAGACATTGATGTTCTTAGTTCTCTGCAGTAACCACTGGCTTTGTGGATAACAGCTCTTCCAGCTTCTCTAGTACAGTGAACTTCACATGCCAGTCCACAGTCTGGTGCTGAGCTAGCTGTGTCACCATCACAGGGGAGAATTGGACTAAGATGCAGATTCCTGGACTCCACCTGAAAAGATTCTCAGTCAGTAGGTCTGAGGTGAGGCCCAGGGGGCCCCATTTTTAACAGACTCATAACTGAAGCTTCCAAAGGTGTTGTCCCTTTGAGAAGCACTGAAATTCTCTGCAACTGTGAGGTGAAACAGGACAAGGTTATAGAATCTGGTGAAGCCATGATCTACTCCCACAGTCTTAGGGCCTGGATGAAAATCTTTCTGGATTTTGGAGGTCAGAAGCCAGTATTAGGGAGTTTTGGAAAAAGAGACCTGGCACCAAGTGGCAGGTATTCTTATTCGTTCTAGGAAACTCTGACTCCCCAGAGGTTTTTTTGGGGCAGTCCTTAGGACTTCCTGCCTTTTGTTGTCAGAATCAGGGCAACTCCTGGCCAGGAACTTCAGGAAGCTTACATCCAGGGAATGAGAACAGAGTGGAATTTGGTTATTTCTGAGGATCAAGTTTCTGTAGATATTTACCCTGTTTTTGAGATTTCTGGGCTACAAGAGGACCCACTGGGTCTCTTCTTCATAGGCTATAGTAGCACCTTGACTTGAATTTCTGAGATCTGATGAGTGAGCAGTTTCTAAGAAGAAGACTAAATGTGATTGAACAGATAACAGGTGTTTCACATTTGCCATTTCGATAGTGATGGAAATAGCTATGGTTGGTCTTTGATTAAGACCTATGTTCTGGGAGAACCAGCTGACTCAGAGCTGCTTGGTAGAGGCTGGTGTGAATAAGGGTGACAGTGAGGGTCTCCCTGAGATTACAGTGGGCAAGGCAAGACAGAGGGTTCTTCCGACCAGATTTTGTAGATCTTAGCAGGATGTTTCTCTGATTACACAACAATCATAAACTCGCTATCTCCTGAGTGTGTGCTAATTGAGTCTGATCACAGAAATGACTAAGCCTCATGAGGTGAATTACTCAAATCCTCGATTCACAACAGTAACAACAGCACCTCATTATGTACAGTGAGTTTACAAAGTGCTTCTGCATAATTATCCCTTTTTGTCTCCACAGAAATCCTGTACAGTAGGTCAAAGGCATTCTCTTAAATAAGAGAAAACTAAGAACCAATGAAGGTCTGTGCTTACTGTGATATAAAGATGTTAATTGGACTGAACAAGCTTATCTCTGAGTCTTTTGATTCCAGATTCAGAGCTTTACAATCTCTGGGGCAGGTCTGGCTGACTACAGCAGGTCTGGAATGCTACTGATTGGGGCACCATTGGAGAGTTCTGGGACTTGAGAGAGGCAGCAACTGATCTGAATGTGTTCAGATTTGGTGAGATTTCAAGGGGCCTCTGAGAACAGCCTTTTTGTCCTGTAACTCACTGAGGTCTTAAGAACCCAATAGAGGTCTTTCCCTACTAATGTAGCATTTGACTCTGTATAGTAGATATGATGTGGATAAACAGGTAATTATAGTTTTTCCAGAACTTAATTAGTAAGCAAAAGTGTAAGATTTTACCTGTGTAGGATTGTACCTTCTCATACTTCCCGTGGTTGCTCTTATCTACTTATATACAACTACGGTTAGCATTTTCATGTAGGTGACTCCAAAATCTAGACCTTTCTTCTGAGTTCCAGTCATGCTAACCCACTGTCTTTGGACATATCCCCTTTAATGCTCCATAAACACCTCAAAATCATTGTCTTCCATGATCTCATCATCTTCCTCCACCAAAATCAAGCTTCTCTCCCCTCTGTGTTCCCTATCTCAATAAACTTCATAGCCATTTTTCCAAGATAGAAACTTAGGAGTCTTCCTTTATGCTTCCTCAAATCTTCCTCCCTTGTGCCAGACACTTTTTTACACTCTGGAGATATAGCAGTACACGAACTATAGGTCCATAACCTTTGGGAGCTTAAATATAGCTCTGGGCCTCAGTCAACTAATCTGGCCAGCTTCCCAGACCCTTACTTTTCAGAGGAGAAAAGGGCTGAAGTTATGAAGACAACCTAAGTAGTCTGTGGCCACATTTGAAACATTAAATTTATATCTCTAGCCCAAGTCTTTCACTTGCATTCCAAATTCTTGTATTCAGCCGTCTATTCATCACCTTCCACCCAGATGTCTGACAGAAGTATAAAGTGAAATTATAATATTTAACTCCCAATATACTGTTTCCTTAGCCTTCTCCCGTTTTAACACATTGTAACTTCATTATTCTAGTAACTTAGGTCCCAAGCCTTAAAACTTTTTAATTACCCATTATTGAAAGGAGTCTCTATTTAATAAATGTTGCTGGGAAAACAGGCTAGCCATATGTAGAAAGCTGAAACTGGATCCCTTCCTTACACTTTATACAAAAATTAATTCTAGATGGATTAAATACTTAAATGTTAGACCTAAAACCATAAAAATCCTAGAAGAAAACCTAGGCAATACCATTTAGGACATAGGCATGGGCAAGGACTTCATGTCTAAAACACCAAAAGCAATGGCAACAAAAGCCAAAATTGACAAATGGGATCTAATTAAACTAAAGAGCTTCTGCACAGCAAAAGAAACTACCATCAGAGTGAACAGGCAACCTACAGAATGGGAGAAAATTTTTGCAATCTACTCATCTGATAAAGGGCTAATATCCAGAATCTACAAAGAACTCCAACAAATTTACAAGAAAAAAACAAACAACCCCATCAAAAAGTGGGCAAAGGATATGAACAGATACTTCTCAAAAGAAGACATTTATGCAGCAAACAGGCACATGAAAAAATGCTCATCATCACTGGCCATCAGAGAAATGCAAATCAAAACCACAATGAGATATCATCTCATGCCAGTTAGAATGGCAATCATTAAAAAGTCAGGAAAAAACAGGTGCTGGAGAGGATGTGGAGAAATAGGAAAAATTTTACACTGTTGGTGGGACTGTAAACTAGTTCAACCATTGTGGAAGACAGTGTGGCAATTCCTCAAGGATCTAAAACTAGAAATACCATTTGACCCAGGCATCCCATTACTGGGTATATACCCAAAGGATTATAAATCATGCTGCTATAAAGACACATGCACACATATGTTTATTGCAGCACTATTCACAATAGCAAAGACTTGGAACCAACCCAAATGTCCAACAATGATAGACTGGATTAAGAAAATGTGGCACATATACACCACAGAATACTATGCAGCCATAAAAAAGGATGATTTCATGTCCTTTGTAGGGACATGGATGAAGCTGGAAACCATCATTCTCAGCAAACTATCGCAAGGACAAAAAACCAAACACTGCATGTTCTCACTCATAGGTGGGAATTGAAAAATGAGAACACATGGACACAGGAAGGGGAACATCACACACTGGGCCTGTCGTGAGGTGGGGGGAGGGGGGAGGGATAGCATTAGGAGATATACCTAATGTAAATGACGAGTTAATGGGTGCAGCACACCAACATGACGCATGTATACATATGTAACAAACCTGCACATTGTGCGCATGTACCCTAGAACTTAAAGTATATAAAAAAAACAAAACCTTTTAAATTACCCATTACTTCTCTCCCTCAAATCTCACATCCAGTCTCTCAGAAAACTCTGATTCTGAAGTATAGCTGTCTAATTCTCATCACAGCCACTGCTAACCATGTAGCCCAAGCCACTATCACCCACTTCCATTGCTGCTGCCACAGTCCAATCCACCATCAGCTCTTGATTGGACTGCTATTATATCTTCTTAACTTATCTCACTGCTAGCATTCTCTCAACCACTTGAAGCCTATAGTTTCTGTAGCAATCAGAATGGCACTTTTGAAATATACCCTGTAGTGTGTTCCCATAACTTCATCTCTGAACTCACTTCATATAATTCTCTTGCTTGTTCATTGGAACCGAGTCTCACAGACTTCCCTGGCTGTTTCTTGAACACACCAAGCACAATATTGCCTCTGTTTTTCAACTTGTTCTTTTCTCTGCTCATATTCTCTTCATGTTTATAATTACATAGCTCATTCAACTATTACCTTGCTAAAGAAGACTCCCCGACCATCCTTTCCCAAACAGCAGCCCCTGGCCACTTTGTACTCCTTTAACTCTCTCTTCATTTTTCTTCATAACACTTTTACGACCTAATAGTTTACATTTTTGTTCATTATTTATCTCCTTCAGCTAGAATGTTTTCCCCATGAAAGCATAGATTTTGTCTATTTGCTTAGCTGTTGAACCCCAAACACTGAGAATAATGTTTAGTACATTTTAGGTAATCAACAGTTATTTGTTGAATAAATAAATATTCAAGAAATCTGGATGGGTATGTATCAGATATTTATAAAAAGAGCTTTTCACCTGACACCGAAATTGAGTTTAGGGAACACAGGGAAGAGGAAGCACATGTAGCTGAATTGTGAGTCCAGGGTGGATAGAAACTGACCATAATCCAGGTTACTGAAAAGACAAGTGTCTTATGTTCAATAACAACTTACTAAAATCCACCAAGATCTGGATAAAAGTCGTTCTCCAAAGTGAGAGGGGAACAATAAAGGCTGAAACCAGGAGGGTTGTGGGGGCGGAATGGCACTGAATATTACAAAGATGCGGTAGCCAAAAATGAAGGAGAAGAAAAAGGATATGTCAGTGTCATAGAAACAGCAGAAAGAAAAGTTTCAAGAACTGCTGAGTCTTGTTCTAGTTGTGGGAATGATTTTAGTCATGTAGACTCAGAGGGAGTGTGAATAAGTACCGTGGAGTGGAGAGGATGTGACTAGATTTCTCAATTGCTGGAAGAGGGTGTTTGGGATATTGTTGTGACTGCAAACATGACTAAGCTAATTATAAGAGATACCAAAAGAACAGGCCATGATAATGAACTGTTTCAGGTTCATTATCTGCATGGTATGACTTAGCTGCTTGGCAGAATAAGGAGCATATTGTAAGGATGTTACTAGGACTGAGAATGTGGTTGGACCTTTCATAGCACTGGGTGAAAGTGTGACTGAGCTGGTGCTGAGAAATACTAACTGAACTACTGTTATGTCTGAGTGAAACTGTGTTATGCATGGTGCTGAGAGTGTGATTAGGTTCTCTAATACATGGAACAAATAACCAAGCTAGCTTTAGCACTGAAGATATTGCTGGGCTCTCCATGGCAACGTGAGCATGAGATTAAATGTCCCTGGTTTTGCAGATGTGACCAGACTGGTCAAGACTTTAAGAAGATTGTCTCCAAGATGTAAGCATTTCATACAGCCAGTGATACTGATATGTGTCAAGCTAAGCTGTCCATTGCCTCAAAAATTTTAATCTTTAGACATCTGATGGGAGCAACAGGACACCGGACATATGAGTAAGCTGTCTAGGAAAGATATAGCATTTGAAATAGATAAGCCACTAAGAAAGTGTGATAAGCTGTTTGTGGTGACGAAAGTGAGACCAGACCTCACTCTACATGATCCTGCCCAGTCCTTCGAGACCTAGTCTCAGCAATCTGTGACACTGGAAAAATAGCACTTAGCTACCTTTGAAGTTGAATAATCCTGAGTTGCCTCTGATAACAAAGAATGGGGTTAGGGAAATCCTTGCTTAACTGAATCACCTATGAATGATCTCAGAGATAATAGCTAGGTAATCTGTTGTTGGAGCAGGACCAAAGTAATTTACAGGGCGGACGAAAGTGCGTGCGCTATCCATGGTTCTGAAATAGCTAGTGAGCGCCTAGTCTGGATTTGAGCTGACCGTGGTACTGAACAAGAGAGGAAGGAATGGGTGAGAGCTGAATGGGACTGGCTTTCTGTGGGGCTTGGTGAATGATTGATCTGTTTGTAGTGCTGAATGAGAGTGTCAGGCTGAAATGCTGAGAATAGGTGCATTTATATTGGTGCTAAAAGGGAAGAAGAGCGTAATTCAAGAAAGAAAGCTGGAGTTTGGAGAAGAAAGTGCCTAATAGGGCACTTAAAACAGCTCTGCCCACCAGAATGGAGATCCAAACGAAGATGAGGAGGATAAATCTTAACTTCTCCTGAGTCTTTACCTCCGTATCATCTCTTCCAACCCATTGAGAATGGGATCAGAAAGAAGGAATAAATTTTTGTGTCAAAGGAAGAAAAGAAGTTCCTTATCACATGATCTGAAAGTGTTGTGAACCAAAAAACTCAGGATGGTGGATTGAGTCAGCTACAGAAACCTTGAGTTATAATAATTTTAAAAAACCAGAGAGATAGTGTGGTTTTGTTGAAATAGCCACTGGACTCGAAGACAGGAAGCATGAGTTCTGATGCTATCTGGGTCTTTTGAATTCTTTGACCCTCATTTCTGTAATTTGTAAACTGGAGATGATTACCTCGGCCCTACTTATCTGACACTGTAGGAAAATCAAATAATGTATATGGAAGCATTATGTAAGGTAAATTATAGACAAATGCATAATATAGACCTTAATATTTCCATTACATATGTGATTTAATAGCCAATAGCCACTTAGCCTATTTCAATTCCACACCACTAGCTCTCAGTGTATAAACAAAACAAACATGTGAGATCATTTGCAATTAAATTAAATTAAATATAAAGAATTTACAATGTTCCACTTTATTTAGTTTGTAAATACTTTTGAATATGGTTCAGCTGCCCCAAATAAAAGTTTTCTCATTTGTACAATGAGGGGATTGGTCTGGGTGTATAATCCCTTCTATCTTGACAAGAAGCCGTGTTCCTTTCTCCTATTTCGAATTTCCCCTTTACCCCAAATTTTCGTCCTATTATATCCTTAACAGATATCACAGGATTCCTTTCGAATTCTTGGAGGAAGAGGCCTGGAAAACAGTGTGAGTTCTTACAGTTTTTAAAGCTGTGGATTAATATTACCAGTTATATTTAAGTAAGCCAAATATTTTTAAGGATGAAGTATAGTTTTGATTCAGGAAGAATACTAAAGTCACTAATGTAGATAATTATTTGCCATTTATAAAGTTTTGGTGGACAGTAGAATTTGGGTAATCAATTTAATAACTGATTAAGGTTTTCTAGGGATGCTGAGGTCACAGGTTTAATTAGGTGATGTAATGTCACAAAGGTCATACATGAAAAATACATCAATGCATGTTTTTGCACTTCAAAGCACTGTAATATGTCTCTCCCAGTTTTCTTTACCAAAGCTTTTGCTAAGATGCAAATGACCTCCAGGCTGACAATTCCAGATAAACTTTTATACTTCTACTGACTTGACGTCCCAGCAGGATTTGACATGACTGGCCGCTCTATTTTTCTTGAAATCCTCTCTCTGTTCCATATGAGGCTTCACTGAAGGCTTCTACATACTGGAGGTCATTAAATATCAGAACTTCTTGGGATTCTGTCCTAGTCCTCTTTTATATCCCCTTGCATCAAAGTATAATCTCCTCTCATGGTCTTAACTCCCAGTCAAACCTCTTTTCTGTTCCAGACCTGACTATCCACCTGTTCTTTCTGGGTATCTCTCCCCTATAAATTGGTTGCTTCTTTTATATTCCCTATTTAGTTAAACAGCACCATCAAGCACGCAGTTGCTCACATCATAAACATGTAGACTCTCCCTCTCCCCACCTCTTCACATGTGCGCCAACCACCAAGTCACAACCATTTCTTATCTGGTCTCTTACCAGAGACTTGCTCATTAACTGGTCTCTCCCATATTCTTTTTTGCCTACTTTCATAGCAACCAACATAATCTTTTAAAACTGCAAATCTGATCATATCACTTCTCTGATGATACCTTTCAAAGGCTTCTCAACCTCTTTGGGTTTAGACATTCACATTCACCCCGTGTGAATGTCTTTCATTCATTCACATGGCACATAAGGCCTGGCATGATCTGGTCCCTGCCCATCACCTCCTTGTACATCACCCTTTTCCTTGTTTCCCCCCTAGTAGTTACCCTGGTCTTCTTTCACTTACTAAAACCCACCAGCTTGCTTTCTGCTTTGGTCTTTTCACACATGCTTTTTTCTCTCTCTCTCAGCAATGCTTTTGTCCTTCTTTCCCCTGGGTGACTTCTTTCTTCTTTCAGTTTAGTTAAGTGTCAGTTTTTCAGAACAACCATTCCTGACTGTCTGAACTGGACAAGTTTTCTTTGTTATTCATTTGCATAGGAACCAGTATTTCCTGGAGGCCATTTATTTTGATAATTATCTGTTCAATGTCTCTGTTCCTATGTTAGAAAGTAAGCTTCCTGAGCCACAGACCATGTTCATATCTTCCTCTGCTGTATCCTCAGCATCTAAAACAATGTGACACATGTAAGTGTTTGATAAATATTTGTGGAGTGAAAGAACAAATGAATGAATGATGATGGCTTTCTCAGAGACAGACTACTTTAGAGAATCGTCATGAATGTGCACTGTGACTGATAAGTTTAGAATTTCTGCTGTCAGTGTGCCTAGTTTGACCTTAGAATTAAAGAGATTGTTCCCATGCCCCAAAGACGCTGAGGATGACTGGCCTTCTCTTGTGAAGAAAGAGGAGCTTGATGCTGAAATATCAAGGCAAGAAAACTAAAATGGGGCAATGACTGAAGGGAAACTCAGTGACATTTATTAAGAAGGAGTCATTGGAATGCAGTGAAAAGAACTATGATTTGTAAATGAGGGGTTCTGGGGTTAGGTAGCCCTGGATGTTCTGCCAACTTGCTTTCTGATGTTGGACGTGTTTTTGTTGTTGTTGTTTTTGTCTTTGAGAGGCAGTTACTACACAGGAAGATGAAGAAGTGCTCTGAGGTGACCTCTGCAAACTCTGGTGCTTTATGAACCTGGAAATAATGTTATGGCTCTGATTCATTCTGATTATGATCTTGTGAGAAAACTAAGACTTTGTCATATTAGAGGCCAGGCAGGTTCCATGCAGACAGGTTGACTTTGCAGTAGCAAACATCAGGACTGGGTTGGATCACACACCTGGCAGAAGTATTTCTCCCAAATGTGATTGGTCTGTTTAGTTGCTTTCTGAATGCAACTTTTGGAGGAATTAGAAGACTACTCTTCATAGACACTTTGTTCTTGACTTCCTAGAAAATGAGAAACAACAGATCTGTGTGTTCTTGACTTCAATCAAATGTGGACATGGCCTTGAGTTTTTAAGATTCAGGGGCTTCTCTCTTGAAACTGTCATAGCCTGGAAGTGCCAGCGGAGCTGCAGGAGGTTATGGGGTTAGATGGCAAGACAGCTCTTTCTCATTCTGTTGAATATTTTAAAATGCTTTCATTATCAGTAGTTGCCAATAGCCTACTGTGTATTTATCACAATTAGGTGCTGTGGAAGATGATGTGGTGTAGTGGGAAAAGCAATGGGTTAGTGGTTAGTAGACTTGAGTCCCAGACACAGGTCTGTAATAAACCCCATGTTCAGTCTTTGGGCATCTTCTCTTCTGGATCTTAGTTTTCTCATTTGTACAATGAGAGGATTGGTCTAGGTGTATAATGAGGCCCTTCTATCTTGACAAGAAGCCGTGTTCCTTATTTTCGAGGCCTCTGAGTCTACTCAGGGAGAAAAGAAGCCCTAGCAACAAGGAAATCATAATAAAAATAAATAAGGGCTATATTATATGGTTCCAACCATGGAATTTTAAGTAATAAAGATAAGTGACTCAAGGTATTAAAGAAGGGATGGATCAACCTAGATTAGAGAAGCTAGTGAAGGCTTCCTAGGAAGCTGTAGGTAGAGTGTTTTTATGACTGTGTTTGTCACAATATGAATGCCACATACACATTGCACTCTGGGCTTTGGGACACTGAAAAATACACAAATACATGCCCAGACTGAAGTTCCCCACTGGGAACTTGGTTGAACACCTACCAAAAGCATGAGCCCCTGCTCATAAAGCAACTGTATGGTTGTTAATCTTCTTAAACATTAATTATTTCAGAGCCAAAGTGTTTATCATGAACAATAATCCCCCTTTTTTCTCTAAGTTTCTAAAGAAAAAATACGCAAATTATAATAAAAATTGACAGGTAGAAATGGGTTTTGGGCAAGGTTCTAAGCAAGAGCACTGTGAACATTATGTAAATGCCAACCAGTATAACGCAGCCCTTCAGTTTATTCCAGGGAAGCAAAGGATACGCAGGAAATTCAGTGTTGCTGTGCAGTTCTGACATTGAAGGAATCTGTCTTTTGTTCACAAGTCACATTCTGATTTGGTCCTCAAATTCTGCTTCTAGATGGCAAATTTGGACAAAAATATTGTATCTCCTTTTAGGCTAAAGCTTAAATGTCACTTCATCAGGGAGGCCTTTCTTGGTCTTGTCTGTCTAAATTAGGTGGCCCCAAGATCTCCCAAAGAATCTAGTTTATTTCTTTCCTGGCACTTATCACAGTTTAAAATTATATTTATTTGTGTATTTGTTTAATATCTGTCTGCCCCACTAGACTGTAAGTTCTATAAGTTCTATGAGGGCAGACATGAAAATCATTCTGTCTATAGCTCTGTGCCCCTGGTGCCTGGCAGCAAACAGCACATAGCACATACCCCAAGCAGGTTTGTTGAATGTTTTCATGAAATAGTCTCATTAGGTAAAAATGAGATCTCAGTGAAATAGTCGCATTTTGCAAACATTGTAGCATATGCTTACTGTTTCAGATTTTTCAAAATGCATTTGATTGCATCTAAAGTTTGAGTCCTCTCAATTTTTTTCTACACATTTTTACACTTATCACATCTTTTCTCCAACAGAGCAAAATATTTTCCATTGGTTAAGAAACTTATGTTTCAAGAGGATAGGGTAGTGATTATAATCTTGGATACTGGAGCCATACTTTCCATGCTTAAATCCCCACTCTACAAATTACCAGTTGTGGGACTATTAGAAGATTACTTAACTCCTGTGTGCCTTAGTTTTCTCATCTACAAAATAATCGTAATAATAGAACTACAGTCCAGGCACGGTGGCTCACGCCTGTAATCCCAGCACTTTGGGAGGCCAAGGCAGCTGGCTCACTTGAGGTCAGAAGTTCAAGACCAGCCTAGCCAACATGATGAAACCCCATTTCTAATAAAGATACAAAAATTAGCCAGGCATGGTGGCGTGAACCTGTAATCCCAGCTACTCAGGAGGCTGAGGCAGGAGAATTGCTTGAACCTGGAAGGTGGAGGTTGCAGTGAGCCGATATTGTACCACTGCACTCCAGCCTGGGCAACAGAGTGAGACTCCATCTCAAAAAAAAAAAAAATAGAACTATGAAGTAGTCATGAAAATTAAATTAAATGAGTGTAAAAACGATATATAGTGCTCAAGAACAAAGGAAGCAATAAATTAATCTTGCTATTAATACTATTATCTCCCAAAGTAATATAATTAAGTAGTTGACTCAGAAGTGCTACCCACTTTGTCTGATTTAGCATCAAAACATACAGTCTTCCTAATGTGCAACTCTTCCAACCAACAGTTGCAGAATTTGAGACTAGGTAATGGATCTTGCCTGGGACTCCAGCTAATAAGAGGCAGAGCTGGACAACAACCCAGATTTTCCAGGACTTTCTACTGTCCAGGGCCAAGGCTATCAATTTCCCCAGGATTCCCTTTTTCCTCCTCTCATACTGATTTCCCACAAAGCTACAACTGGAATATACTGGAGCAGGGGAAACAGTGAGGTGTCTGACCAGTCCCTGGCCAGCCACTGAACCAGCGGGCCAACCAGGATGTCCCGAGCCCCCTGCCGCTCACTTGGTTTACGGTGGGGCAATGAGCCAGGCAACCAATCAATACTTCCTGAGCACCTTGATCCATGGTGACTGCCAATAAGCTCCAGGGCAGCTGGCAGCCTGAGTGCTGCTGTCCCATGCTTAGCCTATGACCATCCACCAAGGCAGCCAGCGCTTTTAAAAAATGTGATCACAGCTTTATGTGTTTAAAAATTGAACAAAAAAGATGATTGTCTTACTAATAAAAGTATCTTCTTGCTTGCTTTCTATATTTTGGGCATAGTGCTAAGTATTTTATGAACACTGTCATTTTATCCTCACACAATCATAGGAGCATATCCTATAATTAACCCATTTCTGCAGAGAAGCCACTAAAGCCTTGAGGCTAACTTAGTGAAGGTCATAGCCTATTGGAGACCTAAGGCAATGTTCTTATCTCTTCTGCTCAGTAGGTAATGAATAAAAATATTAACACATCATTCTTGGGGAGTGGTAGTACTGGTGATTTTTTTTTTAATTGAGGAATACATACGCAAAGTACACCAAGTTCATTCATCTGAAGTTTACAGTTTGATGCTTTTTAAAAAACATATGCAAACACCTGTGTAACTACCCCCAAGACAAAGATGTAGAAAACGAGAAGACTCTCCCATGCCCCTTCCCAGTGGCTACCCCTCTCCTGCCTGGAGGGAACTACTGTTCGTTTTCTGTTGTCAGAGTCAGCACTTGCTAGATGTTTCTGATTCTCTTCCTGTCACTGCACTCTGGGCACAGAAACCTCTCCTCTCTTCTATCTATCTAAAGTCTACCCACCGCTGGGCATGGTAGCTCACACCTGTAATCCCATCATTTTGGGAGGCTGCAGTAGGAGGACCACTTGAGCCAAGGAGTTCGAGACCAGCCTGGGCAACATGGCGAGACCCTGTCTCTACCAAAACCACAAAATTTTTCCAAGTGTGGTGGAGGCCACCTGTAATCCCAGCTACTCAGGAGCTGAGGTAGGAGGATCACCTGAGCCCTGGAGGTCAAGGCTGCAGTGAGCTGAGATTGTGCCACTGCACTCCAGCCTGGGTGTTGGAGTGAGACCCTGTCTCAAATAAATAAATAAATAAATAAGTCTACCTGTTATTCACAACCTCCCTCAATTCCCCTTTTTCTGAAGCATTCTCTGATTTTTGCTGCTGGTCAGCTCTGTGAGCACCTTAAAATAATCATAATAATAATTACTATTCCACCTTATCTCCCAAAGGATTGTGCCTAATGCAAGTCAAGCTCACACCTGCTGATGAATTCATTCTAGGCTTTGAGTACCTCGGCTCCTCCCTACAGAGTATGAACAAAGTGTCTCCAATAGGACTCCCTCTTGTCACCTCACATTGTGGGCAGGGGAGTGGGCTTCCTGTTCCTTGTGCCAGTAACCAGCTACATGGCCTTGAATAAATCACTAAAACTGAAACTCCGCGTCTCAGTTTCTTTATATATAAAATGAGTGTATCAGACTAAATGATAATAGGAATAGGAGATAATAGACTAGGCTAACCTTTTTGTGCATCCCCTGTTTAATATTTACAGTCGTCTTGTGACATAGGTATTATTATGGCCATGTCACAATTGATGAAACGGACCCTAACCAAGGTCCAGCTGAGTTCACAAGGCCTATGCTCTTAGCCACTGTACTCTATAACTGGCCATGGCCACTCTGACTCCTTCCTACCCTCATGAACTAGTTCATAAAACATGGCTCTAGATATCTTTGGAGAACAGAGAAAAGCACAATATATAAATACCAAGGTAAGAAGAGTGACCATGGGATCTAATGAGCAAGATGGACCAAAGTGACATTCTAAGGACAAATATTAATAGTTCTAAGCCTCTCAGAATTAATGCTGGCAGGCAAGGGACAGAACGTATTTGCTTAGTGAGAAGGGTGAGAGAAAGTGCTGTCACATTCGAATCTTATTCCCATATGATCCATGACACCAAGCCATGATTTTTATTCAGTAAGCACTTACTGGGCTGCTAATATGTGCAAAGTTTTGATGGGGTATAGAAGTCAAGGAGAGGGAGACCCTCATAAACTCACACTCTGGTGGGGAGAGAGATACATACAGGCGGCACTCTAAAATGAGACATGCACCATGTAAATAAACACAAATTAAGAAGTGAGGTGGGAGCAGAGGAAGAGAGGGAAGGCACTATGCCTTGTGAGAGAATGAGATCTATCCAGGAGTTGGAAAGGCAGGTAAGATTTGGGCAGAAAGTGATTGTGCAGAAAGGGAGAGCCTGGTGGATGCAAACTGAATGAGAAAGAATACAGCAATTTAAGAGGGGGCAGGGACAGTGTTTCACTCATGGGCTCAGGAGTTGGGGACACTAAGCTCACAGTATCACTTTGTATCTGGGGACCATAGGGCTGGTCTGTATTCTGAGAGAGGGGGAGCTAAGGGGAATCTTGGGGCTGACACTCACAAAAAAAGCTGAAGGTCTTAAGAGCCTTCTTGACTTGATTGGGTGCTGACAGAAGGGAATACATGACTGCACATGCCCAGAGTCAGTAATTAGTGGGTTTCTCCTCCTGGTTTAACATTTTCTTGGCAATATTTATTTGTGAAAGACCCTTTACTACCATTTACCATTACAGACCATTCTCAGGTTTCTTTTTCATTTCCTTCTGATGATTGTTATCTCAAAAATTATCCTTGTAGGTATGTGCTCTTTCATATGCTTGGGGCAAAAACATGCTAATGTTTCAATTTATATGCTCATTTATTATTACTATTATCACTACCATTATTTGACTAAGTGGACAGGGAACTAGGAAATTACTTTTTAAGGCCACTCTAAAACCTTCCTAACATTTCAAACCAACTTTATGCCATTTCAAACCAAAAATTTCCACCAGTTTAAAAGCAATTCATTTATCTGTGTCAAACTTCCTTCCACAACATGTGGCTAGAAAGCCCAACCTTTGGCTTCTGTTACTTAAAATATATACACGTGGTTGCTTCTCCCTGCTTCATTTTGCAAGTCCAGTAAAGCTGATTCAAACTACGTTTTAAAATCATAGCAAGTGTTTTCTCTTTTCTGGCACAAATCTAATCAGGTAATCTCAAAGATCAAAATCATGATCAAGAATCAAATTTACACTAAGTGTGCTAGAGCTATGGGGGAAAAAAAGCCAAACAAAGCCAGAACCACAGAAATTTCTGAATGAGGCATTCTGGATTACAGATTTGGGGTTAAAAACAAAGATTAGGTGGCTTTGGTCTTGCCTGTTGTCACCTCTCTGAACGTGTATAAATGCTACACTGAAGGCTGAATAATACCCTTGGATACCTGGGCTTGTCTTTTTTCATCACAATATCTGAAAACAAAAGTTTCTCAACCTTGTTGTCCATCTGAATTTTCTGGAGAGCATTTGAAAAATACAGATTTCTGACTCTCACCCCCTTGACATTCAGAGTCAATAGGCCTGGAGTGGGGTCCAAGAGTCTGTGTTTCTAAAAAGTTCTCCACTTTATTCTGATGTGTGACTAAGAATGAAATCCACTGCTCTGATCCTGATCCTTACTTCTCTAACAAGATAACTTGTTGCCTTGAGTTTAGGACAAAACGTCTTGCTGAAGCTGTGTATCACCACTGACCCGGAGACCATGCATTCTTTGCTTTCTGTGCCCCTTTTTGTTTAGTTTTAACAACTTCGTCAATACTACCAGGACATTTGACCTCTGTTATCACAGTTTTTGTTAAATGTCTGAAATCACATCTGCTAATAAAACATCTTTTTATATCAACACAACTCTTTGAAGAGTATAAACTTGACGTTGATGTAGCATGTAGAAATTGATAGCTTTTGGATTTAGCTATATTTTCACCCTTATCCTTCAGAGGAAGAGATGCAGTGGGAGTCTTCTATGCATATAGATTAATAGTATTTTTCCAAGAACTATGGGTGTTTGAGGAAGGTCATATATTAAAACATCCCACAAAACATGCTTTGTTTTTGGTTTATGAATAAAATCTGTAATCCCCCTCAAAATACCCAAGCACATATCTTTACACTGTTAGCCACAGACTAACAAAGTCGCACAGCCAAACCTTTGCTGCTCAATCTTGCTTGTCTTCTACGTAAGAAATATCTTCTCTTCTATCCCAGATTGCCTCTACTGGAGACCACGAGCTCCTGGAACATACGTTCAGCTTAACATTCAGGCATAGCCAGAAGAAACTCCATCTGATGTCTGTTCTCTAGCCAAGAGGCTAGTGTGTGAAGCAAGAAATGAGAGGCAAGTCTGAGATGCCAAGCTCTGCAAAGACTTGCACTCGTTTGTCCTCCTCAGTGACAGTGGCTCAGCTTGTCTGATGGGAGCCTTGCTATCATTCACGAAACTACAGAAATCATGCTTTCTTGGGTGCCATTCCCATTTCCCGTCACGAGTTCCACCCTGGTTGCTGGTGCTCCAGAAAGTGCACTCCTTGGATGGAAACAGGGCGGGGGGAGTGTGGGGAGAGGCTTATGTGTGATTAGATGGTAAAATAGCAAATGTGATTTTAAATGATCTCATGGGAAATGCTGAAACCTGAGGAAGCAAAGAGGCTGCACTTAGATAACAATGCTCCAGCATCCACAATAGACTCATAGCCTGGGCAAGGCTGCCTTGACTGTGGGACAGGCTGTTTCCTATCATTGACCCCAGAGAGCGAGGTGCACCCATTCACATGGTACCTTCCTTGTCTCTATATTCCCATTCTGGAATAAACACTCTCATTTATTAAAATGTTTTTGTTCCCCTTCTTCCACTGAAATTTTAAAGTTTCACTTTTTGCATCTTGAAAATTTCATTTAAAAAAGTTTTGGAGTAATTTTCATATTCTGCCTGCATACTCAGTAATAGGCCAGGTCTTATAAAATAATAGTTTGAAATGAAATTACAAAAAAAAAAAAAAGATCTGAAACCTCCGATGAGATTAAACAAAACAAAGAGCAGGAGAAAATAACCTGTCCACAGGGCCATAGGACCAAAAGGGAGGGGTAGGTGGAGGAGGTGCTGCAAGGGGTCCCAGGCCAAGCCAGCTCCCCTGCAGCTGCTTGATTCATCTTGTCTCTCAATGCCAGTTAATAGAGGAGGAAACTGGCTTGGTGCTTTATTACATTACAACTCTGTTTACTCAAAACCTCTCAAGTCAAGCAAAAAAACAGCTTCTCTGGGTCAGGGTTCCATTCTTGTGAAGCCTTGGCCTTTTCCTGAAGGGACTGCAATTTGTGAGGGGACAAGCCAAGGACAGCCACATCCCTGCTCCAAGGCACAGCTCAGCAGAAAGGGTAGAGGTCAGAGGGTATGGGAGAGAGCTCCATGGAAGGTAGAGAGGAGGAGGAGGAGGAGGATGCTTCCCCAACCCCGGCAAGCTTTTTAAGGTGCTTCTGCTGTCGGTCTATCCACACAATGAAAACTGAACTGCCTCGAAAGATGATGGTTCTGAAATATTTATGGGTGGAATGACTTGAGGTCTGGAATTTGCTGCAAAATGATTTATTGGCTCTGAGTAGATAATTGTAGAATTGGAGTAGGTAAGAATTTATTATATATTTTTTTCTACTTTGGTATATTCTTGAAATTTTCTGTAACAAAGTGTTTTTAAATTGTGATGCTCATGCAAAGGCATTAACACTAGGCTGTTACATGAAAACTGAATTGTGACACTTTGTTGATTCTAACTTTACGAAAACAAAATTCTGCGTACATGCAGAGAATACTGTGTGGAAGGAAAGACACTCAAAGTTTGAGTGTTTGTATGTGTGTAGTAGAATTATGGGTAATTCTAATTTTTTTTTTCTTCTCCCTTTTTTTTAAACTTCTCTCCATATTAAACTTGGCAATTTCAGAAAATTTAAAGAGCATGGTGAGGGCTCTGTCAGGATTTCTGCCCCCCTTGGTCTGGCGAGTAAGAAGGAGTAATTGCTGGGAGTGTTGACTGGGAGAAGGGAATCCTTCCTTCAGAGGGTATCCCCTGAGTGCCCCTGGACATACATTAAGCCCTGTCATCTTCCCTCAAATGAATCTGCACAGCTAGAAAAGGGCTTCTCTCTGGTTTTTGGAACCACCCTTTCCACTTGCTATCTCTCTTCCTCCCATCCTAGAACTAGGGCTTCAGAGTTCTCAGAAGGGCATTGTTAGGGGAAATAGCTGTGGAGTTTGTCATGGAGGGTCAGTGCTGCCACTGGTAAGTTTTGTGTCTTAATTTCTCTGGATCTCATTTTCTCCACCTGTGAAATAAACACATTGTTCAAGGAGACCTCTTAGCTGCCTTCTGGTTTTGTAGTTGGGTTTGAACTTAGAAATGTCATAAAAATCATTAACCATCTCTTTCCTTGTGGATGTTCAGAAGTCTTACCACACTATTGGTATGATGTGATCTTTTCCCTCCTGCAACTAATTACCACAGGGTTCATCTGAATATACTTGCAGATTGATGGTTCAGGAGAAGCTGCCAATATTGTTGTTGGTGTTTTTGTTGTTGTTGTTGTTGGGGTTTTGCTCTGTCTCCTGGGCTGGAGGGCAGTGGCATTATCATAGCTCACTGAAGTCTCGAATCCTTGGGCTTAAGTGATACCCCTCCTCAGTCTCCTAAGCAGCTGGGACTATAGGCGTGGACCACCATGCCCAGCTAATTTCTTAAGTTTTTTTTTTTTTTGATAGAGATGGAGGTCTCGATTTGTTGCCCAGGCTGGACTTGAACTCCTGGCTTCAAGCAGTCGTCTCACCTGTCTCCCAAAGTGTTGGAATTACAAGTGTGAGCCACTGCAATATGGCTGTTTTTATGGTGGTTCCCTTTGGATGGAAATACTTTTGCTCTTTGGTGTGCAAGGTCTGTGCCAAATGCCTTCACCATCTGAGGCAGAGTGGAAGCTTAGGGCACAGAGAGGGAAGGCACATGGGGAAAGTCACCTACTGGAACTTCATTTCAACACCCACAACTCCCCTCCTTATTCTTGGACCACTTATGGATGCTGGTTAGAGTCGGGGGGGTGCATCTGACAGAGTGAAAAGAGCCATTCCAGGGAACTTTAGATGTCTCACTGGAAGAAACTCTCTCAGCTCTGCACTGGATACTCATTCAAAAATACATTGCTAGAATATTGTTCAGCCATAAAAAGAAATAAACTACTGGCCGGGGGCCGTGGCTCATGCCTGTAATCCTAGCAATTTGGGAGGCCAAGGCGGGCAGATTGCCTGAGGTCAGGAGTTCGAGATCAGCCTAGGCAACATGGTGAAACCTGCTCTCTACTAAAATACAAAAAATTAGCCGGGCATGGTGCCGTGCCCCTGTAGTCCCAGCTACTCAGGAGGCTGAGGCAAGAGAATTGCTTGAACCCGGGAGGTGGAGGTTGCAGTGAGCCAAGGTTGGGCCATTGCACTCCAACCTGGGTGACAGAGCAAGACTTTGTCTAAAAAAAAAAAAAAAAAAAAAAAAAGAGAAAGTACTAATAAGTGCTACAACCTGGACAAAGCTTAAAAATAGTATGTTAAGTATGGCACATGTATACATATGTAGCAAACCTGCACATTGTGCACATGTACCCTAGAACTTAAAGCATAATAAAATAAATAAATAAATAAATAAAATTTAAAAAATAGTATGTTAAGTAAAAGAAGTCAAACACAAAAGGCCTCATATTTTATGATTCCATTTATATGAAATGTCCTTTCATAGACAGAAAATAGACTAGTGGTTGCCAAGGAAGGGGAGGAAAAGAAGTGAGTGCTAATGGGTATGGGGTTTCTTTTTACAGTGATAAAAATGTCTGGAATTAGATAGTGGTGATGGTTGCACTACTTTGTGAATATATTAAAAACCACTGAACCGTACACCTTAAAATGATAAATTTTGTGGTGTGGGACTTACATCTTAATTACAAAAAAAAAACTGTATTAAAATTACATGGAACTCTAGACCCTCCAAAATAAGAATAAGACTAATAAAAAGAAAGTACATGTAAAGCTGGTGCACTCTAAATAAAGCTTATACCTGAGTTAAAAATACTGAGTTAAAAAATATGTAGCCATATCAATTTATGGCGGTATACATATCATTGTATACTGGTTTATACAACGTGCTATGATTATAGAAGATATTATAATTGGGGAAAGGTGGGTAAACAGTACATGGAAACAATACTATTTTTGCAACCTTTTGAGAGTCTTTCAAAAGCCTTTCAAACTATTTCAAAATAAAATGTTATATATTTTTTATATTTATTTATTTAGAGATGGAGTCTCACTCTGTCGCCTAGGCTGGAGTGCAGTGGTGCAATCTCGGCTCACTGCAACCTCTGCCTTCAGGGTTCAAGTGATTCTTGTGCCTCAGCCTCCCGAGTAGCCGGGATTACAGGCACGCACCACCATGCCCGGCTAATTTTTTTATTTTTAGTAGAAATGGGGTTTCGCCATGTTGGCCAGGCTGGTCTCGAATTCCTGACCTCAGGTGATCCACTTGCCTCGGCCTCCCAAAGTATTGGGATTATAGGCGTGAGCCACAGTCCCCAGCCTAAAATGTTATATATTTTTAAAGATATTAAAGTAAGCATGATAGCAGATGGAAGAGTGGTGGCATACAGGGAGGGTAGGGAAGCTCTGGATTCATTGAGCACCCATGCAAGTGGCCTAATTCCTTTAGTGCCAGTTATTCATGGTGATACCTAGTGTTCTGTCGTAGGTTCCAAGGCTGTGTATGTAAAATGTCATAGGCAGCCCTAATTAAACCTTCTTTCCCAATGATCTACTGCTGGATAGGAGGCCAAATCTTAAATGATGAATCTCTTTAAGCTATCCAGAAGTGGTTCGTTTAAGGTACAAAAGAGCAAAGGAGGTGGGTGTTTAACATTCTGATGATATCTAGGCTGGGGGGTATTTGGTCCACTTTAGTGAGCCTGTCGGAGGTGGAAGGAGGCCCATTTCTGAAGGGCCCAGCTTCCTGTTTTAGGAAACAACAGGAAGTGTCTATAGCAGTGATAATGTATCATGATGAAAATTATTTCAAGGGACCTCGTAGTGACACCAGCTACTTACTCCTCTCACCCCCTCCAAACTCCAGTTAAAGGGGGAAATAATCTGACTCTTGAATTCCTATCCAGAGGGAGAAAGCTGGAAGAGGGAGAGGAATGGGTATATCCAAGGAAGGAAGAAATTTTCATGGGGGACCAAGATGGGACCCCCCCCATAATCCTGAGGGATTTCCATTTTTTCCCTGTAGACTCATGAATCTTCTCAGTTGATCCTTATCATTGGTGTTCAGCATAATTGGCCACATTCACCTTGCAGAAGCAAGCCCTTCCCTTGGCTTTTATTGGCAGAGGATCCTCTTCAGCCTCCATAGCTGGTTCTCCATCATCTGACTATTGAATCTTGACATTGCTTTAGGTATTGTCCTAGGCCCTCTTTTTGGTGATTTCATTCTCTCCTATAGCTTCAATTACCTTATACCTAAATGGCATCTAAGCCCTTATCTCCAATACAAATCTCTCCCCTACATTCTGGACTCATATATCCGTGAATGTAGCAAAGTCTCAAATCTCCATTTATGGGTATCTCATAAGCATCTCCGGTTGAGTATGTTTAAAACTGAGCTAGATATTTCTGTTCTCATGCCCCACTCCAAAATGATTCTCCTTCAGAGATCCTCCTCAGTCACCGTCTACCTGGACACTCAAGCCAGAAGTCTAGAGGTTATGCATGAGTCCCTCCTATTCCTCACCCCTACCTCCATTCCCTACCAAGTCCTTTAACTTGAACTCCTAGAAACTCCCTGATTCTACCTCCCTGGCCACCAACACGATACATCACTATCTTCTCTCCTAGATGACATTGGTGAACGCCCAGCAGGTTTCCCCCTATCATTTCACCACTCTGCAGCACATTCTCCAGACTGTTCTTTATGAAAATGAACATCTTGTCAGAAGACACCTCTACTGAGAACCTTCAAGTGCCTGCCCACTGCTGTTACAATGAAGTCCCCAATCCCAGAAGTAGTTTATGAGTTCTCCATGATCTGTCTTTAACAATGCCCCACCTTACCCATTCTTTCATACCCCAGTGATATTGGGCTGCTCTCAGATGCTTGAACACACCACACTCTTCCAGTTCAGAGTCTTTGTAAATGTTCTTGCTTGTTTTCTCACATCCCATTTATTCCCTTCCCTTCACTTACCAATTTTGAGTCATCCTTCTCTCCTCAAACTAAACATTCCCTGACCCTCCAAACCAAGGTGGAATACTCATGTTCTACTCTCCTATGAACTCATTTATTCATTCACTCGATACTTATTTATTGAGCACAGCCCATGTGTGAGGAGCTCACAGTCTAGTAGGGAAACAAAGACTGAACAACTAATTCTGAAAATGACCACGTTAATGCCTCTTGCAGTGACATTTCCTAGAATAACACAAACTCACACAGATAGCAGTTGGTAATTGGCTCTCATCCTTGGTGGTTGGCACAGCCTAGTCACTTCATGGACCTCATGACAATGCAACACATACTCTCCGCAAATGAACTTTTTGGGCCCCACATAGGGCATCATGGCAGGATTTTACTGTGCTACCAACTGCAATAGGAGTTTTGGGGGAAAAATAAAAGAAGAAGTACTTATGTCACTGTGGATAGAAAGCACTTCTTCAGGCAATTTGTTGAATGCCTATTGTCCCTACTATGTAATTATTTAGGTAGTGCTTAATGAAAATCTGCTTAATGAAAATCTATGCTCATGGCTGAAGATATGAAAATGAAAAGATGATGAAGTTCTGCACGCATGGAACTTACATTCTGAAGGGAGGGAGAGACAAAATATGCAATTAGATGAATTAACAAATGCATATTAAAAGACAATAATTATTCCTCAGAAGGCAACATATTTTGCAAAAATTTTTTCTTCTCTAGCCAACCAGAGACTTTTATAATGTAGACTAGTGTTTGCCCCTTTGACTCAATCTCCTCTTTCCATGCTATAGTACAGGAATCTTCCTGTACCTACTGGAGACATGCATTAGAGCCTTCTTCCCAGATAAGTTACAATCTTCCTTCTCTGTTTCATAGGTGTATGTCTTGTGTTCATCTCCCTGAAAAGTTTTATTTGGGCTCCTTAAGAAAAGTGTGACCATGTCTATTCTGGCATGCTTCACAGTGCTAGGCACACAGTAGGTCAACAAACAACACTTCTATGAGGCCAGGAGTTCCTCCAGAGCAGGACCCGTGCCTTGTTTCTAGATCTCCAGCCCTTAGCACCAGGCCTAGCTAGGTAGAGAGGTTCTGAGCTAAGACTTAGGAGAGGAATCCAGGAATTGCTCCTTTTAATAATTCATCAGCTTTTGTCACATGTGCATTGATCGAATTCTTTTGAATACAGGTTATGTTTTAACCTGGATAATAACAATCCCTTATACACACACAGTCTTTGTAGCTTGCAATTTATCTTTGAGTAATAAAACCCAGTGAAAATCTGGTGGATAAAACGGTCCTTACTTTATACGTGGAGAAACTGGGCTTAGAGAGGTTGAGAGGCTTCACCGTTGACGTCAGGCTATGAAATATCAGAATGAGGTCAGAATAAGATCTCCTGGTCCAAGGCTCCTGATACCAAAATTTCCCAAATGTGACTCTGGCCTTCTTTGGTTACTACCCGTTGGGTAAGTCAACTCCTTTCAGGTGGTAACCTGCACCGGGAACTGTGGCAGTGGCCTGATGAGGTGGCAGGGAGAGAATCATGGCCAGTTTCTTGGTTCCTCTGCTTTCCCTGTACCTCTCAGACTCTTAATCCATCTCTGTGTTCATGATGTGCCCTGGACACGGGCTGAGAGGTCGAGGAGGAGCCCAGGAATGAGGATGCGTTGGTGGAGCCTGGCCTTCCTGTCAGAACTCCAGACACCAGGGAGAGATGAGCAGCTTGGTTTCCATGGCAACCTGCCCACCCAGATCCCTGCAGCTGCAGCCCCTGTGGGCCCCTGAGGTGGGGGCTGTGGGTGTCCTGCTGGGCCCTGGGGCTGCAGTAGGCAGGAGGGAGTGCAGGGCTGAGGCAGGCTGCTCACTCGGAGTCGGAGCTTCGCCTGACATGGTTCCCATGGGGACGGCTGTGGGCACATGCTGCCTGTGGTCAGATACCCAAATTAAAACTGCTCCGTAGTTCTGGTAGCTCCTCCTGGGCTCAGAGCCTTTGGAAGAAAGACTGAGTTTTGGGCGCACTAGCCTCTCAAACCTTCCCCGCCCCAACAAAAGGTAGATTTGAGAACTTGGGACTATGGGGCTTTCTGTTTCATGACTGGAGCATTCCCTCTGTGCCAGAGCCTAGAGACACCAAGATGGCTGAAGTGCAGTCACCATCCTTAGGGAGAGGCGAGAAAGACAGGCCATAGAGCTGAAAATTACAACACAGTATGGCCTGGCAACAGTGGAACTCAGAGCAAGAAACAGAGGAGGGATCCATCAATTCTGGGGAAGTTTCAGAATAGGAGGGAGCTTCACTCCACGCAGAGGAAGGGGCTCCTGCAAACACTGGAGGAAAGAACATCCTCTGTGACGTCACAGAGTATGAGGTGAAGTAGAAAGGGAGGAAGGGGGAAGCATGGCTGGGGGATGGGCAGGAGATCCAAACTGCGGAAATTGTGAAGCTGGGGTTGTATCCATAGGGAAAGAGGGGGTCATTCTATGCAGGGAAGGCAGCAGTGGGGCTGGATTCATGATTTAGAAAGGTCTCCATGGATGCTGTCAGAGGTCTGATTTAAGGGGGAAGAGGCATAGTCGCAAAGGGGCACTCATTGGAGGCACAGTTGCAAAGGGTCCTGAGACCCTTCAGGATCTTGAACAACCATTGTTCTGGAAGAAAGTATAATATGATATTTGTTTGGAAGGCCTGGGGTTCTGTAGGCATGAGATTCATTGAACCACCTCCCATCCCAAACCCCTGAGACAGGAAAGTTTCTGGAATGAAAGAGGGACACTCTGTATAGGGGTCATGAAGTCATTTGGGAGGAAAGGGTTTAACAGAGTAATAACACAGCAAATTGATATCTTGACCCCTGGGGTTCCAAATTACCATCACATGGATGGACCAAGTTCAGTGAATCATCAAGATTCGTGAACTCTGTAGAGCAGGTAGCTCTGGAGAAGAGGAACACCCTCACAATGAACAGAACAGAGCTTGAAGTCATACTGATCTGAATACTAAAAGAGTTGTGATTTTGTTTTGTACCCCAGGCTCCTAGTTCTAATAGGATTGGATGGGGGTTGTGCTGCTGTGAGAGATGCAGTGTTGCTCACATTATCTTCCAAATGGATTCACTTTCATTAAAATGACAATTGTTTTACAGTCATAATTGATATCTGTTTTCGTAATTTCAAAGTAAGAAAAAAATAGGTAGAAGAAAAGATGCTTAAATCAGCAATGGCAGTGAAATCTGTAGGCACCATTCTTAGACAATAGCATTTCATTTTACAGAGAGATGTTCAAAGTAAAATGTCTTGCCTGATGTGGATCAGCACAAGCTGGACAGAAAGGCTTTTAGAAGAAGAGAAAACATTTGAGATCTCAAACCTCTTAGCCCTCAGCTGGAGGAAAAACTGAGAGATGGGCTGAAAGAAGTGGGGTGTGTTCTAAGAGCTATGCCATGCCCAAGAGAATCAGGAGCTTGGAATTAATCTAAATGGACAGAGGAAATACGGAATGGATGTTAATGGATATTTCAATTCAAGATGAAATACGAGTCCGAGGAGCATTTCAATATAATATATATTTAATTGAAATGAACTACATATCTTAAATCAAAAATGATGTTAGCATTTCCACACAGGGTGAAAATTGCTCTGCGACCTGTATTTTCTCCCTCTCTAATGCTTATTTGGGTAGAGAACTGTTAGTTCAAATATTTGCTGGATGAATGATTGAATGAATGAACAAATGAAGCTGAAATTGGCAGAGGAGAGTTTAAAATGTACTTTTAATAATGCAGTTAATTTCCTGTACTTTCCAGGTTTTCTACAGTGGAAGATATTACTTTGATAAGTAAAATAAGATGAAAAACTGGGTGGGGGGACTGGTTAGGAGTCTGTTCTCTTGGAGGAGAGTTTTCTGAGGGGAGCCCTGAGGTGCCTGTTCCCCCAGGCCAGAGATGGTACTCTCCTGACTCATGAATCAACCACTTGAGAGATGAAGGCAGGTGCTGGCCATAAGGCTAGGGCAGTGAACCGGCTGGGACTGTGTTTCTCAGTAATAGAGGTTATATGTGGAGCTGGCATTCCGGGAGAGGGCAGTCAGATGGCCTCCCCCTCAAAGAGCTCACAGTTTGGCTAGGAAGGCTCATGCACTTGACACCTGTAAGTCCAGAACAATCTGTCTGTGACTGTGGCCAATAAAGGACAGAGTGCTGGAAGGGAGATGGCAGCTATGTGGGAAAGGTGTCTTTTGAGAAACCACTGTGGTGGCATGGAAGTGTGCACCTGCCCACAACCCCTGTCACTGTCAGAGATGACTGCACACAGCAAACGTCTCTGCTCTCCCTAGGTGCACTTCCTGGCACTCAGAGCAGAACATCCATCCAGGGATCTTCCTGGAGGGGACCAGGGTGGGCTGGAACTTTCCTGGAAGGGGCAGAGTTGTGTCTGGACTCCTTGGGGTCTGCAGGGTGGGGAGGGGAGAAAGGGAGACCTAGAAATGAGTGCCTGTCAAACTTCAGAAATTGCCTGGGGTGATCCTAAAATGCATATTCCGGAGTCCCATTCCTAAGATCTTATTGTTTTTTTTCCTTTTTGCTTTTTTGGAAAGTTTGAAGTTGATTCCAAGATTCTACATTTTTTACAAGTACTCTGGGTAATTCTGATATAGAGGGTCAAGCATTGCAGCTTGTGTACTGCCCAAACAAAATACCACAGACTGCATGGAAGAGAGATCTCTCTTCCTCTTCTAAGATAACCAATCCTATCAGATTAGGGCCTCAACCTTAAGGCCTCATTTAACCTTAACTACCTCCTGAAGGCCTCATTTCCAAGTCCTGTTACACTGGGGTTTAGGCTTCCATCTACGAATTTTGGCAGGACACAATTCAGTCCTTAGTGGTATACCACTCCTTTAGGAGAGTGGGACCTGCACACCTGGCTGAGGGTGGTAGGGGATGTTCAGTGACGGGGACCAAAACCCTGGTGAAGGATCTTGTGCAAGGAGATGACTGGATACCATGCTGCCAGCCTGCCTCAGATCATCTGAAGATCTGTGTGTAGAAAGTAGGGATTTTACTTCACCACAATGCTCTGGTGCTAGAAATGCTACGTTACTTTATTTTTATAAAATTAAACTAAATGTCTCTCTGAGCCCTCATTCCTCCAGGGGATGAGAACATCTCAGTCATCCCTGGAGCTCTTCCTCTCTCCACCTCCTCTCAGAAGCAAACAAAGCTTTCCAGGCCTGCCTTACTAGTTCTGAAACACTTGGGGAAGGTGCTCTGGTATCCCAGTCACAGTGGACATGCCCATTGTCCAAGCCTGCATGGTTTCTTGAAGGCAGTAGGTTACTGCTTGGCACTCTGCTTGGCAAGACATCTTTTTTTTTTTCTGGCTGGGACACCTGGGGCCTGCAACCCAGCTTCCCTTTTATATCAAGAGGCCATGTTCCTCTGGTTCTGCAATTTTCCTTAAACTTTCCCACTATGCCTAGCTCAGAATTTCTCCCCAGCCAAATTTAACAGGATGCACAAAATATTGAGGTCTCTGCCAATCAAGAAGGTCCCCTTTCTTCTTCCAGGCAACGTCAACTTCATCCTTGGTCCAAGAGAGTCCAACTCCACACCTTCCTGCTCTGGGAGTATCCACACAGTCTGTGTCCAGTAGGCCTGTGATGGAGCAATATTGTCCCTCCCTGGGGATGGGCTTGGGGAAGAACAGAGTACTAAAGCTGGGTGTTTTGATGCCTACTGAAGTTTCAGGACCACTGCCCTGTGGAATTTAATGGTTTACCCTTATCAAATTCCTTGCAGTGTTCTGGTCTTAGGGACTCAGTGTGTGGTATGTGGCATCACTCAGCCCTGGAAGGCAGGAAAGAGCTAGTGGGCATATTTCTTAACCATCTGCAAAGTAACAGGGCCAAAAGAGATCTAGAGTGTCTCCACAGGTTGAGTAGATCAAAGAATGTCAGCACTGGGAAAGACCACAGAGCTCATCTCATTGGCTTTCTTGTTTCACAGATGAGAATCAGAGGGTCAGAAAGGGGAAAGGACTTGCCTAAGGTCACACAGTAAGTCCATGCCAGGGCAGGAACAGATTCTGAGACCCAGGTCTCCCATTCTGGCGCTGCTCCTCTCATTCTCATCTGGCGTGGTCTGGTTCCTCTGCTTTAACCAAATCTTGTAATTTATTTGGTTTTGTTAACCTTAAAAATTATCAGATATCAGAAAACTAACATTACATCTGGAACATCTAGAAACCCTAGGAAAACACACACACACACACACACACACACACACACACACACACACCCCACTACCAAAACCACTCCAAGGTAACTGCTGCTAACATTGTGAGGCATATTCTTCCAGGACATAGAGGAAAAAAAACCCAACTTAGAGCTCTGGCATGCATCTTGGGGAAGCAGCTTTCTCACCTCCCAGCCTAAGCATTCTCCCACCAAGCTTGGAATGGTAATGGGTGTCCACAAAGGGAATGCTGGCAGACGACAGAGTGGAGGGAGAAGATCCAGAGACTACGTCAGCAGCACTAAACCTACTATGCTCTGGGGAGAGTCCATGAACCATTAGGAAAGGCACTTAGTGCATTTCTCTGAGACACAGGAGCTGTGCATCCTGACCTGGGCATGCCGCAGCACAGGAAGAGCGGGCAGGGCATCTGGATGTGGCGCTGGGTTCCTTCATCAGCAATGGCCTTCTGCAGTAAGCTGTTCTGGGCTATGGAGGAAGGGTGAGGCCACAAAGGATGATGAGAGCCAGGGAGAATCACACTAATGCTATGAATGATACCAGCTGACACTGGTTCTTGTCATTCATAAAGAGCCTTACGGGATTATCTTATTAATTCCCAGAATGAGGATGGCTGGGCTGGGGGTGCAGAGGAGGGGCTCAATGTATGGCATGTGGGGGGCTGGGATTTACAGTGTTCACCCAAAGATCAGTGGGTGGCTCAGTGGTAGGGAGGGGCAATGGTGGCTCCCAGGTTCCTCTGATAAAATTTTCTAAATGAGTTCCAGGCCTTCCCCTGAACTTATCCATGAACACTTACCCCATCAGCTGGGAGCCAGTCATCTGGTAAAAAGCAAGTATGCCTGTGTCCTGTGGGCCACAGCTCTGAAGTGAGAGGAGAAGGAGAGTGAGAAGGAGTCTGTTGTCAGGACCCCTTTCCTGCCTGACTCTGGCCCCTAAGCCACATTCTCCCCTCCCCACCTTCCTGATTCAGGCTGGTGGCAGAGGGGCAGCTACCAGGAATTGAGGGCAGACCAGTCAGCTCTCAAAAGAGAGAGGGGAAGAAAGGCTCACTTCCTCCAGTTCTTTCTCTGAGGCAAGTCCTGGGCTGAGCACAGACAGGCCTCATACAGGCAGACCTCGGAGGGAGCTGCTGCCCTCCCTGCCTTGCAGAGTCCTGACTCATTTATTTGGATAAGTGGAGGTTTGCTGTAATTACCCATGGGACTCCTCCTCCTCCCACAACTCCACACCCAGCACCAGGAAGGATACTCCCGTCCCACATGAGCAGTCCTCTGCAAAGCAGCGCATGGGGCTGGCAGCTGGACCCCTCAGCATAGCGGTGTAGAGAAGGGATCTGAATGAGGACGGGACCAGCAGGTGAACCCCATGAGGGAGGGACAGTCATGGACTCGACGGCTGGCAGCACACCTGGCCCCTTGACCTGCAAGCCCTCACTGAGTTCTCCCTGAAGCCCTGGGAGATAAGTGGCTTTATCTTTCATATTTTAATGCTGAGAAAATTGCGTTAGAGACACACTTTTCAAGAGAAAGATCAAGCAAGATGCTGAGGCAGCCAGTTCTCTGCACACTGTTGGGTGTCCTGGAGAAATCCATTTAGAACTTACTCCTGGTAGAATGTCCGCCTACAGGCTTGCAGAGGCTGAGTCCTAGGATAGAGCCTCACCTTCTGGGTTGTTTCTTTGGCAGCATCTAAATGTCTTCCTGACAAAGGCATGGAAGAACTCTCTTCAAGGAATGAAATTGGGAGGTCCTTGAGGGAATAGGGCTACTCTTTTGTCATCTTTGTGTCCCCATCTCGGCTCTTCAAAATTTAGTAAATATACGTACAATAAATATTTAATAAATAGTAATAGTAATCAATGCTAATTGAGCTGTGTCTCATTTAAGGATCACAGCAACCCTAAGAAATAAGCATTTTTCATTACAGTCTCCTTTTCTTTTCTTTTTTTTTTGAGATGGAGTCTTGCTCTGTCACCAGGCCAGAGTGCAGTGGCACGATCTCAGCTCACTGCAACCTCCACCTCCTAGGTTCAAGCAATTCTCCTGCCTCAGCCTCCCTAGTATCTGGGATTACAGATGCCCGCCATCATGTCCTGCTAATTTTTTGTATTTTTAGTAGAGACGGGGTTTCACCATGTTGGCTAGGATGGTCTCAATCTCCTGACCTTGTGATCTGTCTGCCTCAGCTTCCCAAAGTGCTGGGATTACAGGCGTGAGCCACCGCACCTGGCCTCTCCATTTTTTTAGATAACTAGAGCCTAAGAGGGATTGACAACTGGGTCCATGGTCACCCTGCTGCTATTTGGTAGAATGGATGTGAGACCCAAGCAGCCTCTGTTTGCCATAGTTTACACACAAAGGGGGCAATAAAGGGTCCTTGCAATGAGGATGTTGTAGGCCTGGAAGCAGGCTGCACACACCCACTCATAGATACAGTGGCACTCTCTCTAGCTCATTCCACACAAATTTGTCCACTTTTGGTCATTTTAAATCCAATTTCAATTCCATTATTTCATTCTGGGAATGGAATACATAAATGTATTGTTGCATCACTTTTCAGGATGGATGACAGAATCAGTTAGAAGTTCCCCACAACTGCTTGAAACAGAGACTCACAGAAGAGTGGCTTAAAGAATATGTGGGTCTCTTTTACTGTAACATAATGTGATACGCAGAAGTAGGTGGTTCAGGGTTAATGCAGCAGATCCATGATTCCATCTGTACTCATGTTGTTTCCATCTTTTGACTCTGCCATCTTTAAGATACAGCTTCTGTTCTTCAGAGTGCCTCATAGACACAAGATGGCTATTGGAGCCCCACCTTCACATCTGCATTCCAGGCAGCAAGAAGGAAGAGATGGTGAAGGATAAAAAGGCATATACCAAGTGATTTTTCTTCCTCTTTTGAGGATCTTTTCTGGAAGCCTCATCCAGCAATGTCCACTTATAATTAATTGGCCAGAACTTAGTGAAAGTCTATTCCTAGCTTCAAGGGAGAATAGAAATGGCAGTTTTTAAAAGCTGGGTACTTCGATGCCTCCAGTAAACTCAGATTTCTTTTAATAAGAAAAAGGGGGGAATGTATATTAAGCACACTCACCCCCATCTTTGCCACAGCTTTACTTTGCCTTGCTCTAGCTTTGGTCTCTGTAGCTAAAGACAACCCTGGAAAGCATTTCCACAGAAACTAAGCTGTACGTGACTTCCACTATCAGAAATCTTAAAGTCTGTCACTATTCTAAACTTTTTTCTCTTTTCAACAGCAGCCTTAAGAGCACAGCTCCTCTCTGGGCTGACCTCAGGTAGGAAACCAACTAGGTATGGGGGAAATCAACACCTTTGGCTTGGCTGTGCCCCATGGCAGCTGTGAGCCTCAGGGAAGTGAATGCATGTAACAGCCAGTCATAAACGACTGATGCTTCCTGATGTCACCAAGTCAATGCTCTTACTGCCTATCTTAGTTTGTTTTGTGCTGCTATAACAGAATACCCAAGAGTGAGTACTTCATAAAGAACAAATTTATTTCACCACAGCTCTGGAGGCTGGGAAATCCAAGATTAAAATGTTGTCATCTGGTGAGGGCTTTCTTTCTGTATCATCACATGGTGAGAAGGCAAAGACAGAGAAAGGCAAAAGGGGGCTGAATTCACCCTTTTGTAAGGGCATTAATCCCACCTATGAGGGCAGAGCCCTCAGGGCCTAACCACCTCTCAAAGGTATGCCTTTTAAAACTGTTACAATAGCAACTAAATTTCAACACAAGCTTTGGAGGGGACAAACATTCAAACCATAGCACTGCCATTGTCCGGAACCTTATTACTCAAATGAGATCCATGTACCAACAGCATTGGCACCACCTGAGAGCTGTGACAAAATTAAGATTCTGGGCTCACCACAGATCTACTGAATCAGATCTGTGTTTTCACGAGATCCTGGGTAATTCATGTGCACATTAAAGTTTGAGAAGCACTTCCCTAAAGAGCTGGGGGTCTGTATCATGAGTGAGGTGACAGAAGGTAGGTGAGACTACCTGAAACACTTCCTCCAGCCTGATTTAAGTATCACGAGAAAGCCATTCTCCTGCTCTCGGCTCAGTCTTCCCACCTGTAACATGAGGGGTCTGACTCAGATTCCTGCTCCATAAATTATGGTTTTGGACCAGCAGCATCAGCATCACCTTGTTAGAAATGCACTCAGGCCCCACCCCAGAGTGACTGAGTAAGAGTCTGCATTTTTGCAGGCTCCCTGGTGATGCATCTATATATTAAAACTTGAAAAATCCTGCATTCAATGCTCTGTGTGCCCTGGAGTAACAGAAATCAAAGTAAGTTAGGCGACTGGTTCCAAGTTCCCAGACTATGATGTGGGTGATGGGAAATGACTGATTCTTGCAGCTTCATGACATAGGTTGAGTGGAGATAAACTCTCTGTGAAGACTCAGTGCCTGGCCGACTACAGGGTCAGGGAGCAGCGAGTGTGGTGAGCCACACCGCTGGTACTGTCCATGCCTGGGCTTGGTCTGGAGTGGGGATCAGGCTTGGGATATTCCTCCTCTGGCAGTTTTCTGGAGCTAGATGGGTAGCTTTAGACAGAAGCAGGAGCTGCAGGCAGGGCCCTGGGGATGGCTGTCGATTGTGCCTTCCATCTTCCCTTCTCTCTCTCCAGGTTGGGTGGGCACACCTGAGGTGCATCCATGAGCAGTGGACACACCAGAGTCAATATCACCTGCATTTTTCAGCCAATAGACACAAGAAAAAATGCTCATGATCACTGGCCATCAGAGAAATGCAAATCAAAACCATAATGAGATATCATCTTATACCAGTTAGAATGGCGATCATTAAAAAGTCAGGAAACAACAGGTGCTGGAGAGGATGTGAAGAAATAGGAACACTTTTACACCATTGGTGGGACTGTAAACTAGTTCAACCATTGTGGAAGACAGTGTGGCAATTCCTCAAGGATCTAGAACTAGAAATACCATTTGACCCAGCCATCCTATTGCTGGGTATATACCCAAAGGATTATAAATCATGCTGCTATAAAAACACATGCACATGTATGTTTATTGCGGCACTATTCACAGTAGCGAAGACTTGGAACCAACCCAAATGTCCATCAATGATAGACTGGATTAAGAAAACGCAGCACATATACACCATGGAATACTATGCAGCCATAAAAAGGATGATTTCATGTCCTTTGTAGGGACATGGATGAAGCTGGAAACCATCATTCTCAGCAAACTATCGCAAGGACAAAAAAACCAAACACTGCATGTTCTCACTCATAGGTGGGAATTGAACAATGAGAACACTTGGACATAGGAAGGGGAACATCACACACCGGGGCCTGTCGTGGGGTGGGGGGAGGGGGAGGGATAGCATTAGGAGATATACCTGATGTAAATGATGAGTTAATGGGTGCAGCACACCAACATGGCATATGTGTACATATGTAACAAACCTGCACGTTGTGCATATGTACCCTAGAACTTGAAGTATAATTAAAATATATATATATATATATATATAACCTGCATTTTCAGCAGCAGAAGGAAGTGGAGCTTACTTCTCCAGTCGACTTGCCACTGAACACTTGGTTGTTAAAAAAGAATCCTTTAAAACTGTTTGATGTTTTGGACTAAATAAAGCTATGCTCCCACTCCAGTTGAGTTTATAATGGAGTCTAATTTTATAAAGAAGCCAATTAATGGCTTTGTAAATATAAATGAAAGGATCCCTGCCTTTTTCTCTTGACCAAAAGGCCGCAGAAGTAAGTCCTGTAAAAATGTCAAATTTTGCTCTAAAGAATGGCAGGACTTCTTCGATGAGAATAACAGGAAATGACTCACAGAGGGCACTCTGAGGCCGCACAGCCATACAAAGGGGCCCCCTGCGCAGTAATGCCTGGCTGCTGGCCCCGGCCAACTGCAGAGAGGAAAGTGCCCCGCCCACGATGGAGGATGCTGTCCATCTCCTCTAGGCAGGGGCTTCTCAGTGGGGCCCCAGGGACTGCTGGCATGCTGGCTTGTAGAGATGAACAACACGTGAGGCTGAGAGCTGAGGAGAGTCAGGATTTGATGCCTCAAGGAAAACTCATCTAGAAATAATGCTAAATTACCCACACAGAACTATCAGTCTAAGGACTATTACCTGTATTGGACTCTCTCTAGCTCTCATCTCCATCCCACTGGACAAGTTGGGTAGGGTTTATTGCAGAGCAGGTGGAGTTCTGGAAGATACCTCTCCTAATTTCTTGTGGACTAACTCAGGCCCGAATCTTTTATTCTGCCATCTAGCTCCCTATCTGCCTCCCTTGTACTTCCCTTCTTCCTTTTCTCCTGTAATCCTTTTTTCCTATTCCCTCCTCAATCCCTGGGCTCTGCCCCATCCAAGATCTCATTGAGATTGGGGGCTCTACCCTGGACTTCCCTGATTTCCAAGTGATGGGTCAGAAGATATTCAGAGGGAACATACCAGTGCAACCACAGCATTGTTAAAATATAGAACTTTTTCCATAGCACTGGTTAAGTGGCAGCCACAGTGAGCCTCAGTATTAATCAGAAAGCAGAATCTGTCTCAGATGGTTCAAGAAACTTTAGTAAAGTGACTATTTCCAGAAGTATAGATGGAGTTACATTAATTATCTATGCTATGTAACAAATCACCCCAATACATTGCAGCTTAAAGCAACAAATATTTATTATCTCTCACAGTTTCCAAGAAGTGAGAATTTGAGAGTGACTTAGCTGGGTGGTTCTGGCACAGGGTCTCCCTCACAAGGTTGTCGTCAAGCTGTCTGCAGGGGCTACAGTCATCTCTTCATCTCAAGACTTGCCCGGGGGCTGCAGGAGCTGTTTCCAAGCTCGGAATTGTTAACAAATTGCAGTTCCTTGCTGGCTATTAGTTAGGCTTCATTTTTTTTTGCCATGGGGGCCTCTCCATAGGGCTACTCGCAACCTGGTGGCCTGCCTTCCCCAGAGTGAATGATCCAAGAGAAAGCAAGCCAGAGGGCAGTCAAGACACAAGTCTCAGTCTGACACCCCCATTACTACTGCTGTCTGCCTCAAACCAAGGCATACAAAACAAACCAGGGATGATGTGGGAGAGACTATTCAAAGGGATAAATAGCAGGAGGCAAAGACCAGCAGGGGCCATCCCAAAGGCTGGCTATCCAGGAGTTAAGGATGTTAGGCACTCAGAGACTAGCAATAGCAGGAAACCATTTCCATCCTTAGACTGGAAGGGGAAAAGGAAGACAGCATTGCTAGAGCCCAGGAAAGCTGGAACAATGGAAAAGGAGTGCAGGACAGGATTTGTAGCACTGGAGGAATATAGCCACTGCTAGAAACACAGCCTGGAGCAGGGAGGAAGCAGGGAAGAAAAACCCTGACTGCTTCTCTTCCTTTCCTTCTATCTCTTGCTGGTGCCTCCCATTGACTTAACCCAACTGGAAGTCAGTCAGCAAGGAAGTCCAGCTGATGCAGCCTGAAAGGATCTGTCTCTCTGGATACAGGTCAAGGAAGAGAAAAACAGATAATGAATCTGAGGTGGGAGTGTGGGTAAATGGATTCTAACCAGCACCCCTAACTGTTCCCTATGCCCTCACCCCTAAAATGTCCTGGGATCCAACCTCTAAAGGGCGACACCCAGCTACATCTCTAATCCAGCCACCCACTGCCTTCCTTTTGGCCAATCTCCAAGGACCCTCTCGCACTCAGTGACATTCCATTCTGTTTGGTCAGTGCCCAAGCCTCACCAGAGATTAAATATTTTTAAATATCACCTCTGGCTAAAACAGACAGCAAAGGAAATAATTTTAACTAAAGCAGAGAAGGATGGCCCAATGAGAGTCAAATGAGGGAGTTCGGTCTTGAAATAGGGAGAACCCATGTTTCACACACTAAAGCAGCCTGAACCAGGGCAGAAACAGGCTCTATATCCCACGGGGAAGGGTGCCCCTGGCTAAAAAAGAGCTGCCATTTTGGATTCGGAACAAATCTCTCAGCACCACCAGCATTTAATCTGTGGTTTGGCATGCTTTGTTGGGTTCCAGTGGTGGGGTGGGGGGCAGGGGACAGATCAGCACACTAAGCCCATGTTCCCAGACAGAACATCCTCCACACCTTTGTCTGAAAGCTGTTCTCTGCATAGCAAAAGGCTATGGAGAACTTGAGGGATGACAGGAGTGGTACTTAGCTTGGAATGAAGTTAGGCAGAGAAGCTTCCCCAGATTGAGTCCAGAGCTGCACTGGGATTCAATGAGAAGGAATCGAGAAGCAGAGGACATTCCAGTGGAGGGGATTGTTGTGAGGAGGATGTGGAGGCAGGAAACACAGGGATTATGCAAAGAACAGCCTGGGGGCTGGCAGAGACTGAATGGGAAGTAATGAGTTTGGTGGATTAGAGGGAAAATGTCCATCATGGCCTGCAAAAGAAGACACAAGTGGCCTCATTCTTTCTCTCCCTGGGGGCTGCCTGAGCCATTTATCCTATGCCCGAGGCCAGCCGTGGCACATCTGGGCCGGCTGATGAAAAGTCCGTGATGGCAGGTGGAGTTGGATGTCATAAAGGAAAGGAGGCCAGGTCACTATAACTTGTCCTGTACTTTTGCATAATTATTTGCACATTGATTGTAACATGTTTACTGTCTAAATGAGCATAAACCCGTCAAGTATTTCTCTGTCTTTTCCAACACCTCTGGTTTTTGGCATTTCTGCCCTTGGCCATTCCTTTACAGACCTCCAACCCGGTGCGTGTCCCCTCTTCTTGCTCTGCTCACCCAGAGGTAAGGGCTCTTGAGGATGAACAAGCAGAGCACACACCTCAGAGAGCATTTGAGTCAGCCCTTCCGTTTTATTAATATCAAAATCGGGCCTAGAGAGGGGATGGGTCTTGGTGACGGTCACATAGCAAGTTGGTGGGAAAGCAGGGACTGTGAGGAAGGCAGGGAGGTTTTCTCAGCATTGAAGGGAGGGAGCAGGAAAGTAGCTTCAGGCCCCAGTGGCTCTGAGAAAAGGCTGCTGTTGGGCTCATCAGAGCATTCTTAAGTGTAATTGACTTTTAGGCATTAAACTTTTACCAGAATGAGCTCACACAAGGTCTGTAGGGAGAGGGAAAGTGCCTGGCGTTTCCTGCCTCATGGGGCAGTGTCTGTATGGAAAGCCCCTCCTCCTGGCTACAGGATGTGGCCCTCTCCTGGGAGGGAGAAGAGAGGTGAGGTCCCGGGAGATGGTGCAGGCTAGGAAGCAGAGTGTTCAGTGCCCAACTTGTCCTCTCCAACGCTGGGTGGAAAGAGGACAGGGGTTTAGACCACCCACCCAACAGCCGTCAAGCAGTCATGCTCTGTGTAGAGAGAGACTACTGCAGGGGTAGGGAAGAGGAGACAGAGAGCTCAGTCCCTCCTCCTAGGACACAGCCCTCTCCTCTCCTGACCAATCTTGCTCACTGGTTTGTCCCTGAATCTGTCCTGCCATCAATCATGAACCTTGTTTCAATCACTACCAATCTCTGGACATCAGTGTTCTCCTCTGTGTAATGAGCTGAGCCAGATGATGTGTTGAAGCTTTCTGAGTGTGGCCATTCCCTAATGAGGGCATTATCTTCATTCTTAGGTGGGCAGGTGCCAAGACATAGCAGCCATCCCTGGAACAGCTGCAGCCCCTCAGTTTGACTTCAGAGCTAAAATGAGGGATGCTGAGGTTTACTGAGACTTCCATTTAAACCCCCAAACCTCAAGGGCAGGCTTTTTGTTACAAGTTTGTTGAAGCTGACATACTGTGAACTGCACACATTTAAAGCATACAACTTGATAAATTGTGACCCATATTATTCACTTGAGAAATCATTACCATGAACAAGATAGCAAACATATCAACATCCTCAAAAGCTTCCTCCTGCCTCTCTATCCTTCTTTCTTATCAATCCCACTCTCACCCCCAGCTTACCATGGGTTTACTTGTCATTACTGTTTAGTTTACATTTTTTAGAATTTTAGATACATGCAATCACTCAGTTTATACTTGTTTTTGTCTAGTTTCTTTCACTCAGCATAATTCGTTTGAGAATCATTCCTGTTATTGCTATCAACTATCAATAGTTCATTCCTTTGTGTTTACTAGGTAGTATAGCATTGGATGGATATACCACAATTCATTTATCCATTCACCTGTTGATAGATATTTGGGTTGTTTGCAGCTTGGGTCATTAAAAATAAAGCTACTATTAGTGTTTGTGCACAAGTCTTTGTGTAGGCATGTTTTCATTTCTATTGGGTAAATACCTGGGAGTGGAATGGCTGAGTTGTGTGGTTGGTAGGTGTACGCTTAACTTTACAAGAAATAAGGAAACTGTTTCCTAAAGTGGCTAGCTATTTTATGTTTCTACCAGCAATATATGACAGTTCCAGTTACTCAATATCCTCAACAAAACTTGATAGTGTCAATTTTTTCTTTCTTTTCTCTAAAGTCCACTTTATTGTTTTTCTTCTTCAAAAATTAGTACTTTATATGTTGTACTTAAGAAATCTTTGCCAACCCAAGATCATTCTCCTATGTTTTCTTGTAGAAATTTTTAGTTTAGCTCACATTTATGTCTATGTTCTATTTTGGTTAATTTTTGTATATGGTGTGAGGTAAGAATCAATGTTCGTTTTTGTTGTTTTTGTTGTACCTGAGTACCCAGTTATTCTAGAAACATTTTTTGGAAATGGTTTCCTCATTGAATCTCCTTGACATCTTTGTTACGTATCAATTGAACATATATGTGTGGTTCTATTTCTTTTCTGGATTCTGTTCTGTTCTGTTCTGTTCTGTTCTGTTCCATTGAGCTATTTATCTATATTTATGCCACTAATACACCATCTTGATTACTATAGCTATAGAACATTTCTTGAAATCAGGTAGTGTTGACCACTCCAACTTTTTTCTTCTTTTTCTGTTATTTTCGCTATTCTAGGTCTTTTGTATTTTCATATAAATTTTAGAATCAGCTTATTAATTTCTACAAAAAACTTTCAGGGACTTTAGGATTGCTTTGGGGAAAAGTTATGTCTTAACAATATTGAGTCTTCTGATCCATGACCATAGTATTATCTTCTTTAACTATTTAGATCTATTTAAATTTCTCAAAATGTTTTGTAGTTTTCAGTACACAGGTCTTGCACCTTAGTTGTCAAATTTATTTCTAAGTATTTCATATTTCCCCATGCTATTGTAAATAGTATTTTAAGTTTTAACTTACAGTTGCTCTTTGCTAGCATATAGAAATACAATTGATTTTAAAATAATGATTTTGTATCCTGCTGCCTCCCTAACCTCACCTTTTTTGTAGATTCCATAGGAATTTCTATGTAGTCAATTATGTCATTTGCCAACAAAGACAGTCTTACTTATTTTCCAATGTATCTGGATGTCTTTTACTTTTTCTTGCCTTATTTTCCTGCTTAGGATTTTCTATACAATGTTGAGTAGAAGTTTCATGAGCAGCCTTCCTTGCCTTGTTTCAGATCTTTGGGGGAAAGTATACCATTATGTAGTTAGCTCTCCTTTATTTTATGCTCTTCGTCAGGTTGAGGAAATTCCCTTTTATGCCCAATTTGCTGGAATCTTAGAGCATTTTTTTAAAAAAATCAGGAATGAACGTTAAATTTTGATAAATGACTTTTTTTCCATCTTTTGAGATAGTCATATGATTTTTCTTTTTTAGTTCATCAGTATGGTGCATTACACTGATTGATTTTCAACTTCCGACCATTCATGTATTTCTGGGATAAATCCCATTTGTTGTAATGTATTTTTAAAAACATATTTCTGGATTTGATTTGCTAAATTTTGTAAAATATCTTTGGATCTATGTTCATGAAGCTTATTGGTTTGTAGTTTCCTTTTCTTGATACGTCTTTGTCTGGTTTTTATACCAGGACCTCATAGAGTCAATTGGAAATATTTCTACTGCTTCAATGTTTTGCAAAGTTGTGTAGAAATTGAATTATTTTTTCCTTTCCTGGAGTTTTCTTTGTGGAAAGAATTTTAACTAAAAGCTCAATTTTTAACCTAGATATAGTACTATTCAAGTTATTTCTTCTTGAGTGAGGCTAGTTTATGTCTCTTGTGGAATTTATTCACTTCATCTAAGTTGTTGAGTTTATCAGAATAAAATTGTTTGTGATAATCCCTTATCATGTTATTTTCTGTAGAATTTATTGTCTATAGAATTAGTGGGTGATTCTACAACAACACGATAATAAGGGATTCATTCTATTCTCATTCCTGGTATTGGTCATTTATAACTCTTCCTTTTTTAGCTGGAAATTTTTCAGTTTATTGATCAGCCCAAAGAGCCAGCTTTTGGTTTTATTGATTCTCTTTATTATTTTTCTGCATTCCATTTCATTAATTTCTCTCTTATCTTTATTATTAATTATCTTCTGATTAGGAGCATGTTTTTAGTTTCCAAAGCAGCTTTAGGGATTTTTCAGGTATCTTTCTGTTATAGATTTCTAATTCAATTCCATTGTGATTGAAAACATATTTTTAGGATTTGAATATTTAAAATTTATTGAGACATTTTATAGTCCCATCTTGGTAAATGTTCTATAAGTACTTAAAAATAATGTGTATTTTGTTCTTACTGAGTTCTATAAAAATCAGAGCAAGTTGGCTGATAGTTTTGTTCAAGTCTCCTATACCTTTTTATATTTTCACTCAGTCCTGGAGTGGTCACTCCCAACTCCAGGCAGGGCGTTTCCCTCACTTGATGTCTCCCCTGATTAGTGGTCCATCCCTTGAGGCTTTGGTGCCCTCCCATGGAATAGTAGAAACCTCTCTTTTCAAACTTCAATGTGAAAATGGATGATCCAGAACATTACTGAGACCTTCACTTAGATCCAAAGCAATTTTTTTTTCAAGTATTGCTCTTTAAAACATTAATTTAGGAGAAAAACTGCGTAGAAGTCTAACTAGGGCTCATGAATCAATAGAATATGAGCCATCAGCATGATTTGGCTCCAGGTATATTTCCTATAGTCCTATAGCTCCAATATACCTCCTATACTTAAAATATAGGAAGAACTTAGAGTATGGAAAGGGGGCAGGGGAACTTGAAGCTGCACTGGCACCAATGACACAGTGTTTTTACTTAGCCTGTATGCTCATTCAGAGTATCTTGAATTGGGGGATTGGTGCAGATTAAAGGAAGCTAAATTAGTACCCCCAGGATACCTCTTGGTAGCACTACAGTCAGACTAGTACAGTTGTAGTCTACATTAATAGAAGTCTATTGTCCAAAAGGAAAAGATGTTCCATTGCTCCCTGCTCTTCTAAAACCTGGGCACCTGGTTTTAGAAGAGATAGATTAACCATATTTAGAAGAGATAGATTAACCATAGATTGCCTGAAGAAGGGAGAGAATAGAAAAAGGATGGAAGCTCTGTCAAAATATTAGGGGACCAAATACATCTACAGAACTGAGTATATTAAATTTGGAGAGGGAGCACAGCATCTCCCCAGTGTGAGTTTCCACATTGTAAAGACAACTTTAAAAACATGCATTACTTTGAGAGAAAAAGAAATGGATGCAAAAGGTTCACAGACACTAGCAAGAAAACCCTGTACCTTCTGTTTAACATCAAGCACATTGTCTCTTTTTGTCTGAGAGGCAGTGCAGTATAGTGGTTGATAGCTTGAGACCTAGAGCCAGAATGCTTGGGTTTGAATCCTGACAAAACCTCTTACTGGCTCTCGAAGAAGCCTCTTATTTCCTCTACATGCCTTAGTTTCCTCATCTGTATAATGAAGGTTACAAATAGTTTCTACCTAATAGAGATATTGTGAAGAGGTAAGGCTGGTAAAGTGGTTACCTGGCCCAGAGTAAGTGCTCAATAAATGTTAGCTCTTGTTTTCTCAGTGCTACTTTGATTACTCCTTGTGTATCAAGGGACAGGATTGCCCATTCAATGACCCCGGAGGTTCTATCTGGGTTGCCAGGCAACAAGCAATCTGGAATCAGTGGCTTACCCTCCTTGAGCAGGAGTAGCTATACAGGATTTCGGATCCCCAAGGGCATTGGGTGTTAGAAACTGACATTCCAAGACTGCTCCCTGGAATAGCTGGCTCCCTGGCCCAATTGTTTATAAGGCAAGCTCTCATCTTCGCCCTATAAAAAGGTAGAGCAATAAGGGGTGGGATTCTTTCCTGGATCCTGCATGCTGCTTGGTGGAAGGGATGAAAAGGTGGGACTGTGTATCTCATCTTGTTGACCCAATTTCTCCAAGGAAGCCTGCTCTGTTCTCACATTACATGTCATGGTATTTACTGTCACCTACTACCCCACATTCTTCTCTGAACTGTCTCACTCCTCTTCACCTTCATTCCCTGAAAACATACCCTCAGGGCAAGTCCCTTGCCTGCTTCTAGAGCTGGGTGTACTCTCTCTCTCCCATGATGTCTGCTCCTGGGGTTTCAGACATCACCTTTGCACCGAAGACTCCTGTCCACACCTTGTCCTCAAGTTCAAGTCTTGGCTGGGCATTGTCAGTTAGACCTGACATCTTAAACTTTCAAAATATTTAAAATTGAATTACATTTTAGATGTTCTTCCTCAGCCATTAAAACAAACAAACAAACTCCAACCCTTGCTCCTCCTATGCTATTAACTTAGTACCCTTTACTGTCATCTATCTTGTCCTCCCTCATGGTCAGGCAGCTGGCACAAGCATCTTGGAATCACACCGCATTGCCCTCACCTCCTTCCTGGCTCAGTGCCTCTTCCCTACCAGGATCAGACCTTGTTTTTCTCCATTCCACCTTGCACATTCTATCCAGTTATTTTTCTTCCCTGCTAAAACACCTTCAATGCCTTCTTATTATCAAAATACGCTAGAACTCCTCACTCTGGCATTTGAGGCTCTCCACAAATGTCTGTGTCTAAGATTCAGTTGCTGCTGCTCCACTCCCTATACTCCATGTCCAGTCAGTTGGGTAATTCATACTTCCTCACACTTTCTAGTTGCCATTGAGCTGCCTGTACTGTCTCCCCGACTTCAAACACCCTCCAAAACCAGGTTCACCTGTCAAAATCCTACATACCTGTCAAGCGCATCCATCTCAGATGCTCCTCTCTCAGGAGGTCTTTCTGTGAGCTTGCTTCATTCATGTCCTCAGAGCAGAGGCATGTTTCTGGTTTATTACACTTGTTATGTTGTATTGCATTATTATTGCATGGACACTCATCCAATTCTCCTGCCAAAGAGCAAATATGCTCTTGAGACTATAGTCCTATAGTCTATTTGGTTAGAAGCAGTTTACACAAAATACACTGCATTCATCCTTGGAACATGTCTGCCAGATGAATTGCACGGGGGCTGATCTACCTAGAGTAAAGAAAACTCAGAGAATAAGGGGACTGGATTCATGTGCCTGGAGGGCTGTTTGCAGTGGAAACTCAGTATGTCCCAGGGAAACAGAGCTCACACCAACATCTCTGCCTCCTGAGGGTGTCCTGGATCCTCTCGCAGTGAGCAATATTTCTAGGGATATTACTATGAGCTTTCTATCACCCATCCAGGGTTTAGATAATTCACCATATCCTGCCTGGGCTCTTCTCCCTTCAACCCTATGGCTTTCTAAGTGCCAGGCCTGTGTACAGATGATGTGCAGCCCTCTCCGAAAAGAACATGTTGGACATTTGCTGCCATCTAGTGAAGGTAGAGTGGTCCAACCTTTTGATAAAGCTAAGCAGATCTTGTTTTCTCCCTAGGAGGTGGCCCCTGGAAACCAGCCCTGGTTAAACAGAAGCATGTCAGGGTATACAGGTGTGCATGGAAGGGAGGAGGGTGAAGCCTGTTTTATTATTATTTTTATTTTGTTCCACATATTCTGAGGGTGAAGCTTCTATACAAAACAGATCACATTCAAGCTCCTGCATGGCAGTCTGGAATGGGCAAGACCATGTCCTTCCAGATCCTCCCCCTACCTCTAGCCAAAAGGTACCCTTCTTGAAATGATGACGAGCCATCTTTTTTTTTTTTTTAGAAACTTGATAGGGAATCTATAAAACACCTAAGGTTCATAATCAGAGCTTCTTTTAAAGGAGCCATAGGTTACTTCCAGTACCTCAAGGAGAATGTGGCCATGACTTTGTAACTAGTGATTTCCACAAGGCCCTCCCAGTCCTGCACAGGAGCCCTGGTAGCCCATCTCAAAGCTTCCCTGGTCCTGAGCCCACCCACTTCCCCTTCCCATCATGGCACACAGGCTCGGGCTCCACCAGGTGCATGACTGTATGCAGGTCACTCAACTTCTCTGAGCCTCAGTTTTCTCCTTTTTAAATGGGGTATATCTTCCTCATTGGGTTGGTACGAGGTACAAAAGAGATCATTCATGACAAATGCTTAGCCAGTGCCTGATGCACAGAAACCACTAAATAAATATTAGATAATGATATTATCACTATTTTTACCAATGCTTCAGAGCACAAGGCTGCCTACAAAACTCAGGCCCTTGAAATGAATACATCAAGTCATGGTAAGATCTTACACACTGAAAATAATCACCTCTCAGCCCACCACAGGATCCAGTGCTGCCATTCCCTTTGCTGGGCAGTGTGGGGCAGGTCAGAGGGCCCGACCTCAGACTCCAGGCTGCTGACAGACACATCAGTTCTTCTCACCTGTCTGAGATACAGGGTTCCAGGGCTATCTCTATGAGGTTTTCCTCCACTCCTCAATGATCACAATGTAGGTTCTTTGCCCCTCGCCCAGCCTTTTGGGGGACTGAAAGCCTAATGCCTGTTTGACCTCTTGGCATCTCCAGTTTTTAGGGAACTCCTGGGCTCCTCCTGCTCCCAAGCCCTTTTGATAGGTCTGGGTGTTTCTTTGAAACAGACATTCAGCCAAAACTGTAAATAGGGCTCATCAAATGGCTAAGATCACTGGTTAAGCAGTATGTCTATGGATCTCTCACCCCGTGCCCCACGTGTTGCTAAGAGGGTACTCTCTCTGTCCAAGGTGCCCACTGCAAATATCTTAACCAGCCAAGTGGGGCTCTCTTTTCAGTTTCAGCAAGTGATGTGCTGCAGTCAGCTTGAGCCAGCTCTCAAGAACTTATTATGAGCATCTCTTCTCAACTCCACGTCCAGTAACATGTTGATAGCTTGAAATCAGCCATAATGGGAGTACTCACACCACAGAGATTAGTGAATGCTATAAAGCATGGCTTTCTTTTTCCTGAACAGTCAGTTGTTAAACACTTGTCAGATACACCACTGGTTCTAGTCTTTAATTGCAAGCAAAGCACCACATTTAAACCACTACTCACACAACCACTGAACAAAAGGGGAATATTAGTGTACTACCTGAAAGGAACACAAACAGAAAGCTTTATTGAATTTATATATATATATATATCTGAGATGGTAGCTTGTGAAAGGGTAGTAATTGACAAGTCAAGATTGTGCCTCTAGGTTTTAAACAAACCCAAAATAATTAATGTTGGTAAAAAATGTCTGCAATAAGCTATTCATTTATTGGCAAGTTTTGAATTTTCATTTAGCATGCAAAAGAGCTACATGTGATAAACCACATACTTGCATCAGGAAAATATCAAACAAAAATGATGTATCTAGAAACATAGAAAATACAACTTAAAATTTTAATGTGTTTTTTGTTTCTTATTCTTTTTTGTTTAGATATAATTTGAACCATGTTTCTTTTCTTTTCTTTTTTGAAACAGAGTCTCACTCTGTCACCAGGCTGGAGTGCAGTGGCACGATCTTGGCTCACTGCAACCTCCGTCTCCCAGGTTTAAGCGATTCTCCTGCCTCAGCCTCCCAAGTAGCTGGGACTACAGGCGCACGCCACCATGCCCAGCTAATTTTTGTATTTTTAGTAGAGACGGAGTTTCATCATGTTGGCCAGGATGGTCTCGATCTCTTGACCTCGTGATCCACCTGCCTTGGCCTCTCAAAGTGCTGGGATTACAGGCATGAGCCACTGCGCCCGGCCTGAACTATTTCAATCCTAAAATTGGTATGTCCTTTTACAGTCCTTCCTGGTGTCTTCTTCCTTATTATAATAGTACCACTGGTTGTCAAGTAGCCTTATCTTATATCTCTGTAAGTATTATTTAAAATGAAATTGAAATATCATTTATTTTAGCCAGAAAAGAAAATGGAATGGCTAATTTGGTGAATCCACTCCCTGTTGATACACTAAGCTGCTGACCCCTGGAGCTCAGAGGCTGAAGGCAAGGCTGTGAAGCTATGAGGTAGGCGTGGAGGTGAGGGCTCAGTCACAGTGGACCTTGCCCTTGGCCACCCCAAAGCTAGACAAGTCTCCATTGCAAAGAGTCTGGAGTGGTGAATGAGGCCCGTTTTCCAAGTCATTTTGGTCACCTTGGTCACCCTTGGTCACCTTCATCATGTACTTTCGAAAGGCCTTTTGAATAATAGCAGCACCTCTTTCCTCTTCCTTTCTCTTGGTGGTGGTGACTATGGGTTCATACAACTTCTTGAGAGGATTGGCTTCCATGAACTTCTCTTCCATCATTGCTTTCATACTATCTAGGCCATCAGAGCCACCGAGTACCCTAGCGGTGAAGGCGAAAAGAATATCCATGCAGTGGAGGCGATCTTCACTCACCATGGGCAAGTCCATTACTAGAAATTGATATTTATTTGGCTTTGCGACACGCAAAGGCTCAGGCAAGGCATCAGCAAAGTCAGAAAGGGCAGAATATTTGATAAATTGTGTTGCTTCTGGGTCAAACTTTTCCCACACTTCATAAAATATGTCAAAGTCATCTTCACCCAAAGGGTCCTCACTTTCTTCAGTGGCTGTATTGAAGTTCTCTAAAATCACAGCAATGTACATGTTGACAACAATGAGAAAGGAGATGATAATGTAACTGACAAAGTAGGATGTGGCTATGCCAGGGAGGTGGCAGTTTTCTGAGGAAGAGTTACATGATTCTTTTGATCGCAGCATGGGGCTGAGCAGGGAATCCCAACCTGCTGATGTGCTTATCTGGAAGAGACAGAGCATGCTGCTGGCAAAAGTCTTGAAGTTGAATATGTCATCGATTCCAGACTCTGGATTCACTTTGGAAAACCAGTTCATACCCAGAATGGCATAGATAAACATAATCAGAAAGAGTAGAAGACCAATGTTGAACAGAGAAGGAAGCGACATCATCAGAGCAAAGAGGAGAGTCCTGATTCCTCGTGCAGCCCGGACAAGCCTCAGGATTCGGCCAATCCGAGCCAAGCGGACAATTCTGAAGAGCGTCGGAGGGAAAGGAATGTGCTCCTGATTTTCCAAGGTAGAAATCATTGTACCTCAGGAGAAGGAGAAAAGTAAATAAGTTTCCAGAAGGCACACTGGTTTCAGATCCAGCCTGTCTCCTGCCTCAGAATCCTATGGGGGCCAACTTTTTATCAATACTTTGTAGCTTATGTACAAAACTAAGAATTTCTTTTACCACTATCAGGGAAAATACCTATCTGTGTCTTAATTTGGAAAATAGTTTCCAAGGGCCATACAGTTCTTCTACATTTGTGTGTAGAAGAATTTAAATACAGCCCTACTACAAGTGAGGACAGCTTATCTGCTGAAAGAGCCACAATGTCTGTAGGGCTAGAGGGAAATGGTAGCATTGGAATGCTCACCTTTAGGCTGAAGCTGCCCATGGATCTTTCATAATTGTCATCCTCATTCCAAGGACTTCTGAGATCCAAACTCAAAAAGCTGAAGGGACACAATTTGGAGATACTTTCTCTGTTGCTGCAAACCCCATAAATGTCATTTCAGAGGTTTGATCAAACAGCTGAATATTTGACCTAAAATGTCGCCCTGCCTGCTCTGCAGGCAAGTGATACAAGGATTTAAGACAATTCACATTTTGGCCTAAACATTATAGAATGGTTGGAACATGCTTGTCTTGTGTAGACATGGCCTTGTTCTTGCTTTGAGAGTCTTCTAGGGTTGTTAGGGGTCATGGGCAGTATTTGAGTGCCCATGACCCCTAATGACCTTGAGTGTCCTGTAAGGTCACTAGGGGTCTATTAGGGTTCATGGGCAGCAGAATGCTCTGCTGTCACCTAATGACTAAAGAGAACTAGTTGATTATATACTTCACTGACTACCCAATTGTGCCAAAGAAGTTTAATTCATACTTTAATTGGAAAGTCAACCCTGGAAAGATGTAAAGTTTCTTAAGTGCCAATTCAGCAACAACTGGAGGAGGCCCATCATTTAAGATCTACCTCCTCTATGAATATTTCTTGGGCTGATCAAGCCCATAGTAATCTGTTCTTTCTCTGAGCTCATTTCTGCTTTGCACCATGTGATTTGGTGTTCAATTAATTTCCCTATCTTTTTTTGGCACTTTAAGACGAGTAAGCCGTAATACCTCAACTAGATTGTTAACTCCTAGAGAGAGATTCATTTCAACTCACACTCATTTTGCATTTCTCCAAAAACTTAGGAAAGAGCTTGGAAAAGTACTGAGGCTAAAGCGTTGGACGGCAGAAATATTGGCAAAGGCATATAAAACTCTGTCCACATTAGTAAGTAGGATTAATATATGGATTAATCCTACCGCTGAGTATTATTTGGCTTAATATGTAGATTTTCTCATCCACTGGGGCAAATGCCATACAGCATGTATAACTGCAATTGCCAAGCAGTTGTTCAAAGGACAAAAGTCAGAAACATTTCCGCAAAGTGCATGATGCCTGGCACTGCATGGAAGGAGCTGTTGGAATGAATGAGCTTCTCTTTTCTCATCAGAGGAAGGGCTCTTTGAGTTCTTAGAGGGCCTCCCCAGACATCTGACCACCATTTTCTAGCCCTTTTTTTTTTTTTTTTTTTTTTTTTTGCTGCTGTCAATTTCACCAAGACTTGTGATTGGAATTGACTAATAAAAATTAAAGGTCTACTTAACTGTAAACTCATGGAAGAATCTATTGATAAGCTTTATCTACATTAACATCATGGCTTAGAAACCAGAACACACTATGAACTGTAGCATATTTGTTGTTGTTCTCTGAAACATCTGCAATGCTGCAGTAGCATTAGGAACCAAAATATCTTGATCCAATATATCTGTTTGATGCATTCTTTCTGAGATCGCAAAAAAGCTTCCATTTGGAAAATCAGTTTTCTTTGTCTTCATTGTGTTTTGAACTATGAGAAGGGCTCCTGGACAGTTTTACATAATTATAAAATGTCAAGTTAACAGTTTAATTAAAACCAGACTTCAAAAACCCAGAGTAAGCACTTATGGTTTAGCCATGAAGAATTTAATTTTAAAGTTGATGTGTGTATGTGTGTGTTTTATAAGAAGGAGTATGGTAATAACCTTCTTTCTTTTGTATTCTTTTATAAGCCTTTTAGTTAACCCTGCGTGTGATTAGGAAAAATATACTGATTAGAGAATGAGGCTGGTTGGTAAGCGGGGTCAAAGAATCTGAGACAAGCACAGTTCACACTGTGGTTTAAGTTAACATGGGATATAGAATAGAAAAAAAGCTTTGATTGTCTGAATGATATACTCTTGAAAGCCCAATCTAGAGTGGGCCATGGGGCCTTGTATAGGGGTTGAAAGGGGGCACAGCAGTGCCACAGGGGCACAATAATTGTGATCTGGCACCCATGTGGATTTTGAACAAAGGAAAAAACATGGGCAGTAAATCCTTAAAACTAAAAAATGCTCATAGGGCTTATAGTTGCACAGGAAAGGTAGAACTTTGACTCAATTATCTGAATAAATCAGGTTACCACCACAAAAACTTCTGAGTCATTTTAATTTTGTCTATTTCCATTGAATACATTAGCTGCATGATTATTGAACTCTATTTCAGTTGTGTAGTGAGTTAAGGGAACAGAAATTACTCTCTATCTCCTAGCAACTTCCCAGTAGAGAATGGCATTAGTACCCCTGTCTATTCTTTCAGAAAGTACACTTGGCCCAGTTTTCTGCTTTGTGGATAGTTTGAACAAACTTCAAAAAATGATAAGATTTACAAACTTACTTCTGGTTCTTAAAGTCCCTCTGACTGCTGATTTTACTTACTAACAATGGAAAGAAGCACGACCACACAGTCAAATAAATTCCAGCCATTGGTGAAGTAGTATTGCCTCAAAGCAAAGATTTTGATGAGACATTCTAACGTAAAGATGACCACAAAGACCCAGTTGAGATGGTCAAGGATGGATTTCATGGCTTTGGGTTGGTTGTATGATTCAGCCATCATGCTAATCATGTTTAGGATAATGAGACTTATGATGATGATGTCAAAGATCTGGCTTGTGACTATGTCGAACACGAGACCTTGACATTTGTTCTGAGAAAAAAAAGAAATTATAAATCATTTTGAATGCAAGAATAAAATTACATACAATAAAAAGAACATAAATACAACAGAATTTGTTTTTCCTTACAATTAAAGCAGTTCCTTGAAAAATACACAGACCCTTTTCAAAGGGCAAGAAATTCTTATAAATCCCCAGGCTTGCCTTATATATTTTCATTAAAATGTAATTAGTAACTGGTTTTAAGTGCTTGGGCTTATAGCTTTAATTCCATTTTAAAACAAAAAATATTAAAAAGTCTTAGTAACAACATAACTTTGATGTGATTGATGATGTGCTTTGCTGAAATAAAACAGTGCATGTTGGATTTAATAATAAAAAGATGAATCTTGGTATCTATATTTTATCTGTTTCTGTATTCTTACTTCAACAATATTAGTGCAGAGAATACCTGCTCACATAAGTATGTTGGACAAAATGGAATTAGTATCTTCAATGCTCCATTTGCCAATTCACAATAATCAGAACTTAACCAAAATTCTGTATTCAAATAATTCTTCAATGCCAATTTTAAAATTCTTGTTCACTTGAAGATAAAGCTAATAGATGAGATTATAATCCAATAATTACTAAAACTGAAAATAGAAAAAAATGATTAATTTATACTATAACTGAGGGTGAATTTACATGTGGTTTATATATAGATGGCCATACTGCCCAAAAAGTGAGTATATGCTGATTGTTCAGGTACAGGTCCTAACTCAAGTTTGCATGCCAAGTCTACCATATGCAGTGAAATTACTCAATTATTCCATTATTTTCTTTAATACAACTGCTGTGAAGCACTACTTTGTTCTTCACTTTGTGGAAAACTATTCCTAAATACAAATTCAGACATTGAAATTTTATAACATTCTTGACTATACGTTGGTTGCTTTACAATCTGTGTACATATTGTTTTATATTATATTATCACCTAATCAAAGTGGCATACACTATTATCTTTAGAGAACTCACATACTCCTAAGAATACATCTTTAGACACCCAAGGGATCTGTTATATAATCCAGGCAAAGATGATGTTGGCTTGTGGTGGTGACAGCAGATAAAGATAAAAGCATATAGGCTTAAGAGCTAATGTGAGGTGGAAGCAAGAACCGTCAGAGAATTCAAATGTAGTGGGCTTTGAGAAAGTTAAGACTGAGAATATAGTTTCCGGTTGATAAAACCATCTAACCAGCCAGAGAACAGAGGATGAGGAATATTAAAGAGAGATGATAAGATCTGACCTGAGCAGGTTGAGTTGAGGTGCCAGTGGGGGGTCCAAGGGCAATGGGCAGGTAGAAGTATGAGTTTGGAGTGCAGGTACAGAAGCTAGAATACAGATGACATTAATACTGATATGAATTAAAACCACGGGAGTGAATTATATATCACTTGGGGAGAGCAAGGGCAATGAGAGGAAGGAGGGTAGGGACAACACTGGAGGACACTACATTTCAGTTGTGACTTTCGAACCATGTGCTGGGAGCCCCAAGGCTTTTATCAAAGAGCCAGGAGAAGACACTAGAAAGTCAAGTGCCTTTCCTATTTAAGCATGAATTTGGGAAGTCAGAAAGGAGCTGGAGAAAAGGTGCACTCCAGGGAAGCGGAATGAAGGGCAAAAAGAAATATGAGGGAGGGTGAGTATTGGTTTTATAGTTAACTCTAACATCTAGACAAATAGAGGAGATTAAGAGCATAAATTACCTAAAGTGTTGGATTACCTAAAGTGTTGGATGATCAAAAAAAGCATTCTATGTCACTTCAGAACGCAGTGTGACTCCTATACCTCAGTATGAATTTTAAACCAAGAAATGAAGCCACCCTGTGAAGATGCTTCAGGAGAAATCGAAGTGATTCCAAACCCCTTGTTCTATTACTGGAAATGAAATGCATCAATGCTCAGGCTAAAACAGCTATGTTTTCCACCTATGCAATTGCTCTTCGTTTGTTTCGAGGGTCAAAAGCTAATATTTGGATTTTAGAGATGGAAAAAAAATCTCTGGGGAGATAAAGTTGTGGGTCAATGGCTAACTGTTGATTTAAAGTCTAAGCCCAGACTCAGGGACTTCTGGTGATATGATGTTGGATTTATCTCATGCGACACTAATCTGGAATATAAAAGTCAAGATAAACGTGCAGTGTTAGGTGGTGAGATTGTATTTGATTACCAGAATCATTCATTGAAGGCTTGATTGGTGAGTTGTAGCTACACAGGGAGAGCTGTGATTTTGCACCTACTTCCAGATAAGCCATGTGATAAGCATGCTATAAAAGATGGCTAAGGAATGGAGGTGACAGCTTTCCTATGTTAATGTTGTCTGCACCCACTTTCAGTTCATCTCTTGCAGCCTAGCATGCTCTGTGCAGTGCATCTATGTGTTGCAACTTTTGTTGGGCTGTGTGCTGTGTTGCTTGAAATAAACTGATAAATATGTCAGAACATATTGTGTCTTGTGACTCTTTTAGTTAATGCCAAACCCAAGACCAACTGATAATGAGTCAGTGGTTGTATAGCATGCATATGTAAACAAAAATTCTCTCTTTTCTTGTTGTTGGCTCAAGTTCAAGTAAGAATTTTAAAGTGAAATTAGTACTAGAAAGTGAGATTGGTATTTAAAAGCTAGATTCAATTTAGGTAAACTGAAGTCCCATAAACCGCTGGCAGATTAAACCTCCCCAAATATAATTTTATCATTAACCCTGTGGTCAAAAATCTCTCACTATATAAAAGATAAATTCTAAATCCTTGGCCCTGACATTCATTGACTTTTTTAGTGCATCAAAAATACTTCATTTTAGTGTGATGGACTCTGTTTGTGCCTTAAAACATATTTTTTTGTTCAATAAATAATTACTGAGAACACATTTTATGCCAGGCCCTATTCTGGGTGCCGAGAATAGCAGTAAGTAGACTGCATTCATCATTTGCGATCTCATGTTCAAATGGAAACCTCCAAATTATCTGCATGCTTCCGATTGCAAGCCCTTCTTTCATCCTGCTTTCCCTGACTTTTCAGCCTCCACTGACCTGCTCTGCTATGGAGCATTCAAACTCACTTGTCAGAGCTACCAACTCTGTTGTGCCTATTGTACTACTTTATAACCCAATGCTCTAAAGTATGTATACAACATCTCAGCTCCTCAATTAGACTGCAAGCACAGAGCTGCCCTGGATGCTACTTCTATCTTGCCCCATAGTACCTGATAAAGCAGGATTCATAGAGCACAGGGATCAGCAAACCATGGCCTATAGGACAAATCCAGTGACCTATCTGTTATTGTACAGCCCATGAGCTCAGAATGGGTTTTACATTTTTAAATGTTTGGTGAAAAAAAAAATCAAAAGAAGAATAAAGTTTTGCGACATATGATAATTATATAAAATCCAAATTTCCATGTCCCTAAATAAAGTTGTGTTGGAATACAGGCATGTTTATTTGTTCTATATTGTCTATGGCTGCTTCTGTACCACAATGGCAGAGTTGAGTACTATGACAGAGACATATAGCCAGCAAAGACTGAAATATTTACTATCTGGGCCTTTAAGGAAAAGTCTGTCAATCCCTGATATACAAAGTTTATCATAAATACTTGTAAAGTGGAAGTAAGTATGCATGACCTTAACCTCACACTAATAAAAACTGGTAAAAAGTATTACAAGTACATTTTAAACTCATCAAAATTGAAAAAAGCAAAAACAGGAAGATGGGAGATAGGAGGCAGGGCTAACGTGCATCTCGCACTTGGATGGACAGAACAGTGTGTGGAGACTCACACTGTGGACTTTTGCTTCAAGAACCACCGCAGGAACGTAACAGGAAAACCAGAAGAATTCACAGATCCTTTGAAAGAAGTGACATGCCACTGCAGACTGCACGAGACAGGTGAAAAGCCGTGAGTTCCCAAAGTGTGAGTGAGAGGGGGGAAAACCTGCCTCCAAACACACATCCCCACTGGGGAATCTGAAAATGCAGATCACGAGAGAAGGTTGTAACCTTACCTAGAGCTGAAATGACTTTAGGGAGCTGCATGAAGTGCAAAAGTAGAAGAAGCAACAGGAACCTTGAAGGTACTCCCAGTCTCCAGCTTGGGCCCTGGAATGCCATTCCTGACTGTATCTCACAGGGGTCTTCTGAGAAGGCAGCCAGCCAAATAAAAGGAGGGGCCATAGGGTGAAAGAAACTTCCAACTAGATTCTGTGATAATTTCGACTGGGCACAAACTTCCTTGAGCAGAATCCAGGGGGCTAACGGGAGTTGCTGCAGATACGAGTGCAGGAGCTGCTGACATTGTGGGCAGACAGGGAGGGATGTGGCCTGAAAGCCATGCTTGCTTTGTCAGCAGGGAAGCTTATGGCCTGGGGCAGGTCTGAGATCCCTGAGTAGGCTGCCTGGATCTAAACTTGGTGCAGTTAGCACGGTACTGCAGGAGCAAGACCAGCCTCACCAACTGTGTGGGAGCTGGGCGAGGCCTTTCACTACTGGCTATCCCCCACTTCTCTGGTGATCTATACTGCACAGCAGAGGTAGCCATAATCCCCTCTGGAACATAACCTCATTGGCCTGAGGACCACTTCCTCATCCCCCACAGTGGTTATGGCAAGCCCCACTCAAGGAGAGTCTGCACTTGGACCTGCCTAACCCTGCCCTCACCTGATGGTTTTTCTCTACCTGTCCTAGTAGCTGAACACAAAAGACATAAACCCTTGGGAGTTTTATGGCTCTGCCTGTCTCCTGAAAGTCAGAATACCTCCCCTGGCCAACTTAGGGCAAGCGTATATCCCACTGCTAATAGCACAGTGGTGCTCTCTTGAAAGCACCACCTCCTGGCTGGAGGTCAACCAACTCAGGACATGACTGCAATTCATGACAGAATAGCCCTGATCCCAGGAAGGAGAAAACGACAGCTAATTCTACTGCCTGCAACATCCTGACTAACCAGAGGTCCTGAGTCTGTCCACGTGACAACTTCACTGCTAGCATAACCAGCATTTGAGAAAGCCAGCATACTAAATGTATCTACAGCCAAGGACTCTCACAGAGTCTACTTCACTCTCCTGCCACTTCCACCAGAGCAGGTGCTGGTATCCACAGCTGGGAAACCTGAAAACAGATCACATCACAGGACTCTTTGCAAACATTCCCCAGCACCACCCCAGAGCCTAGTAGCCCTGCCAGGTGGCTAGAACCAGAAGAGCAATAACAATACTGCAGTCTGGCTTTCAGGAAGCCCCATCCCTAGGGAAGGGGGAGTGCACCACATCAGGGGATCACCCTGTGGGACAAAAGAATCTGAAGAGCAGGTCTTGAGTTCCAGATCTTTCTGCTGGTGGGTAGTTTCTCACAGCAGAAACACAATTGCAGTGCTGGCACAGTAGGGAAAGTCTGCACCTCTAGCCCAATGGGCAGGCATCCTCTGTGATTGTGAAGGGCCTTAGAAAAGAGGTCCTTGTTTTCCTCTGGCACTTCACTGCAGACACAGCTGGGGCTTCCCCCACAGGAACACAGTATGGAGGCATCTATAGACAGCCTGTCTGGAACAATCCAGGGTGAGTGCGGCCCCAGAGAAGGAGCACACCCTAGATTCAGGCTGTGTGAGAGGCAGAGTCACAGTTCCTCCCTACTTGGAACATCAACATTCCTACAGATGAAAAGAGGTGGCTGTCTGATCTGAACAGCCAAAACACTGGGATAGGAGTGAGGCTGTGAGGTGAATAGCTTTCTGGCTGACCTGGCAGAGGAGCTGAGGTAGCTTCTACTCTTCACCCTGATAAAACCTCAGCGCATCTAACTGAGAGGTCTCCCAGCCACCTTCATCAAGGCTGGGACCTCAGCCCACTGTTGGGTATTACATTTACCCACCTGCCTTAGCCATAGCCAATGCCTACTCAGGGATACCTTCTCTATTGGCCTGAAGCCTGAATCATCAAGTCAGTAAATAAAACACTGGGAAAAAATAAATAAATAAATAAATAAAAATGTACACCATGAGAGAACCAGATAAGCTGCAAGAGATCCCTGCCATTCCAACTCCATAGGAGACAGTGAACTTGCCAGCACACTAAGACAGTAACTACTACAACCAGCATCAGGGAAAGCCAGTGCACAATGACTCTTTATAACTAAGGATCTCATACAGAGTCTTTACTCCTACAAGCACCAATAATCAAATTAGGCTAAAATACACACTGTCCTGATGTTAAAGAGGGAAAATATTTTAAATTTAAAAAACACAGTTCAATTAAAAATAAATCCAAGAACAATTTTAAGTAATAGTCTACCCAAGTGAAAAGGAACCAGAAAAGTAATTCTGGTAATATGACAAAATAGGTTCTATAACACCTCCAAAAGATCATACTAGCTTCTCAGCAATGGATCCAAACCAAGAAGAAATCTCTGAATTTCCAGATAAAGAATTCAGAAGATTTATTATTAAGCTAATCAAGGAGATACCAAAGAAAGGTGAAAACCCACTTAAAGAAATTTAAACAACAATACAAGATATGGATAAGAAAATTTTCCAGAGAAATAGATATCATAAAGAAAAAATACTCACAACTTCTGGAAATGAAAGAAACACCTACGGAAATGCAAAGTGCCATGGTAAGTTTCAACAATAGACTAGGACAAGTAGAAGAACTTTAGAGCTCAAAGACAAAGCTTTTGAATTAAAAGCCAATCAGACAAAGACAAAGAAAAAAGTTTAAAAAATGAATGAAGCCTCCAAGAAATTTGGGATTATGTTAAATGGCTAAACCTAAGAATAATTGGTCTTCCTGATGAAGAAATCTAAAGTTCATAAAACTTATCTGAAGAAATAATTGAGGAAAACTTTCCTGGCCTTGTTAGAAATCTAGACAACCAAATAAGAAGCTCGAAGAACTTCTGGGAAGTTCATCACAAAAAGATTATCACCTAGGCACATAGTCATCAAGTTATCTAAAGTCAAGATGAAGGAAAGAATCTTAAGAGCTGTGAGACAAAAGAATTAGATAACCTATAAAGGAAAACCTATCAGATTAACAGTTAACTTCTCAGCAGAAACCTTACCAGCTGGAAGGAATTGGGGTCCTATCTTTAGCCTCCATAAACAATATAATTGTCAGCCAAGAATTTTGTATCCAGTAAAACTAAGCTTCATAAAAAGAGGGAGAGATAAAGTCTTTTTCAGACAAATAAATGCTGAGAGAATTCATCACCACCAAACCAACACTGCAAGAAATGCAAAAAGGAGTTCTAAATTATGAAACAAACCTTGAAATACACCAAAACAAAACAAAACAAACAAACAAACAAAACCTCCTTAAAGCATAATTCTCACGGGGCCTATAAAACAACAACATAATTTTAAAAAACCCAACAAAGTATTTAGGCAACAACTAACATGATGAATAGAACAGTACTTCACATCTCAATACTAACGTAGAATGTAAATGGCCTAAACGCTCCATTTAAAAGACATAGAATTGTAGAATGGATACAAACCAAGCATCTACTGTCTTCAAGAGACTCACCTAACACATAAGGACTCATATAAACTTAAGGTAAAGGGTGGAAAAAGACATTCCATGCAAATGGAAATGAAAAGTGAGCAAGAGTAGCTATTCTTACATCAGACAAAACAGACTTTAAAGCAACAAAAGTTAAAAAAGACAAAGAGGGACATTATATAATGATAAAATGATTAGTCCAACAGGAAAACATCACAGTCCTAAATATATGTGTACCTAACACTGGAGCTCCCAAATTCATAAAACAATCACTATTAGACCTAAGTAATGAGGCAACACAATAATACTGGGAGACTTCAGTATTCCACTGACAGCACTAGACGGGTAATCAAGACAGAAATTAAACAAAGAAACAATGGACTTAAACTATACCCTAGAACAAATGAAATTAACAGATATTTACAGAACATTCTACCCAACAACTGCAGAATATACATTCTATTCATCAGCACATGGAGCATTCTCCATATCACATGGAGATAGACCATATGATAGATCACAAAACAAGTCATAATAAATTTAAGAAAATCGAAATCATATCAAGTATCCTCTCAGACCACAGTGGAAAAAAACTGGAAATTAACTCCAAAAGGAACCTTCAAAACTATACAAATACATGGAAATTAAATAATCTCCTCTTGAATGATCTTTGGGTTAACAATGAAATCAAGATGGAAATTTAAAAATTCTTTGAACTGAATGATAACAGTGACACAACTTATGAAAACCACTGAGATACAGCAAAAGTGGTGCTAAGAGGAAAGTTTGTAGCATTAAATGCGTACATCATAATGTCTGAAAGAGCACTCACAGACAATCTAAGGTCAGATCTCAAGGAATTAGAGAAAGAAAAACAAGCCAAAGGCAAATCCAAACCCAGCAGAAGAAAATAAATAACAAAGATCAAGCAGAAATAAATTAAACTGAAACAAAAAAAATACAAATGGTAAATGAAACAAAAAGCTGGTTATTTGGAAAGATAAAAATGATAGACCATTAGTGAGATTAACCAAGAAAAGAAGAGAGATCAAAATAAGCTCAATTAAAAATGATACAGGAGATAGTACAACTGATACCACAGAAATACGAAAGATCATTCAAGGCTACTACAAACACATACATGCACAAATTAGAAAATCCAGAGGAAACGGATAAATTCCTGGAAATATACAACCATCCTAGATTAAATCAGGAAGAAATAGAAACTCTGAACAGACCAACAAAAAGTAGCAAGATTGAAACAGTAATAAAAAAATTACCAACAAAAAAAAGTCCAGGACCAGATGGATTAACAGCTGAATTCTATCAGACATTTAAAGAAGAATTGGTACCAGTCCTACTTATGGAACCGCATTTGCAAAATTATAACTGAGGAAATTATGATAGTGAAAGAAATCACACCTAATGGACTCCATCTGCTTCTAACCTTTAAGCTGTCCTTGTTCATTCCTGGGCATAGGCTGAACTAACTTTGGGAAGGAATTCAGTTCATGGCTTGACTTTGAAACAAAATTGATAATAGATCTTTCCCAAAATGACCCCTGCTCTTGCCTGGGGACCAGTCTGCCTTTGCAGGACTAACAAATTAGCTACAAGATTAGAAATTAAGGTTTAGGGGTCATGCAGCCCCTGGGCTCCAAGAGTCTGAACCTCCTCAAATTGCTCCTGGGGATAACATCAGTACAGTACTGTAAAACCTAAGATCAGTGCTTGAGATATTTTGCAGACCTTGCACTGGATGGATCAGCTGACACCACCCAGACCCATAATCTGCCTCAACCAGTTCTGCCATTCCACCCAGGAACAGAAGATAGCAAGAAAACCTCACTTCGACCCCCTATGATTCCATATCAAACCTGACCAATTAGCACTCCCCATTTCCCTAGCCCCTACCCACCAAATTATCTTTAAAAACCTCTGATCCCTGAATGCTCGGGGAGACTGATTTGAGTAATAATAAAACTCCCATCTCCCACACAGCCAGCTCTGTGTGAATTACTCTTTCTCCATTGCAATTCCCCCATCTTGATAAATTGGCTCTGACTAGGCAGGGGGCAAGGGTGGTTACACTAACACTAAAAGATAGAGAAAGAGGGAATCCTCTCTAAATCATTCTATGAAGCCAGTATCACCCTAATACCAAAACCAGGAAAGGACACAACAAAAAAGAAAACTACAGACCAATATTCCTGATGACTATAGGTGCAAAAATACTCAAAAAATACTAGCTAACTAAATCCAACAGCATATCAAAAAGAAAATCCACCATGATCAAGCAGGTTTTATACCAGGAATGCAGGGATGGTTTAACATACGCAAGTCAATAAATGTGATACATCACATAAACAGAATTAAAAACAAAAATCATATGATCATCTCAACAGACACAGAAAAAGCATTTGACAAAATTCAGCATCTCTTTATGATAAAACCCTCAGCAAAACTGGCATAGAAGGAACATAGCACAAGGTAGTAAAAGCCATTTATGACAAACCCACAGCCAACATCATACTGAACAGGTAATGGTTGAAAGCATTCCCTATGACAACTGGGACAAGATAAGGATGCCCACTTTCACCACTTCTATTCAACATAGCACTCAGAAGTCCTAGCCAGAGCAATCAGATAAGAGAAAGAAATAAAGAGTATTCAAATTGGAAAAGAGGAAGTCAAACTATTGCTATTTGCCAAGGCTATGACTGTATACTTAGAAAACCCTAAAGACTCATCCAAAAAGCTCCTAGATCTGATAAATAAATTCAGTAAAGTTTCAGGATACAAAATCAATGTACATAAAACAGTAGCACTGCTATACACCAACAACAACCAAGCTGAGAAACAAATCAAGAATTCAATTTATTTTACAACAGCTGCAGAAAAAAATAAAATACTTAGAAATATACCCAACCAAGGAGATGAAAGATCTCTACAGGGAAAACTACAAAACACTGCTGAAAAAAATCATTAATGACACAAACAAATGGATACACATCCCCTGCTCATGGATAGGTAGAATTAACATTGTGAAAATGACCATACTGTCAAAAGCAATCTACAGACTCAGTGCAATTCCCAACAAAATACCACCGTCATCCTTCACAGGACTAGAAAAAAAAATCTTAAAATTCATATGGAACCAAAAAAGAGCCTGCATAGCCAAAGCAAGACTAAGCAAAAAGAACAAATTTGGAGGCATCACATTACCTGACTTTAAACTATACTACAAGGCCATAGTTACTGAAACAGCATGGTACTGGTATAAAAACAGGCATGTAGACCAATGGAACAGAATAGAGAACCCCCCAAAAAAGCCAAATAGTTACAGCCAATTGATCTTTGGCAAAGCAAACAAACATAAACTGGGGAAAGGACACCCTATCCCACAAATTGTGTTGGGATAATTGGCAATTTGCATGTAGAAGAATGAAGCCAGATCCTCATCTCTCACCTGGTACAAAAATCAACTCAAGATGGATCAGACTTAACTCTAAGACCTGAAACCATACAAATTATAGAATATAACATCAAGAAAACTCTTCCAGATATTGGCTTAGGCAAAGAATTCATGACCAAGAACCCAAATGCAAATGCAACAAAAACAAAAATAAATAAATGAGACCTAATTAAACTAAAAATCTTCTGCACGGCAAAATAAATAATCAGCAGAGTAAAGAGACAACTCACCAGGTGGGAGAAAATATTCACAAACTATGCATCTGACAAAAGACTAATTTTCAGGATCTACAAGGAACTCAAACAAATCATCAAGACAAAAACAATTCTATCCAAAAGTAGGCAAAAGACATAATCAGACAATTCTCAAAAGAAGATTTACAAATGGCCAAGAAACATAGAAAAAAAATGCTCAACATCACTAATTATCAGGGAAATACAAATTAAAACCACAATGGGATGCCACCTTACTCCTGCAAGAATTATCATAATTTAAAAATCAAAAAAATAATAGATGTTGGCATGGATGTGGTGAAAAGGGAACACTTTTACACTGTTGGTGGGAATATAAACTAGTATAACCATTATGAAAACCAGTATGGAAATTCCTTAAAGATCCAAAAGTAGAACTACTATTGGATTCAGCAATCTCACTACTAGGTACCTACCCAAAGGAAAAGAAATTACTATATGAAAAAGACACTTACACATACCACATGTTTGTAGCAGCACAATTCGCAACGGCAAAAATGTGAAACCAACCTAAATGCCTGCCAACCAAAGAACAGATAAAGAAAATGTGGTATATCTACACCATGGAATACTAGTCAGCCATAAAAAGGAATGAAATAATGGCCTTTGCAGCAACCTGGATGGAGTTGGAGACCATTATTCTAAGTGAAGTAACTCAGGAATGGAAAATCAAGTATTGTATGTTCTCACTTATAAGTAGGACCTAAGCTGTGAGGACATAAAGGCATAAGAATGATATAATGGACTTCAGGGAATCAAGGAGATGGGTGGGAAGAGGGTGAGGAATACAAGACTACACACTGGGTACAGTGTACACTGCTTGGGTGACAGGTGCACCAAACTCTCAGAAATCACCACTAAAGAACTTACACATGGAACCAAAAACCACCTGTTCCCCAAAAACTACTGAAATAAAATAAAATAAACTGGTCAAAATTAAGTTCAAACAAACCACTAAGTTCACATGGTCGCAATAAGTATTTACTTAAGCACATATTGCCTGGCTCACTCAAAAATAAATTTAAGTTGTTGTCCAGGCTCTTACTTTTGAGTTTGAGTATCTAATTTTCCTAAGTGTTTGAATATGTCTTGACTTCTGTTGAGTCCTTAATGTCTGCAAATTTTAAGAATAAAGAAGGATGGCATTACGGAAATTTGAGTTCCTCACAGTAACTCAACTGTTCTACATATTTACAGTCATTCAATTGCTCTCACCAGAGGCCGTGGAATGGGTTTTTGAGGTTTTTTGGATCCTAATTTTTTCATTGCATTATAGTATTTCTTCTGTTCTTCTGTCATAAAAATGTCTTGGCCACCTAAGTATATGGAGAAGATAAGAGCTAATTACCTTTAACAGTTTTTTTTTTAATCTAGTTCTGAATTTTTTGACACAATTTTAAAGTTACATTACATTTCTATTAACAATTCTTAAAATTTCAATGGTAAGCTTAAGAGACTGGACCATAGCGAAATGCTGTAAAGAAACAAGATTTAAGTTAAGGTATACAGGAGAAATAAAGTTACCTTTATCAGTTATTTTTCACTTTTTAGAACAGAAAGGTTACAAATCTTCGCAAATATACACAGAATCTTTACAAAAATTTGATATATTTCAGCTTGCATAAATCAAACCATGATGCAACAAAAATAGAAATTAGTACAAAAATTTAGACAAACATCTCATAAAGGGCAATTGAATTTCTCTTAAATAATGAATACACATAACACTACTAACAAAGCTGCATAAAATCTGTTCAGAGCCACTCTCAGGGAAAAAAAAAAGTTCTAACTATTTTCACTACTGAGCAAGAAAGAATAGAAAAATGAACTAGGATTCTCATATCTGGAAATTTGGGGGCAAAATATTTAGAAAGGCTAGATAAACTAGAACAGAATTCTTTTAAAATGTAAAGCTGAACTGGCATAAAAGTAAGAAAAAAATTGGGGGTCTGAAAATTGAGAGATCAAAAAGATAGACTAGTAAATTAGCCCAAAGCCATGGCTGGTCTTAGAACATTTACTAATCTCTGTAAACTAGAATCTCAGTTTTTAGTAAATGTAAGGGGGTAATGGGAAATAAGGCCTACGCAAAGACAGGAGAGGCACAGATGTCTTTGCAAGAATATGGGACTATCCAAAGGTGGCCAACAGAAGGGTAAAGAAAAAAACCCGAATCTGTCTGTTGGTAATGGAAGACAACCAGAAAATTGTCTCAATCCAGACTATGAGTAAAAAGCCAGTCTTCCCTGATCATTTGTGACTTCAGGCTTACTTTGATGAGGGTTTGGGGTTTGACTTTACTCCACCAGCACAGATAAAAATATGTAGCCCTAGAAGTCAACCTAAAAATTAATCAAGTTGTTCTGGGATGCTGGGAAGAAATTAGTCTTTTAGTAATCATATATGTCATAGTAGTATTAATACCACTATTCTGAGACTGTAGTGTGTGTATGTGTGTTGTGAGATAAAGAAAATGAGTAATTGTGGAAATTTTAAATTCTATCATCTTTGCCTTTGAGAATAAGGTTTCTCAGTGTGGAAAGGGGGAGATATAGATGTTAAGTGAAAACTTTGTAGTCCTGAATTTGAGTAATCAGTATGCAAATTTCCACTTATATATTTCCTTGTAGTCCTGAATTTTAAGCAACTCTGTCCACTAGAAAGGCTTAGAAACAATGACAATGAGCATTCTAGACTGTGGTCTTGGAAACCGTTTCCCACAAAGAAACAAACAGTTTTTAGAGAAATAGCTGATTACAGAACTAGGGCAGGAAGGGTACAACCTAAACTTGGAACATCGTGGCATTTCAGAGAACAAGAAAGTTGTCAAATGGAAAGACCTTATGTATTTGAATCCTGATTTGAAAACAAACAAACAAAAAGCTTCAACAGAAACAAATAAGCAAATGAAACACAGAATTAATAAATAAACATTTTTCTTTTAAATTAAAGGCTCAGACCAATTTGAAAATAGACTCGGTATTTGATGAATTTAAAGAACTCACATTAAACTTTTTGGTGTACTAATGGAATTGTGGTTATGTTTAAAAAGAGATGTGTTCTAAAATATTTATGAATCAAATGATGTGATGTCTGTGGTTTGCTCCATAAAAAAAAATCTGGTGGCAGAGTTGAGTAAGGGCGTATATGGCTTAGAACAAGCACATTCTTAAGTCAATAAATGTTGTGCTAGGTGATGGGTATTTTAGGTTAATTCTAGTACACTCTTATGCATGTTTGAGATTTTCTGTAATAAAAAGTAAAACAAGACAAAACAAAAGGATATAGTGGATTGTTCAAAACGATGATTTCTAATGTAAGCTTAAATCTAAAATCACAAAGACTGACATCCAAATTGCAGGTATTGATAGCAATCAAGATGCATATTACAGAGAGGATGCTACATCACACACTCCTGAGTAGCAGAAGCAATACAGTTTGTGTAACAACAGGGAACAACTTTCCCAGCAGATGCTAAGAAGGCTAATTGGTATCAAGGTACATTTTGGATGAATTATGAGAGTCCAGAGGAAAAATAAAAGAAAGCCATAAAACAATTAGGAAAACCAAAGGAGAATATTTAGTTACTTGATTTGGGGATTGAGAAATGCCTTTAGTTCATAAGTACAATTAAAAAAAAGCCAAAAATAACAAGATTGGGAGTTTGACTCTGAAAAATACTAATGTCTATAAGTTAAATATGTTATTACAAAAATATAAGATGCATGTCACAAATTGGACTTATATAAAAATGCAATCTCAGACTTAAAAATAGACAAATGATATAAATAAAAAACTCTTAAAGGAGAAATACTTGTGGCCATCAACCTGTGAAAAAGTGTGTAACCTCACTAATGATCAAATAAATAAATATAAAACAATGAGATAATACTTTCCCCACCAGTCTAAAAAAGATAATAAATATATAACAATTAGAATGATGAGATCTCAGTAACCATGCATTTTCATATTCTGCAGAATAAGGGTACCTAGCACAGCATTTCTGGAAGGTATTTTGACAATATGTCTTCAATGCTTTTAATATTGTAATTCTAGGAATTTATGCTGAAGAAATAATCAGAGATACACAGAATTTTAAAAATGGTCATAATTGTTTTAGAAGAGCAAGAAATTTAAAAACAACCTATAAATGTCCAAAGAGGGGAATGATCAGGATAAATTATGGTCTATCCATAATATGCAATGTAATTCAGCCCTGAGAATTCCTTTTTTTTTTTTTTCTCTTTTTCCTTCTTTGAGATGGAGTCTCGCTCTGTTGCCCAGGCTGGAATGCAGTGGAGCGATCTCGGCTTACTGCAACCTCTGCCTCCCAGGTTCAAGCAATTCTCCTGCCTCAGCCTCCCAAGTAGCTGGGATTACAGGCGTGTACCACCACAGCTGGTTAATTTTTTGTATTTTTAGTAGAGACTGGGTTTCACCATGTTGGCCAGGCTGGTCTCGAACTCCTGACCTCAAGTGATTTCCCCGCCTTGGCCTCCCAAAGTGCTGGGATTACACGCATGAGCCACCACGCCCTGCCAGAGGCTCTGAGAATTCTTATAGCAAAGTTAATTTTATGACATAAGCTTATAACTAATGAGGTCAAAACTACAAAATTAAAAATATAAGGTAATCCTAACTGTGTAAAAGTAATACGAAGTGACTGGAATGGATTATATCAAAATCATAAGAGGCATGGTCTAAAGTGGTTATCATTTGGTGGCCACCTTTGGGTGATTTAAATTTTCTTTTTATCTTGATTTTCCACATTCACTACAAAGCTCCTGTGGATTTTAGAATCAGCAAAATAAACATGTGTTTATTACAATGCATAGGGAAGAAAACCTCCCTAGCCCTGCCTCTTCCCCAATCATCTTCTTTCCGAGTAGGGTGGATAGATCTGCTGAGGCTTGGGTGCTGGGGGCCAGGACACACTGGCAGGAAAAGGAGAGTATATTAGTTTTATAGTGGATAATAAAGTGCATTTGAAAGGTTATTAAAATATGACCCTAGTGTCATATTTAATAAATACTAATCCTGGTGGTTGTTGTTCTATTAGGGTTCAGTTATTAATGGGTTTCATCTCAATAGTAGCAATGTCCATTGATTAAGAAGGTAAAAGAGAATAAAAGTAATGACTTAATTAAACCCAGATGTTTTCAGTCTTCTTTCAGCCTCATCTTTGAGGATCATCTCCAGGCAGACATGGGAGGCTCCCTCCTTGTTATTGTGCAGATCATAAAGGCTACTTTGTATAACATTCTAGGCCAGAATTATGTTTTGTTAATGCATTTGGAGGACAGAGATAAAATTACCAAATCAAGACAACCCAGATACTTATCTTTTTCTGCTGTTGGTTGAAGTTGTCAATGATAACGCCAATGAAGAGATTCAGAGTGAAGAATGAGCCAAAGATGATAAAGACTACGAAGTAAATGTAACCGAGTGAATTGCTCTCAAACTCTGGCTGTTGTTCTTTCTGTTAGAAATTTTTTTAATAAGAGAAAAAAACAATTACTGGAGAAAAATATAAGCATTCTAACTACCTTATCTAGAAGACCAAGGTGTTTCTTAGCAGCAACATTGACTACATAGCCTCTTCCTAACAGCCATAGCCCCTGTTGGGAGCCTGTCTTTCAGTTTTTGCAGCTCAGCTTGAGTGATGGCATGTGGCGGGGACCTGGGGTGATGGAAAATCGGGCTTTTTATTCTAAGCAAAGGAGAATCATTGAGGGACTGTAAGGGAGATGAGTGGTATGATCACATTTGTCTTTTTAAAAAGTCATCCATATGGAATGTCCATATGGGTATGTAACTGGAGGGAACCTGACTGGAGGTGAGGCCACCAGAGGAGGGGCACGTTCACCTTGGGCAGAGGTGACTAAACTACTAAGTGTTGTTGAACTACTATGACCCCCATATAGAGCCCACTGCTTTACTTAATATGTGGTAATGTCCTTTCACTCTTAACTTCCTAGTGCCTAGCATACCTTCTGATATGTAGATTTTTGATACACATGGAATAAATATCTAAATGAATGAATAAATGATCGAGCTCTAAAATGGACACAAATGGACTCCAACCAAGCTCTCCTAGTCTAAGATACAACCCAAATCACCTAAGAGCCCTTTCATCCAAGTCCTTTGCATTGTTATTGGCTTCAAGCACTTTCAGGCAGGTGGCAAAAAGATTTCACTTTTTTTCCCTCTATCACATCAAAGATATAAGTGCTGATAGCTCTGACTAATGTTTAATGCATTTATGGTATTTGTTATTCAACACTCACAATGTAGACTAGTGTAATGAAGGTAATTATTTGAAAACATTATTTCTCTCTTTTGCTATGAAGACTACCTGACTTTAGTCCAAGTTTGCTTGAGGCATCCATTTATTTGAACAAAAGGTAGACATTAGTACAGAAACAACGTAATGGAAAGAATATTTAGCATTAGACATTTAAAATAAAATTGCCAAGTGGGCTAATAGTCTTGCATGTTAGGTTACTGCTTTGAGATATAGGAATGTCTGTACTCCTTCATGTCCCTCTTTGTTAAATCAAAGGTTTGAAGGTGGAGAGTTTTATTGGAGGGAGATTTAGACAAGAAGATGAAATTATCAAAGCTCACCCAATTTGTTCATAGGAAATGTAGGAAAAATAAACAGAGACAGAAAATCAGAGCTGCAAGATGTGTGTCCTGATTATCCCTCTTTGGGTCTGGAAAGGGGGGTTGGAATGCAGTAAATTGAGGGAAACATGGAAGGCAAAGAGGGTATTCTTGCTTTACTTCTGCATTTCCTGGAAGGAATTACTACTGGGAAGGCCTGAGATATATCAGGAAGGCAGGCTGACTTAAGAGATTTGAGTAACATAATTGAACAGAGAGAAGTCTCTTGAACCTCTCAGTTCTCATGTGGCTTGGACACGGAGTTGATAGCCATGGGCCTGTCATGTTGGGCCTTGCAGCAAGGGATGGGAGTAGACTGCCAGGGACCATGGGGAGGATATGGCAGAGTACCAGTATTTAAGGCCAGGAGGAGATGACGGGGAAAACGCTCACAGTTTCAACAACCACAACTTCAATATTTGAGGCCAGCAGAGTGCTGGGTGACTATATAGACAAGAGTCATCAAGCTAGAAGCCAGCATACAACAACCAGTACATATCAGGACCGGCATCAAAACAGGCACCCCTCCACACACTTCCACCCACCTGTCACTCACTCTTGGAGCATTTGCAAGCCACACACCTTGTCTACTACACATCTGCAAAACCTTTCCTCCCCACTCCCCATCTCCACCTCCGCACAGATGGATGTCAAAGCCAAACTAGAGTGAAGGTCATGTACTCGAAAAGACGAAAGAAATGAGTACATTAGTATTTTTAAAATATTTCCTTTGCTATAAATTGTAATTATAAAATTATGTTGTATATATAATTATAAAATTACATTGTATATATAAATATTACAATGTAAACTATAATTGTTATAAACAGTTAAGTATCTACTGTTACCTTTGTCTTTCCAGAAAGTTGACTTTATTGACACACCCAGAATTAAGCAAACTCAGATTTGTTGCTATGCATCATCTGTATATTAACTTATAATGACAATCTGTGAATTTATAATGACAACTGGAATGGCCATAAAGATTAATTCTTATCCCTCGGTGCTGCTATAACACTAATCAAACCACTTCTACTGCTACTACAGGCTGAGTATCCCTAATCTGAAAATCCGAAGTCTCAAGTGCTCCAAAATCTGAAACTTTTTGAATGCTGACATAACATGCAAAGGTCATGCTTAAAGGAAATGCTCACTGTGGCGTTTTGGATTTTCAGATCACGGATGCTCAACTGTAAGTATTATGCAAATATTCCCAAATCTTACAAACTCCAAAATCCGAAACACTTCTGGTCCCAAGCATTTCAGATAAGGGATACTCAGTCTGTACCAGCTCACAGGTACTGAATACTTTTTAGGTGTTAGGCATCAACTCTGCAGACTCCCAAATAGGTCGAAACACACACATGTGCTATAATAGGAAACAATAATTTCTGCCATTGACTCCATTCTTGAGCCAACCATCTGCTTACTCTATGGCTTTGGGAAACTCTTTCTTTTTATCCCTCAACTTTCCAAGCTGGAAAATAGAAACTAGGCTAGATTACTGAGTGCAATTCCAACTTTGGGAATCTGTGATTATCTTTTCTTTAACTAAAATTCAACAGCTGGTCATCACTAGAAACTCTAAAATTCAACAGTTGGCCATCACTAGGGAGTCTGGAGCCATGCGAGGGTCTCCCTTGCAAATTTAGTGCAGTCTTAAGGTTTCCCACAATCTAAAACAGATACTCTTTGAAATTTGGTTTCTGACTATCCAACCATTTGGAGAAGAGGGAAGAAGAAAATCAAGGCATCCTGTGATTCTGCCACTTCTGGCTCCATCTCCTGTATGAGTGGTTTTTCCTTGGCCACCATGGAGAAAGAAGACTGGACTTCAGAGAATACTGGGGTATCAGATACTCACTAGAGGATGCATAAGAATCCTTTGTATTAGGCAGTGGTATCTCATAGTGTTTTGTTCCAAAGAAAACAAGGCAGAGAACCCCAGCTGCTGGAACTATGACGCCAGTTCTGGACTGTCCATGTAGTCATGATATCTCTGACTTGACCATAACACTCCAGAACATGGTAGAACACTGACTCACCTCTGTGGAATCAACAGCTGCATATATAATATCCATCCAGCCCTTAAATGTTGCCTGCAACAAAAGCAGAAAAACATGAATAATACAAATGTAGACTTGCCATCAACAGATACATGGCATGGAAAAGCAGGTGAGGCCCAGTGGGCTGAATATATAAGATGATACCCCAACCTTCTAGGACAGGATGCTCAAATAAAAGAACAGTAGAAGGGAACTCAAGGGTGTGTGTCTTGGATTTTTTTCTTCTTCTTCATTTGTACAAGATACAAAGTTTAAAAACAAGAAATTTCCACCTTAAAAGTTACCAGAGAGGCTGAAGCTGTGGCCCAACAGCTGAAAAGAGACTGGCTAAGAGTTAAAGGGTTCTTTTCTGATGCCATATGTATTTGCACTGCCTGTTCAAGACCTGGCAACTGTGCTTTAAACAGGGAACTGTTCAAAGTGTCATGACCTACACCTGAGGCTCCACTCCTCTCTGCCTGGAGATGTGGAGAGCCAGCAAGGTGCCATACAGGACAAGGTGAGATGTACAGATCCTTAAAGGGGCATCACTAGGAAGCTGAGGCTCAGCAGTCAATGAAGTTGCAGATGCTCAGTAGAGGACAATTCCAGAAGGCATTGGCTTTCATATAAGGAATTAGGATTTGCTTCTATTATCACAATGGAGTCACTGCATTTTTATTAGCTGAGAAACAATTCATGATTCTCTGAAGGTTTTTCTCCTCAGAGTGAAAAACATACTGACTGTACTTACCACTTGCAGCAGAGCGAGGTAAGCATTTCCCACATTGTCAAAGTTGACTTTCTGGTTGATCCAAGAGAAATTGCCACTTTCACATTGACTTTTATTTGTAATGATGGTATAATTTATAACTGAGTCTGTTCCATTAATGCATTTCCCAAATTTTCCAGAAAAGAAGTATACTCCCAGAATACAAAATACGAGCCAGAAAATGAGGCAGACAAGCAAAACATTCAGAATGGCAGGTATGGCACCTATGAGAGCATTGACCACCACCTTATGGAAACAAAAGCAAAGAAAACCATAACAGATGGGTAGGATGCACCAGGCTCTTCAACTTCTCAGCATGGGCCTGATGTGCAGGGCTTGATCTCTTGGAGCTCTGTCCTTAATCTCCACATACATGTGCCCCATCCCCATGACAAGCCCTGCTCTCAGCTCCCTACATAATGGGTCCTCTCTGTTGCCACTGAGGATACCTTGAGAAGTGCCCTGGTGATGACAGTGTTAGAGACTTATGGACACCTACCCCAGGATTCTGAGGCAAAGCTACAGCTCATCTTGGCTGTCACAGAAGCTTTTAGGGTAGAAAGTATATCTTAGGCTTTTCTCTACCCCTCAAATTCTAAGCACTGGGCAGGCTGGGAAGTAACCCAGGAAAAGCTTGGCAATTTAAGGAAATCTCAGCCCAAAAAGAACTGTTGGTCTTTCCACCTTTCTCTGTTAACTGAACTTCTACCCATTCTTCTGCAGAATGTACCTTCATTCCTTCAAACTGGGACAGCGCACGAAGAGGCCTCAGTGCTCGTAGAGTCCGGAAGGACTTCAATTCCATTAAGTTAATGAGGGTGGTCACAGAGACCTGATGGGAAGAGAGGCCACAGATAATGTACCTGACTTGGTGTCCAGCTGGAAAGTCCATTTTTCTCCTTATCTACCAAAGCTACAGTCCATAAACGTGGGAACAATGCACTCACGTTATTTGTTTAGTGAAAGACATAGAAAATCCGAGAAATTGTTGTGAATTAAAGGAAAGCAAAGAGATATAACAATCACATGTAATCTGGGGTGCTGAATTGGATCCTGGATTGGAGTGGGGGTAGGAGGTGGATGCATAAAGGGAATTAACCATAAAGAATCTTGTTATGGCAGTCAATTGAAATTTATTATGATAGTCAATTGCCATAACAAAGATCTTTATGGTGAATTTGAAAAATTTGAAAATGGATGTGGATTTTAATTGAATCAATGTTAAATTTCTAACTTTGATCACTGTATTGTAATCATGTGAGACATTGTCCTTGATAGGAAATATACATTGACATGTTTAGGGGTAATAGGTTTGATGCTTGCAACTTAATCTCAAGCAGTTTAGGGGGAAAAAAAGAGAGAAAAAAATGACAAAGCAGATGGGTGACAATAATTGGTGAACCTGAAGAAAGAATATGTGGATTTCATTATACTATTTCCTGCAACATTTTTCTTAGTTTGAAATGATATCAAAATAAAAAGTTACATGGAAAAAATAAATTATTTGCTAATATTTCCCCTAATCCAAATAGCTCCTTATTGGGGAATTAAATGCTATTTTCTCTCCCAATATGCTTCTTCTCAATAGGACAGAACTGAGTATTAGAAAGCTCTGTTAAGTATACCAAATTAAATCTTAACAATATTTACAGATGCTCAGTAGAGGACAATTCGAGAAGGTATTGGCTTTCATATGAGGAATTAGGATTTGCTTCTATTATCACAATGGAATCAATGCTGAGCTTGAGTTGAATCTGCTTGCTGCAGATCTTCAGCCATTCTTATTATGGAGAGTTTTCAGAGGCTCAGCTTGGAAGAAGAGTTGCTCAGCTGGATAGGAAGTGAATCAGGATAGTCCTGACTAAGCTGATGTCAGAGTTCACTATTACCTAAAAACATTCCTCACAAATCTTGCCAACCTCATTGTAGTAGTGAAGAGAAATTGAGTTAATATGACAGAATATTAAGATTTTGAAATTTATAATCAATTTACAGTGTATTTATAATGTTTTTAGTGGGCTTTTTGTTTACAATGGCACCACTTTTGGAGAGTTATTTAAGTTATTAAGTTATTAAGTAGCTTTCTCGCAAATACTCCACTTATTCCTAGCCAGATGAAAACAGATGGCAAAGTTTAGCAATTCTTCTGTTTTACCAAATCATTGTCATAGTTGGTGAGAAGGGATGTTCCTACAGAGACCTTATACACCTCTTTACCTTAAACCTTACCCAAGTTTCTGTTCCATCAGACTTGCAGGTATCAGTGAGACACATAGAAACACCCACATTCTTTCCCACCATACTGTACTCTTCAAGTGAGAAGTCTTCTACTAGTTTTATCTTATTTTTAAAATCTAACTTGCATTTATCACTCTGCACTGTTTTTGAAATCATCATGTTGATTATATTCTTATGGTTTGCTCCTTGTAACTGTTGAGGAATAGTACAGCATATAAATCTTCATGTTTTACGGATCCATTCCTCCTTGGTGAATACCTAGGTTATTTCCATTTCTTTCCTATTATGCAAAACAGTACACTGGACAGTATTATGCACAACAGTACACTGGGCAGATGTGTGCATTTTTCTTGGGTACATATGCAAGAGTTCTCCTTGGATCTATAACAAGTGATATTTGTGGATTGTGAGTTGGGTCATTTGTGATTTTTACTTAATATAGTGCGAAATATTCCCTACAGTGGCTGTACCAATTAAATTATTAGCAGTGGTTTGAGATCGCATTTTCCTATATCCTTCTAAATATCGATGTTATCCAACTTTAAAATTTTTGCCATGGCATTTTCCTATATCCTTCTAAATATCGATGTTATCCAACTTTAAAATTTTTGCCATGGCTGGGCACAGTCGCTCAAGCCTGTAATCCCAGCACTTTGGGAGGCTGAGGCAGGCAGATAGCTTGAGCTCAGGAGTCTGAGACCAGCCTGGGCAACATGGTAAAACCCTGTCTCCATAAAAAATACAAAAATTAGCTGGGCATGGTGGTGGGCGCCTGTAGTCCCAGCTACTTAGGAGTCTGAGGCAAAAGGATCAATTGAGCTTGGGAGGCAGAGGTTGCCACTGCACTCAAGCCTGGATGACAGAGTGAGACCATGTTTCAAAACAATATATTTTGTTTTCCAATCTAATGAGTAAAAAGAGGCCTCTCATTTTAATATGCACTTCTGTGCTAACTGGTGATAGAACTAGTGTATATTTCATCATACGTTTATTCCTTTTGTGAATTGGCTGTTTGTATACTTCTCCCATTCTTACTCTGGGTTGTTTTTTCCTGTGAATCTGTAGGAAATTTGTATATGTTGTGAATAATAATGATCTGTTGTGGAAAATACTGTCTCCCAGGTTCTAGTTGGTTTGTAACTGTAATTAGAGTATTGTTGAATACAAAAATAAAAGTTTTACTACATTTTGATGTAGTTGAATTGTGTATCTTTTTGTGGTTTATGCTTTTCTAATAAAAATTATGATGGTAATTTTATATAATCTTGATTGACAATAAATATTATAGAACTGTTCACATACATTCTCTCATTTAATCTGTACAACAATATCCCAAGCTAAGCAGCACTTTGCAACATCTACCATATTATAGATGAGGAAACCTGAAGCTCAAAGGATCAGCAACTTGTTTCAGGTCATACAGCTGATAAGTGGTGAATTTCAGATTCACACCACAGTCTGCATGATGTCAAGGCTAATAATAGTAATAGTAAACCACATTTGTTGAGTGCTTTATCTGTGATTTGCAAAGATATATAATTGTAAGATTATTTTCTTATTTGATTCATTTCTGTTCTATTCATTTATTATCAATATTATGTTTATCTCATTAAATAAATTTGCAAGCTTTCCTTCTTTTGTCTATTCTTTGTAACAATTTGAATAAGATGAGATTAATTCTTCCTTGGAAGTTTGGTAAAACTTACCTGCAAAACCATCTGGGCCTCTTGATGATATGATTGTATACATAGAAAATCCTAGAGTCATCCAAAAAACTCCTAGAACTGGCAAATGAATTCAGCAAAGTTTCAGGATACAAAATCAATGTACACAAATCAGTAGCACTGTGATACACCAACAGTGACCAAGCTGAGAAACAAGTCAAGAACTCAACCCCTTTTACACTAGCTGAAAATAAAATAAAATAAAATACTTAGGAATATACCTAACCAAGGAAGTGAAAGACTTCTACAAAGAAAACTACAAAACACTGCTGAAAGAAATCATCAATGACACAAACAAATGAAAACACATCTCATGTTCATGGATGGGTAGAATCAACATTGTGAAAATGACCCTACTACCAAAAGCGATCTACAAATTCAATGCAATTCCCATCAAAATACCACTATCATTCTTCACAGAACTAGAAAAAACAATCTTAAAATTTACATGGAACCAAAAAAGAGCCTGCATACCCAAAGCAAGACTAACCAAAAAGAACAAATCTGGAGACATCACATTTTCAGACCTCTAACTGTACTATAAGGCCATAGGCACCAAAACAGCATGGTACTGGTATAAAAATAGGCACACAGACCAATTGAACAGAATAAAGAACCCAGAAATAAAGCCAAATACCTACAGCCAACCGATCTTCGACAAAGCAAACAAAAACATAAATTGGGAAAAGAGCACCCTATTCAACAAATGGTGCTGGGATAACTGGATAGCTACAGGTAAGAGAATGAAACTGGATCCTCATCTCTCATCTTATATGAAAATCAACTCAAGAGGGATCAGGGATTTAAGTCTAAGACCTGAAACCATACAAATTCTAGAAGATAACATGGGAAAAACTCTTCTAGACATTGGCTTAGGCAAAGACTTCATGACCAAGAACCCAAAAGCAAATGCAACAAAAACAAAGATGAATAGATGGAACTTAAAACTAAAAAGCTTCTGCACAGCAAAAGAAACAATCAGCACAGTAAACAGACATCCACAGAGTGGGTGAAAATCTTTGCAATCTATACATCTGACTAAGGACTAATATCCAGAATCTACAAAGAACTCAATCAAATCAGCAAGTAAAAAAACAAATAATTCTATCCAAAAGTGGGCAAAGGACATGAATGGACAATTCTCAAAAGAAGATTTACAAATGGCCAACAAACATAGGAAAAAATGTTCAACATCACTAATTATCAGGGAAATACAAATCATAACCACAATGTGATACCACCTTACTCCTGCAACAATGGCACTAATCAAAAAATGATAGATGTTGGCGTGGATGTGGTGAAAAGAGAACACTTCTACACTGCTGGTGGGAATGTAAACTAGTACAACCACTATGGAAAACAATGTGGAGATTCCTTAAAGAACTAAAAGTAGATCTGTCATTTGATCCAGCAATCCCACTAATGTGTATCTACTCAGAAGAAAGGAAATCATTATATGAAAAAGACACTTGCACACACGTTTATAGCAGCACAATTCGCAATTGCAAAAATATGGATTCAGCCCAAATGCCCATCAATCAACCAGTGGATAAAGAAAATGTGATATATATATAGAGAGAGAAAGAGACATATGGTGTATATATATGGTATATATATGGTGTATATACTATATATATGGTATATATATGGTGTATATACTATATATATGGTATATATATGGTGTATATACTATATATATGGTGTATATACTATATATATGGTATATATATGGTGTATATACTATATATATGGTATATATATGGTGTATATACTATATATATGGTATATATATGGTGTATATACTATATATATGGTATATATATGGTGTATATACTATATATATGGTATATATATGGTGTATATACTATATATATGGTATATATATGGTGTATATACTATATATGGTATATATATGGTGTATATACTATATATATGGTATATATATGGTGTATATACTATATATATGGTATATATATGGTGTATATACTATATATATGGTATATATATGGTGTATATACTATATATATGGTATATATATGGTGTATATACTATATATATGGTATATATATGGTGTATATACTATATATATGGTATATATATGGTGTATATACTATATATATGGTATATATATGGTGTATATACTATATATATGGTATATATATGGTGTATATACTATATATATGGTATATATATGGTGTATATACTATATATATGGTATATATATGGTGTATATACTATATATATGGTATATATATGGTGTATATACTATATATATGGTATATATATGGTGTATATACTATATATATGGTATATATATGGTGTATATACTATATATATGGTATATATATGGTGTATATACCATATATATATAGTCTTTGGTATATACTATATACATACACCATGGAATACTACTCAGCCATAAAAAGGACCAAAATAGTGGCTTTCACAGCAACCTGGATGGAATTGGAGACTATTATTCTAAGTGAAGTAACTCAGGAATGGAAAACCAAACATTTTATGTTCTTACTCATAAGAGAGACCTAAGCTAAGAGGACACAAAGTTGTAAGAATAATACAATGGACTCTGGGGACTCAGGGGAAATGAGGGTGTGAGGGATAAAAGACTACATTAGGTACAGTGTACACTGATCGGGCGATGGGGCACCAAAATCTCAGAAATCACCGCTAAATAACTTATTCAGGTAACCAAACACCACCTGTTCCCTGAAAGCCTATTGAAATATAATAAATAAATAAATAAATAAATAAACCCACCCATCTCAGCCTGGTACCCTTTTTTGACAGTGTGGCTTTGGACAACTGTTTTGATATTTTTAATGGCGATCACTAGATTTCTAGTGAAACTATCACTAGCTTTCTATTATGTATTCAGTGAATTTGGGCAATTTATAGTCCACATCCTCATTTTTACCTGTGAGAAAATTATTGTCAAAAGAGGGGAAATGTTTTGCTTAAGGTTACACAAAAAGAGGGTAGACCAATTAGCTTTAGGACCCAGGCTCCTAAATGTAGGGCTTGTATCCGGTAAAACAGAGTTCCCTATAATGGAGATAACAATCATCTGTTCACACAGTTTTTAGGGTTTTCTTTTTACTATAATCTATTAAGATAATACGTACAGAGTTATTTGCTCTCTAGAAATTAATAGGACTGACAAACGTGGATGTTTTTATTCCCATCTTTGAATCCTGTTGTAGTTTCTATGGCATTTATACCTTTCTAAAATGCCTGAACCACAATGAGCTTCTGTTTCCTTGTCTCTGAGCCTCTGGTTTTCTTGTTAGTAATGTGGTAGATGTCATGTAATACTGATTAACTCAGAATATTGATGTCCATATTAAATGAACACATGGTCTATTTGTGCTAACCAACAACATTATGGTTCTCCAGTGGGGTTTCCTGACCACATGGTTTATGCTCAGATATTTGTCTTATCTACTTCCTTGCATAGCAGGGACAAAGTTTAACTAATTACATCATGATGGAAAGAGGTAATGTTAAAATCAAGGGCCCTGGAGTGAGACTTACTAGGTTGCACCAGTTTTAATTATATAAAGGTATTACATAATCACATGTATCCTGAAAATATGTCCATCTACTATGTATCAGTAAACATAAAATTAATCTTAAAAAAAGGATGTAATGTTAAATCAAGAGCTTTGGAGTGAGGCTTACGAGGTTTGTATCTCACCTCCACCACTTCTAGCTGGGCAATCCTGAACATGTTTCTTAGCCTCTCTATGACTTACTTTCTTTCTCTGAATATACAAAAATAGTAGCACCTGCCACAGAGTGGCTATGACAACTAAAAGAGAGAAGGCATTTGGAGCATATGGAAGAGTACTTGATACAGAGAAAGCACTCAATAAATGTGATCCACTAATACTATTATTAGCTTTTGTGTCATACAGCTAGACACGTGAATCCCAATTTCACCACTTATCAGCTCTATGACCTGAAACAAATTGATAATCCTCTGAGCTTCAGGTTTCCTTGTATACAGTGTGGGAGGTGTCATACAATGCTGCTTAATTCAGAACATTGTCATGCATATTAAATGAGAGACTGTATGTGAACAATCCTCTTATGCTGCTTGACAATTAAGATGGATATTAGCCTAGTCTATTGGCTGCTGACCAGCTTTGAGAAGTCTTGAAAAGAAATAGAAAGTTGGAAGAAGAAAAAATCGAGGATACTGAAAGTTATTCTAGGTACATATTATACATAAACAGTGCTTATGGAGAGAAGTGAATGAATCCCATCATGGGAAAGGTTGTAGTGGTGAGCATATAAAGTGTAGTGTATGATGAGCGGGACCTAGGAAAGGCTAAACTGCTTACAGACAAATGACAACTACTTACAAGTACTGTGAAGAGGCAATGATAACAAGAAAAACTATTTTAGACAGACATCCATATGCGGCACACAGGAAAAGCAGCCTCCATATGATCCCTGCCTTAACCACTACCCCAGCCTGTGTGGGACACAGAGATGGTAAACTTACAATCACAATGATGAAATCAAGGCAGCACCAGGCACTGGTGAAATACTTTCCAAATCCGAAGGCTACCCATTTTAGTACCATCTCCAGGATAAAAATATGTGTAAAAATAATGTCAGTACAATTTAGTAATTCTTGGATTTTGGGTTGGTTCTCAAGGTGAACATCTTCAAATATCTGAAATGAAAAAGCATAGCCATAGGCCAGGTTGAATATTTGCAAAGAACTCCTTGGTAACTTTACTTTTTGTTTTTCTTCCTTATATGAATAAAAACTGGTATCTCTCTTCGTAATGAGGTTCTGCTCAAAAGATATTAAGGCTAAACTTTTCCAATGGAATCCATTCCTTGAGTAAGTAAAAATGGAAGAAGGAAAATCTTCTTTCTTCTGTTGTCACAATAGTTCCTCAACTGCTTATTACTGGTCCCCTGAATATTAAAACATCTTCCTAATGGATCAGCACATTATTTCCTGGGCTTCCTCATCTTTTCAACTCCTGCCAAATATGTCTTGCCAACATTCCCAGGACCACCCAGTGGCATAGACCATCTCTCATCCTCCCAATTGCCTTGGTGGATTAATTCAGTGTCTCTTTATTGCTTATAACATTAAGTCCAAGTGCCTTAGCCCGTTCTCTAAATCCTGCCAACCCTGATGCCCCTCATCTATCCCTACAAACAGCCTTATCCATTTACCTTACCATTCCCTACAAATAGTGTCATTTCTTATGTGTGCCATGACATTAACAAAATTTGGAACACTCTAGGCTAAAGCTCCCAGTGTAAATTACTTTGAATATTAAACATTGTTATTTGTAATTATGAAAAAGAGATCCTGGCTTTCAGAGAGACCCTTTTTAATGCTACATCCAAACACTTCCCTCACGCAAACTGTATGTGATTCTACAGGGTCTATATAACTAGCGTATAAGCTGTCCTTTTGGCCTTTACAGAGTTACTGAGAATGAAAGAAAGGAAGACGGCCTGTTACTAAAGCTGCCCATGAAATTTACGTCAACATTGAAGGCAGGAAGGGAATCATCCTTGCTGTTGGAGACTAGGGTAAGCCCACAGCTCCAAAGTCCTGGGGTGAAAAAAAGAATGCAAAAGAGTAAAACAGTCTCACTTCCAATTGCCAAATTGGTTTCTGGCTGAAGAAGGCCCTCTATCTCATCCTCTGCTCTTTCAGCTCTTCAGCTTTAAGATTTCAGCTTAGCTGATATTTTCTATAGGAAACTGTCCCGTTCCAGCAGGATTGGGTTAGGTTCCCATCCTACATGCTCCCATGTCACCCACTGCTTCCCTGAGTAGACCACTTAATTGTTCTATCTATCTTGATCTATACTTTCTGGTCTATAATCACTCCAGCTGTCTTTCCTACTAGACTTCAGGCTCCTGGAGGTCAGGGACTTCGTTTGTTTGCCTCTTGAGGATAAACAAATCTGAATGGTATTGGGTGCTCATTTCCTCCCTTATTTGGGAAGCTTACCAGTAAGCTGGTTCAGCAGATCTGAGTTAGCTCAATGGATGAGCACGCTTATACCTGCAATTGAGCTTCAGAGGCTTCCACATTATATCTAGGCCATTTTCTGACACAGGAAGCTCTTATTATTACATAGTTGCCTAGACCAGAGTTTCTCAAACTCTAATGAACCCCAAATCACCTAGGGAACTTGTTACAATGGACTGCTTGTTACAATGTAATACTCTGCGTTTCTAACAAGCTTCCAGGTGATGCTGCTGCTGCTGCTGATAGACACATATAGTGGCAAACAACTTGATGTCTCTTGTTCTCATTCTCTACAAATATGTACAGAGAAATATGGGCTGGGTCCTTCCCCTGGCACCCTCTGCATTGTGTGTTCAGCTTTGCTCTGCCCAGCCTACACCTGCCTTTCCGAAGGCAGATAAGAACTGGAGTTGTGTGCCCTCTGCTACATTTCTGATCATACATTTTCTTTTTATGGCACCATGGGGCATTTTTGCTGTGGCCTTTTGGCACTGTCACTGCTTTCCCACTGCCTATATCATAAGTACCATTTGTGGAATAAATACAAGAAACCCTACACTTGAGTAACAGTAGACAGCCAGTGAAAATGTAGTCACCAGAAAGTCTACAGGTAACCCTAGACCCAAGATTAACAATAAAAATTTATTAAGGGAATTCTCTGGGATGGTTTTAGAGAAATCTGCTTTTCTATTTGAAGAATAATTTACACTGTAGTAAGTAGACAAATGGACATGTATGTTGATCACAGTCCCCGGTGGGCTCTGGTATGTATTCATCTCTTTTCACCTAGAGATCACACAAGTGTAAAACACTAACCAGAAGCTATGGGGTGTAGGAGCAAGACATTTCCTTGTCTTTTTCCACTTGCTAGTGATTCACTGTGAAATGTTCTGTCACTCTTAGCAGGGGAGAACCCAAGGCTCCTGGGTTTAGTAATATGGAACCAAACTCTCATAACAAACTCATAACTTTGTTATGTCAAACAGTAAGAGAATTTGGTTCCCTATTATTTAGCTCCACATTACTGTATGATCATTTTAAGGGAAGATGCATGATAGAAAAAAGCAGAAAATAGAAAAGGAGAGGGCGAAATATGCAGGTGATAAGAGAAAAGATACTATCCCTCCCTAGCAGGGAGGAGAAAGGGAGACAAGAAGGACCAGAAGGTGTGGAGAGAGAGCATAAAGGAGTGGATAGCTCTATGGCTATAGAAGCTGATGGGTTCAGAGTTATTTCTAAATCTCATTGGGACTCATACCACACTTTGACCATGCATATAAAGCAACATCTCCTTGTCCTTTCTTTCAAGGGATCATGAATGACAGAAAATACCAAGGCAACTTATTATATCCTAATCTGGTCCCTGTAACTCCCTCCCATAATATTTTACCTTTCAGAAAACAGCACTATGGCTTATGGTAACAGGGAGAGTAGAAGCACTGCTGTCTAGAGGAAGAACTATGTAGGATACAGTGAAAATGTCTAGAAATCCCCCAAAAATGAGAGGTAGATGATCAAGGACCAGACTCTAGTGGCCACTTTAAAGTGCTGGTTTTAGTTAGTCTTCCACACAGATAAAGCATCTTTGCTTGGTGATATCCCAGTTGAGCACGATTTCAGAAGCTGTGCAAAACCCTGCCCACTGCGGGAACCAGCAGCATCAGAGACCACTTCTGTCTGGTCTCCCATATTCACAGTCCCACGAGAAGCCAAGTCAGAGTGCAGCTTCCCCAGCTGCCCTGATGCCCAATGTCTCCACAAGACAATGATGATTTACCAGTGCCCCACTGCTCAGCAGAATCACAAAGATAATAAAGCTCTCAAACCAGCTGTGTTTCACTATTTGGTAGCAGGTTTTCCGCAGGTTCCACCAAATGACCCAGGGAGGCTTTCTCTTGTCCACGCTACAGCATGGAAAGCAGCAACCAAAGCCTGAAAGGAATTAATGGTAGCACTATCATTAGTGTCTGTAATAAACTGCATTAAAATGCAACTCTTCACCCCTTTCTGTGTTCATGCCCCTTGCCATGCGACCTGCAGTTGCTCCCATTAAAGAAGTAGAGCATCTTTTTCTAACATCTTAAATCTGGTCCCTGCCATGTGACTTGCTTTAGCCAATAGAGTGGAATGGAAGTCACACTGTGCCAGTTCTGAGCCCAGGTCTTGAAAAGCCTTGCATGCTTCCACTTGCTGTCTTGTGCCATCTCCATAAAAAAAGGCAAATTCAGGCTACCCCATTGGGTCTGGAAGGAGGATGATAGACATGTGGAGTAGAGCCATGTTGCCCTGTTGAGCCCAGGCTAGATAACACTTGCATGAATGAAGCCAATCAAGATCAGCTGAATCCTGCAGGCACATGTTTACTATTTTATGCCACTGAGGTTTTGTAGTTGTTTGTTATGCAGCAATTTTTTTGGTAATCATAAAGAGATCATGTCTGGAGGACTCCAGGGAATGAGGTAGGATGGCCACAGGCTTTGTGAACCTCTCAGGTCATACACGAAAGAATTTGATCAAATGTCGAGACGTTTACAAAGAGCTGAGCATTTGTTCTGAACACACACAGGCCTTCAATATAGACCACATTGCCCTTTCCACCTTTTCTCCTCCTCCCCTTGTACAAATTCTGCTGATCCTTATTCATGATGATTATAACATTCTGCTCCTTTCCTCATCTTCTTAAACCACTATGGGCTCTCTTCACTCTGCCTCTTTTCTTCTTCCAAAAACATCAGTAGGTTCATCTTCCTAAAAGACTACACTTTTTTCCTGGCTTTTATCCCACTCCTCCCTTCTTTGATAAAACCACCTTTCTTTCTCATCTCCACTGTTGACATCATATGCACACCTCAAGAGCCAGTGCAAACATAAATGAGGAGAACTGCAATCTACTGGAAATCCTTAATCCAACTCCTGTCCAGCTTTGGAGCTGTTAAGCAACCTGGAATGTGAGTTTGAAACCTGTTATTTGTGTTGCTTCTGGACCCAATTTAATCCTAAACTTATAGATAATTTTTTTAGATTCATTCATTAATTTGTTTCACTTATTTATTTATCAACATTTGTTGAACCCATTTCTGGGCCGGCTTCTATTCTTACACTAGAGATACAATGCTGATGAAGTCACTGCCTTTGTTTTTAAGGACCTCATGGGGGAAACCAGTGCAAATAAGTTCACTACAATGAATATAACAAATAGTAAAGGCCTATAGGAAAAAGCCACTATATCCACTCAAGGAATTAGGAAAGCCTGCATTTATTGATTGCTTATTTTTGTTCCAGATGCTCTTCTAAGTGATTTATATTCACTCATTTAATAGTCACAACAACTCTTTGCTTTGGATACTATTATTACCCTCATTTTAGAAATAAAGCACAGAGAGGTTAACTAAATTGAACAAGTCACACAGCTCATAAGTGGCAAGGCCAGAATTTGAGCTCAGGCAGTCTGGCTTCTAAGCTAAAGATCCTGACTACAATGTCTAAACTCTTTTCTTGGTCTTTCACCTCAAATACACCCTGACATTGAATGCCCTGGGAACCATAGAAAGTGGCAGACATATTGGCCCAGTGGGCTTTCTAAGAGAGTTTTCCAGAGTGTTTACCTGGCATTTTGGGCCATGTGAGAGGAGCCCAATTAAAGCAAGAATTTCCTGAAATCCCCTCTGCCTAGATCCGACAATCGCCTCAAGAATCTACGGGTGCCCTCTCATTGCTTTTGTCTCCAATAGAAGTAGAAAGATGATATCTACTAAAACCACAGAGCTTCAAAGAAGAACAGAAACCCCATCCAAAGATTCTGTGAACTGGATGCAGAAATACTGCCACTTACCTTTGGGCAAACATCTCTCTGGTTGCTTTTTGGGAACCATCTCAGGTAACCATCCAAAGCCATCCTGAAGATCAATGGTGCTACATTCTGATAGTATACTGGTAACATCAGACTTCTGCACATCAGAACAAAACGAAGGGGGTGCCTTTTACTAAGACCTTCTTTCACCATAGTAGTACGGAGTTTCTCATTGTCTGATTTTTTAAGGATGAAATGAACTAGGCAAAGGTTTCTAGGATGAGAGGTGTCAAGAAACACCCCTCCTGCTGGGTCCTTTTCTAAGTGCTATGACCAGCCTGACTTCAGAAGAGAACTCTCTAGCTCATCTCTATAGCTGAGGAATAGCAATGCATATGAAGATACAGTACCTCCACGTTTTCTCCCTACAGATCATAACCCTGATAGGCTGCCTAACTCCAATTATGTGATGAGAAGAAGGCTACTTTACTGAGACTATAATTTTCCACTGTCTCACCTCCTGGAATAATAGGCCTAGACCAGTGGTTCTTATTTCTTTGGCCCTCCAGGAGACATTTTGGCAATGTCTAGAGACATTTTTCATTACCTTAACTGGCGGATGCTACTGGCATCAAATGCATAGAGGCCAAGGATATGGATAAACATCTTACAATTCACAGAAAAGCTCACCATGACAAATAATTGTCCTGCTTCAAATGTCATACTAGTAAAGTTGAGAAACCTGGCCTAGACTTTTGCTCAAAACTCGATTCTTGCAATTTTCTCTGCATTAATTGTGCCATTTTTCCATAATAACTATCCTGGAGAAGGTGTGTGGATGAGCCACAAGTTCCTCTGACAACATCCTAGGAAAATTACCTTTCGGGGATCCTGTATGGTCAGATGAGGCTCATCTTCAGAGAACATGTCAATTTCCACACTTTGAACTCTCTGGCTCGTGGGCTTCTTGTTCTCCTGATGGAGCTCATAGGCCTAACACAGAGAGCCCAGAATAGAATTAATATTCCTCCTGGACATGTCACTTAAGATGAAAGAAGTTTGAATGCTATTTGGTTTTCTCTTTGTCATGAGAATAAGCCTTTGACATTATTACTCTTTTTTCTCTTTAGAAACTGCTCCTGGAAAAACTCAACATAATATAATTCTGGGAAAACTACTAGAGGAAACAGATACTGAACTTGTTACAAAGATACATAATCAAAACAGTATGGTTCTGGTACAAAACTCCGCAAGTAATTCAGAAATAAAACTTACATGGAGATTTAATATAATTTACATGGGGATTTAATATATTTTAAATGTGCTCTTTCAATTCAATGGCTAGATAATAAATTATTTAATAAATGGTACACAATGCCATAATATAGTAAAAATAAAATATATAATCTTATGACATTCTGATGTAAAAATAAATGGGTAAACATTTTAAAAGAAAAATTTGAAAAATAACTTGCTATCATGTGGGGTACAGAGAGTTTCCTTAGCAAAACAGGAAACTAAAAGACATAAAGAAAAATAATAAAACATATCACTACATAAAACTGAAAAATAAATTTGTTCTGATGACCTACAGGAATATCTAATAAGGATGTGTACAGTCATGTAACCAAGCAGCTTGGCAGCTGAGCCTCGAACTGTGTTTTAAACATTTTTTTCTTCTTTTCCTCTTCCTCTTTCCCCTCCAAGTCTCAAGATACAACTTTGAGACAACCTGCATATGTGTTACCTCTTATCTTGAAATACAGCCTTGGAATGTGCTGTGAGCCTCCACTGCCTTTCCTTTCCCATACTATATTCCCATACCTTATGCACATTTATTTACCTAAATGCTTTTTAAGTACACGCCATGTTCTTTTATGTGGTCATATGTTTTCTTAGAAGCTTCGAGAGTCAGATCCTGATAGGGACCAGGTACCTCTAGAATTCTCTCCCCAACAAGATTACTTCAAGAACAGAACCTACTTCAGGCTGTAGAGTGACTACAAGATTGACTGCAACTAATTTATAACCTGGCAGGATCCATGATGGCACCAGCCCCTTCACCACATGGGACAATAATTCAAGAGGGGCCACTGGAGCAAGTCACACCACCTGGCACCTCCTAGCCCCTCTTGCCTATTCTGCATCTCAAACCCTTTCTTTAAAAACCCCCGCATTCCGGGACTGTTGTGGGGTGGGGGGAGGGGGGAGGGATAGCATTAGGAGATATACCTAATGCTAAATGACGAGTTAATGCGTGCAGCACACCAACATGGCATATGTATACATATGTAACAAACCTGCACGTTGTGCACATGTACCCTAAAACTTAAAGTATAATAATGATAAAATAAAAAAATAAAAAATAAAATAAAATAAAAACCCCCGCATTCCTTCCACAAATTGAAGAGTAGAATGGGTCTCTGCTCTTCCCCTTGCTGGCACAGATAATAAGAGAATATTGCTCTTTCTTATCATAATTTGTTATTATTTTGAATTCTTTTCATAAGCAGCTAGCAGCCGGACGGATCCTTTTGCTGGTTACAGTCACATCTTGGGTGAATGTTTTATCCTAACATCTATGTGAAGACTCTTGCAACTCTGACATTATAAGGTCATGATTCAGAAACATTTCTCCACACATGTAATAGCATATGTAAAAATACACACACATACAAATATAGCCACGAATATACCTCACAAACATACACATACAAAAAGGGGTAACCTGTCTGTGGACTAGACACAGAAAAGAAATATAAAGTAGTAAGAATTTAAATAAGATAGCAGGTAATGGTGTCTAAAAGTACCCTAGATGAGGAAGGGAACCAGAGCTATATTTAAGGCTTGAAACTGTGGGCTGAGGTAAAGTTTTTGCACTTAAGAGAGAAAGCCAAAAAACACAAATGTCGCAGCAAACGCTTATGATTACAATTGTATAAAGCTGCATACGTAGGGAGACAGGAAGAAGTACAACCTCAGAAATGGGACCTGGGCAAAAGTACCCACTGGTTCAGTGACTGGATCTGCAATATGACTTGTATCATTATTAGACAACAACCCAAAGCTGGTGATAGAAGACATGGATCTGAAATGGATGCCACAGAAGGATTTATTACAGACAATCATAGAACTTAGACTGCAAAGAGAATGACAGATCTTCCCACTAAAGATGAGCTTTTAAGCTAACATTCCAAAATATATGAGGAAACAAACATAAAATCAGTAGACTTCCTAAAATTAACAACTAGGAGGTGAATTCACTTGAGAAAAAGATGAAAGTTACATAATAATCTGAAAATGTCTTTAAATTAATACATATAGAATTTAATAAAGAAGTTACATAGAGTTTCACTTCCTGGATGATAGCATGATAATCTCTGCGGACGTTCTCCCTAGGGAAATAAGCATAAGTGGTGAAAACTGTTTTAAAAATAATTTAAAGTCTCTAGAAATTATTCTGAGAGTGCACAGCAAATGAAGAAACATTTGTTCAAGAAAATCTACTAAAATTCAGTAAGAACAGCAGAAATTGATGACACTTAAGCCATGATCTGACCTCTCCCCCCATCCCTTCCAGCCAAGTTTTATGGAGGCTCCACTCTAGACCAAGGTGGCCAAGAAGATAGGGCTCCCTCTACCCTAGCTCTCAATCAAGGGATGTGGTGATGGGTGCACCAAAATCTCACAAATCACTGCTAAAGAACTTATCCATGTAACCAAAAACCACTTATTCCCCAAAAACTACTGAAATTAAATTTTTTTTAATGAAATTGAAAAAAAAGATATTGAGCCTTTTGAATGGAAAGGCACATCAATGATATCTGCATAAGGGGAAAATCTTTTTAAATGCTTACATTAAAAAAAATACAGCCTACATGTTAAATTACCTATTGCAGGCCAGGCACGGTGGCTTATGCCTGTAATTCCTGCACTTTGGGAGGCTGAGGTGGGCGGATCACCTGAGGTCCAGAGTTCAAGACCAGGCTGGCCAATATGGTGAAACCCCATCTCTACTAAAAATACCAAATTAGCCAGGCATGGTGGCACACACCTGTAATCCCAGCTACTTGGGAGGCTGAGGCAGGAGAATCGCTTGAACTCGGCAAGCAGAGGTTGCAGTGAGATGAGATTGTGCCGTTGCACTCCAGCCTGGGTGGCAAGAGCAAAACTCCGCCTCAAAAAAAAAATTACTTATTGCATACTTATTTTATTTTAGTGCAAGGCCTGTCACATGGTGGTCATTCAATGCATTTGAAATAAAGAAATGCTGGCCGGGCGCGGTGGCTCACGCCTGTAATCCCAGCACTTTGGGAGGCCGAGGAGAGCAGATCACGAGGTCAGGAGATCGAGACCATCCTGGCTAACATGGTGAAACCCCATCTCTACTAAAAATACAAAAAAATCAGCCGAGTGTGGTGGCCGGCGCCTGTCATCCCAGCTACTCGGGAGGCTGAGGCAGGAGAATGGCAGGAACCCGGGAGCCAGAGCTTGCAGTGAGCGGAGATCATGCCACTGCACTCCAGCCTGGGCGACAGAGCGAGACTCCATCTCAAAAAAATAAAATAAAATAAAATAAAATAAAATAAAATAAAATAAAATAAAATAAAATAAAATAAAATAAAGAAATAAATGCTGTTTAGTATCATCAAAAACAATCCCATTTTCCAATGCATAAATGATTACACCACCATGAAATGCCTACCAATAAAAATGCATGAGTTATGGAAAAAAAAAAAAGCAGCAGCAGCTGCAGGCCATCAGCATTTCTTATCTCTTCCAACTCTGAGTTAAGGCCTCTAAATTTCTGGTGAGTGTGGCCAAAAAGTTGGCTCCCTTTTTCCATCTAGCCCTCCACTCATAGGGCAGAGACTTTATCCCAGAAGCGGCAGCCCAAGAATACTAGAATCATCCTCATTCCAGCTTACTTGTAGGGCAAAAGCTCTGGGGGTGGGGAGGATTAAGGAAGAAGGAAACTGAGAAGTTGAGAGGCTACTGCCCCTGCCCAAGTGCCTGGAATTGTGCTTAAAAGAGTTTGCCCAGAGTGGGAGGTAATTCATAAGAAAAAAGAGCTCTGAAGCTCTCCATAGAACTGACTTTATTTGAAACAAAGTGGTGTGGGGAAGTATAAGTCTAAGAGTGTTCTTGAAAACAATGGATATTGGATATTTTGATCATAAGCAAATAAGAAGAGATTGGTAGCTCTCCTTCATTAAAGGCAAGAAACTAAAACATAGGTCAGCAAATTCACCACAAAGAACTACGGAAAGTGATGGCTAAGGAGAGTCCCCCTGGGGTCAAAACAAATCTCAAAGACTGCGCTTAAAAGCTATCACTTCCTGAATTTAATTGAATCAGACAGTTGAGCAATTTATGCCCCATGGCATTGTCAAGGAAAATAGAGCAATTATCCAGCAATTAGTTGAGCCTAAAATCGAAGTGTAATACCAAAAGAGGCAGACAGCTTAACAGAGAGATCACAAAAGGAGACAAAGATAGCCTTGCTGAAACAACAGTCATCCTACACTGACCGTGTGCACATCCAAGGATGTACTCTCCTAGGAGTGACACCAAAGCTTTCACATTGTGTGTGAATGGAGGGGGATAGGTTGGAGAGGGAGCAGATTCCACTAAAATAGTCTAGCCAGATTACCATTTAATAAAGAAGCTTCAGAGAGGAGAAAAGTGAATCAGTTATAGAGTTTCCACAATATGTTACTTAAAATGTCCAATTCAAAACAAAACAAAAATATGAAATGTGCAAAAAACAAGAAAGTGTGACGCACACAGGGGAAAACAGTCAGTAACAGAAACTGCACATGAAAGGGTCAAGATGTCAGAGCTAATAGAAAAAGAATGCAAAGAAGCCATTATAAATATATTTAAAGAATTAAAAGGTACAATGCTTAAGGAAATAAAAGATACTATGACCATATACAATCAAATACAAAATATCAATAGAAATTATATTTTGAAAAGAACCAAATAGAAACTTTGGAGTTGAAAATTATCATAACTGAAATGAAAAAGTCACTAGAGAGACCAACAGTACATTTGAAGAAAGAACCAGTGAATTTAAAGATGAATCAACAGAGACTGTGCAATCTAAAGAGCACAGAGAAAACAAAAGAAAGAAAAATAAAAAGAGCCTCAGAGAAATGTGGTGCACCATTAAGCACACCAACCAGAAAGGAAAGAGAGAAAGGAACAGAAAAAATACTTAAATAAGTAATGGCTGAAGACTCCTCAAAATTGATCGAAAACATTAATCTACACGTCTTAGTCCAATTTATGCTGCTATAATAGAATTCCTGAAATTAGTAATTTATAAAGAACAGATATGTATTTCCTACAGTTCTGGAGGCTGGGAAGACCAAGATCAACAGGCCAGTATCTTGTGAAGGACTTCCTGCTGCATCATAACATGGCAGAAGGCATCACCACATGGCAAGAAAGAGAAAGGAGGGAAGGCAGCAAACTCATTCTTTTATTAGGAACCCACTTCCACAGTAACTAAACTACTCCCACAATAACAGCATTAATCCATTCATGAGACCAGAGTCCTCATAATCTAATCACCTATTAAAGGTCTTACCTCTCAACATTGTTACTTTGGGAATTAATTCTCCAACATATAAACTTTAGAGGACACATTCAAATCCTAGCACTCCACATCTAAGAAGCCCAATGAAACCCCAAGTAGAAAAAACACAAAGAGATCCACACCTAGACATATCATAGTAAAAGTGCTGAAAGACAAAGAAAAGAGAAAATCTTGAAAGTAGCAAGAGAAAAGTGGTTCATCATGTACAAGGTGACATTGATAAAATTAACACTGACCTTGCATTAGAAATAATGGAGACCAAAAGGCAGTGATATGATATATTCAAAGTGCTGAAAGAAAAAACAACAGTGAACCAAGATTTTTATATCTAGTGAGGCTATCTTTCAAAAATGAAGATGAAATAATCACATTCCCAGAAAAACACAGAGAATTCTTTGGTAGTTCGCCTACCTTATAAAGAATACTAAAGGACATCCTACAGGCAAAAAACAAGTGACCCTAAATGGTAATACAACACACAAGTATGATAAAAAATATATATTTCTTTTCCTTTCTTCTTTTAGCTGATTTCAAAAGCAATTGTGTAAAACAATATGTTTAAAATTGTGTTGCTGGGTATGTAACATATAGAAATAAAATATATTTGCTAATAAGAGCACAAAGGATATGGGTGGGAGCAAAGTTGCATTGGAGTAAGAAAATCACACCTGCAGGTAACTCACAGTCACAGGAACAAATGAAGACAGCCAAGAGTAACTAAGAAGTTTATTAAAATAAATCTTATAAATATACACTTATTTTCTTTTATTTTCTCAGCTCCTTCAGTAGACATCTAGTTATATTAAGCAATAATAAAAAAAAGTTGTTTGGGTTTTAACATATATGAATATAATATGTAGAATTTAAAACAATACAAAAACAGGAGAGAGGAAATAGAGCTATATATGAGTAATATTTCTATAGCTCACTGGAATTAATATAAATCTGAGATAGACTCTGATGAGTTAGATGTATATGTCAAATTTTAGAGTACCCAAATAAGGAAATAATTCAAAAAGATTTTGAAAAAACTAAAGTTATTAAAATGTTATACTAGAAAATATTTACTTAATGCAAGTGAAGCAGTAGAGAAATAATAAAGGAAAAAACATGGAAGACATATAGAAGACAAACAGGAAAATATGAGAAGTAAATAAACTGAATTAACAACAGCATTAAATATGAATGGTTTAACCAATCCAATCAGAAGGCAGAGATTGCCAGAATAGATAAGAAAACAAGATCCAATTATACACTGTCTGCAGAGGACACATTTTGGGTTCAAAGATATAAATAGATTGAAAATAAAAGGATGGAAAAAGACATGTTATGCAAACAGCAACCATAAAAGAAGCTGGGATGACTCTATTAACATCAGACAAAATAGATTTAAAAACAAAAAACTTACTAGAGATAAAGAGGGACATTTTATAATGATAAAAGAACCAAAATATTGGGAAGATATAGCATTTATAAACATATATACACACCTAACAGAAGAGACCCAAAATATATGAAATGAAAATTGACATAACTGTTGGAAGAAACAGACAATTCACAATAAACATTGGAGATCTCAATACCTTATTTTCAGAAATGAATGAATAACAACTAGATAGAAGATCAACAGGGAAATGGAAGATTTGAACAAAACTATAAGCCAGTTAAACCTAGCAGACATCTATAGAACACTTAATTCCAAATGGCAGAATACACATTCTTGTCAGGTACACATGGAACATTTCCAGGATAGACAATACACTATGCCACAAAACAAGCCTCAAAAATTTAAAAGGGCTGAAATTGTACAAAGTATGTTCTCTGATCACAATGGAGTGAAATTCGAAATTAATAACAAATAGAAATTTGAGATATTTATAAATATTAAACAACACATTTTTAAATAAGCAGTGGGTCAAAGAAGAAATCATAAGAAGAATTAGAAAATAAGATAAAATAAAATATAATTAAATATATAGAAAATAAAAATGAAAATAAAATGTATTTGATATAGCTAAACATTGGTTAGAGAGAAATTTATAGCTATCAAATATGAGTCAGTAAACAGGCCCTCCTCAGACATCAAATCTGTCACTGCCTTGATCTGAAACTTCCCAGCCTTCAGAGCTGCGAGAAATAAATTTCTCTTGTTTAGAAGTTACCCAGTCTATAATATTTTGTTATAGCAGCCTGAATAGACTAATACAATATCCATTACCCTCACACTCCCTGACAGCCCTCATCTCCCACCACTCCTCACCCACAAGATTGGTCTCTGCAGAAACTGAGTTTGTTCCCAGCACTGCCTTTTTTTTCTAAAACAAACAAACCAACCAACAAACAAAACATGCTATTCAGTTTACTTCCCAATCCCCTTTTCCTCACTTTTCAGCCAGTCCAAATTCTACATTTCTTGTAGAGTTCAACCAAAGGAACTCCCCCTGTCATCCCAGCCCACTCTGATTTTGCTCCCCTCTGAACTCTTCTGACACCTCCTATCTGTGCCACACCTGCAGGACCACAATAAAGAACCTGTCCTGAGATGTGCACATGGGTATCAAAGGGCAGCCACGTTTTGTACCCTTATTATCCTTGCATAGTGCCTAGAAAAGGGCAGGCTACCAGTGCCCTGTGATAACTCCAGCTTTGTATGACCTTTAAGTCTATGTGTGAACCTTCATACCTGTTGTTCAGGCTCAGGTTGTGTGATGCGCTGTGCATTATCTTCACCAGAAAATTCAACGTCATCTTCCTCCTCCGCAAGTGGTGCCAACCAAGTCCAATCATGCCTGACGCCCAGGGTCTTTGGTACAGAGGTTAGTATACCAAGCTCCTCCTGGGTCTCTGAGCCCCTTTTCATCTCCATGACCAGGGGAATGATGTCTTTGCTTTGTGCAGCACAGCCTCCTGCCACCTCTTTTTGCTGTGGTAAGTTTTGCTTCCTGCACCACTTGTGACAGAAATGCTCAAGAGTGTGTCTCACAAAACAAAAAGCCCGGCGGAATCGATCCAGTGCTAACTGGACTTTAGTTTTCCTGGCCTCTCCTTCTAAGTTTCCATTTCTTTCCTCATTGCTAAAGGAATTGAGCAGTAAGGCAATGAAGAGGTTGAGCACCTGGGAATGGGGTGGGTAGCAAGAAGAAAGGAAAGTTTAGCAAAGGAAAAGATATAGTGGGTTTCCAGGACAACTTTTCCCCAAGACTAAAAACAGAATCAAATTAGAGTTTTATGTCCCACTGTCTCCTAAGAAAGCTCATCTATCCAATAAATAAAAGATTGAGAAAGAAATAGAAACAGTAAGACAGAATAAAAATTGAAATTAAAGGGTGCAAATAGCCAAGTCCACTTTCCCTACATATAAATAATATGGATGAGTAGACCCTTACCAGGGTAAAGCAGAATGGGATAACCATATGGCAAAATTGAGAGTACATTTCTTGAGGAACAGCTGGATAGTGAGCTTTGATTTTTGCTGGAATTTCCCACAAGGATATGAATCTGATATTCAAGCCCAATGTACAGTCCTTTCTTATTTGAATATTTGTGAGATGATGTACTTTACAGTTTCTTTAGGTCCTGTTGCCCTAACCTTAGTAACGTACTGGGGCCAAGCCAAGCGAGTTGGACCAAATATGCAACTCTTTCGTTGAACCACATATCACTTCAAATTCACATAATCCCAATAGCTTCCTACCTGGGTTCTTTGCTCATAATTACACACTCTCTAATTCATCATCTTTACCTCCTCAAATTCCTTTGTTTGTGGCTCTCTTCAGCTCGACAATAGACAGCCTTTGGAGAGAAGTGCCTGGTGGGTGTAAATGGGTCTAGTCACAGTTCCTCAGCTGCACTGTGAGAATTCCCACCTCTGGATCTTTGCTTAAGCTCTCCTCTATCTGTCTAAGTCCTCCTTACCATATAAGTGGTCTTCTCAAGTTCTGTAATCTTCCACGAATCCTTTCTCGGTGCTCTCCTCCCACTCCCACTGGTGATGCCCTGTTCTTCTGAGCTTTTGTATGTATCACTTAGTGTCTAGGCACACCATTTATTAGGTACTTAGGATAAAGCTATCGTGTGTAGAGAGTTAATTATATTGCACTATAACCCCAACTTGATCCTGAAGATCTTGTGCAGTAAGGCAATGAAGTGCACTTAATTAGCCTCCTCATAAATATCTATGCTTCCAGCTGCAAGTAACAGACTCAAGCCAGCTTATACAACAAAAATCTGTAGCATAACAAGAAGTTCGAAAATAGAACAGCAGGCCAATTATGACATGAATACAGGTTTGTTCTCTCTTTTCACTCTACCTGCCTCAGTGTTGGCTTTGTTTTAGGCTGGCTCTTCTCATGGTTGCATAATGTTTGCAGGTTTGGTCCAAACCCCTCTGGCTAGGCCCCAATACCTCATTGAAGTTAGGGGAACAGGGACCTAAAGACACTGCACAAAGTACACCATCTCTCAATTCGTGCAAACAGGAGAGGATTGCACAGCAGTCCTGGATGTCAGATCCATATTCCTGTGGGCAATTCCACCACAGCTCTAAGCTCATGATCTGGCTTTTCCAGGGGTCACAGTCATAAAAAAGCCCAGAGGAAGTAAAACGATCATTTTTTAAAAACACATATTTCTTAAGAACAAAAGATTGTTCCCAAATTGCTCCAGTGGACATCTCTTTACATCCTATTGACCAAATTAACTCACTAACTCCTATTTCAGCCAATCACTGGGGAAGAGAATACTATTGTCTTAGAATAATCATCTGGAATAAAATAAATTTGGGGGCATCAGTCAAATGAGTAATATGTGTCAAAGAGGTTTTTTCATGCTTATCATACTTTTCTCAAACAAAATTTGAATGAATATTTCAAATATTTATTTGGCATTATATTTAGAATAATAATTTTTACTAGTAAAGTTTTGCAAATGAAGTAATGCATTTGAGAGGCATGTAGGATCTTTTTTTTTTTTTTGAAAAAAATCTAAGACACATACCACAAGTTTTCCTATCACCGTGATCAATATGAAGACAATAACACACAATGATGATGATGCATTCGCTTCTTGCATACATTCCCACATATTTTCGATCCATTCCCCGCAGAGGATGCGGAATACCACTAGGAAGGAGTGCCAGAAATCCCCCATGTGCCAGTGCCGTAAACATGAGACTGTCGGGCCTGTCGGGTTACAGAGTTTTGGACTCTTTTGGGAATTGAAGCTACGGCCAAAAAGCTGCATGCCAACTACTGAGAAAATAAAGATCACAATGACCAGGACCACAGTCAGGCTTCCAAGGGCTCCGACAGAGTTGCCGATTATCTTAATTAGTGTGTTCAAAGTTGGCCAGGATTTGGCTAACTTGAAGACCCTGAGCTGTAGAAAAAGACAACAAACAAAAATGGAAGAAAAGCCAGTTAAGGACAAACTCCATCTGCTCATCTATAAAGCAAATGACATATACCCAAACTTATGACATCCAAAACTCTCTTCAAAGTTAAATCTATCCTGAACATAGCCATCAGATCGCTGTCATAATCTAATGCTCACCTGTATCTACTTTCTTATTTGAAAATGGAAACATTGGCCGGGCACAGTGGCTCACGCCTGTAATCCCAGCACTTTGGGAGGCCAAGGCGGGTGGATCACAAGGTCAGGAGATTGAGACCATCCTGGCCAACATGGTGAAACCCCGTCTCTACTAAAATACAAAAAAATTAGCTGGGCATGGTGGCGCATGCCTGTAGTCCCAGCTACTCGGGAGGCTGAGGCAGGGGAATCGCTTGAACCTGTGAGTCAGAGGTTGCAGTGAGCTGAGATTGCGCCATTGCACTCCAGCCTGGAGACAGAGCAAGACTCCATCTCATAAAAAAAAAAAAAAAAGGAAATATTTTGTTTTAGTTTTTTAATCATTAAGGACTTTGGGATCAGCATGGTGACTGAGCTACATAATTATTATATAAAATGAATATTTTGGAATTATATGTAATATACCAAGCGTCAGCGAACTCTGGCCTGAGAGCCAAATACAGTCCATTGCCTATTTTTGTATGACCTCAGAGACAAGAATACTTTTCCACATTTAAATGATTGAAAAATAATCAGGCCAGGCACAGTGGCTCTCATCTGTAATCCCAGCACTTTGGGAGACTGAGGTGGGTGATCGCTTGAGCACAGGAGAGTTCAAGACCAGCCTGGGCAACATGGTGAAACCCCCATCTCTACAAAAAATACAAAAATTAGCCAGGCGTGGTGGTGTGCGTCTGTAGTCCCAGCTACTCGGGAGGCTGACGAGGGAGGATGGCTTGAGCCTGGGAGGCAGAGGTTGCAGTGAGCTGAGATCACGCCACTGTACTCCAGCCTGGGCAACAGAGCCAAACTCTGTCTCAAAAAAGAAAATAACAATAATCAAAAGGATATTTCATGATGCATTAAAATCATATGAAGTTCAAGTTTCAGCATCCATAAATAAAGTTTATTGGAACATAGCCATGCTCACTGGTTTTTGAAAGTCTATGGCTTCTTTTGTGCTACAATGGCAAAGTTTAACGGTTGCCACACAGACCACACAGCCTGTAAGGCTGAAAACATTTACCATGTGGCCCTTTACAGAAAAAGTTTGCTAACTTCTGCATTATATAATTCAGGCCACGAGTCTGAATCTAAGCCTCATAAGAATGATTAGAGTAATATGGCATTTGTAGTCAGGAGAGAAAAGGCAACCAGCTATTCAAGACTTGTATACTTTTTCCACAGAGAAATTTTATCCTAGATCTTCACGGACTTTATAGGAAACAACCTTAGAGAAAACATAGCAACTTGTTTTATAGGTTGTTTCTTATATTAACTTTTGATATAAACTGACGGTTTTACTCCAAAGTACAATTTTGTTAAGCACATCCCCTATTTGGGGATGGAAATGTTGCAGGTCAGTAAGGCTTCTGCTTGAAGAGGACTGTCATTGTCTACTCAAAGGGGAGCTAGGAGCATCCCAGGAAAAACCTGTGGTTCCATTCTCATACAGAGACAATGCCACAGATTTCCGTGCATTAGAGCCTGGCTGTAATAAGCCTAAACAATGATAAAGCAAATGCAATTTTGCTTACCTGAGTGCTAATAAAACATTAGTAGGAAAGCTTAATAACACCTGACTTTGAGCAGTGTAACCTCTTACTATATCCCAAGTATAAAAAATATAAAATGTACATTTAGGTAACTGAATGAGGTGTCTTACTCTATAGGCTTAAAAATCCTATCTGAAAAAAAAAGGTAAATATCTTTGAAAGGGGACAAAATCCCACCTTGGAGGTTTTCTAGTTCCCCTTCTCAGATTGGATTTCTCTGTAGTCCTCTGTCTATACCTTTCCTGGGCTCTGTCACACTGTACTGTGCATGTAGCCCAGTCTTGTATCACTCCTGTGCTGCAACCTTCTCAAAGACAATGATTTCCTCATCCTTTGTGCCTTCCCTCATGTCAGTTTATATTAGGTACTTTGTAAAGGTTTCCAGAATGCTTCCAAACTGGATAGCAGGCAAAGACTACAGAACAGAAATGTAGCACTGGCAGCAGTGAGAAGGAAACTTGTGAGATAGATAGCACCTGCCATCAGCTCCCCTGCATTCCTCCCCGGCATTCTATAGTCTTTGCCCCCCTTGGCGAGCCCAATATGACCTGAAAGATAGGAATATTTTCCCTTATTTATTTATTGCCTCACAGCTCCATGGGAAAAAAAGAGTGTCGGAAGGGTTGTGCACAGAGCAAGGAACAGAGTCCTCACACTGGGAGACACAATTTTGTACCCAGTTGCCTAAAGGGTCATCTCTGGCAGGAATGGGCTAAGGGTATAAGGGTTCAGTTAAGCGAAGTCCCCCCAGGGACTTGCAAGACTATTAAAGACCTGTGCAGGAAGAGGAGTGCAGTTTTGGTTCTGGGGTTAAGGTAAGATAAATTAAAGTTTAGTACAAGATAACCACTGAACTCACTCAAAACGTTTTTTCCACTTAGGCAGCTACGTTTATGCAGTAAAATAAGAAAGTGCCTTACCACTCTGAAGGAACGCAAGAATGGCCAGCTTCTCTTTTGAAGTACACAGTTCATTACATCTGCAAAACTCAGAAGAGCAACAATGCTGTCAAAAATGTTCCAGCCTCGGCGAAAGTAGTGGTAGGGATCGAGCGCAATGATTTTTAGGCACATTTCTGCTATAAAAATGCTAGTGAAAACCTAGAGTGGGACAAAGAAGAATGAGAGAAGGAAGCTGCGGAGATAACACTTTTAAGAATGGCCCAAGGGAAGTACAGAGGTTACAATGAAATGAAAAGTATTCTCATGATTGACACACTATACCCTAAAGTCCATGCAATAGAAATATTTACTATTGTAGCATGAACCTCACTATGACTTTGCTCCTCTCTCCATCCCTCTCCATGGTGCCCAGAGCAATGTAACCAAGCTCACAGACACCAGAATGGAAAATGAATATTATTTCTCATTCTGTTGAAGATAAAGCAAAATGGTATTACTGGTAGATGGCAGGGTGACAGAGTGTCAGGCAATTTCTCCTCTGAATTCTCTTTAGAATACCAATTAAAACAATTAAAATAGGGAGAGAAGGAATGTAAACAATAGCCCTGAAAACTAAGGATAATTATCCCCCATAAACTAGAATCCAGGAGGAGTTCACCTGACCACCTAATTTCAACACCTTGATCAGAAAAATTAAAAATAAAAACAAAAAAGGGGCACAGATCATAGAATTAGAAAACACTTCCAGGGGCAAAAAAAAAAAAAAAAAGTCTTTGAGCAACTCAATATATGGGATAAGCCTTAAATTTGTTATGGTTGAAAGGAGAATTAGTGAATCAGAATATAATCCTAAAACTCATTCAGAATGCAGGGCTCACATTTCCAGAACAAAATATCAAAGAATAAAAAGGAGAGGCAGGAATTACAAAAAGTACTGAATTTTGTATTTTCCATGGGCAAAATAGTTTTGTCTTTGTCTTCAATAATCAGATAAATACAAGCTTAAGAAATATGTAAAAATGTTGAATGTAGTAGCCAATTAAAAAATAAATCTGTCTTCCATATCTTTGCAAAAAATAAAGCAAATAATTTCTTCACGGCAAACAGCACAGTCTTATCACATACAAACACAAATAAATAGAAATGAAAAAAGCAAGAATACAAAAATAATAAGGTAATATTAAAAGGATTAAAGTCTTTACAAGGATTGTTATAAAACTGTCTACTACAATTCTGGGGGGAACCTATAAACGACTAAATTCGATTATTAAAAATAATGGATTATCTATTTTTATAAATGATTCAATGATTTACTATTTATTTTTAAAAATGCCTGAAATAAAATGGCAAAAGTTAAAGACAAAAGGATAGCAAAGATAAATCCAGGGTAGAAAAATAAAAATAAATCAAGAGTTACAAAGAAAATTCAAGTTTATTTTCATATTCCCCCTTTAAATACTGCCATCTACTCCTGCTCAGTGTCACCACCAGTATCTAAAAGCATACAGTGATGCCTGTCCTAGATAATTGTGTAGTCATCCCCACCTCTTTTGACTCACTCCTCCTTCTTGTATCTCCTTTAGGCTTTAGGCATCAAGCTCTACAGCATCACCAGATACCTTGGGACCATTGTTTTGTCAATTCAATCCAACTTTTCTTTATGGCTTCTTGGCATTCAGTGTATCCCTCTGATTAGAGCAATCTCTACCCTAGAGAGTTAATTTTCTAGTCCAGTCCTGCAGAACTCTACAGAGTGGCTTAATCCTGGCCCATGCATCAGAGGAGGGAAGTTTTGATGTGCTCCTTGGAACTTAAGACTCCAAGGCTTCTCTCCACCACTACTACCATGGGAGCAGTAAATAGTGTGGCTGCCATTTTGGTATTGTATGTCCAGGGAGTAGGCCCATGGAATGGAAACACAAGCTATGTGTATGGTTCTACATATTTCCTGCCAATTTTTAGGAGCTAGGGTGCAGCTGCTGCCTGTGTACTTGGAAAACAACAATGTCCCTGTGGCCCTGTGGCTCCTCCTGCTCTGGAGGAAGTGAAGAAGAATGTCAATCACTCAGTTTCCAACTGCAAAATGTAGCTTCACCTCCACACTCAGGATGTCTAGTCAGTGGTAAATCTGAGATGGGGGTTTTTCTCATTTTCTAAATTTGGACCAGCAGATGAAAACAGATCACCACTGCAATTGGGAAGCCCTGTCCACAGAGATGACTCTGGGTTTTTGAGTATTCTCTACAACTTATTCAGTAACTCCATTCCACCAGGAGGTGCTAAAAGGTGGAGTCTGCTGACCATGCCCCTATAGACACAGCTTGCTGCCTTCAACTGAAACAATTTCAGCTCATTTCTGAGATGCCTCAGCAGAGGATAGCTGAATACATGGCCAGGAGACCCTGATCTGTTACAAGCAACTATGTGTTAGGTTTGTCAAGCAGCATGGAATCTAGTCTAACCCATTCACACCCACAAAGCATTTATTCCCAAAGGCAGCATGGAGAAAGGAATTTATGTGCTATGTGCAGACTGCCTGTGAGGAGAACCACCCTGGTTTTATACTACAGTTCCACTGTATCACTGCTCCTTGTGGAGGGATGTGGAACTAAGGATGACAGGTACCTGACTCTAGTGCAGTGGGTTCTTTTTTTTTTTTTGAGATGGAGTCTCACTTTGTCACCCAGGCTGGAGTGCAGTGGCACGATCTCGGCTCACTGCAAGATCCGCCTCCCTGGTTCACACCATTCTCCAGCCTCAGCCTCCTGAGTAGTTGGGACTACAGGCGCCTGCCACCATGCCCGGCTAAATTTTTGTATTTTTAGTAGAGATGGGGTTTCACCGTGTTAGCCAGGATGGTCTTGATCTCCTGACCTCATGATCTGCCTGCCTCGGCCTCCCAAAGTGTTGGGATTACAGGCGTGAGCCACTGTGCTCGGCTGCAGTGGGTTCTTAACAATGTAAAACAAATTTTTTAAAGACATGTAAAAAGACATCACAAAAAAAAAAATGCCAAAAAAGGAGAAAAAATAACACTAAATAAAAATACATACACACATACATACATGCTTACATAAAGCTTGCAAATATTCTGCAATGCTAAAAATGATCATCTTTGTCAGCAGGTACATGGGACATGAATTTCTTCTATTTCCCTTATTTATATTTTTCCTTATTTTTAAAAAATAAAACAGCATTTATTATTTTTTAAATTAGAAAGATAAAACAAAAGTTTAAGAAGAAAAGGCTAGACATTCTGGTAAGGTTTTTAGCTCATTAATCCATCAGCTAATTAGGGTAGATCATCCCGTGGGCAATTATTTGTTGTTTCTGATATTCGAGGGACTAATTTTTCCTTGAGAAAAATGCCTTCCACAAGAACCATAAACTGAAGTGAACAGTCCTTGAAAAGTCTGCTCCCCTTAGTTTTCCCAATTTAACTGAGACTAGATCTATCCAATGAGAAACATATTGAAGCAGGCTCAAGTCTGGAAATTCACCCCACCCCAGCCTGACCAACCCCCAAACAACCCCTTCCAAAAAAGTGAAACTTCCACAGCTGACAGGCCCTGATTCATCTTTCCAGGGAGAATAACACCTAGTAATAGTAGTCACATTATTTTGTGACAAATGATGTCATGAATATCACTGGGACCACAACAGCCATTACCACGGTTCTCTGGATATGGTTAACATTTTCTTGATTATCTCAGAGAGCTGAACTTTTAGGATGTCTGCTTGTATCTGGCTTACCACTGAATGGCTAAAGAGATACCTGAACATACCAGAGGGCCAACTCAGGACACATGGACAGTTTCTGAAATGAACCGGGTAAAAGTAAAACCGTAACAGCCATCTTTTCCCTCACTCCACTGAAGGGGACCAAAAACCTAGGTTAGGTTAGCTCATTCACAAAATGTTTAGACTTTGAAAAAGTTATACTTTAAAGTATGAAATATGTTTTTTATTTTTAAAAAGTGTAATGTTACCAAATTCCCTATATTCAACATCTTCTCAAAACTGGCCTCCATCTTGTGATGCTCCATGGCCAAGAAGACAGTGTTGATGATGATGCAGATGGTGATGGCCAGCTCAGTAAACGGGTCAGTCATCACAGTTCTCAGGACCTTCTTAACGCACAGCCACTGGGGGCAACAGTTCCACACGAGGTACTTGGATGCCAGGTTTTCTCCACAAGGGAGACAAGGCTCTTGTGATTTTTCTTGTTCTGGAGGAGAATGAGCGAGAGGTTGAGGAGTTAGCTCTGAAGCAATCCAGATGCCCTTTGCCTGAGTGCATTCCTTCCTCCCTCTTCCCCAGGGCCTCCTGATACATGATCAGTTGTGAAATGTTTTGATTTGTGTAGTCAGAAAGGTTTTTCCACCAATCTTAGTGCAGAAGAGACAATGTTCCACATACAACTAGCATGCGGTACAGTCAAGTCCATCAAATATTTACACTCTTACTGAGCATCCAGGAGCTGAGCTTTGATGTTAGATATATAGATGTGGAAATCAACATTGGCTGGCTGTGAATCCAAGAGAGAGATAGATACAGGCACAAGTTATGTCCACTCAAGACAGACCATAAGGTCAGCTGTAACAGAGGCAAAAGGGGCAACCAGGGCTCAAGGGAAGGGGCATCTATAAGCACTGAAACAGTAAAAGGGACTCTATCCTCTAGTTGAGTTCAGACCATCCCTGATTTCCCTGGCACCGCTGCAGGGACACATGCAGGGCAAACGAGATGATGCAGTAGGCTTAAAAGTGCTAGAGGACCTATTTGACCCCCCTTGCAGGGAGTAAATCCTGCTCCTGAACACCAACCCCTGGGGTGGGGTCCTGTTACCTGCTATTAATCTGGTCCATCAGATGGCTCCAGCCTTTCTACATAGGTCTTCTATTGCCCATGTGGGGTTTCTGACTCTAACTTCAATAACAACTGCCACCTCCTGGAGACTTCAAAGTCTTCTGTTCTTTGACTGACTATTGTTGTCACTTGGATCTCTTGTGACTCCCAGGCCTGGTTTGAGGCCCTGTTTATGCATTTTGTCTGAAGTCCCATCCCAAGTCTAGCCAGCTTCCACCTCTACCCAGGTGCCAGTTTAGAGTGGGCCCACAGGGAAGGTCTGCTTCTTGTGAGCCACTTTGTTTACATGCTCCAAAGAGGCAAAGGAAGTCACTCTTTGCAGGATGGTACAGTGGGTTGGTTCCAAAACAGCCTCCTTTGCAGAGGGCTTCTAGGGGATTGGGAAGAAGAAGAATGGAAGGACATCACTGAAGTAGACTTTCCCTTGGATTGGGATGTGGAACTTACCCTTCATGGTGATGGTGAGGATGCTGACAGCACTCAGTGCTCTCTGCCTTTGGAGAGGATCTCCATGCTCATCAAAGTGGTCCAGTGATAGATTCTGGGACAGTCGTTTGGTTTGCTCTAGGAGCTGTGGCTGTAAGAGAAGGCATAGGGCACCTTCTAAAGACAGGGGCTGCCTCTCCTCAAAACTTAACAAACTACTTTGTTCCAATGCTACATGTAATGAAAGTGCTCAACATTTTCTATAGGTCTACTCACCTCGTCTTTACAGCATGCCAAATATTCAGTTTTCTTATTTCATGTTTAACAAATAAGAGAAATCTGGTTTGATCATTCATATTTCCTATGCATGCACATTTCTAGAGTCCTACCTACAGACATTTTACTTTCTCTGTGTTTCATTCACTGCCAACAAAGAGCAAACAAAATTTTACAAAAACTAGTAAGCAATGGTTCCGGGTATGAAAGCAATACAAAATCCAATTTGTAAACAATGTTTAAAGGTAAGAAGTGGAGTATAAATTTAGAAAGGTGGACTGGAGCCAGATTGTGAAGTGCTAGCTGCAGTTGTGAAGTGAACAACCGCCTATACGGTTTTTAAAACGGTTGGTAACTAAAAAGAACAGTCCCACTAAATATCACAAAATCTAGATCCTAAACCTCAAACACACTCTCAAGCTGGGCCCAAGGGCTAGCTCACTCTCTCACATCTACCTACAATTCTAAAGTTACTGGAATTAAACAGTGCAAACCTCCAGCTATCCAGAAAATTTGGGTTTTCCTAGTGGCTTATTTTCCAAGGGTTCCGACTCACCAGAGCCCCAGAGGGAACTATCTTTTTTGTGATAAGCCAATCTAGATAGTCTTTCTATGAGATCTCTCCCTATTACTACAGCAGAGAACTGATCATAGCAGTGGATGGGATCCTTCTACCTACTTCTGCAAAGGCCTCTCAATTCCCTTTCCCCACCACATTATCAGGCATACATATCCACCTTCTACCTACTACATCTCCCTCTATCTCAGGAAAGTGGCTCTTGCCATCTTTACCTGTATCTTTAGCATCTTCCTCTCTTCTGACTTTTCTCTGGACAATTAAAATATGTCTGAACATCCCCCTCCTTAATGATAAGAATAACTTTTTCTGCTGCCCATCCCTCCCCCACCACCAGCTTCATTTCTGCACATCACGCTGCCTAATCAACATCCCTGCTTGGAGGTCCCATAAGCATCTGGAAATTGGCACATTCAAAACTGAATGAGCCATCTTTCCACTCCCAAAATGTGTACCTTTCCTGTCTCCATAAATTACCCTCCATCAAGTTAGCTAATCATGTCGGAAACCAGGTCTTATCCCCACACTGTCCATCAAGTCAACTGCTAAATTTTATCTTCTCCAGATCACGGTCGTCTGTTAATTGCTCTTCATCCTCACTTCCCTAACCCTGGTTTAAGCCACAGGCACCTCTTACTTGGTTACTGCAACAGCCTCTTAACTGGTCGCCTCCAGTTTTGCCCTCCTCCAATCCCCTGTCTTCAATGCATCCAGAATTTCATAAATCCAGTCATATCCCTCTCTTATATAAACCTTTCAATGCTCTTTACCCTTAGCCCTCATTGAAAAGGGTAAACTCTCTAGCTTTGTTTTCGAGGTCTTTTGTGATCCCCCAACTGATCACTATAGCCTTGTGCCACCCACCCTCCCCCAGCCTCATCACACATGTGCATGCATGAGCGTGCGTGCACGCGCATACACACACACTGGCAAGTTTTCTAATGGGTCATGTTCTCCTGCTTGCCTTCGCTTCTAGGCTTTTGCACATTCTATTCTCTCTGCAGGTAATGCTCTCTTTTTCCTTTTACTGGTGAATTCATCCTTTCAGCTGACACACTGCATCTTCTGGGGACCCTTTTCCATTGCTTTTCCCCCAGGCCCCATGAATTCTGGATGCTGTTGGTTTTCCCACCCATATGTCCTTACTTGAGGACTTTCTCTAATGATTCAAATCCTGTCTTCCTTAGTGCACAGCAAGTAGGAAATTAGAGGGAAATTATTGTCTTCTGTCTTCAGCAATCTTTAATCTATGATGGTCCAAAGTTGGTATATATATACCAACATATATGTGTGTGTGTGTGTGTGTGTGTGTGTGTGTGTATATATCTATATATACACACACACACACACACACACACACACACACTTTGATGCCCTTACTTTGGAAGGATTAAACTCCAACTACCTGGCTTCAGTGGTAACTGGCTTGATAATGCATCTTCATTGGTTACCTTCCATTCCATATAGCACTTCTTCCCTCCTTTCCCAGTGCTTCCTGGGATCACTTCCCAAATAATCTACTTGCATTGTAATGTCTTTGGGTTTGCTTCAGAGGGAGCCCACACTGACACATAGTTCCTCCTCTGTTCTCCCACAGCAATCAGCACATCAGTCATCACACTGACTCATAACTGCCTTCTTATCAGTATATCTTCATCATTAGCCGTACACTCTGTGGAGTATAAAACATGTATCCCTAGCACCTATCCCAGTGCCAAGAAGATAGTAAACACTGTAAACACTCTAAATTGATGTTTACAAATAAATGGATAATTGAAAAGACACATGGATGCATGAAAGTATGTGCAAATGGATGAATGAATAAATGAGTAACTGAATAAATGAATTATTTCAATTTGATTGGCAATTGGACCTGTCCCCCTGGACAGCAATATGGTATCATTAATTCCCTGGAAAAGACTTACCTTTTTTTGGCAATCTTCATCAGAATCTGACCCAGGAGGCTGGTCTTTCCCAGACTCTCTCAAAAAGAAGGACTTCCTTTTCTTATTACCAAAGAGCTTTCTCTTTTTTGGGGTAAAATATGATGTTTCAAGGGAAGTAAGTGAACTTCTGTCAATTCCCATGGCAACCAGAGCCTTCAAATTGAACAAAAGCAATTAAAGAACAGATTACACCTCCTCATGAAACATTGCAAATGACCCCGACCTGAGAGTGGTGAAAATCTCTCTTCTGGTAGCTCTGTATCATTTAAATTGCTCATCATCTACCTGGACTACGCTAGCTCTGTTATTTATCTGGGGAAACATGTCCTGTTTTTGCACAGAAATTGCAGCCACCAAAAGCAGCATTGACTCTTTCATATCTCTGTGTCACTGCCCCTTAGCACAGTGTCCAGTATGCGCTAGGCACTCAATAAATACTTATGCCTGATAGTGCAGATGTTAAGCACTTACGATGGGCATCCTTCTGACAAATCTTATAGAGGATCAGTGCGAGTATAAAACATGGTCCCTGTCCTGAAAATCTGAGACTTGAGCTGGAAGAATGTAAAGATTCCAAGGAAACTATTAGAATGGCCTATAAATAAGACAAGGATTGCAGACAGGGAGAGGTGAACATTATTCTAGAGTCCACCTCAAGCAAAGGCGCCGAACACAAACATCTCCAGATTTCCAAAAGAAAGCCTGGAGCACAGCCTGGATTTACATATACTTATGTTGTATCGTCTAGTCAGTAATTTAGGGCATGTCTTAGAAGGCTTAGACTTCAGAAGGTCAAAAAGCATCAAGACCAAGCGTTCCCCGTTTTGAAGGGCCTGGTGCCTGGACAATTTTGTGAAAGATAGCAGCACAGCCATTCTTCGAGGGACTTATATTCTCAGAAAAGCACCAGTAGAGAAAGCACTGAGACCAGGCCAAGGGTGGCAGCCTTGAGTCTCAGGTCACATTGCCTCTGGGGACCCCTTCCCCTCCCCAGAGCAGATCCCACTGTCTGACCCCATGTCCCTACCTCCTTTTCCTCCTTTAACAGCTGCTGGGCTTCCTGAAACATCTTTTCCTTGGCCTCTATCTCTGCAGCTACATTCTTGTTCTGCTCCTCATATGCCATGGTAACAACAGCCAGGGTTAAGTTAATCAGGTAGAAGGAGCCCAGGAAAATGACCACAATGAAGAAGAAGACTGAGTAGAGCCCAGTAGTACGCAGGGTCTGCAAAGGACAGAGCATGTTCTTGAATATCAAACCTTCTTCCACAGGAAAGTGACCATCACCTCAAGCAAAAACCACACAGTAGCAGACAACTGGTCTTCCCCCAGCACTGGTGGGCTCAGTTGACCACAGACCATATAGCTTCCCTAATACTCCAGGGATTCCTGATGCCCTATCTCTCAGTGGGGAGATACTATCCACACCTTCACATGGAAGTTTCAGTGACTTTACTATCTATAACTCTCTCAAGAGTATCTGCATTTTTAAAATAAAAGTGGCAAGAGAGATAGGGCAGTAGGGAATCTGGAGGGGGCTAACATTTCTAGGAAGAGGAGGGGTTCTTTGGAGTCTTCTTCCAAATATTGCATTTAAAATTTTCTTGAAGTTTCTTTTTTTTTTTTTTTTTGAGACGGAGTTTCACTCTATCACCCAGGCTGGAGTGCAGTGGTGTGATCTCGGCTCATTGCAACCTCCGCCTCCTAGGTTCAAGTGATTCTCCTGCCTCATCTTTCCAAGTAGTGGGGATTACAGGCACCTGTCACCATGCCCTGCTAATTTTTGTATTTTTAGTAGAGTTGGGGTTTCACCATGTTGGCCAGGCTGGTCTCAAACTCCTGACCTCAAGCCTCAGCCTTCCAAAGTGCTAGGATTACAGGCGGGAGTCAGCGTGCCTGGCCAATTTTCTTGAAGTTTCTAACAGAATTAGTAAGGCAGAATTTAACAGTACAACTGTTAAAGATGAGACAGATGATAAAAGTGGGGGATGAATGGTAGTTATAAATAAATGGTAAATAAATAGGTAAGTGATAGAGGGGGAAGGAAAAGGATGGAGGGAGGGAGAGAGGAAAAAGAGAGACTATAAATAGATAACCTGTTGATAAAGCTTCTCCCAGGAATCTTGGGTCATCAGCCGGAACATGGCAAGAAAAGACCAGCCAAAGTTGTCAAAATTCGTATAATTATAGTCAGGATTAATTTTGGTGTGCTTACATTCATATTGTATGGAACAGGCACTAGATATTGGAAACAAACAGAGAAATAATTATGTACGCCACAGCCAAGCTTCTTTTTCCTTCCAACGACTCTGGTTTTTCCAAGGGCTGTGGGATCACACCAGGAGCCCTAGAGGAAGGGAGTATTTGTAAAGTGGCCCACTGCACTGTCTGACAAGACTCTTTTGCTAATGAACTGATTAATAAATTCATATAAGATAGTTTTTCATTGAAAAATTGAGTACAGTGACACGTGAACAATGAATAGTATAAAAGCACATACAATGAATATTAAGTCTTCCTCTCTTCCCAGTTTCCTGATCCCACTTCTTAGAGGCAATAGTTAACAGTTACTTTTGTAAATTTCCAGAAGTTTGCTATGACTATACAGCACATCTATATCTACACACAACTTTTATAATACACAAAAATGGGAACATGCTTTGCACTCTCCTGCACCTTGCTTTTTTTAATGGAACAATATAGTTCAGAGCTCTTTTCATATCACCATACAGGGAGATATCTTATTTCTTTTCATGTCTATAGTTCTATGATTTATTTAACTGCTCTGCTAATGATGAATATTTAGGTTTCAGTAATTGACAGTCCTTCACTCTTACAAACATTTGGGCAATGAATATCTTTGAACATAGGTCTTTTCACATATTACCAAAACACAAATTATTGAGTGTATCTATAAGATGTACTAAGGGTATGTATTTCTTAGTTTTTTAATAAATAGTATTTTAATCAAAGTAATACATGCACATGGCTTAAAAATTACATGCACCAAAAAGCTTATAATGAAATCAATTGTATAATTCTTTAACTGTCATTTATACACCCCAAATTCAACAACTGTTAACTCTTCTACCTCCGTATATCTAAATAGTGCTTACACTGATATTTGATTTATCAATTGTAGTTCGTGTTGATTAACTTCTTGCTATGGTAGACATTTTTTCTTGGCTTTTTCATGTTGCTTTTTTATGTTTTACTCCCTCATTCTTCTGGAGCACTTGTCAATTAGCTTCTTAAGAAGATTGTGTAATCTTTGCATATATGAATATATATTTATTCCATTTTCACAATCAATTGGTAGTTTGGCCAGAAATAGAATTCTGAGTTGGAAGTTTTTCCTTAGCAATATGAAAGCACTGCTCAGTTATTATCCTGTGTTGCTATTAAGAATTCTTATGCCAGTTTGATTTTTGTTCCTTTTTGGGTGACCTTCTTTTGCCCATTAGTTTTAAAATCTTTTTCCAAAAAGTTCTGAAATGCCATGATAATGTCCTTGGCATGGTCCTTTCTCATTCACTGTGTTGGGTACTTTCTGGAGCACTGAGGGACTTGCATCTTTAGTCCCAGGTAAATTCTCTGCATCATTTCTTCACTAATTTCCTCCCTTTTGTTTAATCAGTGCTCTAGTTGTAGAATTCCTACTTAGTCAAAAGTTGGGACTTTTGAATTGACATTTACTCTCAAATTTTCTGTTCTCTTTTTCCTACTTTCGGGGCTATTTCGTCAACTTTATCTTTTAGTTCTAATGTTGATTTTTGTGTAATAATGTTTAATTTCTAATAAGTTTCTTTTTTTGCTGTTCTTTTTTCACAACAAGCTGCTTTTTGTTTTATGTATATAATATCTCTTTTAATTTCACCAAGGACACTATTCAAAGTTTTCAGAGCCCTTTCTGGTTCTCTTGTTTTGTTCATGGCCACATTTTCTGTGGCTTTATCTTGGCCTCCTTTTTACCAAAGATTTTCTTCAGATGCCTGGTGAGCCTGAGCTGTTCATGTGTTTTAATCAGAGGACCTGACAAGCTGATTGGGATTTGCCTGGTGGGCAGAGTGGGAATTTGTGAGTGGTAGGTTTTGCTTTAGGTTGACTGAGGAGGAGGGCATCCATTGTGCCCTCTTTCTCACCAGACCTGGAGGAAATTCTGTGAAGTCCCAGTGCCCTCTAACTTCCAGGAGTCTGCTGAGGATGGACCTACCATATTTAATCTCCCTCATTTCTTGGTCACCATTCAAAATATAAGCCTGTTTTGTTCAATCTCCTCCTCTCTGGGTGCACCCTCTCATCAACTTATACAGGTGATTAAGCCTCTCCGCCAGCATCCCCATCTCAGCTAATGACATTATCACTCACTCACACTGATATGAGAAGCATCTGTAACAGTTTTCTCTCCTTTGCACTTCCCGCCACTCTCTTACACATGGCTTTGTATGCACAAATACACACCAACATCCCCTCTTCAATCTCCAAATTTTTTTCTTTCTATTTATTTATTTTTACCTATTATTTTAGGTTCTGGCGTACATGTGCAGGTTTGTTATATAGGTAAACTCATGTCACAGGGGCTTGTTGTACAGATTATTTCATCACCTAGGTACTAAGCCTAGTACCCAACAGTTATTTTTTCTGCTCCTCTTGCTGCTCCTACCCTTCATCCTCAAGTAGGTCCCAGTAGCTGTTGTTCTTTTCTATGTCCGTGAGTTCTCATCATTTAACTCCCACTTACAAGTGAGAACATGCAGTATTTGGTTTTCTGTTTCCTGCTTTAGTTTGCTAAGGCTAATGGCCTCTAACTCCATCCATGCTCCCGCAAAAGACATAATCTCTTGCTTTTTTATGGCTGCATAGTATTCCATCATGTATGTGTACCACATTTTCTTTATCCAGTTTGTCACTGATAGGCATTCAGGTTGCTTCCATGTCTTTGCTATAGTGAACAGTGCTGCAATGAACATGCATGTGTGTGTATCTTTACAGTAGAATGATTTATATTCCTCTGGGTACCTACCCAGTAATGCGATTGCTGGGATGAATCCAGCAACAGTAGTTCTGTTTTAGGTCTTTGAGGAATTGCCACACTGCTTTCCATAATGGTTGAACTAATTTACACTTCTACTAACAGTGTATGTGTTCCCTTTTCTCCACAACATTGCCAGCGTCTGTTATTTTTTGACTCTAATGATAGCCATTCTGACTGGTGTGAAATAGTACCTTATTGTGGTTCTGATTTGCATTTGTCTAATGGTCAGTGATGTTGAGCTTTTTATCATATGCTCGTTGGCTGCATGTAAGTCTTCTTTAAAAAAAAAGTCTATTCATGTCCTTTGCCCACTTTTCAGTGGAGTTGTTTTCTTATTGTAAATTTAATTTCCTTATAGATGCTGAATATCAGACCTTTAACAGATGCATAGTTTGCAAATATTTTCTCCCATTCTGTAGGTTGTCTGTTTACTCTGTTAATAGTTTTTTGGTTTTTGTTTGTTTTTGTTTTCTGTGCAGAAGCTCTTAAGTTTAGTTAGATCCCATTTGTCAAATTTTGGTTTCATTCTGATTGCTTTTGGCATCTTCATCATGAAATATTTGCCCATTTCTATGTCCAGAATGGTATTGCATAGGTTGTCTTCCAGAGTTTTTATAGTTTGGGGATTTACATTTAAGTCTTTAATCCATCTTGAGTTGATTTTTGTATATGGTGTAAGAAAGGAGTCCAGTTTCAATCTTCTGCATATAGCTAGCCAGTTATTCCAGCACCATTTATTGAATAGGGTGTTTTCCTCATTGCTTGTTTTGTCAGCTTTGTTCAAGATCAGATGGTTGTAGGTGTGCAGCCTTATTTCTGGGCTCTCTATTCTGTACATTGATCTATATGACTGTTTTTGTATCAGTACCATGCTGTTTTGGTTACTGTAGCCCTGTTGTATATTTTGAAGTTGGGAAACGTGATGCCTCCAGCTTTATACTTTTTACTTAGGATTGCCTTGGGTATTTGGGCTCTTTCTTGATTCCATATAAATTTTAAAACAGCATTTTTTAAATTCTGTCAAGAATGTCATTGGTAATTTCATAGGAATAGCACTGAATCTGTAAATTGCTCTAGGCAGTATATCCATTTTAATGATATTGATTCTTCCTATCCATGAGCATGAGATGTTCTTCCATTTGTTTGTGTCATTTTTAATTTCTTTGAGCAGCATTTTGCAATTCTCATTGTAGAGATCTTTCACCTCCCTGTTGGCTGTATTCCTATGTATTTTATTATTTTGTCACAATAGTAAATAGGATTGCATTCCTGATTTGGCTCTCGGCTTGGCTGTTGGTATACAGGAATGCTAGTGGTTTTCGTACATTGATTTTGTGTCTTGAAACTTTGCTGAAGTTGTTTATCAGCTGAAGGAGCTTTTGAGCTGAGATTATGGGGTTTTCTAGATATAGATTCATGTTATCTGCAAACAGGAATAGTTTGACTTCTTCTCTTCCTATTTGGATGCCCTTTATTTCTTTTTCTTCCTGATTGCTCTGTCCAGGACTCCCAATACTATGTTGAATAGGAGTGGTGAGAGAGGGTATCCTGTCTTGTGCTACTTTTCAAGGAGAATGCTTCCAGCTTTTCCCCATTCAGTATGATGTTGGCTGTAGGTTTGTCATAGATGGCTCTTATTATTTTGAGGTATGTTCCTTCAATATCTAGTGTATTGAGAGTTTTGAACATGAATGGATGTTGAGTTTATCAAAAGCCTTTTCTGCAACTATTGAAATATTCATGTGTTTTTTTACTTTAGTTCTGATGAATCACATTTATTGATTTGCATATGTTGAACCAACCATGCATCCCAAGGATGAAGCCTACTTGATTGTGGTGGATTAGCTTTTTAATGTGCTGCTGGATTAGGTTTGCAAGTATTTTGTTGAGGATTTTTGCATCAATGTTCATCAAGGATATTGACCTAAAGTTTTCTTTTTTTGTGCCTCTGCCAGGTTTTGGTATCAGGACGATGGTGGTCTCATTGAATGATTTGGGGAGGAGTCTCTGCTCCTCAATTTTTTGGAATAGTTTCTGTAGGAATGGTACCTGCTCTTTGTACATCTAGTAGAATTCAGCTATGGATCCATCTGGTCTCAGGATTTTTTTGGTTGGTAGGCTATTTATTATAGATTCAATTTTGGAGCTTGTTATTGGTCTATTCAGGGAATCAGTTTCTTCCCAGTTCAGTCTTGGCAGGGTGTTTGTGTCCAGGTATTTTTAGTTTGTGTGCTTAGAGGTGTTTTTAGCAGTTTTTAATGGTTATTTTTATTTCTGTGGGGTCAGTGGTAACATCCCCTTTGTTATTTCTAATTGTGTTTATTTGGATTTCCTTATTTTTTGTCTTCTGCTAGCTTTGCTCTTGCTTCTCTAACTCTTTCCATTGTGATGTGACATTGTTTAAGTTATTTCTAAGTTTTTGATGTGGGCGTTTAGTGCTATGAATTTTCTCTTAACACTGCCTTAGCTGTGTCCCAGAGATTCTGGTATGTTGTATCTTTGTTCTCATTAGTTCCAAAAAACTTCTTGATTTCTGCTTTAATTTCATTATTTACCCAAAAGTCATTCAGAGGCATGTTGTTTAATTTCCATGTAATTGCATGGTTTTAAGTGATTTTTTTAGTCTTTTCTTCTATTTTTATTGTGCTGTGGTCCGAGAGTGTGTTTGGTAAAATTTTGGTTCTTTTGCATTTGCTGAAGCTTGTTTTATGTTCCATTATGTGGTCAGTTTTAGAGTATGGGCCATGTGGTGATGAGAAGAATGTATATTCTGTTGTTTTGGGGTGGAGAGTTCTGTAGAGGTCTAACAGGTCCATTTGGTCCAATGTTGACTTCAGGTCCTGAATATCTTGGTTAATTTTCTGCCCCAGTGATCTGTCTAATACTGTCAGTGCTGTGTTGAAGTCTCCCACTATTATTGTGTGGGAGTCTAAGTCTCTTTGTAGGTCTCTAAGAACTTGCCTTTTGAATCTGGGTGCTCCTGTCTTGGGCGCATATACCTTTAGATTAGTTAGGTCTTCTTGTTGAATTGAACATTTTACCATTATGTAATGCCCTTCTTTATCTATTTTTTATCTTTGTTGGTTTAAAGTCTGTTTTGTCTGAAATTAAGATTGCAACTTCTGCTTTTTTTCTGATTTCCATTTGCTTGGTATATTTTCCTCCATTTCTTTTATTTTGAGCCTATGTGTGTCATTACATGTAAGATGAGTCTTTTGAAGACAGCATACCATTGGGTCTTGCTTTTTTATCCAGCTTGCCATTGTGTGCCTTTTAAGTGGGGCATTTAGCCCATTGACATTCAAGGCTAATATTGATATGTCCTAGTCTTTCTGTCTCCTAAACGTCTCTGGAATGCATCCATCCAGCTTTCTTCATCACCACTGTACATCTTCATGATCCTTATTCTTTCTACCACAGTCTTGTAATTGGCTTCCTCATCTACTCTATGCATCCATTCTCTATACAGAAACCATAGTGGCTTTTAAAATATGTCTAATCTGCCCAGTCATCTGCCTGCCCTAAAACCTTTCCATGTCTCCTGCTTCCTTTGTGATCAAGACCAAAATCGTTGGCACTGATGAGCTATCACGTCCTTCATGGTTGGCTCTTGTCTCTGTTCCTTCCTGCTCTCTTGCCTGTCTGCCCAAAAAGTTGCTGGGCTTCTTGTCAATCCCTATATGCTCTTGTGCTCCAAGGCCTTATGCTCACCCTTGCTGTGCCTACTGTCTGGAATTGTTCACTCTTTATCTACTGGAACCTCCTACTTAGACTTCAGATCTGAGTTGTAGTCACGGTGAATTAGTCAGCAGGGGAGGAAGCAGTGACTGGAGGGTGAAGACTAGCCTGGGCCCTGAAAAGACCAAAGCCTGCCTGGAAAGATGATCACAGACCTGCCTTCTCAGAGTGCCATCTCCTCAGAAGCAAGCATGTTGTGATCACTGTGGAATGCTGTGTACTAGGAGTTGGTTTACCACAAAACTCTGGAGCATTCATATTGTACCTAGACTGAGAGAGATGTGCTGGCACATAAACTTAGAGACAAGAGCCCTATAAAGACCAGTTGTACATCATTGATCATTAGAGAAATACAAATCAAAACCACAATGAGATACCATCTCACACCAGTCAGAATGGCTATTACTAAAAAGTCAAAAAATAACAGATGCTGGCATGGATGCGGAGAAAAAGGAACATTTATCCACCGTTGGTGGGAGTGTAAATTAGTTCAACCATTGTGGAAAACTGTGGCAATTCCTCAAAGACCTAAAAACAGAACTACCATTTGACCTGGCAAGCCCATTACTGGGTATATACCCAAAGGAATATAAATCATTGTATCATAAAGACACATGCAAGTGAAAGTTCATTGTCACACTATTCACAAGAGCAAAGACATGGAGGCAACCTGAATGCCCAACAATGACAGACTGGATAAAGCTAATGTGGTGCATATGTGCCATGGAATACTATGCAGCCATAAAAAGAATGAGTTCTATTACTTTGCAAGAACATGGATGGAGCTGGAGGCTATTAACCTTAACAAACTAATGCAAGAACAGAAAAACCAAATCCTACATGTTCTTAGTTGTAAATGAGAGATAAATGATGAGAACACATGGACACACAGTGGAGAACAATAGATACTGGGACCTATTGGATGGTGGAGGTTGAGAGAAGGAAGAGAATCAGGAAAAATAACTAATGGGTACTAGATTTAATACCTGGGTGATGAAATAATCTGTACACAAATTTACCTATATAACAAACCTGCATATGTACCCCTGAACTTAAAATAAAAGCTAAAAAGAAGACCAGTTTGTGCACCAAAATCTCAGAAATTACCACTAAAGAACTTATTCATGTAACCAAGTACCACCTGTTCCCCCAAAACCTACTGAAATAAAAAAAATACCCAAGTTTGACTGCTGTTAAGCATGGTATGTGTCCTCTGCCTCTCTACTTTCCCCACCACTCTCTATTGTCATATACACATCACACTTGATTCATTTTGTGTCTGATGTTATTTGAGTTTTCAACAGCTAAAATAGTTTTTTGGACTTTTTATAGCAGTATAGTATTGTAATAAGAGATTTTGGAGGCAAAAGACTTGGGAAAAAAAAAAAGGACTAGTTGGAAACAAGGCTGCTGCTTCTGCCTGTCTAGGTTATACACCCCACGTTGGATTCTGCCTATGGTAACCACACCTGTCTGCCTGTGTGAGGGGTAAAAGAAGTGCTATATGCAGCAGCTGTCGGGCTCCCTTTAAGACAGGGATCCCCAAACCCGGGCCCCAGAGCAGTACTGGTTCATGGCCTGCTAGGAACTAGGCTGTACAGCAAGTGAGCAGCAGGCGAGTGAGCATTACACCTGATCTCCACCTCCTGTCACATCAGTGGTAAGCATTAGATTTTCATAAGAGTGTGAACCCTATTGTGAACTGCGCATGCAAGGGATCTAGGTTGCACGCTCCTTATGAGAATCTAACTAATGCCTGATGATCTGAGGTAGAACAGTTTCATTCTAAAACCACCCCCACTTCCTGCCCACGAAAAAATTATCTTCCATGAAATCAGTCCCTGGTGCCAAAATGTTGGGGAGCTTTCTGGCAACAGGGACCGGTTTCATGGAAGACAGTTTTTCTTTCTAGAATGATCCTCAACAATATCAATGCAGTGTGTGCTGTTGGGAATCATTCTAGAAAGCTCAGTAAGCTTCATATTAGATTAAAGCCTATCGTGTCTTGCAAATGGAATGAGAGAAGCCTTCCCTAATTCTCCAGACAAGGTCACAACCCCATCATACCTCTCAGCACCTGCACATCACCCTTATAACACTCATCACACTTTCTAGTAATCATGCATTGCTCAACAGCAGGAATACATTCTAAGAAATGTGTAGTTAGGCAATTTTGTTGTATAAACATCATAGAGTGTACACACAAGCCTAGATGGTATAGCCTACTACACACCTAGACTATGTGGCATAGCCTATTGTTCCTAGGCTACAAACTTGTACAGCATGTTACTATACTGAATACTGTAGGCAACTGTAGCACAATGGTAATAATTTGTGTATACACAGAAAAGGCACTGTAAAAATATAGTATTATAATTTTATGGGGCCAGTATCATATATATCATCCATTATCAATCTAAATATCATTATGCAACACATAACTGCATTTTCTGTGCATCTGTCTTCCCTAGAAGACATCAAATCCAAAAACGTGGAGCTGCCTTGTTCACAATTGCATTCCTTGAGGCAAACTCAGGGCTTGGCACTCTGTAGATTCTTGTTATCTATTTGTAATTTAGGAATGAATGTCATCTATTTCATCAGAGTACCTTGCATATTATCTTAATTTGAAATACACTCAATAAATCTTCACTGAATTGAATCTTTCACAATAGAAAGCACCGCTAACCTGAAGGAAAAAAGAGTTTCCCCATTGGAGCAGAGGGCCAGCAGCTGTTGGGGCAAGTGTAAGTGGATGTATGTTCAACTGTGTTTGTAATTTGAGGCAATAGTTGTCAACAGGTCAACAAAGAGAAGAAGCATGCTCAGATACTCTTGCAGCAGGGCAATGCCACTGAACAGGAAACAAGGGCCTCACAGGGCTCTCAGTCATAACATCCCTTCTCAGTTTTGAAAGTCTTGAATACCTACTCCATAAAGTTGAAATATCACTGTTTCAGTAGGTTTCTTATAAGCTTCCAATTTAACATAACTAGGGAGGAAAGCTGCCTTAAACACCAGGAAATGATTTTTTAATTTAATAACACAAGTCTAAACATGTTTAGACACATGAAATAATTATGTGAGAACTATCATCACTGTGTCCACCAGTCATTAAAGACTGTTTGCCACACCATTCTAAAAGGTCTAGAGGTACTCTTCTTGGGAGGAAAATGATTATAAACCTCTTACCTGTTACCCATCCAGATGCCACACATTTTGAATTCAGGTGAATTTTCTTTCTTTTCAAAGCAATGGTCTGAGAGAGGAAAAAGTCATAAATTCAGATTTTAAAAAAAACATTGAAAGGAAAGAGAATAGTAAGTATGCAGATTATGCTTGAAAATGGATGTTTCTACATCTTCTAAAATGATTAAAGGAGGTGTGTCCAGAGAGAAACTGGAGCCCAAGACCTCTGGAAGGAGTAAGAAGGAAGGAGGGAAAAGAAGAAGGAAGGAGAAGTTGGAGGAGGAAGCAGTGACATCACCACCACCACTTTGCCTCTCTTAAATAATACTGAACCGAAGATCCTCCCTGGGGGAAGCTGGACACAGACCCATCCCATGAGAGACATCAAGAGAGTGTAGTCACATGAGATTCATGACACATGGAGTAGGTGTAGGGTCAACCTCAGCATGGAGAGGGTGGGCACTGAAAGAAGTGTTGTTGGCCGGGCATGGTGGCTCACGCCTGTAATCCCAGCACTTTGGGAGGCTGAGGTGGGCAGATCACGAGGTCAGGAGATGGAGATCATCCTGGCCAACATGGTGAAACCTCGTCTCTACTAAAAATACAAAAATTAGCTGGGTGTGGCGGCACATGCCTGTAATCCCAGCTACTTGAGAGGCTGAGGCAGGAGAATCACTTGAACCTGGGAGGCAGAGGTTGCAGTGGGGTGATGTCACTGCACTCCGGCCTGGTGACAGAGCTAGACTCCATCTCAAAAAAAAAAAAAAAAAAAAGACGTGTCATTGGAGAAATACTTGAGGAGTGGGGCTGGGAAGCTGCTGATTATTGTTAGCCAAATCCAAGCATTCTAAAAACTTCTGCAAATCATTACAAAGAAGTGGGCAGAGATCTAAATGGCAAAGGGATGGGACAGCATAGAATTGCTCTTGTGGATGTGGTTTCAAGACTTTCCTTCTCCATAGGAAGCCAAAGAATGAGGCAATTCTCTAGGAAATGCATCTGCCCACAGGAGCACCCTGGATGGATGAAGTCCTCCCTTGCTGCTAAGAGACTCTGTAAGGGAAGTGTGAAGGCAGGACAAGTGAGGATAAGGAAAAGTTAACCATGCAAAAACCAAGGAGTGAAAGAAAGGTTGGGTATTTACCATAAGCTTCCGGGTTACTGATATTTTTACAGTCCCTCGAGATGCATTTCAGGTTCAGACTTCCCATGAAGAGCTGCTGACCTACCAGGGCAAAGATGCTGAGGCAAAAGAAGGTGAGGATAATCACGTTGACCAGCTTCTTCACAGAGCGTAGCAAGGCCCCCACGATGACCTTCAGACCTGAGAAAGAGGACAGGCTTGGGGAGAAGCCCATCCCCCTCAGCCAGACACTCACAAAGGCCAAGTAAGGAGCAACTGAAGTCTCGGAAACTGTCAAATTGCAGGCTGGAACTGGACTCCAGCCTAGCCTATGATTCTGATGCCTTGAGTTTGTGCTCCAACTCTGTGCCTTGGAAGCTGAGTGTCATCAAAGCAGTCAACAAGTTTGAGACTCAATCTCTCTATTCCTGCCCTATGCCTGCCTCAGTGCTGCTATGAGGAGCAAGCAAAGAGGCTTTGAATAGAAACATGCCACACGGACTCAAGGCATAGGTTGAGGACAGTTGCAAAGGCACCACCTAAGCTGGGGCCACACTAGAGAATGAGATAGACCTGTATTTAACATTTAGTAGATACTGTCTACTGTCAAAGTACTTGAGTACCATGAGACACAGCTAAATTGTGGGGTATAGGGGATGAAGGAGATTTGTCTAGACCCAAATTATGAGGATATCCTGGGAGGGAAAACTCAGATTACCAGTTAGAATAGGGTGTTTTCTTTTCATTCATTCATTCATTCAAGAAGTATTTATTAAGCACCTACTATGTCCATGGCACACTGTTAAGCTGCCAAAGTTACAAAATAAATAATCTTGTGGCATGCTAGTAAATATTTAAAACTGGCTCTTCAAGCAGGAGGCAGGAGAGCCCTGATCTATAGCATTTACAGGTTTCCTTGTTTTCTGAATTCTGTGGTATAGATCCTGATCCCCACTCACCACCATGGTAGATTTCAAGCTACCAATATGATGTCACTGGACAGAGCTGGAAAAAGAACAAGTCAACTTCAGCAATCCACTGAGTCTCAAGATAGCTGGAGAGATAAACTCCCAGATGTAATTGAAAGGCATGGAATGACACTAAGTGACAAAATTTCAATTGATTAGCATAGAGGTGAGAGCACATGGCAGCATACAGTGGGAGGCCAAGCCCTCAGTGGATGGGCTTCCCACAAAGTATAACACCAGATAGCAGGAACCTGGAGGCCAAGCTGGGACACTTACTATATCACCAATTGAAGGCAAACCAGAGGTTACTACAGTGTCACCCAAGGCAGATTTTAATCTATAACAAGAGGCTTCTCCAAAGCAAGAAATGTGGATGAGTGATGATTGTGATTCCTGGATCATTTTTTAATAGTCTCATAAAAGATTGTGCCTCACACCCTTACTTCCAAAAAGCATCCAGGCATCTCAGTGCATTTAATGGGCCAAAATAGAGACTATATTCACCTGTGTGGAGATGAAGACGGGGACATGAAAGCTGCTAAATGACTGCCTGAATGTGTATTTACTTATGTGAAAATAAAAGGGGCTCAGCTCATGCAGAAAGCTCCTAAATCTACCTGGGAAAACAAAGTCCTACTTGAAAAGAAGAAGGAGAAGGAGGAGGAGGAGGAGGAGGAGAAGAAGAGATAAATTGTATATAAAGTGTCCTCTGACTACCAGTTTCTTTATCACTATTCAGTTGCTTTTCTGAAGTTTCAAAAAATAACCTACTGCTTCTGTTTGAAAGGACTGGAGTTTAGGTATTGGGGCCATGCGGTATAGTTTATGTCTATATCATCAGCACAACTAAATAGTTCCCATGTCTTTTTACAGTTTGCCAAAGCCACTGATAGAAGAGAAAAGAAGGGAAGGGGAGAAGGTGGGGGGAAAGGAGTCCAGAGAGGGAAGATAATAAACTGTTTTGTTTGTTTGTTTTAGTAAAGAAAAGAGAGGAAAGGGGAAGGAGAGGAAAAGGGTGTGCTATAATAACCTCATTTTTAATAAACAGAAATTCATATTCACACCCAACCTTGGCTTCATCCTGATCCGAAGGGCTAACATGACTTCCTCACCTGGCTTCCAGGAGACCACCTTTGGTTCCCCTCCTACTTCACAGGTGGCTGCTGCTCATCTCCTTCCCTGGTTTCTCCTCTTCTCCCTTTCATGTTTCAGTACCCTGGGGCTCAGACCTTGGTCCTCTTCTATTCTCCATCAGTGCTTATTCCCTTGGTGATCTCTTTAGATCTCACGGCTTTAAATATCTATAGACCCTTGATTCCTGAAATGGTATCTCTAGCTCTGACTTCTCCCTGGACTCCTGGACTCATATATACCTAATTTCCTGCTGAATCCTTTCCCTTGGTGGTCTCACAGCCATCTCAAACATAACATGTTCAAAGCTAGCTTGTAATCTGACCCCAAGGCCTGCTCCTCTCACAGCCTTCTCTGTCTCAATCAGTGACATCAGGTATAAAAGTCATTTTTGACTCCTCTCTTTTGCTCACACCATGTATACAATTGATCAGTCAGGAAATGCTATTGTTTCTACCTTTGAATTGACACAGAATCAAACCAGTGTCTACCAACTCCACTACCACTACCTGATCAGAGAGCACTGCCATCCCTTGCTTGGATTATGGTCTCTTGTGTCAGTTTGGGTTTTGAGGAGCAGACATTCTGAGATCAGATGTGCCAGAGATTTGTGGGGGTTGGGAGGACGCCTGTGAAAGATGAGTCGGGGGAGCAGGAGTGGGCAGGGAGAAACTTCAGACTGCAGCTCAAGTTTGATGTCTGAGAGACAGACAAGGGAGGAGGATTGGATAGGAAGAACCTCAGACTGCAGTGCAGCTGTCGGAGTCTCAGCCAGGTCACTGGAGAGTCCCTGAGCCAAAGTTTCCTATTAGAAGAATCCCATATGCTTCAGGAATGGGCCAGCACTAGAACCCACACACACTGTGCAGGGCAGGCATGATCTTGGCATGTGGATGAATGCAGTGGGGAATCCAGAGAGGTGGAAGCCGGGATCTTTAGTCCACTGTGCTCCCTGTAGCAGGAGGTCTTCCTGCTTCTCCCATCTCCCCTACATTCCATTCTCCACACAACAGCTCCCATTTCTTCAGAGTGAAGCGCATATCCTCCCTGTGCCTACAAGACTCCCCTTCAGTCCTTTTTTTTTTTTAGACCTTAGGCTGGAGTGCAATGGCACAATCTTGGCTCACTGCAGCCTGCAGCCTCTGCCTCCCAGGTTCAAGCAATTCTCCTGCCTCAGCTTCTCGAGTAGCTGAGATTAAAGGTACTCACCACCACATCTAACTAATTTTTTTTTTTTCTGAGACAGTTTTGCTTTTGTTGCCCAGGCTGGAGTGCAATGGGGCGATCCAGGCTCACCGCAACCTCCCTCTCCCAGGTTCAAGTGATTCTCCCACCTCAGCCTCCTGAGTAGCTGGGATTACAGGCATGCACCACCACACCTGATTACTTTTGTATTTTTAGTAGAGATGGGGTTTCTCCATGTTGATCAGGCTGATACCAAACTTCTGACCTCAGGTGATCCACCTGCCTCAGCCTTCCAAAGTGTTGGGATTACAGGAGTGAGCCACTGCACCTGGCCTTAACTCTTGTATTTTTGTAGAGACGAGGCTTTTCCATATTGGCCAGGCTGTTCTGAAACTCCTGGCCTCAAGTTATCTCCCCACCTTGGCCTCCCAAAGTGCTAGAATTACTGGCGTGAGCAACTGTACCCGGCCCCCCCTTCACTTCTATGATCCCACCTCTACCTGGCCTCTCACCCTCTCCTTTCCAGTCCCATCCTCATCCTTGCTACTCCTCAATCTCTGTGCTGGCTGTTTCCCATGCTCAGAATACTCTTTCCCATATATCTGCTTGTGTCACTCCCTTGCCACCTTCAAATCTCTGCCACCTCTCACCTCAATGACAACTATCGTGATCACTCTGTTTAAAACTGCAACCTCCTTCCCCTGTACCCTGTGACTTCCCATAGCCCTCATGGTGTCTACTTTTTCTTTATATTTTCCCTGGCACATAGCACTTGCTCACATGCTACATAATGTACTTATTTATTATAGTTGTTGCTTCGTGTCTGTCTCCCCACCCCCACCATAGAAGGTAAAACTCCATGAGTCCGTATCCATTTGCTTACTACTAGATCTCAAGCAGTTAGCACAGTGCCTGGACATATTAGGTGCTCAATAATTATCAGTTGGACCATCAAATAAATTTGTAAAGCAGGCTTTGTTTGTTTTTGGTTTACATGATGACATTTTGAAAAAATTTAAATATAAATTAACATTCTTTCTAGATAGGAGCCAGTGTGGAAAGTGAGAGTGACTTACGTGAAACTACTGAAATTGCTTTCAAAGCTCTGAACACACGGAAGGTACGCAGGGGCAATAGTTTGATGGTGATTCCTGGAATATATGACACAATCCTACAAGACAAAGCACAGGGAAGGCATGGGCTTGCTCAGTCCTGCAGCTGCACTGCACATCTCCACAAAAGCCACAAGTAAGCTCAGCCTGAGGCCTGTGACCTCCAAGGTGAAATCGACAGCCTCACCTTTCCAGCCCCACCTTTATCTTAGGATCTGGCAATACCACTGTTCTTGCTATGAACTGCAGAGGACGCTGTTCTCAGTTCACCTTCATACGTGGACACAGATGAAGACTCCTTGAAATAGTTCATGTAGTTGTGGCTACATCCATGAATAATAGAAGTCCTCTCAAATATTTACTGAGTGGCTGACAAGTTCCATGCCCCAAGGCACTTCACTAAAGTCTCCTGCCACTACATGGTCAAGCCTGAATGTGTAGCCAGGCAGTGTAGCTCCAGAGCCATACTCTAAACCACTGTGCTTCACCACCTTTCAATAACGAAGAGCACACAATCTTTGAACTTCAAATGTAAAACTCTGAAATTACTAGCACCTACCTCCAAGGGCTTTTGTGAATATTAAATAGGAAAAAATATGCAAAGTGCTTAACATAATGCCTGGTACATATTGAATGATGCCAGGTTTACTATTGTTGTGCTGGCAATGTGTCACTGCATTTCTTATTTTTTCTTTTGCTGACTCCATTTCATCATTCAGATTCCAAATCAGTGTCTTTCCTTCAGGAAGAGCTTCAACCTTCACCTTACACCATACATGATAATTAACTCAAAATGGACCATGGACTGAAACATAAAAGCCAAAACTACAGAACTTCTAGAAGTAAACAGGAGTAAAGCTCTTTGTAACCTTGTAGCAGCCAAAGATTTTTTAGACTGCTTTGTTCTTCCTATATTCTCTGACAGCTTAATACATGTATAGCCCCTATCCTGGTACTCATCATACCATATTTTCAGGGCCATTAATTGTTACTTTTCCCCTCTGGACTGTGAGCTTCATAAGATTGAAAACCATGTCTTTTTTTTTTTTTTTAATTTCATTGGCACACCCCTGTATCTTCCATAGAGCCTGGCCCATAACAGGCCAGTGTTGGTGAGTAAATGGCTGAAGGAACACGAACTTGAGTGTTGACCTAGAAATGGCTTTGTGTGTGGGGGCCTCTGGCCAATTGGCTGCACGTGCTGTTCAGGGCCAACCAACACAGCACTCAGAGCTCTAGGCATTACTAGGCCATACTCAGCCACTCAAATGGATCCACACAGAGCTCTGATGGAAGCAAAGGGGCTTCTTTCCCACTCCAAGTCTCTTCAAAAACATCTTTAATATTCTTACGCTATTCCAATGACAATGGAGTCCAGCCAGTTCCATGGATCTCGAAGGAAAGAAAACTCATCCAGAATGAAACCTCTTGCCAATATTTTAATCAAAGCTTCAAAAATATAAATCCCAGTGAAGACACACCTAAAAAGCAAATCATTTACAACAGGAAGAAACATGATAAACAATGTGAAAAGCAAAGAGCCCTTCTATCTTACTGGCCTTGATTTTTTTTTCCATTTCAATGTGACATTTAACATTCTGGTCTTCAGCAAACCAGAGTTCAAAAATGCAAGCTTTTTAAGCAAGTCCTGGTATTTAGAATTTCAGAGAAACAGGCCCAGAGATAAATTGTGAAGCTGCATTTCAAGGCCTAGCTTTATGTCCATATTCTTGAGAATAGTTTCAGGTAACATGAGACCCAAGCACTGGAGGTTGTACTTTGTCACCACCATTCTAGAGCTGTCACTCTGATGTACAGAAGGAGACAATGGTGACAGAACAATGAAGAGAGTAAATGACAAGCAAATAGCTGAATTTTTTCATACCTGTGTTCATGGATTGGAAGGTTTAATATTGTTAAGATATCGTACTACCCAGGGTGATCTACAGATTCAGTGCAATCCTTATCAAACTCCCAATGACATTTTTTACAAAAATATAAAAATCCATTCTAAAATTCATATGGAATTTCAAGTGACCCCAAATAGCCAGAACAATCTTGAAAAAAAACAAATTGTGAGGTCTCACACTTCCTGATATCGAAATTTATTACAAAGCTACAGTAATCAAAATAGGGTAATTTATCATGGAAAGAGATTTAATTGACTCACAGTTCAGTTCAGCATGGCTGGGGAGGCCTCAGAAAAATTACCATTATGGTGGAAGGGGAAGCAAACATGTCCTTCTTCATACGGCAGCAGGAAGGAGAAGAATGAGAGTGAAGCGAAGGGGAAAGCCCCTAATGAAACTATCAGATCTCATGAGAACTCACTATTACGAGAATAGCATGGGGGAAACCCTCGCCGTGACTCAATTATCTCCCACCAGGGCCCTCTACCACACGTTAGGATTATGGGTACTACAATTCATGATGAGATTTGGGTGGGGACACAGACAAACCATATCAAGGTGGTACTAGCATAAAGACACATATAGACCAACGGAATAGAATAGAGAGCCCAGAAGTAAACTTTTGCATATATGGCCAAATTATTTTCCACAAGGGTGACAAGACTATGGAATAGTCTTGGCAATGTCCTTGGAAAAAGGACAGTCTTTTCAACAAATGGTAAAGGGAAAACTGAATCTCCACTTGCAAAAAATGAAGTTAGAATCTTTACTTACACCATATAAAAAATTAACTCAATATGGATTAAAGTCCTAAATGTAAGACCTGAAAAACATAAAACTCATAGAAGAAAAATTTGAAAGTCATATACCTAACAAGGGGTTAACATCCAGAATATGTAAATAACTCTGACAACAGAAAACCAAACACTGCATGTTCTCACTCTAAGTGTGAGTTGAACAATAAGAACACATGGACACAGGGAGGGGAACAACACACACTGGGGCCTGTTGGGGGTGGGGAGCAAGGGGAGGGAGAGGATTAGGACAAATACCTAATGCATGTGGGGCTTAAAACCTAGATAACAGGTTGATGGAGAAGCAAACCACCATGGCACACATACAGCTATGTAACAAACCTTCATGTTCTGCACCTGTATCCCAGAACTTACAGTAAAATAAAATTAAATTAAATAATAAAATAAAATAGAACTCCTACAACTCAACAATAAAAAATTAAATGACCTAATTAAAAAATGACCAAAGGATTTGAATAGATATTTCTCCAAAGATGAAATACAAATGGCCAACGAGCATATGAAAAGATGCTCAACATCACTAACCATTAGAAAAATGCAAACCAAAACCACAAAGAGATGACCTCATGCCCATTAGGATGGCTACTATTTTTTAAAAAACCTAAAATAACAAGTGTTGATGAAGATGTGAAGAAATGGGAACACTTGTGCACTGTTGATGAGATTGTAAAATGGTGCAATCCCTATGGAAAACAGTATGAAGACTCCTCAAAAATTAAAAATAGACCTGCTATATGATCCAGCAAAGCCACTTCTAGGTATATGTATAAAAGAATTGAAAGCAGGTTCTCAAGAACTTATTTGCCTACCCATGATCATAGCAGCACTGTTCATAATAACAAAGAGGTGGAAGCAACCCAAATGCCCTTTGCCAGATAAGTAGACAATCTCCTAAAAAAAGAAAATAGCTTACATCTTTTTTATATTCCCACACTGTCAAAAATACTGGGTCTGTGCACGCACACACACACACACACACACACACACACACACACACATGTTTGGGACTGAAACAAGTAATTCAGTCAAACAACCTGTCAGTTCAGAGTAAAATGTGGTATATACATGTGATGGAATATTAATCAGCCTGAAAAAGGAAGAAAATTTTGCCACATTCTACAACATGTATAAACCTTGAAATCATTATGCAAGGTGAAACAATCCAGTCATAAAAAGACAAATACTGTGTGATCCACTTATATGAGGCAGGGGCTGAGGGGAAGATTGAAATGGGGAGTTGGTATTTCATGGATATAGACTTTCAGTTTTGCAAGATGAAAAGAGTTCTGGAGATGAATAATGATAATGTTGTGCAGCACTGTGAATGCACTTAATTCCAATAAACTTAAAATAGTTAAGACGGTATCTTTTATGTTATGTGTACTTTGTCACAATTTTAATAAAAACTGGGCCCTTCCTTTCTCTTCCCTGAATCTTCCATCATATTCTATCCTTGCTATGGTTTGAATGTTCCCTCCAAAAGTCATGTTGAAATTTAATTGGCATTATTATGGTATTAAGAGGTGGGACCCTTAGGAGGTGATTAAGCCATGAAGACACTTCCTTTGTGATGTATTAATGCCAATATCTCAGGAGTGGGTTCCTGATAAAAGGTGAGTTCAGGCCTCTTTACCCTTGCTCTCTCATGTGCACATTTTTGCCCTTCTGCCTTCTGCCATGGGATGATGCAGCAAGAAGACCCTCACCAGATACAGACCCTTTGATCTTGGACTTCCCAGTCTCCAGAACTGTAAGAAATACATCTGTATTCTTTACAAATTATCCAGTCTGTGGTATTTTGTTATCACAACATAAAATTGACTAAGATAATTCTCTAATTTATTTCCCTTTTTATCTGCTGTCTCAAAAAAAAAATCTCGTATCTTTTGTTATAATCCCAAGCTGCAAAAATACTGAGTCTGCAAGCACAAACACATACACACGCTCACTTGGGACAGAAACAAGCAATTCAGTTAAACAGCTTATCAGTTCAGAGTAAAAGAAGTGGACCTTTTCTGGTAAACTATCCAGTCATAATAGCCCTGAAAGCTAAAGAACAAAGGCCTTGAGGACTTGAAAAAACTCAAAGCAGCCAAGTCCAAGAGCAGAAATGGTCATGAGGCTGCTACAGGCAAGAGCTCCTCCTTGCTTCAGGCTTTTTCTGAGCTGCTCACCTTTTGTGTGACAAATGAGCATATCAGATTAAATAATGTCTGTCCTAAAATATGTGTGTGTGAATGTAGGGTTGCAGGAGGTTGTTAAAAATGTCCTCATATAAACAGGCATTAAAAGAGTTTAAAAAGGCAACATCTTTTAATACCAGTTTTAAATTATAAAGTTATAGATGCTTTGATAAAAATCTGCAATTGCAGATTTGTGGGATTTTTCAAGTCTTCATACAGATCTTAAGCAAATGAGACAGCAGACTGTCGCTGCTGTTTCTGCCTGACATTCTAGTCTCCCACCTCTTACTTCCACCATTCTCTCTTTTCCAGCTGAAGCCTGACCATTGATGGGACAGGCAGATCAAAATGACATCTGATGTGGAGTAAAACCATGCCCACCAGGAGGAAATTACATGCCTCCTTGTATGAAGACATTTTTAACAGCCTCCTCCCACCCCACATTCACGTATCCACTGTTCATCCAAAACTTCCAGGGGAGAGCAACAGCTTTCCCCACACTTGACTCCTGCCTCTCTGCTTAAAGAGGGGTTTTCCTCCCTGCCTTATGGGTATTTTAATAGTGAAAATGGCCTCAGAGCAAATTACCTTCCCATAATAGAGAAAGAAGGCTCCTTGCATCTCACCACAAGGGCTAGGCAGAGCAAACCGCAGCTGTGGAAACAATGCACTCTCCTGATCTGTCTCCTCCATAGGTCCTGCCCTCCTCATCAAAGGCTTCCAGGGAAGCTGCAGTAAGCAACGAGTAGCAACCCCTGCACTCAGTTAGCACCTCATGCAACAGCCAAATCTCCAAAGGGGAGACCACATTCCCCAAGGACATTGCCAGGATGGCACCTATTCCTGGGGCTATCTGTGCCCTCCTCAAGGCACAGCCCCTCCACTGGCCAGCCTTAACCAGGTTCCAGGTTCCACCCAGCAACAGAGACAGACAGTCCCTACAAAGACACCACCTAGAAGGGAGAAGAATTCTCCAGAGACATATAGACCAAACCAGACCTTGTAGTCAAAGAAAGGGCAGTTTTCAAAGTCTGACCACTAACCGGTGTCCCAGAAACCACTAGAGCCAAGTAAAGGAGAATAGATGTGTACATGATTTAGAGAACACTTCCAGGAAAAAGGTAGGGTGGAAGTGACTGGAGACTGCCTTCCCAAATTCCCATTTAAAATCTATGAAAACATTTGAAAATAAGAACATGTTCTAAAGAAGCATGACGAGAGTGGGCATTGCCCAGATTCCAGGAGGAAAGCCTCCCAGGGTCATCAATCCATTTTTCCTTGGAGCATCCAACCTTGTTCACATAGTCCCTTTCCTGATGATGTTGTATTCCCTAATAAGTGCCTGCAAGGTCTGGGAGTCCCCAGTCCTACTCCCCACCAGAGGTACAAACAGCTGCTAGCCAGCTTTCACCATCATACCTCTAGCGGGAGTGATTTTTTGCCTCTGCGCCCAAGTCCCTCAAGCCTTAGAAACAGTAAGTCATTGCTCCAGTCATTTTAGAAATATTAGATAAGCCATTCCATTCACAAGAAGCTTCTTATATTTGCCTGAACCTGAGTGGGTCTCTTTGAATTACTAGAGGATCTGAAAGGAAAAGTACAGCTACAAGGGTAACTAATGTGGGAAATGTAGTACAATACTTGCAACTTGCCAAGTCAGATACCACAAATGTTACTATAAACATCCTTAAAGAAGAATCTGCAAGAAACTGAACCAAAGAGGAAGGGAAAATAAGAATACAAAAGACATTTAGAAAATATTAAAAATTGAAATGCCACATATTAAAACCTACAAGACAGAGACAAAGCTGTACCCCTAAGCATTGTCCCTATAAATATTTTTATTATTTACAACAAGAAGGAAAATGCAGTCAGGCTGGAGCCAAGATGGCCGAATAGGAACAGCTCCAGTCTACAGCTCCCAGCGTGAGCGACGCAGAAGATGGGTGATTTCTGCATTTCCATCTGAGGTAACGGGTTCATCTCACTAGGGAGTGCCAGACAGTGGATGCAGGACAGTGGGTGCAGCGCACCGTGCATGAGCCGAAGCAGGGTGAGGCATTGCCTCACTCGGGAAGCACAAGGGGTCAGGGAGTTCCCTTTCCTAGTCAAAGAAAGGGGTGAGAGACGGCACCTGGAAAATCGGGTCACTCCCACCCCAATACTGCGCTTTTCCGACGGGCTTAAAAAATGGCGCACCAGGAGATTATATCCCGCACCTGGCTCGGAGGGTCCTACACCCACGGAGTCTCGCTGATTGCTAGCACAGCAGTCTGAGATCAAACTGCAAGGCAGCAGGGAGGCTGGGGGAGGGGCACCCACCATTGCCCAGGCTTGCTTAGGTAAACAAAGCAGCCGAGAAGCTCCAACTGGGTGGAGCCCACCACAGCTCAAGGAGGCCTGCCTGCCTCTGTAGGCTCCACCTCTGGGGGCAGGGCACAGACAAACAAAAAGACAGCAGTAACCTCTGCAGACTTAGATGTCCCTGTCTGACAGCTTTGAAGAGAGCAGTGGTTCTCCCAGCACCCAGCTGGAGATCTGAGAACAGGCAGACTGCCTCCTCAAGTGGGTCCCTGACCCCTGACCCCCGAGCAGCCTAACTGGGAGGCACCCCCCAGTAGGGGCAGACTGACACCTCACACGGCCGGGTACTCCTCTGAGACAAAACTTCCAGAGAAATGATCAGACAGCAGCATTCGCGGTTCACAAAAATCCGCTGTTCTGCAGCCACCGCTGCTGGTACCCAGGCAAACAGGGTCTGGAGTGGACCTCTAGCAAACTCCAACAGACCTGCAGCTGAGGGTCCTGTCTGTTAGAAGGAAAACTAACAAACAGAAAGGACACCCACACCAAAAACCCATCTGTACATCACCATCATCAAAGACCAAAAGTAGGTAAAACCACAAAGATGGGGAAAAAACAGAGCAGAAAAACTGGAAACTCTAAAAGGCAGAGCACCTCTCCTCCTCCAAAGGAACGCAGCTCCTCACCAGCAACGGAACAAAGCAGGACGGAGAATGACTTTGACGAGTTGAGAGAAGAAGGCTTCAGACGATCAAACTACTCCGAGCTACAGGAGGAAATTCAAACCAAAGGCAAAGAAGTTGAAAACTTTGAAAAAAATTTAGACGAAAGTATAACTAGAATAACCAATACAGAGAAGTGCTTAAAGGAGCTGATGGAGCTGAAAGCCAAGGCTCGAGAACTACGTGAAGAATTCAGAAGCCTCAGGAGCTGATGTGATCAACTGGAAGAAAGGGTATCAGTGATGGAAGATGAAATGAATGAAATGAAGCGAGAAGGGAAGTTTAGAGAAAAAAGAATAAAAAGAAACGAACAAAGCCTCCAAGAAATATGGGACTATGTGAAAACACCAAATCTACGTCTGATTGGTGTACCTGAAAGTGACAGGGAGAATGGAACCAAGTTGGAAAACACTCTGCAGGATATTATCCAGGAGAACTTCCCCAATCTAGAAAGGCAGGCCAACATTCAGATTCAGGAAATACAGAGAACGCCACAAAGATACTCCTTGAGAAGAGCAACTCCAAGACACATAATTGTCAGATTTACCAAAGTTGAAATGAAGGAAAAAATGTTAAGCGCAGCCAGAGAGAAAGGTCGGGTTACCCACAAAGGGAAGCCCATCAGACTAACAGCAGACCTCTCGGCAGAAACTCTACAAGCCAGAAGAGAGTGGGGGCCAATATTCAACATTCTTAAAGAAAAGAATTTTCAACCCAGAATTTCATATCCAGACAAACTAAGCTTCATAAGTGAAGGAGAAATAAAATCCTTTACAGACAAGCAAATGCTGAGAGATTTTGTCGCCACCAGGCCTGCCCTAAAAGAGCTCCTGAAGGAAGCACTAAACATGGAAAAGAACAACCGATACCAGCCATTGCAAAATCATGCCAAATTGTAAAGACCATTGAGGCTAGGAAGAAACTGCATCAACTAATGAGCAAAATAACCAGCTAACATCATAATGACAGGATCAAATTCACACATAACAATATTAACTTTAAATGTAAATGGACTAAATGCTCCAATTAAAAGACACAGACTGGCAAATTGGATAAAGAGTCAAGACCCATCAGTGTGCTGTATTCAGGAAAAAACCCATCTCATGTGCAGAGACACACATAGGCTCAAAATAAAAGGATGGAGGAAGATCTACCAAGCAAATGGAAAACAAAAAAAGGCAGGGGTTGCAATCCTAGTCTCTGATAAAACAGACTTTAAACCAACAAAGATCAAAACAGACAAAGAAGGCCATTACATAATGGTAAAGGGATCAATTGAACAAGAAGAGCTAACTATCCTAAATATATATGCACCCAATACAGGAGCACCCAGATTCATAAAGCAAGTCCTGAGTGACCTACAAAGAGACTTAGACTCCCACACAATAATAATGGGAGACTTTAACACCCCACTGTCAACCTTAGACAGATCAACGAGACAGAAAGTTAACAAGGATACCCAGGAATTGAACTCAGCTCTGCACCAAGCGGACCTAATAGACATCTACAGAACTCTCCACCCCAAATCAACAGAATATACATTTTTTTCAGCACCACACCACACCTATTCCAAAATTGACCACATAGTTGGAAGTAAAGCTCTCCTCAGCAAATGTAAAAGATCAGAAATTATAACAAACTGTCTCTCGGACCACAGTGCAATCAAACTAGAACTCAGGATTAAGAAACTCACTCAAAACCGCTCAACTACGTGGAAACTGAACAACCTGCTCCTGAATGACTACTGGGTACATAACGAAATGAAGGCAGAAATAAAGATGTTCTTTGAAACCAACGAGAGCAGACACAACACACCAGAATCTCTGGGACACATTCAAAGCAGTGTGTAGAGGGAAATTTATAGCACTAAATGCCCACAAGAGAAAGCAGGAAAGATCCAAAATTGACACCCTAACATCACAATTAAAACAACTAGAAAAGCAAGAGCAAACACATTCAAAAGCTAGCAGAAGGCAAGAAATAACTAAAATCAGAGCAGAACTGAAGGAAATAGAGACACAAAACACCCTTCAAAAAATTAATGAATCCAGGAGCTGGTTTTTTGAAAGGATCAACAAAACTGATAGATCCCTAGCAAGACTAATAAAGAAGAAAAGAGAGAATAATCAAATAGAAGCAATAAAAAATGATAAAGGGGATATCACCACCGATCCCACAGAAGTACAAACTACCATCAGAGAATACTACAAACACCCCTATGCAAATAAACTAGAAAATCTAGAAGAAATGGATAAATTCCTCGACACATACACCCTCCCAAGACTAAACCAGGAAGAAGTTGACTCTCTGAATAGACCAATAACAGGCTCTGAAACTGTGGCAATAGCTTACCAACCAAAAAGAGTCCAGGACCAGATGGATTCACAGCCAAATTCTACCAGAGGTACAAGGAGGAACTGGTACCATTCCTTCTGAACTATTCCAATCAATAGAAAAAGAGGGACTCCTCCCTAACTCATTTTATGAGGCCAGCAGCATCCTGATACCAAAGCCAGGCAGAGACACAACCAAAAAAGAGAATTTTAGACCAATATCTTTGATGAACTTGGATGCAAAAATCCTCAATAAAATACTGACAAACTGAGTCCAGCAGCACATCAAAAAGCTTATCCACCATGATCAAGTGGGCTTCATCCCTGGGATGCAAGGCTGGTTCAATATATGCAAATCAATAAATGTAATCCAGCATATAAACAGAACCAAAGACAAAAACCACATGATTATCTCAATAGATGCAGAAAAGGCCTTTGACAAAATTCAACAACCCTTCATGCTAAAAACTCTCAATAAATTAGGTATTGATGGGACGTATCTCAAAATAATAAGAGCTATCTCTGACAAACCCACAGCCAATATCATATTGAATGGGCAAAAACTGGAAGCATTCCCTTTGAAAACTGGCACAAGACAGGGATGCCCTCTCTCACCACTCCTATTCAACATAGTGTTGGAAGTTCTGGCCAGGGCAATTAGGCAGGAGAAGGAAATAAAGGGTATTCAATTAGGAAAAGAGGAAGTCAAATTGTCCCTGTTTGCAGATGACATGATTGTATATCTAGAAAACCCCATTGTCTCAGCCCAAAATCTCCTTAAGCTGATAAGCAACTTCAGCAAAGTCTTCAGGATACAAAATCAATGTACAAAAATCACAAGCATTCTTATACACCAACAACAGACAAACAGAGAGCCAAATCATGAGTGAACTCCCATTCACAATTGCTTCAAAGAGAATAAAATACCTAGGAATCCAACTTACAAGGGACGTGAAGGACCTCTTCAAGGAGAACTACAAACCGCTGCTCAATGAAATAAAAGAGGATACAAACAAATGGAAGAACATTCCATGCTCATGGATAGGAAGAATCAGTATCGTGAAAATGGCCATACTGCCCAAGGTAAGTTATAGATTCAATGCCATCCCCATCAAGCTACCAATGACTTTCTTCACAGAATAGGAAAAAACTACTTTAAAGTTCATATGGAACCAAAAAAGAGCCCACATCACCAAGTCAATCCTAAGCCAAAAGAACAAAGCTGGAGGCATCACGCTACCTGACTTCAAACTATACTACAAGGCTACAGTAACCAAAACAGCATGGTACTGGTACCAAAACAGAGATATAGATCAATGGAACAGAACAGAGCCCTCAGAAACAACGCCGCATATCTACAACTATCTGATCTTTGACAAACCTGACAAAAACAAGCAATGGGGAAAGGATTCTCTATTTAATAAATGGTGCTGGGAAAACTGGCTAGCCATATGTAGAAAGCTGAAACTGGATCCCTTCCTTACACCTTATACAAAAATTAATTCAAGATGGATTAAAGACTTAAACGTTAGACCTAAAACCATAAAAATCCTAGAAGAAAACCTAGGCATTACCATTCAGGACATAGGCATGGGCAAGGACTTCATGTCTAAAACACCAAAAGCAATGGCAACAAAAGCCAAAATTGACAAATGGGATCTAATTAAACTAAAGAGCTTCTGCACAGCAAAAGAAACTACCGTCAGAGTTAACAGGCAACCTACAAAATGGGAGAAAATTTTCGCAACCTACTCATCTGACAAAGGGCTAATATCCAGAATCTACAATGAACTCAAACAAATTTATAAGAAAAAAACAAACAACCCCATCAAAAAGTGGGCGAAGGACATGAACAGACACTTCTCAAAAGAAGACATTTATGCAGCCAAAAAACACATGAAAAAATGCTCACCATCACTGGCCATCAGAGAAATGCAAATCAAAACCACAATGAGATACCATCTCACACCAGTTAGAATGGCAATCATTAATAAGTCAGGAAACAACAGGTTCTGGAGAGGATGTGGAGAAATAGGAACACTTTTACACTGTTGGTGGAACTGTAAACTGTAAACTAGTTCAACCCTTGGGGAAGTCAGTGTGGCGATTCCTCGGGGACCTAGAACTAGAAATACCATTTGACCCAGCCATCCCATTACTGGGTATATACCCAAAGGACTATAAATCATGCTGCTATAAAGACACATGCACACGTATGTTTATTGCGGCACTATTCACAATAGCAAATACTTGGAACCAACCCAAATGTCCAACAATGATAGACTGGATTAAGAAAATGTGGCACATATACACCATGGAATACGATGCAGCCATAAAAAATGATGAGTTCATGTCCTTTGTAGGGACATGGATGAAATTGGAAATCATTATTTTCAGTAAACTATCGCAAGAACAAAAAACCAAACACCGCATATTCTCACTCATAGGTGGGAATTGAACAATGAGAACACATGGACACAGGAAGGGGAACATCACACTCTGGGGACTGTTGTGGGGTGGGCGGAGTGGGGAGGGATAGCTTTAGGAGATATACCTAATGCTAATTGACGAGTTAATGGGTGCAGCACACCAGCATGGCACATGTATACATATGTAACTAACCTGCACATTGTGCACATGTACCCTAAAACTTAAAGTATAATAATAATAAAATAAAAAACAAAAAAGAAGGAAAATGCATGAACTAAACATTCAAATTCATATTTTAGAAAATGTTATGTCCTATTGAATGTATAATGAAGAAAATAAAAGAAGGCAGAAGGAAAAATATCATATATATATATATATATATATATATATATATATATATATATTTTTTTTTTTTTTTTTTTTTTTTTTTTTTTGAGACAGAGTTTTGCTCTTGTTGCCCAGGCTGGCGTTCAATGGCATCATCTCTGCTCTCTGCAACCTCTGCCTCCCAGGTTCAAGCGATTCTCCTGCCTCAGCCTCCTGAGTAGCTGGGATTACAGGCATGTGCCACCATGCCCGGCTAATTTTGTATTCTTAGTAGAGACGCGGTTTCTCCATGTTGGTCAGGCTGGTCTTGAACTCCCGACCTCAGGTTATCTGCCCGCCTCGGCCTCCCAAAGCGCTGGGATTACAGGCGGTGAGCCACGGCGCCCGGCCAAAAATATTATATTTTTAAATAGAATTTAAGGCCAGGTGCTGTGGCTCATGCCTGTAATCTCAGCACTTTGGGAGGCTTAGGCAGGCGGATCACTTGAGTCCAGGAGTTCAAGACCTGGGCAACATGGCAAAACCCCATCTCTACTAAAAATACAAAAATTAGCCAGGCGTGGTGGTGCATGTCTGTAATCCCAGTCACTTGGGAGGCTGAGACACAAGAATCTCCTGAATCCAGGAGGCGAAGGCTGCAGTGAGTAGAGATTGCTCCACTGCACTCCAGCCTGGGCAAGAAAGCGAGATTCTGTCTCAAAAAATACTAATAAAATAAAAATAGAATTTAATACATAAATAGAATTTAAGATATAGTTTTAGAAAAACATAGAATTTAAGACAAATAGAATTTAAGACATAGTTATAGAAAAACTATAGAATAGTTTTTAAAATGGAATTTAAGATATAGTTTAAAAAAACATAAAAATAGGCAAGCCTCTGGCAATTCTAATCACAGAAAAAAGAAAACATATGAACAAAATGATAAATGAGAAGAAGAATATAGCAAAATATTCAGAGAAATTTTAAAACTGAAAAAGATTACCAATGAAAAATGAAAAAGCTATTAATAAATGAATTCCTTCCCATTTCACTAATTCCTTATATCCCTCTCCAAAAGATTTGCAGATATAAATCACTTTACTGGATAATTCTCTCTTTCTTTCTCCCAGAATACCTCATTTCCATGCTATTAAAAACATTTCAAGGCCGGGCGCAGTGGCTCTTGCCTGTAATCCCAGCACTTTGGGAGGCCGAGGCGGGTGGATCATCTGAGGTCGGGAGTTAGAGATCAGCCTGACCAACATGGAGAAACCCCATCTCTACTAAAAATACAAAATTAGCCAGGTGTGGTGGCGCATGCCTGTAATCCCAGCTACTCTGGAGGCTGAGTCAGGAGAATCGCTTGAACCCGGGAGGAGGAGGTTGTGGTGAGCCAAAATCGCGCCATTGCACTCCAGCCTGAGCGACAAGAGTGAAACCCCATCTCAAAAAAAAAAAAAATTTAATACATGGGAAAGATGGGGAGGAGCCATACAAGTCATCAAAAGAGTAAACAAATGCTGACAACAAATTTTATCAAAAATAGCACACAATTTTATATATATATAAAATATTGATATGTATAATACTGATGTACATACATATATATATATATATATAGTTTTATATAACAAGGCAACTAGTTACAAGGCATAATGAAAGAAAAGACCACATTTATAATGGCAACAAAAAACAGTAAAATTCACAAACAAATTTAACAAGAATTGTGGAAGATCTGTATGAAGAAAACTTTAAAGCAATTAGAGGAACACAAAAGAAGATTTTAACAAATGAAAAATATGTCATGTTCTCAATGAGTTCCAACCTCATAAAGATGTCAGTTTCCTCTAGGTTAATTTATAAATCCTTTCATCATGTCAATAAAACTAACCAAGTTGACTATAAAATTTACATGAAAAAATCAACAAGAGCCATAAAAATTCTCAAAAGGAACCTCTAGCACTCCTAGACATTACAACATTAGACAATCTTGATAGTTAAAAAGTGTGGTTCTGGCATATGAAAACGCAGACCAATGGAAGAGAAAAGAAAGTCCAGAAATAGATCTGAATACCTAAGTAACATTTCACATCAGAGGATAAGAGGTGGACTATTTAACAAATGGTGTTGGGACAAATGGATAGACATCTGGGACGGAACTATGAAGTCAGATCTATTTATGACACCCTACCCTTGAATGAATTCCAAATTATTCAAGGATTTAAATTTTTAAAAAAGGAAACTATAAAAGCACTGTAAGAAAATATGAGAGAGTCCTTTTATAACTCAAGGCTAGAGAAAGTGTTTCTAACTATAAATCAAAATCCACGGGCATAGAGGAAAGTTTGTTAAATTTAATAAAGGAAAAGAAAAAAATAATAAGCAAAATTAAGAGACCATTGATGCCTGCTTCAATTGTGATGAAGACATGAAGTAGCTGGGCAAACCCTCCCACAGATAATGAGTATTAAACTGGAAAATATATATATAAGGACAATTATTTGAAGGCCCTGGAAGGTAAACAAAAGGAGGCAGAAACTGGGGCAGAGTTTCCCCTTAAAAGAAGGTACCTGCAATGCATAAGAATTATGAAAATGTTTAACTGTTTTGGTCTGAGAGTGTTTTCCAACTTCCCCACTCCCACCCCAACACTGGCAAATGGCTGCAGTCCTGAAGATTTAAGGTGGCCGAGGGTGGGGTTCAGAGCTGGCAGAGCAGCTGGAAATTTAGGGAGGAAATCCTGGAAGCATGCAAGAGAGAGCTAAGCAACAGGAGGCATAAAACATGGAAATGACATACTTAAAGTGCTAGAAAAACAAATTGTCAAGCACTGATTCTATATACAATGAAACTCTACTTCATAAATGAGTATGAAATAAAGACATTTTCAGATCAATATAAACTGAGAATGGGTTGCCAACAGAACTGAACCACAAGATATATTAAAGGAAGTTGTTCAGGCTAAAAAGAAATACTACCAAAAGATAACTTGGATCTACAGGAAAAAAAATGTCTTTAAAAGGCATGTGCCCATTAAAAGCAAAAATGATAAACTGTATTGTTGGGTTTATTGTGTACATTAGCATAACTATATGATAAAAAACAAACAGGGGACTAAACTGTGGCATGGTTCCTGTTTCACTTGAAGGAATTCAACGTTAACTCTATTTTGCCAATTTAACAATGCATTGTTTAATATGTGAAGAAACCACTAAAAAATGCAAATAGGTAAAGCTAAAAGGCCAGCAGAGGATTAAAATGAAATACTAAATATACATGATTAACACAAAAGGAAGCAGGAATGGAGAAATAATGGAGTAGCAAAGGAACAACAACAATGACAAAAAAAAAAAGAGATAAATAGAAAACCAATAGAAAAATAGCAAAGCAAAATCCAATTATATAACTATATTAAATGTAAATGAACTTTAGTCATCAAAAGTCAGAGACTGGATTGATAGACTGCATAAAAAGCAAAAACCAACTATATGTTGTTTACAAGATATACGCTACAAATACAAAGACACAGAAGGTTTGAGAGTAAAAGAATGGAAAAAGATATACCATGCAAACAAAGAGCTTAAGAAAGCTGAAGTAGCTATATTAATATTAGACAAAACAAATATTTAAATGAGTATTATTAGAGACAAAGAAGACATTCCATAATAATAAAAGAATGAATACATCAGGAGGATAATAATAATCATCGTAAATATGTATGTACCTGATAATAGTGCTTCAAAATACACAAAGCCAAATTTGACAAAAAGAGAGAAAGAACAGACAAATCCACAATCATAGATAGAGATTTCAAGCCTCTCTTTCAGTAATTCATAAAAATGCTAAGTAAAAATCAGTAAAGGTACAAAAGATCTAAATGACACTATCAACCACCTTAACTTAACTGACCTTTTAAGGAGTATTTAAGAATGTGGCAGAATCCACATTCTTTCCAAGTGCATGTGAAACATTTCCCAAGATAGACTATAAAAGATGTTTCTCTTTATTTCAAAAGATTGAAATTTTACAGAGTGTATTCTCTGATCATAACTGAACTGAAATTAGATAATAATCAGACAACCAGAAAACAACTAGAAAGGTATAAAATATTTGGAAATATTAAAAAACACACTTCTAAATGACATATGGGACAAAGAAGAAATCATGAGAAAATGTAGGGAATATTTTGAACCAAAAGGTAATAAAAACACAGTGTATTGACATCTGTGGAATGCAGCTAAAGCAGTTCTTGGACAGAAATGCATAGCTTTATACAATTGTATAAGAAGAAAAATCTAAAACCAACTATTTAAGCTTCCAACTTAAGAAGCTAGAAAAAGAAGAGCAAATTAAAATCAAAGCAAATTGAATGAAAAAATTAATAAAGACTTTGAAACTTTCATATATTGCTGATATGAATGTAAAATTATGCTGTCAATTTGAAAAAGGTTTAGCAGTTTATTAGAAAGTTACATATATACTTATCGCAGGGCCCAGCAATTACACCTAGGTATTTATCCCAGAGAAATGCAAAAATATCCACAAAAGATTTTTATACGGAAGTGTTCGCAGCAACTTTATTCATAATAGCCCTAAACTGGAAATAATGCAAATGTGCATCAATAGATAAATGGGAAAACTATATCCATTCAATGGAATCCAACTTAGCAACAAAAAGAAAAAAAAAATGTAGAAATATACACAACAACATGGATGCATCTCAAAGCATTATGCTAAATGAAAGAAACCAGATACAAAAATATAGTATCATACATAGCATATGAAATGTATACGAAATTCTTAAAAAAGGCAAAACAAGTCTAGAATGACAGAAATGAGATCGATGTTTGTCTGGGGTTGGGAGTGGGAATCGGGGATTAACTGCAAAGAGGCATGAGACGTTTTGGGGGGTAATTGAAATGGTCTATATATCGATTGCAGTGGTTTATATTGCATAATTAAATAGGAGTTAGAAAAAATGGTCTCATTTATTCAATTTGCATTCAATATGTTCCTGAAAGATTAAAGCAGTAATTATGTTAAACTAGAAAAACTGGAACTTTTGATAAGAAAATATTTATACAAATATAGAACTTTTAAGTTAAAACATTAATTCATATGTCTGAAAAGCCAATGCAAATGATAAAAAGTTAATATTTTGGTTATACAGAGAACTCAAACTGATTAGAAAAGAAATAAAAATGATACAGAAGCAAAGATGGAAACACACAATTCAGAAATGAAAACATTAAAAGAGTCTAAATCAAATATTTCATGTTGTCATTCATATATGGGAACTGAAAAAGTGGATCACATGGAGGTAGAGAATGGAATGGTGGTTACCAGAGATGGGGAAAGACTGGGTGAGAGGTGAGGAATGGAGAGAAGTTGATTAATGAGTACAAAAAACAGACAGAAAGAATAAATTCTAGTGTTCAATAGCACAGTGGGATGACTATTTAGTTAATAATAATTTATTGTATATTTCAAAATAGCTAGAAGAGAAGATTTGAAATGTTTCCAATACAAGGAAATAATAAATGTCCAATTGGGATTGATATCCCAATTACCCTTAAGTGATCATTACACAGTGTATGCATGTATCAAAATATCACATGTACCCTGAAATGTGTACAATTATTATGTGTCAATTAAAATTGTTTTAAGTCTAACCCATCTGGAAATTAAAGAAATGCTAATATTTTTAACTCCATAAATTAGAGAAGAAAAAATTTAATGCTAGCAAGAATGTGATATAATTGGTTATTAGAATACACTGCTGATGGCAGAGCAAATTGATACAAACTTTTTGGAAAACATTTTGTCTATATATATCATTAAAAGCATTAAAATGTACCTTTTTATCTAGAAAATCCATTTTTTTTTTTTTGAGACAGAGTCTCACTCTGTTGCCCAGGCTGGAATGCAGTGGCTCACTGGGCTCACTGCAAGCTCCGCCTCCCAGGTTCATGCCATTCTCCTGCCTCAGCCTCCCGAGTAGCTGGGACTACAGGCACCCGCCACCACGCCTGGCTAATTTTTTGTATTTTTAGTAGAGATGGGGTTTCACCATGTTAGCCAGGATGGTCTTGATCTCCTGACCTCGTGATCCACCCGCCTTGGCCTCCCAAAGTGCTGGCATTACAGGCATGAGCCACCACGCCCAGCCTAGAAAATCCATTTCTAAGAGTGTATCTCAAGAAAATAATAATTTAAGAATAGGGCTGCGTGCAGTGGCTCACGCCTGTAATCCCAACACTTTGGGAGGCCAAGGTGGGCAGATCACCTGAGGTCAAGAGTTCAAGACCAGCCTGGCCAACATGGTGAAACCCTGTCTCTACTAAAAATACAAAAAAATTGGCTGGGCACGGTGGCAGGCGTCTGTAATCCCAGCTACTTGAGAGGCTGAGGGAAGAGAATCGCTTGAACCTGGGAGGCAGAGGTTGCAGTGAGCTGAGATAGTGCCATTGCACTCCAGCCTGGGCAACAAGAGCAAAACCCTGTCTCAAAAAATAAAAAAAAATAAAAAAAGAATAGCTTTATTTTTGGCATAGTGAACTCCCATAACAATTTTTTACAAACAAAAACAAAGAATAAGTAAATACATAAATACAGCTTTATGCAAAAAGATTTTTATGACAATGTTACAATCTACTAAAATGCTAGAGTGGTGAAGTACATTATGGTTTATTCACCTGATAAAATATTATATAACCATCAAAATGGATACCTATAAAACTTATGTAAACACAAAGAAAACCACTTAAAATGTGAACATATGTGTGCTGTTCATTACAAATTGTAAAAAAATAAAGGTCAAAAATAAAACTGATTCTGCCAACATATGTGTTAGAATTATTAGTGACTTTTTCTTTCTCTCCAGTGTAATCATTAACTGTCTTAGGTATATTTGTTTAAAAACTTAGGACAGGTGAGTGAAGGAAAAATACTTACTCTGCAATGTCAGTATTGTTACTGTTGCTGTTTTTAGCAGGCCCTGTAGCCATGAACACGCAGTTGATGATAACGGTGCCGATAATGAACATGCTGAACAATGTGGCCAGCATCCATTAAGGCAGATATGTTGCAGGATGGCATGCATCATTAGCTACTGGGTAAGACTGGGGGTGCCCCTGATGGTCCCCTTTTCTGCAGGTGCATCTATCTTCTGACTGTGAATGTTGGATGAGAACAACTCACAACTGTCCCCTCCTGTGGAGAATTGTCCCCTGCTGAATGGCAGCCTCCTCACTTGGAGAGCTACACACCCCCTTCTACATGTCTGACTGACTTAGGCCCTTGCTTCAAAGTGGGACAATTCTGTGGTGCAATTCATGCTCCAGAGTTCTTCGTGGGATCAGAATGAAGGTGACTCAGCTGAGACCATATCCTTGCTTGGCTCTTTGTTTTCCCCCCTTCTGCTTCCCTTTCTCCTTCTCCAGAAAGCACTCCTCTGTTAAATCACTTAAATAAGAATGCCCATATCAGGCTCTGCTTCTAGGGAACCAAACCCAAATAGTTATTCATTGCCATTCTCCTCAATATTTTACTAAATCTACCAACCCATATCTTTTTCTCATTTCCCTGTCTAAAACTTCCTAGTGTCTCCCCCAACCCTGGCATACAGCAGAAATGCTTAATAATTCCTACCTGCCTTTACATTTTAAGACTGACATTGCAAACCCTAAGTTTTAAGAGCCTGAAAAGGCATATAAATGGGTAAAATGGGCTGGTGTTCAGCCACAAGAGGGGTGCAGAGGTGGTGAGACAGAGCTTACATGCCCCCTCCAAAGAGGCAGCAATTCCTTACTCTACCCATTTTTGTCAGGTATTAACAGAAATGGGAACCTACCCTTGCCAGTTTCCATCTTTCAAGAAAAGCTGGAAATCTGGAGTATTCATGTTAGAAAGTGTTTTTCAAAGTTTTAAATACTGTGTAGGTCCAACACAACACATTATCAACTCAATATACTGCACAGGTTGCCAGTTTACAACTCTTTAGGTGTCAGCTTAGATGCACCTTCCTCTAAGAAGCCATCCTTGATGCCTCTAAAGCACAGCAGTGCCTCTCCCTGCTACCACTTTCACACGACCAATCTCACTAAAGAAGTTGCCTGCCTTTTAGTCTATGCCCTTCTGAGGCCATAGGACCCCAGAGAAGGAGACGACATCTTGCTCACATCCAGCACAGTCCCTGCCTGCAGCAGTAGGCACTCAGCCAGTATTTGTAGAAAGAATTAGCTATTTGCTTCCATCCAATAACATGAACACCGTGGGGCACGTGCACTTTTCAAATGATCTGGACTTAGTAAAAGGTGCAATGAAAGGATATGAATGGACTGAGACTCTAATGGCTAAACTTCTGATTGAATTGAAAGGCCCAAAAATGAACAAGGCATGCTTGGCACTGAAGCGGTAGATTGTCCTCTTTCTGTTTAACACCATAAATGTCTGCAAAACAAAAAAAACAATACAAGAAAACACACACATACACAACAGGAATTAAATGCAGTGACAAAACAATATTTATCATGAATTCATTTAGAGAAAATTATAACATAAACTGTTGGGCTGTGGAATATTTACCCAATGGGATACTCCAGAAGAATCAGAGATGGAAAACACAGGACCTGAAAATACCAAAATTAGGAGTATAGAGGAATAACTGGGGAAAAGAAAACCCTTAATATTGTACTCCATGGTACGTATCAACGGGGAAAGGGACTAGAAGAGAACTTGAAGAGGCAGAAATTGAGCTTGGACATTTAGATTCAGCAGATTATTTTAAATTATTTTGATTATTAACGAAAACTTTGCAATGAATCTTAGAATAAGTGACCTAAAGGGTCCATGTTTGCTATGCCACAGGTCTGAGAAATGCTGTGTGAAATAACCAGTCAATTCTAACCTTGATGATCTTCAAGAAAAAAGTCACCAAGTTTCCTGGATTTGCTCTTTCTTTACCTCTGTGGACATAGGGGCAAATTTCCCTGTGGTTCTTAACCAGCAGGGGAGGTGGGCATTGCCCCTACAGAAGGCATTTGGAAATGTGTGTGAGTATTTTTGGTTGTCTGCTGTAATGACTATGGGCTCTACCGGCCTTTTACTGGGAAGACCCAGGGATGCCAAACAGGACAAACTTGCCAATGGTACATTATGCCCGCCCCCCCACAAAGTGCCCAGTGGAGTCCCATTAAAGAACACTGAACCTCTGCCCATTTTCTCCTAGCATGACTCCCTGGGCACTGGGAATGAAGCAGCCCCTGGACAACAACCTGTCACTAACATGCTTCTAACATCCACCTCCAGACCTCCCTTTTTCCATGTAACTGTAATCTAGCTGTCCCCATATCTGTCCCCATGGCTATCAGTTACAAAAGCCTTCAGAAAGTAAGAGTCATTCCTTTCTCCCCAACTGATGGCTCCTTTCAGATTTGCAAAAAGTACTACTTGGCCATGTAATACAGCATGTTCTCAGGCAGGAGAGACAGACCTCGGCACCCAGGCCCAACGTTAGCACTGTGAGTGCTACCTTGGCTCAGGTGCCAGAACGTCAGCCACTGCCAACCATCAACCTTCCTTTAATGAGCTGCTGGGATTGACTGGTCTGATGGTTATCTGGCTGCAGGGAAAACTGTGCTAGGGTATTTTTCTTTGCCCCCATAATAATGAAATGAGCCACGGGGTTTTTTAAAAATATGAGCCAGGAGCCCAAGACCTGCTTTGGAAATTCTGCGCCTTTCCTTTGAACAGACATACAATTTTGGGGCAGAAACAAACCTCTCTTTGAGATGAGTCACCCCACATTAATAAGTGGTACAATATGGCTCTCCTTCTGTGCCTTTGATTTTGATATTTTATTGATGCCTCTTCTTACTGCTTTAAATATTTTAACTAATGGTGTATTTAACTCTACATGCCAGGGTTTTAATGATTAAAATGATAGGTACTAGCTCCTCCTGCCTGCTTGCTGACACTTCTCTACTTCTTTCCCCTGTTGCTCTTCAAAATGGGGCTTCCAAAGAGAAGTAGCCTGTGATGATAAAAAGCACCCTTGGGTTTGCATCCTAGCTCCACCACTCACTGGCTGCTTGACCTGGCTTAAGCCACTTTCCCAGCTAGGCTCTGGTTTCCTCATCTGTAAGGTAGAGTGCTAATCATGATCACACATACCTCACATGACTGTTGAGGGCACTGGTCATGTGAGATCATGGGTGTGCAGAGCTCTAAACAGATATCGTGTCTTCTTATTTAAAGTGAGGACCCAGGCTGAGAAGTGGTGGTCCTAGAATTACCACCCAGGCTGGAATAGTCCTGTTCTCCCGGACTGTCAGCTGCACACCAAACTGCTGCCTGACTCATGCGTCTCCTCTCCAGCATTGATGCAGAAGGAGACCTCTACAGTTAACTCACCTCCAACAACTATACCTCCAAGAAGGCCCTGGAATCCTGGGGCATCAGAAAAAGGAGAAACATTGGAGTGTTTTTGCTCCTTCAATTCTTTCCCCCTTGCTTGTCCTTCCTACTTATACTCTACTTTCCTCTGTATATGTGGTCCTCATTTGGCCTGGCAACTCTAAGTCTATCCCAATTGAAGTACATGCAAATCAGGCAATCTTTCTTTGAAAGGTCAGTTTCTTATGGATGCCAGCCAAAGATGCTCTCAGCATCCCATATTTTCTAGGGCTTCCCCAAACCTCCCAGCCTCCTAGGTCTCTAACCTCAGTATGGCAAGGTGGGGTTTCCAACCTCTGCTGGATCACACTGCGAGGTGATGATGGCAAAATCTTCTGAGCCTTTCCTGAAAGGGCCAAGTGTGCTCACAGCCTCAGGCTCTAGAGCAGTCATGTGGGAGCTCAAAGTTTACATTCCCTCACTCGGGAGCCCCTTCAAGAAACCTTTACTAGAATTTCCCTGCAAGAACTGCATCCAGGCAGATAAAATAGCAAGGCTTTCACATATTTGCATTGAGTTTACATAGAATCTGCATGTGCCCACTTGGTTACCATTTTCTTAGGTTTCATTTATTGAGCTCCTACTATGCATCAGTTGTTGGTTTGAGCCCTATTAGTCTCATTTAATAGCCTAGAAAGCCTATTATCCAAGAGTTTTTAAGGTAAAATCTTGTTGCTATAATGAGCATTTCTGGACCATGATATTAATCCTTTGTATCAGTATAATGCATTATAGTGATAAAGTGCTTTCCCAGCATGTCTATGCTCTAAGGTAGGAACATCAGGCATTATTTCTATTATACAGATTTTAAAAGTGAAGATTAGTAAAGTGACTTGCCCAGAGTCATAAAGCCAATCAATTGAAATGGCCTGTATCTAACTTCTGGGACTACTAGTCCAGTCCTCTTTCCAGACTTCATTTTGTGTTTTCTCTGTTTTCCTTTTATCCTTTTGCAGTCCCTCATCCTCATCTTCTCCTCTAATACATGCATTGCAGAGAAAAAATGAGGACTGAAAGGGGTTTTCAGGACTATCAAGGCAATGCCAGGGGATGACAGCAAAGAAGAGGCACAGCCTGCCTGCTATAAACCCTAAGAGTGGTGTTTGGAGAACCTGTAACACCAGTTACAACTGCATGGTTAGAACACCCCCACCCCCACCCCCCCCCCCCGCCCAATGAAGTACCTTATGATTTCGGTAGAATGGGTCCAAGTCTTCCAGAGGCTTTCCTATGAGCTCACGAGGAATGTCGCCATAGAGCTTGGGCAACTTCCTGGAGGCCTTTAGGTCAAGCTGAGGCCGAGGCTGGGGTACTTCTCCTGTCTGGTCTTTAGACTTCTTTTTCTCCTTTTGGATGGCAATCCGCTTCTCAATTGCAGCCAGAGAGTCGGAAGTGAAGGGGCGGAAATTCCGCTCATCTGGAAAGATTACTGGGTAGCATCTGTCATCCATCTTCACCCTCAGGACAGAGACAAGCCACAGATCCTCAGAAAGGCCTCAGGAGGCGGGAATAAAACAGCCTGCCCTAGGATTCCAGTCTTAAAGGATGGTGTCATAAGGATCTACAAAAGCTGAGCTGAGGTCAGGGGCCTTGGGAGCTGATTGGCTGTGAAGATCAGAAGAGATGACCACCACTGTGGGTATAGCAGGAACTTTTGGCATAGACAAAACCAAAGCAGGGCATCATTCCTGGAGGACCTGGCAAAAGGCGGGAAGTTGAGTTCAGGAACAAGTGAGCAGAAGAAGCCCAGTCTCTAAAACTGAGACCCAGACATTAAGCAAGACAATAAGGCTGAGCCGGCTGAACTGCTGAAGTGGGATCTGCAAGTAGCAGGCAAGTGGCCACATGGCCCAAACAAGAGAAAAAGGAACAGGGAATTGACTGGGCCATAGTTATGGATTGCAAAAGCAAAACTGAAAGTGCATGGGTCTTTTCTCACATCCAGTCAGTAAAGTTCTTAAAATGTGATGAAATGGGAACAAAAGAGCCATAAACATAGGCATGAACTGCGACCCCCATGCCGGCTCTCTCACTTCTAGGACTTCGACCCTAAGAAAGTGAGAGGTGACAGCGTGCTGGCAGTCCTCACAGCCCTCGCTCGCTCTAGGCGCCTCCTCTGCCTGGGCTCCCAATTTGGCGGCACTTGAGGAGCCCTTCAGCCCACCGCTGCACTGTGGAAGCCCCTTTCTGGGCTGGCCAAGGCCAGAGCCGGCTCCCTCAGCTTGCAGGGAGGTGTGGAGGGAGAGGCGCGAGCGGGAACCGGGGCTGCACCCGGCGCTTGCGGGCCAGCTGGAGTTCCGGGTGGGCGTGGGCTTGGCGGGCGCCGCACTCGGAGCAGCCGGCTGGCCCTGCCGGCCCGGGCAGTGAGGGGCTTGGCACCCGGGCCAGTGGCTGCGGAGGGTGTACTGGGTCCCCCAGCAGAGTCGGCCCACTGGCGCTGCACTCGATTTCTCACCGGGCCTTAGCTGACTTCCCGCGGGGCAGGGCTTGGGACCTGCAGCCCGCCATGCCTGAGCCTCCCACTCCCTCCATGGGCTCCTGTGCGGCCGGAGCCTCCCCGACAAGCACCGCCCTCTGCTCCACGGCGCCCAGTCCCATCGACCGCCCAAGGGCTGAGGAGTGCGAGCGCATGGCGCAGGACTGGCAGGCAGCTCCACCTGCGGCCCCGGTGCGGGATCCACTGGGTGAAGCCAGCTGAGCTCCTGAGTCTGGTGGGGACGTGGAGAGTCTTTATATCTAGCTCAGGGATTGTAAATACACCAATCAGCACCCTGTGTCTAGCTCAGGGTTTGTGAGTGCACCAATCGACACTCTGTATCTAGCTGCTCTGGTGGGGCCTTGGAGAACCTTTGTGTCTATACTCTGTATCTAACTAATCTGATGGGGACGTGGAGAACCTTTGTATCTAGCTCAGGGAATGTAAACGCACCAATCAGCACCCTGTCAAAACAGGCCACTAGGCTCTACCAATCAGCAGAATGTGGGTGGGGCCAGATAAGAGAATAAAATCAGGCTGCTGGAGCCAGCAGTGGCAACCCGCTGGGGTCCCCTTCCACACTGTGGAAGCTTTGTTCTTTTGCTCTTTGCAATAAATCTTGCTACTGCTTACTCTTTGGGTCCACACTGCTTTTATGAGCTGTAACACTCACCACGAAGGTCTGCAGCTTCACTCTTGAAGCCAGCAAGACCACGAGCCCACCAGGAGGAATGAACAACTCCAGACGCACTGCCTTAAGAGCCGTAACACTCACCGCGAGAGTCCGAGGCTTCATTCTTGAAGTCAGTGAGACCAAGAACCCACCAATTCCGGACACAAAAGCAGAAAGGGTTTGTTAATAGGGTTACTCTACCATAGGATAATAGCTTCTTTGAGGACTTTCTCTACAGCCACAGGGTTCAAACTAGACACTGAAAAGAAGCAGTAGTATTCAGGTTGAATGCCTATTTCCCCATGCCAGCCATCCTCTTTCTTTCTTATTTACTGGATGCTAATCTAGGGCTGACTCTTACACCCACTCCAGGAAATTATAGTAAGAAACCCAACATATCACTGGTTTGTTCCTTCAACAATTATATGCCCTGTGTCTGTTCTAGGCATGGTGCTAGGCACTAACGGTGAAGAAACACAGTCCCTGGTCCAACAGTTACACTGTCCTGGAGTAGTAGAAAAGACAAAGACAGGAAACTAAAATAGAACAAATGCTACTACAGAGAGAAGTAGTGGGGCTATGTCTATGCATAGGATAGGTGTCTCATCATAGGATAGGCGTCTCAACAGGGAATCAGGGACTGTTGTCCAAACCTTTAATGTCTAAATTGAGACCTGAAGGAGATGTAAGACTTAGGACAAGAGAAAAAGGGGGACACTAGGATGCTCCAGGGAGAGCAAATAGTGTGTACAGGAACCCTCAGCTGAGAAAGAACATGATGTCCAGCAACTGGTTCTGTTTGCCAGGAATGGGGATTTCATGGAGTGGAATGGCCAATAGGGCTTTACTCAGCAGAGGGAGAGAGTGGGCAGGCCTGTAATCTTTGGTAAAGATCATGGACTTCCCCTGAGGGTAATGGGGAATTACTAAAGGTTTGGGTTTTCATTGCTGTTGTTGTTACTGCAGAGGCGAAACACTATCAGATTTGTTTTTTTTTGTTGTTGTTGTTGTTTTTTTAAAGAAAAGCCACTCTAACTATTGGGAATTGGCAGGGATATGGATGGAGCTGGAAGGCCCTTAGCAAACTAACTCAGGAACAGGAAACCAAATACCACATGTTCTCACTTATAAGTGGGAGCTAAATGATAGAAACTCATGGACACATAGAGGGGGACAACACACACTGAGGCCCATGGGAAGGTGGAGGGTGGAAGGAAGGAAAGGATCAGGAAAAATAAGTAATGGGTGCTAGGCTTAATACCTGGGTGACGAAATAATCTGTACAACAAACCCCCATGACACAAGTTTACCTATGTAACAAACCTACATGTGTACCCCTGAACTTAAAATACAAGTTAAAAAAAAAAAGTCCCTCTAACTGTTGGGGATTGAAAAGGCTTGAGATAGGAAGATAAAGGGGAGGCTAAAATCAGAGAAGTGAGCTTGGAAACTCTTGTAGCAAATCAAATTACAGGGGATGATCTAATGACATGCATGGATTTGAGAGTTAATAAATAGCCTTGACATGAGATTAATGGGAAGAGAGAGACTTGAGGGATGGTCCTTACCGAGATTCCTGGCTTGAGCAGATGAGAGGACAGTGTGGCCACTCACTGAGACAGAGAGTGCAAGAAAAGGAGGGCACTGCGAGGGAATAAATTTGGTTTGCAACACACGAAGCTGAAGCTGCCTGGGGAACCTGCAAGTGGAGAGAACCAAAAGGCACTCGAATATAGGGAAATCATAGTTCACACATGTCAGGCTCTGAAAACAGCGTGAAAGCAAAGAAATGTAGCCAAAATTTCTCTTGAAACTCCCTCAGGAAGGCACCATACTGAAGAGGCATCCCAATTCATTACTTAAACGAGTTCAATACAACCAGCTTTTCTTCCAGGGCCAGAACCAGACACTCTTTCTTCAGGTTAGCCCCAAACAAAGTAGTTGGATTGTGTTTCAGGGCCATGATAAAGGCAATGTATGATCCTTCAAGTATACTATGATTAGGGCAAGCAATGATAATACTGTGAGAGCCATATGTCAGCTGAAACTGAATGTAGGACTGTAGATTCATCACTGTCTGTCCCACATTCATCCAGAGTCAAGCTCATTATTGATAGGTCTGGATGATGGAATTCCCCGCACTATTTCAATTTCCCCCTCCTCATGAACATGTGTAATTGAATTTGTATGAATGAAGTGGGCATATAATGAGACTCTGCTGCATTTGACTCTAGAGCTCAAGAAAGACATTTAATTCAGAGCATAAGTCTTTTGCAGTGAACACAATATGGATGCTAGTCAATCCTGTAAAATGGATGCGCTGTGAAAGACCCTGGATGGTAAAACCTGGACCCTATGCTCAGTTACAGCAAGGAGTCCAGTGGCAGGTGCTGCCATCCTAATGGGGCGATTAAAGAAGCAACTGGACACTTTCACCCTGCCATTTTGACTCTGGGAGATATTTTGCCTGGGTTCTTAAGAAAGAGAAACTTGCTAAAAATAAATATAACACAAAATAAAACTGACAACCCCTGAAACTGTACACAGTAAAATTTGTTATAGATGATAAAAAAACAAACAAACAAACAAACAAAAAAACAAAAAAACACACACACACCTAAAGAACCACATCTTAAAAGTAACATTGGCCAGGCACAGTGGCTCATGTCTGTAATCCTAACACTGTGGGAGGCTAAGGCAGATGGATTACCTGAGGTCAGGAGTTTGAGACCAGCCTGGCCAACATGGTGAAACCCTGTCTCTACTAAAAATACAAAAATTGGCTGGGAATGGTGGCATGCACCTGTAATCCCAGCCACTCGGGAGGCTGAGCAGGAGAATCAGTTGAATCCAGGAGGCGGAGGTTGCAGTGAGCCAAGATTGTGCCACTGCCCTCCAGCCTGGGTAACCCAGCCAGACTCTGTCTCAAAAAAAGAAAAGAAAAGAAAAGTAACATTGAGGCCAGGTGCAGTGGCTTACACCCACTGGGAGGCCAAGGCAGACAGATTGCTTGATACCAGGGGTTTGAGACCAGCCTGGCCAACATGGTGAAAACCCATCTCTACTAAAAATGAAAAATTAGCTAGGTGTGGTGGCGTGTGCCTGTAATCCCACCTACTCAGGAGGCTGAGGCACAAGAATCGCTTGAACCAGGAGGTAGTGGTTGCAGTGAGCTGAGATCACTCTACTGCACTTGAGCTTGGGCCACAGAATGAGACTCTGTCCCAAAAAAAATGAAAGTAATATTGAAAACTGCAAAAATTGACCCAGGAAAAGGAAAACTGAATAAAAATTATGAACTCAAATAAATCTGACAAAATAAAACCACATGCAGTATGCAGTAAAATTTCCTTATTAACTGAAAAAACAATTAATGGAAGAATCAAGTATTCTTTAATAAGTAAACTCAGGAAAATTCGACTGTGAAAATCAAGGCTGCATCCACAAAATAGATAAAATTGATAAATTAATAGAAAATCAATATGGCACAAGCTGTAATTGGTAAAATTTGAAATGACTCAAACCCTTATGGTGAAATTTGTACAGAAATACTTAATTCTGAAAATTTTCTGTGCAGAAAATAGATTGCATTGCTAGAAAATTGATCAAAGAATTAAATTAGCTAAGTGCAATTATTTTCCAAGTCCTGCTAACAAATTTGAAGATAAAATTTTCAGATTCTGAATGACTCTTTACAAAAAAAATTACTTGAGTATATACTCCCAAACAATGAAAAGAGAATTCAGAAAAGCAGGATGCATGGAATCCAAGACATTATGTCCTTAACCGAAGAGTGCAATAAAATATTTCTGGTCAACCACACATCAATAGGCTTAAGAAGCAATTGCTCAACCACCATGGCACATGTATACCTATGTAACAAACCTGCACGTTCGGCACAAAAGCCCGGGTATGGTGTCTCATGCCTGTAATCTCAGCACTTTGGGAGGCTGAGGCAGGCAGATCAGGAGGTCAGGAGTTTGAGCCCACCCTGGCCAACATGGTGAAACTTCATCTTTACTAAAAATACAAAAATCAGCCAGGTGTGGTGGTGCGTGCCTGTAATCCCAGCTACCTGGGAGGCTGAGGCAGCAGAATCACTTGAACCCTGGAGGTGGAGGTTGCCATGAGCCAAGACTGAGCCATTGTACTCCAGCCTGGGTGACAGAGGGAGACTCCGTCTCAAAAAAAAAAGCAAAAACAAACAAACAAAAAGAAGCAATTGCCCTGACAGAAAAGTCAGAGAATCCTGGGAAAAATATTTAAACTATAAAGAAAATTTTATGTAACAAAAAATATGTTTCAGAAAATGGTTTTTCCAAATGTTAAAAGAAAGGTAATGAGAAATTCCATCAAAATAAGACGTACTTCAAAAGTAATGGTTTATAGACAAAGCCAACTAAATGATTTGAACCCTGATACCCTGCCATTTTGACAGGAACCTTGGTAAGGAACATCCTTCAGTATAACAGGAAAAATAAGATAATTCATTTGACCTTGACCTTGAATGTGCAGCAGATAGTAACATCAGGGTCCATTCCTTTACCTTTATTATGGGTCCAAATATAGTACAGTTCTTGGTTCCGGAAAATAGTAGCTACAAAATTATGATATAATTCAGGTTATCTATTAGTTTTTAATTTTCACAATCATCCTAAAGATAAAGCAGAATTAATTATAATTATAGAGTAGATTACAAATGCTATAAATGTTATAAAATTTTACTACAAGCTGAAGTCGGAGAGAAAAAGTGAAGGGAAGATTAAAGATACCAATTTTCTCACCTTAAACATTTAGAGAGTCAAGACACTCTATGAAAGGTTGGTCAAGCCATACAAAAATAAGTTTATACCTTAAAATTACACAGATAAGTACAAAACCAAATTTTAAATACAGATAACAAAAACTGGAAGAATCATGGGGAGCCCAGAAGGATTACCATCAATAAGCTAAATTCCTCATCTCCCATAGGGACAATTCAAAAACTTCTACTCAAACTGTATAAATCAAGAAATAGCAGTGTAAGCTAATTTAAAGTTAGAGAGACCCCCTACAAATATATACAATGATTATTTTGTCAATTGAAAATTAAATAGTCCCTGGGCATAGTAGTTCAAAGAAAAAAATAAAACTTAAAAAAAAATTAAAGAGAGAAAATGACCAGAATTAAACACTAAAATGGTTAAAAGTGGGACTGAGCATAGGTGAAAGTGGAGACATTTTACTTTTAACGTTATATCCTTCTCAACATTTTCTCCTTCTAAGCTATTTGAATTATGTGCTTGTGTTACTTTTATAGGTTGCAAAAGGATTGTGAAAATCCTTCAGGGGATGAAAACATCTTCTGATTCAAACTAGAGAGACAAGATATCAAGCACGACAGGCTCCCAATCCCCTTGGGCCATGAAGGAAACAAGCAGAATCTCAACTTGCATGCAGTCTTAAACTGGGAGGCCGGCCACATGCGGGTTACGACTTGACGTGGGGAATGACAGAGCCTGGGAGAGCAGTGAGGAGGCCCTGCAAGACCTTCATGAGCCCAGGGGCCAGTCTTGCAGGGTGGCCAGGGCTACCTGTCACAGGGAACTCTGCAACTGCTCTTCTGTAGACTGGCCCACTCCTGCCGAATAGACAGAAAGCAAACACTCACCTAGGAGAGAGGACTAAGGCCTCACTTTCCAAAGCTGCAAGCTTTATAGAAGCACTTAGGCCTGACCTCCCATGGTTCATTCATTCATGTGCTGGGCACTGGGGATGCAAAGGGATATAAAGCACCAGCCTTCCAGGGTCTTCCAATCTGTGGAGACCAGGTGAAGAAATGACGGAGGATGAAACCATGCCATGTGTACGTCTGCACCAGAGGCAATTGTTGGGTGCTGTGGGAGCCCTGAGTGGGGCATGGTGACGAGGAATCAGAAGTCATTTAGCTGGGAGGAGGGAGGGAGGTGGCCTGGACAATAGGCAACGTAGTGTGAAAGCACTGAGGGCTGCACACGGACTCCTGGCTCTTATTTATGAATTCGCCTGTAGTTATAAAAGTCACATAGCCTCACTGTGCCCTCCAGCTCACTCTCCATCCTTCCCCACTCTGCTCAGTGATGCAAAGCTGACCCACATGTAGCCCCCCATGGGATCTCTCACACTCTGGCTTATGGCTGGGTTTGGTTGGTGAGAGGTATCCAGCAAGTGACCCGGAATATGATGGGAGAGTGAGGGCAGGGATTTCTCTTCCAGCTTTCCCCTGATGGTGGCCATGGGCCACAGTGCCTGTGAGGTGCCCATCTACAGGGCTCGCACCTCCCTTCCCTTGCCTCTTCTGATGTGGGGTGTAATGGCACCTCACTCTCACCAACCTGAGAAATGCACCATCACCTGCTTCTGTTATGGTACTCTGCCCACACCTTTGTAAAAAGTCCCTTTAATAAAATATCCTCACAATGTCCAATTTGAGCTTGCCATCTGTTTCCTGCTGGGGCCCTGGCTGATAGAGTCATTCACTAAATACAATTTAGAAATCAGGAAAAGGAAATTATTACCCACAAGCCATAGCCATCTAATATGTACAAGTTTTAACATTTTAGTGTATCTCTTTGCAGTAGTCTTTTTGTCCATATATTTCATATGACTGTCATTGTCCTGTATAACAATTTTAAATGGTGACTTTTTCACTAAACCCTATAACAAGAACATTTTCATAAAGAAAGCTACCATTTCATAGTGTCTATGCTGTTCCAGGTGAAATTTGGAGTGTGTTAACTAACATACATTATCTCATTTAACCCTCAAAACAATTTTATGAGATATATATTATTCTTGGGGATATCTGAAAGAAATGTTCATCTAGAATGAAGGTGGATTATTTATGGCCTTCTCTTTAAGGTCAGAGGCTTTAACCTTATACCTTCCTTGCCTGGTGTTTCTAGCTTTCTCTTTTGGCAAAGAGCAAACTGATACTGTGATTCTCATACTTTATCCTAACCAGTAAGGGAAATCGCAAGATGTTTCCAACTGCTCACCTGGAACATTTCAGCATAGATCTGGTCCACACAATCTGGAATGCCAGAGGTCCACACTGAGGTTAATAAGAATTATGAATTATGGGCTAAACAAAGGGGCAAATGCTTTAAATGGATTATCTTTCAGAATTTCCCCCAGAAATCTACAAGGTGGGCATGATTACATCATCCCCATTTTGCAGAAGACATTAGGTCTTACAGAAATTGAGAAAACTTGCTTATGATCACATAAGTAAGTGCTGGAAAATCTCAAGCCGAAACAATTCCATTCCAGGCCTTATACTCTTAGCCACCATGCAATTCCTCCTACGTGCCTAGTTCTTCTTACTTAAAACTAAGATATCCCCAAGGAGATGGGAGAAAGGAGTCAAGAGGAGAAAGCCTCACAAGCTTCCAACTGGGCTGGTATGCGTCTATGGCAGCCTCACTGTGTGTGATGTGGCCTCCCAGGACCTCAACCCACTGCCACCTCCTCATTCACATGTCAGTCCTACGGGCATTCCACTGGCCTCACCATGACACTCTCATCCACCACCCAAGTCAGACAGCTTAATGGTAGACATGCCCTACAGAAAACCTCCTCATTCATTTTAGGTGTAACCTGAACAAGTTCTTAACTTTGGTGACACATAATCCATATTTATTAACGTAAGTTACAAAAAAAAGATATCTCTTTCCCTCTTCATAGATCCCATAAGAAAATCAGAAAGCAAACGAACATGATCAGAGTTTAATGAAATTGATCTCAATTCAAAGTCAATCCCAAGATTAGTTTGCTAGCTCTTCAGTAAAGAAATCATGCATGTCAATTTCTGATTAAATAAATTGGCCACGGGGAATTCAGAAAATATTTGGAGGATTTTTACCATCGCCTCAGTTGGAGACAAGATTTGAGATGACCTTTTCTAGCAAGGTCCAATTGCTGGCACAAAGTCCAGGGTTGCAAGCGCCTATTAGGCCAGCTGGCCATCTCCTGTCCCTGTGAGCCCATGACCTCTCAGTGTATTTGACAGCAGGGAGAACAACCCGATGGACTCCACCAGCTGAGCCATATATCTCGTACCCGCTCTCTGCTTCTAATTTGATCAGAAAATAATCACAAAAGGCCTGTACTCTACCCTGATGAGAAAAACAAACCAAGTTCCAGGTGGCAGGTCCCAGACTTGAAAGAACAGAACAGGCCTGCACCCGGCCCAGAGGACTTACCTGACTTCTTGGTAAGGTGGCTCCAGACAGCAATCCCAGCGATACTTCTTGAAGCTCTCCACAGAGCAAGTCTCTCAGCAGAGTTCGAGCTTCTGCTCCTGGCAGCTGCCTGGAGCCCTTCTGGGAGGAGCGGCTTGGAGGCTGGGTGGAGAGTGTGGAGGAAGGCAAATGGGAAGAAAGCCAAAGTGATTTTAAAGAATTGTGTAGGAAACCCTGTAACCGGAGAAGTGACTGAGAGGGTACTTACATTTATACTTTGGAAGCATCTGCCTTTAATCAGTGCTTAATCTAACTCTGCAGAAAGCATCATTAATAAAGAAACAGGTTGTTGTTTTTTTTTCTGTGGCCTGATCCAAGTGGGTGAGGGAATACAGAAAAGTCTGTGTGAAAAGCCAGGTTGTGCTTCCGCATTAAGCTTAAGCTGCAGGCCTCCTAACCCAGTGTTCTGGGGTCTCACCCCCCACAGGACCCACTGAGGCCCACACAACATGGAATTGCTTACAGGGTGTCCATTTGGCATCTCCTCCTTTCTCTTCTCTTGTGCCATTAACCTTGGGGTTCAGACCTAGAAAAATATTGATAACATGCATGCTTATGTGGTGGCCATAGGGATGCCAAGAGAACTTTTGGTCATCCAGACAACTCTGCAGCAGACTGTCACCAACCCAAAACTCCCCCAAGTAAGCTCTTAGTGTTTTTTTTGTTGTTTGTTTGTTTGCTTTTTATTCCTGGGGAAAATTTAAGTCTCCCTGGAAAGTATCACACCATAAGCTATTGTCACCTTCAGGAGACTAGCTGACAGTCAGCTGAGATAAAGGGTACAGGGTGAGTGTTTACAAGGAAGTAGGTGCTTACGGGAGTGCAGGATGGGAAACAGGAAATTTTGGTCCTGCCACAAGGGGCGCTGAATACTGGTTTCGGCTCCACCACTTCTCAGCTGCATGTTATTGGAAAGATCACTTAGTTTCCTGAGCCTTAGTTTTCTCCATGTTAAATATGATAATTCTTTCAAATCTTTTTACTGTTAAGAAGCAAATGTGATAATAGCTCTAAAAACACTCAGCAAACACTAAATCGAAGTATCTGTGGATTTTTAAGAGGAAAAATGCCTGGTTGCTTTTCTCCCCCTACTAAGCCAACACCCAGGTCCTCTGGAGAGGAATTGAAACCACAGACGTGGGATCAGCCCCTGGCCTGGCATGGAGCATATGGCTTGGGTTTTTGAAGCAGGAATCAAAAATTCTAAGCCCTTGCCTGGTTTCACAGTGACTCCCAGAATAAGAGAAGACCAAAGAATAAGAGAGGTACTTAGAGTTAATAAGCACTTTTTACATAAATGCAACGTGTGTGTTTGAAAAGGTAAGAGGACTCCGAATCCATTATCTTAAAGAGCCCTGGCCTTTTGAAATGTAGACTCTTTAAAAAAATTATTTTTCTGATAGGATTGTTTGGGTTTTTTTTGTTACTGATTTGTTTGAGTTCTTTGTAGATTCTGGATATTAGACCTTTGTCAAATGTATAGATGGTGAAGATTTTCTCCCACTCTGTGGGTTGTCTGTTTACTCTGCTGAAAAGCTCTTTAGTTTAATTAGGTCCCAGCTATTTATCTTTGTTTTTATTGCATTTGCTTTTGGGTTTTTGGTCATGAAATTCTTGCCTAAGCCAATGTCTAGAAGGGATTTTCCAACGTTGTCTTCTAGAATTTTTATAGTTTCAGGCCTTAGGTTTAAGTCTTTAATCCATCTTGAGTTGATTTTTGCATAAGGCAAGAGATGAGGATCAAGTTTCACTCTTCTATATGTGGCTTGCCAATTATCCCAGCACCATTTGTTGAAAAGGCTGTCCTTTCCCCACTTTATGTTTTTGTTTGCTTTGTTGAAGATCAGTTGGCTGTAAGTATTTGGGTTTATTTCTGGGCTCTCTATTCTGTTCCATAGGTATATGTGCTTATTTTTATAGCAGTACCACACTGTTTTGGTGACTATGGCCCTATAGTATAATTTGAAATCAGGTAGTGTGACGCCTCCAGATTTGTTGTTTTTTCTTAGTGTTGCTTTGGCTGTGTGGGCTCTTTTTTGGATCCATATGGATTTTAGAATTGTTTTTTCTAATTCTGTGAAGAATGATGGTGATATTTTGATGGGGATTGTGTTGAATTTGTAGATTGCTTTTGGCAGTATGGTCATTTTCACAATATTGATTCTACCCATCCATGAGCATGGGATGTGTTTCCATTTGTTTGTGTCATCTATGATTTCTTTCAATTCCATCAAAAAGTGGGCTAAGGGCTGGATGCGTTGGCTCACACCTGTAATCCTAGCACTTTGGGAGGCTGAGGCTGATGGATCACCTGAAGTCAGGAGTTCAAGACCTTGGCCAACATGACAAAACCCCATCTCTACAAAAAACACAAAAATTAGCTGGGCATGGTGGTGGGCGCCTATAATCCCAGCTACTCAGGAGGCTGAGGCAGAAGAATCACTTGAACCCAGGGAGCGGAGGTTGCAGTGAGCAGATATCATGCCACTTCACTCAAGCCTGGGCAAAAGAGTGAAACTCCGTCTAAAAATAAAAAATAAAATAATAATAATAATAATAATAGTGGGCTAAGGACATGAATAGACAATTCTCAAAAGATATACAAATGGCCAACAAACGTGAAAAAATGCTCAACATCACTAATGATCAGAAAAAAGCAAATCAAAACTACAATGTGATACAACCTTACTCCTGCAAGAATGGCCATAATTAAAAAATCAAAAAACAGTAGATGTTGGCGTGGATGCAGTGAACAGGGAATGCTTCTACACTGCTGGTGGGAATGTAAACTAGTACAGCCACTGTGGAAAACAGTGTGGAAATTCCTTAAAGAACTAAAAGTAGAACTACTATTTGATCTAGCAATCTCACTATTGAGTATCTACCCAGAGGAAAAGAAGTCTTTATTAAAAAAAAAAATAATCTGTACATCCATGTTTGTAGTAGCACAATTCACAACTGCAAAATCATGGAAACAACCTAAATGCCCATCAATCAATAAGTGGATAAAGAAACTATATCTATTTGATGGATATATATATATATATATATATATATATATATATGATGGAGATATATATATATATATATATATATGATGGAGATATATATATATATATATATGATGGAGATATATATATATATATGATGGAGATATATATATATGATGGAGATATATATATATATGATGGAGATACATATATATAATGGAACACTATGCAGACATAAAAAGGAATGAATTAACAGCTTTTGCAGTGACCTGGATAAGATTGGAGGCTATTATTCAAGTGAAGTAACTCAGGAATTGAAAACTGAACATCGTATGTTCTCACCGATATGTGGGAGTAAGCTATGAGGATGCAAAGGCATAAGAATGATACAATGACTTCGGGGAGTCGGGGGGAAGAGTGGGAGAGAGGCAAGGGATTAAAAAACTACTAATATGGTACAGTGTAGACTGCTCGGGTGATATGTGTACCAAAATCTCACAAATCACCACTTAAGAACTTACTCATGTAACCAAATACCACCTGTACCCCAATAACTTACAGAAAAATTTTAAAAAATTAAACAATTTTTTCTGAACAATTAAGTCACATTTAAGTCACATTCAGACTTCCTGAAGTTTCAAAGAATCTTTCTAGCTTCATCTTTAAGGTAAATGCAAATGATTCCAAGTGTAAAGACTTAAGTGACAAAGAATAATACACACACAGGTCACTTGAGTGGAGTTTGCATTCAGGACTTTTCTGTCCTGTGGGAAATTAAAACATGTGTCTGACAAATGGAGCAGAGCACCTGTGCTGGGTCCACATTGTAAGAGGATGTCAACAACAGACACGTTCAGAGGCGCCCCACATTTGCATCCTTGGAGCCACACAGCACATTGCCGTCCCTTGGTGATGGCAGGCAGCAAGACCCTGCCAGTCTCAGTTCTGCCGTCTGATGAGGAGTCTGGCTTCAGCATCAGTGGCCAGGTAAGGTGCATCAGCTTTAGCAGCAGCAACACCTCCCATCTGCTCATTTAGCAAAGATGACATTGAGCCGCCTCTACTGCAGAACACCATGCTGTATCCTGAAAACATTAAAACAAGACCTTAGGTCTTTAGGAGCATGCATCTGCTGCATGAGAAAGAACAGGTGTGCTGAGAAAGAACCATAAAAAAGCAAGAGATCATCAAGGAGCTGCAAGTAAGATACAGAGGCTTTCACAGAATGGGACAGGGAGCAACTCGTTCTGGTATGGCTTCCGAGAAGAGGTGAGATTTAAACTGAAGCATAGAGGATGACTAAGAACTCAACAGGTGGAGAAAGTGGGGATGGGCTTTCCATGAAAAGCAGGTGCAAGGGCACACAGGCTTGGAGGTACAAGCATGTGTAGACAACCTCTAGTGGTTTCATGGAGATGTGGTATTGCCAAAAGGAGGAGCATGGAAGAAGAGGAGGCAAAGTTGAAGGGATGCCTTGAATACCTCTTGCATACCACCAAGGAGTTCAAACCTAAATTTGTATTGATTCACACAGCAGGCATGATACTGGCACCGTCTCAAGCTCTCGATTACTTTAGGCATAACCACCAAGTCTTCTGTTTCCCTGATGTGGGCCACTGCTGACATCCATGCAAATAAGCAGATGTCAATGGACAACGTTCAGTGTAGGATGAGTGCCGCTTAGAAGAGTGAACAGCCAAAGTGAACAGAGCATTGTGTGGGGAAACTGAGAGTAAGCAAACCAAAAGAACTGGCTGTGACTGATTCTTCAGAGACAGCTCTGAGGAAGCACAGAATCCGTGGCTAGGAAGCACTTCCTCCAGGGTTCTAATGGAGACTCCTAGTAGATCCTTACAGAAAGCATACTCATTGAGAAGAGTTTCATGATCTTGTTCACTGCCGTGCCGTGATTAAAACAGTGCATGTCACTTAATAGGTGCTTAATAATTGTTTGTGAATAAATAAAATAACTGCTAACCTCCTCATAGTCCTTTCTGAGACCCAGCCCTGGCTCCTCAATCTTGTATGTCTGGTCCTGGGAAGGAGGCCCTGCCAGGCCCCTGTAAGACAACGTTTGTAAGGTCTGGTTTCTTCATTCCCATCTTTTGTTTCCAGCCAGCTTCGCCCAGTGCAAGCCCTTCTCACCTCTCATCTTGACCATCATGAAGGCCTTCACAATCGACAGTCTGCTCCAGTTTCCTCCTGGTAAGCTGTCCCTATCCTGACCACCCCTGTTCCAGCCACATCTTGCTCTTCTCTGTTCCCTGCCCTGACCAGACCTTGTGGCCACTCTGAGTCTTGCTAAAGTCGCAGTGCTCTCCTCTTGCCTTTCTTCTCACGCATTTCCCAATCTCTGAATTTCTGCTGCTTCTGTGAAGCCTTTCTTTTTCTTTTTTTTTCATATGACAAGGTGTTTATTGGAGTCTTAAGAATTGCAATTTGGAAGACACAGATTCGACTAGAAGTCAGCTTGTGTTCCAAAGAAAGGGAGGGGAGTATGCATTTTTAAAAGGAAGCCGAGGCCTGGGTATGGTGGTGCACACCTGCAATCCCAGCACTTCAGGAGGCTAAGGCAGGAGACTCATGGGAGCCCTGGAGGTGAAGGCTGCAGTGAGTTAGGATTGTGCCACTTTACACCACCTTAGGTGACAGAACAAGACCCTGTCCCTTAAAAAAAATTAAAAAAAAAAGAAGCTGAGGATGATTATGCAAGTTGTTTTGAAAAAATATATATCACTGGTAGAGGCAGCTGGCTTAGTACCTGAGATCATTGGTTGTTTCTGTTCAGAAGTTGCAGCGCTGGTGAAATTCAGCTGCTTTCCAGAACGTTGCCATCAAGGCTGTTTGGCCCAACCCAAAAATTCGAGGCAAGTTTCTGAGGGTTTTTGTTGTTGTTGTTTGCAAGGTTGCAGGTCGTCAGTCCTCCCTAGAATGGCTTCCTGACTTCACTTTAGAGATCTGAACCAGAGGGACATCATTTTGTGTATCAGTTTCACATAACAAAGGAAATTAACATTTGTTAATGTCATAGTTCATTATTATCATTATAGATCATTCATTCATTACAAAACAAATAAATTATGTAATTTGAGGTAGGAGTATTTTACAAAAAAAAGATGAAGCAAGGTAAGAGGAGAGAGTAGCAAGGATTGTACATTTTTATTGCTATACAATATTTTATCCATTTATGGGGTATATTTGATTTTGTTGCATGCATAGAATGTGTAGCAACCAAGTCAGGGTATCTGGGCCGGTATCCATCACCTTGAATATTTATTATTTGTATGTGTTGGGAACATTTCAAATTCTCTCTTCTAGCTGCTTTGAAATATAGAATACATTGTTGTTAACTACAGTCACCCTACTCTGCTGTTGAACATTAGAACTTATGCCTTCTACCTAACCGTATGTTTGTACCCACTGACCAATCTCTCTTCCTACCACTGCCCTCCACATCCTTCCCAGCCTCTGGTATCTATTATTCTCCTTGGCTTCTGTGAAGCCTTTCTTGACCATGTTTATGCAGTGCATTGCATACTTTCATGTTTCAAAATTATTTTAGACATTGCCTTTGTGTTTTGGTTTGGGTTCCCCCAGAAGCATTAGACAAGCACTCCAGTGTGGGAGTTTATTTGGAAAGTGATCTCAGGAAACAGGATTGAAGGAATGAGGAATGGAAAGCTGAGAAGGAGAAGCCAATAAAGGGTGTGCACTTGAGATGATTACTGATATGGCCAACTGTGGCTCAGCCTCTCTAGAGACTGTCTGAGGAACCACATAGAATGTACTTGAATATTAGGAGGCTGAAACATCTATCCTCTGGCTTACATTCCCTATTGTCAGAGATGCCATGGTAACCAGCCTCCAAGGCAGCCCAATGATCCGTATCTCCTGATTTTCACTTTCTTGTGTGGTTCTATCCCAAATTGAACAGGGCTGACGTGTGTAAACAATAGAATATTGGAGAAGTGACAATGTGTAATTCCTGAGGCTCAGTCATAAAGGGCATTGCAAGTTTTGTCTTGCTGTCTTGGATTGCTCACTCTGGAAGAAGCTAGTTGCCATGCTGTGAGGACACTCAATGAGCCCTACGGAGATTCCACGTGGGGAGCATCTGAGGCCTCTTGTCAATAGCCAGCACCAGCTTACCAGCCATATGAGTAAGTCATCTTGGAAGCAGACCCTCTATTTTCAGGAGTTCATTTCCCTCCCATCTCCAAATCCCTGGGCTATGCTTGTTTGTGGGCTGAGAGAGCTCCCATGGCTTTGGAGAAAGCACTGAGACAGAAAAGCCAAGTGAAGCAAGGCAGACTCTTGAGGTGGGATGCTGTCAGTATGCAAGGGAACTGTCCACCACAGCTTTAGCTGGAATCAGAGGTGGGCTGCTGGAATGTGGCAGGGAATACACAAGCACCTGCTAGACTGAGCAACTTCCTAAAAGATGATTCCTGCATATTCTTATTTCCCCTCCCCAGGGCTCATCAAAGGGCTACTCACACATGTCAGTATTCAGCAAAGGCATCAACGCCCAACTCATGAGAGCTCCTGCAACAGTGAAAATTGCTCCATCCTCTGACTTCCACTATTCATTCCTTGTACCTTTTCTAAGTATTTAGTTCACTCTGCTTCCAATTCTAATATACAGTATTGAGGATTCTTTTGGAACAGAATGCTAACCCTAGCTAGTATAAGCATAAAAGAAAGCTTGCTGGCAGAGAACAGGGGTGTCACACAGAATTCAAGGGGAGAGAAGCTTCTGACCCTCATGGAGTAGAACCGAAGAATGAAGACCTGTAGGAAATACAGGGAGGTCTGTGTCTCCTTGTCTCTTGCAGTTGTTGCTAGTCTACAGCCTCTTTGCTCTCCTTTCTCAGTGTTCACTGGTTTTCTCTGATCCTAGTACACCTGACAGAAAATGTTCACTCTCAACCACCATGTTTACATGCTGCTCTCTCTCATTCCCAGATACAAAATTCCTAGGGAAGGGACTGAGTGGCCCCACCTGGCTCAGGGGCCTGACTCTGAACCTCAACAGAGGCCAGAGAGATGGAGGTCAGGCAGCTGCCCCTGCCAACCTGGTGGACCAGGGAGAAGCAATCCCTAAAGAAAACCCTAATGGGGATAGCAACATTATAGCAATGTTTTAAAAATTAAATGAGGCAGTATGCCAAAACTTCCCTTCATACATTCTAAAATGTTATACAAAGGTCCAACTTTATTGTTATTTGGGAACCAGTGTAGTGTAGAGGGAAAACACACATGCCTCCCCCCAACACACATGTGCACACACACGTGCACACACACATATGCTTACACATGTGCACACGCATACATATATGCAAACACATGCACACAAGCACACACATACACACCCACACACGCACACACATACACACGTCAGAATCAAAGACCTGGCCTGAAGCCTACCTTGTTCTGCCACCTAATAGCTGTGTGATCTCCTTTTGAACTTTCTGAGCCTCAGTTTCTTCATCTAGAAAATGGCACTGATAACATCTACTACATAAAGTTTTCATGTATTTAAATGATCAGGAGTTAACACTTTATAAACTGTAAAGTACATGTGAAAATAAATGCATATGGTTGTGGTAATAGTATTTATATATGTGGTCTCCCACTAGCTACCATGTCCCTACCCCACACACAGATACAAATACATACACACTCCAATTCTTTATGCCCGTCACAGCCCCTACCTACCATATTTGAGCCCCAAGTAGTAGCTGCAGTGGCTTGCTGACTTATTTGTGCAGGAGGGTGCAGGGAAGAGGTGGTTGGAGGGAGGAAGGGAAGGAACAAGGCAGGCAGGCAGGCAGGCAGGCAGGCATGCTGCCAGACTGAGGCTAGGATAGGTGGCCAAGTCTACATGGAGGCCCAGCGAAGGGACTGGCTGGAAGTCAAAAAGGATATAATTAACTTAAGAATCACCATAAACTTGTTGCCACTCTTAATAGGCTTCAAATATTTTCTCAATTTACCCTGGCTTCATTCTTCTTGGTTTACCCTTACTGGGGAGGAAGGAGGAGAAAAATCTTAAAGGGGCAGCACCACCAAGCACATAAGAGGGATGAACAGGTCTAAGCTTTGAACAAAATCTCAGCGGCCTGCTGTGACATCAGCTGCCTGCACGGCCCCTCCTTAGGGAACACAGGGAGTGAGGGAGTTGAGTTGTAGTGACAGGAAGAAACACACATGCCTGACCTGGCTGTGAAGCTGCCATCCTTGACCCTGTGGTCTAGGGGCTGCAGTTTAGTGTTCTTTGAAGAGTCAAGGGAGGATTGCCTTGTGATGCTCCCTGTGTTTGGTCATTTCAGCTTGCTTTGTTTTTTCCTGACTAGGCAGAAAGTGCATGTTGGTATTTCTGGAACAAATTTAAAAGCTTCTGGAAACGAATTCACAATGTGCATAAGAAAAGAGACAGTGTCTGATAACCGAAGTTCAAGCTGAGAAGCAGCATGATTGGATATCACAGGATCAGCTCCTCACTCCACCTTAAGTTAACTGCTTAATGCCAAAGTCTAGTCTTAAGAAGGCTCAGTTCTCTCTCTAAAATTGAGAACACAAACCCCCCAATCTACCTCCCACATAAGGTGGCCCAATCAAAGCCTCCAGGCTTGCCTGCCCCTGTGGCCATCTTTTGAATGCTCCCTTTTATCTGCAGCGCAGATGTTAGCTGCCTGTTTCTCTGCTGTCACCTGTATCCACTCTTGCGGCCCCTGGCTTCTGGTCCCCCAAAGAGCCTGCTCTCAGGAAAGCATTAGTGAGCATCGTAGATCTCACCAGTGTTTCTGTAGGGGAGAGAGCGGAGGAGGGTTATACTGCACAGCCCATAGCAAGAGGGGGGATCTCTCTTGGCCTTCTAACCCTACTGGACCCTCGATTGGATCTATTCACCTCAATTTCCTGCCATCTTTCCTCTCAGGAATGAAACAGATTTCAATACTGTTTCCAATCTTAAAGATGCCACCCCCTGTAATTTTTTGCATGCATGCCCTTGGGATCTTACTCTCCATCTCATCAAGCAATTTACCTGAGTATTTCTTTGAAACAAATAATATGCCCTCTCCAAAATAAATTTTAGTAAAGAAATATGTCACCAGCTCATTAGATTGCCATAATTTGGAATTAAAGGTAACTTTCTCTTTTAGTTTGCTGTCAATTTTATATTTAATCTTAGAAATTAAAAATAGATACTAGAAATCTTAGTTAATTTTTTGGTTGAGGCCTGGCCTTTCAGACACTATTCAAGAGGCCTTGAGGTGAGTGTGTGTGCCTGCTCACAGATGTCTAGAGAGTCAGACCCTCAGGGTCCCTGCTTAGCTCACTCTCCTGGATCATCTGTGACCCATGCTCTGGGCAATCCAGATTGTTAGCCTCTAGGCTCCTTGGACACCAGCAAGACCCCTTCCCTATAACACCCCGCATGATGTTGCCTTCTGAGAAGAGGTCAGCACCATGGGCCGTGAGCACACCCTGACCATGAAGGCTTCATTGTGCCCCCAGAGCTTTGGGACTTTGCTCAAAAGGAGGGGCAGGTGTGGATGCTCTTTCAGCCCCTCTGAAAGCCCAGACTACCTGATCTCCCAATCCCTAGACCCATCTTCCTCCATCAGGGAGCTTAACAGGCTTTGAAGTAGAGGCAGAGCTGCTACCAGAGCCCCAGTGGAGGGTCCAGGGTCTCACAGCCTCAGCAACTCAAAGCTATAGATCCTGTTGCCGTGGCTCAAATCCAGAGACGTAAGTGTCTGATGTGTGTCCCTGAGAGCTCAGCTGTGCATTCACACTCACCCATACACTTACACACTCACATTTTTTCTTTTCTTTTTCTTGTTTTTTTTTTTAACAGACAAGGTCTCTGTCTGCCGCCCAGGTTGGAGCTCAGTGGCATAATCATAGCTCCCCGCAGCCTTGACCTCCTGGGCTCACATACACAGAGCTCAGCAGAAGAGACACGTGAAAGAAACAGACTCTAAAACCTAAAACGTCACTAAGGACACCACCTAATTTCTTCTGGATGGTTGGACTCCCTTTACCCTAGAGGTAAGGAAAGAGGCTCACAGGCCAGGTGATCCCAAAGTGGAGACAAAAGAGCAAGCAGGCAGGTAAAGGGCCTTACTAACTGAGCACTGGCCTGGCTAAGGCTCACCTCTCTGTCCTCATCTCCCCCGCACTCATGCCAGAGACTTATTCCCACAGCCATATCTGTGCTCCTGCTGGACCCCTGTATGAGATGCCCTCTTCTTTACTTCCTTTCCAAATCCACACCAACATTCAGAACTGGTTCAAGTCCTCTTCTTCCAGGGAGCTTTTCTCACTGCAAGATCTGACCTTTCTTGGCCCCCAGTAGCCCAGCCAATGACACTGACAAATACTATGTGCTCCTTCCTCCCCTCCCTGTTTCTTGGTGAATGAGCCTCATCTCCTGGGTGGGCTGAAAGCTGGTTCAGGGCAAAGACTATCCTACTCTCTGTATGTCTCAACACCCAGCCTGGAGTTCATGCTTATAAAGTAATATTCAATTCCTTATTAACTGGGACAAAAGATGTTGGATGGGAGAAGGCTCAGCTGCTTCCAGAAAGACACTTGTGCTTCAAAGCTTAAGGAAGGCAGGAGGCAGGAGGAAGGAGGGAGGCAGAGAGGTAGGGAGGGGGAAGAAGCACTCACTAAAAGCTTATGGAATACACAGAAGAGCTGAGCATCAGAACAAAGACTCATTTAAGAGGGCAAAGGAAACACTAGATGGCTGTTAATGGTGAACTGAATATGATAAATTATTTCTTAAATTACTTGGTTTCACTCCTTGTTGTTATGTACAGTTAATTGGAGGGAACAAAATCCTGCTGCAGAGAAGAGCTCAGAGCTGTGCCTGCCTGGATGGGGGAGTGATGGGGGAGCCTTGGAAGCCCCCTTACAGTCTCAGATTTTTCATTTCTCCAGGACCTCATAGCCATGATCAAGGGCTGACAAACCACCATTCACCCTCCAGCTTCCTCCGGTGACCCAGGTCCTTTTACCTATGCTCTGGTCCCCTAGCAGGCTTGGGTCATTGGCAGCCCAGGTAGCCCAAGGGAGAGAGAATCAGAGGTGAGCTGAGTGGCCAGAGGTCATCTAAAGGATTCCCCAGACTTTGAACACCAACCAGGCCCCAGCTGTCTCTCACCTGAAAGAAAGCTAGATGGCTTCAACAGCAGATTTCATCTCAGTTCAAAAACTTGGATTGTGACTCTTTTTTCCCTTATGTTTCATATATATGTATACACACACACACATACATATATATGTAAACACACACACACGCACACACTGAGACACACTGAGGTACACTGAGTTTTTACCAAATTTTAAAGCACTTAGTGGAGAAAGGGGTCAAAGGAGACATACAGAGTAAGACACAGTTTCTGCCTTCACTTACTTGGGAAGACAGATACAAGTAGATTGAATTTATTATGGGCTGCATAGAAAAAAAAAAGTCGTTCTAACACTTAATTTAACACAAAGAATCTGTTAGAGTTTGGAATTTTATTAATAATCCTGTGGCCAAAGGGAGAAGAGGCAGGCAAAGTGAGCCTGATAACATTGTCAGCAAAGGAAAGAAATTTAGGAACATGTAGAGCTGTGTGACGGACCAGGATTTCACACAAAATGTTTACATGAAAATTAATTAATGAGGCTTGGAGAGTTTTAGTTACATTATATAGGAGACAATATTAAAATGTTGAAGTCCACTTGTCTACAAGATAGTTTAATAATTACTATCAAAAGGCATTTTTATAATTATAGAAGTAGAAAAAAGAAAAGTTATAAGATGTAGCATAGGTGTAAGTTTGAAGACCATGTCACTTTTTCTAAACAATATTTAAATTTACATTTAATCTTATGTTTAGAAACTATTCTCAACCTTCAGTTTTATCACAAGAAAATGTTTTTAATTGCTATATTCGTTTGAATACACTTTTGAATAAATAAATATTATCTCAGGAGAAAAAGCTTTTTCACAAGTCTGTTAATTAGAGGCTCACTGTCTCTTCTTGCAGTCAGAAGTCAACAGTAACACCACATAAATGGTGTTGAGATACACACACACACACACACACACACATATAATTATATATAGCAAAATCAAAATGCTAACAAAGAAAGTAATATGAGATAATGGTTTTTATATTAAAAAACTGTGGTGCTTAAAGAAGAGCCTAGAATGACAGTTCTATCAGTATGGATAGTTAGATACCTTGAATAATTCTTGCTAGTAAAACAACTAAAATATTGGATAAAATATTAAAAGTTTAAAAATTAGAATATTTAAAAAGCTCTGATGATTTAAGCACTCTAAAGATAAATAGAAAACAGAAACCTCTGGATGGAAGAGAGTGTTGGAAGCAGCTTTGACCTGAAGGATCTGTGCCCCACCCTGAAGATCTTAGGCTTCCACTTGGATGACTGCACAAGGTTGAGGCAGGACAGAAAGCCTGGGGACCATCTAAAGTGGAATATTTTAAAGGAGTTTATTGTGTAAAGCTGGAGCACCAAAGGGCTCCACCTACAGTGTAAGGTGAACAAGAAATAAAATCTCTCTTTAGAAGGAGGCTGGCAGATGCCAACAGGAATTCTTTCTGAAGGGGTTGTACTGTGACCCAGACCTTAAGCAATTCCCACAAATAAGATTTTAGTAAAAATATCACCTTACAATCAAAGTCACAAAACATACAAGGAAATAAGTCATCATGAGTGAGAGCCAAAGTAATAGACAACACAAAGGCTTAGGAACTGGAATTAACAGATAGAAAATGTAAAAACTAATAGAAAAGCTGAAAAACATGAGGGTACAAGAGATCATAAAGAATAATCTTAGAAAATTTCAAAATTAAAGAAACAGTATTTCTAGAAATAAAAATAATTAGCAACTGGGATTTAGAAATGTAATGCACAAGTTAAACAGATTACACATATATGAAGAGAAAGTTAGTAAACTAAAAGGTAAATACAACAAAATTAAACCAAAATATGGCACAGGAATACAAAATGATGCAAAATAAGTAAGAAGGGTTGGGACATGGAGAATGAATTAAGAAGGCCTAATTCAAGGCCGGGCGCAGTGGCTCATGCCTATAATCCCAGCACTTTGGGAGGCCGAGGCGGGCAGATCACGAGGTCAGGAGATCGAGACCATCCTGGCTAACACGGTGAAACCCCGTCTCTACTAAAAATACAAAAAATTAGCCAGGCATGGCAGCAGGCGCCTGTAGTCCCAGCTACTCGGGAGGCTGAGGCAGGAGAATGGCGTGAACCTGGGAGGCGGAGGTTGCAGTGAGCCAAGATCGCGCCACTGCACTCCAGCCTGGGCAACAGAGTAAGACTCCGTCTCAAAAAAAAAAAAAAAAAAAGAAAAGAAAAGAAAAGAAAAGAAGGCCTAATTCAAGTCTAATTGAATTTCTAAAAGGAAACAATAGAAAAAAATAAAAACAATATTCGAAGTGTATTATAACAATGGAGAAATTTCCAGAATTATTAGGAAATGCCAATCTTTGAATCTAAAAAGCTCAATAAATCCAAAGTGAAATAATTTTTAAATCAATAACTACGTGCAAAATAGTGAAATTTTGAAACATCAAAGGCAACTAGATTCTGAAAGCTGCCATAGAGAAAATAAAGATCGTGTACCAATGAACGGCAATTTAATTCTTGGCTGATACCTCAATATCAATAAAAGAATACAGAAATCAGTAGAGTAAAATGTTCAATATATTGAGAGGAAAAAACCCAAAACTGTCAACTTAAACTTGTATGCTGATAAAAAACTATTTCAAAAAACGACAGTAAAATACAGACAATTTCAGACAAAAACTAAGAAAAATTTACCATTAAAAGATCCTCACTGAAGAAAATCCTAAAAAATATACTTCAAGCAGAAGAAAAATTCTTCCAAATGCCAAGTCTGAGACACATGAAGGGATGGTGAGTAAAAACGTAGGTGGATATGAATAGGAGGATACAGCTAAGCAAACTCTGACTCTGAAGTTAATAATAACATTAACAATAGTAATAATGTCTAATAGAATAATGTCTAATTCGAGGGGTGAGAAGGTAAGCTGGAAATAAAATATGGGATAACAAAAGCATCTAAGTTGAGAGAAGTTAACAAGAATTAAAGCATTCTCAGATCCTCGTACTGGTCTAATTCAGCAGGATTAATATTTGGATTGGTTTTGGTTTAGTGCAGGCATGTTAAAACACTTGCTCAACAAATTGTTCAACTTCTTTAGCAAGCTGAGCAAGTTGTTCAAGTGGACATAGAGTGGATAACTTTTTCCAAACAAGTCGAGAAGGAAATTTTAGTAAGAAAAGGAAAAGAAGTCAAGAATGAAGATTGTTAAACATTATGTAAAGTGACAATACAGTCACAAAAAGATAGATATTATATGATTACACTTATATGAGATACCTAGCAATTCATAGAGACAGAAAGTAAAATGGTAGTAGCCAGGGGCCGGGAGGAGGGGAGAAAGAGGAGTTGTTTAATGGATATAGAGTTTCAATTTGGGAAGATGAAAAAGCTCTGGAGATTGATCTCACAAACATGTGAATGTACTTAACGCTATATTGAATGGTACACTTTAAAATGGTAGGATGGTAAATTTTATGTTAGGTGTATTTACCACAATATTTTAAAAGGAAAAAAGAGTGGAAATTGTTTAGAATTTTTTTAACCATAAAATGCAGTATAAAGAGAAAACACATAATAAGCATAATAAGATAGTATAAATATATTTTAATATATCAGTAATCACTTTAAAGTTCAATATACTTAACTCTCCAGTGTCATTGTTTTCATATTGGATTTAAAATAACAATCCAGTTACATGCTTGTTATGAGACACAATTAAAATATAAGAAGGCAGAAATATTGAAAGTCAAAGAACAGTAATATACATACTGTCATAAACCAAGTTTCCATACTTATGAGGACTGTTTCTTAGTTTTTACACACTCAAAACATCTACTCACACCTCCCACAAGACACTTTTGAATGCAGCAGACTTAAGGCCTGGGGAGGTGATGGCAGAAATTGCATTACAGAAATACAAACAATTTCAAATCAAATACAGTTAGAGCATTCATAATCTAAAAAATCTGAAGTCAGCAATGCTCCAAAATCTGCAACATTTTGAGCACTGATATGACATTCAAAGGAAATGCTCACTGAAACATTTCAGGTTTCATATTTTCAGATTAGGAATGCTCAACCGGCCTGCAAATATTCCAAAATCTTTAAAAATCTGAAATCCAAGGTACTTCTTGTCCCAAGTATTTTGGATAAGGGATACTAAACCTGTATTGCACACTTGATCTTAGCAGTTCTTTGGTCACCCCACTCCAAAGCTCCAGGCATCATATAATCTCATTGGCTTCTCCCTTAACCCTTCCCCTCTCTCTCCCACACTTGCACCCAGGATCTCTAATTCTTCTTGCTCATCATGCCCAGCAATTCAGCTTTCTCCCGTCCCCCTACCCAAACCCAGTCAATATTCAAATCCATGTAGACGCTCTGAATAATGACAGACATTTTACTTAATAAGAGCCTTCCTTCTCAGAAGGTAGTGATTTATTATTATATGTAGAATTAGAAGCAATCAGGAGAATATTTTAATATCAAATACTGCACAGAGTGTGGCTCATTCCAGAGCAGTAGTTTCTAACCAGCAGTGAGCATCCAACTTCTCAAAAGCCTCTCTGCAAATCCTCTTAATCAGACCTCCTACCATGGATTTGGATCCACAAGTATTTCTGTTAAGCTAAAGAGAAAACAAAAAGAAATTACTGTTGCTGAGTAGGTTGTGATCACTCAAAAAGGAGAAAGAGTGGGTTTCCACTCCACTCTTGACTTCCTAGTCCAGCCCTCCTAATTTGTCTGAAATGTTGCCATGGTTTCTTCTCTAGCCAGTTGGCCTGCTATTCCTCCTCCCGCTCCACTGGCCCTGTACACGCCACATCTGAGACCAGGGCTGCTCAGAAGACTCGGAGGGCTCCCCATTGGCACTGGATAAGAATTCTATCACCTGAACAAGTCACTTTACCCCTCTATGCCTCAGTTCCTTCATTTGTAAGTTGTAGATGGTAGTAATTTGTAGGCAGTCATGAGGTTGATACGGGAATGAAGAGTCAATATTTGAAAACCCTTTAGAACATTGCTTGATACATCATAAGTGCTCAACAAATGCAAGCCATTACCACTGTTAGTGTTGTTTGTGTTTTCTCTGGTTTTGATCACACCTCTTTGCTCTGCAAGTAAAGCTGCAGAATATGGCCCTACCTTCACCTGCCTTTCCAGACTCATTTCCCACTGATACCCAAATTGGAACATCTCCATCACCCAACAACATGCCTTGGAGCTTCCCCTTCTGCGCTTAGCTTACTCTGTAACTTCTACTTGGAATGCATGTTTTTCTTTCTCTCTACATATTGATTAATCAGCAGATAAGCCATTCTTTCAAAGGCATAGCTCAAGTTTACCTCCTCCATGGACTTTTCTCTTCTTGCCACCATCCCATATTAAATCTGCATCATCTCTCACCAGGAATATTTGAATGGTCAGACCATCTTCAGCCTCTCCCCACCAATATTACTATTCTCAATGCTTTCAGAAAATTATTTTCCTTTTAGAAGAACATACATTCACTGATTGTCTATGATGTGCCAAGCACTGTTGGAACCTTCTGCAATATTGCAACTACCCACATACAACAGGTATTACTATCCCCATTTTACAGACAAGAAAACTGATGCTCAATGCCAAGATCACAGAGCTGGTGGTGGAGAGGCCAGGATCCATGACCACATCTGCTTCCTGCAGAACCCACACTTCTTCCACCACAGTCATCTCTGCTCCAGGTTTGCCATTTTTGCCACTTCTACCGAACACCTGTATAACTATTAACTTACTATTTTTATTTATATCAAGTCTATTTTTATTCTTAGATATATTCTTTTTAAAATCTGTATGTCACTCCTGTTCATTAAAAATGAATAACACTTTTCCTCGGCACGGTAGCTCATACCTGTAATCCCAGAACTTTGGGAGGCCCAGGTGGGTGGATAATTTGAGATGAGGAGTTCAAGACCAGTCTGGCCAACATGGTGAAACCTCGTTTCTACTAAAAATACAAAAATTAGCTGGACGTGGTGGCACACACCTGTAATCCCAGCTACTCGGGAGGCTGAGGCAGGAGAATTGCTTGAGCCTGGGAGGCAGAGGTTGCGGTGAACCGAGATCACGCCACTGCACTCCAGTCAGGATGACAGAGTGAGACCCTGTCTCAAAAAAAAAAATTAATAACTCTTTTCATAAACAGAAAGTAATATAAAGTGAAATGAAGATAATTTGATTTTATTAAATTTAAACATGATAAGGAAGGATAAAGAAAAGCTCCCTAATGTGGTTTGTGGACCCAGCGTGCTTTGGCCCTGTCCCCTCCAGCCTCGGCCCCTCCGCTCTCTGCCTTGCCCTTCCACAGCAGCCTTCTTTCTGTCCTTAGTGCTTGCCATGTCACTGCCACAGGGTATTTGCACATGCCACTCGACCTAAAACCTTCTTCCCCATCATGTTTACTTACCTCCTTCTAGCCTTTCAAAGGTCAGCCTCGGGAAACCTTTAAAGAACTTCTAATTGGGCCAAATCCTCTCTACCTCAGGCCTCAGGGCGCTGTGGGTCTCTCCTTCATAGCACTTTTCCCAGGGACAGTTTTGCATTTGTTTGTGAAATTGATTAGCCTCTGTTATGTAAATTCACCAGGGCTATGACTATTCCTGGTTTTGCTCACCATTGAATTTCCAGAATTTAGCATGGTGCCTGACACACTGTAGGCATTTAATAGTATTTGCTGAATGAAGAAAAGAGTGAATGAGTGACTGAATGGTTCCCAGATTTTTGAAATCTAAGTAGTAAAGTGCAATTCCATGTGGATGTAACTTTTTTCTTCCCTAATCAACACCTGTGTTTCTGACTTGATTATGTGGTGTGAGAGATATTGTAAGCTTTCTCCGGTGAGGTCACCACTGCTTCCTTTGACCAAGGAGGCACAGCTGGGTATGGTGCTCACAAGTTTTGAGAGTCAGTGCTTTCTGAATCTTCTGAGTCCTCCAGATACTGCCATCTCCATGGTCCATCCTTTGCAGATCTGTGTCATCCCATTCACACAAGACTGTGACAGATAGGCAGGGGCTTCCATATGGAAAAATAAAGATATAACTAACAAGGTTTAAAACAGCCTTCCATGATTCTTTTAGACTTCACATTTCATAAAACACCAAAAAAATTTGATCATTTCTCTGCCAAGTCTGCATAGTGTTTCTCCAAAGTCTCTCTATCTCCACTGCCAATCTCTAAGTCAAGCTCTTGTCCCTGGCATCTCAACCATTCTAACAGACCCCTCCAGCCTTTGTCTTCTCTAATGGATTCTCTAACAGGCACAGTCCTAAATTCATATATGGGCAGGTTGCCTCTTAGCTGAAAAACTGGGAAGTCTCCCAACTCCCATTTCCCCACAGATCACATCAAGGCTTCCCCAGCAAAAATTTAAAACCCCCTTAGTGCAGACCCCACCCTGCCCATTCAGCTTCTTTGCTCAACAGAAGAGAAAGCCGCTTGTTGTTCTGTGGTCACCCTGAGATTCAACCCAGGCCTGCAGCTCACGTATGGCCCACATCACACCCACACCAGCACCAGGCCCAGGGGACCAGGCAGAAGGAGAACCTGAGCGACTCAGTGTTAGTCCCCACAGCTGAGGAAGCTCTCAGAGGTGCAGACAACCCTTGCTGCTGGGTGCTCGTAAATGCTGGAGGAGGCATCAACTTAGGCACAACTCACAGTAGGTGTGAATGAAAATATCTCTTTCTGCTTTCTTTGAGAAAAAAAAAAATACCAACTCACATTGAAAGAATAGAATCATTTACATTACATGGATCCTGGGAAAACCATGGAAAACTGCACTCAGGGAAAAGAATGGCAGAAACAAGGGGAATCACCTCCAGAGGCAAATTGGTTTCTAAAACCATCTCTCCAGGAAGGGAAGTTAATGGGGAAGCAATTCAACAAAAGACCCAGAACCACTGCAGACAACTGTGATTCAGTGATGTCGGTCATGGAGCCACAGCTGCAATACGCTCTTACTGCGGAGCCCAGGCAAGTCACAGAACCTCTCTGAGTCTGTGATACAGAGATGGTAAACTAAACATCATCAGAAAAGTGGGAGGATAAGGAAAGATATGTGAAGAGGTGTTATAAACTGTAGCCTGGTTTCAAGTGTATATGAGCTCAAGAGAGACCTCTGGGGGCTTTTTGGGTTTTCTGGAGGTGGTTGCTTCTGGCAGAGAGGGGATTACAGATAAATCAGGTCAGATCCAGAATTTTGTCCCCACCTTTGATGATTCAGAAACATTTCATTTATTTAAGAAAATAGTCCTGACTGATATCCAGGGCAGCTTTTCCCCAACATCATGCTACCAAGGAAACCAAATTAATAACCAGAGATTTACTTACTGGGGGTGGAAGCTGAGCCAAAGGAGACCAGATAGTCAGAGACACACTTTTTTTAAAACCACAACTTACACAGAGCCTGAAATTTCTGATACAGTGGAGAAATGGTCTATCAAAACCAGGGTGAGATACCACAGAACACCAGACACAGTATCTCACTCTGTTTGTCGGTAGCAGAACAAACCCTGTAATTGGTTTTCTTCAATTTCAGGAGAAATCCTTTGTCTGCCCTTTCTGTAGATGTCTACCTGTCTGTCTGCATTTTCCACTAGTATGACACAGTTTCCAAGGCTACAGTTTATGCTGTGGTTCTTGGTTTTCTTCCTTATCTTCCTAATTCAGAAAAACCCTAATCTGATCAACCACATGTTTAACAAGCCTTCTCTGAGTTCAGCTTTCCATGTATTACGGAAATTCTTATTATCCAGGAATGTCACTTCCTGACCTGTTGGAGAAATTCAGAGTGCCTTCTTTTGTACTTTAATTACATTTCCAAGTAATTCAGAAAAACAGACTTGGAAAATGGCTTGAATTTGGCTCCAATATGAACAGAGCACTGTGAGGAGAGAAGGACTGAAAAAGCAGCAACATTGAGCACCAAGGTGGCCAGTGCCTCCGGGGCCCATCTTCCTGGTACCTTTAGGCATCAGTGTTTCTGTGTTGTGTGTGTGTGTTTGTGTGTGTGTGTGTGTGTGTGTGTGTGTGTATTCCTCATCCGTGGTCTCAGGAAAGAGCAGCAGACATCTGATTTATGGCAAATTTTTTAGACAAAGTGCCATAGTAGCCATCCCAAGGCCAAGCATGAATCTAGCACCAGGGCAATCCACAGGGAGAATTCCAGTTCAAAAAACATAAGGGAGAGCCTGGCACAGTGGCTCACTCCTGTAATCCCAGCACTTTGGGAGGCTGAGGCAGGCGGATCACCTGAGGTCAGGAGTTTGAGACCAGCCTGGCCAACATAGCAAAATCCTGTTCTATTAAAAATACAAAAATTAGCCGGGCATGGTGGCAGGCACCTGTAGTCCCAGCTACTCAGGAGACTGAGACATGAGAATCACTTGAACCCAGGAGGCAGAGGTTGCAGTGAGCCAAGATCCCAAGGTCATGCCACTGTGCTCCAGCCTGAGCAACAGAGTGAGACTCTGTCTCAAAAAAAAAAAACAAAACAAAAAGCAAAAAGAAAAAAACAAAAACAGACAAACAAAACCACAAGGGACAAGTGTGGCCCCATCCAGCCTCAGGTGTTCCAGTGAGCCGAATGAAGCTGACACGTAGTGCAAAAGGAGATGGCATTAACTTAGAACTGTGGGATTGAGCAAAAGATGAAAGTACCAACTTGGGCCAACCCTGGCCTGTTTGGAACTGGGAGTACTAAGGGGGAAATGACAGTCCCTGCTGCCTACTCTGTGGGACCACATCTGGACCACTACAGGATGCAGAATTCCTGGAACTTTTACTGGGTGTAAAGCGCATTTGTTTCCACAGAGCAAGAGGAAATTAGCTTCATTCTCAACAAAGTGCACAAGTCTTCCTGGCCCACTAAGGCATCCTTTTTTCTTAATGGTTTAATGGGCCCTGGGTAAACAGTGGGTGAGCCCCTGACTTAAATGGAAAGGTCTGAGATTATGTAATACAGCCCTGCCGAGCTAATAAGGCAGGGTGGGGAGCTGCTTCAGAGCTATTGCTTTTATACGAACAACCCAGTGGATTGTTTTACTGGAACAAGCTTTGACATAGGTTTCATTTACTAAGGGAGGAAAATTTCTCTGAAAGTAGGGAATCAGCAGACATAATATATGAAAGATACAGTGGTGAAGCAGCATATAGTTAGTTAAAATGTGTCATGCTACACAGTGACAATGGTGATGGCTCAAGGATGGGGTGGGGGTCAGGAAAGGAAAACCAGGAAGGAAGAACTGTGGACCCAGGGTCAGGATCCTGGGCTGTCATGTAACATCTTCCAATAAATGTGATCTTGGGGGAGACCATTTTGGGCCTTGGTTTCCACATCTGCGAAATGTTATTATAGCCATGAACACTTACTGAAAGCTTACCCCATATGCCAGACACATCTTCCAATCAACTTATGTGAGTTATCTCATTTAATTTTCACAACAATACAAAGTAGCGGGGAAAACTTCTGGCTTCTCTTGAAAACTCAGAAAATCTAACAATGTTGAGTATGAGTCCAAAATGTCAGCAAGAAGCCAGAGCTGAATAGGGAAGGCTGTTTTAGATGAGACCATTAGCCACAGACCTCACCACTCTTCTTACTGTGCTACTTATTTCCTTTATAGTACCTGAGTGGTTCCTGCTGCGTGTGGGTTTGTGGCCCCTGCATTAGATGGCCTTCATGATTCCTCTTCACCCCTGAGCTTTGATGTTTTTTGCTCCATGTCACCTTCACCAGAGTGGTCAGGCCATTCTTCAATATTCAGACCTAGGCAAAAGGTGCATGACTTTGAACTCCCCTAGTTAAGTTAAGGCTTCTAGAAAGAACAGGCTTTGGGAGCTGAGGAAGGGTGCTCACTGTGCCCTATAAAATAGAGTTTCAATAGACACTGGGTCCTCTGTGGCCTGACCTCCCCTGTGTCAGCAACTTGAGTCTCACTTGAATGGGGAAAGAAAGTAATAGAGAAATGAACAAGGAAATTCTGAAACCCTCAAGACAAACAAGGACCCTCCTATCATTAAGGTAAAGCCAAGTGTGACCCTAAGGCAAGTTACTTAACCTCTGCGTCTCAGTTTCCTCATCTATAAGTTAATGACAACCTCTACCCCATAAGGGAGCTTGAAAGAAAATCCAAAAAAGAAAGAATCTCTTTGAGTTGCTAATGACTCTTAAGTTTCTGGTTCTAGTCCTTTGACCATCATGACAGTCCTATGGTTTTACGAAAGAACTATCCATCTCTATTTAAAAAACAAAAAACACAAAGACCTTTTTTGCTTAAGCTAACTTGTGTTGGGTTTCATCCACCAGGAAGTTAGAGAGAGAAATTACTTAGAGATAAACTTACACATTACAAATCCTTCTGTTCTGTGTGCTTTTAAAAATGTTCAATTTCTAAATGGGCCTCTGGTGAAGATAATGATCACCTCATTGATTTGTTCCCAGGAGAACAGGGTAAAATGAAGTCCTGCTGATCACATTTCTAAATCTTTTTAGTCCCATTGCTTTGGGAAAGTTTCCACACCAGTCATCCTTCTACAGCCTCCCTCTTTCCCACTGTTCCTTCTCTGCAACCACCAGGAAAGGAGGAATCCCAGAGCAGTCTTGCTCCATGACCATCAGGTCCTTTTCACTCATAATCCTCTTAGACCACATTCTCTAGGAATGTACTCATTCTTCAATGGGTGCCTCCACTGAGGAAGGTGCCCTATTCATCTGGAGACCAACATGTTCAGAGCTGCTAGTATCTGCCTCCTTCTGGCTCTTCAACATTGCATTCAATCTAAAGAGCTCCCCCTACCTTCCCATAATTGTTATTTTAGTTTAAATAAGAAAGAGCTGGTTTCTGTTGTTTGCAACCCAAGAACCCTAAATCCAATATGGCACCTTAGTGGTGAGGACAAGGGGGTAGATGGTAAAAGGGAGATATTGATATTGAATTGTCAAGGAAAGCCTTTCTGAGGAGGTGAAATTTGTGCTGAGCTTTTTTTTTTTTGAGACAAAGCCACACTCCTGTCCCCCAGGCTGGAGTGCAATGTCATGATCTTGGCTCACTACAACCTCTGCTTCTCAGGTTCAAACAATTCTCCAGCCTCAGCCTCCCAAGTAGCTGGGATTACAGGTACCTGCCACCATGCCCGGCTAATTTTTGTATTTTTAGTAGAGACGGGGTTTCACCATGTTGGCCAGGCTGGTCTCAAACTCCTGCCCTCAGGTGATCCGCCCACCTTGGCCTCCCAACGTGCTGGGATTACAGGCGTGAGCCACTGTGCCTGGCTGAAATTCGTGTTGAGCTTTCAATGAAGGCACGCGAAAGTCTGGGGGAGGGAACATTCCAAGAAAATAAGAGCAAATGCAAAGACCTTGACTCAGAAACACATTCAAGGGCAGTGAGGAGGCCAGTGTGACTAGAGTTGAGTGAATGAGCAAGCATAGTAGGAGATGAGGCAGAGATGTAGGCAGGGGCTGGATTATGTATGGTCACTAGGCTGCAGCAGACTATTTCAGTTTTGTGATACAATGAAAGCCACAGGAGGGCTTAAACAGAGGATGACATATTCGGATTTTTTAAAAAAATGTCTTTCTGGCTGGCTGTCTTTTTTTTTTTTTTTTTGAGACAGAGTCTTGCTCTGTTGCCCAGGCTGGAGTGCAGTGGCGCAGTCTCAGCTCACTGCAAGCTCTGCCTCCCGGGTTTATGCCATTCTCCTGCCTTAGCCTCCCGAGTAGCTGGGACTACAGGCACCCGCCACTACGCCCGGCTAATTTTTTTTTGTATTTTTAGTAGAGACGGGGTTTCACCGTGTTAGCCAGGATGGTCTCGATCTCCTGACCTCGTGATCCACCCATCTCGGCCTCCCAAAGTGCTGGGATTACAGGCGTGAGCCACCGCACCCGGCCTGCTGGCTGTCTTAAGAATCAACTGTTAGGGACAGGTGTAAAAATGAAAAGATCAGTGGGGACACTGTTGCAGGAGTGCAGGCTGGAGGTGACCATGGCTTGGGTGTGAGCTATGGCAGTGAAGATGGAGAAAGGCAGATAGATTTGTGAAACCATTTCAAGAAAAAGCTGTCTTACATAATTTGCTGATGTGGATTGTGAGGGGAAGAGTATAATCAAGGCTGAGTCTTGGATTTTGGACTGAACAACAGCATAAATGCATTTGCCATTTGCTGGGATGGTGAAAACTAGAAGAGACATGTTGTTTAAAGTATTAGTCATCTACTGCTGTGTAAGAAATGACCTCAAAACTTAGTGGCTTAAAATAGCCATAAGTGTTTACCATCTCACAGTTTCTATGGGTCATGAATTCCAGAATGGATTAGCTGGGTTCCTCCAGCTCATGATCTCTCCTGAGGTTGCAGTCAAGATGTTAGCTAGTTGGTCTTGGTTGGGACTAAAGGGTCTGCTTTGCAGGTGGCTCACTCATGAGGCAAGGTTGTACTGGCCATTGGTGGGAAACTGCCATTTCTCCCTACCGGGACCTTTCCACAGTCTGTTTGAGTGTCCTATACAAGTGATGTAAGAAAGTAAGGCAAAAGCCACAATGTCTAGCTTTGGAAGTCACACTTTTTGATTTGCACAATATCCTGTTAGTTATACAGATCAGCTGCCTTCATTGTGGGAGGAGACTACACATGGGCATGAATACTAGGAGCTGAGAATCACTAGAGGCCATTTCAATGGACCGTCACCACACCATCCACACTGCTGCCAGAAGGAAGTGCCGACAGAGCCAGCAGATGCGTCAGGGAGGCCAGTCTAATAAAGAGGAACTGAAGAATATGCAGGAATAGGAGTGGAATGATCAGTTTCAGAGAGATACAAATGGATCAAAGGGAATGATTCCAGACACATGGAATGGAGACTTCAGTGGAGCTGGGTGTTCCCCATTGAAGTGTGAGCTGAGCTGGACAGACCCTGCTTCTGCCTTACATACTGAGTGGCCCACCAGGCTTTATGAACGGTGATGCAGTGAGGTGACCACAAGAAAGAAGAGGGAACCCCGAAACTGAAGATGTAAAAAGAAATCAATCCAGGCTGCTAATCAGGTTTAAGATGCAAGTATCTCTCCCTCCCTCCTTCTCTCTCTCTCTCTGTGTGTGTGTGTTGTTGTTGTTGTTGTTGTATTGAGTGGGAGTAGAGTTGGGGAATGAGCCAGAGATCAACCATGTTGGAGAGGAACAAACAAAGGACAAGGAGGCATTGAAATATGGGGCAGATCCATACAATACTGATACAACCAAGTGGAAGTCCTGCAATTAACCCTGCGATTTTTGCAGCCTGGCCATGCAGAGCACAGCTTTGTGTTTGAGGTTTGTACTGAGTCTCTTGGAGCAAGGATCTATAGAGCCACATGTCATTTTCCAGCTGTGAGACCACTTTCCCCTTGACAGGTCAAGGTGGAATTCAGTCCCCTGCATTTTTGTACCCCTACCCGTTTCTTTCCGCACCTGGACAACTACAGCAAGACCAGTAGAGACACATCCCATTGAGAAACACAAGGCTCTGCCTACCACACACACACAAGTGTTTAATGTGAAACCACCCCAAACACAGTACATAGTGACTAATGCGCAGTAAAAGACAGAAGCTGAGTATCTTTGGAAGGGAGGATGGGAAAATTAACATCACAGGCATTCATCCATCTCTCCTCTTTCCTGTCCTGTCCTGTCCTCTTTTCATCGCTCCTTTCTCCCCTATTCCCTCCTCTTTCTTCTTCCTCCCTTTCTCTCCCTCCCAGTGCCTTTCTCTCTCTCTCTCTCTCTCTCTCTCACACACACACACACACACACACACACACACACACACACCTGTCCTGTCCTTTACAGGATTCACTCATCTTGCAAGGCTGGCTAATGGCACAAGCATGTCTGGGGCCCATATTTCTAGCTTACAGCTTCTTCCACAGGGACAGGGCTGTCTCTCTCTCAGTGCCTGAACCTTCTTAGGGACTCCTCAAGGAATGTGGATCAAGTATTGAGGAAAGTAGTAATCTCCCCAAGACACTCTGAGATCCAAGACTTTTCTCCTAAGAGCAGGCATCACACAAAGGAGACACCATTTGCCCATGTGACCTGAAGGGGTCTAACTTCATCCCTGAGGCGACCTCACACTCGTTCTGGACACTGGCACTTCAGTGAAGCCTAGTTGATCAAATTTGATGAATCTTACCTTAAAAATGCAAAGAGCAGGCTCTGTGAAGCCACAGAGCCCGGGGCTGCTCTCTCAGGGAGCCAAGGTGCCCTCTTGCTCCAGGCCCAGCCTTGAGGAGAAGTTTTCTTAATAAAGGACCACATCCCAAACCTGTCTGGCTTCTCCAGCAGCAGAATATTTCACTGCCCTGTTTCTGTCTCCAGCCCACATTTGCAGAGCTTGCACATAACTCACTTTGCCATCCTGGGAAGGATTTGAGCACAAAGTCTGCAGTTCAGCCTCAGAATCAAGCGTGAGGGAAACAGTCATACCGTCCTGCCTCCAGGACTAGCTACATAATTTGTGGCGCCCGGTGCAAATGGGAATTTGAGGCTCCTTGTCCATAAATAATTAAGAATTTTAGAATGGTGACAACAGAGCATTAAAGCACTGGGCTTTCTGAATGCAGGGCCCCATGTGACTGCACCAGTTACACACACATAAAGCTGGCCCTGCCTGCCTGTGACTTCCCCTGAGTCCACAGCCTTGATGCCTGCCCTTAACATCCTTCCAGCCAGTCTCCCTGCTTGCCTCTCTAGCCCTGGGCTGAGCCACACAGGGCTCTGAAGGAGAAATACTCTTCCTTCCTTATTTATCACCTATCTCTCATTCTCTGAGCCTAGGCAATTCCATCATTCACCTCCTGGCCAGTACAGACCCTGTGGCCTCCATCACAAGTCTCTGGGCTCCCCCATCCCTCCTTGTTACAGTTCTCTCCCCGTCTGCAGCTCATGCCTGCCCTCCACACACCTTGCAGTCTCTTTCTGTCTCAGGTAGTCCTCGCACACATCTTTCCCCTGTCCAGCCCTTACTCCATCTCCCTGCCATTGTTTCTGAAAGCCATCGCCTCATTTATTCGTCTTGTCACCAGGATTCTGCCCAACAAAAGAGTTCTACCATCAGCTTGGGAATATTCCCTCCCCTCATAACAACTCCGTTCAGAGTGTTATAAGACTGCTAGGCTTTAAAGATATTTTATAAGTGACAGGAGATATCTAAAAGTTTATTTTTATTACAACTCTGATTTTATAAATGAGGAAATAGGAATGTGGATGGGGTAAGTGGCTTGTCCAAGGTCACATAGCTAGTGAGTGGCAAAGCCAAGACGGGATTCCAGCACCTGCTGACTCCTACTACAACTCCTAAAGTTGGGACTGATGGGGTCATAGGAGAATAAAAGAATAAGGACATAAAGGAAAAAGGCAGTATGTGGTTTTTTAAAAACAATGGCTGCATATTCTTTGGCACCACTGAGAGGTGGGGATCTATGTCCCTTCTCTTGAGTCTGGGCAGGTTTGTGACTGCTGCAACCATTAGAGTAAGGTGGAAGTGATGAAGGGTCAACAAAAGTCTGCCTGGTTCTCCTGTGATGCTCACTCTGGGGGAAAGCCAGCCTCCATATAAGAACTCCAGACATCCTGAGACTGCGATGCTGGGGAGACCACAAGTAGCGCTCTGGTCAACAGCCCTAGTTGAGCATCCACCTAGCAGCCAGCATTAACTCCAGCCATGCAATGAGCAATCTTGGACTTCCAGCCAGTTGGGCCATTAGAAGATTCCAGCCCCTGCCTAAAAGTTTTTTTTAACTGAGGCCCCAGACATCATGGAGCAGAAACCCGCTGCCCTGACTGAATCCCTAACCCACAGATCTGTGAGTATACTAAAATGGTTGTTCAAAGACAGTAAGTTTTGGAGTGAGCTGTTATGCAACAGTAGTAAGCTGGAACAGCTAGGTACAACCCGTGCATCTGTCCACTGATGTTCAAGTCATAAATTTCACATGACTTACTCTAACTGCTTTTCAGAATTCCTTCAACAGGCAACAAAAAGATGGTGCTTTTGAAGAATGTGCTTAGAAAGAGCAGGGATTCCTCTTCCTCATCCACATGCCTCAGTCCAGCCAGGTCTGCTTTCTGAAAAGAAGTGGAGAGGCTAGGGTTCCAACTCCAGTTGCATACTTAACTTCTCTGAACTTCAGTTTTTCCTCTGTAAAATGGGAATTAGTGAGTAATTCCACATAGTGGAACTGGTAGGTGATTTTAGGAGAGCAAATGTGTGAACATGCTCTGGGAACTTTGCAGCACATTATGAAAATAATCATTAAGGCCCCCTACAATCCGTTCCCCCGTCCACCCCACCCCCTCTCATTTTATCTTGGTGCCTGGTAGATACAGGGTGACTCTGTCGAAATAATGTTCCCAGTCCAAGCCATTAGCTTTCCAGAGGCTCACACAGCTGTCATCTTTCTCTTCCAGTTTGCACCTTTCCAATAAAAGCATTGCCTCTTTTGATTACAGGAGAATTCACTCTAATTGACTTCCAGGCATTAAAGTTTTACTGAGATGAGCTCAGAGGCTCCCTGGGGATCAGGGGAAGTGCAGAGCATTGCTGCCCTTAGGGCCCTGGTGCTGCCGAGAGTTTCTAAAACAGTTGGCTCTAAATTTTGGCAGAGCGACTTCTGGGGAATATAAAGAGCAGCTCAGAGCAAGGGAGGCACTCCATCTCGACTTATCCGAGGTGCTGGAGGGGAGAAACTGCTGGGCCCCGGGCTCCCTGCTGCATCTCACTCACCTCTGCAATAAGGGGCAGAGACCGAACACAGACATGGAGGCCCTCACACCTGCATTCCTGACCCAAATCTGCCCACACAATGCCTCTATGTGGGCACAAAGGAGTGAAAGGCATGGCGCCTGCCCTCAAAAAGTCAGCATTATGCTTGCATGTATGATAGGTGTTGAGATAATGTGAGGCAATATAATTAGGTGCCAATTTAGATGGCATAATTAGCATTAAAAGAGGTAAATTGGAGGAGGAGAGAGGAGCAAAGATTAGGGATGACTGAGAATGGTTTCCTACTAGGAAGGAAACAAGTGCTGGGCCTTTGAGAACAATAACAATAGTAAACACTTACATACCACATGCTCTGTGCCAAATCCTGTGCAAGCCCTTTATATACTTTAACACATTCATTCCTCCCCACAGCCCTTCGAAATAGAGTCTGCTTCCAATCCCCTTTTCACAGATGAGAAAATCATGGCATGAAAAGGTTAAGAAACTCGGCACAGGTCAGAGCTAGCAATTGGTAGAGGCAGGATGTGGAGCCAGAAAGTCTGACTCAGGGGTCTGTGTTCCTGACCACCACACTGTGTGTCTTTCAAGGCAGTAAAGGAGATGAGAAGGAAGGGAAGTACCTTCCAAGCAGGAGACACTGCAGGCACAAATGCACAGAGTGGGGACTCTGCTCCCCATTCAGTGGCCAATCACATCTTTCTTCCGTCTCCTGGGGGAAAAAATAATCATGTATATGGTTTTTTGTGCTTAGGAAATTTCCAGGATGATATGGAAAAATAAATGTTATCAGTGATTACTTCTTAGAAATGGATGGGAGTGAAGTGAAAAAAGTATTTTATACTTTCTAAAAGTTAGAAAGTTTCACCTTGAATCACTTTTACAACTAAATATTGTTTTATAAAAAACAAATTAAGACTATCCTCCCCATGCCCCACCATTTCTCTGAAGGAAACAGTTGCTCAGAAGGAGAAGAAGACCAAGCCAGGGCCAGTCCTTGGGCAGCAACTGGGTACAGGGAAGATGAGCCTATGGACTCTTTCCTCCGCCCAGAGGGAGCTGGGGACCTGCCCTCCTGCCAGCTCACAGAATCCATCCTTCAGGCTCTGGACACTATGCTCACCCCCACCCTCTCTTCCTTTGTCTCTGAGCTCCCCAACCTTCCTACTCACAACTGTGTGTTTGCGGCGATCATAGAGAGATGAAGACCTCTTTGTTTGACCTGATAATGTTGTGCAATTTCCTAAAGTTACTTGACAGCTTACAAAAATTGACAAAATTTGTATAAAAATTTGGATTTCTGACTTTGGATAAAACCAAAAGATCTGACAATCCTAGGCCTCCATTTTCACTGGACAATTTGGAAGCGGAGTTGATGTTAAGGTCAAATGTCATTTACATGGCACCTATGCTGTTGTTTTTCTTATAACTGGCCTGCTTGCTTAGCTACATCACCTGCTGGGTCCTGGTAAGCAGTTGAATTGGCAGTCTGTGCTTTATTTTTTATTTATTTATTTTATTGTATTTTATTTTTGAGACAGAGTCTCACTCTATCCCCCAGGCTGGAGTGCAGTGGTGTGATCTTGGCTCACTATAACCTCTGCCTCCCAGGTTCAAGTGATTCTCATGCCTCAGTTGCCTGAGTAGCTGGGATTACAGGCGTGCACCACCATGCCCAGCTAATTTTTGTACTTTTAGTAGAGACGGGGTTTTACCATGTTGGCCAGGCTGGTCTCGAACTCCTGACCTCAGGTGATCTGCCCATCTCGGCCTCCCAAAGTGCTGGGATTACAGGCATGAGCCACCATGCCTGGCCAGTCTGTTCTTTAGATTGCAAATAACTCCCAGTTGTTTCACACTTCTGCTTTCCCAAAGATTCTTGAGTGCAGAAACGAAGTCCAATACATCCTTTGCATTCCACCTATATTCTAACAGTGAAGCTTTTCATTGAAGGCCTGATGAACTGATGTCATGATTAAGTTACAGAGTAAAGACCTGGATTTCAGTCTATCCAGGATTGGCTATGGCCACATCATCTGTGCAGCTCAACACTCAATCCTCCTCAAGAATGGTCTGTGCTTTTATGCCTCGGAATATTGATAGACAACATGCTGCTCTCCCCTTGGCTTATGGTTTTACTAAATATAACTGCTGATTTCTGTTATCTGTCTTTACAAACAAACTGCATCCTCTGGTGGATCTGCCTTCCCCGCCTTGACAGTCAACTTCCCATTACATCTCTCTTGCTCATGCATATTATATGAATGACTCATGTATCAACAAAAGGAAGAATCCCTTATAGCTTTTACTTGATTCATTTCAAATAGTAAAAGAAAATACCCTTACAGCCTGTGTGTCATGCTAAACCTCTTTCATACCTTTAGTCTCACCAAATACTTTCAGCAACCCCCGGAAGGTGGCATGGTCACCATATTACAGATTAGGAAACCAATGCACAGATAGGTCAAGTAACTTGCCAAGCATCATATCTCCCAGCTGGGACCTGCATCTAATCAAGTGCTTTTTCCTGATACATCAAGGGCAGGTAGAGTTTTACTGGCTACCTTTCCCTCTTCCATTTTGCTTTTGTTCACTGCCTAGCCTTCAGCTGTGGGCCAGGCTGAGAGCTTCCTACGCCACTCTCCTACCTTACCACACACACTTGCCAGCTCAGTCCTAGGTCAGGTACAGACATCCCCGATTCTCAGGAGCAATGGCCAATGCTGCACTCTGCCCACTCAGCCCCAGAGAACTGGTCCCTAATGGGTTGCAATAAGAGGAAAAGAATATGTGGTTCTCTCGAGGCATTCCTCTGCCTCAGATTACCTGTGACCGTGATTGTTTGAGATGACTGTGACTCCCAAGTGCTTGAGAATCCACCTGGACTCCTCTGGGGTGGCCATGGGAGAACAACAGTGTCCTTTTTGAAGGGCCTTGTAAGGGACAACATACGCCAGACACTGGAGCGCCTCTGGGAGTTTTATTCATTGGAGAATCCAGGATGAAGGCTACCGGGATCAGAAAAAAAAGAGCCCTAACAGAAGCCAATCTCAAATGCCACTGAGAGGCACTGAGCCAAAGCTGGGTCTCACTCTCCTCGGCCAGGTTATGTCGTATAGCAGATGTCTCAGAGTTATGCTAGCCTTGGCTCCCTTCTCCTCCTCTAAAACTTCTAGTTTCCAATCACATACTTTCATACTAAACAGGACGGAAATTGGTTTTACTATAAGAAACAAATCATGTGTTGATCGTAACATCAGGCCAAGAGGAACTTCTGGTCACTGAAATTTCATAAAACTACAGGGAGGCACTGCAAATGCAGAAGAAACAGAGGTCTGAGATAGGAAAATCTACACATTCAAAGAAAGAAACACCCAAGCAGTCTTTTTTCATCACTTTTCTCCTGGCCTGTGTGCAACGGTATCAGCTGCTGTTTATGCCCTGTCCAATATCCCACCTATCCCAGCCCACCTAAGTTCCACAGCACTGGAGATGTCTTCCAACCCCTCAAGTGCCTAGTGTCTCTCTTCTTTTCTGCCTCCTGCATGCAGGGAACTTGGAGTAGGGGGCTGCAATTAACACCACTGGGGGCAAGTTCTCCACAAATTACATGGGAAGCAGCCTTGCCTTCCTCTAGTGGGAAGATTTTGCAGCATCTTCCATGCAGTCTCTTAGAGGGTCCCAGTGCGGTGCAGCCCTAGCTGTCCACGCAGTAACCATTCATTAGCATACTCTACATGGACTTTTCTCCTTTCCCTGCCTCATTCTCCTCTGTCCTCAACTGGTCTTCCTGGGATCGCTCCCCAAATAAATTCTGTGCATCCAAGTCCTTGTTTCAGGGTCTGAAAGAAAAGAATCAAACTAGACACAAGATAAGACTAAAAACTAACTCAGTGATATACTTTGATTGCAATTATTCTTATTTTTCTTAATGCTAATTATAAAGTATTCCTATATATTGTCATGGCAGAACGATGGACCAGCTAAGCTCCTGGATCCCTGTATAGGAACCTGTAACAGGATGGTAAAATGAGCACCCAGGATACTGAGCGTCACATTTAAGGTGAAATGCTGGACTAGCATAGGAAATGTTCAGAACATGTTTAGGACATTTCTAGGGTACTTATATAAAACTGTTTCCAAGACTCTTGGCCACTTTCCCATTTGTTGTTGACGTTTAAGAGGCCACAAGCTGGAAAAGAGAAAGAGGATCTCTTTGGAGAGAACTGTTGGTATATTATGATTCCTCCCTACTTCTGCCCTCATATCCATCAGAGATAAGCATGTAGGTTTACAAGCCCCTACATCAAACCTAGTGAGAGGACATCAAGGAGCACTCCTGAGGAAGTTGGCCTAAGTCCCTTGGAGTCTGCAGTGTCTGTGGATCATGGAGGGGTTTGTCAAGCCAAAGCATGGGGAGTGTTTCTATGGACGAAGTGGGAGGCAAAGGGGAGAGACAATTTAAATAGACTTGGCCCACAAGATCCACCTGGAGACAGATGGAAGCTGGAGGGACCTACACTCACAGGGCTCTGGGGGAGAGACTCACATGGCCAGCAGAGGAGCTATTTGTCTGCAGCTGAGAGGCTGCCAGAAATGTGAGGCCAGTCTCTGAAGACCCACAGAAGCCCCACAAAGCCGTCAAGGGAAACACCCCTGCCTCTCATTCTACCTCCCTACCTCCTCGCATCTACATTCACCCACCCTCCACCCTCAAAGATACAGACACACTTCCTGGGAAGCTAACAAGCTTGACAGGAAAGGGTAGAAAAGACTTAGTGTGACTTCTGGGCCCCAAATAAGCCCATATCAGCATATAAGGGAAGCTTTAATTTAAGAACTTTTTTTTTTTTTTTGAGTTGGAGTCTCCCTCTGTTGCCCAGGCTGGAGTGCAGTGGCGCGATCTCGGCTCACTCCTCCCGGGTTCACGCCATTCTCCTGCCTCAGCCTCCCGAGTACCTGGGACTACAGGCACCCACCACCATGCCCAGCTAATTTTTTGTATTTTTAGTAGAGACAGGGTTTCACCATGGTAGCCAGGATGGTCTCCATCCCCTGACCTTGTGATCCACCTGCCTCGGCCTCCCAAAGTGCTGGAATTACAGGCGTGAGCCATGGCACCCGGCCAATTTAAGAAGTTTAAGAAGAAATGTGAATGGAGTTTCCTGGATGAAATTAGTGTTTGAATTGTGGACTCAGTGGACCACCTTCCTCCATGTTGGGAGGCAGGGAGCATCATTTAATCTGCTGGGGGTCTGAATAGAACAGAAAGGAAGAGGAAGGAGAAATTCCTCTCTTTTCCTTCCCACCTGCCTGTTTGAGCTGGGACCTCAATATTCTCCTGCTCTTGGACTAGAATTTACAGCACTGGCTCCCCTGGTACTCAGGCCTTTGGGTTTGGACTAGAATTACACCACAGTTTTTCCTGGTTCTCCAGCCTGCAGATGGCTGAATGTGGAACTTCTCAGCCTCCATAATAATGTGAGCCAATTTCTCACAATAAATTGTCTATCTATCTATCTATCTGTCTATCTATCTATCTATCTATCTATCTATATTTTGTTTCTCTGAAGAACCCTGACCAATACAAAGCCATAATCCCACAATGTACAGATAAGGATGTATATAGAGATAAGGACTGTGAATAAGGTCATAAGAATGTGACTCTAATCTGATAGAGCTGGTACCCTTGCAAAAGATGAAGAGACACCAGAGCATGAGCGCGCGCTCTCTCTCTTTCTGTCTACTATGTGAGAACACAGTGAGAAGGTGACCATCTACAAGATAGGAAGAGGGCCCTCACCAGGAATTTAATTGTATGGCAACTTGATCTTGGACTTCCCAGCCTCCAGAACTATAAGAAATAAATTTTTTTTTCAGTCATCCCACCTGTGATATTTTGTCATAGAAGCCTACTCTTAGACACATATAAATGTACAGAAAGGGTGGATGGACATAGGCACTGGTTCACAGAGAAAATACAGTCAAAAGACAGAGCCCAGAAGCACCCATGTAGCATTATCCAGGGCAGGGAGTGCCTAGCAGATAGGTATTTCAATCTGCTTGAAAAGAATGTCCTTTTCAAGGATGAGTGTATCTTGCTGTCAAGATTCATAACATCAACCATCATTTATCCAATTAGCCTCATTTGCAGGAATCCCAGACTTCGTGATTAGGTGGCTTCCAGGAAGCATTTTTCTAAAGACTCTAGGAAGCTGCCATAAGGCCCCAGTTATCTTGGCAGTGTTGTCTTTTATTGTAAATGAATAAATCAACATCAGCCTTGTGTGGACTTTGAACTTGAGACCCTACTTTTGAGAAGATCAAAGTGCTGAGAAGATAATGTTCCCATAATACTACAACTGCATTGACCCACCTATTAGCATCTGCATCCATAATCACTGTCTTCCCTCCTGCGGTATATTGCGAAGATGGCAACAAATTCTTCCATGCCCTATAGTTGTGTAAATTTGCGGTTTCTCCCATCAAGAAGGAGAGTCAACTGGACATGGTGGTGCATGCCTGTAGTCCTGGCTACCAAGAGGCTGAGACGGGAGGATCACTTGAACCCAGGAGTTCAAGGCTGCAGTGAGCAGCCACTTGATCATGCCACTGTACAGGATAAATGTTAATTCTTCCTTCACCGCCAATCACATCTTACTACTTTCTTTGCCTCCTCCTGGGTTTACATGACCATCAGTTCCCCGCTCAGTTACCACAAGTGGCCTCCTAACTAATCCCCCTGCTTCCACCCTTGCCCCCTCTAATCTATTCTCAACGTAGCAGTCCAGTGATCTTTTAATAAAGTCATGTCATGTCACTGCTCTGCTCAGAACCTTCCCATGGTTCTCCGTTTCTCTCAAAGTCTTCACAGTGACCTCAATGACCTCCAAAGCCCTGTTCTATCTGCTTCACTCCCATTAAATCTCTGACCTTGCTTTTGGTCTCTCTTACTTACACTTACTCCACTTCAACCACATCAGTCTTCCTGATGTTCCTGGGACAAACCAGGATGCTCTCCTCTTAGGGTTCTGGCCCTGGCCATCCCCCTTTGCTGGAGTACTCGTCCCCAGATGTGAAAATGCCTAGCTCCCTCATCTCCTTTAAGTCTCTGCTCAACTGTCACTTTCTCCATACATCTATACCAGTCACCCTATTTAAATTATAATCCACAAAGAAATCCCAGTCCTCATGCTATGCTTTATTTTTATTTTTCGTTTCCATAGTACTTACTCTCTTTTAACATCATATACAACTTATTAGGTTTGATACGTATTCCTCTGCCCCCACTAGAATGTTAGCTACACAAGGGCAAGGATCTGTATCTGTTTTGTTCACTGACAATCTCATGTGCCTAGAACAGTGGATAGAACACAAATGAGACACTTAGTAAATGTTTGTTGAATGGCTAAGTTAGTGCTTGAATAATGGAGATAAATGAATGTGGAATCTCCATGTTCATCTCTAATTTTCCATCTCCAAAGATTCAGAAAGGAGCATAGGCCTTAGACAATGGGGCTTTCCCCACCGTCTGCAGTATCACATAATACCTGTAAGTATTTATCATGAATACCAACCAATGCCTGTTAAGGTACATGTTTATGGATTAATACTTTTAATTCAAGATATCCTCACTTGGGACAATGAAGGTGCATACTGATAGGAGAGAATCCGATTTTAAAAATAAATGTATTAAATATCTATAACTTAAGGATGAGAAGAAAAGGATTTTCATAATCCCCTTCCAAAAACAGAGGGATTCTTTGCTTTAACAACTCCCTCCCATAAAAAAGAAGTCTTGCTTTTTAAACATGGAACTTCTCCCAAAACTGATTAGAATGAGACTCACTTTATAAATATTTACATGTACTGTTTTTCAGAAATATGACTACTACGTTAAGGGAAGGAAGAACAAACAGTTATCTCTGCAGCTGAATTTCTCACGAAGTCCAGAGGGCAGCTTTTATGAGCCATCCCAGCATTTCTGTGATTTAAGTTTGAAGCAAGCAGATGTAGCCATCATAGGAAAATGTCATTCCTCTTGGAGGAAGAAGCTGGATGAGTGAGTCTGGAATCGGGTTTGCAATCTCCACTAACCAAACACATAGCAGCACTTCTATGATGCTTTTATGTCTAGTGGGCTTTGTAAGCTCTTATAAGGTAGAATTAAGGAGTTACTAGTTCAACCATTGTGGAAGTCAGTGTGGTGATTCCTCAGGGATCTACAACTAGAAATACCATTTGACCCAGTCATCCATTACTGGGTATATACCCAAAGGATTATAAATCATACTGCTATAAAGACACATGCACACATATGTTTATTGCGACACTATTCACAATAGCAAAGACTTGGAACCAACCCAAATGTCCAACAATGATAGACTGGATTAAGAAAATGTGGCACATATACACCATGGAATACTATGCAGCCATAAAAACTGATGAGTTCATGTCCTTTGTAGGGACATGGATGAAGCTGGAAACCATCATTCTCAGCAAACTATCACAAGGACAAAAAACCAAACACCACATGTTCTCACTCATAGGTGGGAATTGAACAATGAGAACACATGGACACAGGAAGGGAAACATCACACACCGGGGCCTGTTGTGGGGTGGGGGGAGGGGGGAGGGATAGCATTAGGAGATATACCTAATGTTAAATGACGAGTTAATGGGTGCAGCACACCAGCATGGCACATGTATACATATGTAACTAACCTGCACGTTGTGCACATGTACCCTAAAACTTAAAGTATAATAATAATAATTTTAAAAAAGCCTATTTAAGGATAATTATTCCTGGGAAAAGTCTACTTAACATGAATCCACTTAAATGGGAAGCAACATTTTACAGCAAATAATGGAGGTAAGGGAGAGTGTGGATTGAAGCTTTAGCTTTAAAAGAACTAAAAATTATAATACTACATTTGTTTTCTTTTACATGTAACCACTTTTGATTATCATTGCAACTATAGACGAATTCTTAGGACAGGAAGTTGAATCAAGACTCATTTTGGTGTGCTTTTTTTCTAAAAAACAAAATTGTAAGGTGGCAAAATATGGCATCCATCATTTCTCATTTGACCTTCATATCAAGATTTTAAAGAAGGTAAATTTTGCAAAATAATCAAGGACTTCACTTTTCTCCAGGACCTCTCCTAACCCTTTGAATTTCTAATTATCCCCTTTTGAAGACTCTATTATGTCATCATCTTTGTTAATTTTCTCTTCTTCAATTGTAATCAAACTCTGCCAGACCCTCATTTCTTGGAGGCATTCTAATAATTATTCCATCAGTCCTCCTCCATTGCTTTCATTATCTTAGTGAAATCCTTCATGTTTGTGAGATTGGCAGTTTCACCTTGCAATTTGTCAGCATAATAATCACAGTAAAAACACCTGACAATAATAGTGGGTGGGAGTAGATGCCAGTGTTAAGCCAGAGGGAGGTGTGAGTGGAGACTAGCTTTATAAGGTTCTGTTAGTGAACATTTCGTGTTGGGATGACCTTTGCTTCCCAACTTATAATTATAGGTACTCCAATAGTAAATACTCTGAAAATGAGGTTCCCCTGCACTCAAAAACAGGAATTAGCATTGCAGGTTCTTGGTGAAAGTACTAATTGGAAGAAGTGTGATGATGGATATAGCACCTGGAAAGGTGATCAGCTGTAACCTATGCATGCTGGCTGAGGAACTGACCAATACCCCCTCAGGCTTGGCTCTCAGCTCCTGTAGGTTTGAGCCCTAAAATGTGGTCAACACCTGAAGCTAGAATACTGAAAAGATAAAGTAACACAAATATCTGCTTTGTAGCTACTGCCATCTAGTGACTTTAAACTTCATTTCCAATTTGATGTTTGTTAACATCATAACCAACTCTAGGGGGCAATACATTGCATGTAGTCTGTGACTTGGATGGCTTAGCTTAGCTTTGTAAGAGCTGACAAGACTTAAAATCCTTTCCCCCTGTTGGGAGTCTGTTCGGAAGTCTTTGATTTGTGTCTGGGTTGGTGTGGACTGGGTAGAGCTTGGTTTTACAAGTCCTCAAGGTATGCATGATGATTCACTCTTGGAATAAGGCTTGTTCTTTCATCTCCTGACTTTGCACATGTTCTTTACATTGTTGACCTACTCTCCAGCTTCTCTTCCACTCAATCAGCAAACTGTTCTTAAAAATCAAATTCAAATATACCCTCTAGAAGGGCGTTCTCAACTCCCCCCTCCCCAAACTTGTTCTTACTTTCTTCTGTGCTTTTAGATCAAGTTTTACTCAGTTCTGTTACATTTACCACATGCAACTTAATTATTTAATAGTCCTTTCTTCCTCTAAACTCAAGATTTTGGGGTGCAACTGTTACGGTTTGATCTTATTAGCATGTATTTCATTCACTACCTAGCACGTTGAAGATAATCACTGAACATTTATTAAATTAATTTTTTTAAATACCGTGATTGGCTGGGTGCAGTGGCTCACTCCTGTAATTTCAGCACTTTGGGAGGCCAAGGCGGGTGGATCACTTGAGGCCAGGAGTTTGAGACCAGCCTGAGTAACATGGCGAAACCTTGTCTCTACTGAAAATACAAAAAATAGCTGGGCATGGTGGTGTGCGCCTACAATCCCAGCTACTCAGGTGGCTGAGGCATGAGAATTGCTTGAACCTGGGAGGCAGAGGTTGCAGTGAGCCATGATCATGCTACTGCACTCCAGCCTGAGTGACAGAGCAAGACTCTGTCTCAAAAAACAAAAACAAAAACAAAATCCACGATTATGCCAAATGGTTCTTGGTTTCACCAAGGTTACATTAACCTCCTAAACTCATTTTTTTAGTGAGGTAAAATTCACCATTTTAACCATCTGAAAGTGTACAATTCAGTGGCTTTTGATATATTCACAATATTGTGCAACCATCACCACTTTATAATTCCAGAACATTTTCATCACCCCTCAAAAAAAACTCCATATCCGTTACAAAGCTGATCTCCATTCTCTCCAGTCCCCAGCCCTTGGCAATCACTAAACTACTTTCTGTCTCTATGAATCTGCCTACTCTGGGCAAATAAATACGATTATATAATATGTGGTCTTTTGGCTTCTTTCACTCAGCAAAATGTTTCTTTTCCAAGGTTTATGCATGTTGTAGCATGTATCAGTATGTCATTCCTTTTTATGGCCAAATAATATTCTATTGGATGTATATAACACATTTTGTTTATCCATTCATCAGTTGATGGACATTTGGATTGTTTCTACTTCTACATCTATGTTTTCTTCTAAGAGTTTTATAGTTTTACTTCTTACTTTTACGTCTTTCATCCATTTTGAATTAATTTTTGTGTATGGCGTGAAGTAGGGGCCCAACTTTATTCTTTTCTATGTAGCTATCTAGTTGTTACCAGCAGCATTTGTTTAAAACAAACAAACAAACAAACAAACAAACAAAACACTATTATTGGCCGGGCGCAGTGGCTCACGCCTGTAATCCCAGCACTTTGGGAGGCCAAGGTGGGCGGATCACGAGGTCAGGAGGTCGAGACCATCCTGGCTAACACGGTGAAACCCCGTCTCTACTAAAAAAAATACAAAAAATTAGCTGGGCGTGGTGGCGGGCGCCTGTAGTCCCAGCTACTCAGGAGGCTGAGGCAGGAGAATGGCGTGAACCCGGGAGGCAGAGCTTGCAGTGAGCCTAGATGACGCCACTGCACTTCAGCCTGGGCGACAGAGTGAGACTCCGTCTCAAAAAAAAAACAAAAAAAAACTATTATTATTTCCCCATTGAATAGTCTTGGCACACTTGTCAGAAATCAATTGACCATAGATGTATGAGTTTATTTGTGGACTCTCAATTCTATTCCATTCAGCTATACATCTATCTTTATGCCAGTACCAAACTGTTTGATTACTGTAGTTTATAATAACTTTTGAAATTTGGCCAGTGATTCCTAACCTGAAAAGTTCAAACAAGTCCAAATGAGAAACAAATATTGTGATTTATTTTGTCTATAATATGACCCACAACCAGTGCTTTAATAAATTCTCCTTACATGAGCTTTGTGCAAATGGACTATGTTTGTGAAGTAAAAAGAGCTGAGTTTCACCATCTTGAATGATTTATACAAGCAAAAGGCCAAAGGCAAAAAGGAACAGGAAAACATACACAGTCCAGGAATTTGCTGGCTTCTAAGAAGGGATTTGTATTTCTACAAGTTTTGTAACTGAAGGTTCAAAACCATTTTACCCAGATCACACAAACCATGGAGGCTCCAACTGACATCAAGGGTATGTAAGATGTGAGGAGACAGATGTAGTACAATTCTTCACCCTTCTCTGTATCCATACCCTTTGCCATGTGGCTTTGCAGTTTCTAGCACTCCTTGATTTTGCATTTGGCTTTGTGACTTGCTTTGGCCAGTGGAACAAAGTAGAAGTCATAGTATGTTGGTTGCAAACCTTAAATGCTCTTCTGTAATTTTGTTTGCTTTCTTGAACCTCTGCCTCTGCCAAAGAGAAACATACTTGCGTTAGCCTGCTTGGCCAGGAGAAGGATAGGAGACCCATGGAGTCAAGCTGAACTGCTGCAGCTAAGTTCAGTCTAAATCAGCCAACAAGATCATGTTCTTGTTCTTTTTTAGGAACTTAATTTAGAAAATTAAAAGTTGTTTATTACAGTGCTTTGCCTACCCAACTAGTAGGGAGTAAACTTATTTAGTCTTTGTAGAAAATACTTCTTTTTTAACTTTTATTTTAGATTCAGAGGTACCTGTGAAGGTTTGTTATATAGATAAACCCATGTCATGGGAATTTGTTGTACAGATTATTCAATCACCCAGGTATGAAGTCCAGTACCGAATAGCTATCATTTCTTCTCTTCTCCCACTTCCCACCCTCCATCCTCAAGTAGACCCCCGTGTCTATTGTTTTTCTTCTTTGTGTTCATAAGTTCTCATCATTTAGCTTCCACTTACAGGTGAGAACATGCAGTATTTGGTTTTCTGTTTCTGCATTAGTTTACTAGGTATAATGCCCTCCAGCTCCATCCACATTTCTGCAAAAGACATGATCTCATTCCTTTTTAGGACTGCATAGTATTCCATGATGTATATGTACCAGATTTTCTTTATCCAATCTGTCATTGATGGGCATTTGGGTTGATTCCATATCTTTGCTATTGTGAACAGTGCTGCAATGAACATCTGCATGTATGTGTCTTTATGGTAGAATGATTTATATTCCTCTGGGTCTGTACGCACTAATGAGATTGCTGGGTTGAATGGTAGTTCTACTTTTAGCTCTTTGAGGAATCACCATATGGATTTCCACAATGGTTGAACTAATTTACACTTCCACCAACAGTGTATGTGTTCCCTTTTCTCCACAACCTCACCAGCATCTGTTCTTTTTTTACTTTTTAGTAATAGCCATTCTGACTGGTGTGAGATGGTATCTCATTGTGGTTTCTATTTACATTTCTTTAATGATCTGTGATATTAAACTTTTCTTCATATGCTTGTTGGCCGCACATATGTCTTCTTTTGAAAAGTGTCTGTTCATGTCCTTTGCCCACTTTTTAATGGGTTTTTTTTTCTTGTAAATTTGTTTAAGTTCCTTATAGATGCTGGATATTAGACCTTTGTCAGATGCATAGTTTGCCAATATTTTCTGCTATTCTGTAGGTTGTTTACTCTGTTGATGGTTTGTCTTGCTGTGATGAAGCTCTTAAGCTTAATTAGATCCCACCTGTCAAATTTTGCTTTTGTTGCAATTGCTTTTGGTGTCTTTGTCATGAAATCTTTCCCTATTCCTATGTCCAGGATGGTATTGCCTAGGTTGTCTGCCAGGGTTTTTATAGTTTTGGGTTTTACATTTAAGTCTTTAATCCATCTTGAGTTGATTTTTGTATATGGTGTAAGGAAGGGATCCAGCTTCAGTCTTCTGCATATGGCCAGCCAGTTATCCCAGCATCATTTATTGAATAGGGAGTCTTTCTCTCAATCCTTACTTTTGTCAGCTTTGTCAAAAAACAGATTGTTGTAGGTGTGCGGCCTTATTTCTGGGCTCTCTATTCTGTTCCGCTGGTCTGTGTGCCTGTTTTTGTACTGGTACCATGCTATTTTGGTTACTGTAGCCCTGTAGTATAGTTTGAAGTTGGGTAATGTGACACCTCCAGCTTTCTTCCTTTTACTTAGGATTGTCTTGAGTATTTGGGCTCTTTTTTTATTCCATATGAATTTTAAAATAGTTTTTTTCTAGTTCTGTGAAGAATGTAATTGGTAGTTTGATAGGAATAGCATTGAATCTGTAAATTGCTTTGGGCAGTATGGCCATTTTAATGATATTGACTCTTCTTATCCATGAGCAGGTAATGTTTTTTTTCCCATTTGTTTGTGTCTTCTCTGATTTCTTTGTGCAGTGTTTTGTAATTTTCATTGTACAGAATATGAAAATATCTTTATTTTGCCCTCACACTTTAATTATATGTAGAATTCCAGGTTGACGATTTTTTTCTTTCCACTCTTCATACATATAATTCTATATCTTCTGCTTCAGTCTCATGTGATACTGTAGCAGGACAAGCTGCAGACAAAACCTCTGAGACACCGAATTGTAGAAGGAAGGGCTTTATTCAGCTGGGAGCATCAGCAAGCTACTGCCTTAAAATCCGAGCTCCCTGAGTGAGCAATTCCTGTCCCTTTTAAGGGCTCACAACTCTAAGGATTTCACATGAAAGGGTCGTGTTTGATTTGAGCAAGCAAGGGGTACGTGACAGGGGCTGCATGCACTGGTGGTCAGAGAGAAACAGAACAGGGCAGGGAGTTTCACAATGTTCTTCTATACAATGTCTGGAATCTATGAATAACATCGGTTTTTAAGTTATGAGTTGATTTTTAACTACTGGATTTAGGCCAGGCAGGCCCAGGCCTGGTTTCAGGCCTGGCGCCGGGCTGCCTGTCTTTGGCTTTACTTCCTTGTTGTTTCTTCTAAAACAGGTACTGAGTATAAAACAGTATAAAACAATATGAGAGGGTCTCTCTCTTCCCTCAATACAGGGCTCTGAGCAAAATCTGCCATTCTGTACTAGGATCTCCCCAGACATTGGCAAGTGACTACAACCCCTGAGAGGGGTAACAAAGCTATCTCAGGGACCAACCTCTTTCCTTTCCTACCTCTGGCTTCGCATAATGAGCCCCATTCTAGTCTCCTACCACGTGTGAAAGTGTTTGTGGCTCCCATTCCTGCAAAGGCATTAAGTTTTGGCTCAAAGTGCCCATTTACAGTCCTGGTTCCCCAAGGACCATGTGACTTCAGCCCTTGTTTGCCATGTGGGCTGTCTTTTTGCTTCACATAAACTTTCCATTAACTTCTAGATCAACTATCCATATTTTTTTATTTTAAAATATTGTCTTATCCATTTTTACATATTTGGAGCAAAGGAAAAAGCATTTGGCATGTGCTCACTCTGAGGCTTTGAACAAAACCCTCAATCAGTATTTAAACATAACAATGAGCTTTACTAATTTTTTCCCCTCATTCTGCTTCCTGCCTCCCACTACCTCTCGGATTTGTTTTTTGTTTTTTTTGTTTTGTTTTGTTTTTCTTACCTGAGTACATACTTTAATAATTCCTTCAGAGAAAGTCCAGAGTACTGAGATTTCTAAATCATTATTTTTAAGAAAATAGTTATCTTTCATCTTCAATGTTGAATGACAGTTTAGCTTGGTATATGTTTCTAAATATAAAGTAATTTTCTCTCAGTACTTTGAAAATTCTGCTCTATTGTCTTTTTTGTTCAATGTTTTTGATAAGAAGGCTTATGACAATCTGATTATCATTCCTTATTATGTAATACATGTTTTGTCTCTAAAAGATTTTAGGATTTTTCCCTTTATCCTTTACATTCTGATATTCACTATGAAGTCCACACATGGCCTTTGCTTAGTTTTGCATTGTGTATTGTGTTTATCAACATATTTGATCTTTCAGTGCTTCAAGTGACAACCTAAACAACTAATCAATATCTGGGAATGAAAGAACCTTCTCTTGAGAATCTGACCAGCCCAAGAAGTCCCAATGATACCAACATAAAGGATTCCTTGAAAATAGCCCAGCCAGATCATTCTATGATAAAGCCCACATCTGATGCTCAATCAGGGTTTGCATGCCCCACCATTATATAACCAATCAAGAATCAACAGACATCTGGGAGCTTTTTTATGAAAGATGGAGACAAACCAACCAATAGATAAAAGCAATCTTGAGGAAACAGATTCTGAAAGAAGGAAAAAAAAAAGAAGAAGAAGAAAACATATTATCGAAGTCTTCAGGGTACTTAGAGAAAATGTTGCAGCCATGAAACTACTTGAGCACAGTGGTTCTTGCCTGTAATCCCTAGGACTTTAGGAGGCCAAGGTGGGAGGATTGCTTGAGCCCAGGGGTTCAAGTTTACAGCAAGCCATGATTGTACCACTGCACTCCATCCTGGGTGACAGAGTGAGACCCTGTCTCAGAAAAACCAAAACCAAACCAAACCTAAATAAACAAACAGGAGCATTCAGAGGACTTTAATGTCACTAAAAGAAAAAATTTTTAATTCAATAGAAGAATTGAAAAATAAAATTGAGAAAATTGTACAAAAGTAGAACAAAAATAAACAAGACATAGAAAAAAAGTGGTGGTGGAGAGAGGATCTGAATAGTAGTTTCATAGAGAGAGAGAAAAAGAAGAATTTAAGTGAAACTATTATCAAAGGAAAAATTCAAGAAATTTTCCCAGAATGGAAAAACATGAATTTCCAGATTAAAAAGACCTAGGAAATGCCCAGTACACTGGACTCATACCAAGACATATCACTGGGAGATTTTAGAATGCTGGGAAGAAAGAGAAAATACTTGTGATATAATAAGAAATATACATAAAAGAGCAACTCAAAGCACTCTAAAAAAATTTTAAACAATTTTTTAAAGAAATGTCCATTTTATCTTCATCCCCTGTTCCTGGCACAAAGCTCCTAAAACCCTTGTAATTTCCTGAGTGATAGGAGCACCTTTTGTTATAACATTGGGTCTTAGTCCCCGGTTCCTGACATAAGAGCCTCTATGACCCTTGGAATCTCCAGAGTGATAGGAGAGTCTTCTTTCATGTTAATAAAATGACTGGTGGCTGGGTTCCCTGGATAGCCTCAGGATAGGGTCTGGTTGCCAGAAAGACTGAGGCATTTTAGGAGGGGAAAGGGGCTGGAGATTGAGCTATTCACCAATGGCAATAATTTATCAGTTATGCCTACATAAAGGAAACTCCATAAAAACCCTAAATAACACTTAAAAAAGTTTCCAGGTTGGGGAATACATCATTGTGCCAGGAGACACATCCCAAATCCATCGGGAAAGGAGCTCCTGCACGCAGGACCATTTCAGACCTTGCCCTATGTACCTCTTCATCTGGCCATTAGTTTGTATTCTTTATAATAAACAAGTAAGTGTAGGTAAAGTGTTTTCCTGAGTTCTGAAAGACATTGTAGCAAATTATCAAACCTGAGGAGAAGGTCATGGAAACCCCAGATATGTAGCAAAGTTGGAGAGAAGTGTGGATGGCCCTAAACACCCAATACTTGCAACTGGCATCTGAAATTGGGGGCAGTCTTATGGGACTGAGCCCTTAATCTACGGGGTCTGCATTAACTCTGGACAGTTAGTGTCAGAAGTGAATTAAATTGTAGGACACCCAGTTGGTGTCCAGAGAGAAGTGGAGAATTGCTCGGTGTGGGAAATCTACACATTTGGTGTCAGAAGTGTTTTGAATAGAGGCAAAAAGTTTTTATTTTAATACTAAAAGTTCTCTGAATGTAGAGTAACAGGATCAGTAATCACAATGGCTTTTGACTTCTCAATAGCAACATTGGGGTCTAAAAGATAATGGAGTAATTCATTCAAAATAATAATGGAAAATCATTTCCAAATTATTATATTAATTCAGCCAAACTCTCAATCAAGTATGAGAGGAGAATAAAGTCATTTTCAGACATGCAAGGTCTGAAAAAATGTGTCCCCAGGCATCATTTCACAGAAAGCTACTGCAGGATATATTCCACCAGAACAAGAAAGAGGAAGCCTTAGGATATGGGAAGAGTATATAGCATAGAAGAGAAATCAAGAGAATCCTCTGGATTTTGGTGAAAGGAGACACCCGGATAACTGCTGAGCACCAGATATAGAGGGAAACCATTTCAAATGGAGCAGTCAGAAAGATCCAGAAGGAAGTCCTTTTTAAAAGATTAAATTATTAGAACATCCAATGCATCTAAATATATTTGGAGCTGGGCGCAGTGGCTCATGCCTGTAATCCCAGCACTTTGAGAGGCCGAGGTGGGTGGATCACCTGAGGTCAGAACTTTGAGACCTGCCTGGCCAACATGGTGAAACCCCATCTCTACTAAAATACAAGGGTGGGTGTAGTGGCACGTGCCTGTAGTCCCAGCTACTCAGGAGGCTGAGACAGGAGAATAATTTGAACCCAGGAGGCAGAGTTGCAGTGAGCCAAGATTGTACCATTGCATTCCAGCCTGGGCAACAGAGCAAGACTCCATCTCAAAAAACAAAAAAAAAAGTATGTATATATATTTGGACCAGTAATTCCCAAAGTCAGGTCCAGTGGCCCTAGGGGTCCCTGAAACCTTATTAGATAATTTGCAAGGTCAAAGCTATTTATGTAATAATACTAGATATTATTTTTCTTTTTCAATCTCCTTCTCTCATAAGTATACAAAAAAGTTTTCCAGAGGCTACATGGCATGTGATATTACAACAGATTGAATGAAAAAGCAGATATGAGAAGTCAGCTGTCTTCCAAGAAGCCAAACATTAAAGAGATTTGAAAATATGTAAAATAATATCATTCTTATTATATTTGTTTTGTTTTAGAAAACATAGTTACATTTCATGAAAAATGTTAACATAAAATACATTTAGTATTTTCATGTATTAATACATAGATTTTATTATTGGTAAGTTTTAATTTCAAATATGATAAATGTAGTGGATATGACCCATATAATCAAAAGCTCTTTGGTCGTCTGATCCTGCTCATGCAAAAATAAAAAGTGCATATATATATGTGTGTGTCTATATATATACATATATATATAAAGCTCTTTAGGATTCTCCGTCATATTAAGAGTGGAAAGGGCTCTTGAGACCAGAAAGTTTGAGAATTGCTGATTCAGAAAACTAATGGAGAGTTTAGGTTGAATTTTTGTTAGGTAGACCAAAGCAAACAAACAATTATAAATTCCAGAGAAAATAGAAAGTTGAACAGAAAAGGAAAACTAAGCATAGCATACTAGATGGCTCAGCTGAAAAGAGTGTGTACAGTCTTTTAAAAATATTTTTTATTTTCATTTTTTGAGACAGGGTCTTGTTTTGTCACCCAGGCTGGAGTGCAGTAGCATGATTATAGCTCACTGCAGCCTTGACCTCTAGAACTCAAGTGATCCTCCCACCTCAGTCTCCTGAGTAGCTGGGACTACAGGTGTGCATCATCACGCTCAGCTAATTTTTTTTTTTTTTTTTTTTGGTAAAGATAGGGGTCTCATTATGTTGCCCAGGCTGATCTTGAACTCCTGGGCTCAAGCTATCCTCCTACCTCCGCGTCTCAAAGTGCTGGAATTACAGGTATGAGCCACTGTGCCCAGCCAGGGCATGTACATAGCCATATTAACGTAAAATGATATTGTCTAATCAAAGGTATGACATAACTATATTAGATAGTAGGGGCAAGTCTAGTTAAACGGAAGTTGTCAAAAAAGAGCTAAATTCTCATCTTCCATAGTGAGAAGTCAACAGATAATAACTAATTCTAAAAAGAAGGTTTTAAAAATAAGCATGTCATTTAGAGATATGAAAATAAATCCTAAAAAACCCACAAATAAAAGTAGAGGTAGTGGCCTCTAGAAGGGGGAAATGAAGAGGGAGATGGCATTTTCCCAACAAGTCCTGTGGAATTATTTGACTCTAATTATGTATAATTTTGTTGAAGATGAAAGCTGAAAATAGAAAAAAATTAGTACAAACAGAAGTTTTAGTTTTTCTTTTTTCTTTTTTTTTTTTGAGACAGAGTTTCGCTTTGTTCCCCAAGCTGGAGTGCAGTGGCGCATCTCTGCTCACTGCAAGCTCCGCCTCATGGGTTCACGCCATTCTCCTGCCTCAGCCTCCCAAGTAGCTGGGACTACAGGCGCCCGCCACCATGCCCGGCTAATTTTTTGTATTTTTAGTAGAGATGGGGTTTCACTGTGTTAGCCAGGATGGTCTTGATCTCCTGACCTCATGATCCACCCGCCTCGGCCTCCCAAAGTGATGGGATTACAGGCGTGAGCCACCACTCCCAGCCCGTGAGCCACCCTGCCCAGCCTAATATTTCTTTTTTCTTGACTTTACAATAGATAAATTCATGAGATAGCAGCTAAATTTTCTGATTCAGAGACCACTGCAGTAAATTTGGGATTTTAAATTTTGATTTGAGAAATGGAAGATTGTAATACATGTTTCCGAACTGGGGGGTGGAACATAAGAGAATAACAAGGGTGGGATTGCTGAGGAGGGGTGTGTGTGGTTTGAAGAAAAACTGCTGTTCATTGAAGAACCATTAATATTTATAAGAAACAGTGAATTCAGAATCAAGAGAGCGGACTGTGGTTCCAGCTCTGCCACTTACTCCCCTTGTTGCCGAACCAAACCTAGGGTCTGCTTGTCTGGCACAGCATAGCCAAACATTAACACTGAGGTTTTGCAGCAAGAGAAAGGAGGGCATTTATTTGCAGGGTGCCAAGCAAGGAGACTCAGGCAGCTATGCTTAAGACCCGACCTCCCTGATGGTTTACAGAAAGGGTTTTTAAAGGCAGGGGTAAATTTCAGGAAAGTAGAAGTTACAGGCAAAATTATAAATTGATACATGAAGGTTATACACTGGTTTGGCCTAAAAAGGTGGGATATATTTAAGTGAGGGCTTAAAGGCCATAGGTGGATTCAAAGATTCTCTGATTTGCAATTGGTTCAGGAAGTAAGGCTTTGCCTAAAAACTTGGGGTCAGCAGAAAGGAATGTTAAGTTCTGGCCTGCAGGCGTGTCCTTCTCCAGGGCCCTCAGGAAGAAATTTAGAACAAAGAACAGTGGTCAGAGTTTGGTCCTCAGTTCCCTTTTATCTGAGGTCTACGTGCCAGCAGATGGCATTTTCCATTTGGTGGAGGTCCAGGTTTCTGAAAAAACAACTCTGAAAAAGGACATATGATAAGATATTATCTTTAGTTTCTATAGGGAACCAAATATCTTGTGGTTCTAACTTCCTAGTCTACTGTTTTAAGCTAACTTTTTGCTTATCAGGTTGCTCATTTATTTCTCAAGGCTAGCTAGATGCCTGGAAGTCTCCTTGAAGGAGCTCAAGATTTTCCTATATTTCCAAGGTTGGGGGCGGCGGGTTCCTAAAAATGGTCCCTGCTCTGTCTCATCCTAACCAAGTCACTTGCTCTCAATTTCCCGTTAAATAAGAGGAGTGCACTTGATAGTCACTCAGATTACAATTAAGTCAAAAAATTATTGTATGTTCTACCAATAATATTCTGAATTACAAAAAACAGGTCAGACTGATCTGGACAAGGAAACTCTCTTATCTTTAAAATATAAATAAAAACATTTTAGAAAAGAAAAATAATATTTGATTTGGGCTTTGAGATTTACAAATTAAATAATATGAAATTCTGGGGCCAGGAGCAGTGGCTCATGCCTGTAATCTCAGCACTTTGGGAGGCCAAGGCGGGCAGATCACCTGAGGTCGGAAGTTCGAGACCAGACTGACCAACATGGAGAAACCCCTTCTCTACTAAAAATACAAAATTAGCCAGGCATGGTGGCTCATGCCTGTAATCCCAGCTACTTGGGAGGCTGAGGCAGGAGAATCGCTTGAACCTGGGAGGCAGAGGTTGCAGTGAGTCGAGATTACGCCATTGCACTCCAGCCTGGGCAACAAGAGTGAAACTCCATCTCAAAAAGAAAAAAAGAAAAGGAAAGAAATTCTGTTGATTGAATAAACTTGGTGTACTGGATCAGCTCCTTCCTTACTTCCTTCCTTCCTTGCTCTTTCTTTCTTTCTTTCTTTCTCTCTCTCTTTCTCTCTTTCTTTCTTTCTCTCTCTCTTTCTCTCTTTCTTTTTTTTTTTTTTGACAGAATCTTGTTCTGTTGCCCAGGCTGGAGTGCAGTGATGCTATCTTGGCTCACTGAAGGCTCCACCTCCCAGGTTCAAGCAATTCTCCTGCCTCAGCCTCCCAAGCAGCTGGGACTACAGGCATGTGCCACCGTACCCAGCTAATTTTTGTATTAGAGACAGGGTTTCACCATGTTGGCCAGGCTGGTCTCAAACTCCTGACTTCAAGTGATTCACCTGCCTTGGCCTCCCAAAGTGCTGGGATTACAGGCGTGAGCCACTGTGCTCGGCCTGGATCATTTTCTTTACATGAAAACTCCATAGCAGTTTTTCTTTGAGCTCCTTTCCAATAACTTCCTTGCTTCATAAATTCTACTTAAGATGTTTTCTCTTCCTGATCTCTATGTGGGCAGAAAAAAGGTAGCAATGCTTACGTAATAAATGATTATGCTCATCTTTGACTTTTTCTTATGTTCATTTCTACAGTTTCTACTGCAATTATTTTTTTTAACTGAGGATGGCTAAAAATGTACCTCCAGCTAGAGTTTATAAATGCAAGATAAATGCTTGATGAGCTGCTATTAGAGGTTCCTGAAAATAAATACCAGGTGACAGTTTGCACTGTTCATCAAAGAGCATTAACAGAGATGAGAGGGTGGCATACTTTTTTATTTTAAAAAACAACCAAATGAAAAAAAGTCATCAATAATGCTACCACTTAGAGATAATGATCTTTAGCAAATTACATCATTAACAGTGTCTTCCAATCCTTTTTCTTGGCAGGTATAACAAACTAAGTGATCCAAAAACACATTTTACATGCTTAGTTCACACAAACTTTCACATACATAAAATTTGTATATGCCATAGTTGGAGCTATGCAGGAGATCCAGTCCCTGCTGGAGATGATGCTAGGACACAGAAAAAGAGGAAGAAATTCTCTGGCTTCTGCCTTTTTTTTTTTTTTCCAGTCTCCCAGTAGTGCCTCCCATTGGCTGAACCCAGCCAGAAGTCAGCTGACGTAAGATCTTGGAAAATGCAGCCCACAGCGGGGAAGCCCCAGGAAGTCACAGGAAGAAAGGGAGAGGCACAAACAAGCACAGGATCAGCATAGCCCACCCTTTTTGCTATTCAGCATCCATTCTAATCTTTCTGCCCATACTTAACTCTCATAAAACAACCTTATGCTTCTACCTAACATAAAATGTTAGGCGGAAGATCTGTCCAACAAATAAGGATGTTCTTGCTCTCTCCCCAACAAGGGGAAACACAAAATCTCATCTGTCATGTTGTCCACATCAAATCTAAGATCTCCAAGGGATATGCAGCAACAGCAGGTCTGGCTGTATCTTCTCATACCTGGTTGCCATTGAATTAAAGTTAAGCACCATTGAAAGTCTTTGTGCAAAACCACAGGGAAAAGATGAAGGGCAGAGGCTTGGAATTATTGGTTTAAATACACATAACACTGCAGCCTCAGTCCTCAGCTTCGTATCTGATCATGAAACCATAGTTGATACTTATCACATCCTTTTTCCATTACCCATTCCATAATACCTTTGCCTTCGAGCAGAACCTTGGCTGGTTGGAATTGTTTACACAGTGAGGTGACCCACACCTTCATTCTTTTTGGGTTTTAGTCCTTACTCGTCCTGAATTTTTGTGGTCACTCTTACCCACCTCTTCCACACTGACCTTTTCTACTGAACATGCAAGTATTAAGAGGTGCCCCAGGGAATTCGTGATTCCAGACATGGTCTTCTCAGTCCTCATTGAGTAGAAATGCCTCCAATTCAATGGAACTATTGTGTCTCCTGATGTAAGCATTCTGCTCTTGGGAATTAGGACTTCTAGACCAGAAGTCAAGGTTACAGACAAAGTCAACAAACTCTTGCAAACAGGTTATTAATTGTAAAAAGGAGCCCCTCCCATTTCCATCACTTGGTTTCCAAACAGTGTGCTCTTGCCAGGAGAGAAAATGAAACATATATAAATTATTGGCTCAAAACACATCCTATAAGACAATATCCCAACTTGGTAAAGTATTGTCTCTCAATTATGTCTGCCATAATTGAGTCTTTAGCAGATCATTCTACCATTTTTATCAAGCCAGCTGCTTCTGGATGGTGGGACACATAGTAAGACCAGTTGAATCCCTTGCTGTACTTATTTATGGTAAAATGAGTTCTGTGATTGGAAGTGATGTTGTGTGGGATACCTTGGGGGTGAATAGGAATCCTATAAATCCATGGATAGTGCTGCTAGTTAAAGCAAGTTGAATAGAAGCAATTATTCATATTCAGAAAAAAAATTCAATGAGATAAAAATGCTGCCCACTTAATGATGGAAGGGCTTCTGTGTAATTGATCTACCATCAGGTGGCTGGCTGGTCTCCCAAGGAAATGATATAGTATGAGGGGCTCATCATCAGCCTTTGTTGTTGGCATATTGTGCACTCAACAGCAGCAGCAGCCAAATCAGTCTTGGTGTGGGAAAGTCCATGCTGTTGAGCTGAGGCATGGCCTATGTTTCTGATGTCATGGCCACTGCTATGGTTTGAATATTTGTTACTCTCCACAACTCATGTTAAAATTTAATTGCCATTGTAGCAATATTAAGAGGTGGAGCCTTTAAGAAGAGAGAGCCATTAAGATCAGGGCACTAGGCCTCCACCCTCATGGGTGTGATTGGTGCTGTTATAAAAGGGCAAATTTAGCCTCTTCTAGCTCTCTTCTTGCCCTTCTACTTTCTTCCATGTGATAGCATAGTAAGAAAGCCCTTGACAGATGCCAGCCTCTTGATCTTGGACTTTTCAGCCTCCAGAACAGTGAGCCAATAAACTTCCACTCATTATAAATTACCCAGTCTCAGGTATTCTGTTATAGGAGCACAAATGGACTAAGACAACCACTTTGGGTTTCTATACACAAACCCACTGAGTAAGCACAGAACGACTGAAAAAAGAGACTGACTTATGGCCATAGGATGATCATCTTGAAGCTTGATTATTGTGAAGCTCCACTGATGTTAATGCCATCTGCTCAGTATTTACATTGGATACAAACATTTGTATACTCTGTGCCTCTCCTAATTCAGGTTTCCCAGAAGCAGAGCCTGAAACAGAGGTTCATATATATGCAAAATTTTTTCCAGTGGCTTAAACAAATAGATGTTTATTTATTTCTCATAGAGACAGTGACTACACTGAAAAGGGTTACTGAGCACTGGATTGTTTTGGTCATCACAGGAAAGATGTGACATATATATTTTTTGAGACAGAGTCTTGCTCTGACTCCCAGGCTGGAGTGCAGTGGCGTGGTCTCGGGTCACTGCAAACTCCGCCTCCCGGGCTCAAGCAATTCTCCTGCCTCAGCCTCCCAAGTAGCTGGGATTACAGACACTCACCACCATGCCCGGCTAATTTTTGTATTTTTAGTAGAGACATGGTTTCACCATTTTGGCCAGGCTGGTCTCGAACTTCTGACCTCAAGTGATCCGCCAAACTCAGCCTCCCAAAATGCTTGGATTACAAGCATGAGCCACTAGATGTGATATATTTTTAAGGCGCTATCAGGAGAAACTGATAAGGGAATGAGAGAAGCAGGGTAGGGAAGGAAAAGGAGCTATGTAAGAATGTGGGTTAAAGTGAAGTCTAGCTTCACCTGATCCCACAGGGAACTTTGAAGTATAAATTGTGCCACAGAATCTGTCCCACTTTGAGGCAAGGAAAGGGGCTTTAGTACCCCCATTGCAGATGGTCATTGGCCATGGGCTGCCAGGGTAGGGAAGGCAGTAAAATTCTCAGGTATCTGGGGTAAGATGGCTTTAGTTGTTCAGGGGTGATCCCCCAGAGAAAGTTGCAAGTATGAGGTATTGCCTGAAACACCCTGTCAGCTCAAGCATGTGCATACAAACTAAGGCACTGAAAACAATTCAATTTCTGATGTTTATTCCTTTGTGTAGATCCATGTTTCCACCTGGCATCATTTTCCTATGGCCTGAAAGACATCCTTTAATAGTTCTTATAGTGCATCATGTAGTAGTGATAAATGCTTTCAGCCTTTGTTAAGTTTGGAACATATTTATTTTGCCTTCATTTTTATTTATTTATTTACTTAACTTTATTTATTTATTTTTTGAGATGGAGTCTTACTCTTGTCGCCAGGCTGGAGTGCAGTGGTGAGATCTTGGCTCACTGCAACCTCCACCTCCTGGGTTCAAACAATTCTTCCGCCTCAGCCTCCCAAGTAGCTGGGATTACAGGCACACACCAACATGCCAGGCTAATTTTTGTATTTTTGGTAGAGACAGGGTTTCACCATGTTGGCCAGGCTGGTCTCAAACTCCTGACCTCAGGCGATCCACCCATTTCAGCCTTTCACAGTGCTGGGATTACAGGTGTGAGCCACTGTGCCCAGCCAGCCTTCATTTTTAAAAGATATTTTTATTGGTTATAAAATTATAAGTTGATAGTATTTTTATTTTAGCACTTTAAAAATGTTGCTTCACTAGTGCTTGAACTGACTGTGTTCCCCTCAAATTCATATGTTGAAATCCTAACACCCCGTGTTGTTGATATTGGGAAGTGGAGCTTTTGGGAGGTAATTATATCATGAGAGTGGAGCCCTCAGGAATGAAATTAGAGATCTTATAAAAATACACAAGAGAGCTTGCTTCTTCTCTCTCTGCTCTCTGCCATGTGAGAACACAATAAAAATGATGGCCTTCTGCAAACCAGAAAGTGAGCTCTCATCAGACATCAAGTCTGCCTGCATCTTGCTCTTGGACTTTTCAGTCTCCAGAACCCTGAAAAATGAATGTTTGTTGTTTATGCCACCTAGTCTATGGTAATTTGTTACAGCAGCCCAAGCTGACCAAGGCAACTATTTTCTCACTTACATTGTTTCGAACAAGAAATCTAAAGTCATCCTCATCCTTGCTTTTCTGTAATGCCTTTTATTCTCTCTGGCTGCTTTTAAGAGCTTCTCTTTATCACCAGTTTTATGATGTGCCTTAGAGTTGTTTTCTTTATGTTTCTGTACTTGAGTATTTTCTGAGGTTCTTGGATCTATATAGTTTCCATCAAATTTGGGAAAATTTCAACCATTATTTTTTCAAGTATTTTTTCTGTCTCTCTCTCTCTTTCCTCTCTTTTGGAAGCTCCAACTGTATTGTTTGAAGTTGTCCTGCAGTTCACTTTTATTACAGTTTTCATGTAGAAGTTCTATGTCTTTTTTTTTACATCTTTTATATCTCTACTCAACTTTGTGAACATATGCATATAGTTACAACTGTTTTAATGTCCTACTAATTATAATACCTATGGCACTTCTGCGTGGTTTTGATTGAACAATTTATCTCCTTATTATGGGTCATATTTTCCTACTCCTTTGCATGCCTGGCAATTTTTGTTGGGTGGCAGATATAGTGAAATTTACTTGTTAGGTGTGGGTATTTTGTATTCCTATAAATATTCTTAAACTTTGTTCTGGAACACCATTAATTTATTTGGAAAGAGTTTTGTTTCTTTGTGGTCTTACTTTTAAGATTTGTTAGGTAAAACTGCAACAGCATTCATTTGGGGGCTAATTATTTCCCATTATTAAGGCAAGACTCTTCCACAGGGACTACCCAGTGCCCTGGCTGGTGAAATTGGGCCACTATTCCTGGCTTTTTGTGAACCCTGGGCACTGTTACTTCTAATCTTTTTAGAAACTTCTTTTCCTGACCTCAGGTTGATTCTTCACACACATGCACTGATCAGTACTCTGCCAAATACTAGAAAAGAACTCTCTACAGATCTCTGGGTTTCTTTCTGTGTGCAGTTCTTTCCTTGTTGGTTGTCTGTCCTGAAAACTCCGGGTGTTTTTATTCTCCTTCAGACTCTCAGCTACTTCTCCTCAACTCAAGGAAGCTACTGTACTCTGCTGGGTTCCCCTTCCTGTTCTAAGACCTGGAAGCTCTCTCAAGATAGGGTTCACCTCCTTTGTTTCCTGTTAAGGAAACTGTCTTTTGTTGTTTGATGTTGAGTGTCTTTAAAAAATCATTGTTTTGGGCCAGGCGCGGTGGCTCAAGCCTGTAATCCCAGCACTTTTGGAGGCTGAGGTGGGTGGATCATGAGGTCAGGAGATCAAGACCAGCCTGGCTAACATGGTGAAATCCTGTCTCTATTAAAAATACAAAAAATTAGCCAGGTGTGGTGGCGGGCACCTGTAGTCCCAGCTACTTGGGAGGCTGAGGCAGGAGAACGGCGTGAACCCGGGAGGCAGAGCTTGCAGTGAGCCGAGATGGCGCCACTGCACTCCAGCCTGGGTGACAGAGCAAGACACTGTCTCAAAAATAAATAAATAAATAAATAAATCATTGTTTTGAAACTGCATTTGCAAAAATTATATAACAGTGATAAAGTTATGGCAGTGGGGGAGATCTGATCTAGCCAAATGCTCTTTCTTTTGCCTTTAGCCTTCAAGCTGCCCTCCTAGGCTTAAGCAAGCTAACTTTGGGAGAAATATAGTTCATAATTTACATGATAATAACCCTTCCCCAAAATTCAACCATCTTTGTAAAGCTAATGAGAGACCACCAGGCTAGGAGGATAGAGAAGCCTGAATTCTGCTAAGGTGTAGACATAAACAATTGCCAGCCATTATTCTGGAGGTCACAAGATATGCAACTTCCCCAATTATTCCTGCAGATAACATTAATATTATAGAACCTAAGATTGGCCTTTTGAGATATCTTTTCAGTTTTTTTGCATGTCCGATAATGGATGGCTGTACCTGGACCCACCAACCACTCCTGTGACCCCACCCAGAAGTGACTCAGTGCTCAGGAGAATCATTTCCCACACCCTTTTGATTGCACCTCCAACCAATTACCAGCAAGCACTACTACCCCTTTCCCCAAACTACCTTTGAAAAACCCCTAACCTCTGAGCCTTCAGGGAGATTGACTTGAGTAATAACTCTGTCTCCTGTGTGACGTGGCCGGCCTCACATCAATTAAACTCTTTCTTTACTGCAATGCCATGGTCTCCATGAATTGATTTTGTTTGTGCACTGGGCAGGAAGAGTCCATTGAGCAGTTGCAGTTTCACATGTTTGGTCTATTTTTTCATTGTTTCAGCAGGAGGATCAATCCAGTTTCTGTTATGCCATCTTTACCTGAAGTCAAAGTCCACTCTGCTGTTATTTTTATGAATCCCTCACTTCCATTTTCCAAAGCTTAATTTGTTCTTTTCATAACTTTTGAGTAGAATGTTTAATTCATATGTCACTTTCTTATTTATAATGATATTCCCTTTTATCACAACTTTATCCATAACCCATACATTTTACTTTATAGGGTTTTTCTTATCATCGCTTTCATTGTCTCATCAGATAAATTTTTTAAATCTCCAAATGGTTGGGGTATTTACTGTTTGATCATTTTGTATCATTGTTATTATAAACTTCTTGTTTTTCCACATTATGAGTAAAGGCTGTGGTGAAGCAGACCCCATAGTGGTTAATAGTTTGAATGCTTGAGTCAGAAGGCTGAGGTTTACATCCCTGCTCTGTCTTTTTCTGACTATATGATTTTGCGCAAAGTATTTAACCTAAGGCTCAATTTCTTCATTTGTACAATGGAGATGATAATAATACCTATCTCAAATGGTTGCCCCAAGAGTTAAATAAAGATAATAAGTATCTGGGAAGCCTTAGCGCATAGTAAGCATTCAACAAATCTCAATTAAAGTTTCTATTTGGGAAAATTTATAGATTTCTTTGTGGTCAAATTTTGATACTCACTGATACTTGAAAGAATAAAAAAGGATGTTCTCAATAGGTGTGGTCAATGTTGCAACGGATGTTACTGATCTCCAACTCCATATTCCTTTGTCCCGCCTCAGAGTTTGCCTGAAGCTGCATTGGGCAATGTGCCGACAGGACAGTTTCCCTCAAGAACCTGTACATTTCTCTGCTTGTCTACCTGAAGGTGCTCCAGGGCAGTCCAGCAGTGTTTGAGATTTGAAACTCTCAGAGATAATTCTCAATCAGTGAGGAACAGGAAAAAAGGGATACAAACCCCAGCTTTCCTGTCCCTTGAGAGAGAAAATCGAAGGTGTGTTGTATATATTCTTCCTAGAATCCCCAAAAAGACTGAGCTTCGGTCACCCACAGAAGAAACCCACTCATTTTTTATGCACCCTGGATGGGCTTTTTCCTCTTCCTGTCTCACAGTTCCTGCTCTTTCTCTTGGGCTTCCTGAGATTACCTCCTAAATCTGCTTTCTGTAGGAACACACACTAACACAGATATGTATATGTATTAGATTGTCCTAGCAAATGCACTGTTCACATCCTCTAAGCAGTGGCTCTCAATTCTCATTTCATATTATAATCAACTGGAGAATGCATCAAAATTTCTGGGAATGGTGAAATAAAAAACAAATCCAGATTTAGTAAGGAAAGACTTTATTCAAAAAAAAATATTGCAAAGGGGAGTGGGGAGGAACTATTGCAATAGTGAGAGAAGAGCTATTACAACAGAGAGAACCTTCTGACCATAAGATCTGTTAAAAAAAAAAATAAGCTTATGCACATTAAAATTTTAATAAGTTTATTTGAGCATTCAGCTATTTGTGGATGGGGCAGTACCAGACCACAGGTGGTTTAGCGCTCCACCAAGAAGGTAAGGGAAACTTTTTGAAGGTGTTCATAGAAGTAAGGCAAATTAAATATTTGCTTGGTTAAAATGGAAAATCCCTAGTTAGAGGTTAGTTGGCCATTTCTGATTGGTGAAGTCTCTAGGTAGAGGTTAGTTGGCAGTTTCTGATTGGTTAAGCTTAAGTTTTGCTTTATTGTTTACATTGAGTTGGGTTTTAGTTTGCTTAGGAACTCAAGGTGCTGGAGCTGTATTAGCCTAATGGCCTCCCTATTAATGATTTTGACAGCTCTCAAGGCCAAAAAGGGATTTCTTTTATAGAGAGGAGTAAACAAGACAAGAAAGACCCTGGTGTGGGGAACTGGGATGAAAAGGTGGCCTGATGGAATAACAGATCAGAGAATGGTTTGCTCTGAGGCCAGCCTATTCTTGAGGGGCTGCTAAGAAGATGTTGTGGGGACCTGAGTGAAGGAGAGAATCTTAACCGAAGTTTGGTTAACAGGCATTTGTTCTGAGTCCCACCTAAGTCATGTGGGAAAGGATGGTTCTTTGCAATGGGCCTTTTCCAGAACACAAAATGGGTGGGCAAGGGAAGGATTCTTAACTGTTTCTTTTTTCCACAATGATACGACTCAGGTAAAATTCAATGTTGTCTGGATGGAGCCTGAACAACATTTTCTAGAAGCTTCTGTAAACTAAAAATAAAATTCTAAGCCCCTCAACTGACTGCTTGGCCAAGGAGTCCCCAGCATAATCTTGAAAACTGAGTTATTGGCCATGATGGGATCGGGGGTTCAGACACACCTTGTTATACCCCCTCCCTGACTAACCATGATTAGGCTTTCTTCCCTCAGGGCTTAGCAGAAACCAGCCCTTTCAAAAGACTCCACCACAGATATCAATCAACCAAGTGCCTAAGGCTGCCCCTCCTTTTTTCCCTGATAAGAGATCACCACTGGAGTAGTTCTGGCCTGTCTAAGGAGAAGGCACAGTAATGGTTTGTGTGTCCTCTGCTTCACCTTTTGATATCAGAGGGCCAAAAACTCCACCCTCAGATCATGCTGACATTGCTATGTTTTGTCCCTGGGACTCATGGAGAGGCGTGAAGCTCAATTGTGCATGTGCATGTTTCTCCTTTCATAAATATTCATGACTTTTCCTATAGCTTAATAAATATGTATATTTGGCCACTGTGCTACACATAAATTTCTGCTCCCTTTGCCCCTCCCTTGAAGTGTCTGTTTCTGGCTTCTTACTGGAGGCTGTGCTTCCCAGCCTGTCAGAATGGCCATCCTGCAGGCTGCAACCCTTTATGAGACATAAAGCTTTCCTTCCCACATTTATGAACCTTATCTTTCTTCAGTTGACACTTCCTAGGTAAAGTATAGATTACAATAAGAGACTTGTGAGACACATCAACCAATCAAAATGTGTAGACCTTACTCAGATCCTGAGTTAAACACAGTTTTTCTTGCCAGGGGCAGTGGCTCACACCTGTAATCCCAGCACTTTGGGAAACTGAGGCTGGTGGATTGCTTGAGTCCAGGAGTTTGAGACCAGCCTGGGCAACATGGCAAAACCTTGTCCCTACAAGAAAAATACAATAAGCCAGGCACGGTGGTGCATGCCTGTAGTCCCAGCTACTTGGGAGGCTGAGGCAAGAAGATTTTGAGCTCAGGATGCAGAGGTTGCAGTGAGCCCTGATCATGCCATTGCACTCCAGCCTGGGTGACAGAGCAAGACCCTGTCTCAAAAAAAAAATAAATAAATAAAATAAAATAAACACAGCTATTAAATAATGGCATTTGTGCAACAATTGGAAACTTTAACACTAAATTTTCGATGAAGTTAAGGAATTACTGTTATTTTTTAAGTGTGATAATGATATTATGCTTACAAATTTTTAATTTTTAAAAAGTGATAAGGGTATTGTGGTTATGCTTTTTAAAAGGAGTCCTTACATTTTAGAGATACTGACTGGAAGAAATGTTTATAGATCAAGCAATATGATTTCTGCGATTTGCTTCAATATAATCTGGAAAGGGGGAAACTGGATGGGGACACAGCTGGTCATGAATTGATAATGGTTGATGCTAGGTGGTGGACCATGTGGGCTCATTTGGTTAGTCTATTACTTTTGCATATGTTTGAAGTTTCCATAATAAAAAAGCATTTAAAAAGAAACTTCTAAATTGTTCTTCATATACAGCCTATATTGAGAACTGCTATTCATACCCTTACTTATTTTTTGTCTGCTCAATTGTCAAAACCTGAAAGGGTTTTTTTGAGGGTTCTCCTTCCATGACTTTTATATTTCTATTCATTTCTATTTGTATTTTCTGCAATGCTTCCTTTATATCTTTTATTGCTTTATTATTTGTCAAAGTAGGTTTATAAAAAATACCCTTTTCTCTTTAAAAATAATATATGCTTATGGCAAAAGCAAAGAAAAAATCAAGCAGAATATAAAGGTAGATGATGAAAAATAGACTTGCCTTTCACCTCAGATCCCCAACTTTCTTTTTTTTTTTTTGAGACAGAGTCTTGCTCTGTCACCCAGGCTGGAGTGCAGTGGCATGATCTCGGCTCACTGCAACCTCTGCCTCCCGGGTTCAAGCGATTCTCCTGCCTCAGCCTCTCAAGTAGCTGGGACTACAGGCACCTGCCACCACGCCTGGCTAATTTTTGTATTTTTAGTAGAGGCAGGGTTTTACCATGTTGGCCAGGCTGGTCTCAAACTCCTGACCTCAGGTGATCTGCCCGCCTTGGCCTCCCAAAGTGCTAGGATTACAGGCATTAGCCACTGTGCCTGGCCAAGATCCCCAACTTTCAGTCCTTTCAGTCCCCCTTCCCAATCACCAGTTTTTTCTGTCTCCATGGAGGAGTAGTGACTATGTATATAAACTGTAGGGACCAAAAGGTGTGATACCTGTCCTCCCCATCACAAGTGTCACTGCAGATACTCCTATAACAAAAGACAGGTTAACAAGAGAAGAACATAACAGATTCATTTAGTCAAAGTTTTACATGCTTCAGAAATGAAGACCCAGGGACTCAGGGAAAATCGTTTGTTTTTATGTTTAGGTTCGATGAAGAATGGATAGCCATGTAGAAATGTGATTAGACAAAAGGGTATGACCTAATAGTAGCAGATAGACTGGGGAAGCCCAAGAAGGCCTGTCTGTTCAGAATCTTCTTGGCCTCTCTGTTGTAGCATTTATTCCTCCTGGGTATGGGGCAGGACCCTTTGGAATGAGGTTAGGTCTTATGACCTACTATCAGGCAAGGGCAGATCAGAGAACATCTTTATGGCCAGTGTTGGGGCTCAGAAAACAATATCCCAAAATGAAGGCCTCAGAAGCAGCCTTAAGAGAAAAAGTTTCTCCCCTGAGACTAGCCATACAAACTAGAATCCCTGTTCCCCAAGGCAGGTCACAGAAACCAGAACCCCTTTACCCCAAAGCCAGTCATAAAACCAGAACATAATACTCTAACTTTTCCTCTACCTTTCTGTGTAAAACTGGCCATAAAAAAAGTTATCTGATCTTCCTTGTTTGACTGTAAGTCATAAGACTCCCATTTCAGAAAGGGTCCTGCCCCATACCCAGAAGGAAGGAATGCATGCTCAGAGAGGGCCAGAAGAGTTTAGACAGACAGGCCTTGCTGGATATCCCCAGTCTATTAGCATTAGATCATACCCTTTCTGTCCAATCACATTTCTACAGGGCTGTCCATACTTTTTTGAACCTAAGCATGAAAATGGACAATTTCCCCTGTATCTTTGGGTCTTCCTTCTGAAGGCTCCTGTATATACACATTACATAAATTTGTATGCCTTTTCTCCAGTTAATCTGCCTTTTCCAAGTTGGTTTTTCAGCAAACCCTCAAAGCGCCAAGTGAAACCCCCTGGCCTCTGCACGAGCTCTTAGACAGAAAGGTTGGAGGAAGTTTGGAGTAACAGCTTGCTTTGGATAAAGGGAGTTCTAGCTTCTAAGAGCCCCCCTTAACCCCTGGGGAAGAGCAATTCTTGTTCCTGACTTACTTCAAGAGAGGAGGGGTGGGAGACAGGAGAGCAGGAGGTCAGAGAGACCTTGGTTCTGAGGCTGCTTCTGAGACCTTCCAGTCTCCTTTAGTTCAAAGTACTCAGCATGCCAAATTGCCCTCAGAGAGGGTTCTTCTATCTCACACAAGAAAGGGTTTGGAGCAAGCCCATAGAGGGAAGTGAAAGCAAGTTTATTAAGAAAGTAAAGGAATAAAAGAATGGCTACTCCCTAGACAGAGGAACAGCACAGGACGCGCAGCTGGTTATAGTTATTGTTACTTCTTGATTATATGCTAAACAAGCGGTGGATTATTCATGAATTTTCCTGGAAAGGGATGGGAAATTCCTGGAACTAAGGGTTCCTCCCTGTTTTAGACCATATAGGGTAACTTCCTGGCATTGCCATGGCATTTGTAAACTGTCATGGCGCTGGTGGGAGTGTCTTCTAGCATGTTAATGCATTATAATTAGTGTGTAAGGAGCAGTGAGGACAACCAGAGGTCACTTTCATCGCCTCCTTAGTTTTGGTGGGTTTTGGCTGGCTTCTTTACCACAGCCTGTTTTATCAGCAAGGTCTTCATGACCTGTATGTTGTGCCAACCTCCTAACTCATCCTGTGACTAAGAATGCTTAACCTCCTGGGAGTGCAGCCTAGTAGGTCTCAGCCTTATTTTACTCCTCCCCAATTCAAGATGAAGTTTCTCTGGTTCAAACGCTTCTGACAGTTCTATTGCTATTATTTCTTTCTTTTATACCTAATGCACTAAGTATTTTTATAACTAAAGCAGTATTTTTGTTGACAAAAATACTTAAAAGAGTACTTGCTTCAGCAGCACATATACTAAAATTAGAATGATACAGAGAAGATTAACATGACCCCTGCACAAGAATAACACGCAAATTCATGAAGTGTTCCATATTTTTATTACATTATGTGTCAATTAAAAATAAAATAAAACTTTAAAAAAACATAGAAGAAAATCCTTTCAACCTTAAATATCACATACTGATCTGTCATTAGATTGTCTGCAATGATTTCTCAGCTGACAAGTCATATACAAGGCAGATATTTATCTTTAAAATAATCCTGTGTTCTTTTTTATGTGTGAAGGTTCACTTTCTGAAAATTCATTAAGCTCTATACTTAAGATGTGTTCACTGTTCTCTACCTGGGATATAATTTAGAAATGTCTTCTAAACAACTCATTTGCTCACCACGAATTATCTGAACTACAACCTCGCCGGGTCGTGGGAGTTCTCCCTTTTCCCATCATGATGAAAACCTTTAAGTCCAACTTCCCATGATACCAGTGATTTTCTCCCGGGTAAAGGGCCTTTAACATCCTGCAGACCTCTGTCAAGGAAAACCAGGGCCAGACAGAAGTTAAAGCAGTGAAGACAAATTTTATTCAGGAGCTATTGCAATAGGGAAAGAGAGACCTCAGTTTAGAATGGGCTCCCTTCTGAATACAAGGACAAGTGGGAAATTATGGCCAAGGTGCAGGGTGAGGTCAGTGGATGGAAATTACTAAAAGGGAACATCAGCAATAAGAGGGATTCTAAACTGACTCAGCTTCTAGCTGAAGGCAGCCAGGATAAGAAGATACTGAGGGAGAGGGGTTGAGGAATTTCATCAGATATCAAGGGTGGTCAGATACCAAGGGTGGGGGATTCTAGTGACACTAACTCAGCAGGATTCTTTCTGAAAGCAGAATAAGCAAGCCAAGGACAGAGCCCATGGTCTGGGTCTTCAGGGCTTAGAAGAGCCTTATTAGTGTTAAGTCAGAGAGAGTCTGTCGCTCTAGATGTCCCTAAAGCCCCCAGGGGTAGGAGAGCTAACTTTCCTAGACAACTTCTGAAAACAGCTGGCCCTCCAAATCAAGACTGCCTGATGCCACTTCCTCCCATGGAGGCCACTTCCAGGAATGGGTCACTCTACTAGAAAAAAAAAATGTCCAGCAGAAGCCCTGGCCCTAGAAACAACTCACATGGAAAGATGGGTAGAATGAGGGACATTGAACATCCCTGTCTTGTTTACCTTGGCATGGGGGATTTTCCTTTACTCAATAAAGACTATTCCTTACTTAAGTCATGCTTGCAAAGCCAGTGGCAACCATAAAGGGCCTCATCTGGCAGGATAGATCCTCCTTCAGTTTTATTAAACCACGAGATTTGCAAAAGGATTGTTACTGGGTTTTGGGGGTCATTCACTTACTCAAGGTTGACACCAGTTTTTCAAAAATCCCTGCTTGTTGCCCAGGGGTCAGTGCATGATAGTGAGATTCAGAACATATGACTTTCTTTTGTAAATTGGAAGCTCAGCTCGAAAGTGTAGGTAAGAAAAGAAGGACCAGCATTGGCACTCAGCTGTGGGCAAATTTCTCAAGCAAATGAACTTTAGGAATAAACACTCGGCTTCTGAAAGTTTAGCCCCTTAAAACTATCACTGCCCCTATCCCTTAAAACATCTCACAAACCCGACTGGGGAGGCTGTTTACCCCACATTCACAGCTGCTATTTCAGATACTACCAAGGTTGAAGCAAGGATTTGAGAAGTAAGGAGGTAGGAGAGTTCTTCCTTAGCTGGTGGCTTCTCTGGAACTAGCAGATGATTAAAGCTGGCATTTTACCTTCTAGAGCTTTCTTGGGCACTTCTGGGAGCCCCAGCTCTGTGACCCAGCTTCAAGTCTCCTGAAGAGGTGACATATTCTGCTCCTTGGACTAGCTGCATCCCTCTCAGCCCTGGGTCATGGTGATGCACCCACACATTTTTCATAGTTGAAGACTTCTTTCTCACCTCCCAGGTGGTCCTCTTGAGTGGGACTTAATTCAGTTCAGCCTGGATTTTTCTCCCATCTCCCACACATCCATCTAGTCTACAGAAAACCCTCATCAAACCCCTACCCCCTCCCAAATAAAAAACTGTGGGAGTACAGTCTGTCAACTAGCACTCTTGTGGCTCTACCACCAAAACAACTAGTTGGCCCATCTCTAGCCCTCTAGATTTTGGAGGGTTACACCCCAGACCACCCATCTGGTCACTTACCAAGCTCTCAGATGCTCTCACTGAAGATCTACCTCATTATATTTCAGATCACAGCATACATCCCCTTGGCGGAGAAGGGATAGAGTTCATAGTACAGATTTTTTCCAAAGAAATAGTTTAACCCCTCTTCCCATGTTCTGACACTGTTAATATCCTTAAACCTGCTAGATGCTTATAACTAGTTCTCAGGGATATTTCATTTGTCAATTGGCACATAGGATCCGTCTTAAACCTATTTGAGATTTTATATTAATTATGTTTCTACTTCAGGTCAAACTGAGACAATAAACACTCATGCCATACCATTCTTTAACTGCTGTCTTGTCCTGTTTTCTGTTGTTATAACAGAATGCCTGGGACTGGGTAATTTATAAAGAAAGGAAGTTTATTTGGCTCACAGTTCTGGAGACTGAGAAGTGCAAGGGCATGATGACAGCTTCTGGCAAGAGCTTTGTACTGCATCATAACTTGGCAAATGGCATCACATGGCAAGAGAGCAAGAGTGTGCAAAAAAGACAAAACATGAGGGGTGGCCTTGTGTTATAACAATCTGCTCTCATGGTAACTAATCCAGTCCCGTTGGAGCAAGAACTCCCCATCGAGAACTAACCCAGTCCCATGAGAGCAGCATTAATGTCTTCATGAAGGCAAAGCCCTCATGACCCAAACACTTCATAAAGTTCCCACGACTTTTCAACATCATTACATTGGGAATCAAATTGCAACATGAGTTTTATAGGGGACAAGTCATATTCAAGCCATTAGTAACTGCCTATGCGTGGCAGTATCAGTAACTGTCTGGATGCATCTTTATGGATGTATCAACAATTCATTTAATCTGTCATGGTCATTTACTTCAATAATGCTTTAATAAATATCCCTTTACCTGTGTTTTTAAGTCAACTGTTAATATACCGGTAGGTAAATTTCTAGAAAAAGAGCTAAGTCACTCTCTGAAGGGGTTATACCAATTTACCCTCCCAATCTAAGTGTAAAAAAAGATGGTTTTTCCACATCCTCTGAACACAGTACCTTATTAAACTTTTAAACCTTTTCCAATGTAATAGGTAAAAAATTATATCTATATAAATATGTATTTTCTTGATTATAAATGAAGTTAAATATATTTTTATGCAATTTAAAACCACTTATTTTCTTTTACTATGAGATGCCTGTACATATCTTTTGCCCATTTTTTCCTATTGTGCTTTTGGTATTTTTCATATTAACTTGTAAACACTTCTTGTATTATTAGGGAAATTGGCTCACTGTCATGTGTGTTCCAAACAGATTTTCCCATAGTGGGAAAGGACATAGTGGGCAGGGGAACCCATGAAGAGATGGTTCAAGGCAAACGTAGTACAACTCAGGGCATTTAGAATGTAGCTACATTTGGAACAGCATCTCTCACATCTTCTCCTGTCTTCCAGATGTTACTGAGTTGTTACCTTCTCATTCATAGCAGTTCAGCAATGAAGATTTAATTGAAATGTAAGAAAAAGGGTCCATTGGACAGTCACCATGGCAACTGCCCCTCCCACAATATTTACCATTCAAAGGCTTCTGCAGGCATTCATGTACAACCAATTAGCAAAGAAAGATTCCAGATTCACAACCCTAATTTTGAATGCAGTTTGAAGGTGCTTAGAGACATAAAGAATGCCTGTGCTTTCTATAGGGAGATTACTAGGAAAAGAATTGTCTTCAGTTCCAGCTTCTGTGGCAAGATGATTTGTTCAGACATTAGAGTATATTTTGTTTTTAGTGTAATTTTTCTTCCATTTCCACCATCTGCTGAGGGTTGCCAGCCCACAGTGCTTGCTGGTCTCAAGAGTGGTTTATATTCCTGGGCATAAGGCAGAAACTGCTTAAAGATCATCTCTAGTCTTGCCCTTAGTGAAAGCTCAAGCTCACTGAAGAGTTTTAAACTATAAATCTAAGTGGGGAGGGGCATGGCGAGGAGAAGCCAATTCTCTTTGGAGGCAAGAGGAGGAGTGAGCGAAAGCAGGAGATGCTCTGCAAAGAGGGCAGACCTGTAACCACTGCTGAAAACATCTAGGTTGGTGACAGAACCTGGTCGTGATGGCTGGAGCTCTTCAGGAAGTGCAGCCCTAGGCACTGGGATTCCCGGTCCTAACAAAAAATCCCAGTCTCAACGGCAGAAAAGACCAGTGGCTCGCCCACTTCCACAGGACCATATTTCTGACACCCTAAGGCATCTCAGCCCTAACCACTATGGCCTGAGGATTGTTGGTGCTTCCAGGCATATAACCCCTGGGATACATGAGTGACTTTATGGTATATTAGAGTGTCAGAAGAATCTTAACAGTAACTGAAGTTACGTTTTCTATCATTTTAGCTGGCCAAGAGCTTGAAATTATTTTTATTTTTAATAATGCGACATCCAATTTGACACATCAGTTTGTGGATTAAAATTTACATCCAGCGCACGTTTTTAGACTAGTATTGTTAAGAAGCCTCAGCCAGTTCAGCTCCTAACAAAAATCCTACCACACACACACACAAAGCACATTTGTGACATGGTTTTTATATTGTTTTTATTTTGCCCACTTAGTACTTTACAAACACATTTTGCTTTATTTCTTTTAATGTATTTTCATGATCAATTATAGAACTTTTATGGGAGAAAATAGGTTTCCTGAAAAGATACTTTGGTTATGACTTTTCATCAGTAGGGATTAAGTGTTAAGTATTTTGAAGTCTGACTTGTCATATTCGCCAGTTAGTTCAAATCAAGGATGGCCTGGATGGTTCTCTACTGCCCTCCAGTGGGAAAGCTAGATGGAGGTCAAAGCATTTTTGAAATGGAAAATGGACTGGTTTATGTGTCTCTAATATTGGGACGTAAAATATATAGACAGAAGGAGATAAAAGAACTGAAGGATGTTTTCTTCTCAGTGTGTTCAGAAATAAGTGAACTGTTGAACAATGAACCATTCAGCACCATGACTTCTTACAACTTCAAAAGGATATTGTAAATACTGTATTTAAAACCGAGGTCTTGGCCAGGCACGGTGGCTCTCGCTTGCCTATAATCCCAACACTTTGGCGGGCCAAAGCAGGAGGATCACTTGAGGTCAGAAGTTGGAGACCAGCCTGGCCAACACGGTGAAACCCCATCTCTACTAAAAATACAAAAATTAGCTGGGTGTGGTGGCATGTGACTATAATCCCAGTTACTTGGGAGGCTGAGGCAGGAGAATAGCTTGAACCTGGGAGGTGGAGGTTGCAATGAGCCAAGATTGCACCAGTGCACTCCAGCCTGGGTGACAGAGTGAGATTCTGTCAAACAAAAAACAAACAAACAAAAAAAAAACAAACAAAGAAGGAAGGAAAAAGAAAAAGAAAGATAAAATGGAGGTCTTTCTGCCAGGACAAAAATAGTACACAACTTTGAACTTAAACATTTTAAGCATTCTGAGTCTCTATGTATACTTATATAATCTTGCTTTACTTCTGTATAATTATTTAATTATGATCTTCTAGTCTATTATATATCATAACACCCTTATTTCTTCAAAGAAGACTATTAAAGGGCTATGAAGAAATTATGCGGCTTCTTAGTTTCTCCGTGAATCTGATTAATATCCGTGATAGGCTTGCATTAAAAAGTTTATTTTGTTTACAGAAAAAGTTTGCCAAACCCTGCTAAGTCAGAATTCCCACCACATTTGCATCCTGCTTTAACCAACTGATAGATATATTTTACAGTGAAGGAAAAACTTAGAAAAAGTACATTTTACTAACATAAAAACAAACAAAAAAAAACCAAAAATGGTTATACAAAAGGAGTGGATTAATCTCTGAATACTGACTGATTCTTACGTGCTCATTTCCCCCTGTACTTCTAAATATACTTCTAGAACTGATGTGTTTAAAACAGATTGATGTCTGTGTCAGGAGCAGGGCAATAAAATAAACTCAGTTGCTCAAAAAATTAGTTTATTTAGCATTTCTGCATTATTTAAATGAGTCTTATTCTATTCTTTTAAAAATCTGTCTTTAAAATATCCAAATTAACATATTAATCACTAACAGACAGTGGTGGTTATAAATAAAGGCTCTAATTATGTTGCATTTTTAAATATATTTTCAAAATATATTAATTCCTCTTGAACAAACAAAAAATATGAAAACACTCACCGCTCCCCTCTGGTAAACAAGATGCCAACTCTAGGGTACGGTGGAAAGACATACTGGATACTTTCACTGTGTTCAGCAAATGGATTGAACATGGAGCCAAAAACATGCGAAGCACTGGGACAATCTGAAAACAACAACAACAACAAAAAAAACAAGCTTTATCATTTCACAAGACCTTTTCCAGGTTGTAAAAGCAAGAGAGGAGGCAAGAAAAACAGAAAATTTCAAACTGATTTGAAAATTTTTAAAAAGTGATAGAGCCTGTATTACATAAAACTTATGAGACAGTTGACTCTAGGAAATTATAACACTTTGCCAATGTTTCCTGGGCAAGCTGATTATTAAAAATAATACCTAAAATATATTGAATATTTCCTGCATACTAAGTGCTATGCTAAGATCATCTCATTTGAATTCAGAAGACCCATATGAAATGGGTACCATTTTTATTACCATTTTACAGATAAAGAAATTGAAGATGAGAGAAACTGGCCAGGCACAGTGGCTCATGCCTACAATCCCAACACTTTGGGAGGCCGAGGTGGGCAGATCACTTGAGGTCAGGAGTTCGAGACCAGCCTGGCCAACATGGCGAAACCCTGACTCTACTAAAAATACAAAAATTAGCCAAGCTATGGTGGCGGGCGCCCGTAATCCCAGCTACTGGGGAGGCTGAGGCAGGAGAATTGCTTGAACCTGGGAGGTGGAGGTTGCAGTGAGCTGAGATAGCGCCACTGCACTCCAGCCTGGGTAACAGAAGGAGGTTGCATCTTGAAAAAAAAAAAAAGAGAGAGAGAGAGAAAACTTAATTAACTTGCTCAGGTAATTGGCAGAAGAAAGATCAAACTTCAGAGGATGATTTAACAATAGCAAGTCTGGTTTGTTTGGAAGCAGAAGCCTTCTAAAACTCTTATTTACTTTTTATATTTACTTTTTATATTTACTACATTTTTGTTTATTAGACATGTGAGGTTTCTTTCCAGATGTTAAACTTTTTTCATGTACAATCTACATTTTATTGCACAAAAATGCTTAAAACAAAGATTCGAGACTCAAAGAGAACAGAACTACAATATACCTCAGAAGTACCTTGTGAGAAAAGCATTGTTATTACTATTTTACAGATTAGTTAAGACCTTGGGGGCTTGGAGAGATAATGTGAATTCTCAAAGGGCAAAGGCTGACCTAGGACTTGAACCACATCATGTGAATAACTTCAGGTGTGTAAGATTGACTTGAGAATATTCCTTAGGTCATGGCACATGGCTATCATTAGGCATTCACAGGGAATCTGAGAGATTATATGAACACATCACAGTACAGCTGGCCCTCAATATCCATGGGTTCCACATCTGTGGATTCAAGCAACTGCAAATAAAAAATATTTGAAAAAAACTCAAGAGTTTTTTTCTTGTTATTGCCTAAACAATATAGTAGAACTACTATTTACATAGCATTTACATTGTATTGGGTATAAGTAATCTAGAGATAATTAAAAGTATAGGATGGGCATGGTGGCTCACACTTGTAATCCCAGCACTTTGGGAGGCCAAGGTGGGCAGATCACAAGGTCAGGAGTTCGAGACCAGCCTGGCCAACATAATGAAACACCATTTCTACTAAAAATACAAAAATTAGCAGGCATGGTGGTGTGCATCTGTAATCCCAGCTACTCAGGAGGCTGAAGCAGGAGAATTGCTTGCACCCAGGAGGCGGAGGTTGCAGTGAGCCGAGATCGCACCACTGCATTCCAGCCTGGACAACAGAGTGAGACTCCATCTCAAAAACAAAACAAAACAAACAAAAAAACTATACAGGAGGCAACAAAATACCAGCAAATAGAATTCATCAGCACATTAAAAAGATCGTTCATTATGACCAAGTGGAATTCAGCCCAGAGATGCAAGGACGGTTCAACATATACAAATTAATTAAGGTGATACAACATATTAACAGAATAAAGGACAAAAATCATATGATCATTTCAATTGATGCTGAGAAAGCATTTGATAAAATCCAACATCCCTTCATGATAAAAAAAAATCCTCAAAGAACTGGACATAGAAGGAACATATCTCAACACAGTAAAAGCCATATACAACAGACCTATGTCAGTATCAGACTAAATGCAGAAGAACTGAAAGTCTTTCCTCGAAGATCTGGAACACAACAAAGATGTCCACTTTCATCACTGTTATTGAATATTTTAATAGTAGTCAGTGTCCTAGCTAGAGCAACCCAGTAAGAGAAATAAATAAAAGGCATACAAATTGGAAAGAAAGAAGTCAAATTATCTTTGTTTGCAGATATGATCTTACATTGGGAAAAACTTAAAGACTCTATCAAAAAACTATTAGAACTGATAAACAAATTCAGTAGAGTTGCAGGATATAAAAATCAACATAAAAAATCAGTAGCATTCCTGTATGTCAATAGTGAACAATCTGAAGGAAGGTAATTCTATTTACAATAACAACAAATCAAATAAAAACCAAGAATAAACTTAATCAAAAAAGTAAAAGATCTCTATAATGAAAACTATAAAATGTTGATAAAGGAAATTGAAGCAGACACACAAAAAATAGAAAGATATACCATGTTCATGGATTGGAAGAATTAATATTGTTAAAATGTCCATACCACCAAAAGCAATCTACAGACTCAATGCAATCCCTATGAAAATAACAATAACATTCTTCACAGAAATAAAAAAAAATCCTAAAATTTATACGGAACCATGAAAGGCCCAGAATAGCCAAAGCCATCCTAAGCAGAAAGAACAAAACTGAAGGAATCACATTACCTGACTTCAAATTATATTACAGAGCCATAGTAACAAAAACAGTATGGTACTGACACAAAAACAGACACACAGACCAAGGGAACAGAATAGAGAATCCAGAAATAAATCCATACATCTACAATGAACTCACTTTTGATAAAGGTGCCAAGTACATACACTGGGGAAAGGACAGTCTCTTCAGTAAATGGTGCTGGGAAAACTGGATATCCATATGCAAAAGAATGAAACTAGGCCCCTATCTCTTGCCGTATATAAAAATCAAATCAAAATGGATTAAGGACTTAAATCTAAGACCTCAAACTATGAAACAACTAAAGGAAAACATTGAGGAAACTCTCCAGGACATTAGTCTGGGCAAAATTTTTTCTTTTTTCTTTTTTTAGAGATGGGATCTCCCTATGTTGCTCTGGCTGAAGTGCAGTGGCTATTCACAGGTGTGATCCTGGTACTGATCAACATGGAAGGTTTTTTTTTTTAGATGGAGTCTCGCTCTGTTGCCCAGGCTGGCGTGCAGTGGCACAATCTCAGCTCACTGCAAGCTCCGCCTCCCGGGTTCATGCCATTCTCCTGCCTCAGCCTCCCGAGTAGCTGGGACTACAGGCACCCGCCACCACGCCTGGCTAATTTTTTGTATTTTTAGTAGAGACAGGGTTTCACCATGTTAGCCAGGATGGTCTCAATCTCCTGACCTTGTGATCCACCCGCCTTGGCCTTCCAAAGTGCTGGGATTACAGGCGTGAGCCACTGTGCCTGGCAACATTGAAGTTTTGACTTGCTACATTTCTGACTTGGGCTAGTCCAATCCTCCTTAGGCAACCAGGTGGTCTGGTCCCCTGCTCCTGGGAGGTCACCACATTGATGCCAAATTTAGTGCAGAAACTTGATTGGCATAGTGCGTTATAGCCCAGAACTCCTGGACTTAAGCAATCCTCCTGCGTCAGCTTTCTGCACTCAGCAGATTTCTTTTTATTTTTTTTTAGAGACAGAGTCTCACTCCGTAGCCCAGGCTGGAGTGCAATGGCACAATATCAGCTCACTGCAACCTCCGCCTCCCAGGTTCAAGAGATTCTCACGCCTCAGGCCTCCCAAGTAGCTGGGATTATAGCCATGCCCCACCACATCTGGCTAATTTATGTATTTTTAGTAGAGACGGGATTTTGCCATGTTGGCCAGGCTGATCTCAAACTCCTGGCCTCAAGTGATCTACCCGCCTCGGCCTCCTAAAGTGCTGAGATTACAGGCAAGAGCCACCACACCTGGCCAAGCAGATTTCTTGAGTAATATCCCAAAAGCACAGACAATCAAAGAAAATGGATAAGTGGGATCACGTCAAGCTAAAAAGCTTCTGCACAGCAAAGGAAATAATCAACAAAGTGAAGAGAGAATACATAGAACGGGAAAAAATATTTGCAAACTATCCATCTGACAAGTGGTTAATAACCAGAATATATAAGGAACACAAACAACTCTGTAAGAAAAAATCTAATAATCCAATTAAAAATGGGCAAAAGATCTGAATAGATATTTCTCAAAAGAAGACATACGAATGAAAAGGTGCCCAACATCACTGATCATCAAAGAAATGCAGATCAAAACTATATTATCTCACCCCAGTTAAAATGGCTTTTATCCAAAAGACAGGCAATAACAAATGCTAGTGGAGAAAAGGGAACCCTCATATACTGTTAGTGGGAATGTAAATTAGTACAGCCACTCTGGAGAACAGTATAGAAGTTCCCTCAAGAAACTGAAAATAGAACTACTATACGATCCAGCAATCCCACTGCTAGGTATATAGCCAAAAGAAAGGAAATCAGTATATTGAAGAGATATCTGCACTCTCATGTTTATTGCAGCTCTACTCATAATAGCCAAGATTTGGAATCAACCTAAGTGTTCATCAACAGACAAGTGGATAAAGAAAATGTGGCACGTGTATACGATAGAGTACTATTCAGCTACAAAAAGGAATGAGATCGTGTCATTTGCAACAACGTGGATGGAACTGGAGGACGTTATGTTAAGTGAAATAAGCCAGGCATAGAAAAACAAACTTTGCATGTTATTACTAATTTGTAGGAAGTAAAAATTAAAACAATTGAACTCATGGAGATAGAGTAAAATGATGGTTACTAAAAGCTGTGAAGGGTAGTGGTGGGGGTCAGGGAAGTGGGTATCATTAATGGGTACAAAAATATAGTTAGATAGAATGAATAAAACCTAGTATTTGATAGCACAAGAAGGTGACTACAGTCATTTATAATTTGTTGTATGTTTTAGAATAACTAAGGGAGTACAATTGGAATGTTTGTAACGCAAAGAAATATGAATGTTTCAGGTAATAGATACGCCATATACCCTGATGTGATTATTGCACATTGTATGCCTCTATCAAAGTATCTCATGTACCTCATAAATATATATACATCTACTATATACCTATAAAATTAAAAATAAAAAAAATTAAACTGTACAGGAGGATGTGCTTAGGTTATATGCAAACACTATCCCATTTTATATCAGAGACTAGAGTATACTTGGATTTTGGTATCAGAGGAGGTCCTGGAACAAATCCCCCATAGATATTGAGGGATGACTGTACTTATAATGGGGGATAGAAATGAGAATGGGAGCCGAAAATAAAGAAGGATGTTAAACCTTTCATATTATCTAGGAGTTTTGGCAGAAGTCTTAAAAGCTGAAAACAATGTAATAGGTGTCAAGGCTTCTTACATTTTGAATAACGAAACCAATCTTTTCATAAAGAAAATGCTAAAAAGATTGTTAAAGGAATTCTGCCAGGACAAGCCTCCTAGCAATTTTGTAAGAGAAGGCAAAGAATTAAATGGTAGATTGAAGAGGGTGATGGTAAGAATATCTTTGTGAGAGCTGTGAAGGCGCTGTGACATTTCCACTCCCCATGAGGAAGAGAAGGTGTATTAGTTATCTTTTGTTGCAATGCAAATTATCCCACAACTTAGCCACTTAAAACAATAATAAACATTTATTGTTTCACACAGTTTCTGTAGTTCAGGAATTCAGGAGCAGTTTAGGTGGTTGGTTGTAGCTCAGAGTTTCATGAGGTTGCAGTCAAGATGTTATCTGATTAGTCAAGCTGAGGTTACATGAACATACTTTAACTATAGAAGTGAGTAACTATCCTCATTTTCTATAGTGGGAGTATTGCTCACCACAACCAAGACACATACAGTGAGGAATTCCACACACATAGAAAGAGGGCTCAGATGATAAACAGCAGAAAATAAAACCACAAAAATGTCAAACACAAAGTCATCCCTTTGGTTGCCCAACACCAATATAACCATTGCTTCCAATGTTTACATTTCAAAAAAGTGTTGCCACTTAAAATATTGCAATTTTCCTTTATACAATCAAAGATGCACTCACACTGTCACTCTCCAAGGAAGTCAATCCAATGTGTCATCAGTTACCACATCCATCAACCCAATTCCAAGTCTAGAACCATCCATCACCAAGTCTAGTTGGTGGCCATTCTTCTTCAAGTTCTGTACTGATTTCGTATCCACATTCTGATACTTATGGACTAAATAATGAAGTTTACAACAGTATCACACCCTACATACAATAGTGAAGTATAAAGGCTAAAGAAAAGTGAAAACACATAAAAGAATACATGAAACATTAAAAAATACATAAACAAGATGACAACTCTCATTTCTTCCCCTGATCATAAGGCCTTCCCTCCATTTATGACTTCCTTTCTCTACTAGCGATTCCATGTTCCTTTTACTTTCAGCCAATACCTTCATTTCTAAGGGATCCAAGCATTTGGTAGATCTATCTGTTTAAAGATATACCAGCAGAACTATTTTTTTTGCTTGATGATAAGTTTAATAACATCAATCAATACCATAACCTTCTTCCTCTCTTTCACCTTCTTCTTCTCTTGCTTATCCAATGATAGATGACATGGAAAATGGTCAGATGGCAGTCTCAGCTCCAAATCAAAGAAATCATTGTTTAGCCCTTGCTGGAGGAACTCCTTTCTTTAGAAACAAACCTCTAAAACCACCGAAGCCCAGAATTTCAGAGAATGGAAGTCTAAAAAATTGTTTTAAGTGGGTCATTAGGTATAATATCCCTTTGTTTCTGAATCTATTTATTTTGCCTATGGCAGTGTGATGGTTTTAAAATACATCCACAAACACACAATGAACCCTCTCCTGCAGACTCCCTGGGACCTAAGCTGTCACGGCATGGTACCATTTTGGGAAAGAAGCCACTGCTGAAGTACATCCTGCCCCAGGATCCAATGGCCCTATGTCTCCAATATCCCTGGGGCCCTGCGGTCATTCCACCATGCCCATACAGAAGACTGAGTGCCAGTATCCCAGCCAGACCTAGCAGTAGAGCCATGACTCTAGCACTAAAGCCCACATAGCACTCTGTGCTCCAGGAAGCAGGTAGTCCAGCACAGTAAGGAGGTCACCCTCAGGAGTGAGGAAGCCAATGTGCCTGGCCAGCCACCTGGTACCCACCGCTGCCAGCAACCCTATCCCCTCCAGTGATGAGGCTGCCTTATGCATGGGCACCCCTAGAGACCAAAGATCAGCCCACCTAGAGGCTGTCACCACTGGAGACCCTGCCCCCTCCAGTGGCAGAGCTACCATGTACCTGAAACAGTTCCCAGGGACCAAGGACCTGCCCACTTAGCACCCACTGCTGCCAGCAACCCTGCCCCATCCAGTGATGGAGATATAGCATGTGTACATGTCCGCCAAGGGCTGAGGACTGGTCTACCTAGCACACACCACCTCTGCTAACCCCACCCCCTCTAGAGGTAGAGACATCACGTGCTGTGTTCCTCAGGGCTGGTGCCCACCTGGTGCCCACCACAGCTGGCAATGGCATCCTATAATCAGTAAAGCTGTTGTTCCAGGCAAGCACCCTCCCATAATCCAAGAACTGGCCACCAATGGACACTTACCACCAGCAAAACTACACTATAGCCTCCATAAATGTCAACAGTCTATGCCACTGTGGCACTCAAATACTGCTCATGCTGTTAAAAATCACACAGAGACTACATAACTGTTATTGCTTCTCAGCCTTTTGTCTAAGATCGAGTGTGGAGATTATACTACTGCACCCACTCAGAACCAAAGCCAAAGCACCTTATGCAATCAACACTACAGGTCACAACTACAGGAAAAAAGTCTTTCCCAATGAAAGCTACTCCATGAAATTGGAAGAGGTGACTATTTTACCAGATGCACAGAAATCAACATAGGAACACAAGAAACATAAGAAAACAAGGAAACACGACACTGCCAAAGGAACACAATAATTCTCCAGTAACACATTCCCCAAAATGAAAGCTATCAGATGCCTAAAAAGGAATTGAAACTAATGAGCCTAAGGAACCTCAGCAAGATACAGGATAAATACAGACATACAAATGAAATCAGGAAAACATTAATGCTCTGAATGAGAAATTCAACAAAGAAACATATATTATTTTTTTAAAAGAACCAAACAGAAATCTTGAAGCTAAAAGATTCTGCTAATGAAATAAAAAATACAATAGAGAGCTTCAATAACAGACTAGATCAAGAAGAAAATAATTTCTGAAGGCCGGGCATGGTGGCTCACGCCTGTAATCCCAGCACTTTGGGAGGCCGAGGTGGGCGGATCATGAGGTCAGGAGATCGAGACCATCCTGACTAACACGGTGAAACCCCATCTCTACTAAAAATACAAAAAAAAAATTAGCCAGGCATGGTGGCGGGTGCCTGTAGTCCCAGCTACTCGGGAGGCTGAGGCAGGAGAATGGTGTGAACCCGGGAGGAGAAGCTTGCAGTGAGCTGAGATAGCGCCACTGCACTCCGGCCTGGGCGAAAGAGCAAGACTCTGTCTCAAAAAAGAAAAACAAAAGGAAAATAATTTCTGAACTTGGAGACAGGTCTTTTGAAATAACCCAGTCAGACTAAAAAAAGAAAAAAGAATTCAAAAAGAATAAAGAAAGCCTACAGTACTTACAGGACATCATTAAGCAAACAAATATTCACATTCTGAATGTTTAAGAAGGAAATGAGATGAAAAAGGAATAGAAAACCTATTTGATGAAATAATCACTGAAACCCTTCTAAGACTTTGGAGACATATGGACATTGACATCCAGGAAGCTAAAAAATCTTCAAATATAGTCAACCCAAAAAAGTCCTCTCTGAAGCACATTATAATCAAATTGTCAAAAGTCAAAGACAAAGAGAGAATTTTTAAAACAGCAAGAAAAAAATGTCAAGTCACATATATGAAAATCCCCATTAGACTAACAGCATTTTTCTCAGCAGAAACCTTACAGGCCGGGAGAGAATGGGATGATATATTCAAAGTGCTGTAAGAAAAAAACTGCCAAGCAAGAATATCAAACCCAATAAAACTGCCCTTCAGAAATGAGGAAGAAATAAAATTTTCCCCAAACTAAAACTGAGGAAATTCATCACCCTAGACCATCCTTACAAGAAATACTTAAGGGAGTCCTACATCTGGAAGCAAAAGGATGATAACCACCATCATGAAAACACAAAAGTACAAAACTAACTGATTGAAAAGATACACAAATGAGAAAGAAAAATAAACTTTATCACTGCAAAGATAAATTAGAGAAAGAAAAGAACAAAGAATTTCAAAACAACTAGAAAACAATTAACAATATGACAGAAAAAATATCATATTTCAATAATAACCTTGAATGTAAATGGATTAAATTTCCCAATTAAACAATATAGACTGGCTGAATGGATTAAAAAAACAAGACCCAGGCCGGCACAGTGGCTCATGCCTGTAATCCCAGCACTTTGGGAGGCTGAGGCAGGAGGATCACTTAAAGTCAGGAGTTTGAGACAAGCCTGGCCAACATGGTGAAACCCTGTCCCCACCAAAAATATAAAAATTATCTGGGCGTGGTGGTAGGCGCCTGTAGTCCCAGGTACTCAGGAGGCCAAGGCAGGAATATCGCTTGAACCCAGCAGGTAGAGGCTGCAGTGAGCCAAGATTGTGCCACTGCACTCCAGCCTGAGAGACAGAGCAAGACTCCATCTCCAAAAAAACCCAAACAAACCAAGAGCCTATTCTGCCTATAAGAAACTCACTTCACTTGTAAAGACACACATAGACTGAAAGTGAAAAAATATAAAAAAGAAATCCCAATGAAATTTCTACAAGAAAAACATTGGGAAAACACTCCAGGACATTAATCTGGGCAAAAATTTCTTGAGTAATACCTCACAAGCACAAGCAACCAAAGCAAAAATGAACAAATGGGATCACATCAAGATTCCGCACAGCAAAGGAAAAAATCATCAAGGTGAAGAGACAACACACAGAATGGGAGAAAATATTAGCAAACTATCCACCTAATAAGAAGTTAATAACCAGAACATATAAGGAGCTTAAACACTTCTATAGGGAAAAAAAATCTAATAATCTGATCAAGAAATGAGCAAAAGGTCCAGGTGCAGTGGCTCACGCCTGTAATCCCAGCACTTTGGGAGGCCGAGACAGGAGGATCACCTGAAGTCAGGAGTTCGACACCAGCCTGGCCAACATGGAGAAACCCTGTCTCTACTAAAAATACAAAATTATTCAGGCTTGGTGGCGCATACCTGTAATCCCAACTACTCGGGAGGCTGAGGCAGGAGAATCACTTGAACCCAGAAGGCAGAGTTCGCAGTGAGCCGAGATCATGCCATTGCACTCTAGCCTGGGCAACAAGAGCGAAACTCCATCTCAAAAAAAAAAAAAAAAAAAAAAGAAAAAGAAAAAAGAAATGAGCAAAAGATCTGACTAGACATTTCTCAAAACAAGACGTACAAATGGCAAACAGGCATGTGAAAAAGTGCTCAACATCATTAATTATCAGAGAAATGCAAATCAAAACTACAATGAGATATTATCTCACCCCAGTTAAAATGGCTTTTATCCAAAAGTCAGACAATAACAAATGTTGGCGAGGATGTGGAGAAAGGAGAACCCTCGTATACTGTTGGTAAGAAGGCACATTTGTACAACCATTATGAAGAATCATTTAGCAGTCTCAAAAAACTAAAAATAGGGCTACCATACGATCCAGCAATCCCATTGCTGGGTATACACCCAAAAGAAATGAAATCAGTATATCAAAGAGACATTTGCACTCCCATGTTTGTTGCAGCGCTGTTCACAATAGCCAAGATTTGGAAGCAACCTAAGTGTCCATCAACAGATGAATGGATAAAGAAAATGTGATACTTATACACAATGAAGTACTATACAGCCAAAAAAAAAAAAAAAAACCCAGAATCCTGTCATTTGCAACAACATAGGTGGAACTGGAGGTCATTATATTAAGCGAAATAAGCCAGGCACAGAAAGCAAACATCACATGTTCCCACTTATTTGTGGGATCTAAAAATCAAAGCAACTGAACTCATGGATACAGAGAATAGAAGAATGGTTACCAGAAACTGGGAAGGGTAGTTGGGGGTGGGTGGTGGGGAGGTGGAGATGGCTGATGAGTACAAAAAAAATTAGAAAGAATAAATAAGACAGTATTTCATAGCACAACAGGGGGACTACAGTCAATAATACTTTAATTGTACATTTAAAAATAATTTAAAAAGTATAATTACATTGCTTGTAATAAAAAGGATAAATGCAAAAAAAGAAGGATAAATGCTTGAGGAGATGGATACCCAATTTTCCATGATGTGATTACCATGCATTGCCTGCCTGTCCCAAAAGATCTCATATATCCCATAAATGAATACACCTACTATGTACCCACGAAAGTTAAAGATAAAAATAATTTTTTAAATGCCAAATGTAAACGCAAACAGAAACCAAAAACAAGCAAGAGTTTTTTACTTTAAGTCAAAGACTGTAAAAAGAGAAAAAGAATGTCATTATATAATAATAAAGGGATCAATTCAGTAAAAGGGTGTAACAATTTTAAATATATATACACCCAGATATATAAAGCAAATATCATTAGATCTAAAGGGAAGACAGACTCCAATACAATTAAGTTGGGGATTTCAATACCTTTGACCAGATAATGTAGACAGAAAATCAACCAAGAAACATCAGATTTAAACGGCAATATAGACCAAATGGACCTAACAGACATTTACAGAACATTTTTTCTAACAGCTGCAGAATACACATTCTTTTCATCAGCTTATAGAACATCCTCCAAGATAGACCATATGTTAGCCCTCAAAACAAGTCTCAACACATTTTTTAAAATCAAAACCATATCAAGTATCTTTTCTGACTACAATGAAATAAAACTAGAAATCAATAATAACAGAAACTTCGAAACTGTGCAAATACATATAAATTAAATAACATGCTCCTGAATGATAAATATGTCAATGAAGAAATTAAGAAGGACATTTAAAAATTAATTGAAACAAATGAAAACAGAAACACAACATACCAAAACCAATGGGACACATCAAAAGCATTACTAAGAGGAATGTTTATAACAATAAATGCCTACATCAAAAAAAGCAGAAAGATTACAAATAAACAAACTAATGATGCACGTCAAGGAACTACAAAAACAAGAACCAACGAAACTCAAAATTAGCATAAGGAAAGAAATAATAAAGATTAGAGCAGAAATAATGAAATCGAGACAAAAAATACAAATCAACAAAACAAAAAGTTTTTTGAAAAGATAATATCCACAAACCACTAGCTAGAGTAATTTTAAAAAAAGAGAGCAACAACCCAAATAAATAAAATCAGAAATGAAAAAAAACAACTGTTACCACAGGAATACAAAAGATCATTAGAGACTATTATGAACAACTATATGCCAACAAGATGAAAAGCCTAGAGGAAATGAATTCCTGGACACACGCAACCTACCAAAATTGGATCGGGAAGAAATAGAAAACCTGAACAAATCAATAACAAGTAATGAGATTGTGGGAGAAATAAAAAGTCTCCCAACAAAGAAAAGCCTAGGACCATGGCTTCAATGCTGAGTTGCACCAGGCATTTAAATAACTAACACCAATTCCTCTCAAATTATTCCAAAAAATTGAAGGGGAGGGAATTCTTCCAAACTCATTCTACAACCCCAACACTACCCTAATGCCAAAACCAGGCAAAAACACAACAAAAAAAGAAAGCTACAGGTCAATATCCCTGATGAACATAGATATAAAAATTCTCAACAAAATATTAGCAAACCAGATCCAACAACACATCAAAAGGATTACACATGATGATCAAGTAGATTTATTTCAGGGATGCAAGGATGATTCAACATATGCAAATCAATAAACAAAAGATACATCACATCAGCAGAATCAAGGACAAAAACCAAACGATCATCTTAATCAATGCAGAAAAGGCATTCGATAAAATTCAACATCCTTTCATGATAAAAACTCTCAACAAAGGAAGTATAAAAAGAACATACCTCAACACAATAAAGGCCATATATGACAAACCCACAGCTAGTATCATCTTAAACAGGAGAAAATTGAAAACTCTTCCTCTAAAAACTGGAACAAGACAAAGATACCCACTTTCACCACTCTTATTCAACATAGTATGGAGAATGCTAGCTAGAGCATTTAGGCAAGATTAAAGAATAAAGGGCATCTAAGCTGGAAAGGAAGTGTCAAATTGTCACTGTTTGCAGATGATATGATCTTATATATAGAAAACTTAAAGACTTCATCAAAAAATTCTCAGAACTGATAAAGAAATTCATAAAGTTGTAGGATATAAAATCAATATACAAAACAGTAGCGGCCAGGCACAGTGTCTCACTCCTGTAATCCCAACACTTTGGGGGGCCTAAGCAGGAGGAACACTTGAGGCCAAGAGTTCAAGATCAGCCTGGCCAACAGGGCAAAACCCTGTCTGTACTAAAAATACAAAAATTAGCTGGGCGTGGTGGCACGGGCCTGTAATCTCAGCTACTCAGGAAGCTGGGGCATGAGAATCACTTGAATCTGGGAGGTGGAGGTTGCAGTGAGCCGAGATCAGGCCACTGCACTCCAGCCTGGGCAACAGAGTGAGACTCTGTCTCAAAAAGAAAGGACAGAAGCAAGGAAGGAAGGAAGGGAGGGAGGAAGGGAGGGAGGGAGGGAGGGAGGGAATGAAGGAAATTATAAAACTCTGATGAAATAAATTGAAGAGGACATACACAAAAATGGAAAGACATCCATGTTCATATACTGAATTAATATTGTTAAAATGACCAAACTACCCAAAGTGATCTACAGATTAAATGGAATCCCTATCAAAATACCAATGACATTCTTCATAGAAATAGAAAAAATAATCCTAAAATTCATATGGAACTACAAACGACCCCAAATAGCCAAAGCAATCCTGAGCAAAAAGAACAAAATTGGAGGCATCACACTAACCTCAAAATATACCATACAAAGCTACACTAAACAAAACAGCATAGTACTGGCATTAAAAAAGACACATCAACCAATGGAACAGAATAGAGAACCCAGAAATAAATCCATGTATTTATAGCCAACTAATGGTTTTTTTGAAACAGGGTCTTGCTCTGTCACCCAGACTGAAGTGCAATGATGTGATCTCTGCTCACTGCAGCCTCAACCTCCTAGGCTCAAGCAATCCTCCCACTTTAGCCTCTTGAGTAGCTAGGACTACAGGCATGCACCACCATGCCCGGTTAATTTTTGTATTTTTTGATAAAGACTGGTTTTGCCACGTTGCCCTGTTTGGTCTTGAATTCCTGGGCTCAAGCGATCCACACACCTCAGCCTCCCAGAGTGCTGGGATTATAGGTGTGAGCCATTGCACACAGCCCCCCACCCCCCACCCCCACCCCCATCCCCCCACCCCCACCCCCACCCCCTTTTTTTTTTTTAAGACTGGGTCTTGCTATGTTTCCCAGGCTGGAGTGCAGTGACTATTCACAATTGTAGTATACTGCAGGCCTCAAACTCCTGGGCTTAAGCAATCCTCATATATCAGCCTTCCAAGTAGCTGGGACTACAGGCATGTACCACCATGCCTGGCAATTAACTGATTTTTAACAAAGGCCCTATAACATATTGGGAAAAGAACAGCCTGTTCAATAAATGGTGCTGGGAAAACTGACCCCCTATATGAAAAGGAAAGAAACTAGACTCCCTACGTCTCACCCTATACAAAAATCAACACGAAATGGATTAAAAACCTAAATATAAAACCCAAAACTATGAAACTACTAAAAGATAATACAGGAGAAATGCTTCAGGACATTGGCCTGGGCAAAGATTTTATGGATAAGCCCTCAAAAGCACAGGCAACAAAACCAAATATAGACAAATTGGATTACATCAAACTAAAAAGCTTCTGCACAGAAAAGGAAACAATCAATAGAGGAATGAGACAGCCTACAGAATGAGAGAAAATATTTGCAAAGTATTCATCCAACAAGGAATTAATATCCAGGAAGTATAAAAAACTCAAACAACTCAATAGCAAAAAAAACCCAAATAATTTTTAAATGGGCAAATGATCTGAATACACATTTTTCAAAAGAAGACATATAAATAGCCAACAAATACATGAAAAAAATGCTCAACATCACTAATCATCAGGGAAATACAAATCAAAACCACAGTGAGATATTATCTCACTCCAGTTAGAATCGCTATACGAAAAAGACAAAAACAAATGCAGAGGGTGAGGATGCAGAGAAAAGGGAATTCATACACTGTTGATAGGAATGTAAATTAGTTCAACCATTATGGAAAACAGTGTGTAGATTTCTCAAAGAACTAAAACTACAACTACCATATGATCCAGCAATCCCACTACTACCCAAAGAACAGGAAATCAGTATGTCAAAGAGATACCTGTCCTCCCACAGTTACTGCAGCACTATTCACAGTGGCCAAGATACGGAGTTAACCTAAGTGTCCATCAAAAGAAGAATGGATAAAGAAAATGTGGTACATATATGCAATGAAATACTATTCAATCATAAAAAAGAATAAAATTATGTCATTTGCAGCAACATGGATAGCACCGGAGGTCATTATCTTAAGTGAAATAAGCCAGGCACAGAAAGATAAATACTGCATGTTCTCACCAATATGTGAAAGAGAAATAAGTTGATCTCAGAGAAGTAGAGAACAGAATAGTGGTAACTAGTGGCTGAGAAGGGTAAAGGAGAGGATTATATATAGAGAGGTTGGTTAACACATATAAAATTACAGCTAGGTAGAAGGAATAATTTTTGGTGTTCTATATCACTGTAGGATGACTATGATTAACAATAATTTATTCCATATTTTCAAATAGCTAAAAGAGTGGATATTGAATTTTCCCAAAGCAATTATTACAGATTGTATACAGGTATCAAAATATCACACTGTACCCCATATATATGTACAATTATTATGTGTCAATTAAAAAATACATCCACAAATTTATTGATACTTCATAAAAAAAGGAGTCATCTAATCCCCTCTCCTTAGACACTGATGGCCTTAGTAACTAAGTTCTAATGAATTGACTATGGCTTAAAGTGACACTGCATGACTTCCACTGTGAGTTTAGAAAAAGCATTATAGCTTTCAACCAGATTTTTCTTCTTCGGGATGCTCATCCTTGGAACCCAGTTAGCATATTGTGAGGAACCAAATAGTGCTGTGGAAAGATCATGAGAAGGTGTTCTAGCCACAGCTTTGGCTAAGGACTAGGCCAACACCAGTATCAGTCACCAGACATGTGAGAGAAGGGGTCTTCAGATGATTCCAGCCCCAATCTTTTAGCTGCCCCAGCTGATGTGAAGTGGATAGTGGAACAGAGACAATCTGTTCCCATGAAGCTCTGCATAAATTACAGATTTGTAAGTAAAGTAAGGGTTGTAATTGTTTTAAACCATTGCATTTTGCAGATGGTTAAACAGCAATAGATAAAAGGAACAGGAAAAAAGAGTGCTGAATATTGGACAGTAGTTCAGAGCATATACTGCATCCTACAGGACAGTATCAAAAAGGGTTATCTCCCAGAAGGCACCATAGCTAAGTCTTCAATATATCTTCAATAAGACAAGATACTTCTCAGTGATTGAGTACACAATTAGACCAATAAATTCCATGGGCAATAGCCCATTGCATTACTTCTTTCATTGCAGAGTGAATTTCTTGGTCAAAAGCAATATAGTGTTAGAGAAAATGATAGTGTCTAAAGCACTGAGTAATTCCCTAGATGGTGGTGTCAGCGGAAGTACAGTGAGCAGGGAAAGCAAATCTCAATCTAGAATAAACATATTTTAGAGAGGACAAATAAGAACTCCCTCAATGATGGGGAGGGCCAATGACCAATGGAATAGACTTGCCTACATGTGACTGGCTGACCCTCCCAGAGCATGGGGTATTGGTCACTGCTTCTGAACACCCAGCGGTGGCTTGGTGATCCCATGCATAGCTCCAATCCTGTTGCCATTGCCATTGCCATTTATTTCATGATTCTACTGAGCAGGCAGTGAGGCTGAGTTTCATCACAAAGCAGTTCATTTCATCCATATGATTCTTAAGATTTATTCTGAGAGGTCCATCACTATATCCCTTCTGGAGTCTTCCTTGTCACTAGTTCTCCAGTCTTGCTCTTTCCATGTCCTTCACAAACTGGCCAAAAAATTATCCTCTGACCCTGAATTGACCATTTCTCCTTTCAGCCAAACTGAACATCAAAACATACTGGTGAAAATTCTGCCCACTGAAAGAACTTCACTATTTCAATATTTTTCAGGTCCAAAGCAGGACTACAACATATCAATTTCTAGCAAGTACCAGTATATTGTCCAGAGCAACATACCTGTATTGTATTTTGCACATCATAGGTGCTCAATAGACACTTAAGCAATTTTTAAAATACAGACATATTATTTCCCTACCTGTATTTCAACAGCTTCCCATTGGTCTAAAAGATCCTGCTGGGTATGGCCTCTGCATACTCCTTTCACTTCTCTGTACTCTAAGCCTTGACTCTCAGTTCCTGTAATGTTCCATGCTCTCTCCTGCTACAAGACCTTTGCTCAGACTGTTCCCTCTCCTTGCCTAGTTAACTCTTGACTCAAGATACTTCCTGTCTTACAATCATCTTTCTTCATAGTACTTATCTCTGTATTAATTCCTGTCTCATCCTGGGACTCTAAGTTCTATGACTATGTGCACTCACCACTGATTCCCCAACACCTAATATAGTGCCTGGCATATATGATATGCTAAATAATATTTTGTTAAATGAATGAATACATGAATCAGTGAATGAATAAGCCTGTAATGATGCAGTAATTTACCTATAAGTTATCACTGCCAGTTTTGCTTAAGAAGCTTTCTGCCATCACAATTTTTACTCATCTAATTCACATTTCTTTATTAATTTAAGAAGTATTTGTCAAGACAACTTTTCTAAGCATTACTTATATACTAGCACTATGCAACAGAAATTTGTGACCACATATGTAATTTTAAATATTCTAATATCCATGACAAAATTAATAAATTTTATTTAGCCTAATATACCCCCAAACATCATTTCAACATGAAATCAATACAAAAAATTATTAATGAGATATTTTACATTCTTTTCTTCAAACTAGTCTTTGAAATTTGGGGGTAGTTTACAATTACATATCTCAACTGGAACTAGCTATATTTCAAGTGCTCAAGAGCCACAAATGACTAGCAGATACATCATATGCTATATCCCACAGTGTAGTTCTATAGGATTCACTTTCACTAGAGAGGGTCTGATCACCCTCAGCTCTTATAATTAGTGGTCAGGAAAACCACCTTAAGTCAAACCTAACTGTTCCAGTATAAGAGATGATTTAAACTAGAATTGTCTCTGGGAACAATTTTAGCTGGTGTACCGTTTTCGCCTTCCTATAACATCTTTTTGTCTTGTTTTTTTTTTTTAAACTTTTAAGTTCAGGGGTACAAGTGCAGGTTTGTTATATAGGTAAACTTGTGTCACGGGTGTTTGTTGTACAGGCTATTTTGTCACCCAGGTATTAAGCCTAGTACCCATTAGTTATTTTTCCTGATCCTCGCCCTCCTCCCACCCTCCACCCTCCGAAAGGCCCCAGTGTGTGTTGTCCCCCTCTTTTGTGTCCATGTGTTCTCATCATTTAGCTCCCACTTATAAGTGAGAACGTGCGGTATTTGGTTTTCTGTTCCTTTGTTAGTTTGCTTAAGGATAAGGGCCTCCAGCTCCATCATGTCCCTACAAAGGACATGATCTCGTTCTTTTATGGCCCCACTTTTTATCCTTTTAATTTAAACGGATTCTTTGCTCCCCCTGAAGATGGAGGCCACCTCCTTTGCAAGGACTTCTATCTCTCCCCCTTTGAGGCCACGACATAATTCTCCGCATTTTTAGGTACTTAACAGTAAATCACTTGGTTCACTTGGTTCTCCTGCCTGCCTAGGAAAGGTCAGGAGATGGTCCAGCGCCATGTCTAGCACTGTTAATTCTTTCAGTGCTTTCGTTTTGCTTGGGCCTCTCGGGGAGGGCGCGGAAAAGAGCGCAAGCCAGGGTCTAGGACCACACAAGTGAATTCGTGTTGCTCCCTCAGCCCTGAAAAGTGGCTCTCTCCCCATCAGCATTATACTTGCACAGTGGTTTTGTTTTTAGGTGCATCTACCTCATCACATGGCTACCGGCCACACAGCAACTAACAGCACCGAGGAAACACAACAGCCTGTTTACCTTCAGCCCCGCCACTAACCCTTGGCCAAAGGGAAAGGGGCAGGACATCCTCCCGCTCTGAGCCACCTCCGGAAGTGACGTCGGAGTGTCAACATGCAAGATGGCGGCCCATCACCGGCAGAACACAGCAGGGCGGAGGAAAGTGCAGGTATGGAAGCCCGGTTCCTCGGTCTTCCGGACGCGGCCGGCAGCTCCGGGCCCACTCCAGCTAGAAGGTGCCCGGCGCCACGACCAGCTGGGGTAGCGGCATGGGGCGAACGGGGCGGGGCGCGGCCGGCCACGAGGGGTGGGGCCGCGGCGCTAACGGCTTGAGGAAGGGGCGGGGGTCGGCTTGCTTGGCCCTTGGGGCCCAGGCCCGGGACCCTCGTGGGCGGCATTCTGAGCCCGGGATTGCTTGTCGCCGCTCTTCTGTAGGAGTGGACTTGCGGGGTCGGGATAGGCTCGTTCCCCGCCCACTTGCCTCCCCCTTGCCCTGTCTTTCTTCGAAGCGCTCTGCCCTCGCTGCGTCGGAGCCGAGGCCTCCAGGGGTTTCCCAGGGGGGTGGGCGTTGGAGGAGTGAGCGGCTTGTGCGGGGGCGTGGCGAGGCGGCGGAGCGCCAACGGCCCTGCGGGGTTTCTGCTGAGGATTCCGCACTTGGGAGCCCCCAGCCCTCTCTTATGTGGGAGCTGTCCCCTGGGTAGGTTTAAGTGACATAAGAATGTGCGTGGGGAAATTATAATTTTAATTGTTTTGGTATTTAAGTTCCTCTTCACCATTTCTTCATCTTAAGTGTGCATCGCTGAATCTGTCTTTATTGTTTGTGTAATTTATTGTCCATGTGGTAAAGAGTTGTCTAATCTTACCGTGTGTGTCTTGTGCCTTATGCCTTTGTGAATTCACTTTTGTTTGCGGTTACGCTTAAGAGTTACTGCCACTTCGGGGAACATCACACACCGGGGCCTGTCGGGGGCTGGGGGCGCTAGGGGAGGGATAGCATTAGGAGAAATACCTAATGTAAATGACGAGTTGATGGGTACAGCAAACCAGCATGGCACACGTATACCTATGTAACAAACCTGCACGTTGTGCACATATATCCTAGAACTTAAAGTATAATAATAATATTAAAAAATAGTTATTGCCACTTAATATTTTCAGTGATGCAGGGAATAAAAGCCCTCTTACAGGTGTTTGCCTGCAGGTATATTGTATGTGGTAGTGGCAGTTTGGTGCATTTATTCATTAAACATTTACCTAGCACTTAGGGTGGCCCCCAAAGGGGAAAAGGGATTGAAAGGGTGTAGAAATAATTAACACCTAGGCTTTCTTTATAAAACACAGCATTATATGGAGTTCTGCGGGTTGAAATCAAGTGTCAGATAAAGGTAGTTAGATGAAGGGGTCCTTCAGTAAGGTAATCCCAGCAGAAGGTGGTAGGCCATAAAGTCTTCTGATTAGTTCACATCTTGGTTTTATTGATCTCACTGATCAGTACAGTGTCTTAAGCACTCACTGGATGTTTGTTGAAATGAGTGAAATTAATAAGTCTAAACTCACCCTATTAGGTGTTTTTCAGTGCATTAGTGATAGGATTTAAGTATCACCAGCATCCAAGGCAGGTAGTGAGAATGTCTCCTTGGGACTGAAATATAACTCAAAAAGTAACCCGATTGTATTATAGACTCTATGGTGGTGTACATCTTAGGAGAGTAAGGGTAGTTAATCAGGCCTTTCAGTTTATTGCATTAAGACTTAAAACTCCTATTACTGCAGTGTGTTCCCTGCTTGCTTCCTTCCCAGGCCTGCCCACTCCCAAAATGCATGCAATAAAGTATATATATTTTAAAAAGACTTACAAGGCAATTGTACTAGTATGGGATGGAGAAAATGTAAATTAACTGCAGCAGGTTTGGAAAAACAGTGTTCCAATAGGCTGAATGTGAGCCAGTGCACGTAGAATGAGGCAGGTGATAGATAATTCCACTTTTCACTGGTCAAAGTACAAAATTAGAGTTTGGTGTTCAGCACTTAGGACCTTGTTCTTCATAGGTAGCAATCAGATTGGTGAACTGACTTGAAATTATTTCCTATGAAGAACTTTTGAAAGAGCTGTCTTAGATTAACCTGCTGAAGAGAAGATTCAGGGAACTTTCGGAATTTGTCCCTAAGGTATAGAAGCAGCCTGAGAAGCCACAGGGATTGATTTCATCTGAACCATCATTGTCTATGAGGTGTTTTTTAAACTAATGCGTGTTCATTGTAAAAATCCCAACAAACAAAAACATAAATTAGAGTTGCCCTCCATGCTTCCAAGAAAGCTACTGCGGGCAATGTCATGTTTTAATCCTAGACCAGAGTTTATCAACCTGAACATTCTTGAAATTTCATCTGGATAATTCTTCGCTGTGTCTGAGGGAGGGAGCTGTCCTATGCATCACAGGTTCTTTGGCATCATCCCTGGCTTCTACCAACTAGATGTAGTAGCATCTCCCCAGTTGTGACAACTAAAAATGTCTCCAGACATTTTCAAATGTCCCCTCAAGGGCAAAATTGCCGCTGGTTGAGAACCGCTGTTCTATACCTCTTGCTGTTTGTGTACCTGACTTAACATATTTTTTTGCTATAAATGGAGCCATAGTATTCACTGTTTTGTGTCTTGCTTTGTCAAATTTTTAAATAAACATTCCCTTTAGCCCAGAATTCCTTATCTAAAAATATATTCTACAAAATTGCATATGCATGTATCTGTCCCTACTTATGCAAGGGTGTTGTGTGAAGCCATTCTTGAATTGCTATAAAGAAATACCTGAGACTGGCTCATTTATAAAGAAAAGAGGCATAATTGGCTCATAGTTCTGCAGGCTTTACAGGAAATATGGTGCTAGGATCTGCTCGTCTTCCAGGGAGGCCTCAAAGAGAGAGAGAGTCAAAAAAGCAAGTCAACATGGCATATTCCCATTTCCACAAAGGAAATATGCATTTTAAAAGTCAGGAAGGGTAATAGCAGTGATTATCCCTTTGGGAATAGATTGTGTGATTATAGATAAGACAGGACATGGGATATCTTTTAGTTTGAAATATGCACAACTTTGTATTTTTGAACTTTTTACCACATTATTTGCTCTTATACATCAAAAAGAAAACTTCTCATCTTGGAAAAAGCATACATGGGTACTTGGAGTAAATATACTTTGTCTCCTGACTGTCTCAGACCACGAGACAGTAGCCCTGAGCTCCTTGTCAAGTTGTAGGCCAAGACAAACCCTTGAGACTTAAAAATATTGCTAAATAATCAGTGGAGGCCAGGCGTGGTGGCTCATGCCTGTAATCCCAGCACTTTGGGAGGCCAAGGTGGGCAGATCACTTGAGGTCAGGAGTTCGAGACCAGCCTGGCCAACATGGCGAAATCCCGTCTCTACTAAAAATATAAAAATTGCCGGCATGGTGGCGCATGCCTGTAATCCCAGGTACTTGGGAGGCTGAGACAGGGGAATCGCTTGAACCCAGGAGGCGGAGGTTGCAGTGGGCCGAGATTGTACCAGTGCACTCCAGCCTGGGTGACAGAGCGAGACTCCATCTCAAAAATAAAATAAAATGATACTTAAAATCAGTGGAGAGGGGTCCAAACATACTGCATATTAATTGTAGACATAATTTTAAATGAGTCCATGTCCTACCATCTTCAACTTCTAGGAAAACTAGAGATACGAGGGAAGAGGGATGGATTTGTGACTGTCAGAAACATAATCAAATATGTGAATTCAGATACATGATGTAGCATTTTCTCTGGTAACCAGGATATCAAAGCAAGTCTTTTCCATCCTTAGCAGTCCCTTGGTGGTATGATTTTCCAGCAACCTGAGTCTGTTGATTGGCTCTCTGTGCCTCCATTTTTCCTCCTGTTATGGCCTCTTCCTTCAGTGCTTCACAGTGCTTGGGGAAAAAAAATACTTCGCTTAACTTGCTGCCACTTCTAGTTAAGCTCTTTCCCCAGCTAAATGCCAAGAGGACTTTTGTGCTCACTACCGTATCCTCAGCATTTAGAATAGTGCCAGGCAACAAGTGGGTGCCTAGTTAATATTCGTTGAAAGAATTAAATCCATTTTCCTCTATTTTTCTATAGCCAGACATTTTAAATTTTTTCTCTGTACTTTAATGGATGCAGATAACAAGTTTTTAAGGTGACATGTCTTGAAACATATCAGCATATATAGTTTTCGTTCTTTAATGACCACATAGAATGGATGTACCATAATTTGTCTAGCCATTTCCTTATTGAAGATATTGCTTTGATTTTTTTTCCATCATACTATAATTTGCTTTGAAAAAACCTCCAGTTATAAAATAGTAAAGGAAGTGTTACAAAAATAAATGAAAGGACAAAGATAGATAATACAGAATGCATAAAAGATGAGGGATCAGTTTGAAAGTTCCAGTATCTGACTCATTTGAGTTCAAGAAAGAGCAAAGAAAACAGAGATGATGATTAATAATGGATACAAGAAAATTTCCCGGAGCTTAAGTGCCGCAAATTTCTAGATCGAAGGGGCTTTCTAAATGCACAGAAAAACTAATGATAGAAAAAACAAACAAGAAATGTCACAACACCAAGGAAAAAGAGAAAATCCTGAAAGCTTAGGGAAGGAGATGACGAGGGAGTGGAGGAAAGAATGAAAATAGGATCCCTTTAAAGCTGTATGAAACAGAATGGCATTGAAATCAGTGGCAACATTGGATGCTAGAGGAACTTACAGCAATGCTTTCAAGAGCTGAGAGAATTGCTAAATCAAGTGTAAATGTGGAGGAAAGACCTTTTCAGGCATGCAAGGACTAAGTTGCCAACCCATGTGCCTTTTCTTATATTACTTTCTTAAGGTATTGGGGATGTATTTCAGCAAAACTATGGAGTGAACAAAGAAAGAAGGAGGCATTAGAATTCAGGAAACAATGGCTGTAACCCAGAAAAGCAGTAAAGGAAAACACCAAAGGTGACAGCTGTGCCAGCAGATCTAGAGGGCAGTCAGCCTAGATTGTAATGAGAAGAAGGAGGGTTTGGAGGGGGAAGCCTTCTGAGAAAATAAAGGGGTGGGGGTGAGTTCTGTGGTACAGCAATTAAAATTGAAATTAAAGTGGAGAAAACCATTGAAGAAGGAAAAATTAAAACTCTAGGGAAAACAAAAAGCTCTTTGAGGAAGGAAATGTATTCATAATATAGTACTTAGTAGATAGCCTTACAGTCACAACAATATAGCACGGATTATTTGTTCAATTAAAAATAGGGATGTATCTATATTAGAAGAGTAGAGGGAGGAGATATTGAGGGTAGTTTCAGAACTACATCCTAATCTACAGTAGCATGAGTAAATCGATAATGTCTAAAATGGATGAGCCAAAAAGTTATAGGATAAGCACAATATTTAGAGAAATGCAGTTAACTATCCAGTAGCAACAACTGAGTTGCAATTAGTTACCTTTAGGGATGAAGACTAGGTGTGGGAGTCTTATCCAGACAGTAGAGAGACTGTTTTTCATTACAGTCATTACTATTTGATTTTCTAAATACAAGCAGGAATTACTTGGATAACAAATGATCAAATTTTAAAAACTAAGTAATACATGTTGTTTGTAAAACATTCAGAACACATGAAAGAGACATGAATGAGTGAAAAATCACCATAATCCCATCATTCAGAAATAACTGCTGGTTATTTTATTTTATTTTTATTTTTATTTTTTTGAGACATTGTCTCACTCTGTCTTAAGGCTGGAGTGCAGTGGCACCGTCATGGCTCACTGCAACCTCTGCTTCCTGGGTTCAAGTGATTCTCCTGCCTCAGCCTCCTGACTAGCTGGGACTACAGGTGCGCACCACCACACCCGTCTAATTTTTGTATTTTTAGTAGAGACGGGGTTTCACCATGTTGGCCAGGATGGTCTTGATCTCCTGACCTCGTGATCTGCCCGCCTTGGCCTCCCAAAGCTGGGATTACAGGCATGAGCCACTGCGCCTGGCCCCTGGTTATTTTTATATATGTATAGTCTTCAAAACTTGTGTATTTGTTCTGAAATATTTAATATTTTGAAACATTTTTATAATAATGACTATTGTACATTGTTGTGTTGGACCACACATATTTCACTAAAAATATATCATGGCTTTCCGCCCATGTTTATCAGTCTAGACCTCCATCAACTCTTTCTTATTCTTTAGAAACAGGGCTCTCATGCTGTTGCCCAGGTTGTAGTACAGTGGTGCCATCATAGCTCACTGCAGCCTCAAGCTCCTGGGCTCAAGCAGTCTTCCCACCTCAGCCTCCTAAAGCACAGAGATTACAGGCATGAGCCACCACACCTGGCCTACATCAACATTTTAAGTGATTGAATAGTGTTGTGTTTTACAGATGTGCGTGCTAGAATTTATCCAACTAGGATACTTCTAATTCTTTTGCATTTTAAAGCACACGTCTTTAGGAAATACCGTTGAAGAGGTTGGCCCAGACTGGTTTTAACAGTAATTACTTTCCACCTAGAATGAGAATTCTGACATTCAGGTTATTCTTTCACTCTTGCCTTAACCAGTCAGATAATCTCCCAGAAGTCTGGATATCAAGATTTAGATATGCTGCACAGTCTCAGTTAAAGGAAATGTGAGCTAGGTAAGCAGCCCTGGAACCCCAGAGAAAGAGAGATTGAGAGAGGCTGAAGTTGACATTGAAGCTAGCTTGGTTCCTGGTGGCTTTGGAAAGCCAATTCATGCAATGATACGTATGTCTTTTATATGCCAGACACTATAATGGGGGCACAGGGGTGGAAGGAACAAGGCAGACAAGTCCCTTGCCTTCTTGGAGCTATTATTCTAATGGAGAAGATACACCAAAAAATATAAATGTGGCTGGGCGCGGTGGCTCACACCTGTAATCCCAGCATTTTGGGAGGCCAAGGTGGGTGGATCAGAAGGTCAGGAGTTTAAGACCAGCCTGGCCAAGATGGCGAAACCCTGTCTCTACTAAAAATACAAAAATTAGCTGGGCGCCATAGCAGGCACCTGTAATCTAAGCTACTCGGGAGCCTGAGTTGGGAGAATTGCTTGAACCTGGGCAGCAGAGGTTGCAGTGAGCCAAGATCGCACCACTGCACTCCAGCCTGGGCGATACAGTGAGACTCCGTCTCAAAAAAAAAAAAAAAAAAAAAATACAGAATGTGGTAAGAACTGTTAAATAAGTAATGTAAGATAGATAGGGTCATAACCCTGAGGAGAATGAGATCAGAAAGGCCTTTCCAAGGAGACCTTTCTCCTAAGATCTGAAGAGTAAGGGTGAGTTAGACAAGATGAAAGCTGGAGAAAGAGTATTCCTATAGGGATTCGAGGGGTGGTGAATCTTCATGACACTGGCAACAGTAAATGAGAAGGTACTGGGATGGGAAAGAGCTTGATGTGTTTACGGTAACAGAAAGGAGTTTGGAATGACTGTCATAAAAGAAGCTGGGGGCAGTCAGTTTGAAATGAGTGGGGGATGCAGGGTCAGAACTAAGCATTTGAGGAGTTTGAACTTTAAATTTTGTGAAAAGCCATTGGAAAGTTTCAGCAGAGAAGTGTCATGATTTGATTTTTTAAATGCCTCTTATAAATGATGACTGTATTTCCTGACCTTGGGCTCTGTTAAGATATCCTTGTGTTGAAGTCTCCTTTAAAAAACAAACAAACAAACAAAAGCTGGTTTGAGTAGATCTCAGTTACAGTTAATTGCATCCAAAAGACTGGGTTAAAACAACATCCTTGTAGCTATTTGTGTCTGCAGCCCTGGCCCTTTTTAAAGGACAAATTTCTGGAAATTGAATTTTAAAGAACATTTCAAAGAGTTTAAAACTTTTGTCAGAAAGTGTTTATTTATCCTCAGGGGAAACAAAAATGGCAGTTATTTTAAAAAATTCTTGTATTATAGGTAAAATAATCTCATATTAATTTTGTCTTTGATTATTTATGGGGTTTTTGGCCATTTCTTTTTTAAAAAGTCCCTTTTTGTAACTGTCCCTCTTTCTGTTGGTAAATTTGACTTTTTCTTATTTTATAAGGAATCTTGTTAAGAGTAAACTTTCTTTCATATTTATTTCATTATTCTCTTAGTCTTGCTCGTGTTACTTTTTGACATTCAGAAGGTTTAAGAAAATAATAACATTGTGATAAAATTCACATACCATAAAGTGCACCCTTTCAAAGTGTACAATTCAGTGATTTTTTTGTATATTCGGAAAGTTGTTTATTGGTCACCTAACTCCAGAATGTTTAATTACTCTATGTTCATTAGCAATTACTCCCCGTTTTTCATTTTTCCCTCCTTCAATCTCCTGGCAATTACTAATCTACTTTCTGTGTGGATTTGTCTATCCTAGACATTATATATAAATAGAGTCATAAAATATGTGGCCTTTTGTAAAATATGTGGCTTCTTTCACTTAGCACATTTTCAAGGTTCATCCACGTTATAGCATGTGTCAGTACAGTGTGTGTGTGTGCATATATATATATATATATGCACACACACACATCACATTTTATTTGTTTTGTCCATTGATGGATATTTGGGTTGTTTCCACTTTTGTAACATTATTGTGAATGCCACAATGCTGTGAACATTCTTGTACATAGAAAAGGTTTTGACTTGTATTTGGCCAGATCACCATTGCTCTTTTCCTTCGTAAAGATTACCATCTTTCTTGGCATGTTGGAAGAGTTTTCTCTGGCAAGGGACTATGTAAATATTCACCTGTCTTTTAAAAATTATTTTTATGCTGGCCAGGTGCAGTGGCTCACGCCTGTAATCCCAGCACTTTGGGAGGCTGAGGCGGGTGGACCACTTGAAACCCAGCCTGGCCAACATGGTGAAACCACCATCTCTACTAAAAATGCAAAAATCAGCTGGGCACAGTGGCATATGCCTGTAATCCCAGCTACTCAGGAGGCTGAGGCACGAGAATTGCTTGAACCTGGGAGGTAGAGGATGTAGTAAGCCAAGATCGGGCCACTGCTTTCCAGCCTGGGTGACAGAGCAAGATTCTCTCAAAAAATAAAAACAAAAATTATTTTTATGGTTATTAAATTTCAGTCTTTAATTCATAGAAAAATTCGTTTTTGGTTTAAGATGTGGAGAAAGGGTATAATTGTTCCTAATAGAATCACTATAGGTACTTGAGATAATTTTTTTTAATTATTATACTTCAAGTTCTAGGGTACATGTGCACAACGTGCAGGTTTGTTACATAAGTATACATGTGCCATGTTGGTTTGTTGCACCCATCAACTTGTTATTTACATTAGGTATTTCTCCTAATGCTATCCCTCCCCCAGCCCCCTACCCCCCAACATGCCCCAGTGTGTGATGTTCCCTGCCCTGTGTCCATGTGTTCTCATTGTTCAGCTCCCACTTACGAGTGAGAACATGTGGTGTTTGGTTTTCTGTCCTTGTGATAGTTTGCTGAGAATGATGGTTTCTGGCTTCATCCATGTCCCTGCAAAGGACATGAACTCATCCTTTTTTATGGCTGCATAGTATTCCATGGTGTATATGTGCCACATTTTCTTAATTCAGTCTATCATTGATGGACATTTGGGTTGGTTCCAAGTCTTTGCTATTGTGAATAGTGCTGCAATAAACATACGTGGGCATGTTTCTTTATAGTAGAATGATTTATAATCCTTTGGGTATATACTCAGTAATGGGATGGCCGGGTCAAATGGTATTTCTAGTTGTAGATTCTTGAGGAATCGCCACACTGTCTTCCACAGTGGTTGAACTACTTTACACTCCCACCAACAGTGTAAAAGCATTCCTATTTCTCCACATCCTCTCCAGCATCTGTTGTTTCCTGACTTTTTAATGACTGCCACTCTAACTGGCATGAGATGGTATCTCATTGTGGTTTTGATTTGCATTTCTCTGATGGCCAGTGATGATGAGCATTTTTTCTTGTGTCTGCTGCAGAAATGTCTTCTTTTGAGAAGTGTCTGTTCATATCCTTTGCCCACTTTTTGATGGGGTTGTTTTTGTTGTTGTTGTTGTTGTACATTTGTTTAAGTTCTTTGTAGATTCTGTATATTAGCCCTTTGTCAGATGGGTAGATTGCAAAAATTTTCTCCCATTCTGTAGGTTGCCTGTTCACTCTGATGATAGTTTCTTTTGCTGTGCATAAGCTCTTTAGTTTAATTAGATCTCATTTGTCAATTTTGGCTTTTGTTGCCATTGCTTTTGGTGTTTTAGTCATGAAGTCTTTGCCCATGCCTGTGTCCTGAATTGTATTGCCTAGGTTTTCTTCTAGGGTTTTTATGGTTTTAAGTCTTAACATTTAAGTCTTTAGTCCATCTTGAGTTAATTTTTAACTGTTTATTTCATTACATTAGAAAGTTTTACTTCTGGCTGCCAGCCAGCTTATTGACTTTTTCTTAGGTGTAATTGTTTTCAGTTGATCCCCTGTTTTCACAAGGAACAGACAGAGGTCACCAACAGTAACAAAGTAGGGGAAAATGCCCTGAAGAAAAAGTTTAGTATGTGATAGGAGCTCAAAACCTCATTTTGCTTGGCAAGTCAGGGAAGGCCTTCTAAAGGAAGTATTGTTTAAATGGAAACCTGAAGGCTGCAACAAGAGTTAGCCAGACAGGTCGGAGGAAGAGCTTCCAAACAGAGAGGACCAGCATGTGTGATGGTCTGGAGGCACAATGCACCAGAACCTGGAGCAGAGATGAGTGGCCAGAAAGACAAACAGGGTACTTGAGACCATGTTAAGGAATTTACATCCAATCATGAGTCTAGTAGTCAGCAACTGGAGGTTTTTGAGCAGAGCTGAGATAGATTTTTAAATAATTACTCTAGCTGCTTTGTGAAAAATGGACTAAAGACTGGGAAAGGAGTCCAGTCAGGAAGCAGTTATAGTAGTTTAGCAACTTACTCATGTTGGACTAGGCTATCATTGATACCATCCTTCTCTTCAGCCCTTTAGTCTTTAAGGAGTAAAATTTAAATTTGTATTGGGTTGAAAAAGTACATATTGGAAAACATGGGATTTTCTGTTTCAGATTGGCCACTAGTAGACTATATTTTATTACTGCATGGCTTGTACTTTATAAAAAGCATATGTTGACACATTTGTCAGGTTTCCTATGTTATTCGAGATGAAGTGGAGAAGTACAACCGAAATGGAGTCAATGCTCTGCAGCTGGATCCAGCACTAAATAGACTTTTCACAGCCGGTCGAGACTCTATCATAAGAATATGGAGTGTCAATCAGCACAAGGTAATGCAGGGATTAAAATCTGTACCCAGCAAATTCTGGACAAATGGCTTTTACTGTCTAATATGACACTTTTCACAGTTTCAGATTTAATCTCTCTGAATGCTGAGTTATTTGGTACACTCTATAAAGACATCGCAACCAGAATTCTGTAAGCCTCTGAGAAAAACCATCCCTAGGAAAGTTTCAGAAGTGTTTCAGCTAAGACAAGGACTCCCTAAACTAGGTTTGCCTTACAGAGTTCTTTGCCACAAAGGAACAAAGTGATTTGGCTAGTAGGGGGATTACTTTCAACAATTAATTTTTTTGCTTTAAATATGTTCCCCAACAACCTCTTGGTAACCTTACTAAAAAAAGATTGAATATTCTTTTACATTTCTAATTAATCTTGAAAAAATATTTTATTTTCCTCACTTAAAAGTAATTAGGATCCTCACAAACCCCACACGGCCTAACTAGGTAATACAAGGTTAGGCTGAGCATGGTGGCCCACACCTGCAATCCCAACAATTTCGGAGGCCAAAGTGAAAGGATTCCTTGAGTCCAGGAGTTCGAGACCAGCCTGGGCAATGTGACAATACCCTGTCTCTGCAAAAAAAAAAACTTAAAAATTAGCTGGGCATGGTGGCACACACCTGTAGTCCCAGCTACTCGGGGAGCTGAGGTGGGAGGATCACTTGATTGAGTATGGGAGGTTGAGGCTGAGTGAGCCGTGATCACACCACTGCATTCCAGCTTGGGCAACAGAGGGAGACCTTGTCTCAAATAAATAAATAAAGATAATATAAAATTGGTGTTAAAACTATGAAGACAACATGCTCCCCTTCAAAGATTTCCCTTTCTTAAGCAGGGAACAGGGTTTAAATATGTGTAAAGATAAATCCCCAGGCAAATGGTAACGAGCCCTTTTAGTATTTTGTTGGAACACCTATATTGTGAATGACAGAGAAAAGAAGAATCAGGGAAGAAAAAAAGAGCATTTATTGATCTTCTAATTATGTGCCATACGCTCTTTGCATTTTCATATCCAATGTGATTTTAATTTTCAGTGTCCCTCAAGGTACCTATTAGGATCCATTTTCTTTTTTTTCTTTTTTTTTTTTTGAGATGGAGTCTCGCTCTGTCACCCAGGCTGGAGTGCAGTGGCGCGATCTTGGCTCACTGCAACCTCTTGACTCCTGGCTTCAATCAATTTTCCTGCCTCAGCCTCCTCAGCAGCTGGGACTACAGGCACACGCCACCACATCCAGCTAATTTTTATAATTTTAGTAGAGACGGGGTTTCACCATGTGGGTCAGGCTGGTCTCAAACTTCTAGACTCAGATAATCCAACTGCCTTGGCCTCCCAAAGTGCTGGTATTACAGGCGTGAGCCACCGCGCCTGGCCAGATCCATTTTCATAGATGAGAAAATGGGCTCAGAGAAACCCATGGTTATGTGGCTAGGAAGTGACAGAGAATTAGTACCCAGCCCAACTTGAAAACCCTAGTGCTAGACCTTGTATTTTTAAAAGTTTGTGTCTTTTTAGCAAGTTTTACAAGTCTGATATTCAGTTCAGAAAAAGAACCACTACTTTATGCGCCTATAACTTCAGTCTGGCAGGCTTTGAATTCTTTAGCCAATGGACCATGCAGTGGTGGCCAAATGTCAAAAGCATGAAAAGTAAGAAAACTATGTTTGGCTTTGAAATGCTTTTTGGTACTTATAATTGAATTGGAATGTCTCCTTTCTGAGCATTCACAGTATTTCAAACAAATTAAGAAAAACACCCAAAAGAACTAACCTGAAGAATCTGGAAATCTGCCTGTCTTGCCCCAAACATCTTTTTTCTGGTCTTCCTTTTATGACAAGATTGAATAGCATTATTTGTCAAACAGACTTGTACAGAGCTGTTCTGTTTGCCCATAAAGTGTCTCAAACTTGCCTGTTTTAGGTGTAGGATGTAACTAAATACTGTTCTTTAAAAGGCCTCTCCTGGTTATTAAGCCAGGTAAGAGAAGTAGAATCTCGAATCACCTAATTGAAATGGTGACACAGGTTGTCCTTTCTCAGCCGTTGGGTTTCCTTTCATCTCTGAAGGCCTGTAGGTACCATGAGGAAAACATTTAATTCAGAGGGTGAACCCAACAGTAGGAAGCTGAAAGCAGAAGTGTTTATCTCCCTCTGCATTCAGACCAGGCTCCTTAGTGCACTCATCAGACTCATTGCTGCCCCTGCTGTCTGCTGTTGAGCCTTCACCACCACTCATTCAAATCCCCACAGCCTACAGATTCCTACAAGTCATGTCCTTTCTAGTGAACCCTTTTTAAAGGGTTTTATGTCACACACAGTGCCTAGTCCAGAGCTTGTTGCCTTCACTTTAACAAGGCAAAAAAAAAAAAAATGAAGTATTTGTCCTGGAAACCTAAGCTTTCAGTAAGAGTAAAACTGTCCTGAAACAAAACTGTTTACATCTGTTATCTGGAAGCATCACCTATTTGGTGAGATTCTACTCAGAATTCAGGTGTTAGTTTTAATGCCTAGAGCAGTATGTCACATTAATTGAAGAATTTAACCATATCTATCATTTGTAATATATTTCATTCTCTCATATAAACTCTTAGGATTTTTCTTTTAATTTCAGCAAGATCCATATATAGCATCTATGGAACACCATACTGATTGGGTAAACGACATTGTACTCTGTTGTAATGGGAAAACATGTAAGTATTTCTTTGGATTATTATTGGGCTTCTGATATATTTTTTGTTTTTTATATAAGCTTTTTTATTGAAACATACATACAGAAAAGTACACACACTTCGAGATTGCAGTTCAACACAATTTTAGAAAGTGAATACCCAAATCAAGAAACAATATTACTAGAAGCCCTCTTGTGCCACCCTTTGCCACCCTTTCAGTTATTCCCTCTTGCCCCAAGGTAACTGCTCTTCTGTCTTCTGAACACCAAAGGGTAGTTTTGCCTTCATTTGAACTGTATATAGACTCGTACTATATGTATTCTTCTTTTAGCCTTATTAATACCTCTTTTTGTTCTAATTTTGGTGAGATCCATTCCTTGGTTTTGCAGTCCGAGTTACAGGAATTTTTCTCAATCACATTAGTTGAGCCTTCAACTGGAACATTAAAAATGTTTGCACTGCTTGTTTTAAAAATATATTTTTTTCTTTGAACATGTGTCTTGAGATTTTAAAAAATTGAGGCAATATACAATAGGTTCTAGAAAGAGCTTTTAGGTATGTTTGTGTGTGTAAGAGAGAGAATATGTTAGTTTGAAATAATGTTACATTGTTGTAAGATAAGTTTTCAAAGTTTTAAGTCATACTACTAAGGAGTTTGTTAATTCTTTGCTTCTTCTAGTAATATCTGCTTCTTCTGACACGACAGTAAAAGTATGGAATGCACACAAGGGATTTTGCATGTCAACATTAAGGACACATAAGGTAAAACAATACAGTTCTCAGTGTCTTTAGTGTAATATTGGGATCTCAGTACTTTGTGTGGCTCATTTTATTACTGATCTACAGAATAGATCATAGTATGTCTGTTCTATTACAGGATTACGTAAAGGCCTTAGCATATGCCAAGGATAAAGAACTAGTAGCATCAGCTGGGTTGGACAGACAAATATTCCTTTGGGATGTGAATACTCTAACAGCATTGACTGCCTCAAATAACACTGTCACAAGTAAGGTGTTTAAAAGAAACTTCTTTGAAAGTGATCCAAGTTAACATAAATAAAGAATGGTTTATAAAACATTTTTGATAGGTTTGCATCGAGAGAGTGTTTCATATTTTGAGAGTGCTTCTACCTACAGCGTTCTGGCCCCCAAGAGTATGATTGAACAACAAAGAGCTAGTTCCTCACTGCAGTCTAAAAATGGTAACTTCTCCAGGTATAACCTGGTTATTTTTTGTACGTGTGCATGTCTTAGCTCCCTAGCTAAAATGTAAGTCCCTGCAGGGTAGAGGAGACTGTCTTACTACTTCGTATCTCCCACAGCATTCCCTGGTCCAAATCCATACACTCAGCAGGTATTATTGAAGGAGGTGGCGATTTTCTGACAAAGTAGGCGGTTTTCTGACTTTTTAAAGTGTTAAGAGCTTTTGAGTTAATAGCCAAGATGAAAAATACCCAGGAGAAAGAAAGAAAAGGTTTCCAGTGCCAGTTTATCAAATTTTCTGCCTTTTAGAGCAGCCCTGAGGAATCAAGCCAATTCCAGAAGAGCCAGAACGGTAGAGTGCTTCTAGAGGCAATCCAGAGATGTTCACAGCATGGATGATTCATCAGCTAAGAGATCTCAGACTACCAAGTCAGGCTCATACAAGTCTAGATTTGAAATTGAGCTTCATGCTTGGCCCAACCTAGTAGAGTCCTCTAGGCCAGGTTTCAGAAGGGACTGTTAGGAGCACATTTTTGGCTAGGCCTGACCTGGAAAGTCTACATTGAAGACATGGGCCTGCATTCTCTGGATCCCTACATTATAGGTCCATTTTATAACGACTCTGTGGAGTGTTCACATTGACATAGACAATACAGTTTTACTAATATAGCCTAGTATGTGCCAAGAAGGGTAAGTTGGGAGACTTGTGTTTATAATCTCTTGATTGTTGTTTTGCCTTGTTTTCCAGGAAATATGTGAAGGTCTCAACATTCTTTTTCCCTTGTTCTTGATTTTTCACCTGTACATTATCTCTGATTCATTAGCTGGTCCCTGTTGGGGCTGTCATGGTACATCATTAGGTTTTAAGTCTGGATGTAAGGCCTGCCTCAAAGAGACACTAATGGGAGGGAACAAAGCAAAAAAAAAAAAGCAGGTTGTCACAAGGTCAGGGCCCAGGCTTAGTGGATACAGATTCTGCTACATCTTGCTTAGAGTTGTTTAGAGAGGATATCACACTTTTTTTTAATACATAATAATAAAAATAATACTAATAATGGCTAACCTGTATTGAGTACTTGCTACAAGTAGACATTTTTCTAAACAGTACATGTAGTAACTCATTTACTCAACTTTTTAATATGTTTGTAAAATTGGGTTCATACTATATAGACAGTTTCATATACATCTTTTTTACTTCAGTGATACTGAGAGTATGAACATGATTTTTGCTATAGTCTGAATTCCTTCCTGAAAGGTTGTACCTATTTATCTTCACATAAGTAATATATGAGAGTTCCATTGTACTGTTTTCTTTTTACAATCAAGTATTACCTTGTTTTTTGTCTTGGTGTATGAAACAGTGTTTTTGGTTTGATTTGTGTTTGAAAAATACTGAAATTGAACATTTTTTCATATTTATGGCACATGAATAGCTTTAAACATATCATTTAAGCGGATAGCTTTTCAATGGCACTGCAGTTTATCAGATATTGAGCATTTGTATATATTCAAATCCAGAAAATATGTAAATTTTGATAATAATACTGTTTAGATTTATCTCCATTATAGGTAGATTTCTTTTCCGTAGAGGACTTATAAAGATAAGATTTTCTAAATTGAATAAACTTGCAGTTTTTGCTGACTAGTTACTAAACAGCTGATGATCTTGTTAACATTTAGCTCCGTTTATCCTCAATAGCTTCTTCTTTAAGTGGAAACAAAGATTCCATTTATAGCCTGGCCATGAATCAACTGGGAACAATCATTGTATCAGGGTCCACTGAAAAGGTAAGGAGGAGCTTATTTCTTTATTTAAAAAAAAAAATTATTTTTCACATACCTTGTCTCCTATTTTTTAAGCAGGTATTTTACGATTAGCTTCTTTATATTTATTTATTTAGAGACTGGGTCTCACTCTGTCACCCAGGTTGGGGTGCAGTGGCATCATGATCCTGGCTCACTGCAGCCTTGACTGCTGAGGCTGTAGCGATCCTTCCACCTCAATCTCCTGAGTAGCTGGGACCCCAGGCACACACCATCACGTGCATCAGGCCACTCCTTGTCCCATCTGGCTAATTTTTGTATATTTTTAATAGAGACAGGGTTTCGCCATGTTGTCCCTCCAACTCCTTAGTGCAAGCAATTCACCTGCCTTGGCCTCCCAGAGTGCTGAGATTACAGGCATGAGAGCCACTGTGCCCCAATCGGGGGAGCTTAAAGGGTGGTTTGAACATTAGAAAATAAAGAAACCAAAATAATTTAATCTGTGTAATTATTAAATATATGGACAGTGGTTTTGCCTAGTGGGTGCTAAACAAAAGGTTTTATTTGAATAAGTAAGAGTATAACTATAACTGTTGTGTGTATAGTGACAAGATAAAGAGGCTGTGCATTTTTGATGTTTGAAAGGCCTAATTCCCTGAGGTTGGGAGGCTTAGACAGTGTCCATTGGCAGAAGTGGTATTGCCTTCTCAGAATATAATGGTTATCATTTGACTTATGAGAGTTGTCTGTTATTTAAATTTGATACTGATATATTTAGTTTGTGTAATACTCTATTAAAATTCACAGGTGTTACGGGTATGGGATCCAAGAACATGTGCAAAACTAATGAAGCTTAAAGGGCACACGGATAATGTGAAGGCATTGCTATTAAACAGAGATGGCACGCAAGTATGCAGTTTCATTTGGGTGTTTACCTAATAACCTTGTTAGAAATTTCCGCACTTTGTATACTATTGCATAGGTTGATTTGAACCGAAAGCCACACTTATTATAAATTGTCTAATTAAAAAATTTTAAAATACTAAATTGCACATATAAGCTACATTTAAAAACTATTCTATTTGCATCACTTTTAACAAAACAAAGAATTTCCTTAGAATAATTCTGATGCAGATGAGTATATGCATTTATGGTGCATAGGGGCTAAAATAACTAAAAACATTACCTGTGTAAAGCAAAAGGAAGCTTTGATATCAAATGCTTTTTGCCAGTGTATTAAGTGGAAAATTTGCTCACAGTGGGTCTGACTTAGGGGCACATTTTGTCAGTTGACTATGTAGATATAGTTGATAAATTTAGTTTTCTAACATAATGCTCAGAGTGAACATTTCAAAGAAAAACATTTTGGTAATGTTATACATTAGCTCTGTTGGCCACGTAATTTGTGAATTATAAATCACAATTCTGTTCTGTAGCAATGGAAAATACTTTTTCATCAATGTAGATAATAAAAAACAAAAACTGAGCATCATTTTATGGGTATGACATATGTCTACCATGTACCCTTGACTCAGCCATTTTTTTTCCAGAATGCAGTGATAAGTCAGAGATAACTGGAATTGATTGTGATAGGGTTAGAAAAGGGCAGGTAGAAAGATGATGAGGTGAGAAACACCATCAGTTTCTTTTCCTGTGGAAGTTAAGACTTTAGACATGAAATTGCTAAAATTTCACGTCTAAGAAATTGCTTTAGACATCAATCAGAGAAGCCGTCGCCTCCAGAAATGAACAGAAGGTTTGGAAACTAGTCTAAGGAAGGAAATCATTTTTCAGAACCAGGAGAAGAAAGATTTAAAGATACCTGTGGAGGTATTTGGAGATGTGAAGGATCTTTTTTTTTTTTTTTTTTTAATACTTTAAGTTTTAGGGTACATGTGCACAATGTGCAGGTTAGTTACATATGTGTACATGTGCCATGCTGGTGCGCTGCACCCACTAACTTGTCATCTAGCATTAGGTATATCTCCCAATGCTATCCCCCCACCCCCACAACAGTCCCCAGAGTGTGATGTTCCCCTTCCTGTGTCCATGTGTTCTTATTGTTCAGTTCCCACCTATGAGTGAGAATATGCGGTGTTTGGTTTTTTGTTCTTGCGATAGTTTACTGAGAATGATGATTTCCAATTTCATCCATGTCCCTACAAAGGACATGAACTCATCATTTTTTATGGCTGCATCGTATTCCATGGTGTATATGTGCCACATTTTCTTAATCCAGTCTATCATTGTTGGATATTTGGGCTGGTTCCAAGTATTTGCTATTGTGAATAGTGCCGCAATAAACATACAGGATAGGATTTCACTTTAGTCCTTAATTTGCTTATCTGCAAAGTGAGAATCATAATATATAGTTTATATAGTTGGTGAGAGTGTGTGTATATGTATATATATGTGTTAATAATAAGTATTTTCTTAACTGTAAGCCAGGGCATTTCCTAGAGCTCTCAAGTTCCTTTGTGGCCTCATTTTCACATGACTGTAAGAATTACCCAGTGCAGTCAGCTCCTCACTGTTTTGCAGTGTAGCTGCAAGGCTGCACTTGAGATGGTTGCCCGTGTCTCTTCAGTTAGCTTTGCCAGGATTGGGCGGGATCATATCATCTCCATGGTTTCCAGAAGGGGGCTATGGGCCTGGCAGACCTTCTAAAGCTCTACCTGTCTGCTCCATCTCTTGTTTCCTATCTATGCAATTATGAATGTGCTTCTATAAAAGATGATTTAAGTATCACGTGTACAGTTAGAAATGCACTTCATCTGAAGTCAGCTACAGTCATTGTAAGCAGAGGAAATATTGTGGTTCTACTTTAAAAACTGCCTGTTAGTCTCAGAGTGCAAACTTGATAGGTATCACTCTTCATCTAGTTTCTCTTCCACCCATTTTCCTTATTGGCAACTATGGACTAAATGTAAAATTACCACCAACAACCAAGCATATTTACGTTAGTGAATTGATCAACAAAAAACTATAATAACTGCTTATTTGGGAAAAAGAGATGAGAAAAAAAGAAACTCTTACTGATTAATGAATTGACCAACAAAAAACTATAATTACTTATTTGGAAAAATGAGGTGAGGAAAAAAGAAACTTCTACTTACAGATTCTTGAATTCTTGTAATATGGAAGAGGTGGTTATCAGTTACTGGGCCAAAGTTTATATTGCATCCTGCTAAATTGCCCTGTGAGCTTGTAATATAGGGTACCTGGTGGCTTTGTAAATCAGGAATTGGCAGTAAGATACATATCTTATAGGCCAATGAATCCCATGAATATCTACCTGTTGCCTGATTCTTTTGTTGTAGAATAAGATTCTTATTTACCAAATTTATTTGAGGTTCTCCCTAAGGGAGTTCTGCCTGTAAAGAGATCAGCATTGCAGTTGCTTTGATTGGTGCTAACATTATTGGGCAGAGCCACCTATCTTTTTATTCCTTTTACTTAGGCAATTCATTGCTTGAGGAGCTGGGACAACCTGCCATCTTGATTTGAGTCAGTCATGTCCTTGTATGTCACTCAAAGGGTTCTTTTGGTAATACAAGTCTGCTGATCCTAGCTTATGGGTCTGAGGGTCTCAGAGCATCAGGCCACTTATTGCCCCAGCTTATGTCGTCCACTTGGCTGATCTCTGTTGGCACTTGAGATTGTGTGTTAGTGACCATCCCGGGAACACTCCTGTTGGTCAGCAGCAACTTGGCCTCAGTACACTGGTACTTCCTATCTTCATTGGCAGAAACAAAGAGCACCTGATTAGGGCTACAGACTATTCCACTAAATCTGATTTAGCAGAATCATTGAAGGACATTCTGTCCTAGTCCCAGGAGTTACCTCATAATGAACATCTTCATGTTTATCTATGTTTTTCTAGTGGAAGGATGGAGGCAGTGGAAATGTTTTGATGACTCCTCCAGCTCCTACAAGATCTCAGGCACTATAATTCCTATAAAACAGGACATTCTTTAATTATACTACCAAATGCTGCGAAGAAGTTGGCCAACATAATACTTTTAAAGTGGTTGCTTTGTTGGGGGATCTGCTTTTCCGTAGTCTTAGAATACTGATTACCATCAGAGATTACTTGGCGTTCTATATCAGGGTTGATAAAACTGTGTTTCCTTATCTGCTTCCAACTGTGCACCCTTAGTTTGGGACTTATCCTTTCCTGTTACAAGTTGCCCCAGGCCACGAGGACTTCTAACCATCATATCTTACTTTCCTTGTCCTCTTTAAGTTGTCAAATCTTACTCTGTAGATGCATAGTCTAGGATCTGAGGGATCAAAGCTTTACTAAAAGCTTTGCCACCTCAGAATAACACCTCTTCCTGGAATGGGGAGCCCCTCCTTGGCCCCTACACCATCAGATTGCCACATTTCTCACTCACATATGTTGCAGATTTGCTTTAACTTTGCTCCTGACGTTTGCTTTATTGGTTAGTTTCTTGGTTCCCTTGTAAACTAGCTGGAATAGGTTATTAAACTACTGATGCTCCTGGCATCTTGTGGGAGAGTTTCCTAGTATGTGTTCATTTAATTAAACATGCTTAGAGTTCTCAAGGGCCCTTAAAGTCATGGGGCAGGCCAGTAAATTTTTATTCCTGAAGGCCTCATGTATTTGGGCACCTTCCAAATCTCCAAGCCCACAACTGTCTTTCCTTCTTTGAAGCTCTGCTTACTTAACTTCATACTCCAGCACCAGCAATTGCTTTTTCCTCCGGGCCATTCTTTTTCCTAAGGAAATCAAGTTTTTATACTCTTCTGCAAGTCACCACAGTAACATGCTGTGTGGATGCAGGGTGTCTAATTCAGTCTTTTTCCACCTGAGCACACTCACAGTGTGCTCAGCCCTAATTTGTGTGTCAGCAGCTTCTATGTAGTTGACTCTCTTGAGCCATCAGAAATTGTCAGAATTGCCAGTGTTAACTCACTTGAGGCTCATATGGAAAGTGTCCAACGCAAAGAGTGAATGGTAAGCCTGAGACTAGATTTTGTTTCTGATTCCCGTCAGTAGAATCCAAGAGACCTGGCCTCATCAGGAATCCAGAGCCATGAGACAGAGGTGTAACCCAGGACTTCAAAAGGCTTGCTGGCCTAGTGCAGTGTTTGTCAAAGATAGTGAACATCAGAATCACCTGGAGAGCCTGTTAAAGCACCAGTTGCTGGGTTCCAACAGAGTTTCTGCCTTGTTAGCTCTGAATGAGACCCAATAATTTATATTTTAACAAGTTCCCAGGGGACGCTGATGCTGCTGGGACCACACTTTGAGACCCATGGGCCTAGTGCATACAGCTACCTTCATTTCCACTGCTTTCAAACTCTATCTCCCTTAGTAGTAGATAATGCGAGTAGGGCTTGTCTACAGGATTGACCAGAAATCAACAAGTGGCCAGGTAGAGAGGACAAAGGCAGTTCTGCTCAGAGATTTCTCCTGCTGGAGTATCTCTAAGCATAATGAATAGGTGTCATTCATCTAGTTTCTCTTCTATCCATTTTCCTTATTGGCAACTATAGACTAAATGTAAAATTACCACCAACAACCTAGCATATTTACATGAGTGAATTGATCAACAGAACAACCGTAACTACTTATTTAGGAAAAAGAGATGAGGAGAAAAGAAACTTTTACTTGCAGATTAGTGAATTGATCAACAAAACTACCCTAATTACATATTTGGGAAGAATAAGGAATTTTCCCAAAATTACATAAATTTGGTCACTTTAGCCTGTGGTGCATGGTTGTCAAGCCTTTATCAGAGGCAGAAACACAGGTTAATAGAGTCGTGTGTTTGACAGTGTGGACTCGGGAGAAGTCAAGTGCAAAGCACAAGAAAGCAGGAACTTTGTGGCAAGTTCTAACTTTGCCTTTCTTTGTTTGCAGTGCCTGTCAGGCAGTTCTGATGGGACAATTCGCCTTTGGTCCCTTGGCCAGCAGAGATGTATAGCAACATACCGAGTCCATGATGAAGGTGTTTGGGCGCTGCAAGTCAATGATGCCTTCACACATGTGTATTCTGGTGGAAGGGACAGGAAGATTTATTGTACAGACCTAAGAAACCCTGACATTCGGGTGCTAATTTGTGAAGAAAAAGCACCAGTTCTCAAGGTATGTCATATGTTAATATTTTAGTTTTATAATTAAGGTTGTTACATGTGTTAGCCAAATAGAGCAAAAGCTATATTAAAACATGACTCAACTGCAGGGTTCGGAGGGGGAAGGTTTGTAAAAAAGATATTCCATCATGAGCAGAACTTGACAGGGTAAGGAAGAGTAGGCATCTGTCTGGAGGGAAGAGTGTCAGTATGAGATACTCTGGGTCAGTTCTGGGGCACTTTTGTGTTTTGCTTTTTTTTTTTTTTTTTTTTTTAACAGTTTTGTAAGTCGCCTATAGAAGAAAGTGTGACTTCTTGGTACATCAGTGATGCATGGCTCTCCCACTGATGAATTGTAGTGAAATTGTCTCATACTTGCTCCTGAGCTTGCCTGGCTTTCCTGAGCAGTCCTTAGGAAAAGAAATATGAGGAGTTAAGGTTATCTGTGAGCAGACAACAAAGCAGAGGAAGGTCAGGAAATGTGTCCATGGTTTCAGGAGTAAGGAAGTGGAAGAGTACTCTCCTGAAAGAAGAGGGAGCAGGCTGCTTCATACTCCAAACCACCACTGCCTCAGAGCAGCCCTAACCATCAGGATCTGCCATGTGGGTCAAAGGGTTCTTGAGGAAGTCTTTGGAAGCCATCCATATGGACACCTGCTGAAAGTGAAGGCTGTACTGAAAAATGGCCAGTCGACATGTTCAACCTCACCGATAGTCACAGAATTTCACATTAAAACAACAGTGAAGAAGTTTCCAAAATTTTTTTTTTTTTTTGAGACGGAGTCTTGCTCTGTTGCCCAGGCTGGAGTGCAGTGATGCGATCTCGGCTCACTGCAAGTTCCACCTCCCAGGTTAATGCCATTCTCCTGCCTCAGCCTCTGGAGTAGCTGGGACTATAGGCACCCACCACCATGCCCAGCTAATTTTTTTTTGTTTTTTTAGTAGAGATGGGGTTTCACCGTGTTAGCCAGGATGGTATCGATCTCCTGACCTGGTGATCTGCCCACCTCGGCCTCCCAAAGTGCTGGTATTACAGGCGTGAGCCACCACACGTGGCCGGAAGTTTCCAAGTTTTAAAATGGAGGCAGAAAAATACTACTACTCCCTTTTCTCAGAAATCACCTAAAAGGAAAATGAGAAACAGAACTGCAGATACCCATTCTCTACGAAACTAAGTGACATCTGAAACCTCAGACTGTTGTGTAGGAGGAAGGGCTGAAAAGAGGAATGGAGGTCAAATGCGACGGTTGGGAGGATGTCTGCAGTCTAAGAATTCAGACAAAACTGGCCAAGTACGGTTCTTTAAAATAGATGGCATATCCTAATGGACCGAACCAGTAATCCTTTAGAGAAGCAAGGAGTCAGAGCTGAATTAATAATCATACATATACAACATGTGTGCAGGCAGCAGGCTGATGTGATGGGGAGACAAACTTGGAGGAGAAACACTCTGCATTATGAGTTCTGCAGCTGCCTGGATCTCTTGCCGGGATGTTGGCTGTGGGGGAAAGACTGAAAGAACTTGGCACAAACATAATTATATGTTATAAGGAATATCATCTTGAACTGAGGAGGATTGCTGCTAGCTAGGAGTCCTGCCCTGTTCCCATCACTGCAAACCTGCGGTTTCCTGATGTGGGAAGAATAGTGGATGAATGTAGAGTGATTCCGCTTGTGTAATATATACATGCACATAAACATATTCTTATATGTGCAGTATTTTACATACAGAAGAATATACAGTAAGCTATTCCCAGGTGTCCCGTCCTTAGGCGAGGGTTATTTTCACTTTTACTATGTTGTTAGGATGTTTTTTACTTCAGACATTTTCAAAGTAAAAAGAAATTTATTTCCTTGTTACTATAGAAACATAAAAACTGGAGTAACAAGAAGAGAAAATTATGGAAAGTCTTTATCCTTTTGACTGTATCCATTCAAGTACCTCAAATTGACCACACTTAAAATTATTGGCCACTGTTTTAGGTGAGAAATTACCCCATTACACTTTTATAGGGCTATGAATTTATTTAGCAAAGAAAAAGACTCTCTCATTTTTCTGTGCATCCTTAGTTTTTCACACATGCCCAGGTATAGTCACCACAATTGTTGAATGAAGGAGTTGATATTAATAACATATCTAGTCCTGGCAGTTCAGAAGAGTTGACATTCCACAAAGCAATATTTTTGTGCTTTGTTTTCAGATGGAGCTTGATAGATCAGCTGATCCTCCTCCTGCAATTTGGGTTGCAACAACTAAGTCTACAGTAAATAAATGGGTAAGTGAGCTATTAACCTGGCAAAGGTTTATAAACATGTATTTTGTTATCACAGACCTGTAGACGCCAGTTGCAAATGCTCAGTGTGGCCCTAACTCTAGCATGCTTTTGGGCAGGGGCAAAAACCTGAAAGCCCTGTGAATGTAGGTAGAATCCTAAAGATCATACTAAAATTAAGATAATAGTCAAAATGACTATTCTGACTTCTTTGTCTGGAGCCAAGATACATGTTCCATGTCCTTAGAATAGACACTGTTGCCTGGTAAAACCAGTAAGTCTTAGTACATCTTCTGACCTCATGAAGCTACATTTGAAGATAGGTAGCCCAAGTACCAACAAGGCAGGGAAACTCACCAGGATTCAAATTTGGTTAAACATAAGAGAAAGCAGAAAATTGTGCTTTCAAATTAGTTTTCTTTTTCCTCATAGCATGAAGAACAGGGATAGAGATAGAGGATAAACAGAAGTCATCCAAAGTGCACCGTTAATTCTTAAATCTTAATTTAAAAAGACTTAAGTTTTCTTGCTTACCAGACTATCTGTAGGTAACAAAAGAGAAGGTGTTTGCATTTATTCCTGTTGACATGCAGGTCAAGTGTTCTTTCTGTATACTTATTTTTTAAATGTTGTATATCTTGTGTTAATTTCATCATGCCAACTTATGACCAATACAATTTTACCTGGAAGAGCACTCCTGCTTTCATGCATAGTTTTCTCTCCCAAAGACAATATTCCCTTCTTAAAATTTGTTTCTTTCTAAACGATGATAGATAATTGTACTGTGACCAAATATTTTTCGGTTGATGTAGTGGTTGTTGAGGTTTTCTTGTTTGTTTTTTGACTTTATTTTTCTTGCCACTTTAAACAGGCTGGCAAAGCTTGTAGAGCATAACATGATCAAATAACAAATTTTGTAATTTTAGACTTTGAAAGGAATTCATAATTTTAGAGCCTCTGGAGATTATGACAATGACTGTACAAATCCTATAACACCTCTTTGTACACAACCTGACCAGGTTATTAAAGGTAAGAAAATGGAAGGTACTGTACCCCTTATTGAAGTTAGCGATAGTTACTTAGAGATTGACAAAAATCAAGACAATGACCTTTCTTTAAATATAATCCTGATGTAAACAAAAGATAATACATTGGTTTATTTTTAATATAAGGAAAAGGTTTTTTTTTGTTTGTTTGTTTTGCTTTTTGTTTTGTTTTGTTTTTTTGAGATGGAGTGTTGCTCTGTCACCCAGGCTGGACTGCAGTGACGGGATCTTGGCTCACTGCAACCCCTGCCTCCCGGGTTCAAGCCATTATCTTGCCTCATCCTCCTGAGCAGCTGGAATTACAGGTGTGAGCTACCATGCCCAGCTACTTTTTATATTTTTAGTAGAGATGGGGTTTCATCTTGTTGGCCAGGCTGGTCTCAAACTCCTGACCTCAAATGATCTGCCCGCCTCAGCCTCCCAAAGTACTGGGATTACGGGCGTGAGCCACCACGCCCAGCCAGAAAAAGTTATTTTAAAAAATGCTGTTAATGGGCCGGGCGCGGTGGCTCGCCTGTAATCCCAGCACTTTGGGAGGCCAAGGCGGGCGGATCACGAGGTCAGGAGATCGAGACCATCCCGGCTAAAACGGTGAAACCCCGTCTCTACTAAAAATACAAAAAATTAGCTGGGCGTAGTGGCGGGCACCTGTAGTCCCAGCTACTTGGGAGGCTGAGGCAGGAGAATGGCGTGAACCCGGGAGGCGGAGCTTGCAGTGAGCCGAGATCCCGCCACTGCACTCCAGCCTGGGCGACAGAGCGAGACTCCGTCTCAAAAAAAAAAAAAAAAAATGCTGTTAATGACTTTTAAAGTGGACTTTCTTGAGTCAGTTTATTTGCCTAACATCAGAATAGCCATGATAAAGCCAGTAACCACTTCATAAAATACATAGGATTTAATATTGTACTTAGATATGAGGCAGAAAAGGACAGATATGATCCTCAAATTCTACATGCTGCTGCTGATTATGGCAAAAAAGCAGTATATGTTTAATGTCAGAGTTTGGGATTAGAATTTTGTATGGCACATTCATTTGTTCATGCTGTTAAACCTTTAGAATATTCATTCAGGAAGCAAAAGATGGGAAACCAAAGTTAATGCAAAATGAGACTAATACAGAGACTTCCTGTCATCATTTTGACTTTTCCCAGTGGATAAAGCTGTTGTCCCTCAACAATTTTCCACTAGTACCCCCTTGACATGAAGAGCCCTTTAATCCATAATGTATTATTAAAATCAGATAGTTTTTCTTTGAATGTTTATAAATGGACATAAATAATTTATGGGACTTGAATTGCTTTAGATATAATTATATAGTCTTTAGGTTTGCCTTTTCCTTTCTAGTAGCTAGTACAGTTTATGTTCCTGTTAGATACCAGTTAACAATTGTTACCACACCATGAATTTAAATGTAGAAAGATTGTTTTACCAATTGTGTTTTTTTTTCCCATTAGGGGGTGCTAGTATTATTCAGTGCCACATTCTTAATGATAAGAGACATATATTAACCAAAGATACCAATAATAATGTGGCATATTGGGATGTATTGAAGGTGAGTATTTTTTTTGGGCTAAATATAGGTTGTTAGATTGTATACCCCCTTTATTTTTTATTTTTTGTATGTGATAAGATAATATAAATTAAGATGTAATTGCAGTAATACTTTATGGGGTGGTATATACTTTCTTATATGAATATTAGATAAGATCATAATTCATCTTTTTAAGTAAATAAACTGTTTAAATGGAATCATTTTCTCTGGTTAGTGTATTGCAGACAATCTTATATGCTGCCTTACCTTAAAAGTCTCATCCTTGTAGCTATTGACATCTTAAGCCAGATAATTATTTGGAGGTGGAGGAGGGGGCAGGTAGGGGGCTATTCCATGCATTGTAGGATGTTTAGAACATCTCTAGCCTCCACCCAGTAGTTGCCAGTAATACCCCTCCCTCCCCCTAGGTGTGGCAACCACAAGTGTCTCCACATGTTGCCAGATGTTTGGAGGGAGGAAGAATGGTGTAAAATCACCCTAGATGAGACACACTGGAGTGCACACAATAAGGTTGGCTGTTTCTTAGGATTTATAGACATCACTATGAGCATTAGTTACAACTCTGGGTCATGTTACAATAACTCCTTCTGGGACAGTTGAAATGCATGAAGCTATTCAATCACATTCCAAATAGCAGTGAAGCATTTGTAGGCAGATTAAAAAGTTAGTCTGCTTTTATCATTCTCACAAGTCTCTCTCTTAGTGTTGTTGGTATACTTGTTCATTTGTTCAACAGATATTTCCTAGATGGAATGACTGTCATGTGCAAAGAACCATGCTTGAGGGTCATAAATGATGAAAAAGTCTTTACCTTGATCCCCTTTGGTAGGAGGGACAAGTGGAATGGGAAAACCTTATAGATAAAGAAGGAACAGATTTCAGGATAGCTTATGGATGAGGGAAGTCAGGAGAGCTTCGTGGTGGAGAAATCATTTGAACAAGGACTTAAAGGTTTCCAGTAGATGCATAATGGGAGTAGAAGGAAGAGCATTTCAGGAAAAGGAAATGAATGGCAGAGGCACAGGAAAAGGATGGTATGTGCTTATTTGGGGCAAGGTGAGCAGTTTTGTTTATTTGGAGACCAGAGTAAATATAAGGAAGTAACAGGGGTGTAAGATTGAAAAATGACATTTAGGTCATTTCCCAAAGAGCCTTAAGCTGCAGGACCCAAAGTTGGCCTTTCTTTTGTACTCCTAGAAGAACCTTAGATAATTTTAGAGCAGGAAAATCTCATGTTGAGGGCAGTAGTTGTTAGTGTATGTAATGGGAAACTGAAAGCTGGAAGACGTCATGATTGGAGATCTAAAGGAAGAGACATGAGCACCATAGGAAAGGTTAAATAAATAAATAAAAATAAAGGACGAGACAGGTGTTGAGCTTATTATAAAGGAAGAATTGAAAACAGCTGGTATTTTGGTTAAGCTCCTGGTTATAAAGAAAAGAGATTCACTTAATGAACTAAAGAATAAGACAGGCAAGTTTCTTGCTAGGAAAAAGGGACTGTCACTGAACAGAAACCTTGGCTTGACTACCATTTTTGCTCCCTGTGGGACATCTATGTGGGAAGTCCATTATGAAACAGTTGTTTGGTGAGCATTGCTTCAGAATGAGAGGCTTTAGTTCTTTGAGTAGAAAGTTTAGTTGCGGCAAGCTTCAAAAATCTGATTAGTTTTTCTCTACAATAGAGAGATGCCTGTTGGGGGTGGGGGTAGAAACACATTGATTTCAGAGAGGGTTCTCTTGGGGACTGGCAGGATCCAGAACAGCCCTAAGAAACTCATCAGCAGAAATTATTGATTCTTCACTTTGATACTCTACCACAAATGTGTCCCTAACTCTGTCCTGTGGCTGGACTTCGCCTCATGCTGCCCAGGACCTAATTGTCTCCAGAATACCCAAGAGAATCTGATCAGGCCAGCTCCTCTTTGAGAGTTGACCTATCTGTTTTCTGTATATGGGTCTGTTGCCCACTCTTGGTCTGGTTAACTGAGGCCTGAGTAGAATCCTGCTGTCTGAATGGGAGGTACTTCTACTTAGATGGGGCCAGCATACATCATGATTGGCATTTCTGTGTACCTAGCAGCTTCCCATATCTAGACCTTGAAGTTTTGATATCAAATGATCTGGTGTAATAGACGTGGCTAAACAGTGTGGGACAGTCAGGAGTTTTTTAGGAACATTGGCTTGGGAGTTGGACAGAGCTGCATTCTAACCTTGGCTGTGCCAAATACTCGCCAAGTGATCTACGGAATATGCTAGGGAACATCTCTAAAATGGTTTCTTCATTCCTAAAATGTCGGGGGTGCCTATTATTGGTGATGTTGAGAAGCACAGTGTCTGGTACATAATAGGAGGCTGTTGCACTAATACAGGTGAAAGGTGATATTTGTCTAGACTAGGGTGGGAACAAGGGGGATGGAAAAAATCGAATGATTAGGAAAATATTTAGGCCTGTGAACAAGAGTGATACTTTTTTTTTTCTTTTTTTTTTGATACGGAGTCTCATTCTGTTGCCCCGGCTGGAGTGCAGTGGCGCAACCTCAGCTCACTGCAACCTCTGACTCCCTGGTTCAAGCGATTCTCCTGCCTCAGCCTCCCGAGTAGCTGGGATTACAGGCATGCACCACCACATCGGGCTAATTTTTGTATTTTTAGTAGAGACAGCGTTTCTCCTTGTTGGCCAGGATGGTCTCGATCTCCTGGCCTCATGATCTGCCCGTCTTGGCCTCCCACAGTGCTGAGATTACAGGCATGAGCAACCGTGCCTGCCCACAGGAGTGATACTTTAATGAAAGGAGTATGAGGAAAGGAAAAAGCAAGAATGAGTCCCAGATTTCTTGATTGTCCAGTTTGGTGAATGGAAGTGATGTAGGGAATGTAAGATGAAAAACAGGTTATCAGGAGAAAAGGACATGCTGAGAAAGATGTTGAATTTGAGTTTCTGTGGGATATCTGAATAGAGGTGTTTGGTGGGCAGACAGCTGTACAGTCTCATGCACAGTTAAAGAACTGGGCTGGAGAAAAAGGCTCAGCAGTCATCAGCTTGTGGGTTACAGTTTGATGTCATAGGAAATGTCAGAGTTTCCAAGGGACATATGTAGACTGAGAAGAAACTAAGTCATCAGTCTTTCAGGGATGTTGGGAAAAGAGGAAGCCACAATAGTATATGATTTTAAAAAGTTGCGGGGGAGTAAGAAAATGAAGAGCCAGTGGCAGCTCCAGAACTAATTGAGTGTTTCAAGAAGAAGCTTGCGGTTAGTGGCATTAACCTGCTGTGAGTTGATTTAAGATGTGACTAACATCATGGATTTAAATAAAGAGGGTGGCCTCTGGGTAGAGTCTTAAGGGCAAAAGCCAGGTAGAGTGAGTTGAGTAGTGATTTGAAGGTGAAGAAACAGAAAATTTGACTGGATAATCTTTGAAGAAATTTGATTGGAGGGGTAGGCAGGAAGCGGCGGAAACTAGAGAAGATGTAGGAGTCAGAGGGCCAAAGGAAGCTTTTGATTTTGTTTGGTTTTGTTTGGATATTTGGGTATTTTTCAGATGTAAGAAATTTGAGCATATTTCATTGCTCCTGGGAAGAAGCCAGTAGAGACATTCATGGGTAGATGACAATACAAGGTCATCCCAAGAAGCAAGAGGTGAGGGGGACCGGAGCACAGTCAGAAGGGACACCGTTTTCCTTGCACCAGGGAGAATGATAGAGAAAGTTAAGGGGATTCTGTCAAGGCTTCTCTTTGTTTTGAGAAAAAGGAATCAGAGTCATGTGCTGAGGATAATGGGGAAGGTGGCAAGGTCAGAGGTAGAAGAGAGATTTAGTTGAGATGGACTGCAAGACAGTGACCCCAGGGCTCAAGTCTCCAGTAAATGAGGGAGAGTGGCAGGTTGCTAGATGGCAGTGAAGGAAAGGTGTACCGTTTACTGTTGCTAAATGACATAGGCCTCAGAGAAATAAGTTTTTACATGGGAGATGGTAGAGTAATGGTCTCCATGGAGCATCAAGGAACAATGGGATGTGGGAAAATAAGCAGTCCCCCTTTGAGAAGATGGCCGACAACTGGGACCCTCGAAAGAGCCACGTTGCTGTTAAGATGAGGTGGTATATTATATCAATATCAGCACAATTAAATACAGTTTCTTCCCAAATACTATTTTGTGCTTTTTTAATTTAAATTTTTTATAGCAGCAGATTGTTATTTTAAAAAAGGACCACATTCTTTTTGAAATGTATTTTAGACTGTTTCACTTAGACACATGTGAAAATATGTAAAATTTTGAATAGCAAAGTCAGAATCAAGTGAATTCACCACTTAATATTGATCATTATACTTTCTTTTGATGTATAGGCATGTAAAGTTGAAGATCTGGGCAAAGTGGATTTTGAAGATGAAATTAAGAAAAGATTTAAAATGGTGTATGTGCCAAATTGGTTCTCAGTAGACTTAAAAACAGGGGTAAGTTAGCAATTGATACTTGTATGATTTGGGATAATTGAAGATTTTCATTATAGCTTATAATTATTATTAGTTACAGAGTCCTGTGTTTTTAGGTGTGAAAAAAAAAATTTGTGTTAAAACTTAAAATGCAAAATGGAATAAAAAAGAAAAAAACAAAATTAAAAATATATTAAAAAAGAAAAAAATTTAAAAGTTACAAAATGCCTTTGGTATCCCAGGAAACTAAATTGTGTTGTTGCATTGAATCACACAAAACACATTTTGGTTCCTGAATTTATGACTTAGCACTTTAGTCAAATAGTACAAATAAATGAAGGTTTAGAGACTTGTTTGGAGAATATATTCAAATGGGATGCCACTAAGTTTTTTCTTTTGATAGATGTTAACTATTACTTTGGATGAAAGTGATTGTTTTGCTGCCTGGGTTTCTGCAAAAGATGCTGGTTTCAGCAGCCCTGATGGGTCAGATCCAAAATGTGAGTTTAAGTGTCCTTCATTTTTTTCCTCCCTTCTAAAGAGAAGATGAATATGAGCTGTTTTTTGCTAAGTACTTATCTTTGTAAAAGTTCTCTATATTTTGTTGACTATGTCCTAAAAATGTGGTATGTACAAATACCTAATGTATACAAATCATTTTAGTAATTTCATATGGAAATAGCCGTTTAAAGAATCTGATTCTCGGCCAGGCGCAGTGGCTCACACCTGTAATCTCAGCACTTTGGGAGGCCGAGGCGGGTGGATCACGAGGTCAGGGGATCGAGACCATCCTGGCTAACACGGTGAAACCCCGTCTCTACTAAAAATACAAAAAATTAGCCGGGCGTGGTGGCGGGTGCCTGTAGTCCCAGCTATTCGGGAGGCTGAGGCAGGAGAATGGCGTGAACCCGGGAGGCGGAGCTTGCAGTGAGCCGAGATTGCACCACTGCGCTCCAGCCTGGGTGACAGAGCGAGACTCTATCTCAAAAAAAAAAAAAATCTGATTCTCATGTTTGTTTTTAAATAATAGCTGTATCTGAACAACCAAGTAGAATATGTCTTTGCTCCATAGCATCATTGCTTTAAACATTCTAAGATAAAATTTTAGCAGAATTGGCAAAATGACTAAAGTCTTTATTTTAGACATCATTCGCATTGGGTTAAGAATGTAACATCAGAATATGTACAAACTTACAATTTTTATTCTATTTTTAGGTTAAAGCCAAGTAACTCGCTTTTCCATTTTATCTCTTTTTAATTAACTTTTTTGCAGTGAATTTAGGAGGACTTTTACTCCAAGCACTCCTGGAATATTGGCCTAGAACACATGTGAATCCAATGGATGAAGAGGAAAATGAAGTAAACCATGGTTAGTTTTTATATTCAGATAGTTGCATAAAAAGTTAGAGGTACTTACTTAAAAGGTACTTACTAAAAGGTACTTACTTAAACCGTTAGCTAAAATATTTGTGGTGTACTCAGTTTATTGTCCTCTCTTCCATATCTCAAAGTAGGAACATCCATCCAGTCTTAACTGAGACTGAGATTCCAAAAGAGCAGACCACCTTATGATATGGCTTTTAGTGAGACTGCTCAAGATAAATAAAATACTCTATATTCAGATGACTTTTGTCTTAAAATGAGGCACCTTAACAGACTTATTTCCAAAATATTCTTCAAGGTACCTCTGATCTTTTGGATTAACCTCCAAAGCTAGGTAGTTAGCTGCATCAGAAAGCCAGGTTTGTCATTGCATAGTCACTCTTCATGTTGGGCTGAAATGTTGGTATTTCCTAGTCTCATGGCCTACCTGATTTTGACTCTGTTTCAAAAAAAAATTCAAATTCCAACTCAGAAGTGACAGGGCATATGCTCAAGCATGTGTAAAGAATTAATGTCACTGAGGACATCTGAAACGTGTGTGTGCCATAGGCAGTGGCAGTAACGTTCCCTGAGCAGCAGAGGAGAACATGTTTTGAATATATGCATTTGGCTCAGTTTGATCAAAGGAAGGGGAAACAAGAACTTAGAATTTCACATCCTCATGTGTAACCTACAGCTGGTTGAGGAATCATTGAGTCCCATCGACTGAGGCTTACTCTGCTGAAGATTCTCTGCTGGCCACCAGGAGTGAGCAACAATGGCGAGTACCTCCTGCCAGGGACTTTGTTCTGGCTGTCAGATTCACCCATAATGATATGTGGAATTTAAATCTCTCACATGAGGATGACATGCTTCCTTGAAAACCAGTCTTCTGATGTTCCTGTCAGAGAGAGGGTGCTGTTGCCCCACCCATGGTGGCTTTTCTTTTACATCACCTGACACACTTTGATCCCTGTCAGAATTGTACAGTGGACTTTGAGCTAAAGAAACTGATGGAAAAATCTTTCCACAGAGGGTCAAGAAAGCTAGGTTCTGGGGTGGGCTCTGCTGCTTAACAGCTATGTTGCTGTGGGCAAATCATTTCCAGTTAGATGGGATACTCTCAGCCACCCAAATAAGCAATAAGGATTAAGTTATCAAAACAGTGGTATAGTCATGCACCCTTTGGATCTAGGCTTTGGGTGAGGAGTATAAGGAAGACATCACCAGAAATCACGTCATCCTTAACATCAGACTGCATGGGAAAGGTAGGGCAGGGCATGGCTACTTCCTCATCCAGAGCTCAGACCACAGCACCTGCAGCATACTCAGTGGACACTCTGGAGTTGTTCAGATGGTGCTTGGTGAGCAGCTCTACTATTCAGGGGCCCTTACCAAGTTTCAGGTGGGGGTACTAAAGACACATGGGTATGGTCCCTGTCCTTCAGGAGCTGATGTTCTGGTATGGCAGAGAGTTACTTATGGAAAGCATTCTGAGATAGAAGGGTGCTAGGAGAGAGGTTCCACAAATGCTATAGGATTTCAGGGGGTCAGATGCTTCCAGTTTGATGAGGAAAGTGTCATGAATGAATTGGCACTTGAGTTGGTATCACCCACCTGTGCTGGGTCAAAAGTTTATGAAGAAAGCAGAATGGAGCTAGGCGTGATGGCTCACACCTGTAATCCCAGTGCTTTGGGAGGCCTCTAATATTTGTTGACAGTGATTTTGACGTCTGTGCTTGTTGGGTCATTTACTACTTGATGGCTTATGTTTAGGCTGCCCTGCCCAGCAGCCTTGAACCCAGGAGTTTGAAACCATGCTGGGCGATATAGCAAGATCCTGTCCCTACAAGAAATGTAAACAATTAGCCAGTTGTGGTGGTGTGTGCCTATAGTTCCAGCTACTCAGGAGGCTGAGGTGGGAGGATCACTTGAGCCAGGGGAGGTTGAGGCCGCAATGATCTGTGATCACACCACTGCACTCCAGCCTGGGCAACAGAATGAGACCCCGTCTCAAAGAAAAAACAACAGTGGAAAGGAAATCTGCAGAGAACAATAAAAGCAAAATTGTGGACTCCTTGAGGATTTTTTCACAAATGCTTCTGTCTTTAGTTATGGCTGCCATTAAATGTAATTTTTTTTTCCTCAAGAAATTTTTCTGAGCTTGGTGTTCTACAAAAAACAAAAACAAAAAAACTCTAGATCTTCGTTTATATACAGGCTGTCCTAGACTTCCTTGTGGCTGAAGTAGCTGGTTATGTTTTTGTTCTGAATCTCAAACATTAATCTCTTTTATTAAAATCCTCTAAAATACAGTCATTTTTTCCATGAAATAGACCACAAGTTGCTGTGTTTCTTATTTTCAGAAATTTAACTTGTTTTTAACCTTTATTTCTAACTCTGGTGGACTTAGAGGACATTTGAATTTAATCTTGCAATGTTTGAAGCTTGTGGGAGTAAAATGTTTAGAATCTGTATTTTTAGCACTAACTCTGATATTAACACCACCTGCATCTTTTCCTAGTAAATGGGGAGCAGGAGAACCGAGTGCAGAAGGGAAATGGATATTTTCAAGTGCCCCCACATACACCCGTGATCTTTGGTGAAGCTGGAGGTCGCACACTGTTCAGGTATGGGTAAGAAAGACAAGAGGTTCTGCCTGAGAAGGTATCCCATTTGCTAAGAAGTGTCGACTCAAACTCAGTATTTCGATATTAGAAATAGTTTATTATTAAATTCTAGGGATGCCAGGGATTGGAAGCATCCCATGTCCATGAGATAGTGAAATGTCTGCTGCTGTTAGACCACATTCTAATTGGGAGGAGAAACTCTAGTGTTCGAATGAGGTAGAATACTTTGCCTCGAAGCAGCTTCTCTATTGGTTTCTGTAGGTAATTCTCACTTTCCTTCACTTTGCCCGTGTGACTGCAAGGGCCAAGCAACAGATGATACCACTAGAATTCCCTGCCCACAGAAGAGCTTCAGAGTACATTACATTACTTTTCTTAGGCTGATCCAGCCAAGATGAGCTGGGCTGCTCCTGGGAACTGTTGAGGCTGACACTGACACTGCCTGGGGTGCCAGACAGTTATGTGTGGGGCCCTTCAGGGAAGGGCTGGACTGGTTCACCTCCAAGTTGCTAGCAAGGTCCTGGTAGAGCCGGGGGAGAGCTTACTAGTCTATAGGTGCCAGAAGAAAGAAAGAATAAGACATGCTTGTCTTATTCTTGAGTGCAGGATTATCTATCTTTCTGATAGTTTCCTGAGTGGTTACCAGAAATATTCTGACTTCCACTGTGTGTGAAAGTCTCTGCCATGCACTGTGGCACTAGCTGGGGACCTTTACTGGGTGCTTTGCTTGCACCCAGGTTTCCTGTCATCACCCAAGGACTCCAAGAAGCAGCTGTAGTGTATGCCTGGCCTTGGAATCTGGGGGCCTGATTTTAGGGCCTGCTTTCCCTTTTAGCTGAGTGAGTCATTCTTCCAGGCTGTACTTTTATTTCCTCAGCTGTCAAGTGGGGGTTATCCTACATGAAAACCATGAGGGTTCCTCCCGCTAATATTTGTTGACAGTGATTTTGACATCTGTGCTTGTTGGGTTACTTACTACTTGATGGTTTATGTTTAGGCTGCTCTGCCGAGATTCCGGGGGTGAGACTGAGTCTATGCTTCTTAATGAAACAGTGCCACAATGGGTAATTGACATCACTGTGGATGTAAGTATCCTCCACTCCCACTTTGCTCTTTTATTTTTTTGTAACTCATGAAATTAAGAACTGCTTTAGACATTATAATTTTAAACCTTAATAAAAGCTAGACTCCCAAGTGGAATCCCCATCTGCTTCCTTGCAGTTCCAAAGTTGCAGAAATAGTACTGATAATTATTTATCTATCTAGCTTTGTTGGTTTTTAATTATAAAAATAATATATGCTTATTCAACAAAATAATAAATGAATGAAGCTCTCATCTTCCCCAAGCATTCATTCTTGCCCATTCACTCCCTATCCTTCCTCCCAGAGGTAACAACTATTAATAAATTAATGCATAGCCTTCAGTACTTTTTTCTTTGCATACAAGCATATATTATTTGTGTACATAGATGTGTCTACAGTTCATTTTATATTGCACAAAATCTCTTATACTGTTCTGCAACTTTTTTTTCACCTAAAAAAATGTATCCTGGACATCTTTTCATGTCTGTACATCTTTTCATGTCTGTACATGTGAATCATTCCTTTTTAATGACTGTGTAAGATTCTACTGTATAAATGTACCATAATTTATTTAATCAGTCCCCTATTAATGGACATTTAGGTTGTTTCCAATGTTTTCTATTACAAATAGTGCTGCAGTGAACATCCTTGTACATATATCTTTGTGTGCTTTTTAGGATAAATTCCTAGAAGTGGAATTGCTGGATCCAAGGTTATGCACATTTTAAATTTTGATAGATACTGCCAAATTGCCCTCCACAAAGGCTGTAGTAGTCTACATTCTCACCAACAGTGTATGAGTGCCCATTTCCCCACACCTGCACCAACACTGGATACTTCTAATCTTTGCTAAAAAATAGGCAAATAGTATCTCATTATTTTTATGTGGATTAAAAACAAATTAATAGTGAGGTTAAGCATCTTTTCATATTGGCCATTTGTTTTTCTTCTGTGAATTACCTGTTTGTATTCTTTACCCATTTTTCTATTGGGTCATTTTTCTTACTGATTTGTGGGGTGGTGGTTTATATTGAATATTAACCCTTTAACTATTATCTGTGTCTCAATTAAATTTTCACTTTGTTCCTTTTGCCAGGTGAAAAGTTTTACTTTTTATATAATCAAATTGATCCTTGATGGCTCTTAGTTTCATGTCTTGTTTAGGTATTTCCTACTCCAAAGTAACAAAAATATTCTCCTATATTCTCTTCTAGTTCTTTTATGATAATTATGTCTAGCTCTCTAATCTATTAGAATTTAGTCTTCTGTTTGGTGTGAAGTAGGATTTAGACTTTTTCCAAAGGGACAGCTAGTGTGCTAGCACAATTTATTGAAAATCTGTCCTTTTTCTACTTATCTGGGATGCTATGTTTATCATGTACTAAATTTCTGTATACACATGGGTCTGCTTCTAGACTCTCTTATGTACTGTTGGTCTATTTTGTATCTTTCTAAAGCCATATGAAAAGGAATTTAATCTTTAGAACCTTCAGAAACTTTATTTTCTGTCCCGGATATACCTCTAAGACTTAAAGCCAATGTGACACCTGATGGATATTCCATGGTCTTCTCTATGCCTGAGCACCCCATAAGCCACTAATTTCTTTGAGTGTGAAACTCACCTGGGACGCATTGCTGACTTTAGCCCTGTGGCTTATTCTTGAGAGGAGACATCCAGACAGGATGTGACATGAAGGCTTGGAGGGGATTAATACCCTGAGAAAAGATGACCACGTAATTTTATCCTTCATCTAAGAATGTGGTTTACTTCATGGTAGACATCTGGGTTCTTGGCTGAAGTTTCCACTCTTTCTTAACACCTCAGACCTCACTGTGATGTCAGAGGGAAAGAAAATGGGAGGACTTTGATTGGCCTTTTCAGTTGGATGATGGGCCTCACCAGCACAGAATGTGTGGCTTTGCTCAAAGGTGAATGCTGTGGGTTTCTCTCAAGACACTTAAGTTTTTGTTTGGGCCTTTAGGTATCAACTCCAATATTTTAATGTAGAATTGAGATTCTGGTTTGTATGGCTTAAAAAATTAAAGTTTGTTTCCCTTTAATACCTTGTACTGTTATCTAAGAAGAGCCATGCTACAATTTCATATTACCTCTAATGTTACATATATTTTTCTGATGAATTTTCTCGAAGGCTGACTTAGGTAATTTGATAGCTTACTATACATTTCATAGAAAGTCACTTTTAATTGTAAGATAATTATTACTTGCAAGTCATGTTTTCCTATTAACATTATTTTCATTTATCAACTAATAGAAACTGTTATACCTTTTTAACTTTTACTGTTTCAGAAAAATATGCCCAAATTCAACAAAATTCCTTTCTACCTCCAACCTCATGCATCTTCAGGAGCAAAAACCTTAAAAAAGTAAGTAAATATATGGTTTCTTGATCTAATTAACTACTAGAGAGAATTCCTTTTCCTTATGATTGCTTTTATAGCAAAGGAAGCAAATACCAGATCTAAGGCTGATTTTATAATATTCAAAGTTTATACAATTAAACCACTTACCAGGTACCAACTTTGGCCGATTACAGGTGTTCAAAAATAAATAAGGCCAGGTACAGTGGCTCACGCCCATAATCCCAACACTTTGGGAGGGTGAGGTGGGAGGATTAATTGAGGCCAGGAGTTTGAGACCAGCCTGAGCAACGTAGTGAGACTCCTGTCTCTACAAAAGATTTAAGTAAAAAAATTAGCTGGGCATGGGAGCACACGCTTGTAGTCCAAGCTAGCCAGGAGGCTAAGGCAGGAGGATCATCAGAAGTTTGAGGCTGCAGTGAGCAAAGATCATGCTACTGCACTCCAGCTTGGGCAACAGAGAGAGACCCTGTCTCTAAGAAAAAAATGATAAATAAAACACACATTTTGTCTGTTGCCTTAATTCACAGTTTAGGACCCAACCTGTATATAATAGTTGTTTTTATGGATACTTAAGGAATAATGAGAGTGAGAGAAATAAATGAGCTTTTGGCTGGAGCTTCCCAGTAAGGCTTCTTGAAGGACGTGGAATTTGAGTTGGACATGTAATGATTGGTAGAACTTCAAAAGATAGATATTCCAAGTCCAGGACACAGTGTGATCAGGGATGTGGAAGTGGGAGCATGCATAAGATAGTGGAAAGTAACGTGAGGACCCATGCACCTGCAGCATGGGATGGAGGGGCAGCAGGGGGATATTAGGAGGTAAATTGGAAAAGCAGTTAAAGGTTTTGTTGATGTTGGATTTGAATGCCAAGCCATAGAGCGTGCAGTGACTAAACACCAGAAACTTTTGAGCCAATGTGGGATATGGTCCAGGGAGACCCAAGAGAAGAATTTTAGTAGTGTAGTAATGGGATGCTAAACTATGAACAATATGTATTCTAGCAAATAAAATAAAAAAAATTTTTAAACCTTTTTATTACAGAGATTTCCAAACTTATATAGAAAGAAGCTAGTGAGCCCCCATCGTCCCATCAGATAGCTTCAGTAATTATCAATACCTTGCTAAACATTTTGCTTCACCTATACCTCTACCTGCCCTCCCACCCATCTCTGTCTACACACACACACACACACACACACACACACAATTATTTTAAAGTGAGTCCTAGACATCAGTTCAGATAGATTTAACAACTGAAGTTCAAATGATTTTCAGAGCGTAGGCCTTAGTTTTTTGGTATAATAGTTATTGACTGTTATCAGAGATACAGAAGTAGGGTGTTGATGAGTCTAGTTTGGGACATACAGAGTTTGAGGTGCCTGTAGGACATCCAACTGAAGATACCCAACCAGCTGTTGGGTTTGTGGTTTAGAAGAGAAGGTTGAGACTCAAGGTCTAGACTCAGGCATTGTCTGCTCACAGGTGCTAGCTGAAGGCATGGCAGTGGGGAGGAGAGCCCAGGGAAAATTGAGCACTAAGAGTGTCGGACCCTGGTAAGCACTGGGAGCTGCCTGCCTTTCCAGAATTATTTAGTTTGCCCAGGTTCTGGGAAAGTATTCAAGGGAATAAAACCCAGAAGGCTACTATGTATGTATATGTAAATGTTTTTGTTTGTTTTTCTGAGATGGAGTCTCACTCTGTCGCCCAGGCTAGAGTGCAGTGGCGTATCTTGGCTCACTGCAGCCTCTGCATCCTGAGTAGCTGGAATTACAGGCGTGCACCACCATGCCCAGCTAATTTTTTGTATTTTAGTAGAGACGGGATTTCACCATGTTGGTTAGCCAGGCTGGTCTTGAACTCCTGATCTGAAGTGATCCACCTGCCTTGGCCTCCCAAAGTGCTGAGATTATAGGCGTGAGCCACCACACCTGGCCTGTATATGTCAAGTTTTAAGAACACATATTAATCTCATTTAGTTGTACATAAACTGTGTCTTAGAAGGACACTGTAGAAAATCTTTCCGCAGCTCTAAAAATGGATTAAGGTAATGACTAAAAACATTTATTGGTTTATTTTTCATCTTTAAAATGTTTGCATCAAAGAAAAATAATATGGAATAAATAATATCTAGTGATTTCCCTGATGTCACAATATGCCATTGCTTTTTTACAGAGATAGACTCTCTGCTAGTGACATGCTCCAAGTCCGAAAAGTTATGGAACATGTTTATGAAAAAATTATCAACTTGGATAATGAGTCTCAAACCACTAGCTCTTCTAATAATGAAAAACCAGGAGAACAGGAAAAAGAAGAAGATATTGCTGTGTTGGCAGAGGAGAAAATTGAACTTTTGTGCCAGGACCAGGTAAGTGGACTTGAGGACTACAGCCCCAATTTTTCCAGTGCTGGTGCTCATAAAGAGTTACATGCCTTTGGGTGGGGGGCTTCTACTTTTAGAGGGGCTCTAAGGAGCCCTGGGCCTCTCCTACCTAAAGCCCACCCTAAAGCTCCTCTTTACTGCTGGGGAGATTTTCAGAGAAGGGATACATAGACAAATGTGGATGTGCTGGTAGCTTTTTTTTCTGACAAGAAAAAAGACACATGGTCTTCTTGATTTGCAAAAAGCATGTGCCATGTTTATGATTTAGAGTGAAGGTGTGCGGAGAAATGGCAGAACTGTTTTTTAAATCAAGATGCACTCAAAACGTATCCTCAGAGGAATGGCTGAAAGATGGCCTGGTGTTTCTGGCATAGTCACAAAAGATGTACATCTCACTAAGCTCAATTTCATTCCCGCATGCATGGAAGCCGTGACAGCAAGAATTGGATACCAGGCATAGGGGAGGAGTGAGCAAGCTGGATCACCTGATGAGAGTCCCTGAGTTAATGATAAGGTTTTAGATATTAGAGACTTTGAAATTTTTAAATTTAATTTTGGCTATTCAGGTTTTGGATCCAAATATGGACCTTCGAACAGTGAAACACTTCATATGGAAGAGCGGTGGAGACCTCACCCTCCATTACCGTCAGAAGTCCACGTGAAGGCTGGGCTAATGCTCCTGGATATTCATTTACGACCTTCCTCTATGGCCCCAAGAGTAGTCCTAGGAAGCCCACTGATCCCCAACGGGAGCAAGACTTCTAACGGCTGATTGGTATGGACCGAGATTATCTTTCAATTGAAGTGACTAATCGAGATGTAATATAGAAACCAGTCTCCATGTGTAGATTAAGCTGTCCCCAGGGAAGCAGAGTGCAAGAGCAGAAGAGCCCCAAGCAGACTATGTCTTTCAAGATGTACAGAAGACTGACAACAGGCCAGTGCAGACTTTGCTTCCTCCTTTTGTTTCAAAGGACCTTATCTACCCATTAACACTTGTTAGAGACACCTCAGTCGGGCCACAACTGTCTCTGTTTCAACTTTAAGCCCACACACTCTGTAGCTTTTCTAAAACAGTACATTCCATTCATGCAGTAGATATGAAGGCTTTTTCCAAGTTTGTCATATAAAGTAATCAAATTGTTTTCACCGTTTAAGACAGTTATTTTTAATGGGAATTTGCTGTTGCACAATTTGAGAACCAGCCCATTTCATAATAAAAGATTAATGTTGGGCTTGTTGTTAATATTGCATCTCAGATGTGTTCTTGTAGGAAGATCTGTTGAAATTCCAGGTGCTGGATCATAGCACTTGGACTGTTGGGCCGGAGTTTGTGCAGCCCATGCCTAGCGATGCTGCACCTCCCATGATGTCCTGGCTTTGTGGCAACCCCAGGGAGGTGCAGCAGTTTCACTCCTTCCTCCACTGTGTCCAGTTTTATTTACACAAAGCGAGCTGAGACCACAGGTTCTTGCTCTGGATGAGCAGCATGACACCATCAAAATTTAAGACCATGATGAAATTTCAGTTTCATTCAAATGTTACCTAAAATTTATGGTGTCAGAATAAAGGGAGATCATAGTGAGTTAATTTGATATTCATATCCTGGAAGTATACATATTTGTTTTTCCAAAGTTTTATATGCAGGTTTTTGTTGTACCTGTATCCAGATCTTCTTTTCACTGTTCTAACAATCTAACACTTTCATAGAATCATTTGGATCTTGTATAGAGTGTAACTTATTGGGGATAAACACTTCAACTTTTGGCAGAAAATACTTTGGATTCTCCCCAAGGTCATTTGTATTCAGAGTAAATCAGTGGTCCACCCCCATAAAACTGTAAGACAAGCCTCCTGTATGAAGCCAGAAGCACAAGTGCCTTCAGAGGGCAGTTGATTCCAGTCCAGTTGCCTCCCTAGCTTGTGTGTGGCCTGCCTCCACCATAGCAGGGACTAGGGAGGGAGGCAGGGAACGTTTTTTCTTTTCTACATCTTCACAGGTTCGGCTGGGGGCAGCTGATAGGCCTAAGGCCATACCTTACTATTTAAGATACTCTGATCGCACAACTGCAGAGACAGGGTTCCCTCACTGCTAGTCAGCTTCTTTTGGAAACTGGACAGGCCATTGCCACCTGCACTTTGAAGAAGTGAGCAAAGACGTGGCCACATTTCTAATAAGTTGAAATGGTCTTTCTCCCTTCCTCAGAGAGCAACCAGCTTCTTTTTTTTTAAAAGTCCTTTCTATCTGTTGGATACAACAGTGTGCTTTTGGTGCACATTTTTTAGCAATAGTTGTGAATTAATGGCAAAGAAAAAAAAAATTATTTACCAGCCCTCAGTTGTGTTTGCCCGAGGGGCCTTTGAGCAAAGAAATGGGTTTTGCTGGGTCATTTTGCCCTGTGTGCTAAGCCTTGGGTGGCTGCATTCCCCTCCTGTCATAGATCTGACCCCCAGCATGATTGTATTTCTTTCCCCTCCAGTCAAACCGTAATACAGTTTCCAGAAAATTCGACAGTCTGCAATGCCAAAAGGGTAAAAATCTGTATTTCACAGTTGTATAGAATAAAGGCTTTAGTTAAAATATTTCAAAGTGTAGTACACATTTATTTTCATTTGTTATTTTCTTTCATAGCAGATTACAGAGAAAGAAAGAAACCTCTGGTTTCATGTTCTCCCTGGAAATATTAGCATTGATACCCATTTTATCCTCCAACTTATGGGGGAAGGGAAAGTAAAAGTGAGGGAGGGAAGAGCCAGAACCTTTGGGTGAGGGCAACTTTGGGTCAGACTGCCAGGCTACAGAGTTAAGGGAAGCTGGCCCCAGAACAGTCCTGTGGCGATTCTGTTCTACTTCCTGCATTCCAGCAGACTTGACACTGGGCTCCCAGACGATCCAGGACACAATGCCTCACTGTTATGCACACGTATCAGCTGCTCTGGTAGGCTTGACAAGGGTTTGCTTTAAATGAAGGGTTTGCTAATTTGGGACCCTCCCTCCATATAGTTGGCCTGTGCCCCCCAGAGCAGACATTCCTTGTCCTGCATACCTGACACAGCTTGTGAGTTCCCTGCATGTACACCAGCATTACAAATGATCCTGTAAAGGTGAGACTTTCAACTAGGCACAAGCTAGAAGACGAGGCCAGAGCAGCTTTCATAGTAATTAGCAGTGTGGGAACTGAGGGTCCAGTCAACACAGCAGAGGACTTCAGGTGATGAGGGGCCGTCCCCAGGTGGAGTGCAGGGCCTAACCTAGCCTTAACCTCCAAAGGCACCTGGGGTGGGGAGAACAGCTTCCTCCCCTACAACAGGAAAGAACAAAAGGGTCTTTACCTACTCTTAATCTAATCCCCTAATTCCCCCTTGGGGTTGGGAACCGTGCGTGGATAGACCTAGTCAGGTAGACTGGCTTTGAGAAATTGCTTAGGGTGTTGAACTTAAATTTGTGACTTTTATTCACTATTGGGGCTGGGTAGATGCCTTGTATATTTAGAAGAGATCACTGTTTAAGTTTGGGAGCTAACAGGAGTTGCCACTGGGGATACAGGTCTGTGGCATGTAGTCCCTGAGGAAGAAGAAATATTGTGGTCTGGGCACAAATGGGTCTCTGCTGAAGGGCCTAGAATTTCCAACGCACCTCCCTCCAGGAGATGGGGGCAAGTACACTGCCTCTCTCTCCCTCCTGTGACTAGCATGGTGATCAGCCTGAGCCAAGTGTAGCATTGTAGCCTAGGGACAAGGACACATGACAGAGGACTCAGTGTTTGGGACTTGAAAGGGGGTGGTCCCAGGGCTCCAGGGTCCCTTCCAGTACAGATGGGGTGGGCTGAGCTGTGCAGGAAGAATCAAAGCGACCAGGCCAACACTGGACAGCAACCCCTTCCTTCCTCACCTCATCTTCACACTGGATTATGACCAGACCCTGCTGCCTCCTGGGAAGCCCCAGTGACCAGAGCAGGACCAAGCACTGGACCTGAGGGTACACGGCCAAAAGATATCCTCCCACAAGGCCCATGGCCCCCTCTCACCACCCACTGAGGCCTCATGTCCCACCAAAGCAGCAAGGAATCCTGACCGCATAGTGCAGCCCGGGCTGCCTGCCCACATCTGGGCCTCATGAAATGTCATCATGGGCCTTGTCACAGCCCAGGGTGTTATTCTGTGGTAGAGATCTGGGCCTGGCTGTCCAGCCCCTCAGCCTCCGTCCCAGTATCTAGGCCCTCTGTGCTTGCTGGTTCCTCCTCAGCCTGAGCTTCAAGCAGCTCGGCGGACAGCCCATCTTCTGGTGAGGCTGCAGAGGTGAGACTGTCAGGAAGAGTCAGCTGAGGCAGGTGGTCCGCCTGGGCTTGGGCACCTGGGCTGTCCAGGAAGGAGACCTCAAACTCTGACCCAGACCATGTAGCCTCACCTGCAACACAGAAGATCAGGCTGAGGAGGTCTGCAAGAACCTAGGGCCATGGTGTTAGGGCCAGTAACCCCACCGACCGCTCCCCATTGCCACTCCAGGTTTGATGGGGGATTGGAGATGGAGTGTACAAATGCCTTGGTGTGGCTGTATCAACCCGATGGCCCACTTCTGCCCAGCTGAGGAATTGAGGGCAGCCTTCCCAACAACCCGGGGTCCTTCCCAGAGGACTTCGGAAGGTGATGGCCACTCACCACCCCGCTCATGAGAACTGCTGCTGGAGCAGATGTCCTCTGGCCCTGAGGTTGAGACAGCTGTGGTGGTCAGTTCTGTGGAAGAGGGCAGGCTGGGCCACACACTGGCATTGCTGTTGTCCAAGAGAGAAATTCCCGACACGTCCAGGAAGCCTAGGGGAGGGTGGTGCAGTTCTTTGCCAGCAAGAAACCCTGACTGCTGGAAAGCAGCACCCTGGGCTCACCTTGCCTAGGGCATCTGGCCCAGCCTGTGAGACTGTAATCTCCTCAGCCCCTGGTGATACCCCTCACCCAACCTCAAAGAGGTTCCCACACTGCCTGTTTCTGAGGAAAGAAAGGGGCCTGGAGTTGGTCATCATGTGAATAGCACAGTGGCAGTAGGCATAGACTCTGCTCTGTGTCCAATTTGCTGTGTGACCTGAAGGAGGCTACCTCTCTTCTCTGGACTACAGACTCCCCATCTGTATACTAGATTGGATGATATGCAACTATTAAATATCTTGGTATACATGAGATATGAGGGGTCAGCAAGGCCTGGGGAAAGTTTTGACATAGCTGCCAAAGTCCAGCCCCAAGCCTGGGGCCCACTCCTCTCCAGGGCCTGCCCAGTACCTGGGTCCATAACTCGCTGCACTGGAGGTGGGGGCTGAAGAGGAGTCTCCATGAAATGGGGAAGTCCATCAGGGTCTGGAGCACTGTGGCTGGGACTCCCAGGCCCAGGAAGGGGATCCTCCATGGAGGAGCCAGGTGCCTGCAGCAGGGCCTAGGAAAGAAGAAGAAATGGGTAGGGGACAATCAGGACAGTGCCTCAAGGTGAAGAATTTTGCAGTCCAACCTAACCACCAGTCCCCACTTGTCCCAGGAACACTGCTCTGCCTAAAGGAAGGAAATGGCCTTAATAAACCACCCCTTCTTCTATTGGTGATAGGAAGTCAGGCCTGAGGGGCCTGGCCTGGCCTCCCTGCAGTGTTGGCACTGAGAGGGAGCACTCTTTGCACTCAGACAAGGAATCCCAGGTGCCCACCTGGCCCCAACACATTCCCTTTGCCCCATCAATGACTCATTAGAAGAGAGGGGCTTCCTTGAATTCAGGCATACCTGGAGAACATCCTTGAATACTCCCTGGCCTAGACCCAAGGCACCAGCCCAGTGCCCAAAGGTGCTCTCAGAGGACCCACTCATCAGCTGTGAAGGCAGGGCCAGCACTTCCCTGCAGACTTGGCTAGACAACCATCCCAACTGTGGCTCTGAAGGCCTAGCCCTTTGTCCAGTTTTGCCACAACTCACAGGCACAGCAAGCACCCATCTCTGAGCCTCAGTTTCCCACTCATGAAATGAAGATGACAACTGGTGCTTCACCTCCACCCTCACTTCTAGACCCAAGGGGCAGGAAAGCCAAAAGTGAGTTTCACTGCTCCAGGCATGGCCTGCCTGCTCCCACTGGGTCCCAGAAGTACATGGGCCTCTCAGATCACAAAGGCCCCTGGTGAGGGTTGCTGATGGCTCCCCAAGGGCAGCCTCTAGAGTTTTCTGTCTTCCCAGTTGGCAGATTCTCCCCACATACCTCCATGTAGTCACTCTGCCTGGAACCTGTCTCCAGGGAAGGAGAGTCCTCGGGGGTGGGTCCAGGTGGTAGAGCATCAGGTGGTGGGGCACCAAGTGGTAGAGCAGAAGGTGGTGGGGTGCCAGGTGGCTTCTTGTGGTAGCTGGGGGGCTGAGTTGGGATCCGGTGTAGATACCCATAGCCAATGCCACATCCCAGACTGCCGAAGGCCAGAAACATTCAATCCAGGGGCTTGTCCCACGGCCCTCCCTACCTTTGCTATCCCCACCTACTACCAGCAATAAGGGGGCTGAAAAGGGTACTTCTGAAATACCGGTCAGCCTCAGGATCCCTGGGCCCAGGGCCCAACCCTCCTCCATCTCCACCATAGAACTCTGAGGTCCATGCCCAATGGTCAGGCCCCACCCACCTGGCCCTGCAGCCCTCCAACCCCACGAAGTACCTGCCCTCTCCACCCCAGGCTGCGTTGGGAGTTACAGTCACCTCCCGGCAGGAGTCTGACTTGGAGTTATACACCATCAGCTTCAAGGGCTTCCCCTCATGAGACTCGATGAGCGTAAAGAAGTCCTCGGACTGTGAGAAACGCATAGCACCTGAGGCCTGCTTCCAGGGCTAAAGCCTCAACAAAACCAGACACTTCTCATGGACAGCACCCTTCTCTTCACACCACATCCAGAGGGTCTGGGGAGGGGCAAATTGCGGGTTCCTCACCTCCTGGAGAATCTGGTCCGAACCAACCACATAGTCTGTGTAGGGGCGCAGGCCGGCAAGGGCAGCAGGTGAAGATGGTTCCACATCCTGGGGAAAGAACCGCAAACCACTGGCCATGCTACTAGAGGTGGGGTTGGGGGATGGGAAAGGGCAGGGGGAACTGCCTCTTGAGGTAGTGAGTGGGACACTTGTCCTCTATCCCTAAGCAGGGCTTCAAGCCCATACTCCCTCATTTCACCCCTCCATTCCCCTATCTCCCCCAGGTCTACAGCCTGTCCAGCAGAGGGCAGTACCATGATAAGGCTCAGCACCAGGCTCTGGAATCTGACCCCGGGCTCAACCCCTGGCTCCAGCTGCCCAGCTATATGACTATAAACACATTATTGAACCTCTCCTAGCCTCAGTTTCCCCACAATTAAAAGTAAGATACACAGTACCTAATGATAGGGTTGCTGAGAAAAATAAATAAATATATGAAAAGAAGAAAAGCACACCTTGGCTACAGGAGCACCCACTACATTGCTGCTTCTGCTGCAGGCATGTGGCTAAAGACTCCTAGGGGTTGGAGGTGAGGGCAATGAGCAAAACTGGGTACAAATAAGGATTCCCTTCTCCCTTGGAAAGTTCCACCACTCCCAATCTCCCAGTCTCCCTGGGAAATGCAAAGCAATTTGCATCATCAGTCCCCTTTCCCTCATGGGCAGATTAAGGCAGGCTGTGAAAGTTGAGAAACTTGGCCAGGCTCTCCCAAGAAGTCAGTGAGAAAAATAAGTGGCTAGAAAACAAATCAGCCAACTTCTAGTTCAGAGCACCCTCCTTCCACCAGGCTACAGGACTGAGCATTCAAGAACTTAGATACCATCAATGGGCACAGGTGTTGGGTGTGCATGTGTGTCTGTGGACAGACTAACATCTATGACAGCTTGGTCACTGAGGTTAAGATATCGATTAATCATATAAGAATATACCAGAAAAAACAGTATATTTACAGTCACATTGCTTAATGACAGGGATATATTCTGAGAAATGCATTGTTAGTTGACTTCATTGTTGTGCAAACATCATAGAACTTAACCTACACATAGCCTACTAGACACCTGGAGTATATGCTATGGCCTGTTGCTCCTAGGCTACAAACCTGCACAGCATGTTACTATACTGAGTACTGTAGGCAACTGTAACACAATTAAGTATCTGTGTGTCTAAACATTCAGGCATAGAACAGGTACAGTAAAAATATGGTATTATAATCTTATGGGATCACTATTGTATATGCAGTCCGTGGTTGACTGAAACGTTGTCATGCAACACACACACGGAGAGACACAGAGAATAATAAAAGCAGCAGCATTCCAGCAGTCCAACCACCATTCCAGTAGATGATATTTCTACCTTTCAAATTAAGTAACCTAGGTATAGAAGGTAAGAAAGTACCCAAAGTCATGGCTAACAGGAAGCAAGATACACTGTTCAGGTAGTAATGAGCTGCCCTCTCTGGGACACTGGAATGAGACCACATCCTGCCCTCAGTCTTCCCTGGCCACTGCTCCAAGGCTCCCACTCCACTCCTGCATGTACCCCCTCACACCCCGCCCACACCCAGACCTGCCCCAGTAAACTCATCCTTCCGACACACCCTGCCCTGCCATACCCCACACTCACCAGCACATGCCACACCTGCTCACTGGCCCTGCGGAAGCTGCAGAAGCGCACACTGGCACCCAGTAGGCCCTGGCCGCCCCACATGTTGCTGGGCACCACCTCCACCTCGCGCACCCTCATGGTCTTCATATTGAACACCTCCAGCTTCACGGGCTTCTCCACATTGGCTTTCAGTAGTGCCTTCAGGGTGTCATTCTCCTTGTTCTGTGGGGGCAATGGGGCTGACTCCAAGGCCACCTCATGCCCAGGCTAGGACCCTCAGACAAGTCTGGGCCTGAGATGGGGCAAGGGCCTTAGTGGGCAGCAGCCCTCAGCAGGGTCACTGTGGGGATGGGCCAAGGTAGTGGATGGGCCAGGTTCACAGACCAGGGTTGAGCCTGCAGCCACTGGGACCCCCACCTTCCCCAAGCACTGCCAAACCTTCCTCAGCCTGCCAGAAAAAACAAAGCAAGCAAAAAGCCTCCCAGATCCACAGCATTCCAGTGCTGCCCCACTCTGAGCTGCCCCTTGGCCAGGGCCCTCATATCCCTCATGCCCCAGGAGGCAGGCCCCTTGGGCCTTGTTGCCACCTCCAAGAGGCCATATGTCCTCTGTCCACCCCACAGAGCTCAGAAGCTGAGCACTGGGCAGGGCCCCAGTCAGGCTCTGAGTACAGCCCTGGAAGAAGGGGAGACAGGGCTGGGACTCCCTTTAGAAAAAAAGGGAGGGAAGGGTAGACTGGGGCCCCCTGTGGGACAGATGAAGACACACAAACACACATAAGCAAGCAAAGCAGAGGCAGGTTGGGGAACTCACCAGCCTCGAGTGCCCAATGGTGATGATGAAGTCAAAGTAGGGCTCCAGGCCCGCCTGCTGGGCTGGGGAGTTCTCCTGCACCTATCCCACAGCAAAGACCACAGTCACTGCGCCAACCCTGGGACTCTCCAAGTAGCCCTCTCCCCCATTTCAGGAACCATCAGCACTCCCAGTGTGCCAGCCAGAACACATGTCTGGCATGAACTGTTCCGGACATTCTCAGGGTTCACTCCATGGCCTCTTGCTACCTTCCTGGGCACAAATTTTCCTCTTAGGAAAATGGCTCCTTCCTGATTATGATCCACAGATGCTTTCAGAAATGGCTCACAGCCCAGGACATCCTTAGGGGCTCCCAGGAGGCAATATGGAGACAGGCTGGCCCAGGCCTGTGGGAATGCTGCTCTAGAGGGCTAGGCTAGGGTTGGCCGGAAAGCCAAAAGGGTTTACCAGAAAGGTTTAGACTGGACCAGAAGGGAGGGCCCTGACGTGCAGTGGAAGTGGGCAGGCCTCGGGAGGGATACACCCAGGGCTGTACCCAGAAAGAGGGAGTGGGAAAAGCAGCTTGCAGCCAGGTCCCAGCTTGCACCCCAGCCTCTGGGGTGGGAGACCCAGGCTCAGTCCAGCAGGTAATGAAAGCCACTGGCAGAGAAGCAGACCCCAGGGGTAGAACTAGGCCTGAGCCAGGGAGCCCAGTGAGTGGGCAGTGCCAATCCCCACAGCCTGGCTCTGGACTGAGGAGCCCCCCAGTGGCTCAGCTGCCCTACCAGCCTCATAGTGTAGCCTCCATGCCTGTGCAGGACACCTCCTCCAGGAAGCATTCCCATTTCCAGGGTGCTCCCTGCCCCTCCCTGAACTCCCCACCTCACTGCTGTCTCCAAAAGCACAACAACCAGGCTTTGCAGGCTGTGGCAGAAATCCATCCCAAAAGCCCCATATACAGAGCCTGGCTTAAACAATGCAGGCTTTGTCCCAAGGCCCTAGACCCGAAGATGGGCCCACACCCTCAGGTCTTTGGCTGCGGGCATTTGATAACCTGTTGGCGTAGACACCAGCCAGACCCAGCCCAGAGGGCACAGGACCTAGGCTCTTGCTGCCTCCTCATGGGAAAGGCCCTGTGGCTCCTGCTACATACCAGCCCCTCCAGGTTTGGATTCCCCAACCTGAAGGAGAGCTCATGAAGACTAGGCTGAGAACAAACCGCTGAGATCAAGGCCAGTTTGCCCCTGGAATTAGGATTCCCTTCTGGCAGCATCACCAACTGAGCCCCTCCTTATCACCTCCAGAAGCTGCCATGGCTTCCAAAGGGAGTGAGTGCGGCCCAGAAATCAGATCTGGGCCTAGTTGGCCTGGCCCAGTAGGCAAGCTGCTCCCAGGCCCCGCTGCAGGGGAGCTCTGGGCCCTGCCCTCTAACCCTTCAGGTGAGGGGATCTTTCGAAAACCACAGGACAGGACAGTTATTCAGGAATAGCTTGGGGACAATGCCCCTCCCTAATCAGGGCCACCTCCAAATCACTCCACGTCAGGTGCCTGCCTACTTCCCTCCCCACTCCCCAGTATTGCATGTCAGCTGCTCTCCATCATGAATGAGGTCCAGAGGGTCAGGCCCCAGGCCTGGCCTCCTTGACCCACCCAATACCTCCACCACCCTCTCCTGTGGCTTTGTCCTCTGCTTGGCTACACTCCACTTCTCTCACCTGGGGCCTCATCACTACTCACTATGGCTCCGCAGCTGAAATAATCTATGCTGCTGCCCACTGTACGGCTCCCCCTGCAGAAACCACTGCCTGCCATCCAGCTCCCTCAGGGGCTCCCATCACAGCCTGCCCCAAGGCCCTATAGTGCTGCTTTTCCTCATGCTCCCACCCTATTTTTCCCAATCAGGGAACCTAATGGAACTCACAGTGATCACAACTTACACTTACTAAGGGCTGGTTGGCTGAGTGCCAGGGCATGGCACCACCTCACCTGCTTTATGTGTCATTTAACCTTTTTAATAACCTCAAATGACAAATGAGACCAAGTACTCAATAATTCAGTAATTTGACCCCAGGAAATCCAACCCAGAGCCCTCCCCCTAACCACTGCCCTCTCCTAACAGCTGTTTCCTGGTGAATCTGCCACTACTCTAAGCTCGCTGAGGGCAGCGACTTCTCCAAAGTATTGGGCACGCAGCGAGGTGCCAATATTTCTAGAATGCAGCACAGCTGTTCTTCAGTGTTGTTAAAGGTAAGTAGGTCATGTCACTCCTCCATTTAAAACCTCCTGATGGTTTTACATCTCAGAATAAAATCTTAAATCTTCAGGACAACAGGCAAGGTCCTACACGGTCTGCTCTGGTCTCCTCCTCACACTGGCCACACCATCCAAGCACACCAGCCTCACCTGGCATTTCCTCAAACACACAAGCACAACCTACCTCGGGGCCTCTGCACAAGCTGGTCCTTCTGCCTGGAATACTACTATTCCCCTAAATATCTGTATTGTCCACTCTTTACTTCCTTCAGAAGCATCTGTTCGAATGTGACTTGAGAAGAGGCCCTTCCTGACCACTCTATCAAAAATAGCACCCACTCACCATTCTGTATCCCCTTAACCTGCTTTATTTTTATCACTGGTAATTACCACCTACCATGTATTTTTTCATTTCCCTTCTTTCCCTACCATCATCCAAATGTCAGCTCCAGAACAGGGACCATGTTTGTTCTGTTCACTGCTTTATCTCTAGAGCCTTAGAATTCTGCCTGCCAGAGTAGGAGCTCAAAACTTTGTTTTTGTGACTGACAACCTCTGATCCCTGGTCCCTCTCCAATTTGTCCCTCTCCATCAGGCAGGCCCCTCCCGTCTTCGAAGCTCCCATCATCGCCCCACCCCTCCTCTTGCCAATATCCTGAGTTCCTTTGCCTTTAATCAAACCTGTTGGAAGACGCTCCTGGCTGGATGCATTCCACTGTCCACGCTTGCTGTTTGGTGTCTCACCATAAGAAAGCCCATTCCCAAGCACAAATCCTGTCAACTCTGGGTTCTCCAAGCCAGCCTGGTTTTCACGTTAAGAAACTTTTAGCCCTCTCATGTGGTTAGCTGGCAACAGACCCTACCTTCAAAACACACAAACCGACAAGCTTGCCTGTCTCCACTCATCTCTGCATCCAGCTGCCTTTCACTAGGGAAAGGGGGGGTGCAGGGACGCCTCTTCCCCGCAGCGCTCCGGGGTCAGAGACCCCCAGCCCCTCTCACCTACATTATAGCCCTTCCCTCACCGCAGGCACAAATCTCCATCCGGCTGCGGGACCCTCTCCTCACCCTCACAGCACACTCCGTTCTAGGAACCCCACTCCGTCTCCACTCTCCGGAAGCCTGCTCGCCCAGACCTCCATGTAGCGGCATCTAAAGGCTGGGACCCTCCCCAGCTGCAAACGCTCTCCTCGAGGATTCTGCAGCACTCTCCCGGCCCTCCCGCTCCCCACTATCCCGTGGCTGGTTTGCACCGGTCCTCTACCCTCGGAAGCCCTTACGACCCTACGACTGGCAGGACGCGCGCCGACGGGCTCCCCCGCAGCTGCGTCCACTCGGTTAACCCCGGCCCCCGGGACTGTCCTCGGCGTGGCTGACTCTCTTCCCAGGCCCAGCACGGAGAGCGGCCCGCGGCAGGCGAGCGTAAATGTGTGCTAAGTGCACGAGTGCGTCCCGACTGGTAGTGGTGCATTCTTCACCCGGGAGGAGCGCCATTCCCGGCGGCCGGACCAGGAAAACGCTCCGCTTCCGGCACTGCTGGCACTTGGGGCGGGCGCTGGGCCCGACCGCGGCCGCGGACTAGCCAGGGTCCGGGAGTCCCGCGAGGCCGCCTCTCCCAGGAGGCTCCCACCGGGCAGGGGGCACCTCCCGCCACCCAGGCGGAAACACTCGGGCCGGGACCCCGCCGCAGTCGCCAGCCAGCCGGCGACCGGACGCCCGGGCGCGGGGTTGCGGGCGCCTCGCCAAGGTCACCGGCGCCGCGGCGGCAACTCACCCCGTGGAGGTGGAAGCCCTCGGCGCCGCCTGCGGGCTGCTCAGCGCTGACGCCCAGGCCCATGGCAGCGGCTCCGCTCGGCACCCAGGTCCAGTCCCGCTGCGCCTACCCGGACCGACCCGACGCCAGTAGCACCGACTCGCTCTCTCGGCGCTCGATTCCTGCGCCTTGTGACGTGAGGCGTTTTGTTCCTCCCACTCCAGACACTGGACGCTCCTAGCAACCGGCTAGCAGCTCGGTTTCCAAGGACTGTAACGCCTTCAACCGCCCGCCGCGATAGAGTGCCCACGACCCTGCCTCGGGAATCCCGCTCTGCACCGCCCCACCAGACCCGGACTCGGAGCCGCGAGCGGCCCGAGATGAGCAGCAATGACTCCTCCCTTATGGTGCGTGGCCCGGGCGCTGTCCGAGGGCTCCCTCGTGACTCCCCGCCCCTGACCCAGAGACCGTCTGCCCTGCTACTCTCCTGCCACCCTTCGCTGTCCTCAGTTATATCAGGCGGTCCTGCCTTTTCTTGCCCCACTCCCCCTGGCAAGGGCGTCTTCTCCGGTGGCTTCTGCGCACCCTGAGCCCCAAATTAGCATCCCCGTTTCTTGAGCTACCCCAAACCAGCTCATCCAATCACTATCATTATCCCTTCTTGTCATCATCCCTTCTTCCACCCAGCTCACTCTCGCCTGCGCCTCCCACCCCAGTTGATGGCTTCACCATTTAATCTCCTAGCCTTAACTCATACCTCTTCCCTATACTCATCTTCTAATCCTGTCTACAAGAAATGCCAGCTCCTTGATGTCTCCTGGGTTTTCTTTTTATCTTTTTATCTTCTAGCCCAGAACCAGCACCATCTCTCCCCCCTGAGAGCCTGCAACAGCCTCCCTCCCATCTGGTTTCTCTGCTGTGGCTCTTTTCAGCATCAGTAGTCCCTGCTGCCACCACGGCACACACCCCCCACATGCAAAAGCAGCCAGAGTGGTTGTTGCAAAAATGTACATCTGAAAACATCCCTCGCCTTAAAACCATTCTGCTTTCTGTTACCCTTAGGATGGTGTCTGGGCTCTTTCATATGGCCCATGAGGATGTTTACAGTCCAACCACATCTGCTCCCAACCTAGCACCCACAAACCTTAGAGGAAGTGAAACTTAACTTTAAAATCTCAGCCCCTTTGTCAAGCTGTAGTTTCCATGGGCTTAAGCTTCCTTAGCTGTGAAAGATACTGAGAGGACCATGCACAGGATAGTGGATATGAAGCCCACAATAACTTGTAACTACAATTCGTATAATTTTTCTTATTATTTGTCCTCATTTTTCCCCCCTTATTCCCTTCCTAAGACAAAGCCTTGGTTGAATTCCCCATCATAGTTGAACCAGAATCTGTTGGTAATCCCCCAAACAAACACCTCCAAACTCTTTCCTGGGAAAACTGCATGGAGCTGCTCCCAGGGCTGTTAGAGGACAGGATGAGGCCTGAATGTTTCCTCTTTCTCTTCCCTTTGCAGAACTGAGGAGGAGCAGGGGATAGGGAAGGGAGCAGGTCTCATCCCATCTGGGACAGAACAGAGACAGAGAAGGGACTGGGCTATTGCAGTTATGTCTTCCTTCATACAGGCTGGGATCATTTACTATAGCCAGGAAAAGTACTTCCACCATGTGCAGCAGGCTGCAGCTGTGGGCCTGGAAAAATTCAGCAATGACCCTGTGTTGAAGTTCTTTAAAGCCTATGGAGTCCTCAAAGAAGGTAAGGACTTGGCAGTGTTGGTCTTGTGACCCCAGGCACTAGCTGGGCCCTAACACTCTGGCTCCACCTGGATGCCTTCTTGTATCCTAGTTATGGTCCCATAAAAACAGTTTCACACTCAGCGGCTGGATTCCCACGGGAATCCACAGAGGCCTACGTAATCCATATCTAGTTGACTTTTGAGACCTCAGAGCGCTGACTATCCCTGCTCTGCACCTCGGGTTCCCTCTCTGTAAAATGAGTGGTTGGAGAGATAGCTGCATGATTCTTGAAGTAATTCCAGGCCTGGAAGCTGAGAACTGGTAATGCAGGCAAAGGAGGGGGAAGAGGTAGGTGTGAGGACAGGTGGGTATGGTACAGGTACAGGGAGAGGAGTGAGACCCATGCAGGTGCAGATGGGCTGACATTCAGAAGGTGGTCCTAGGCTGAGGACTGGCAGAATAGCCCATGGCCAAATGTCTGAGGACATGGAGGGATAAATGTAATCAGTGGCTCTTGAGCAGTAGCTGAGAATGCCCTGCCTGAGGTCCTTCTTCAGAACTGACGCAGCTAATAATTGCAGCCTCACACATATCCCCACAAGTACTCACAGGGTGAACCTTTCAAGTCCAAGATTTCCAGCCCCTAACAGCCTGGACCATGTTACCAGCAACTCTTTCAAAGAGCCCCAATCTTCAGGGAACTTGGGTCACTGGGGACCTTTCAGACCAGTTAGTCCAGCAGGTAGTAGTGCTGAGCTGTTGGGTCAGCTACAGAGTCTCATGTCCTCTAGTCCTGGAGCTTGAGAGTATAACTATGTGGACTGTCTTTGCAGAGCACATCCAGGATGCCATCAGTGACCTGGAAAGCATCAGGCATCACCCAGACGTGTCCCTGTGCTCCACCATGGCCCTCATTTATGCTCACAAAAGATGTGAAATCATTGGTGAGTGCCACCATGCTCAACCAGGCCTGACCCACCAGGGGAAGGAAAGCCCTGCCCCAGAGATAACACAGCCCCTCAAGGGCTGCCAAAGGAGGTATGTGCCCTGGTGGCTGTGCAGATGCTGTTAACCAGTGAGAAGTGGCTGCTGCTCCTCTCCCCCTGGAGGCCTGGGAGAAGACTCCATGCCTGGGCCCAACTGAGTGGAAGCAGGCAGAGCCCATGACAGTGGGAGGGGCCCATGCTCCAGATCCCAAGAGTTGGGGAAACACCCTTCTTCTTTGCCAAGATCTTGTCAGAAAAACCAAGCCAATATATATAATTCTACCCCTAATCTCCACATTTCTAGAGTCAGGGAGAGGGTCCAAGAGAGACTACAGACTACTATTTCCCTACTCACAATAAGTTGTGGGCCTGAGGCTAAGGATTTTGGTTTGGCCTGCCTGCTCAGCACACTGCTGGGCACAGAGAAGAGAAGGTAATCTCAGACAGCACACGTGAGTCCACACCAGGGCAGCCCCTGCAGCATCTCAAGGGCAGGTACTGCTGGTTTCCAGGCCTTGGGCTGCATGCGGTGTGCTGCATATGTTGAAGGAGATCCACAGTGTCTGGGGGAGACCCCGAGGTAGTTCCCTGGGCCCTCGGTGGCCCATGCAGAACCAGGCAGACTTCCACATCCTAACTCTCCCTCTTCCTTCGCTCTTGGATTTACAGACCGAGAAGCAATTCAGGAGCTTGAGTACAGCCTGAAGGAAATACGCAAGACAGTCAGTGGGACTGCACTGTACTATGCTGGCCTTTTCCTCTGGCTCATAGGCCGCCATGACAAGGCCAAAGAGTACATTGACCGCATGCTGAAGATTTCTAGAGGCTTCAGAGAGGTACTTACCACACCATGGGGACAACAGGCGAAGAAAGCAGCATCCAAACACATAATAGCAGGGTGGCCCTCATTCCCACAAAGGGCCCTGAAACTGGGGGAGAGCCACACCCAGGCACTGGCAAAACACCGGGTCTCACAGTTGCCCCACGCGTGTTGTCTCTGGGCTTAGCAGAGGTTACACATTGGCATTTGTACACAGAGTCTGATCTTTAGATAGATTTTCTATGGCTTGCACCATATTCTTAAGAAATTTTTTTTTGAGACCTCACTGCAGCCTCAACCTCCTAGGCACAAGCAATCCTTCCACCTCAGCCCCCCAAGTAGCTGGGACCATAGGTGTGTGCCAGCATGCCCAGCTAGTTTTTACATTTTTTGTAGAGACTGGGTCTTGCCATGTTGCCCAGGCTGGTCCAGACTTACTGGTTCTTTTGAAGACCCAGATGAGCTGGCCACACTGGGCCATTCCCTCCCTGTAATGCTCTGCTGGAACTGAATGGTGGCTCATGCAGTGCAGCCCATATACTGTATATCTGCACTAATATGGAATTTGAAGCCTCAGTCTAGGCCATGCCTTCTCAGCAGGGCTGATACCAATTTTCAAGGGTGTAGACATGGTCCCTGGGGGAGAGGGTGAAAAAAATCTTACTCTTTATGTATAAAACACAGATATATATACAGTACACAATACACAGATACGGTATATCTGAGGCACTAACATTTCTTGGAAGGGGAGGGATTGATTAGAAAACAGTATCTAAAGAGACTCCTTAGGATAGATAATAGAAAAAGAGAAATAGAACTATAATAGAGAAATACTGATCTAGGCCATCAAGAGGGGTGCTTTAGGGCAGGGCTCTTCCAAGTCTGCTTCCCAGGCCTGGCCCTCCCCATCTGCCTGGAGAGGCTGGGTGAAGGCTAACATGGAACCAGCGAGGTCCACGAGCTCAGAACGGCTCCTGCTCACCCACTCAGAGGGCATTCCTTGGCTTCCTATGCAGGGCCAGGCCTCGTGCTGGCCTAAGGAGTGGAGACATCAAGAGTGGCCTTGCGTAGGCCCCCATGTTGGCTCCTGACCCCAGTGTAAACAGGCAATGACAGGATAGGTGAGTGTGCCTCAGTAAGGGTCATGGAGAGCTGTAGGGGTACAGGGAGGGAGGCCTCCTAAGCAGGGGCCTCTGAGGCTGAGTTGTAAGTAGTGGTAATGGACATTAGGTGAAGGGGTTTGGTTGGGAGTGGGAGGGGCGCTGTCCAGGGCATTTCCAGACAAAGCAACAATGGGAGTCCTGGCCATGAGAGAGAGCTGGCTGCCCTGGGATCTGCACGGGACTGTGCCTGGCAGGGCCTCAGGGTTTTGGGTGGCAAAGTGTGGATCATGTGCAGGCTGAGTTGATTCTGTGCAGGACCAAGGACTTCATCTTTCATCTTGTTCTCATCCCAGGCCTATGTGCTCAGAGGCTGGGTGGACCTGACCTCAGACAAGCCCCACACTGCGAAGAAAGCCATTGAGTACCTGGAACAAGGAATTCAGGACACCAAAGATGTGCTGGGGCTGATGGGAAAGGTGGGCAGTGGAAAAGGGAGAGGTGGAAGTATTCCTGGCCAGGCCACTGGAACCAGAGACCCACCAGGTACCCCCAGGCCAAACCCTCGTAGTCTCCAGATGCCTCATCTCGTAGATAAAGAGCAGAGGCCCAGAGAGGTTCAGCAACCAATCCAGGGTTACACAGCAGTCCAAGGTCCACTCTACTTCTCAGATTTCTTCCTGCTTGATCTGAGTTTCTGTCTCATTTGCATGGGGGTCTTCTCAGGGTCACTTTCTTAAGGTCTATCCTTCCTTGACCCTCTCAGGCTTTCTCTCTGCCTCTGTGTTAGTTTCACTCAGTGCCCTTCTCCCTTTCTTCTTTTATTTTGACCTTCCCATTTCACTTCTTTCTACCTGTTAAATTCATTTAGTGTGCCGTAAGAGAAGGGAGGTATATATTTTATATGTTCTGTGTTTTCTGATCTTAAGTTTCTTTTTTCTCTTGTGAACCTCATGGAATTAATCTTTGAGAGAAAAAATGTCCTCGTATTTTCTTCTGTTTGCATATATTTTTATTATAAAAGAATACATACTTATTTAAGAAAACAGAAGCCTAAAAAAAGTCAACAGATGAATTAAAATGGCAGGCTTAGTCTTACCGCTCCAAGACAAATGTTAGTATTTTAGGGCAATGTCTTCTAGTCTTCTTTCTATACTTGGGTCCAGGGTGTGTATTAGGTTGGTTTTCTGGCTGGCAGAAAGCAATGGAGATTATTGTGAGCCAGCTTATCACAGAGCACCCTTGGGGCCAGCACCTGTGGAAAGAGAAGGCGGGCTGTGAATAGTCACAGCAAAGGCCACAGCCTACTCTTTGGGGAACTCTGGAGCCGGGATGCCCCTTCAGTGAGCTCCCCATCAGTGCCTTGACACTGGAGGTGGGCTGCCCCAGGGACAGGTGTGACCTGGGACAAAGCAGCTCCCTTCAACCATGGGTGATCCCTGGAGGGAGACTCCATGGAGAGCCATCAGCCACCAACTCTCCTGCTCCTGATGGTAGGGGGTGGGTCACACACAGCAGTCACTGTGGGGTGGGAGACAGTGTTGGTCTATAACGTAGTTTTCACCCTAGGGCATATTGTCATTTAGTTTGTTTTTCTTCATGTAATATTTTCTTTGTGTAATATTCAAAATGTCAGTTTGAACATGGATATAAAGCCAGTCTTCTACTGTATGAGCATAATGTAATTTACCAACCCAGTCCCCTATTGTTTGGATATTGGGATTGTTTCCAGTTATGCACTTAAAGTGCTTCAATGAACACATTTATGCGTAAGTCTTCATTATACGGAATAATCCTCTTGTTTTTAATGACGAGTCTCTTAATGGGGGTTACTGTAGGTCTAAGGGAAGCCGTCCTTTCAGAGTCCAATTTCAAGTCTTTTAGAAGCATTGCCCCCTGGCCCTTAGGGCACCTGTGTCATGACCCTTTGAGGAGAAACTGGTGGCTGGTGTTGGCCTGCAGAGGCCATGACCACAGCCCAATAGGCCTTGACAGAACAACAACAAAAAAAACGCCACAACCTTGCTATAGAAGTAGTTGCCAGAAAACCCTAACTGACTCAGAATTGCTAAACTGGGCCTTGGCGAGCAATTTCAGTGAGGAAATATGGAAAAGTGAATGGGAAATGAATGGAAAATGTATGGAACTGGAAAGCACCCAGTGACCTCACCTCTCCCCTTCAGGGTGACCTCACATGGCCTTACCCTATCCCAGGCCTGCTAAGTTTTCCAAGCTTGAGGCTTAGCTATCTCCCCAAAGCCCCTGCTCATCCTGTCCGAGAACCCAAGACTGTTGTAAACCTGGATATGTCACTCCTTCTCCCGGGAACTTTGAGGGGCTACTGGCCCAGCTGAGAGGACCCACGGTGCCCATGTGTCAGGTTCTGTTCCTGTTTTCATGGAGACACAGAGACAACCCCCCTCCAGCAAACTCCCTTCATGGGCACTCCCTTCACGGAGGCTCTTCTGTCTGGCTCCCAACAGGCAATGTACTTCATGATGCAGCAGAACTACTCAGAGGCCCTGGAGGTGGTGAACCAGATCACTGTGACTTCAGGGAGCTTCCTGCCAGCCCTCGTCCTGAAGATGCAGCTGTTCTTAGCTCGGCAGGACTGGGAGCAGACAGTAGAAATGGGACACAGGTGAGCTACTGCACAAATGGGCAGCCAAGGGTGGTAACAGGTATTTACCATCTTATAAGCTGGGGAGGCAGGAGAACAAGACAGAAAGGTAAATATCGCCCATAGAGGAACTGGGAATTGTGCTATGGCCAAATTGGGATGAGGAAGAGAGCAGGGATGGGTGCAAGCAAATGAAATACACATGATAACATGAGGCTAGGAGCTGTGGCCTATGATGGCTAAATCAAGAAACAGAGGGTAAAGGCTTATTGTTTAGAAGAGACAGGGAAGGACCCATCAAAAGAACTAAAGCAAGAGTTACAGGGTAGAAAGCAGTTGCTATGAAGACTGGCAGGAGAATGAGACTAGAATATATTGCATTATTAAGGTTTTTTTAAAACTATTAAGTATAGTATACCTTAATAAAAACTTTAGGGGAAAAAAGTCACTGGTGACTTTGAGAGAAGTGTTTTAGCAGCAGGCTGGGTACATAAACCAGAGAGCAGATTTCAGGAGTTATTGGGCATGTAGAAACCAGACTCCAAGTGTAGAGTGATCTGGAAGCATTGTGAAGAGAAATGACAGCCGCTTTGGGGAGGGTGTTTGATGCAAGGCTTTTGGGGAACCAAAAAAAAAAAAAATTATCTCTTTAAACTCTAATGGGCACAGTGGCTCATGCCTGTAATCCCAACACTTTGGGAGGCCGAGGCAGGAGGATTGCTTGAGCCCAGAAGTTCAAGACCAGCCTCGGCAACATAGTGAGACCTTGTCTCTACAGAAAATTAAAAAATAAAATCAACTGGGCATGGTGGTGTGCACCTGAAGTCCCAGCTACTAGGGAGGCTGAGGCAGGAGAATCACTTGAGCCCAGGAAGGTTGAAGCTGCAGTGAGCTGTGATTGTGTCACTGTGCTCCAGCCTGGGTGACAGAATGAGACCCTGTCTCGAAAAAAATAAATAAATAAAACAAAATAAAAATAAACTCTAACACTTTATTTTTATCGCAATCATTCTAAAATGTGTCATCTTCACTTTTTTCCCATAAGGAGTTAATGGCCCATGAGTTATCACTATGACTTGTAACTGAATTATAGGGAAATATATAGCACAGGTCTAAAAAAAAAAGCATATAATCAAACCTCTTCCTTCCCTGGAGAAGAATCCTAATTCCTCTGCTGATGACTGGAACTTGAATCTTATAGAGAGGTGCTGGTAGCAAATCAAACTTATCTCTACCCTGCCCAGCGCCACACATGTAATGCCTGTGTGGACCTCAGCTTCCCTCTCTCGCAGTGTAAACCTGGCCTTGGTAGGAGCTTGCTTTGGAGGCTAGGCCTCAGGCCAGCAACTCACCTGGAAGCACCTGGCTGAAGCCATATGTGGATGTTTGTGGCCTCCCTGGCCCTGGCCCTGCTGTGCCCATGTGCAGGGAGACAGTGTGTGGGGCCAACAGATTGAATCCAGTGCCCCAGCGTGTTCCCTCATGGAAGCTTTCCCAGTTAGTGGGATTCATAGAATTCCCTCACTGATTTTTAAAACTCTGCTCTGTAAAGATGTGTTTCTGTTTTCACCCCTAATATATTTTTTCTTTCTTATTTTTCTTCATTAATATTAAAAGTTTGCCTCTCTTATTAGTCTTTTTAAAGAAACAGCTTTGAGTTTTGTAGCTCCTTTCTATTATATTCTAATAAAATAGAAATTTTGTATTATAAATTCTATATCATATTCTTTGTGTATTCTAATTTATTAATTTCTGCCCCCCCCTTTTTTTGGGGGGGAATGTCTTGCTTTGTTGCCTAGGCTGGAGTGAAGTGGCATAATCATAGTTCACTGCAGCCTCGAACCCCTGGGCTCAAGTGATCCTCCCAACTCAGCCTCTTGAGAAGCTAGGACTACAAGCAAGCACCACCATACCCAGCTATTTTTTTTATAAGCTATTTTTTGTTTTTATGTTGCCCAAGCAGGTGTCAAACTCCTGGGCTCAAATGATATTCTTGCCTCGGCTTCCAAAAGTGCTGGAGTTATGGGTATGAGCCACCATACTCAGCCTAATTTCTGTTCTTAACTTTTTTATTTCCTACCAACTGCTTTCTTCCAAGGTATTTTGCTATTGTATTCTAACTTTTTAAAAATTTTAGTTTTTAGTTTTATTTTTTAATTTTTAATTGGTAGAGATGGGATCTCACTGTGTTGCCAGGCTGGTCTTGAACTCCTGGCCTTAAGCAATCCTCCCACCTCAGCATCCCAAAATGCTAGGATTACAGGTGTAAGCTACCGTGTCTGGCCTGTTTTCTGACTCTTGAGTTGGATGCCTGTCTCAACCATTCTCAATTTTACTTTGGAATATAAGCATTGAAGTCTGTGCGTGTCCCTTGAGGTACCATTTTTGCACAGTCTACACATTTGGATATGTAATATTTTTCCATATCATTTGGCTCCAAGAATTTTCTAATATCTGTTTGATTCTTCTTTGGTCTATAAGTTATTTCAAAGTATGTTGCAGTTTTTGTTAATTCTCACATGTATGAGGTTTACAGTGCTTTCAGAAGTATCAGAAATGGTTAGAACTTTTTCAATGCTGATTGTGTCTAATCATGTCGGAATTTAGTATGTGAATTAGACTAACCTGCTATTAAGCAGAAAGTCATTCCCTGATAGGCTGAAAAATGGGAAAGAATCTTTCTATAAAGAAATAGAATATTGAAAACCTCATAGTATGGTCAGAAGCTATAGCTTCACAATAGTACAAAATTGAAACCCAGGTTCCTTTTCCATCTTACAGTGACTGCCCCCCAAGTGCCTTTCTGGCCACCTCCAGTCTCTGGCACCATGGTCATGTCTGGTTAGTTGGGTTATGAATAAGTTTCTGTGGCAAAGATACCCTCAGATACACAACTTAAATAACATAAAAGGTTATTCCTCCTCCAGGCAAAGTTGGTGGTGGCTCAGGGCTGGGATGACAGCTTAACTCTGGGGAGTCCCAGGCCCCTCTGTCTTGTTGCTCTGCTATTCCTAGGATAATGCTCACATGGTCCACATTCCATACAGTAGGCAGGAGGAAAGGGGGGAAAGGGAAGGCATGCTGGTAGGGCACAACTGGACAGCACACCCCTCATTTGTACTTCTATCCTGTAGGTCAGACCTTTGTCACATGGCCAAATGTAAGCTGCAAAGAGAGGCTGGGAAATGTCTTTATTCTGAGCAGCTTGTGCCTGGCTAATTTGGGAGTTCTATTATTAAAAGAAGAGGGGAGAATGGATATTCAAAGACAATCAGAAGTCGCCAACACACCATCCCAGCTTTGCCTATCAATACTCTCAATTCATGTGCCTCCTCTTCTTCCTTCAGAATCCTAGAAAAAGATGAGAGCAATATTGATGCCTGCCAAATTCTAACCGTGCATGAGCTTGCAAGAGAAGGAAACATGACCACAGTAAGTTCTTTGAAGACTCAGAAGGTGATCCTTGAAACAGAATCAAGGAGGAACCCTTCATGACCTGTGCACCTGACCCAAAGCCCTTGTAGGGAGCTCCTGGATCTCAGCTTCCTCTTTTCTACCCCACCCCTATACTCGCTGCCAAGGAGGCCTGCTCTGGTTTGACTCTTTGAGTTGTGTAGCTTGGGAGTCAGGCAGCATCAGGCAGTGAGATTGATTCTAGGCTCTGCCATGTGCTATCTGTGGAAGCCTGGGCAGGTGTCCCCACCTGGATAAGCCGCAGGCTTCCTGTTTGTAAAATAGACAGAATTCCACACAGGACTAAATGTGATAAGAAGTGGGAGAGTTTGGAACAGTCCCTGGCACACTACAGTAATTCCATCAATGTTAACTGATAGTAGAAGTCGTGGTAGTATTTCTGAATTCAGGAAATGCCTTTTTTTTAGGGGATAGTTGGAACTGCTCAGGCATTGGCCAGGTAATACTGGGCCCCAAACATGCTCGTAAGTCTTGTAGTTTTCCAAAGAAACCAAAAATAGCCCTCAAATGCAGTCAGAAACACCTAGAATTCTTAGTGAAACCTCAATACCCAGACAGGTTCTCATTTTCAGAAAGGTTTGTTTTTAGCCAAAGCATTGCCTTTTAGATCAGTGAAATATATTGCCTCTATGGAGAGCATGGCAAACCAGGAGTCTCTAAGGGGTCATGGTGGGAAGGGGAAGCTTCTGGTTTCTTCTGCACAGCTCTGAGATTGTGGATTTTGTGGGATGGGGTGAGGTAGAGGGGAGAGTCCGTATTTGGGAGAAAAAGGCCCCAGCCCTTTTCGTCTCTGGGTAGGAATAAGAGAATAGGACTATCCTCAGCTCCCTGTGACTCCAGATCCCTAAGCAGGCCTTCCTGGGGCCTGGCCTGAAAGTTAATCCCAGGGGCAGACTTAGCATTTAGCTAACTGAGATTTAGCATTAGCCCCTTTTTTACTCCCACTTCAAACCTTGGGACCTCCCCACCGACCCCGGGCTGGCTACCCAGTTCTAATTTTGTTCATACTTACTGAACAGAGTGGACCCATACCATCCTTGGTTTTGCTTTTGGCACTTCTCTGCAGCTGGGAACTAAGAATTCCTTACTCCTGGGTGGGGAGTGGGAAAGAACCTAAGCTTTGGAATCTGTCAGTGACCTAGGTGGCTGGGTGACCTCAGACCAATTGCCTAACCTTTCTAACCTTTCATGTGTTGGACAGGAAGGTTTGGAAAGTTCGAATAGTTATACTGACTTACATTTGATTCATGTCAAAATGGAGCAGAGGCTTCTGGGCCAGCACTAGTTAGTTTGCTGCTGGCCTGGCAGGCTGCACTGTGGACACAGTGAGGGCTAGCTCCTGGCTCTGCCTGGGTGGGTCTGAAAAGGCAACTTCTCTTCACAAACTCAGGAACAGGGCTACTCTATGGGTTAGCCCTGCTCCATAAGGAGCAGTCAAAAAAAAAAAAGAAAAAAAAGAAAAAAAAAAAACAAATTCAAGAACAGAGGGGCAGTGCCAGCTCTGGGTGAATAATGTCCCCAGGAGTTCCACTTATAGGCCTTTGAAGTAATTCTGATGCCTGGACCACTCCAATTCACTTAAATCTGAATTTCTGGGGGGTTGTGCCTGGGCATGGGCATTTTTTAAATCTCCCAGCTGATGCTACTATGCAGTCAGGGTTGAGAACCACGGCGCAACTCTGACCTTGCACCTTGCATGTTGACATTCTCTGTTTTGTCCCTGCAGGCTACCAATCACGTTAGAAATCTGATTAAGGCACTAGAGACAAGGGAACCCGAAAATCCAAGCCTCCATCTTAAAAAAATTATTGTGGTTAGCCGACTGGTAAGAAGGTTCTTTCCTGGTTCTGAAATGGTGCTTCTCCCTGCTTTCCTTAGAGGAGAACTGTGCTCCCCCAGGAAGCTCCTTGAGTGCCTTACCCCTCCCTTCTGGCTCAAACTTGTCCTTTAGGGTAGTGGCTCATATCCTGCTGTGCCTACTTGCCTCTGGCTGATAACTGTGACATGTGGGTTCTACATCCTTAGCCTAGGTGCCCCCTCAGAGATGCCATGAAGATCAGGGAGACGGGGTCTGAAAGTGCTTTTGGAGTGGGCTGTGCCTTATTTGGGGAAAGCGGGTGGTATTGCAGCTGTTATGCAGCAGAGCCACACCCAGCTCTAGCCTCTAGTGCCTGGGTGCCCATCTCCCATATTCTTTTTTGTGGAGGTGACCTGAGAAGGCTGGCCTGCCTAGGCCTCTCAAACATCAGGGAAGGTTCAACTAGACCAGGTTGCCAACAAATCTGTATCTCTTTCAGACCCTTCAGCCCCAAAGCAAGATTTACTAGAAGTAGTTGCTGTAAGAATGAAGGCAACTCTGGGACCCCAGGAACCAGAACTGTGGAGTTGCATAGGCACCATCTCTCCCTCTGTATGTCTGATTCTCTCTGCCTTGTTCTCCACACATGGCAGGGAACATGGCTGATGGCAGCCTTTGGGGCCACTTCTTATTACTGGACACATTCAGCTTCAATTTTTGAAAAACCTCTTGGTGACTCCTTAGACCAATTACTGTGACCAGACAGGGGATAGGTCCCTCAGAGGACCCTGTGGCTAGAGGCAGGTTCCACAGTTGTGGCCAGTGAGAGGTTCCTTGGGAGCCAGACAGCAACACAGACCCAGCTGCCTAGACACACGGTACCTCTTGGCTCTCCTGGGCCTACCAGCCCTGCCTACCAAAGTGTCCCCCGTTTCTGACATGACCTTGCTCATACAGGCTGGACTGACTGGTTTCCCAATTCCCACCTTCCTGTTTCTTGCAGTGTGGGAGTCACCAGGTGATTCTAGGGCTAGTGTGTAGTTTCATCGAGCGCACCTTCATGGCCACCCCCTCGTATGTCCATGTGGCCACAGAACTGGGCTATCTCTTCATCCTGAAGAACCAAGTGAAAGAGGCCTTGCTGTGGTATTCAGAAGCCATGAAACTGGACAAGGATGGCATGGCTGGTTTGACAGGTATATGCAGGTGTGGCAGGGCTCAGGGATGGGTGTCGGGAGCCAAACCGGGCAGCTTCCATGGGTCCAGAAGAGAGGTGCTGGAAAGCATTCTCCTTGAAGGGTATGTGAATTTTGGGGTACAATGTATGATGGGGTATCTTTCTGGGAATCCACAAGTATAGATGTAAGAGGCACAGCAATGCTCAGAGGTATGATCAGAGTCACTCTGATCTCCACCAGACCTCCAATGTCTGTCTACACTGACTGCCCCAGAAGACTGACAGGCTGAACCTTATACTCAGTGGGCCCTGCCTCTTCTCAGGCTGCCCAGGCCGGGGTTGGAGGCAGTTCTACTCACCACCAGTCCCCACATGCAGAGCCTCTAGATTCACCTCTGTAGACCCTCCTTCAGGGCTCTGAGCTGAAAAACCACCAAAAAGAGTAGCTCTGAGAATTATATATTTCCCTGTCTGTCCAGGTGACTTTAAAAATCTTTTCTATAAATGCCAAATGAACTTTCTACAGTGCCATTTCCATTTTACGCATTTTTTAAAGCCCCCTATTCCATGGTCTGTGGTGAACTCTGAAGTGGCAGTATTTGGTTTGGGTTGAGGAAGTTGTGTGGTCCAGTGCTCAAGGCAGGCCGACTCTTGCCCTGGCTCTGAGGGGCTATGTGTTTGGGGCCAAGTCACTTCTCCTTTCTAAACTCCAGGCTCCTCATCTGCATAGCACATTTATCAGAGTAGTTTATCTTGACTTCTGGTTCAACATGTCAGGCTGACCCCCTCAAATCCATGCTTTCCCTCTGTCCCCAAATCCCATGAAAATAATGAAAGATATCTTTAAAAGGTAATGAGCCAGGCGTGATGGCTCACGCCTGTAATCCCAATACTTTGGGAGGCTGAGGTGGGCAGGTCATTTGAGGTCAGGAATTCGAGACCAGCCTGGCCAACATGATGAAACCCCATCTCTACTAAAAACACACAAAAATTAGCCAGGTGTGGTGGAGGACACCTGTAATCCCAGCTATTTGGGACGCTGAGGCCGGAGAATCACTTGAACCCGGGAGATGGAGGTTGATATGAGCCGAGATGACACCACTGCACTGCAGCCTGGGCCACAGAGTGAGACTCCACCTCAAAAAAAGAAAGAAAAAAAAAAAAAAGAGTACATAGCAGCGTGGACCAGAAACTTTGAAGAATTTCACATTTCTAGAAGATGGAAGGCAAATGGTGTCAAATACATGGGAATTCGAAGCAGATCTAGAAACCCATAAGCAAACATAGGCAGAGATGGGTTAGCTAAAGAATTTAGTAGACCAGCTTTCCCCAAAGAGTTCCAGGAAAAACAAAAACTAAAAAAGACGAGCTCAGGGTCACCAGAGGCTGAGTGTGAAAGCATGCCACGGGGCAGTGAGAGCGATAATAGGAGGATTACTGGAATCATGCCTTGGCCAGAGGCTAGAATCCAGGAGGTGTGTATTGGGTGTTGGGGCAGGAGGGAGAGGAGCACTGCTCTGGATGATTTCCCACCATAACCAGGGACATGAAGGACAAAAGGACTTGGCTGCTCAGCACAAAAGCAAAATTCCCTAGAATGTTCTTCCACCAGGTTGAGTCCTTCCCTACTTCCTCCTTCAAGGGGCAGAGTCCCAGTGGTTAGCCAGAGGAAAGTCCACTGGTCAGGATGTCTGTCCCACTCTCCCAGTCCAAGCTGAGCCCACCTGTATGTCCTGGAGTCACCATATTTTCTGCCCAGTCTGACAAAATCAGTGACCTTAACAGTGTGTAAAATGTGCCTAGTTGCTGCCCTTCCTTTATAAATCTGCTAGCAGTCTGAAAGGTTGGCCGAGTGGAACATGCAAAGCAGTAGCCCTCTGAGGAGCAGAGTTAAGGCTAGTACAGAAAAGACTTTTCCTCCCAAAACACCTTCAGTGTTTGGAGAGGCTATTATGTCAATAAGTAAAGAACATGCTACTGTGAAAAAGGTACAGGAACAAAAAAGAGTTGCCAAAAATAAAAAATATTATTGTAAGGTAAAAAATTTCATAAATGGGCCTAATAGTGGGATGGATATAACTGAAAACTAAGATGGTGATGAGGAAGACAGTCAAGAATAAATATACCAAAGTAGCAAAGAAATACCTGTGCAAGTAGAATAGCTTGCTTCAAACAGATGAGATTTGTCCTCCCAACATCAAAACATATCACAAAACTACAGTAATTAAGTCCCTTTGAGGCCAGCACTGACTGGGATAAGCAAATAGATAAATGGGATGTAACAGGCCTTATTTCAAACTAATAGGTTGTTCACCAACTCCTAGTTGGATACCCTGCTATCCATTATGAAAAAGAAAAAAAGGTAAGTTCTCATCTTACACCATACTTAAATTTCAGATGAATTAAGTATTAAACATAAAAATTAAATGAAACATGGGTTTCCCTGGGGATTCTAAGCCTAACTCCAAACTTGGAAGCTGCAAAGTTTGGCTTTGTGGCTCTACATGGAAAAAAAAAATAGAAGCTGCAAAGGAGAATATTTTACCTATTTGACTACATAAAAGCTTAAAATTACTACATGACAAGGTACTGTAAAAATAGTTAAAGGATAAATGGCAAACTAATAGAAAACACTTGCAACAAAGGGTTAATAAAACATAAAGAGAAAAAAAATCACCCCCCCCAAAAAAACCAGGCAGGCTGTGAACAGAATATTCACAGTAGAAAGGAAAAGGCTATATTGGAAATATGAACAGGTGTTCATTCTCCCTAATAGTTAAAAAAGGTGTTAAATGAAAACTAGTTACTTTTCATGTTTCAGACTGGCAAAAATTACAGCACGTTTGAGGTTATGAAGAAAGGATATTTTAAATTCTTGATAGTAATATAAGTTCAAGTATCTTTGAGGGCAAGTTGACCTTATCTATCAGTATTTTAAATATATGTGCTCTATGACCCATCAGCTCTCCCTCAGGAATTTGAACTTATGTAAATGTTCATCATAGCATTGTAGTATTTAAATACCAAAAATAAAGTAAATGTGAAATTAGATGTCCTTCAGTAGGGCAATAGTTAAATAATTAGTAGGGCAATAAATTGTTACATCCACAGTAAAACATTGTGTTGTCATCAAAGAAAATGGGGTAGATTTGTATGAAGAGATGGGAAAATATGACTATCATATACAAATTTTAAAAAGCAGATTGTGGCCAGGCGCAGTGGCTCATGCCTGTAATCCTAGCACTTTGGGAGGCTAAGGTGAGTGGATCACCTGAGGTCAGGAGTTAGAGACCAGCCTGGCCAACATGGCAAAACCCCGTTTCTACTAAAAATACAAAAATTAGCCGGGCGTGGTGGCCATGCCTGTAATCCCAGCTACTCAGGAGGCTGAGGCAGGAGAATTGCTTGAACCTGAGGGGCGGAGGTTGCAGTGAGCCAAGATCGTGCCACTTCACTCCAGCCTGGGCAAAAGAGCGAAACTCCGTCTCAAAAAAAAAAAAAAAGCAGATTGTAGAATGGTGTATGTGAAATTTGATTCCCTTTGTGTATGTGTGTGTTTTTAAACCCATTGGTATGCTCATGTGTACATATATATGTCTGAGGTGTCTATATAGTAGTAACGTATTATACCTCAAATTGTTCCTAGTGGTTATCTCTAGAGAGAGACATTGTTACAGCCAGAACATGAGCTAGGGATGTTTTTCTGTATTGCCTTAGGGTTTGAATTCTTGAGCATGAGCATGTATTTCTCTTTAAGTTTGTAGAAATGTTGGAAAAGATCCCCTACACTGAGACATCTTCCTTCCACTGTCTTATCCATGCCCCTTGACCTGATGGGCTGCTGGCTATGCTTCAGTGTTAGCTGCTCATCATTGTTTTGTCCCATTTACAGGGATCATCTTGTGTCATATCTTAGAAGGCCACCTGGAGGAAGCTGAGTACCGGCTGGAATTCCTGAAGGAGGTGCAGAAGTCCCTTGGGAAGTCTGAGGTCAGAGCTCCCTGGGGGTATGGGTTGCTCCAGGATGATGTCCTCTGCTGTCCTCCCACCCCCACTTTCCAATAGAAAGCATGCAAGGTGGTCTGGACCTTCACTTTGCCCTTGCCTACCAAATCTGCCCAGGCTGACATTGGCACTGAGACTCGGTCCTCTCTTCCACAGGTGCTAATTTTCCTCCAAGCCCTCCTGATGTCCAGGAAGCACAAGGGGGAGGAAGAGACCACAGCGCTCCTGAAGGAGGCAGTGGAGCTTCACTTCTCCAGCATGCAAGGCATCCCTCTTGGCTCTGAGTACTTTGAAAAGCTGGACCCGTACTTCCTGGTCTGCATTGCTAAGGAGTACTTGCTCTTCTGCCCCAAGCAGGTTAGGGGAAGGCCTGTCTTCATGGTGGGGGTCTGGAGTACAGGTTTGGATGGTGCCCACCTGAAGGACAGAGGCAAGGACCTTACTTGGCCAGTCACAAGTAAGGATGGGGTGAGCCTTGGGCAGCTGGGGAGCCCAGTGCTCTTCAAACTTGAACATACAGCACACAGGTCACCTGGGAGGTTGTTCCAGTACAGATTCTGACTCTACAGGGGGGTCTAAAACCCTGCATCTCTAACAGGCTCCCAAGTGATATGGATGCTGCTTGTCTAGGGACCACACTTGGAAGAACAGGGCACCGGCCCATGGCCCTGCCTTTATCCGAGATGAGAATTTGGCTTCCTTTTCCGCAGAAGCCCCCTAAGAAGTATGTTAGTCTTTACTTGTTTGTCCTGCTCTTCCAGCCAGTCAGGATTCTTTGTGACCAAGGATCATATTTTTATACACCTTAATATCCCCCCAGTGCCTTGTAATGAGTCATTCAGCAAATATTTATTGAGTGCATTACTACATGCCAGATACCATTCTCGGTACTGGGGACACAACAGTGAACAAAACAAAGTTCCATAGCCTGGAGCTCGTGCTCTAAGCACTAGGTGATACAGAGGATAATAAATAAGTGTGGAATGAAGCAAAATTCCTTCACTGAGAGCATTTTCTGAGAGCTCCAGGAGTCTCTCTTAGAATAGGGCAAACCTACTCCCACCTCCACCGCCGTGTTCCCACAGCCCAGGTTACCAGGCCAGATCGTGTCTCCACTTCTTAAACAAGTCGCCGTGATCTTGAATCCTGTAGTCAAAGCAGCACCAGCTCTGATCGACCCCCTGTATTTGATGGCTCAGGTCAGGTATTACTCAGGTGAGCGGGGGATCCTGACAGCCGGGTGGGGCCTTGCAAACACCTGATGTAGCTTTGTGTCTGCAGGCTCCTTGCCTAGGATACTACACACACACACACACACACACACACACACACACACACACACACACTCTCCTTGCCTGGGGTACTACGCACACACACACACACATGCATGCTCCTTGCCTGGGGTACTACACACACACACACACACATGCATGCTCCTTGCCTGGTGTACTACACACACACACACACACACACACGTATGCACACACGTGCACACACACACAGGCACATGATCCTACAGGCCTGCCCACTCCCAGCCTCCATTCCCTAGTAAGCTTCCTGACCTCTCACCAGCAGGGGTCTCTCCCACCTAGGCCTTTGTGGATTTACTCATTTGATCTGTGCTGGTAATAGTTATTGAACTTCTTCTGAGATACAGTAGTACCAAAAATAGGCAAAAATTCCCTCATGGAGCTTGCATCTAGTAAGGGGAAATTGACAACTGAATACAAGCTCCACGAGGGAGCACATCGTATTTTTTTGCTAGAACATGGTAATGCTATGGAAGAAGCTGAAACAGGGAAGTGATGCAGGGGTGGCAGGGTTGCGGTTTTGAAAAGGTATCCAGAAAGAACTTGTGGAGAAGTGAGAACCCTGTACCATGAGGCCTTCAGAGCCTCCAGGGGCCCTTTCACCTTCTCCCTTCTCAAGGCCCAGACCCTGGAGAGAAAGGGAAGGAGAGGGAAACTCTTCCATGGGTGCTCTATTGTCCTATCTGATGCAGAGTCCTCCCCTGAAGTACTGTCTCCCTGTGGCCTCTCACCCAATCCTGCCTGCCTGGAAACCAGGCTGATCTGTGGTGTTCTGGGGGTGTCCAAAGGGATCAGAATACTGTGGCCATTTGTCTGTCTTCTGGCATTGCATCGTGTGGGTTGCACTCCTGCTGAGAGCTTTCCTGTCTTCATCCTTAGTCCTCCCTATGTTCATTTGGGTGCCAGGTTTCCCCACAGCTTCAAGGTATCCTGGATACAAGGCCAGGGTGAGAGAACTTCCCCTGGGTGCCGGCATCTGCCAGCAGATTTGGGCCCAAAGCAGTCTCCAGCTGTGTAGGTTGCCATGGTGACCTCTTCACATTTCCACAGCACATAAGAAGGAGCAGGGAGCTTGGGACCCAGAAACAGGTGCTCCCTACCCACCAGGTTATGGATCCCAAGTAGGAGTTGTTGAGAGACCTGACTGCGAGGGAAGAGAGTGCCCCTACCAACTCATCACACCCAACCCCTAGGCTGCTGCTACCACCCTGAAAGTGCCAGCCTGTCTGCAGGGAGGCCCCGCAGCCCTCAAGCCCCAGGGGGTTCAGAGCTGAAGCTCAGGAACCCAATAGGCCTGGACGTAAATGCCAACTTCGCCCCTTCCAAGCCGAGTGGCTTATATCACTGGAGCCCCAGGTACCACATCTGAAAAGACAAGAACAATAGCACCAACCTTGCAGGGCTGGGCAAGTAATAAATCAGACTTTCTAAAGTGTTTTGCAAGTATTGAACATAGAGCAGGAGCTTCTTAAATTGTAACTATTATAGTTGCTGTTACTACTAGGTTTTGTTTGCTCTTAGGTGTGGGAATTGAGACTTAATGTGTTCCCCTGAGCTTCTGGATGGAGCTGTGAAGTGACTTAGCTATCTCCCTGAGGGTTACAGAGACAAGAAGGGTGTTGCACTGAGGTTTGAGTTTCCTGTCGTTTGTCTGAGTCAAGGAAACAACTGTGTAGTCTTAATTTTAGAAATGGACCCCTGAGTGAAGCAGAACAAAACTGGCTAAAATACTCAATTTTGTATATTTCTGGGGAACAGGACATGTAAAATTCATTCTGCCCTTGCATATCAGGTCTTAGGAGCCCTTGGGAACCCTGCATGTAGAGGTTTGTGTATTATTTCTAGGAGAGCTAGAGAATGCCCAGAGCATCCTGCAGCGTTGCCTGGAGCTGGACCCCGCCTCCGTGGATGCCCATCTCCTCATGTGTCAGATCTACTTGGCTCAGGGCAACTTTGGCATGTGCTTCCACTGCTTAGAGCTGGGTGTCAGCCACAACTTCCAGGTGGGTGCCCTCTCATCCTCTCAGCATCCCAAAGCCCAGCTAGCTGTGGCCCCTGTTTGCCTTCTGAGAGTAGCCCCAGGGGCTAGCTGTGTCCCGTAGATCTTTCTGCTCGTCCAAAGGCAGGGGTAGGCTCAGTGGGCTCCTGAGGCTTTCTCTGACCTGGCTGCTGTGAGCAGCAGCAGTAGCAGCAGTGAACTGGAGCCCCACACTCTGCTGTGCTCCTCCTAGGTCCGAGATCACCCCCTCTACCACCTCATCAAGGCCAGGGCCCTCAACAAGGCTGGAGACTATCCAGAGGCCATAAAGACGCTGAAAATGGTCATCAAATTGCCAGCTCTGAAGAAGGAAGAAGGCAGAAAGTTCCTCAGGCCCTCTGTGCAGCCTAGCCAGCGGGCATCCATCTTATTGGAACTGGTGGAGGCCCTCCGGCTGAATGGGGAGCTAGTAAGAAATGCCGTGCTCTCTTCCCTGGGGACTGGGGCACACTGGAGGCTCAGGGTAGGCCCAGGAACCAGGTTCTTTGATTCCACCCACTGTTTACTTGTGCATCAAGTGAAGGGTCTGTTTGATTCCCATGTTTTAGCATGAGGCCACCAAGGTCATGCAGGACACCATCAATGAGTTCGGTGGCACACCAGAAGAGAACCGCATCACCATTGCCAACGTGGACTTGGTCCTGAGCAAGGGCAATGTGGACGTGGCGCTGAACATGCTAAGGAACATCTTGCCCAAGCAGTCCTGCTATATGGAAGCCAGAGAGAAGATGGCCAACATCTACCTGCAGACCCTCAGAGACAGGCGCCTCTACATCAGATGCTACCGGTAAGCCCCACAGGCAGCACAATGACAGCTTCTTCTCCAATGGTATCTTAGGGAGTGTTTCCTTCAGATGGTATTTCTTCAACCTGGGTCTCCAGAATGTGTCCTTGGAGTGTAGTTGATGAATGTATGGAATTGTCCATGGGTTACAATTTGAGCATGAAAGGTCAGTAAGCCCTGTTCATGGATGAGGATACAGAATCGAATTGGCCCTGAGCCCTGCTTGCCTCCCCCTCACCTGCTTGCACATGCTAGTGGGAGACTGTAGGCCTGGTTCTCAGAGCAGACACACTGAAGCTCCAAGCTGCTGTCTCTGTATGATTTTGCATTGGGACCTCCAAGGTGCCTTCCTCATCCCTTTCTTCTGGCAGAGCTGCATCTAAGCAATTTAAAGTGGGAGGTGGGGATGCTGAGGGAGTAGGGAAGGCTATCCAGCAGTGGGAAACCAGTGAACAGTATGGAGGCACGGCCAGATTGGAGTTTTAGAAAGAGTGACATTGCTGCCTCATGGAGAGGGATCTGGAGGGATAGCAGGTAGAGTGAGAGGAACAGGTAGAGGGCCTGGCCATGGCCTAACTACAGAGATGGATGTGGAGAGCCTGACTCAGGTAGCTAGCACAGTGCCTCATTCACAGTGGACTTTCTATAAATATTGATTGATGAATGAATGAATGTCAGCCAGAATCAGTGGGAAGGAAGTGAAGGAGATGATTTCAGGAACATGAGGTGTGTGCGAACCTGGGATAAGCTTTTGGTTACTCTTGCTTGCAGTGAGCTCTGTGAACATCTGCCTGGCCCCCACACCAGCCTGCTACTGGGCGATGCCTTAATGAGCATTCTGGAGGTAAGTGAGAGGCCTCACAGCCTTGCCAAGTGGCCCCCCAGTCTCCCTTCTCCAGTGGGAGAGAAGAGGAAGACCCAAAGACACTTTCCCCACCAGCCCGAGAAGGCCCTGGAGGTCTATGATGAGGCCTATAGACAGAACCCACATGACGCCTCCCTGGCCAGCAGAATTGGGCACGCTTATGTGAAGGCCCACCAGTATACTGAGGTCAGGCTGGGCTAGGGTGTGAAGGGGCAGGGAGGGCCAGCCCAGCAGGGAAGGAGGAGGACGGTACATGACTGGGGAGCTCTGGGTGGGAGGAGAGTGGCTGACTTTTCACTCAGCTCCTTGCTGAATGGGGTGCCAAGGGGAGAACTCAGCAACTCTCTGCTGCTGACCACACCTGCTTAAGCTGAGGGTTACACCCTGTGCCAGCTGGGAGGAGTGCCTTTTCACTTTAGGCTATGTTCTGGAGGGGCACACTGGTGTGATGGCTGCTGAGGGGAACATGGTGTCGGGCACTGAAGGGCAGAACCAGGCCAGAGGCTAATATTTACTGTTTGCACTAAGGCAATTGAGTATTATGAGGCTGCCCAGAAGATTAATGGACAGGACTTTCTGTGCTGCGATCTGGGCAAACTGCTCCTGAAGTTAAAGAAGGTCAATAAAGCAGAAAAAGTTTTGAAGCAGGCACTGGAACATGACATTGGTGAGGCAGCATTGTAACCCATTTCTAGCATTTGGAGCAGACATACTCCTCCCCCATTCCCCATTAGCTGAAGTCCTGATCCCAGCGCTCCCCACCAACACAGCTTCCCAGGAGCCAGTGAACTAACACTAATTTGAGTTTCCATTTAACAGTCCAAGACATCCCATCCATGATGAATGATGTTAAGTGCCTGCTTTTGCTGGCAAAGGTTTACAAGAGCCATAAAAAAGAAGCTGTGATAGAAACTTTGAACAAGGTAATTGACAGGTGGACTCAAGCTCTTTATCTGCCATCTGCTGATGGGGGCTGAAGGAGGAGGAAGGAGAGAGCTCCAGGTCTGGAAAGCCCCAGACCTCTTCCTTAAAAAAGGACCTAGGTTACACCTCTGACATCCACCTTCACTTATTTTCCCGTCCTGGTTCATTCAGTTATGGTACACTAATGTGCTCTGAGCTGTGGTGGGCTGGGAAAGGCAGGAAGTAAGAGAGTGCCTTTGTCCTCAAGGGTGATAGTAGAGATAATAAGGATGGTAATGACAATAGCTCCCATGCATTGAAAGCTCTGTGCTAGGTTCTGTAGGGTTTTTGCTTTCTTATTGAATGATCACAGTAGCCCTTTGTAATAAGCATTGTGACATTCCCATGTAGCAGATAAGTCTCTAGGAGGTTGAGAAATGTGCCCAAAGTTGGGTTCAGTTGTGTTAGTCTGTATTCTGTTGGTGTATACCAGAATACTTGAAACTGGGTAATTCATACATTTTCTACAGTTCTAGAGGCTGAGAAGTTCAAGGTGGAGGAGCCACATCTGGTGAGATCCTTTCTGCTCAGGGGAAGGGGAACTCTCTAAAGAGTGCAGTGCAGGGCATCACATGGTGGGCGGGGGGTGCCGAGCATGCTAACATGCTTGCTCCGGTCTCTCATCCTCTTCTAATGAAGCCACCAGTTCCACTCCCATGATAACCCATTAATCCATTCATCCATGTGTAGTTTAATCCATTTATGAGGGCAGATCCCTCATGATCCAATCACCTCTCAAAGGCCCTAACTTTCAATACTGCCACATTGGGGATTAAGTTTCCAGGAAAGCTCATGACATTTGGGGGGCATGTTCAAACCATAGCAACGTCATATGTTGCTTATCAGCAGGGATATGATTTTGTTGTGTGAACATCATAGAATGTACTTCCACACACCCAGATGATATAGCTGACTTCACACCTAGGCTATCTAGTGTAGCCTATTGCTCTGAGTCTATAAACCTGCACAGCATGTTACTCTACTGAATACTGTAGACAGTTGTAGCATCATGGTAAGTATTTGTGTATTTATACACAGCTAAACATAGAAAATGTACAGTAAAAATACAGTATTATAATCTTAAGGGACCAGCATCGTATATGTGGTCTGTCATTGACTGAAATGTTATGCAGCACGTGACTGTACCAGCAAGTGGTGGAGCTGAGATCTGAGCCAGGTCTGGCCTTTCCCAACCCATGCTCTTTGCACACTGGGCTGCCCCTGATCCGAGAGCCCCCGGCCATTCCTGTCATATCTTCCTCACGTTTTTCCCCCCAGGGGTGTGGCCTCAAACTTGTTCCTGGAGTATGCTCTGTGCTTCTAGAGGGAGGGCCCACTCTCTGACTGTTTGAGATGATTTATCCCCTTGTTTACCACTGGATTCCCATTCCTCTTTTTGGCCCTCGGGGAGCCAAGTGCTGATTCCTACCCATGTCCTACAGCTTAACCCTGGCATCATCATTTCCTCTTGCCCTGATGTTCTCTGCTTACTCACCTGATCATTTGTGTGGTGAATATTTGTGGGTGCTTCCTCAAATTCCCAGCAGGGAGGCATACAGAACAGAACAGTCTACTGTGTGCCTTGGACACCTACTGTGTGCTAGTTCTAGCCTGTAGTGCAGTGAAGCGAATTAGACACAGAACCTCAAGGTGTGATGGAAGCAGGTAAACAGGCTAAGTACAAAAGCGTGTTTTGTTTGAGTCCTTTGCTTCTGCTCCTGCCCCCAGAGGCAGTGCCAGCTTGCCTCATGTGTACTCAGCCAGTGGCTTTGCCTATTCAGAGTGACCCAAATTTGCCCAAGGGCACTTATGTGTCATTTTTCATACTTCTGGCTTTGAATTAAGAACTTAGGACTTTCTGTGAACTGGTATGTCAGGCTCTGAGTTTCTGATCCTGGCTTGATTGGTTTCTCGAGGCCTTGGACCTCCAGTCTCGGATACTGAAGCGAGTTCCACTGGAGCAACCAGAAATGATTCCCTCCCAGAAGCAACTGGCAGCCTCTATCTGCATCCAATTTGCAGAGCACTACCTGGCAGAGAAAGAGTATGACAAGGCGGTACAGTCTTATAAGGATGTCTTCTCCTACTTGCCAACTGACAATAAGGTGAGTGGCCCTCAAAGCAAGAGGCTGCTTTCTCCCTCAGGGCACAATGACTTGCTGAGCTCACTGACCAGGTACAGGGGCCAGTCCCTTCTCCATTCTTCCCTGAGGAGTCACAGATATGATGGGCATGGGAGGCCAGCTAGCAGTGGCCTCTGGGGTAAGGTGTCTGCTCCTGCTGACCTGGGGCCTCACCTGCTGCAGCCCTTGGAGCAAGGCTCACCATGGATAGCCAAATGTGAAGGGTGTAGTGGGGAAGACATTGCTGAAAATCACGTTAGTCTGACATTTTCAAGTCCCCGTTGGAGGTGGGGAGATGATGAGGGTTGCAGCTGTCAGGGCACTTTGGGCATGAAGTGCAGGCTGAGCTTCCAAGAGGGCCTAGAGTTGTGAGGGAGGTGTGGCTCCAGATAAGGGAACCATAGTTGGAGTTCACGCTAACACAGTAGATGAAGAGCTTAGTGACCGATACATTCATTCATTTAATACTCAACTCATTTAACAGATACCTCATCTAATATGTGCCAAGTACTTTGCCCGGCTCTGGAGACATAGTGGGGCAAAGCTTGGTCACTGCCCACAGATTACCCTTGGGCAAGGGCATGTAGACGAGAGCACAGGCAGCGCTAATGCCATGCAATACATGCCTGCATGGGGATACAGGGCACCACTTGGAGGAATGGTACCTGCCCCAGAGTCTGGGGCACAGAGGGCTCTCAGAGCAGTGAGGCCAGAGGTGAAGCTGAAGGATGAAAATGTGTTAGCTTGGCCCAACTTTCAGAGGTTAGTAAGACACAGGGTATGACTGGAGAACTGCATGGGAGAAGGGGAAGGCCAGGACGTTCACGTGGGGAATTCGAGACATATTTTGAAGGCAGAGCTGATAGAAGTGGGGTGTGAGGGAAAGAGCTGTCAAGGATAACCCCAGGGGTTTCCCATGGTGTTTACTAGTTAGTTTATTATATCCGGCCTTGTCCCAGGTGATGCTGGAGCTGGCGCAGCTCTACCTGCTCCAGGGGCACCTGGACCTGTGTGAGCAGCACTGTGCCATCCTCCTGCAGACTGAGCAGAACCATGAGACCGCTTCTGTGGTAGGAAGCCCCCAGCACCCACTCCCTCCCCTCCCTTCCTCCCTTCCCAGGGTCCCTGTGACCAGATGCAGGCTACTTCCTAGCCCCGTAACCTCAGATGCCTCACTGACACACCTCTGAGGAGCTGTCGGGCAGAGAGGACTCAGTGCTGCACCTACTCTGCCCTTTAGCCGGAAGCGGTAGGCTGGCTGGCAGTGGGCAGCATCAATCTCCTGGGCCAGTCTAAGGTGGGGTGAGGTTGATTCACCCCAGGGGAAAGCACATTCACTGTAGGTGAAGGCAAGGGCGGGACAGGTTCCTGGGGCTTCAGGAAAAGCCCTCCTCGGTCCTGCCTCTCTCTTCCCTATCATCCAGACCTCCTCTAGGGCTGGCCCAGGAGCAGAAGCTGAGCCCTTGCAGAGCAAGGAGGGGTCCTCATCCCTACCTCTATTGCCTGGCAGTTCTCAGAATGGGTGGAGAGGCTTCCCCTGTAGGCTGTCAAAAAGCCCCACTGGTCTCTACCACTAGTCTTACCTTCCCATGTACATCCTCAACCCAACTCTTCTTGCCCCTCACCTTGGGAAGTCCTCACCTTCTGGGTGGGGGCCTGAGAAACCCTCAGGCTTCTCCTGTGGCAGCTTCTCACAAGGCCTAGGGAGGCTGCCTTGCAAGTCCTTTTCTACCTTCCCTTCTTACCACCATCACCCCCATACCCCCCGCCTCCCCCTACACCCATGCAAGCTGCCACTGTTGGGAAATCTGGAGCTTTGTGTGTTTTCTGATAGTTGATGGCTGACCTGATGTTTAGAAAACAGAAACATGAAGCGGCCATCAATCTTTACCACCAAGTCTTGGAGAAAGCGCCAGGTAATTCTGCCCATGGAGACTGCCTGTACCAGTTCCCACTGAGCAAGGGCCGCTCTCCCAGAGAAGGGTGGGACCTCTCCCTCCTTCCTGACTGGGCAGAGGAAGCCCCTTCCTCCCTGATTGTTCCAGAGAAGCAGGAAACTGATAAAGACCCAGTGGAACGTGCCGGCCCTTCCCGAGTCCAAGGGGCCAGTTCCTGGTCTCAAGGACTTGGCACTGGACCCAGGACAGCATGTCTGTCCCCAAATCACAGCCAATGGGGCTTGACACAGTCCCCTTTTGAGGTCACAGCCACTTGTAGGGACTAGAAATTCTCCCCCGTTGTATAGCTTCATTCCCATTCACTGCAGCGTAAAACCACCCCTTATTGCTGGGGAAAGGGGCCAGACCTGAGGCTCAGGTTGGAGCCCTGGCAGGCCCATGGCAGTGTGCCCATAGGCCCAGGAGGTCACCACGGTTAGGAGTATGGGTGCTGGGGCCAGGCTGCCTGGGTCTGAGTCCTGGTCTACCACTTACTGGTTGTGCAACTTTCAGCAAATTATTTCTCCATGTCTCAGTGTCCTCATCTGTAAAACAGACACAATAAGAGTACCTACCTAGGCCGGGCATGGTGGCTCACACCTGTAATCCTAGCACTTTGGGAACCCGAGGCGGGCAGATCACAAGGTCAGGGGATCGAAACCATCCTGGCTACACGGTGAAACCCTGTCTCTACTAAAAATACAAAAAAATTGGCCGGGCGTGGTGGCGGGTGCCTGTAGTCCCAGCTACTCGGGGGTGGGCTGAGGCAGGAAAATGGCATGAACCCAGGAGGCAGAGCTTGCAGTGAGCCGAGATCACGCCACTGCACTCCAGCCTGGGTGACAGGGCGAGACTCCGTCTCAAAAAAAAAAAAAAAGATTAGGTACCTACCTAATCTTGCAGTTAATATATAGGTAAAGCACTTAATACCAGGTACAATATAAGTGCTATATAAGTGTTAGCTGCTATTCTTTACTATTTTTAAGCATTAGTATTATTCTTTACTCAACCCTGGAGACCAGTGGAGACTCTGGAGCTGTTGGAATGTCCCTGCTCAGCCCAGATGGGCAGTATCTCTTGGCTTCTCCTAGGGCCCCAGCACCCTCATCTGATAACAGCTACTGGGCATTTCAGCCTGGAGATTTCTGTCTCTTATTTTAGACAATTTTTTGGTATTGCATAAATTAATCGATCTGCTAAGAAGAAGTGGAAAACTTGAAGACATTCCTGCCTTCTTTGAATTGGCCAAGAAGGTGTCTAGCCGGGTGCCTTTGGAACCAGGGTTCAATTACTGCAGAGGTATCTACTGCTGGTGAGTTGGGTGTGGTGTGTTGAGGGGCAGCTGTGTGCAGGAAGCCCTACTGGCAGATAGGCTAGGCCCTTGCTCTGCACAAAAGGAGCAGAAATTCTGCCTCCAGGACACCCGGACCCAGCAAGTGAGGGCCCATGGGGGCAGGGGTGGAACCCTGTGGAAGTCAGGGAGAGCCTGCAGCCTCTGGATGGAGGCCAGGTGAGGGCCACTTGGGCAGGCCACCAGCCTGCATCCAACACACAGGTCCGACGCCCGCATCTCCTCCAGGGGAGCTGGGAAACCAGAGATCCAGCCTCTGCTTTGTGCAGACTCACAAAGTGGTCCTTGTATATCCCTGCCCTGTCTGGGCCTCAGTTTCCCTCACTGATTCTTGGTGTTTTCTCCACCACAGGCACATAGGGCAGCCCAACGAAGCCTTAAAGTTCCTGAACAAGGCACGCAAGGACAGCACTTGGGGCCAGAGCGCCATCTACCACATGGTGCAGATCTGTCTGAATCCAGACAACGAGGTTGTGGGCGGAGAGGCTTTTGAGAACCAGGGAGCTGAGAGCAAGTAAGGGCCCATGGAGGCAGGGGCGGAACCCTGGGGAAGTTACAGAAAGCCTGCAACCTCTGGGTTGAAGCCAGGTGAGGGCCACACGGGCAGGCCACCGGCCTGTGTCTGATACCCAGGTCTAACACCTGCAGCTACATGGAGAAGAAGGAGTTGGAGCAGCAGGGTGTGAGCACCGCCGAGAAACTGCTGCGTGAGTTTTACCCACATTCAGACTCCAGCCAGACCCAGCTGCGGCTGCTGCAGGGCCTCTGCCGGCTGGCCACCAGGGAGAAGGCTAACATGGAGGCTGCGCTGGGCAGCTTCATCCAGATAGCGCAGGCTGAGGTGTGGCTGGTGGGGACTGGCGGGCATGGGCAGGTGGCAGGGCCGAGAAGACCAGGCGGCCAACACGTGCTGACGTCCACTTCCTACCTGGTGTGTAGAAGGACAGCGTCCCTGCCCTGCTGGCCTTGGCACAAGCCTACGTGTTCCTGAAGCAGATCCCCAAGGCGCGTATGCAGTTGAAGCGCCTGGCCAAGACCCCCTGGGTGCTGAGTGAGGCTGAGGACCTGGAGAAGAGCTGGCTCCTGCTGGCTGACATTTACTGCCAGGGCAGCAAGTTCGACCTCGCCTTAGAACTGCTGCGGCGCTGTGTGCAATACAACAAGGCAAGGAGCCACACACACACTAGGGCTGCGGGATGGCGGAAAGGATTCTAGGCATTCCAGGAAGGTGAAGCAGGCTTTGCAGGTAGAGGCCATATGGAATAAGAACTAGTCGGGAAGAGGCAGGCTGAGAGGGGCACATGGGCGACAGACCAGAATAGGAATGAGGATCAAGGGCGATGGACCAGGTGAGAGGAGGTGCACAGGGGTCGTGTTATGTCCAGAGGAGGGAACACTAAAGGACAGAAAGAGATGGGAAAGCTTCATGGGTTCCAAGCTGGAGGGACTTTTGCAGGTCAGAGCAGGCCAGGAATGGGAGTGGCGGAACAGGAGGGCTACAGGGAAAGGGGTTACGCCAGTGTCTGGGGTAGCTGAGAGGAGGGCACACAGTTGGCTTCTTGCAAAGGTTGGGGTACCCCTGGGGTCCCTTGGCAGTTTGGTTTATGGCAGCTCACTTCTGTCCCTTGCCTGCTTCTGGTTCTGGTCCCAGTCCCACCCTGGCCCAGGGAACCAGTTGGGGCTTCCGCTCTGCAGAGGCTCTAACTGGCTTTCCCTGCAGTCCTGCTACAAGGCCTATGAGTACATGGGCTTCATCATGGAGAAGGAGCAGTCCTACAAGGATGCAGTCACCAACTACAAACTGGCCTGGAAGTACAGTCATCACGCCAACCCTGCCATTGGTAAGGCAACCAGCCAGGGTGCACGTGAATGGACGTGGGAGGGAGGTGGGCAGGAGGGCCCCCACCATGACCCCAGAACTCAAGGCCTGTACCCTGGCTGTTATGAGAACCAGAGGGGTTCTCAGGTCACCAGGGTGCCACCATCTTTGCTCTCCATGTCCCCGGTAGGCTTCAAACTTGCTTTCAACTACCTGAAGGACAAGAAATTTGTGGAGGCCATTGAAATCTGCAACGATGTAAGCCAGCAGCCTTGGTGGGGAGGGCCTGGTGTAGTGGTGGGGAAACCTGCATGATACTGCACACCCATTCTCTCTCTGTTCCAGGTCCTCAGGGAGCACCCCGACTACCCCAAGATCAGGGAGGAAATTTTGGAAAAGGCCCGAAGGTCCCTGAGGCCCTAGCTGGGGTCAAGGGGCCTGGACCAGTAGAAGCCATCAACCTACTGAAGTTGTGTGGAGGGATGGAAAGTGGGTCAGTGGAGAAGGGATTCAGAAAATGACACATTCTTCCCCATTTCTATAGTGTATGTGGTTTATTTTGAGTCATGTCTCATCTGACCTAACTTTATGTTTTTAAGGCACAAGAAATTTTGCTCTGGGAAGAAAGACATCAACTGGCTTAACTTTTGCTGGGCTCATTGGGCGCTTTCTAACAGACCTCGCTTTTATCCCAGACTCTTTGAGGGGGCGGAGGGGAGCAAAGAGGGGGCTCCTAGTGGAATGGTGGTTGAAAAGAATCCCCTTCAGCTGTTTTTCAATGGTTGTTGCCCCTCTCCTGTCTGGTCTCCAGGATCCTGGAGCTAAAGAAGCAGATACTTCTCCCTGCCATGCTACCCTGAGTCTGCCTGGCGGTGGGCCCAGGATGCTGTGGGCAGTGGGCCCAGACAGGAGGATTAACTGCAGAAGGCCCGCACAGCTAAGGCCCTGTGTGAGAGGGCCTGCAGGGTGCAAGAGCCATTGTCCCACCCTGTCCATGCATTGTTTCCCTTGCCCCTGCCCCCCGCACCCCCACTCCCCGCCAAGTCCAGCTGGCTTCTTCTAGTCCTTACCAGTTTGGGACAAACCTGACTACCCTCGCCTGGCACAAGGAAATACATGCCAAGAAAAAATAGTTCCCACTTCAGCTTTTACAAAATACACTGCCTATCTAACATCCTACAGAAACCCTTTTAATGTCTAAGGGGGCAAATGCAGTGGTTCCTATTTAGATGAATAATGTTAACTGCAACTGGCAAGAGGGTGACAGAGGGCACCTTTGCTGTGCTCCCAATACCAGTCTTCCTTGATGTCATTAAGGATGCCAATAATGGGACAGTCTGGCCTCAGGACAATCAGGAAGCCTAGGATCTCCCAATGTGGCTTTCCCGGGTCCCTTCCCCTCTCTGGGTCTTAGTGTCCCCATTTGTGGCAGGAAATTAGATGTCTCCCAAATCATGGCACAACTCTCTGCCAGTGATACACAGCAAACATTTTAAAGTTTAATAACTATGTGTTTTTAAAAACACATCATTTTTACATGGAAAACCAACTAGCACAGAAAAGTCAGGAATTTATGGGTGCTGTTCCATGGGATGGGTTTAACTTTTAAGCATACTGATATAATTGATTTAAAGAAAAATTATTTAGAGTAAGTAGAATGCAGATATGATATGGGCAGAGTTTTCAAGAGCAGTTGTCCAGTGACTAAGGTTTGGGAACAGTGGACAGATAAGGGTCCCTTTGGAACAGTGTAACTCGGATGGTGCTGAGCCTTGTTTTTATAACACACTGCTGATCACATACATGGTTTGTTGATATGAGCTGGGGATCTGGAATGCTTTCTCCAGGTTACTACCATTTTTCCTACGGGAAAACCCAGTCCCCTTTCTGTGATCTGCTTTACAACCCAGTTTTGTTGGGACAGGTTTGTTGACAGGTCTATCTATATGGAGAATGATCCTGTAAAGGGATTGTACATTAATCATGTTTTTGCTGTAAAACCTAGATTGTCTTCATTTATCTAAAAACAGAGAAACAAAAACTAAGAACCCTGTGGCCCTAGATGGGAGTAGGCAGGCCTCAGTCCAGCCATGGGCTGAGTCCATGTGGTGGAAGCCTGTTGGGACTTCCTGCCAGAGTACTGGAGCTGAGGGCTGCCACCCAGACCACCAGGCCAATCAGAGTGACCCTGGGAACCCTTGAAGAACCCAGGTTTTGGATTGTGCTTGCTGAAGTAATCGCTACAGAAGGGTGTCTAGGCACCAGTGAAGAAGAGACAGGACAACTCAATGTACCAGGGTACTCTAACCTGAGAAGCCTATTCCTAGTTAAGCTGGTTACAGGGACATACTGCCGCACCATAGGCCAGACTCCAAACTATGAGTCCTCTAATGGCACTGATATGGCCATGTGGTCATGACCATGCATGTCCAGAGGCAAGAGACAGATACCTGAAGGGTGACAGGACAGGCAAAAAAAGGATTAAACATTCAGAGAAAGAATGGCAGAAACATGAAAATCAATGCAAGTTGCAAACATACACAGGACTTGCATGTTCCAGGCACTCTTTAAGGGCTTTGTAAATATGAAATAAACAAGTTTATGAGGTGAGTAGTGTTACTGTTTGCATGTAGTATTGAGGACACCCAGGCACAGAGGGAGTAATTTGCACAAATCACCTCACTAGGTAGCAGAAAATCTGAGATTCAAGCCCAGCATTCTGGCTCTGTGCTCTTACCAGTTAAGCCAAAGAGATGAGTGAGCCCAGTACAGACCAAGGCAGAGAATTAGAGCAAGGAGACCCAAATCAGTTCTCCTCTGGCGGTTCCTCCTTCCAGCTCTTGTACAAATCACTATCATTCCTAAGGGGGAAGTCAACCTTTCTCAGGCCCCCAGACTGGGGCTCCCCAGAGCAGGGTGTGGCCTACTCCTCTGGCCTGCTGCCCAGCTGAGCTGCCAGGGACAGGTCAGACAGGTCTGGCTGGTGCAGAGGGATGAGGTTCTGCAGCTTCCCCCTGCCCTTTCCGCTGCCCCCCTGCTCAAGTCCCCAGGGACCACAGCTGCTACGTAAGGCCATCACCAGGCCTTGACCAGGCACATGCCCTTACCCTGCCTCCACCCAGGTTGGTGAATTCACCCTCAGGACAAGGCCTCAGCTCAGTGTGGGTGTGTAGGAAGAAGGGTGCCCTTACCCATCCCCAGCAGATAGCCCCATGTCAGAAGACCCTGGTGCTGCTCCTCCCCACCACCCCAGGTCACCACTGTAGAGGAACAGGTTACTCCAAAGGAAAAACTGCTCTATCTGCCTGGCCAGCCTCTCAGCTGGCTTCCTGCCTCCAACTTGACTGGCTTGCCTGGAAAGAGGCCCAATATGCTGGGTGTGCCTACTCCTACCCCTCAACACAGCCTGTGTCCATACTCCCCTCTGCAGGGCTTGTCCCCCATCCCCTTTGCCCCTGCTTCCCACCCCACAAATACATACCACATTGCTAAAAATAAAGCCTCTTTATTGGTACCTGTAAGCTCAGGTACAAGGTGTTCCCACAAGCACACAGGCTGGCAAGGCCTCCTGGGCAAGGGGCAGGCCCAGAGCCTGCGTTTCTTGGCACAGACACAGAGAGAAATGGAATAAATTATAGTTCTGACACTCAGGGACAATGTAGAAATTATGATGCAAAATTAAACATTAGCAAACAAAGGGTATAAAAACCCTCAGGAGCCACCCCTCGCCAACTGGCCTCAGGGCATGGGCAGGTGGGCCACGCTGAAGTGCAGTGCCCAGAAAGCCCTGAGATAATAGTCTGGGGCATGGTTCGCGCCCCGAGGTAGGCCCTTTGCCCTCTCTGGGCTTCCTGTTTCCTCCTTCCCCCTCCTACATCCCTGGGCCTGGAATAAAGGCTGTGGCCTTTGGGAAGGGGGAAGATGGAACAGAGGGCAGGAAGTGGAGGGGGCAGGGTGGGGCAGAAGGGAGTTTTGGTCACAGCTGTTCAGCCCAGGCTCTCCCCCTGCCTAGATGATGTCCTTGGCCAGCACCTGCCCACAGAGCCATCTAGGAGCCAGGCAGCAGACATAGATCACAGAGCTCAAATCCACACCTAGTCTGCACCAAAGCCCAGGCAGGGCAAGGTGTAGGACTACAAGGCAAAAGGGGCTCTTGAGGGCCTGTGCCCACCCCACCCCTGGCATTACCCACCAGCCAAAGAAGTGCAACCAAAGCCTCCTCAATCTCCAAATAAATTATGGAAATAAATTATAGTCTTCACAGTCCAGTGGATTTAGCCACCCATGGGTCTAGGGCTCAGGGTGGCAGAAGCCACCTGATTTCAGCCCTGTCTCACCGTCTTTGGGCTAAGGAACATCACGCAAAGACCGAAAAGTGGTCTGCCAAGCTCCAGAGGAGCCACATTTTCTCCTCTTCCAGGCTCACGTTGTGGAGATAGAAGAGCAAGCTGTGGGTGTGGGGGGCCGGGCAGCTGAAAGGGGAAGCCCCCTCCCCCCAGTCCTCTCTTCAGCACAGAAAAGTTAAAACAAATAAATAAATCCAGAGAATTGTTTGAAAACCAGGAGTGTGCACATGGCACCTGTGGGTGAGCCAGCCAGTGGGAGACTGTTACGCAGACTCTGGGGAGCCCCATAATTACAAGAAAGCAGCAACAGGTCTCTTGGGGCTGGGAAAAGACATCCTGGTCCTCACACCGGCACAGGCTCCATTAGAGATGCTGGGACAGTGTCCTCAAACTGGCTGTCAATAAAGGGATCTAGGGCTTCGGCGGCTGGCTCGGAGAAGCCCATGAGGGACTCCAGGAAGCAACTGCTGGCATCCCCAGGTGGAGACAGGCCAGGCAGGGGGAAGTGAGGTGCCTCGATGTTGTCCAGGCTGTCAGACACCTTCTGTGATGTGTAGTGAGGCCCCAGACTATAATCTGGCAGAGCCTGGAGTAACTCAAAGGAGTCACAAGAAGACAAGCTGAGATCCACTGAGCTACTCCGGCCAGCGTCCATGCTGGGTGGCACTGAGGTGCCAGGAAGGCTGCCTTCCCTTGACCCTTCAAGGCCACCATTTAGGAAGCAGCTGGCATCCAGGTTGGCATTCTCATCCAGGACGCCTGATGTGAAGCTACAGCCAGAATAGCTGTGGGTCCAGCTGGCCAGGCCACCAGGGTCACTAGTACCAAAGATGTCAGCTGGATGGAAGCAGCTGAGGTTGTCCAGGTTCCCCACGCTCCCTTCCTCCTCTTCCTCCTCCTCCCCACCGAAGTCAGAGTCACTGAAACTCAAGATGCGTGCCAGGCTGTCATCATCAACGCCAGGCTGGAAGCCAGGGCCAGGCAGGCCTGGGTGGGTGGGGCAGTCAGGAGCCTCACTAGTGCCCGATGCTGATGAAGATGCTGTAGAAGAATCAGTCATGTCGCTGCTGCAGCTGTTGTCTCCCAGCTCATTGTTCATGGGGGGCTTGGCCAGTGGGAAAGTAGGGACCAGGGCCTCCTCACCAGGGCTGGGTGGGCTGCCCTGGGCAGGGGCCTCCAGCTCCCTAAAGCTCTCAGCCTCCTGTTCCAACTGCAGGCGGGTGAGTGTGTGGATGAAATGGGTCTGAACTCTTGCCTGATTAAATTCCACACGGCCCATGGGGTTCTCACAGCCCTCCCTGCAGCAGCCACAGGGGAATGCTGTGTGGTCCATCTGCAGAGAAAAGTAGAGGTACAAGTGAGGGTTCTGTGGAGTGCAAAGAAGTCCCCACGCTCAGGATCCCCATCCCAGTCCAGCCACCACACCTGGCACTTGATGCCTGCCAGGCTGCAGCTGCAGGTCTCAGGGTCGCAGATCCTATCGCAGTGACAGCCACAATCCTCCCGGGATTGGCGCAGTGCCTGCAGCTCCCGCTTCTCCTCCCGATCGATCCTTCGCACACCTGAAGCCCTCAGCAGAGCTCGACGTCGCCGGGCTGGGTAGGGCTGTAGGAAGCTCACTTCTTCCAACCGGCCACCTGCCACAGCGACTGCCAAGTCCTCCTCCACAGAGGCGTCATCAATGGCATCCACCACAGGTGGCAGCCCTGCCTCTGCCTGGGGTACCCCAGCTGCCGAAAGCTGCATCCACAGGAAAGAGGGATGTAAGAAGCACAGACATGGACATGGGCTTAGCCCTACTGTCACTAGACAAACCCTCCCCAAGTGCTTACCCCCCCACTACTCGTGCTTAATCTGCGATGGGCACTGTGTGTCAGACAGTGAACAGGACAGCCAAGAAAACTGCCCTCAGGGCATTTGAAAAAAAAAAAAAGAGATATCCTACTCATGGCATTCCCTAGATCATGGACAGACTCCCTTTCCTAACCAGACAGATACGCACCCCCTCCAGTTCATATCAACTTCACATCCCCCTCTCCAAAAAGTTCAGATTCAGGTATCATGCCCCCAGCCCCTGCAGCAAATAGACACGAGCCCTCCTCTGCGCCTCCTGTTGCAGACAACCCAGGCAACAGGCTCCAATCAAGCCAATCACCAGGCCCACAGGCCTGTTTCCCCATAACCATAATGAGCAAGTCAGCACCCACCCCTGGTACGCCCACCCCTCAAGGTTAGGACTCCAGGAGCTGCCTCAGGAGGTGCGCCACGGAGAGGACTCTCTCTACCTTCCACTGCAGCATCTCCAACTTCTCCTCTTTCAAGCGCTGGCGGAGCTTCTCGTGCCGTGCACGGGCTTGCTCCTGCGCAAACTCAGCCAAAGAGAAGCGACGGCAAGCACTGTGGCGAAGGGCCATACCCAGAGTACAGCCACCACGGCTGGGCACACTGGTGAAGCCCTGGCAGCGGGGGAAGTAGAAGACGGTGATCCCATCAAAGGCTACACGGCCTGGGCGCTCCCGGCGAGCCCGCTTCAGGATAGACAGGGCTAGAAAGCAGGCAAAGATGGGCTGGGGATTAGTTTTCAGTGAGGCACAACTTACCTCCAAAAAGATCATGCCAGACTGCCCTCCCGCCTCCCACCTTTTCCCTCCTCCCTCTCCACCCATTTTGAAAAAAGAAATGTGAATTTAGGAGCCTGTGTGGTTGGGACTGGAGCGGCTGAAACTGAATACCACACCCATGTCAGAACTGGCTTATTGTTATTTACCAGTCCAAATGACAGTATTCGTAAGATTAAACATCTTTCCTATGTTTATTAGCCATGTACAGGTCCTTTGTACAGTTTTCTATTGTTTTTTATTGATTTGTAGGATTTCTGTGTTTTGCAACAGGCTTAAAAAGGCTTTCCCTTTACAAGTTAATGTTTATTGATTAGTAAGCTATGTACTGGTATTTTCATTAGGTTGAACCATAGCAAATTACCATGTAATGGTCAAATATTGGAAATTCCATATATTTCAACTTACTATATTAATTTTGTACCCAGCTACCAGAGGGAATTCCCTTCTAAAAGGTTTTCTGTTTATACTGTTAGATTCCATGTGCTAAAAATTATATTCTTTTTATGTGTAATGCACAGATATATACCTACAGTACATAAAAAGGTAAACAGCACATCTATTGTATTAAAATTTCATGGTGGGGGATAATTAAGGAGAAAATGTCTAAATAGGCTTCCTGGGGAACAATAATGAAAAATAAGGTCCAGAAACACTGCTCTAGGGCCATGTTCATCAGTCTGGAATCACAACTATACAAGCTTGAAAATAACCAGGAAAAACCCCTTTTCACTATGTTCAGGCAAAATGGACAGCATTTTGACAGGAGAGGGACCGGCTTGACAGGCCCCGTGGCAGAGAAGCATGGGGCGGGCGGGGAACTCCAGCAGTTCCATTTGTAGGACGGTAGGGTGCTCATTGGAGAAACGAAACTGGAACAGAAGGGAGGGGCCAGACCGGGAAGGCCCTGAGAGCACTCTGCAGAGCTGCATCCCGGATGTCATCACTCCCAAGGTCAAAGGTGAATTAGCTGGGCTCAGGTGCCCCTGGACAGTGGACACTGAGTGACCACTATATTATAGCTCATGAGAGCTACCGCCATGGGGACCTAACCACCAGAGGCCAAAGGCATTTGGTCAGGGACTTCTAAATTTCATCTTTCAGGAAGGCAGGCAGGTGATGGAGTTCCCAGGGGAGGGAGTACTCACGGGTGAAACTTCTGGGGCCGCAGAAGTCACGGTCAGGCAGGGGCATCTGATCCCAGGGGCCTTCCTCCTCTGAGTCCCAGGCACGGGAGACAGAAGAGCTTGGGGAGCAGGAGCGAGACTGGCACCCAGAGGAAGAGGAGGAGGAGGAGACCGAGGAGTTGTCCTCATCCAGCTGGTCAAATTTCCTCTTCAACAGCCCAGTCATGGTGGTGCCGGACGTGCTCTGGGGTCTGGGGACAGACAGCCTGGAATAGGAATGAGAAGGCTCTAAGTGGCAGGCAGGCAGCAGCAGGTGGACTTCCAGCCAGGATCATCATCCCTCCCACTTACCCTCCAAGGCATCCCAGACCCTGGCCTCTGCCCTCCAGCCCTGCCTGTGGAGCTCTGTGTGGGGGAGGGCACAGTCTCCAGGAGGATCTCTGCACAAGACACAGCACCTCCCTCCCTCCAAACTAATGTGCAAATCCACAGCCTGATGCTTCAAACTCCCACCTCTGCCCAAAGCCTTCCCAGGCACCAGGCACCTTCCCCACTACCTCCTACAACACACACTTACATACATACACAAAACACACACACACACACACACACATGCATCCACACCAGCAGGGGAAGGAGGCAGACAGACCAACAGATGGACTGACAGACCTCAGCCTGGTCTCACTCATTCCCCGACAGGAATCCTGGCGCTGACTCACAGGCTGGGTGATTCACACAGCTTGCATCTGTGTGCCTGTGTGTGTGTGTGTGTGTGTGTGTATGTGTGTGTGTGTACGCCCTACAGCCCGCACAGCCCGCACGGCCCTGGTATGGTGGCTCTGCTTCCTCCTCCTCCTCCTCCAGCACATCCAAACAGGCACGCCACTCTGCACACAGGCAGGGCTGCGGGCCCTTGCTCCAGGCTAGCCAGGCACTCTGGGGAACAGGCTGGCTTTGACGTTGGCCTCCATTCCTAGACGGAGTAGTTTCTGAGCCCTTCCCCTCCCGGTGTGGGAGCTTCTCAGACTTTCCCTTAGAAACCCCCGCTCCACTGTCAAGAAGTCTCCTGCCTCCAGGCCTGTGTGACCACAGCCACTAAGGCTGTCTCTTTAACATCTCATTTGATCCTAATGTCCAAAGTCTCTCCTGTCTGTGGCTTCGTGACATGGAGCACCCCACAACACAACACTGTCTCCCAAGTGAGAGTCTCAGCCCTCAGCAGAAGCATAACCAGAGACTCCCACAGCTGGCTGGCCTTATCCAAGCAGAAGAGACTTGGGGCTCATTCCCTGGAATGCTTCAGCAAATAAGGGTCCTTCCCAAGGTTTGGCAAGCCCCAGAGGACTCAATCCCAAAGGCTGAGTACAGCTACCTTGTGTCTGTTGCTCCAGCTGGGCCTTCGGGGAGGTCACCAGGGGGAAAGGGAAAGGAAGTTGAAGCTGAGGCCGAGGCCCCAGTGCTGGGGAACCCTTCCCCCACTGCCATCACAGGAAATGAGAGAGAACAGGAAAAACCAACCAGAAGGCTGTCTTGGTCTCCTCTACTCAGGTGTCCTTTCCAAACACTCCTTTGCCCTCTTCCCAGCCGCCTACAAAGTCCCCGAATCCTGTAGAGTTTGCTGTCAACCTTACTAACTGGATAATGTTTACCCCAGGGACAGCCTCCCCTAGGCAAGCGTGAGAGAAGCAAGAAAATCTCCCTCCCCAGCCAATCCCCCACCCTGGGCCTGGGGGAAGACTCACAGATGTTTCCGGGGGCTTCTCCGTGGGTAGTTTCTCAGGCTTGGCACCCCCCTCCCAGGGTCAAACCACAAACAAAAACAACCCAGCTCCCAGCTGACCAGCAGGTTCTCCCAGGAGGTGGGGGATTCATGACCCAGAGGCAGGCATACTCACATGTACACACATGCTCAGACAACACGGAAACACACATATGGACAAACAACACCCACACATCCTGTCCCCATCGCATCCTGCCAAGAGACCCCATCCTTTCCCCAGTTCCAGATGCCATCTACAGGGCCCTGAATGCCTCCTTCACCACACATCCAGCCTGAGATCCCCCAGGACCCACTGCCCACTTGTTATCTCCGCCCAACCATCCCCTAGAAACATAAAATTCTGCAGGCCCCAAATCGAACCCCTTGTGTCTGTTCCCCACCCCCCATGCCATCTGTTCCTCTTCCTGTGTTCCCTATCTTAGTAACAGCCCCACCACCCACCCAGTCACTCAAGCCAGAAACCTGCAGTCATCCTCAACTCCTTCCTCTCTCTTCCTCCATCTATATCCAGGCACGCCATGCCTGGGAGTTCATGTAAATCCGTTTAATCCACACAGAGCCAGGAACAGACCCAGGAGGTATCATGGAGGCCACGTGGCCGTGTTAAGAGCTTCGGCTCCAGGACCAGACTGCCTGCTTTTGCATGGAGGCCACGTGGCAGTGTTAAGAGCTTCGGCTCCAGAACCAGACTGCCTGCTTTTGAACTCTGGCTCCACTGTTACTTGGCTGGGTAATCCTGGGCAAGTTCCTTAACCTCTCTGTGCCTCCAATTCTTTGTCTTAAGACCTCATAGGGTTGGGGGGTTTAGAAGAATCAACACATGTCACATGTTCTTAGATTAGTGATAAGTGCTCAGTGAATGTGTTATTCCACACTGTTTAAAAAAAAAAAAAAAATGAGCTCCAGCTCCTGGATGCACACGACACAGATGCATCTCACAGACATCATGCTGAGTGAAAGAAGGCAGACACGAAATACATGCAAATGTTCAAAAAAAAAGGCAGAACTACTCTGTGATGATATAAGTCAGAGCAGTGGTTCCCCAGGAGAGGGAGAAGGACACCCTGGAGAGAGTCATGAGGGAAATTTTCTGGGGTGGGAGGTAGGAAGGGCTGGGGGACCTGTAAAAGTTCTATGTTGATCTGCATGGTGGTTAAATGAATGTCTAAAATTGTAAAAATTCGTCTTATGGACACTTAAGATTTATATACTTACGCATTTTATTTAGGTTACTATCAATTTAAAAAGTTCACTAACCTTAACATGTCTCTGTCCCCACAGTGGCCACCCCATGTCCCTCTACTCCTGCCCTCTTTCCCCAGCCATTCTTGATCCTGCAGCCAGAATGACCTTCTTAAACCACACATTTACCTGCCACTCCCACGCCTAGAACCACTCTATAGCTCCCCTTGGGGCATTAGGATCAAGTCCAGAATTCAAGAAGCTGAAGCTGACCTGGCCACTGCTTCCCTCTCCCCACCTTGCTCTCTTTACTCCAGCTGAACTGGCAGTTCCCGTAATGGCCATGTCCCTGCTCACCTCCTGGCCTCTGCAAAGCTGGAACAACCCAGCCTTATTCCCTTTCAGAAAGTCATCTTTCAAGGGGCTTCCTGAATCCCCCACTCCTTCCTCCTGCCTTTCTGTGCTCCTGCTATGGACTGAATATTTGTATCCTACCAAAATTCTTATGTTGAGACTGAATCCCCAGTGTGACGGTATTTGGAGGTGGGCCTTGGGGTAATCAGGAGATGAATGACACCTTATTAGCACCTTTATAAGAAGTGACACAAAAGAGATGGTCTCCCTCTCCAACATGTGAGCTCAGACCCAGCAAGAAGGTGTCCATCTGCAAGCCAAGAAGGCAGACTTCATCAGGCTGACTAGAGCCTTGATCTTGGACTTCACAACCTCCCAAAGTGTGAAAAATAAATCTTTTGTTTAAGCAACCCAGTCTATGGACTTTCCATTATAGCAGCCCAAAGGAAAACAGCTCCCAAAAACCCTGGTATTTCCCTATCACAGACTATATCTGATCAGACTGCAAGGGCCTCATTGCTCATCTGCCTCACACTGAGGGCATTTCTCTCTGGCTGCCCATGTGCCCATGTCTAGGACAGAGTCTGGCATAGAGAAGGCACCTGATAATACCAGAGGTAAGCAGACCAGCCCTGCATATCGGGTATAGACCCAACTGCACAGGCAATCTTACCCACATGAGGCTGCTGAGGGCGACTGGTCAGTGTGACCTTCTCCTGCTCCTGTCACAGTTAATTTAAGAGGGGCAGGAGGAGAGTCACATGTCTATCCCCCAGCTGTGCCAGAGGGTACAAGCAAGAATGGTGCTCAAAAAGGGTGGCTCTGGTGGCAGGAGAGGGAAGCTCAGGCTGCAGGCAGGTGCCAATGTAGGCAATCCCAGGAGGCTCCCTGGTCCCCCAAGAGGAAACAGATGGAGAGAGATGTCAGGAAAGCAGGCTCAGATACGCACTGCGGCTCTGCCTAAGGGATCGCCACAGAAAGAGAACTTAAGGTGAGGAGGTTATGACCTCCAAGCCTACAGACAGGGAAACAGAGACACAGGGAAGCTACGGTCATGCTGCAGGTTCTAGTGATGAACAATCCCCTCCAAATCTGCAGAGCGGGAATGAAATGAGAAATTACCTCCTCCCTGATACTCCTCTGGAGAGGCGGGGGAAGTGCCCCTGGTTCTCATGTTCCTCTGTTCCACCTCGGAATCCAGAGGCTAAGAGGCAGAGGCAGGAGATGAAACAAAAAGACTGAGCCAGAGACAAGGAGAGGCCAAGAGGGAATGAAACATAGTGAGAATCTAAGAAAAGTGTCAGACAGTGAGTCAGAGGTGGGGGGAGGGGCCCTCAGCAGCTACCCAGGAATCAAGATCCTGACCATGGCAGTGTTCCCAGGGTGAGCACAGCCCCCTCCCTAGGGTCCTGGAGGAAGGAAAAGCAGTTCCCAGGAGCTGGCTCAGACAGAAATACCACACCGCCGAGGAACCCCAGAGACAGGCCCTGAATCTGAGAGCCAGGCTTCTTCTGGGATCTGAGCCCTGACAATCAGGCAGCCCTCCTGCCACCACACACAGGCACTGACAACCCCCCACTCAACTGGCCACAGTTATCCACACGCTCAGGTCACACTGTGCAAATCCAGGAAAGGCCACCTCACCCCTGGGCACCAAGTAACCAAAGGCTGTTTTTGAGAAGTGGGGGCGGGGCTTGAAAACGTCACAGCAACTCCTCTGTCCACCTCAGCAGTCCTACCAGTGCCCCAGGCCTCAACCCAAGCCAGTCTTAGGGAGGGGGCACCTTTAGCTGCCTCCATCCCCCTTCAGGAATCTGAAGAATGTGTCCTTTAACCTCAGAGCCCCAGGCCTTGGCCAGTCCCCCCAAAACACTTGGGGTCACATGACCCCTGTCCCTCAGGAACTTCCTGGGAGAAGGGGAGGGCACCTCCCAGCACCTCTAGCCCCCACTGAAAAACCAGCCTGGGTGGCCCTGAGAGGGCAGACCGAAAGCCTTGGCACCTCCTCCCCAACCATCCCTCTGAAGGAGAGCTGGGGGAGGGGACGGCTCCTCGGCTTTGGCCTCCAGGACCTGGCACTGGATAGGTGCCAAATGTTTGCTGGCTACATGAGGCACTTGTTCCTGCAGAAGGGAAACTGCACCTGACAATGACTGCTTCCTCCACCTAAGTGGGGCCTTCTTCCCTCTCTCATTCATTCATTCAACAAATACACACTAAGCTCACATATGTGCCAAACACTGTGGCAGGCACTCGCGCATGCAGGGAGCAAGACTTATACAACTGCTGCCCTCTTGAAGCTCTGAATTGAGCAGGGAGGACAAATAGAGTGGGGTGCTGGGATGGAGGGTCTGAAGGGTGGGACAGGGTACGGCTGGGGTGAAGGTAGGTCTCTCCGAGGAAGGAATGTAGGCAGAGTTCCAGATAGGGGCTCCGCATGGGTAAGGAACAGGAGGAGGGACCAGCACAGTGTGATCGGAGGAGGGGCAGCCCGCGAGGCTGAGCCTGGGCTCCAGGGCAGGCTTTACCTCGAGGGCACGGCAAGCCACAGAAGGCTTAAGTAGGGAGTGACAATGCCAGATTTGCATTTTAAAAACGTGGCTCAGCACCGGGAGTGGAGGGGGTGTGACCGGTTGGAGGTGCTGCCAGGGCCAGGAGAGATGACAGGTCAAGGGCATAGGAGAAAGGCAGATACCAAGATGTGGAGAAGGAAGAGGGCAGGGCTGTCAAGGATTTGGATCGGGGGAGGTGACGAGCTACTCTCCAAAAGGCTTGAGACTTCTGGGTGGAGGTGCTGGGTGGGCAGCAGGAGACGGGGAGGAACCCTCTGGTGTCAGGAGTGTGGGCTACGGCTGTGTGTGTTTGTGCCGGGAGCGGGAGTGACTAAGTGTGTGACTATGGCTGTGGTGTGGGCATCTCCACAGTGCGTGCCTGTGAATGGGCCCCGGGGAGGAGAAACTGAGGAAGGGGAGGAAGTACGTGCTGCGGAAGGAGGAGAAGTGCGTGGGAGAGAGTCTACGTGTGCCTGCGGGTGGCCGGTGTAGCTGAGCCCGTGACTCACAGCAGTGGCCTCTGAGAGTGACGGCGACTGACAAACAGGTGAGCCTACGACACAATCCCTCCCTCCCGGGGTCCGTGACTCACCGCGCCTCCCTCTACGCTCATCCCTCCACTCCCTCCCTGACCCCCGCCGGCCGGGGGCGCCCGGCACACGCCGCAGCTCCCGCAGCCTCCCCGAGGGGGGAGCCCGAGGAGGAAGGCGACAAATGTCACCTGCTCCGGCCACGCGAGGAACTTCTGAAAAGTTCTCAGGCAACTGGGTCAAAAGGAAACTCACCCGCGGACGCACGCCCCCGTCGCCTCGCCGCTCGCGCGCAAGCCCGGCTCTGTCCCCACTCGCGCCGAGCTCGGGGAGCCGTGACTTCTCTCGGGGTTACCGCGGCGGGCGGGGGAGGGGAGCAGAAAACCTGCGACTCCCGCCGGCCGGGCCCCCGGCCCCCGACTCCGGCCGCGGCACGCCGTCAGAGCCGGGCAGCTCCAGCCCCCGCGCCCGCTCAGGGTGCCGGGGAGTGAACGGCAGGAGGCAGGAGCGGCAGTGCCACTCGCGCTGAATGCCCCCTCCCCAAAGTCCCGTCCTGCCGGGCCCGAGGCCCCTCGGCGCTCACCTGCAATCCGGACGCTCGCGGAGGACAACGACGCGACCCGCGTCCCGGCCGGGGACGCCCCCTGCGCCGCGACTCTGTGCGCTCGGCCCGGCAGCCGTCGGTCCAGCCGCCCCTCGCTCTGCGCGTCCGGCAGCGGCGGCGGCGGCGGGAGACTGCCTGCGCCCAGCCCCGCCCGCCGCTCCGCCCTCCTCGTCAGTGGAAAACTCCGGGGCTCACTGCGCTGACGCACGCCGGGCCTCCAGCCAGGCCGCCCGGCAGCCCCGCCCCGGAGGCGCCGCCTCCTCCCCCGCCTGGAGCCTGGCGCAGCGGCCTGGGGGCCTCCCTGCGGACTGTGACCCGGCGACTGCGCCTCCGCCGCTCTCCGCCCCCAGCCCTCTCCCGCCAGCGCCCTCCCCGCCCCGCTTCCAGCACGGTCCCTAAAGGCGCGGACGACTCAAGCCGGCAGAGCCGAGCGTAGAGATCCCCACCTCGCCCCACCGCCCCAGTTTACAGATGGGTAGACCGAGGCCGGGAGCACCTCGTAACTCCGCAAGGCCACGGGCTAGACAGTGGCAGAGCCGACGTCTCCTGTACGCTCTCCACCCCCACCCCTCTAGAGGGAGTTTATTTTATTCCAATCTAAAAGTTCCCCCCTCCGCCCCCAACCTACCACCCACCCCCAGATCCGCCGGAAAAGTAAACTGTGGCTGGAGAGGAATCTGGGGTGTGTGGGGAGCGGGGAGGCAGGGAGCGGGAAGGATGGATGTAATCAGTGGGCCTGAACTTCATTCCTGCCCACGGGCCAAGAGACCCTTCCCTGCAGAAGTTCCAAACTAGGGGTTCTTAGAACTAGCTTCCCCACTCCCACCTCAACCTTCCCTTAAAAAAATAAAAAGGCTGGTTTCTTCCGGGCCAGATCTTGGCCACTTAAAATGGTCCACTGCCTTCTCTGCTCCCGCCAAGGCCTTTCCTGACTCGGGGCCAACCCTCCCGGTACGACATGCCCCGGCAACCAAGTCCTGGCCTGGGAGCCCACCCTCAGCCCCACTTCCCAACCGCAGGTACGAGTCTACTCATCACCTCGAGCGTTTCCACCCTCACGCTTTTACTGCAGCCGGTCTTCTCGACTGGAATGCTCTCCTGCCCTCTCTCTGCTTACCAGAATCCCAATGCCTTTAAGGGCTCAGCTTGCACTGCCTCCTCCAGGGAGCCTTCGTGGGAGCCTGACCCTCCCCCTCCCAGTCCTGCTCCCGCTGCATTCTGGGTTCTTCTGACTGTCCTAGATGAATGCTGTCAGCCACTAGCCCAGCCCTCAGGATTCCATTCTACCTTCCTCCAGGTTGGGGGTGGGGGTGACCTCCTGGCCTTCTTGGATGGCATCTGCGGTGGAGTTGATGGTGAGAGCCCCTCTTCAGCCACAGATGTGCATGTAGAATGGCAGGGGTCTGCTCCACTTTACCTTTCCTGCAAGAACAACAGGAGGAAAGCAGGTTGGGGGAAGATAAAGGCCCTGTCCTTCCGCATGCATTGAGTGTGTACCTGGGAGCCTGCAGGCGGAGGTGTCTGGGCAGCTGGAGCCAAGCTTCCAGTGGCTTCCCAGTACCCTCCTGATGAAGTCTCAACTCCTTGGGGCCTACAAAGCTGAAATAATCGGCCCTTTCTCACTTTTGCAGTCTCACCTCTCTCTTCATACCCTCATTTACCACTCCCTTCCCCCCCCTTCAATGCCATTAATGTGTGTACGTGTCATTTTGTTGGTTTATGTGCTTTTTTTTTTTTTTTTCCGAGATGGAGTCTCACTCTGTTGCCCAGGCAGGAGTGCAGTGGCTCAATCTCGGTTCACTGCAACCTCCGCCTCCTGGGTTCAAGCGATTCTCCTGCCTCAGCCTCCCGAGTAGCTGGGATTACAGGCATGCGCCACCACGTCTGGCTAGTTTTTTTTGTATTTTTAGTAGGTATGGGGTTTCTCCACGTTGGCCAGGCTGGTCTCGAACTCTTGACCTCAGATGATCCACCCGCCTTGGCCTCCCAAAGTGCTGGAATTACAGGTGTGAGCCACCGCGCCCGGCCAGTTCATGTGCTTTTAACGTTAGTCCTTCTGCATTTGGTTTTATTTTATACATGAGGTATGATTCTGTCGCAGCCTCACCTGTACACTTCCACCTCATACCCCTGATGACTGCTCTCCAGCTCTGTTGGCCAGTTGTCAGTTCTCAGAGTATGTCCTGTTTTAAACTTTCAAGGATGCTGATCCCACCTTGCACCTGCCTTGCACCCACTTAGTTGTGTGGTTTCCTTGTGCATTTCCTTGTGCTTTGTCTGTGAGCAGTGGGAGGGCAGGAGCAATGTTGGACTTGATCACTGCTCTATCTCCAGTGCTTGATAAGAACTTGTTGAATAAACTAAACATGACTAGCAAATGGGTAAAGTTGCTAGGGCTCAAGGAGAGGGCAGGGCTGGAGGTGGCAGTGGATGGATTTTTAACACACAGCTAGCACACTGAAGCTATAGTGTAGCTGAGAATGCACAGGAAGGAGCTTAAAGGCTACAAAGCTGGGTGTCTGTTGCTAGAGGTGACTCCACTCTCAGGGCTTTAAGGGGTAAACCCGCAGGCCACCCACCCTCCACCACCCACCTCAGACCTCAGCTGTGCTCTCACTGTGGCTGCGGGCTGCAGACGTTGCTGTTCCCAAGGAATCCTTTCCACTGCCTGCCTTCCTGCCTGCCTCTAATCTCCAGGCCAAGTTTCCAGCAGAAGAGAGGCTTCTATGATACCCAGAAGTGATCTAGTTTTGTTTCTGTCCCTGACTGTCTCTTTCCCTCACTTTCTGGCCTTTAGCTTTTCAATCTGTAAAATGGAGGCATTGGACAAGAGAACCCTCACCAGCTTCAACATTCCTTGACTCAGTTTCTAGAAGATGCTGCCTGCTTATCAGGGAACTGGGCAGGGTTGGGCACTAGAATTAATGAGGGTCTCTCATGCTGCCTACGTTTGCATCCTGTTGAGTTGTATATTGGGGAAACCAGACGAGTCAGAAATCAGGGTAGGGAGTTTGCTGGTGAGGGCTGGAGTGGCGCTTAGAGTGGGGAGCCCAATGGAAGAGAAAGAGAGAACAAAGGAAAATACAGGAGAATAAGAAGAATCAAGTGACGTGTGTTCTCCAGAAAAGCATCTCCCCGTCCTGGGATGGACTCACCAGATGTTCCCCAGATGTTACTGATGATGGGAAACATCTCCCTCTGGGATCCCAAGTAAACTCTTCTTATTCATGGGGAAAAGAAAGGTCTGTTCCAAAGCATTAAGGGTGGGGTCTAGAGCAGCATCCATCTGTGACTATGGCACATATATAGGCAGAAACACACCCACATATCCTCAAGGAATTTCTGAATACTTGGAAGAGTCCTAAGTTTCTCCAACATTCAGCATCCATGAACCACCAATTTTAGGTAAATAAAAATTATCACAAGTTTTAAATAAAATTTTTTTAAATTAAAAATTAATGCTTTATTCCCATTAGTAAAGCTAATCTCAAAGGAAACTAATAATATTAAATATGACAAAATTGAGAATTGACCAGATCCGTTGTAAATTGTTCAGGCTGGAGTGTAGTGGCATGATCTCAAGTCACTGCAACCTCCGTCTCCCAGGTTCGAGCAATTCTCCTGCCTCAGCCTCCCAAGTAGCTGGGACTACAGGCACATGCCACCATGCCTAGCTAATTTTTGTATTTTTAGTAGAGATGGGGTTTCACCATGTTGGCCAGGCTGGTTTTGAATTCCTAACTTCAAGTGATCTGCCCACCTTGCCCTCCCAAAATGGTGGGATTTCAGGCGTGAGCCACCATACCTGGCCCATCGTACATTGTTGATGGGAGGGTGAATTGACACAATCAGGGAACTGGGCAGGTTTGGGCACTTGAGTTAGTGAGGGTATAATTGGAAACTATTGGAAATAATTCCACTATTCAGTATATACCCAGGAGAAACAAGGCGCTTATACACACCAAGAGACATTTAAAATAATGTTATAGCAGTTTTATGTATGTTTTCAGCCCATAACTGAAAACAACACGAATTCTACTAATAGGTAAGTGAAAATTAATTGTTATCATATAATGGGATATTACACAACAACGAAAAATAACGAGCTATTGCTTCATACGATACTATGGTTTGAATGTCCCCGCCAAAACTCAGATTGAAATTTAATTGCCATTGTGTCAGTACTGGGAGGTGCGACCTTTGAAAGAGGAGTAACTATAATTCCACTTATTTTATTAAATTTTAAAGCAGGTGAATTAAAGCACAGTGATAGATAATGTTGCCTTGGGGATATTGACTGGGAAGGGGCACAAGAGCCTTCTGGGATGCTAGAGATGTTCTATATCTTGATCTGTGTAGCAGTTGGACAGGTATATACATGTGTAAAGATTCAAGTTCCTTACTGAAGATTTGTTCACTTTAAGTTTTACCCTGATTTTTTTTTTTTAAAGAGAGGAGAAGTTAGTGTCAATCACAGTGCCATTATTGTGAAAATGGAGCCAGTGTTTTCAGCCTTTCACCGATAATCTACATCTAGACCAGTGAGGTATATCTGGGGTCCACAGGTCAGGTTCAACTGTTTGGTTTCTCTTCATCTAAATTAGTGTGATGGTCTGGAGAGTTTTCCAACACCTACAGCCAATTATCTGATTCTCCAGACACCAGCTGGGTGTTCAACAATTCAACTTTAACACTAACTTCCCAGCATTAGTGCAGACCCCACAGCTTCAGGGCTCAGTCTCACAAGACTGACCATTCCTCTCAGACACCAGTCACAAGTTCCAGGCTTATTGTACTTCTGACCAACCAGCTATAAAGCTGGAGTTCCCACAGCCCCCTCCTAAAGTTCAATAATTTGCTGGAATGGCTCACAGAACTCAGGGAGACGCTTTAGTTACCAGTTTATTATAAAGAATGCAAACGAAGAGCCAGACGACGAGAAACAGATTAAGGTTCAGAAGTGTCTGGAGCACTGGGGTCTGCTTCCCTCTTGGTATGTGGATGTGTTCACCAGCCTGGAAGCTCATTCCGTCTTATTGTTCAGGAGTTTTTGTAGAGCTTAATCTCTAGTCCCCTTCCCCCTCCTGGAGGTTGATGGGTAGAGTTGAAAGTTCTAGCCTTCTAATCCCTTGGTCTTTCTGGTGATCAACCTCATTCTGAGGCTAAGGGCCCCACCCTTAATCACTTTATTATAATAGCATAGACTCAGGTGTGATTGTAAGGGGCTCCTGATGGATAAATCCTGTCACTCAGGAAACTCCAAGGGAAATTCCAAAGGAACTCTGAGCAAGAAAGTAGGGACAAAGACCAGATATATTTCTTATTTTGCCACAGATGGGTAAGAATTTTATTCCATTCATGACTCTCAAGTGCAAGGAGCTTCAAGTTATTTTTCATCTAAGAGTTTCATAGTTTTAGCTCTTACGTTTAGGTCTTTAATCCATTTATAGTTAAATTTTATATGATAATAAGCTAAGGGTCCAACTTCATTATTTTGCATATGAATATCTAGTTTTCCCAACATGATTTGTTAAAAAGAATTCCCCCTCCCCCAAATCAAATCCGAGCAGCTAAGTCTCAAGGGGAGCTTCCCCTTCAGTCAGCAGAGACACTCTCCTGTGTGCCATCCCAACCCCACCCCTCTGAGGTCTATCTGAAGAATGGGGATGCCTTCCCCTGTCTAGGATGACCTAGCTGTCTGATTTTCAGTCCATACTGTCTGCTTGTGGCTAATATTCTCCTTCTCCAAGCCCATGGATCCACTGAGCATAGAAGATGGGCCCTGCTATTTCTGAGCTATCCTTGGTTGTGCAGAGGGAAGGGAAGACTCTTTTATGAGGCTGCGAATAGGGACTAAGTTCCTGGCTTCTTAGGGGGCTCAAACATTCCCCTCTGGACAACCCCACCCAAACTACCTCCTCCTCTCCATAGTCCTGAGGGGAATTCTGCTCCTCTCCACCTTGCCTTTTACTCTTCCCCCTCCTCAAAGGAATTCCCCTCTCTAGGCCTTCATCTTGGTTGGAGACCCACCCCAGCCCTCTCAACAGGCTAAGGCAATTGTTCTCAAGTTCTAACGCCTGACCATCAGCATCAGCATCACCGGAGAAGCTGTTAGAAATGCAGATTCTTAGGTCTTTCCTAGACCTACTGAATCAGAAATTCTGCAAGTGGGGCCCAGCAACCTGGGTTTTAACAAGCCCTCCAATTGATTCTTATGCACATCAAATTTTGAGGCCCACTGAGCATTGCATTGGAAAGCAAGAATGCAGAAAGGAGACTGTCTTAAAGCACATTTCTTGAACATTCTTATTTATCTAAATTGGAAGACTTTTGTGCATAGATCTGTAGGTTAAAAATCCAAGCAGTTGAGTTCTGGGTCAAAGGAGTTTGAAAGACATTGCCAAATCACCATCCCAAAAATTGCACCAATTTCACTCTCAACCAGTAGTGTCTGAGGGTGACTGTTTCCCAACACCCTCCCTGGCACTGGGTGCTATCAAACTGTGAATCTCTGCCAATCTGATAGGAGAAACAAATCTTACTGTTTCAGTTGGCATTTCTCTTTTTACGAGTGAAGTTGAAGCTTTTAAAAACCATTTCTATTTCTCAGTAAACTGCTGGTTTATATTCCTTACTCATTTTGTCTTGAGTTGCTTTAGGTCTTTGAGGATGAAGGAGGTGAGCTTGTCTGTCTGTTACACAGTAGCACTTATTATTGGTTTGTCTTTCACCTTGCTTTATAGAATGCTTTACCGTACAGAAGTCTTTTTTTTTTTTCTTTTTTTTGAGACAGAGTCTCGCTCTGTCGCCCAGGGTGGCTGGAATACAGTGGCAAGATCTTGGCTCACTGCATCCTCAACCTCTAGGGTTCAAGCAATCCTCCCACCTCAGCCTCCCAGGTAGCTGGGACCACAGGTGCACACCACCACCCCCAACTCATTTTTTTTTTTTATTACTTGTAGAGACCAGGTCTTGCTATGTAGCTAGGCTGGTCTTGCGCTCCTTGGCTCAAGCAATCGTCCCACCTCAGCCTCTCAAAGTGTTAGGATTACACGTGTGAGCTTAAATTTTTATATAGCCACATTTCATAAATGTTTACTTTAGGGATCCTGGATTTTATTTGCTGAATTCTTTATCATACTATTATAAATAAATTTACTTATTGTTTCTCTATGGTCTTATGGTTTTATTTTTAATATATATCCTTTATCCACCTGGAATTTATTTTGATTTAGGGAATAGTGTTCCCATTATATTTTTCCCCCAAATGGGTAGCTAATTTTACTACCACCTTTCTCTACTAATTTAGAATGTCACCTTAAACGTAAACTGAATTCTGATATGTGTTGGGATCTATTTCTGATTTTCTATTCTGGTTTACTGAGTTGTCTATTTCACCTTTGGATACCAAATTGCTTTACAAATTATAATTTCATAATATTTTTATCATCTGATACATCTAGCCTCATCTTGTTGCTTTTCTTTTTCAGGGCTTTCCTGGCTCTTATTTATTTCCTCATTTGGTTGTCATATAATTTTTGACAAGTTCCTCACCTGACTAACAAACAAATCCTATGGGTATTTTGATTAGAGTCACAGTGAGTAAATGGATTGAGAAAGCACTGACATTTTTTATTTTTAAATTTTTAAAATGTGGAGTTGAGGTCTCACTATGTTGCTCAGGCTGATCTCAAATTCCTGGCCTCAAGTGATCCTCCCTAAGTTCTGGGATTACAGGAATGAGCCATTGTGCCCAGCCAACACTGACATTTTTATAATATTGAGTCTTTCTATTCAAAAGCACAGAATAGGCCGGGCACAGTGGCTCATACCTGTAATCCCAGCCCTTTGGGAGGCTGAGGCAGGTGGATCACCTGAGGTCAGGAGTTCGAGACCAGCCTGGACAACATGGTGAAACCCCGTCTCTACTAAAAATACAAAAATTAGTCGGGCGCAGTGGCTAATGCCTGTAATCCCAGCACTTTGGGACGCCGAGGCGGGTGGATCACCTGAGGTCAGGAGTTCGAGACCAGCCTGGCCAACATGGTGAAACCCTGTCTCTACTAAAAATACAAAAATTAGCTGGGTGTGGTGGCAGGCACCTGTAATCCCAGCTACTCGGGAGGCTGAGGTAGGAGAATCGCTTGAACCCAGAAGGCGGAGTTTGTAGTGAGCCGAGATCGCGCCATTGCTCTCCAGCCTGGGGGACAAGAATGAGACTCCATCTCAAAAAAAAAAAAAAAAAAAAAAATTAGCCAGGCATGGTGGTGGGTGCCTGTAATCCCAGCTACTTGGGAGGCTGAGGCAGAAGAACCACTTGAACCCCGGAGGCAGAGGTTGCAGTGAGCTGAAATCACACCACTGCACTCCAGCCTGGGTGACAAGAGGAAGACACTGTCTCAAAAAAAAACAAAAAACACAGAGTAGTCTGGCTACAGTGGCTCACACCTGTAATCCCAGCACTTTGGGAGGCCAAGGTGGGAGGATCACATGCATCCAGGAGTTTGAGACCAGCCTGGACAACATAGGGAGACCCTGTCTCTACAAAAATTCGAAACTTTGTGGTGTGTGGTGGCATATGCCTGTAGTTCCAGCTACTCGGGAGGCTGAGGTGGGAGGATCACTTGAGTCCAGAAGGTTGAGGCTGCAGTGAGTCATTATCATGCCACTGCACTCCAGCCTGGGAGACAGAGTGAGACCCTGTCTCAAAACAAAACAAAAAACAAAAGCCTAGAATAGAATGTTCTCTATTATTTTATTTATTTTTATTTTTAGAGACAGGATCTCACTTTGTTGCCCAGGCTGCAGTGCAGTGGTGGGCTCATAGCTCACTGCAGACTCAAACTCCTGGGCTCAAGCAATCCTCTTACTTTAGCTTCCCAAGTAGCTGGGACTACTGGCGTGCACCATCACATTTGGCTAATTTTGTTTGTTTTTAGCAGTGGTCAGGCTTCACTATGTTGCCCAGACTGGTCTTAAACTCCTGAGCTCAAGCCATCCTCCCGCTTTGGCCTCCCAAAATGCTGGGAGCACTTTGCCCAGCATTCTGTATAATTTTAATATTATCTTTGTAAAGGCCCTTATATGTCTTTTAAATATTTTTCTAAATATTTTGTCTTTTTGATTGCCATTATAACTGTAATTTCTATCGTATATTTCTGATAGATTTTATATATATACATATATTATGTATATAAAGTAAAGTAAAGGAGAGCTACTGGGTTTTGTATATGAACCTTGGAAACTGCCATCATCTTTATTTATTTATTTTTTTGAGATGGGATCTTGCTCTGTTGCCCAGTGGCACAATCTTGGCTCACTGCAACCTCTGCCTCCTGGACTCAAGTGATCCTTCCACCTCAGCATCCCTAGTACCTGGCACCACAGGTGCTCGCCATCATGCCTAGCTAATTTTTGTATTTTTTGTAGAGACAGAGTTTCGCCATGTTTCCAGGCTGGTTTCGAACTTCTGGGCTCAAGAAATCCACCTGCTTCAACCTCCCAAAGTGCTGGGATTACAGGCATGAGCCACCGCACCCGAGCCATCCTGAATTACTGCCTCTCTAATAGTTGGGAATTTTCCAATCACATCATCTACATATAAATTTGCTTCCTCTTTCCAATATTTACATCACATTTCTCTTTTTTGTCTAATTACACTGGCTTGAACTGCTAGAGCCATGTTAAATGATAATGATCATGATGGCTGCTTTCACCTTGCTTTTTATTTTTTGGCTTAAAACAATAGAAATTTATTCTCTCACAGTTCTGGAGGCCAGAAGTCCTAAGTCAAGGTGTTGGCACTGCTGTTTCCTTCTGGACACTGTGAGGGAAAACCATTCCCTGCCTCTCTTGCAGTTTCTGGTGGCTGCCGGCCCTCCTCGGCACTCCTTGGCTTGTGGCCGCGTCCCTCTGGGCTCTGCTCTGTCTTCACGTTGCCTTCTCCCCTGTGGGCCTTTTCTCCTCTTCTCTTCTGAAGACACTTATCATTGGATTTAGGGCCCATCTCAATCCATGATGATGGCATCAAGATTGTTAACGGAATTACACCCACAAAACTCCTTTCATACATTCACAGCTTCCAGGAGGACATTATCTTTGGAGGCACTACCTTCAACCTGATGCTTTTTCCTGAAATGACTTTTTTCTTTTTACATTTGGCTACTGTGGTATAAACTGTTGTCCCATCCGAATGACCTGACATGCACCTGAAACATGTTTGAAAACGCAACGTTTGTTAGTGCAGTCAGCTCTCCTCTGGAACTTTTCAGCTAATCTGTCACCTTACAGCTCTTGGTTTAATCCTCCTCTTACCTGGGTATAGGATGTGCCCACAATGTCAGGCCTTTTCGTTCTCTCTCTATATATAATTTTTTCTTTCAATAGCTTGTGGGGTCCCAGGGGGTTTTGGTTTCATGGATGAATTATATAGTGGGGAAGTCTGAGATTTTAGTGCATCTCTCGCCCAAGTAGTGTATATTGTCCCAATATCTGTCACCCCTTTTCCACCCCCCTACTTCTGAGTCTTCAAAGTTTATTACACCATGCTGTTTGCCTTTGTGTACCCACAGCTTAGCTCTCACTTATAAGTGAGAACATACAGTATTTGGTTTTCCACTCCTGAGTTACTTCACTTAGAATAATGGCCTCCAGCTTCATCCAAGTTGCTGCAAAAGACATTATTTCATTCTTTTTTACAGCTGAGTAATATTCTATGGTATATATACCACATTTTCTCTATTCACTCATTAGTCGATGGACATTTAGGTTGGTTCCATATCTTTGCAATTGTGAATTGTGCTGCTGTAAACATGCATGTGCTGGTGTCTTTTTCATATAATGACTTCTCTTCCTTTGTGTAGATACCCAGTAATGGGATTGTCAGATCAAATGGTAGATTTAGTTCTTTAAGAAATCTCCATACTGTTTTCCATAGACGTTGTACTAATTTACATTCCCACCAACAGTGTATAAGCATTCCCATCTCACCACATCCACACCATCATCTGTCGTTTTTTGGCTTTTTAATAATGGCCATTCTGGCTAGGGTAAGGTGGTATCTTACTGTGGTTTTACTTATTTCATTGTTATTATTTTTTTTTGAGACAAGGTCTCACTCTGTCACCCAGGCTGGAATGTGGTGGCATAATCACGGCTCACTGCAGCCTTGACCTCCCTGGCTCAAGTGATCCTCCCAACCTCAGCTTCCTGACTAGCTGGAACTACAGGCACATGCCACTATGCCCCACAAATTTTTGAATTTTTGTAGAGACAGGGGGTCTCCCTATGTTGCCCAGGCTGGTCTCGAACTCCTAGATGCAAGCAATCCCAAACTGCTGGGATTACAGGCATGAGCCACCACACCCGGCCTAAACTAGATTCTTCAGGTGGATACCACTCTTGCTCCTGTTTAACTTTTTTTTTTTTTTTTGCCTCGTTTCACATTTTTATATTTAATTTAATTTTGGCTGATGGTAACATTGCAGCCTTAGCTTACTATTTTCTGGTACACCTTGGTTTGTATTTTATTTTTAACCTTTCTGAGTTATTTTGGCAAAGATGCATCTCTTGCACACATCATACACTTTTTAAGACACTTTTATCATTCGATGTGAGAATCATTTTTCTATCATGAGTAGTTTTATCCCATTTACATGTGCTGATATAACTGACATATTCGCCTTAACTGTGTCTTCTTATCTTGTTTTCTATTTAAATACTGCTTGTGTTTTCTATGTTTTACCCTGTGTATTTTTGTCTTCTTCGGTATGCATGTGTGTGTGCGCCTATATGTTTGTATTTTTGTCTGATTATTTGAAGGTTCATAAGTCTGTTTTTAATATTTCTAGTGGTTGCTTTTATATCAATTTATTTCTCTGCCAAGAAAAGAAAACATTTAGATGTAGGAAAAGAGTTGTATTCTCAAAGGCTAAGCTTTGGCACCACAGTTCTGTCTTCAAAATCTTGATGTCTTTTTCTCAATATGAAAGAGGTTGATAGCCTTGCCCAGAAGCCAAAAGTTCAGGGTAATCAAGATACTGAATGTGCCACTGAGATGCTGCTTGAACTAGCCACCTACATCAAAGAGCTATCAGTACCACAAAGGGATGCTGTATCTCATCTCTTCTTTCAAAACCTCATGTGAATATCTTTCCTTCAGCAACCAGCATACTTTGTTCAACAGTGTCTTTGACTTACTGTCCATTTCTCTACACAGTATTCTGAGAAGACATAATAGGAGAGGCCATGAATTGAAGGCATTGACTCTTCTTGCTATTTGTTTCTATATATATCGAGATTAGGAGCCAGATTGTTGCCTGACAGCTGGTCTTTGTGAATACAGTGGTGTATGGTTGACATTCAGCTGCAAGTTTTTTTTTTTTTTTTTAAATCTGTGAATTGATGCTGGTTGGTCAGTCAGTATACCAAAAGATAATAGCACACTTAAAACCAAGATGAGGCGGCTCTGCCTATGGAGTAGCCATTATTTTATTCCTTTACTTTCTTAATAAACTTGTTTTCACTTTAAAAAAAAAAAAGGCTTGTTTTAGGAAGCCTGATTTTAGGAAGGCTTGTTTACAAGGGGACTATTTGCAGTCTTGCAGATATAGAAGTATGCCAAGAGATGATACAATAAACTGGAGAAGCAGTAGCAAAGCTGTTACCACCAACAGGCCTGAAGAAAAAAAGGGTGGAAGGTGTCATTAGAAGGGAGAGAACCGATGGAGTGGGCTGTCTTGGGAGGACCAGTGGCCTCCTGTTGAAGGATGCATCCAACCCATGGTGACTCACAGGCAGGAAGCCAGGGGATTAAGTGCCCTGATCTCACTCTCTTCCTTCTCCATTTCCTGCTGGGGATTGCCATTGCTGAAACCCAACTGGGAGCCAGAAGCTCATTCATCTAATCTTGCAAAGGAATTCGGTGATAAACAGCATAAAAAGTTAACAAGCACATTTCCCTCATGTGTCTTGAAAATATGTGAAGAGCTGACTCACACTCCACACACCAGTGGTGCACCCATTAGCAATGTCTGCAACTATCAGTGATGGAAAACAAGTTACAGTGGCTTTAAACATAGAGAGGTTGACTTCTATACTATAGCAGGCAGTCTTGAAGTAGTCAACCACTGACATTCAGTGGCTCAATAATGGCAGTGCGGATGTGCCTACAATTATTTCAGCTTTTACCTTGTACTGGTTGCTTCATATTTGCAAGATGGCTGCCCAGCCCCAGGCATGGTCAACTTAGGAAGAAGGAGGGAAAGAGGTACCAGCATGTATGCCTAATTATTAAGAAAACAAAAATTTTCAAGAAGTACCCTCAGCAGACTTCCCATCACATTTCATTGATCAGAATGGGGCTTCGTGGTCTCCTATAGTAGCAAGGAAGACTGGAAAGGTGGAAAATGGGTTGATCATGCCTGATTTAGATGACTTGTAATTAATTGCTTGAGACTGGAGACTTTGGTGCATGGATCAAAATCAGGGATTTGTCATCAAGAAGGCAGGGATGGGATGAATTCTTGACAATGAATGAGGCTTACCACAAGTAGTTTTATTCAACAATGAAGCCAATTGTGTGCTAGCACTCACTCAGGACAGCAATTGCTCTTTCACAGAATGTGCCATTGATTTTCTGTGACAGCCAAAAGTGTTGTTTGATCCAGTAATTTCATCAAGAGCTTGCTCTGCTTTTTCTGTAATCATCATATTCCCTGGTAGCCTATGACTCAGTTTATAAGCCATGATGTGAATTGTGTTGATTTTCACTGTAAGTTGGACAAGTTTAATGATGCCTTTGTGGTTTCAATCTTTTCTCTGTCTTTAGTGAGAAAGTGCATCCCTATCACAGTAGACTTTATTTACTCACATTCAGGAGAAGCTTGATTGGTTTTCTAACTAGCTTACAAGGTCTGATGCAAACAAATATGATGCAAAGGCCTCACTGGGCATCATGCCACTATCTGACAAGTTTCACAATAGATGATGCCTCAAGAGGAAATGCATTACAAGCTAACAAAATCCTATTTTTGGATATTCATTCCCATACCCTTATTTCTGATTCGTACTTTTTTTCCTACTTGTATAAAATCATCTGATTCAACCACTCATCAGCCCTAATATATATAATCACACTTTATATTGCAGTATTTTTGTTACTATTTTCAATAATACTTTTATTCTTTAATGAACCTTTTTTGAACGATGGATCTATCTTTATGATTTGGGGCCATACTGCCATTATTATATGATATAATAACAATAATAGTAACAATAAAATGGAAATATAATAAATATAAATAATACCATGAAAACAGTATGAAAATGTTTTATCAAGTTGGACTACAGCTAATGGTATTTATTCTCTTTACTAAATACAAGCTGAGCTAAACTGCTTAATTCAGCTCTGATGGCCCAGGTGCATGCTACAAGACCATGATAATTATTACAAAGGTATTGAGATTTCTATGGAAATTATCATTGATCTCACATTTATGAAATGTATGTGAACAAAATTTCTTGTCTGTGTAGCAACCTCTGTGTAGCCATGCCCTGCTTGTATCCCCTTGGCCTTCATAGTTCTCACACCTCCTGATGGTTTCTCACTGCAAACACAGGTGACTCTCTGCCTGAGTGATGTTTCTGGTCACAGGACTATGCTCCACAGGCACACAGGGCAGGCTGGACATGCCCCTGAATACAGCCCTTAGCTGACAATGGGTTAGGGTAGACACTGAGGGGTGTTCCAGACAGCATCCCAGAGGTCCCAGGGAGATTGAGCTGCAGCTGCCCACCCTGGTAATTTACTCATCAACACACCCTGTGTTGGTTTCCTTCCCTTCCCTGCCCATCTTCCTTTCTTTCCATGAGTGCTTCCTGGGATCCAAGTGAAACACTCAAATCTTTGTCTCTGGGTTTGCTTCTGAGGGAAATGAGCTCGAGGCAGTTTTTTCTTTGAAATATCCCTGCCGGCTCTGAGATTCATGGAACACATTTTAGGAAAAACTATTCTAGACAACTCTGCTCATTTCATCAATGAGCGGACTGTGGCCCAGAGTCGGGGCCCTGAAGTGCCTAGGGTTACTCTATGGTGAGGGACAGACCCAGCGGCCCTGGTGTTTCTATGGAACCAGCATAGACTGATGTCCTGATGCCCTTGGGGGCTGCCTTGGAGGTGTAACCTGAACTCCCCCAACCAGGCAAGACACACAGGGGCCTCAGCCCTTCTTAGACTTACCTGGAAGATCCACTGAGGACAGGGAGCTCCTGGCATAAGCTGGGGCAGGAGGGGAATAAGAGAAGAGGAAGCTAAGGCTGGAAGGGGTCTCCAGCCAGTGAAGGGCTGGGCCTGACCACTCTGTACCTCCTCTCTCCCCTGAACCCCTCTCACCTCGCTTTCCCAGCTCTTGTGTTTTTCTCCTTCCGCTCCTGCCCTCACCATTGAAATGAAGGGTTTTCTGGTCTGTTCCTTCCTGGATCTTTCCTAAAGAAGTCCCCACACAAACATCCCACACAGAGATCTCTTCGGCTTATGATGGAGTTAAGTCCTGATAAACCCATCATAAATTGAAAATATCATTAGTCAAAAATGCATTTAATACACCTAACCTACTAAACAACATAGCTTAGCCTCTCCTACTTTAAATGTGTTCAGAACATTTATACTAGCCTACAGCTGGGCAAAATCATCTAACACTTTTAAGACTATCTTACAATAAAGTGTTGCATATGTCCTGTAATTTATTAAATACTAAAAGTGAAAAATAGAATAGTTGTATGGGTACTTGAAGTACGGTTTCTACTAAATGTGTATAGCTTTCACACTATAGTGAAGTACAAAAATTGTAAATAGAACCATAGTAAGTAGGAGATCATCTGTGTACACACTCGTTTCTCTCTGGGATTAGACCCTGGCTCTGTGGATCTCAAAGAAACTGAGAGGGGGCTGGGCGTGGTGGCTCACACTTATAATCCCAGCACTTTGGGAGGCCAAGGAGGGTGAATCGCCTGAGGTCAGAAGTTCGAGACCAGCCCGGCCAACGTGGTGAGACCTTGTCTCTACTAAATATACAAAAATTAACCGGGCATGGTGGGGCATGCCTGTAATCCCAGCTACTCGGTAGGTTGAGGCAGGAGAATTGCTTGAACCCAGGAGGCAGAGGTTGTAGTGAGCCGAGATTGCGCCACTGCACTCCAGCCTGGACAACAAGAGTGAAACTCTGTCTCAAAAAAAAAAAAAAAAAAAAAAAAAAAAGAAGAAGAAGAAGAAGAAGAAAAAGAAAAAGAAACTGAGATGGATTCATGTCCCACAGAACAAGGCATTTTTCTCTGTGCTTCATCTTTTCCTATTTCCTATGAGAGAAGCTTGTGACCCTGTCAACCATTTCCAGAAGAAGAAATTGGCTTCTAACCTAGTTTTCTAAATAACCGATTGGAAATGTCTAACCTATGGACCTTTTCTTATTTCCATTTGACAGACTAAGGCCAAGAAAGAGGTTATATCATGAACCCATGACCTGACTCCAGACAATGATTTTGCCATTCCAACTTCAGAGGAAGCTTTGGAAGGAGTTTAAACCATAAGCTTACCCTCTCAATCATCCACTACCCCAAGGTAAGTAGGGCCTATTAGAATCATGGCCCTGCTGGTAAAATCACCCGCTCTCCTAGCTGTGTCCTGTCCAGATCCCTCACCTCAGGTTTTGTTTGTTTGTTTGTTTGTTTGTTTTTTGAGACAGAGTCTCACCTCTCACCCTGTTGCCCAGGCTGGACTGCAGTGGCACAATCTCAGCTCACTGCAACCTCCACCTCCTGGGTTCAGGCGATTCTCCTGCCTCAGCCTCCCAAGTAGCTGGGACTACAGGCACCTGCCACCATGCCCGGCTAATTTTTGTATTTTTAGTAGAGACAAGGTTTCACCATGTTGGCCAGGCTGGTCTCGAAATCCTGATCTCAGATGATCCACCCGCCTTGGCCTCCCAAAGTGCTGGGATTACCGGCGTGAGCCACTGCACCTGGCTCTCACCTTAGTTCTTATGGGGCCAACTGGGATGTCATCCTAAGGAACTGGAGCATAAATGTCCAGGGCCAGCTCTTGCAAGAGGAAATTCATTTATATAACAGTCACTGAATCCTGCAGGGCCCTAGGCTCACATGCAGAATGATAGAGGGCTCAGGAGATGAACCTTAAAGAATCGAATGCATTCCTGCCCTCCCGCGGTGAGCGCATAGGCTAAGAAGTGGGATAGTTCCCATACTACAGGCTAGAGCATACTAAAGGCAACAACAATAATAATGGCTGTGATGGTTTAAAAACATGCCTACACATTCTTTCATGCTTTTTTTTTTTTTTTTGCAATTAAGTCTTTTTTTTTTTTTTTTTTTGCCAGGCTAGAGTGCAGTGGCATAATCTTGCCTCATTGCAACCTCCACCTCCCAGGTTCAAGCAATTCTCCTGCCTCAGCCTCCCAAGTAGCCAGGATTACAGGCGTGTATCACCATGCCTGACACATTTTGTGTTTTTGGTGGAGATAGTCACCATGTTGCCCAGGCTGGTCTTGAACTCCTGACCTCAAGTGATCCACCCACCTCGGCCTCCTCAAGTGCTGAGATTACAGGCATGAGCCACCACGCCTGGCCACATGCTCTTCTTATCAAAATCAGAATCTAACATCCCTCCCCTTGAAAACAGGCCAGGTGGCTGGGCGCAGTGTCTCACACCTGTAATCCTAGCACTTTGGGAGGCTGAGGCGGGTGGATCACAAGGTCAGGAGTTCGAGACCAGCCTGACCAACATGGTGAAACCCTGTCTCTACTAAAAATACAAAAATTAGCCAGGCGTGGTGGCGCGCGCCTGTAATCCCAGCTACTTGGGAGGCTGAGGCAGGAGAATCGCTTGAACCCTGGAGGCAGAGGTTGCAGTAAACCGAGATCATGCCATTGCACTCCAGCTTGGGTGACAGAGCGAGACGCCGTCTCAATAAAAAGAAAGAAAATGGGCCAGACTTAGTGACTTGCTTCTAATAAATAGAACGTAAAATAAGTGATAGTGTGTGATTTCTAAGGCTAAGTTAGAAATGGTGATATAGCTTCTACCTAGCTTTTTCTTGGAATACTCGCTTTTGAAACTCAGCCACCATATTGTGAGGAAGCCTGGGCTACCTGGCAGACACCTCACATGTAGGTGTCCTGGTCAATGGCCCCAGCTGACAGCCAGCATCAACTGCCAGATTCATAAGTGAACACAGTTTCAGATGATTCTCACCTCTAGCCTTCATGTCTTTCCAGTTATGAGCTATTCTCATCAAGTTCTGCCCAAATTATAGATTTATGAGCAAAATAAATGTATGAAGCCACTACATTTGTCAATTGGTTATGCAGCAACAGATAACTGGAACCATACTAAAGTGTATTGAGTATCTACTACAAGCCAGTGTGCTAAACACATTACAGGGTTATAATCACATTTAATCCTCCCAACAATCCTATAGGTAGATATTATGGGATGTCTACCTTATAGAGAACTGAAGCTCAGAGCAATTAAGTGACTTGATGGAATCATAGAGCTTGTTAGTGGCAAAACGGGACTGGAGGCAGTAGTGTGCTGGTAAATGATTAACAACCAATTCTCTGGGTTGGGGCAGGGATGGAGGGAGGAGGGAAGCCATGATCTTTAGTGTTTTCCAATTTCTGTGGTGTAAATTATTCCACGATGGCTGATTTCAAGCTACTGGCACAGAAAGTGAAATTGGGCAGAGATGTGCACAATCACCTCTCTGAGGCTATAGTACACCACTGAGTAGAGGCTGCCAACCCCAGGACCTATGTGTGTGGGGTTCTAAAAATGGATGGTTGGAAGATTTCTGAGTGGGTGATGGAGAAGCTGGTTTAGGGAGTTTCTCCTGAAATGTAGTTTGAGCTGCGGAAAAGGCATTTTGGGCATTCATTCATCCTGTGTACTCAACTGAGTGCCAGATGGTATTCTAGTCATTGATCATTAGCAGAAAATGATACACACAAGCTCCTTGCTGTCATGGAGTTTTCTTTTTCTTTTCTTTTTTTTTTTATCAGGACAGAGGTGGGAAAACTCAAAGGCACAGGCTGTACTGAGAAGTTTGAGCAATGGAGAAGAAAGTGGAGCTCTGACTGACCTTAGCCCACCACAGTCAGGCTCCAAGAGGGGAGATGGCCTGGGCTGATGGCTCCCTTTCCTCTGCTGGCCCTTCCCTTTTGGGAAAACCCCCATGTCAGAAAAGTCTCAAGTCTGTCAGACTGGGAGTCCCCAACTCCCAACCCAAGGAAGCAGCCCTAGGAAAGGAGAGGATGAGATTTCCCAAAGCTATCTCTTACCACTTCCCTCCCCCAATCTCATCCCTCCATCTATTGGTGAGAAGCCTCCTAAAGTTGGCCTGAGGCTCCTGAGGGACTGGTTCCACCGGAGTCTTTAACCAGGACCCTATCCTCCTTGGGACCTGCAATAGAGATAAGAATCAGAGTACAATCCTCAAATAATTCCCACAAATTTGGAGCTGATTCTTAACTGAAAAGAAAGAAAGAAAGAAAGAAAGAAAGAAAGAAAGAAAGAAAGAAAGAAAGAAAGAAAGAAAGAAAGAAAGAAGAAAGAAAGAAAGAAAAAAGAAAGAAAGAAAGAAAGAAAGAAAGAAAGAAAGAAAGAAAGAAAGCTTTCTGTCCAGAGGATTCTGCGCTCTGCAAGGAAGACACACCTTGTCTGAGGGTTAGCTTCATCAGAAAGAGAACTAGGAGGAATCTGTCTTCCAAGATGACATCATCCAAGCTTGGACATCATCTAAGGAGGGGGATTTATTTTTGATATACAAGACTGAAAATACTTAAAGCATGACATGTAAAATTATTGAAAAGATACTAAGATGTGATGAATTAAGCTTTCTTGAAGTCTTGAGTTGGAAGGAGTGGAGTGAGGGGCAAGTCATGAAGCACATAGCAGGACATAATTTAAACCAGATGTCAGAGGTCACTGCTCCTAAAGCCATTGGCTGGACTGACACATGGAGAAGATGCTTCCAGCCATTCTCTTCTCAGCCTTGCCCATCCCAGACTCTATCAGCTCTCTTTCTCAAATCCCAGGGTTACCCCCAAGGCTGCCTTTCTTGTTTTTTTTTTTTTTTAACTTTTATTTTAGGGTCAGGAGTCCATGTGCAGGTTTATTACCTTGTGTCACAGGGGTTTGGTGTACAGATTATTTCATCATCCACGTACTAAGCTTAGTATCCACTAGTTGTTTTTCCTGATTCCCTCCTTCCTTCCACCCTTCACCCTCAAGTAGGCCCCAGTGTCTGTTCTCCTCTGTGTGTCCATGTCCATCATTTAGCTGGTCTCAAACTCCAAACTGAGAACATGTGGTATTTGGTTTTCTGTTCTTGCATTAGTTTGCTAAGGATAATAGCCTCCAGCTTCATCCATGTTCCTGCAAAGGGCATGATCTCATTCTTTTTTATGGCTGCATAGTATTCCATGGTGCATATGTATCACATTTTCTTTATTCTGTCTGTCACTGATGGGCATTTAGGTTGATTCCACGTTTTTGCTATTGTGAATAGTGCTGCAATGAACATAGGCATGCATATGTCTTTATGATAGAATGATTTATATTCTTTTGGATATATACCCAGTAATGGGATTGGTGGGTTGAATGGTACCTCTGTTTTTATGTCTTTGAGGAATTGGCACACCGCTTTCCACAATGGCAGAAGTAATTTACACTCCCACCAACAGTGTTAAGCATTCCCTTTTCTCCGCAACCTCACCAGCATCTGTTATTTTTTGATCTTTTAATAATCACCATTCTGACTGGCGTGAGATGGTATCTCATTGTGGTTTTGGTTTGCATTTCTTTAATGATCAGTGCTATTGAGGTTTTTTTAATATACTTGTTGGCCACATGTTTGTCTTCTTTTGAAAAATGCCTGTTCATGTCCTTTGCCCACTTTTTGATGGGGATGTTTGTTTTTTTCCAAGCCTGTCTTTCAACTGATTAAAAAAAACTGTGGGCCGGGCGCGGTGGCTCACGCCTGTAATCCTAGCAATTTGGGAGGCCGAGGCGGGCGGATCACGAGGTCAGGAGATCGAGACCATCCTGGCTAACACGGTGAAACCCTGTCTCTACTAAAAATACAAAAAATTAGCTGGGCATGGTGGTGGGCACCTGTAGTCCCAGCTACTAGGGAGGGTGAGGCAGGAGAATGGCGTGAACCCAGGAGGCAGAGCTTGCAGTAGCCGAGATCACGCCACTGCACTCCAGCCTGGGTGACAGAGACTCCGTCTCAAAAAAAATAAAAATAAAAATAAAAATTTTTAAAAAGAGTTTTTGTTGCTTTCCAGAAATATGCTATGTACATTATTTACAGACACACACACCCTCATCCTACTAGACCTCTCTGGAGTCTTCATCTCAGCCCTGCCTCCCTTCCCCTTCCTAGACACACTTGCTTCCCTTGGCCTCAGGCACAGCTCTCTGTTCTCCTGTCTTACTGACTGCTCCTTTGGCGGTTCCTTTCCTGGCTCTATTTTATCTCTCAATCTCTAAATATTGGAGGGCCCCAGGACAGTGAACTGGGTCCACTTTTCTATCTGCCTCACTTCCTAAGAGATCCCTTCTCCAGCCTTATGGCTTTGCGGATCACCTTCACTGCTGGCTCCTGCGTCCCTGGCCTCCATGCGCCACTCCAGACCCGCTTGCAATCCTTCTCCTCCCTGCTCTGGGCTGGGGACTGACCCATATGTGCTGCATCCATGGGCTCTCTTGCTCTCTGGCTTCCCACAGCCTTTGGAGGAGGGGTGGAGAGTGAGGTCAGGATATTTGTTCTCCCTGTAGGGTTGCCATGGACTGGCTGCATTTTTCCACCAAAGGCCTCAGCTCCTGTCAGTTGGCAACATACAAACTTGTCTATTAAAAGATAAATCCCAGGCTGGTGTGGTGACTCACACCTGTAATCCCAGCACTTTGGGAGGCCAAGGCGGGTGGATCACCTGAGGTCAGGAGTTCGAGACCAGCCTAGCCAACATGGTGAAATGCTGTCTCTACTAAAAATACAAAAGTTAGCCAGGTGTGGTGGCGCACACCTGTAATCCCAGCTACTCGGGAGGCTGAGGCAGGAGAATCACTTGAACCTGGGAGGCGGAGGTTGCAGTGAGCCAAGATTGTGCCACTGCACCCCCCCAGCCTGGGTGACAGAGCAAGACTCCATCTCAAAAAAAAAAAAAAAAAAAAAAAAAGATAAATCCCCTTCCTTGGATGAAATCACATGAGTTTAGATGTTGTCTTCTCCACTCAGCTATCTTTTAGCTATCTTTGTCCCCAGGTTCCAGCAACTCCCTCTTCTCACTCCTTCAGAACTATGGATGGTTAAGGCCCCACTGTTACTAGCCCTGGGGGCCTACACTGCCCTCCTGGTTTCTCTACATCCTGCTACTCTTTTCTAAAGGCTCCTTTTATTAAACCCTCCTCAAATTTCCCAATTCCAGGGTGCCAGCTGTCTCTCCCTAGGACCCTCTCTGCTACAAATTCCAAACAGCTCTCATGTTTCCATCACTCCTGAATTCCCAACCCATGTGAGTTCAGACTGATTCTTCACCCCGGTCCCCCAAAATCTTGCTCCTCCCACCAGCTTCCCTCTCCTGATGAAAGATAACTCCATGCTTATAGTTACACACTCCTCTTTCTCTCATACTTACATCTGGGGCTATCAGCAAATCCTATCAGCTCTACTATCAGAATGTACCCGGAAGCAGATCACTGCGTGACATCTCCTACCACCCTGGTCCAGCCCTGCTGTATCTCCCATGGTTGCAGCAGCCTCCTTCCTGGGCTCTCAGATTCTACCCTTGCCCCTCTGTAGTAGTCTCCACTCAGCAGCCAGAGGGATCCTTTAAAACCTAAGTCGAGTCATGTCACTTCTTTGTGCAAGACCCTCCAATGGCTATGAAAGCCAAAATCCTCACAAAAGCCTAGGAAGTCCTACCTGACCCTCCTCCTCCTCTCTTTCACTACTGTTCCTCCTACCACTGTGACCCTGCCCGCTCCTCTTCAGCTTTGCTGGCCTCCTGGCTGGTCTTTATGTCCAAGTAAAATCCTGGGCACAGGCTAGGCCCTACACCGGGCAGATAGGTGACATTCTCTCCCATCATTCTGGTCTCTGCTCCCAAGTCAACTTGTCCCAGAGGCCTTCCCTGACCACCCAATCTAACATAGCACAACCCTGACATTTTCTGTACCCCTTGCTCTGAGTGAGTCTCCTCCAAAGCACTTATCACCACTTGATGCATTTTATTGGTTTTCCCCCATCCCCATAAGCTGTTTTGTCCTCTGTTTTATTGCCAGTATCTGCAATGTGCCGTGCACTTTGTAGGTGCTCAAAACATGTCTGTTGAATGAATATATACCTTTAAGAAATGACCAGACCAGGTGTGGTGACTCACGCCTGTAATCCCAGCACTTTGGGAGGCTGAGGGGGGTGGATCTCTTGAGCCCAGGAGTTTAAGACCTGCTTGGGCAACATAGTGAGACCCCCATCTCTACAAAAAATTGAAAAATATTATCCAGCCATGGTGGCGTGCACCGGTGGTCCCAGCTACTTGGCAGGCTGAGGTGGGAGGATCACTTAAGTGAGCCATGACTGCACCACTGCACTGCAGCCCAGGAGACAGAATAAGACCCTGTCACACACATACACAAAAAAGACCGTAATGGGGAACACAGAGCTGGCTCATAAACAGCTGCCTCATTCTTTTTCACAGCACATAGTATTCCAGAGTACGGATGTACCATGGCATTTTTTAGACTAGTTTCCTATGATGGACATCTAGGTGGGTTCTAACCTTCAGTATTTCAAATGATGCTGCTGAAAACTCTCTTAAGCATTTATCCTTGTATTTCTCAGTAGGATAAGTTCCTAGATGTGCGATTGTTAGGTCAAAAGGTATGCTCATTTAAAATTCTGATCATATTTCCAAGTTGTTCTCCAAACTGGCAGACCCGGCCAGTTCTCTCTCCCTGACAACAGTGGATAAACACTGCTGTTTCCCCATCTGCTCCAACACCATGCAGTATCAGACTTTTTGATCTTGGTCAATAAGGATCGGTATTTCTGTGTTCAGTCGGCATTTCTCTAATATGGTAGTGAAGCCTAGTTTCCTTTGGAACTTTTCCAGGGGTCACACCGGCCAAGGCCTGATTGGAGACGCCTGGGACCCTGCCGATCTAGCGGGGGCGGGGGGGGGAGGGGGCGGAGGGGGGAGGGGGCGGGGCCCTTCCCGCCTCCCGCCTCCCGCCCCTGGCCGCGACAGCACCCACAACTCCGATCACTGCTCCTTCTTTTTCTGCGCTTTCCTTTCTCCCCCACAAGCTTCTGATTCTTGGAACCAGGCTCGGTGACCTCACGCGAGTGACTTCATATCCGGGACTTTCTGGGAATTCTCAGCAGCACTTTTTCGTAAGAAACGTAACTGGGGAGGCGCGGGGTGGGAAGGGGGTGGGAAGGGGGTGGTGGGCGGAGCTTTTGAGGAAGAAGAGAGAGAACAGCTCAGGGCCAGCTTCCTTTTTCCGATTAGGTCGGGTGGAGCTGGCAGGGCGGGCGGGCGAGCTGCAGCCAGCGAGACCCGAGTACCGCCCCCTTGGCCCGCAGCAGGGCACCCCCGTGCCTGCCTTCCGGGACGCAGGTGGGGGTTGGGGACACGGACCTCAGTCCTCATAGCTCCTGATTTGGGACCAGGGAGTGGTTCCTGAGGGTTCCCAGGCAAAGCCTCTGCTAGAGTTTTCTTCGGAAGTTAGCTGGGCATCTAACTAGGCAGCTCTGCCACAGGCTGGGGGGAAGGACAGCATAACCAAAACCAGAACCCCATTATGATTTTTGTGGGCCCTAAGTACCTTTGCCTTAATGGGCTCCTTTTCCATAAAAAAATATTTAAAAGTATATTTTACGACTGTGGTGGTATAAAGCCGAATATGTTAATGTTATATATTCAAACAATTTCTTCGGCCTGAAAGTTTGTTTTTCCCTTCTGATAGTAAAATGAGTTAAACATTTTCATGAGCTTCTAAAAGGATTGTGGACCCTAGGCAGTGTTGCCCCCTGTGCCGGATGGGTGAGTTGGCCCTGGGTAAAATCAGAGCGATGTGACACAGCCTGGAAAGAACATGAAAGGACCTAGAGGATAGAATTCTCCCCTCCTGGAGGAGGCCATAAACACAGGAACAGCTGCACAGGAAGGGCCTTGAATGACCTAAGAAGTGTGGATTTTAAGGCGACAGAGGTGGTGAGAAACTGCTGCAAGGCTGGATTGGAGGACTGATGGTTTGGGGGTGGCACTGGTGGTGGGGAGAGAAATGAGGAGGCTGTTGCTATGGTAGTCACATGTTGGAGCTCACAAATCAATGTGGAAATGAAGCAGGGGGCAAGGGGAAGACATACTTGGGAAGCCGAAGCCCACTGATATGAGGCAGTAATGCAGAGAGAAGCCTGGGCTATCTTCTCTGGCTTGGGTGAATGGCAGATGCTGCTACCCCTCTTGGAAAATAGGAAGACGGGAGGAGAACGTGTATGTGCACCAGGACTTTGGGAAGATCAAATGGAAGGTCTTTCACAAATAACAAAGCAAGGAGACTTCGAGTAACTTCACAGGCTTGTGGGCAGCTTCAGGGCCACCTCTTGCCCAGACCCTGCAAGTTGGGACACTTTCCTGCTCACTATGGCCTGGAGGACAAAACCACCTCACTTGGACATTTCCAGAATAAAGAATGGGGAAAAGCAGACTAGGTTTTCAATACCCTTTCAGTAGAAAACTGCCCCATAAACTCATTGGCTACCTACTTCTTAATCCCCAATAACTGTTTTTATGTGCGCATCCCCACCCCCATAATAGGCTTGACTCCCACCCTCCAATACAAACACTGGGCTTTCTCCAGAGCAGATCAGGCCAAAAGCAAGGGCTGGGACAGGAAATACACTTACAGGGAGAAGAGCTGGGTCTGAATGACTCCTTGAAAGATAATCCTTCATGTATTCACTCTAAAACACGAATCTAGCACTTACTATGTGTTCTGGTACCATTCTAGCACTGGGGATGCAATAAAAATCAAATAAGACGTGGTTCTTCATGGAGATGCTACTTCAGTGGGGGGAAGACTGACTGTGGAGATGTCACTTTCCAAAGATGTATGCATGTTCTAGAATTTTGCCTCTTCCCTACCAAAAGGTGATGTCCAATACCCCCTTCCTTTCAATCTGGGCAGACTTGTGACTCACTTGTAACCAACGGCATGTTGGTTACAGATGTGATTTTTCATGACTTCTGAGACTAGATCATAAGAGGTGATATAGCTTCTGCCTTGTTAGATGGGACATGTCTTTGGAGCTACAACTTAGGAAGTTCGACAACCCAGAGATTGCCATGTTGTGAGGAAGCCCAGGCCACATGGAAAGGCCACACATGTGTGTTCTGGTTGACATCCCTGCTGATGTCCCAAACATTGTGGCACAGAAACAAGCCATGCCCACTGTGCTCTGTCCAAATTCCTGTTTGGGGTGGTTTGCTATGCAGAAATACTATCTAGAACACTAAGAAACAAGTGAATAAGTGAGCAAGATAATTTCATATTGTGAGAGGGAAATATGGGAAAACATAAAACAGCATGAAAATAAGGGCCTCTTTAGATGGGGGAAGGGGGGAGGACTGATCAGGAAAGGCCTTTCTGGAGAGACATTGGAACTGAGACCTGAGTGAGAAGGAGCTCAACCGCTAACCCTCTGGGAGAAGAGACTTTCAGCCAGAGGGTTCATCAAGTACAAAGGTCTGGAGGCAGAAATCAGCTTGGTATGTTCTGAGAAGAGCAAGAAAGACAGTGTGACTAGGGTGATGTGGGTGAGGAGGAGAGTGGGGCCAACGAAGGTGGAGAAGAAGGCAGAGAGGCAAGTCATTCTGGTCCTACAGGTCACTGAGAGGAGTTTGGATTTAAGACTGAGTGAGCTGGGGAGCCGGTGGAGGGTATTATGCAGGAGTGACTGGATCTGGTCAATTCTTAGTAAGAGTTCTGGCTGCCTGGTGGAGGACAGAGCGTAAGGACACACAGGGCAAAGGGAGGAGGACCATTGGGGAGGCTATGGCAGTGCCTAATCCCCCAGGGAAGGGAGGATGGACGGTGGCCTGAGACATGGTGATGGCGGTGAAGATGGGGACTGGTGGACAAATTCCGGACACAGAGGCAATGACAGAGAGCACCAGGGAGGGAGGAGGCGCCCAGTCCTGCAGGTCCCGGGCAGGATCTAGACGTGGGTGAGGACAGGAACCCTGTATCCGTCTGGAATCCGAAGGGAGCCTCAGCGAGAGGGCTGGCCAGGACGGCGCGTCCTGGCGCCCGGCGTCTGCAGTGCAGAGCCAGTCCCTGGCTGCACGCCTGCCGGGCGTCTCCCAGCAACAGCCGCCGCCGCCCGAACGTTCTGAACTCGGCGGCCCCTTAGTCCTCATCGTCACCTTGGCGACGGCCGGTGGGAACACGCCCTGCGGGCTCCGGGGGCGGGGTCTGGTCGCCACGCGCTCCGCCTCCCGCGGGGTGCGCCTTCAGCCCCGCCCGCCCCCGCCCCTCCTCGGCGGCACGCGTGGCCGCAGGTGTGCAGGGCACCGGGAGGGGCCTCGCCGAGAAGCCGCTTCTCTCCTCTGTGCACGCCGCCGCCGGCGCGCACCACCGGCCCAGTCACCTCTCCCCACTCTTCCCCCTAGGCCGCCACCTCCAACCAATCGGACTGGCTCTTCTGTCATTCGGGTCACCTCCGCTGAGATGCCTTCCCTGACCACCCAAGTTGAAGGAACTGCTAACCTTTTCTCTTGGACTTTGTTTTTTATTTCCTTCACAGTATTTCTCCCCTCTAAAATTATCTTGTCTGCTTCTACCTATATTGCCTTCCCTCTTGAAACCTAAGTTCCATAAACTGAGGCACAAATTCTGCCTTGTTCATCTCTGTTCTCAGCACTCTGAACAGAACCTGGCATGAATGAGGTGCTCAATAAAAGTTACTTGGATGAATCGGCAGATTTACTCAATCATTTCATTCTTTATGCATTCATTTATTTGACATTTATGGAGTGCCCTCTAGGCACTTGTGGTAAAGACGTACCAAGATGAATGAGACAGTGACCCCCCTGGAGGTAAGAAAGAAGATATATATTTTTTTAAAATTACAATAATACTAAAAGTGAGTGTCTTGGAGTTCCAGATGCCAGGCATAGCTTCAAGCACTTTATACTGCCTAGTGTTCCATTATTGGAACGCTAAGCATGTGGGAGTTATTTATGCGACTGCTCAAGGTCATTGCCAAGGTCTGATTACAAAAATTCAAAAAATTGCGACCTCAGGCATAAATGGGTTAATTCACTTAATCTTCACAATAGTAGGTAATATAGCTGTGCCCACTTTACAGATGAGAACATTGAGGAGAACCGTCATGCTATATAGGCCACTGGGCCCTGTAATCAAGTGAGATCCCACAGAAGGCAGGGGATCAACAAGATTCATGTACCAGGCTCAAGCAGGTGGATTTGGTACCTTGATTATTCTTGACACAGCACAGTCTCCCACAGGGCACAGGCTCCTTCCAGATCAGAGCTGTGTTGTCCCAAGGGAACCCTACCCATATTGGCTGAGCAGGCAATGAGGGGCCTGTGAGGGTTGTGGAAGATTGGGCCCTGGGCTAGGGGTAGGCTAGGGGCCTGTCTCTTCCATTGAAGCAAAGTGTGGGTGACTTTCCACATAAACTTGGTGTGAGGCAAACCTAGTTTCAAAAGCCTGGGTATCCAGGAAACCCAGGAACTAAATTTATTCCACCTCGGGGTCTTTGCAAGTGCTGTTCCCTCTACCTAGCATGGTTCCTCCCTCAATTTTCACATAGTTGCTCTTTGTCATTTAGATCTCAGCTGAGGTGTTTTTTTCTTAGAGAGCCCTGCCTTGGCCACTCCGTCTAAGGCAGTCACCTGCCATTGTCATATGACCATATTTTAAGACTCTTATCCCAAAGTGGGAGAGTGGCCTAGTCAGATGCGTCACCCTATTCCTGATCTAATTTTTCTTATTTATTGTCTCTCTGTCTCCTCATTCTAAAAAGTTCCCTGAAAGCGGGACCCCATTGGACCTCACCTCTGTGTCCCCACTGCCTAGAACAGGCCTGGAATACAGAAGATGCTTAGTGATTTTTGAAAGACAGCATGAAAAGGGCCCTTCACCAAAACAACCTGACTTTCCAGGCCAGGATCTGAGCACTTCATTTCTCAGGAACCACTGCTTGGCACACAACACCTGGGCTGAACAGGCAGAAGTGATCCAGCCATCTTGGGCACAGGAATTCTCCTGGCGTGAGTTCCTCCTGCTTCCCAGTCCTGACTGGGCTGCTCTCCAGCTCTGGGGCAGGATTCTAAGAACCCCTCCAGGATGGTATTCAAGAACATCCAGGAGGCGAGGTCGAGATAGAGAGGGCAGCACTGTGTGTGTGTGTGTGTGTGTGTGTGTGTGTGTGTGTGTGTGTGTGATGGGGATAGGGGCAAGGAGAATAGAAGTGTGGGCAGGGCATTTCTGGTTGCCAGCCAAGATGGTGGAGAAGGGGTGGCTTTTAGAGCCTTCCCACACTGCTGTTGCTAGGAAGACGAGGCACCTGGAGGTTGTGGCTGTTTTCTCCCCCTGCAGTAGGAACACATACTGGAACAGATGTACACACAGTCAGACATGCACAGAGTAGAGAATAAAACTTGGATTTATTCAGACCGTATGCTTCCCATTTGGGGTGCAGAGTGGGGGACAGTCATGGGGACAGAGAAAGGCAGTGCATTTGGCTTCTAGGGACATGCTGATTGCTGACTCTTTGGGTGACCTTTGGGCCACCAGATGACCAGCTGAATGATGGAGATGGTGATGAAGGGGCTGGCGGCCAGGTCCTTCTGGAGACCTCACAGTGATTCCAAACAGAGACCAACGCTGTGTCCAGTTGGCTCTGTTCCTCTCCAGGGATTAAGGAGCAGATGGCTGGGAACACTCAGACTAATTAAAGAAATAAAAACTCTGGGTAGAGGGACACTCTGGGGGGCTCCAATTCAGGCAGTGGTGTGCAAATTCACACATGTCGATGCGTGGGCCAGGCCTGTGTGAAAAACATGTGTGTGTCTGTATATATTACATCCTCCACAAGCAGCTGGGAGCCCCCATCCTACCCCCACGCCTGTGCAACTCTGTGGGCCTCTTCCAGACCTTTCTTTTTCCATTTGGAAGAACTGGGCCTATTGAAAGAACTGCGAAAGGGAAATGGCCCACAGTAATCCTCTGAAGATGCCATTTCCTCTTGGTCCTTGCTCCAGTGTACAGGAGGCAGGTACCCACTTCAGTCCTGGGGCAGTGGAGGCCAGGAACAGGTGGCAGGTGTGGTGGGAGGCGGTGGGCCTCACTGGGCAGCTGGCTGGGAGTAGCTGCAGGACACCTGCACCGTCTCAGCTTCTGTCAGGTCACTGCTGAACCCAGCTGGGCTGTGCAGGAACTGCCTCAGCAAGGGGGAGGCGTGGAGCCCGAGGTGGGAGCCTGGGTTCCTGGGTGGCTCTGCCTGCTCGGTGACTGTGGTGGAAGACATGAGGACTGTGTTCCCAAACTGGTCCACCTCCTCATACTGTTCAGTCACGGTTCTCATGGCTCCATAGTGTTGTGAGCTCCCTGGCCCCGTCTGTAGCTCCAGAACACTCTTTTGCCACCCTCTGGGCAGGGGACTGGCTGAGGGAGGGGCAGGTTCAGGTTGCACAGAGCACTGGGTGATGTCCTTCTTCCCAGTTTTGTCTTGGACACCTTTCTGGTGGAGCAGGGCCTGGCCTATGTCCTGAGCCAGTTGTGTGCTTTTCACTGAGACATCAGGGTTGCCCTTAAAGCTGGGAGTCTCTAGAGGCTTCCTTGTGGCCGACTGGATGGAGATAAATGTTGGGGAGGAGGGAGAATCTCGGCTGGAAGGTAAAACCCGAGGAGGGCACAAATACTCTCTTGATGTCTCCTGCCTCCTGGTGGAAGGGGCAGTTGAGGCTGTGTGACCTCTGGCCTCTGTGTGATTTCTGATCTTGACTTGACTCTGGGCCTCAGTGTGGCATTCAACCTTGGCTTGGTTCTTGACTGCAGTTTGACCTCCGACCTCCTGGCCTGAGCCACTGGGCCTGGCGCTACTGCTGACTGTGACACTGATCTTGTGGGCACTGTGGTCTTTTGGAGGTCCCTGGAAATGGCCTCTGGCACTGGCCTCAGGCTGGAGGCTAGACATGGAGCTGAGTGCCTTGTGCACAGCCTCTTCAATGTCCAGCAGCCTTGCCAAGGTCTGTTCCTTCAGTTGAGCAACTTCCGTGCTGACCCGTGTCAGCTCCCCAAAGGCCTGCTCCACTGAGGCCTCGGGCTTTTGGTGGGCAGCAGGAGCCTGAGGAGCAGCCCCTCCCAGCTGGGGCACGGCCTCAAAGAGCCTCCGCAGGGCCTGCACGTCCACACTGCTTGCGGCCTCCTTCTCCAGGGCTTGCACCTGGTTCAGGAGGCCCTGGAGCTCTTTCTGGTTTCTTTGCAGACTGTCAGGGCTCTCAGGGGCCCCTTGGTGGGAACCTTCCATGGGCTGCTCTCCTGAGGGGCCGGGGCCCCACTGTGGTGAGGTGGGATCATGGTTGAGGGCATTGAGCTTGGGGGGCTCAGAGCTCTGGGCATTGCTGCCTGTAGCCTGATTCTTGGTGGGCCTGGGGGCCGTGGTGCTGAGGCCATGTTGTAAGCTGGGCTGGCTATGTCCACTGGGACATCTGGCCAGAGGTATGTGGCCCTGGTCTACAGTAGTGGGAACCTTGGCTGGCTGAGGGATGGCTGTATCTCTCTCACCTCGTTGGTGTTCTCTTTGCCCCACCTCCGAGGAAAAGCTGGGAGATAGAGGCAAGGGCTTGGGCAGCCTCTGAGGAGGGTGGCTCTGGGTTAGGTGTGCAGGTTTAGGGGGCAGCTGCGGCTTCTTCTTTGGGGGCATGGTGGGGTCCAGTTTTGGGGTCTTTGTCTGTGACCCTCCAGGGGTTCTCTGGCCAGCAGGGCTGCTGTGGGAGTGAAGAAGGGGGTCCTTCAGGGGCTCAGAGGCTTGCTGGATGGAGTCCTCAGCACGGTGGGCTCCAGCTGGAAAGTCAGGTCCTGTCACAGCAGCTGGGAGAGTAGGAGGAGGAGGAACAAAGGCATTATGGGGGTGCGGGCTGGCACCTGCAGCTTGGGGCCCAGAGGCCAGAATGTGGCGGCCTAGAGGGGCAGTCTTCAGGGTGGTCTCTGCAGCTTGGAGGCCCCCTGGGCAGACTTCTGCCATCGCCTTCCCTGGTGGCCCCCAGGCCATCTGTGTGCAGCCCCCAGGCTCCTCCCGCCCTGGCCCAGTACTCTGACCTGGGCCTCCCTGGAGTGGGCGGGGAGCCTGGACTGAGAGGGCAGTCTCCCTGTGCCTTGACTGGGGTTCCCTCTGAGAAAGCTGGACACCCCCAGGTGGGTCAAAGGTCCTCACGGGATGAGCGGTGTAGATGCCATCCTGAATTGTCACCCACCCCCCAGGCAGCCCTCTGGGTAGTGCTTGCTCTTCCCTACTGACCTTTCTGGGGGCTGCTGGGATCCGGGGATCACTTCCACCCCCAGGCCTTATGTTGCTTTGGGTAGCCCCAGCTTTCCGAAGACCGTCCTGGATGGGGTTGGAAGTGGCTGTTGGGGTGGGGCCCTGCTTGTGCTTGTTCAGAACTTGCTGGTGCAGGCTCTGGGCTTCAGCTGTTGCCATCCGCAGACTCTGCATGGCGGCCAGGAGGTCTGGGGCCCCAGGCCCCGGAGGGGTAGTCGTGGCTCCTTCTGACTTTCCCAAGACTGCCATCCCTTTCTGTCCAGAGTGACTGTCTTCCTGCTTTTCTGTGTTTTGCAATTGGGCTGGTGCTGCAGCTTCCCCAGCCAGAGGGACTGCCTTTCCAATGGCCTGAGGAGGGCAAGGGGTGGCCCCTGAGGCTCTCAGATGCCCCATCCCCATGCTGGGGTCCAGTGGGGGAACATGGATGATGCTCTCAGTTGGGTGCAGGCTCTGGGCCCCCTCGCTGGCTGGCACTGGACTCGGGTCAGCCGGGGGCTCCCACCGCAGACTGTGCAGGCCACTCAGGTCTCCTTTATCTATGCAGCTGGCCAACAGCTGCACGCTGCTCCTCTCAGAGGCCTTGCTAGTTAGCCGGGGCTGCAGAGAGTAGGCAGTCAGTGCGACCAGGCCCTGCTCTGTCTCCTGCATCACCAGCCCAGTCCTTGCCACGGAGGTCCCAAGACCGCAAGCCAGCAGCTGCTGGAGCTCAGGGTCCATGTCTTCAATATTCCCACTGCTGCCTGGAGTTGGCAGCCTCAGCGGCTTGAGTTGGAGCTGGCCAGTTGGGTCTTCCTGCACCAGCAGCCCCTGCTGGTCCACATCTGGCCGGCGCAGGACTTGGCAGATGATCCTGGGAAGTTCACCTGACACCAGCTCCTCCTTTCGTATATAAGGGTGCCCCTGCCCTGTGCCCGAGAGCACATACTTGGCAAGACAGAGCTCCCCTGGCCCTCGGGCCTCCATGAGGATGCCTCCATGGTGCAGGATGCCAGGTGTGGCATGCAGAGTCCGCAGGGTCCCCTCAGCTGCAGTCTCCTGGCTCTCTTGCATCCTGTTGCCTGAGGGGCTCATGGGCTGCTCTTCCAGGAGGTTGCCCCCTTGGATGCTCTCAGCTGCCAGGGAGCCCATGGGACAATTCTCAAAAAGCCAAGTGAACTTGTGGACAGAACCCGCGGGGATGGACCCAGCGATTACCCGGGGCTCCTGTTCTTCCTTCTTGCCTGCCTCCAGGGCCTGAAAAACCTCTTTCTGACGAGACACCTGCCCTGAAGGGATCTCCACGCGGCTGCAGTATCTCACAGGCCGTCTTCCACAGGGACGGCCTGAGGCCTGAAGAGGCTCGGTCTCAAAGACGTGTCTGTCTGTCTGTCTTTCCCCAGCCGGGACCTGGCTAACCTGCAGGTGCTGCTCCCTGGAGCCCACTGGCCTGTCCACAGGTTGGGGCTTGAACATCCAGGTGCAGGACTGTGCCTCAGCCTTGGCTGTGGGATCTGTGACCTCTGACCCCTGCTTTTCGGCCAACTCACTCATTGGGCAAGTCTCGAACAACCACCGGATGGTCTGCACATCGCCCTTTGGGGGTGCCTCAGGCTGGGGGTCTCCCTGACTCTTCCCTTCTTCTTTCTGTCGTTCCTGCTGCTCCCGTTGGTGGATCATCTCCAGGGGCTGGGTCTCAAAAAGCCACCGAGCTGTGCCAACGTCCCCAGCCACCACTTCCTGCCGGGTGATGCCCCGCACCACGTCGATGGTACTGGGGCTTCGGCCGAGCTGGTCTAGGGGCTGTGTCTCAAACATCCACCTGTAGCCCTGCACATCACCTCCGACTATCTGCTCTCTGCTAACAGAGGTCAGGGCATGGAGGCGGCCCTTGCTGTCCTGCATGGCATACACTGGGGACCCTATGCCCTGGGCCTGCCCAGCAGAATCAGTTCCTTCTTCTCTGCTTGGACTCCCATGGGCCAGAACCTCACCCTGTCCAATGCTGTCCAAGGGAAGGGTCTCAAAAAGGTTCTTAAAAGTCTTCACATCCCCCTTTAGCTCATCCCTCTGGGGGGCACTCTGAGAGAAGGGCAGTGCTGAGGAGCTGTCACTGGATAGATGCCCCTCACCGTCCTGGGGATCCACTCGCTGTAGGTGACCCACTTGGACCTTGTCTCTGAAAGCATCCAGGGGCTTTGTTTCAAATAGCCACAGGGTGGAGCGGACATCACCAGGGACCACTTCCTCCTTGGGTGGGGCCTCTGCTCCAGCCTCTTCGTCCCCCTTCAGAGTGTCCAGCGCTCGGGTCTCAAACAGATGCTGCTGCTGCTGAACATCTGGACCAGGTGGGATAAGGTCTGGGGATGGCTGGAAGTCCTTCTCATCTACCAAGATCTCCCGGATGGCATCCAGGGGCTGTGTCTCAAAGATCCAGCGAGTTGCACTGACGTCGGGCCGGGCCCCCTCCTCCAGGGAAATCCCCCGGATCACCCGCACCTGGCTGGGGTCCTGGTTGATGGCGTCCAGAGGCCGGGTCTCAAAGAGCCAGCGGGCAGACCTCACCGCGTTGCTTTGGATCTCCTCCCGGCATGCGGCCTTGACCTCATGGATGGCGCCCTCTGCATCCTGGATGGCACACAGGGGCTCCGTTTGGAAGAGCTTCACTGTCTTTTTCACATCACCCTTCAGCTCCTGGATCTCTGAGCGCAGTTCCAAGGGGCTCTGCTCCTGCAGGGAGGGGCGGGAGCCCAGGCGGTCCAGCGGCCGCGTCTCAAAGAGCATCCTGGTACCCTGCACATCTCCGCTGGCTGCAGGCTCCCTCACAGTGGCCTCCAGTTCCTTGGCTTGCCCTGTCAGCTCGTCCAGTGGCTTTGTCTCAAATAGCCAGCGGGCTGCACGAACGTCTCCTCCACCTGGCTGGGGCCTGGTTGGCTCCTGGTCTGTGCTGTTGGCAAAGGAGCCTTCCTCAAACTTGCGGGAGGTGGCCTGGACGTCACCACACAGCACGGGCTCCTTGGCAGCTGGCCTCTCGTGTTCTCCAATGGCATCCAGTCTCCAGTTCTCAAAGATCCAGCGCATGCACTGAACGTCACCCTCGGTGGGTTCCTCAGAGCCCAGGACCTCAGCCAGATCCTCGGCCACAGCCTCAGCCAGATTCTTGCGGAGCTCAGGGTGGATGTGCCTGTAGAGGCGGCGGAGCTCACTAGCTTGCCGCTGCTGATGGAACTTGGAGAAGGATTCCTTGGGTGGCGGCAGTGGCAGGTCCTCCAGGGCTGGGGGTGGAGGGAGGGGCAGGTCCTCTGCAGTTGCCATCCTCATGGTTGGTGTGGGGGCCACCTGTGTCTGGGTGTCGGCCATCCTTCTGAGAAGAAGGGGCAGAGATGAGGATGGGATTGGGAGCCTTAGATCTAGATGTTCAGCAGGGTAGAGGCTGGATGCTGGGAGAAATGGTAGTAAACAGGGCTCAGAGTCAGAGTAGCTCTGGGTGACTTACGCTTAGAGACTCCTTCCCTCTCTCTATGTGCCTGGCCTGGGCTTCACTTCGCTGCCTGCATGGTTCGTGGGCAACAGGTCTTGAACTTAGGACATGGACCCATTAATCATAGTGGGTTCCTGCTTTCCCTACATCTCATGCGTTGCTAGGGAGTGACCATGGTACCACTGGACATGAGACACTTTCCTTTAGCTCCATAAGGGACGCATAAACCTCCAGTGGGCAAACTGGACATGCCCCATCCTCACCTTCCTTTGTTAAAAATCAGTGTTTCCCTGGAAGACTGCCAGGGGAGTGGCCTGGGGGAATCCTGACTTTTGGAGTCCCAGCCTTGGAGAGGCAGGTCTCTAAACTGGTGACTGATTTCCTATGGAGACGAGATTCCTTTGCAGAACACCAGAGGGCAGACTTGCCATGTTGACCTGGAACGCTGCCTAACTTTTACCTCTTGGCTGTCAACGCACTCCAACCTTTCCCAGGCCCAAGGAGGCAAGCAGAGGCCAACAGCCCATGCTAGAGCGGAAGCAGTTGAGAATCAGGGCTGGGAAGCTGCTCATCAGATATCTCGTGCTTAGGCCAGATCCAAATTCTGAATATCTGGTCAGGGTTTTCTGCATTATACTCGAAGACTGAGAATGTCTGAGCTAGGGGGATCTCAAAGGTCTTTTAGCACAATCATTTATAAATAAAGATGAGGGAACTTAGGCCCAGAGTCAGATCTTGGTGAATAAATGGAAGGCCGTGCTGGCTTGGGGTCCCTAGACTCCATTTAGGGCATGGCCCCAAGAAATAAGAGGGTAGCAGGTGTAAAGCTTTCTTATTGGCCATAGAACCCGTCTATTCCCCAGCAGGCACCCCTGGGAGGATATGAGGGTGACAACAACCAGGGAGAGGACCATGGGATCAGGGTCCTTTCTGCAGAGACAGCCCTGCCTCTTGCTCCTGGATACCGCTCTCTAAGCAAGCAAGCACAGCTTCAGGGGCTCGGACTCAGGGGGGCTTCAGGCTAAGCCCTACCCCTGCAGGCCTCATGGCCACCCCAGCTCAGCCTCTCCCCGGCTACACCCCCGCCCCTCAATGACCTACCACCCCTCAAGCCCTTCTCTGGTCTCTGTCCATGTATGTCTTATCTCTCTTGTGACAGGTGTACTAACAGTCCCCAGAGGCCAGTAGGGAAAGAATGGGAAGCACGTGCCCCCTCCTGCTGCCCCTGACCCACTGCTCTGCACCACACAGGGTGCTAAATATAGCTGAGGTCCTGGCCTCAGAACAGCAGCCCTGGGCTCAGAGGGAGGCTGAGGCCCAGCCAGTGGGGACCCTCAGTACCCTTGGCTCACCTCATCTCCTTCATTAGCCTGGGCTCCCCTATCCTGCCTCCTGGGCTGGTGTCAGGCCCCTGGGCTGCAGGCCAGCCAGGTGCTAGAACCTGGACACCTTCCCTGGCCAAAGGAGTCTGCACTGGGGGGAGGTACTGGAAGTAAGTGGGGCAGGACTTCCTCCCTATGGCTACCTCAGAAGGAGGAGAGAGGAAACTGAGACCTGCTGACCCCATGCCCACCCTGGCATGTCCACCAAAGACATCAGAACCTTTGGGGAATGTGAGCTCTGAAACCTGCAGCCTGAGTCTCATCAAAGCTCTGGGTGGTTTTCTTTCATTTCTGAGCTCCAATGAGGATCCCCTGCCCAAGGCAAACCTGAGCCTGTCTCCACCTCTACTCCATCCTGTCACCACCAGGGTGGCCTGAGCAGATGGTGTGTGCACACCATCAGCTTCACCCCACCCCCGCCCCCAGGAATTTCCAGAATCTCTGCTAAGGCCACAGACAGTTATTATCATGGAGTCCAGGGATGTCAGGCCTAAGGACCCTCAGAGGTCACTCAATCTAAACCCCTTATTGTTCAAATAGGGAAACAGAGGCCCAAAGAGGGGAAAGGAGCTGTCCAAGGAGGCTCAGCAAGGCAGTAGCAAAGCCTGAAGCATGTCTCCTGACTCCTGGCCTTCCCACCACCATCTTTGCCTGGCTTGAGACTGCTGGGACAAGTGTAGAGTCAGGACAGAATTCATAACTGGGACCAGACTTACGTGGGGTGAGCCCCAAGAACTGTCCTAGAGCTTGGTCTCCTAGGGCTGGGCCAGCCTCTCAGGATGGTCCCCCTGCTGTCCTCGGGTCACCTCCTCCTTGGCCCAGCTGGCTCCATATGTCTTTACATCTGGGCAAATTCAGATCTGGTCTCCCTCCCGTGAGCCCCCCAAATCTGCCCTGGGGGCTTTCCCACTGGGCAAGACTATGGACATGGGCAGAGTCCGAATTCCACCCCAGGTTTTAGGCTATGATATGTAGGGAGCTGGGCTCCGGCCAGCCCCTGGGAGCTATCCCTGGGCCAGATATGCCAAGAGTGTCATCCACAACAACTAGGCATGGGGCTTGTTCTAGCAATGCACACTCAGGCCTACTTACAGCCCCCTGCCCCCACCTCTCTCCTGTTCCTCCTTCCTCCAGATCCTGGGCCTGCCTGAAGCTTCCCTGGGAGGAAGCCCTGAAGCCTGAGGCACTCCATACCTGTATTTTAAAAATCACAACTCCAGGCCTTTCTGGATCATGCCAGCCTGGCAGGAGCCTATCCTTTCTGCTAGCTTCAGGCCTGTGGCAGCCACTCTGAGAGCTCCCATGGGGCTCACACTGTCTTTACCTCCTTTGTGGGTTCTTTATGTCTGAGACTTCCACTCACCTCCTCCCATGCATGCCCCTCAATCTCCTTCCCCTACTCAGAGCCATTCCTAATACGTCCATTTCAGAAGGAGAGGGGATCCCAGCTGTGAAAGCCAGCCTTGCTGTGGAAGGATGGAGAGGTAGGTTACTCACCAAGGGTCTCTCTTGGCTGATGGGGTGTTTGTGGTCTGTAGCAGCTGTGGTCTCAGGGTTCGTCGTTCCTCTGGAGGTTCTTGTTCAAATTGGTTCTGTTCTGCTGGCTCCAACAGACACCTTCTTGCTGCCCTGGCTCCAGGTCTCTGTCCCCTGCCAGCCCCAGCAGCTGCCTTTATCTTGCTGGCTAGTGGGTGGGCCGTGGTGGGGGCGGGTGGGAGAGGCTATGTTCCGAGTATTAAGTGGTTCGGTTATTTTTAGGTCTTGTGGAAGTCACTCTTCCATCCTGGGGAATCAGTTACATGTCCTTTGGGCTGGGGAGGGGAAACAGAGGGGGAGAAGCTTCATTCATCCAAAGTCTGATCTGGGGATTGGGGTCAGTGACTCAGCTGGGTTGTGAGGTTGGGGGTGTCCCAGACTATTTTGAGAGAGTGACTAAGAAGAGGCATCTGACACCTTGGACAGCTTGCTCCCGTCTTGTGAGCCCCCATCATTCTACTCTGGCCCTGCCTCTGACTCTTCCTGACGTGTCTCCACCCACCGTGCCAGGAGACTGGAGGTCTCCTGAGGGCAGGCTGGGCACCTCCTCCTCTGTTCTGAGCCTGGATACCTCTGAGTGTGATGCTCAGCTCTCTTTCTTCCCCATTCCCTTCTGCACTAAAGAGTTCCTTCTTTCTTATCCATTCCACCCTGTGCCCCACAGCACAGGTCAACACAGCCCCGATGAAGCTGGATTTGGGGGGAAGACATCTGAATGACCAGGCCCAGCTCTTCACTGGGCCGAGATTGGCCAGGCCCAGCTCCTCCTTTGCACCACTACACCCAGTTAATTTTTGTATTTTTAGTAGAGATGGGGTTTCACCATGTTGGCCAGGCTGGTCTCGAACTCCTGACCTCAGGTAATCCACCTGCCTCGGCCTCCCAATGAATGAATTCCACAGCAGGACTCTATGGTTTTCATTCCAGATTATCTGAGTCCTTTCTTCTCGACTCTTCCCTCTGACTCAGGGCCCAGGCTTTCTGGGAATGGAGGGGAGGGGAAGGGCGGCATGCAGGGAGCTGACCGTGGGGTTATTTCTGACCCTGGAGTCATCAGCTTCCCAGTCACAGATGGAGTGGCGGCGGGGGTGGGGGGGTCACACCTGCCTCCTCCTTTGCTTACCAGGGCGTGAGGGGCCCAGGAGGCCCAAGAGATCCTGGCAGTCAGACCAGTGTGGTGAAGGATGTCAGGGGACCATCTGCAAAAAACTCGAAAGAGGTGTTTTGTCCTAGGTGGGCCTGGCCCAGGCTCCATGCCTGTGGGTATGCAGGTGCATTCTGTGGCCTGGCACATGAGGTCTTCCTTCTGACTCCCCAAATGCCCTCTGGTACCAGGGGGTGATGCCAGACATTGCTCACTTTTTCCATGTAGTCAATGTCAGTCCTGCAGCGTCAGCTGGGATGGGGGTAAGGACATCTGGGAACCCCCTCTTCCTGGTCTCCCTCCCTCTTGTCTCTTCCCCTGCTCTTTTCTAGCCCTCTGCCTGTCCCCCAGGCTCCTGGCTCTCTCTAGGAAGGGCAGGGAGACCGATGTACCAGTGTTTCAGGGAAAGGGCAGCCTTAGGTTTCTCAGGATTTCTCCTGGGAGGAGCTTTCTCCCTGTGGGTACTGAAATTTCTTACTTTCTAGGATAGTTTTGAGAATTGAAGGAATTATTATATGAAAAGAGTGCCTCCAGCCAGGCACGGTGGCTCACGCCTGTAATCTCAGCACATTTCGGCAGGCTGAGGCTGGTGGATCACTTGAGGTCAGGAGTTCGAGACCAGCCTGACCAACATGGTGAAACCTTGTCTCTACTAAAAATATAAAAAATTAGCTGGGTGTGGTGGCACACACCTGTAATCCCAACTACTTGGGAGGCTGAGGCAGGAAAATTGAATCTGGGAGGCAGAAGATGCAGTGAGCTGGGATCGCACCCCTGCACTCCAGCCTGGGCGATAGAGCAAGACTCTGTCTCAAAAAAAAAAAAAAGTGCCTGAGAGTACTTAGCACATAGCCTATGCTTTAGAAGAGCCAGCTATTATACTGTATATAATATAAAAAGAGAAAAGCCCCTAGGTGGAACTCACTTTTGTACTCACCTCCTGTGATAACTCATGGGAGAAATTCCTCAGGCCTCAATATTAGGAAAGAGGCTCTTCCTGAGCACTTGGTTTCTTTGTATCTAGTACAGCTGTGCTGTCCAATAGAGTTGCCACTAGCCAAATGAGGCTATTTAAATTTAAGTACATTAAAATGAAATAAAATAAAAACTCAGTTATTTCACTACACTAGCCATATTTGAAGTGCTCCATAGAGACAAGTGGCTAGCAACTATTATATTGATTTTGTTTGCTTGTTTGTTTTTGAGACGGAGTTTCGCTCTGTCGCCCAGGCTGGAGTGCAGTGGCGCGATCTCGGCTCACTGCAACCTCCACCTCCCGGGTTCAAGCGATTCTACTGCCTTAGCCACCCGAGTAGCTGGGATTACAGGTGTGTGCCACCGTGCCCAGCTAATTTTTGTATTTTTAGTAGAGATGGGGTTTCACCATGTTGCCCAGGCTGGTCTCAAACTCCTGACCTCAGGTGATCCACCTGCCTCCGCCTCCCAAAGTGCTGGGATTACAGGCATGAGCCACCGCACCCAGCCTGAAACTATTATATTGAATAGTGCAGAATGTTTGCATTATTTCAGAAAGTTCTACGGATAGTGCTGTTATAGATGTTAAAATAAATAAGAAAATAAATTTTTCTGGAAGGAGAATTGTCAATAGAATAAACAATTTTTATGACATATGGTGTTTCTCTTTGACTTGGCTGCTAGGAAACTCAGAGCTAAATTTTTAACCTAGCAAGTAGACTTTATGGTCCAAATCCTGTGTAATGAGGGTGACCAACTTTTTGTTGTCTGTCTCTGAGGAGTTTTGCAAGACAAGGGATGTTCAGTTTTAAAACTGGAAAAGTTCTAACAAAACCAGGACAAGCTAGTCACTCTATGTGTAATGATCTAATGATATCACATCATCATGGTATTAATTATGAGGCTGTCAAGATAGTAAACTAGGCATTATTTACTGGAGTATCTTTAGTGGTATTAAGAAGGTAAACTGAGGCACAATAAATTTTTTAAGAGTTTATTTGTGCAAACAACAATTTTTGAATCAGGCAGTCCCAAACCAGAAGTGGCTTGGGAACTCTACTGAGGGAGCACAAGCGGGAGGTTTTTATAAGACAGATACAGAAGTAAAGCAAATATAATATTTGATTGGTTACAGTTATACAGTTGCCTTATTTGATCTATCCCATTGGAAAGTCCCTGGTTATATAATTATTTGTGCTGGCTGCTTCTCATTAGTTGCACTTAAGTTTTATTTTTCTTTAATATAGGCATTTACAAGAAATAGCTCAAAGGCAGGCATGGTGACTCACACCTGTAATCTGAGCACTTTGGGAGGCTGAGGTGGGAGGATCACTTGAGCCCAGGAGTTGGAGACCAGCTTGGGCAACATAGCGAGACCTCATCTCTACAAAAAATAAAAGAAAATATTAGCTGAGTGTGGTGGCATGCAATTGTTGTCCCAGCTACTTGGGAGGCTGAAGTGGGAGAATCGCTTAAGCCAGAAAGGTGGAGGCTGCAGTGAGCCGTGATTATGCCACTGCATTCCAGGCTAGGTGGCAAAGTGAGATCCTGTCTCAAAAAAAAGAAAAGAAAAGAAAAAAGAAAGAAGGAAGGAAAGAAGGAAGGAAGGAAGGAAAAGGAAGAAAGGAAGGAAGGAAAAAGAAAGAAAAAGGAAGGAAGGAAGGAAGGAAAGAAGAAAGGAAGAGCTCCAGTTTTGCATGTCTGCAAATCAAGCAAGGGTAAGGTCCCTTACGAGACCTAACTTGTTTTGCCTGCTCAGGGATGCTTCAGGTCTGAGCTCCATTTTTTTAACAGTGGAGATACTGTGCATCTATTTCTTTAAGCTCTCTCAAATCATTTTGGGAACGAGGCTGGAAATAAATAAATATCCTGAGGTTGAACAGCTGATCTTTGCCAACAGGCAGAGAGGTGCTCGGGGAGGGGGTATGAGGGAAGGGTGGTTCCCTTCCAGCTATCGCAGTCCTCTCTTTGGGAGCCTACTGGTTTTTAGGGTCCAGGGCATCATCTCCTACCAGCCCCTCCCTCCAAGTAGGGCTCCATCAAAGTTGGGTTTGGGCAGAAATTCACGCATAAATCATGAAGGAGCCGAGTAAGTAGCTGGCAGTTGACTCACTTCAAGTTTCAGGAGAGACAGGATTCGAGAATGATAGGAGCCAGACTGCTTGAGGCTGAATCCTACCTGTGACACTTAATAGCTGTGCAACTCCTGGCTACCCTGGCACTGGCTGGCAGTCCTGGCTTCCTGCTGGCTGGGAAGCAGGCACTGGTGCCAGGAGGACAGCTTGGGCAGCCAGGCTGGCTCTGTTCCAAGCCTGCAGGTGAAGGGTCTGCTCAGCCTCTTGATACCAGAGAAGAATCATCTGAAGCCAGAGAAGGGATTTTCTGCTCTGGGGTCAGCAGATTTGAGGGGAGAGTCTCCACCCTCCTGCCATGGGAATATCATGGCTACCGTGTGAGAGGGAACAGAGCATGGTGTTTGAGAGAGTGGGAGCTGGTGTCAGATGGCCTCAGATCAAATTGCCAGTCTGTCTCTTACTATTTATTTGACCTCTGAGAGTCTTTCAGCTCTCTGTACCTTAATGTCTGTATTTAGGTTATTCCAAGAGCGGAATCTGAGACGAGCATTTGAGTGCAAGTGATTTAACCGGGAGAGGATCCCAGGAATGTAGTGAGGGTAGAGAAGTGAGTAAGGGAAGGGATGAAAGTGGGTTACCTCTGTAAACAAGTGGGGCTTAATCTCCTAATTTCCTTTTCAGGTAGTTCATTGTTAGAGTATAGAAACACAACTGATTTTCATCTGTTGATTTTGTATCCCACGACTTTACTGAGTTTTCATCATTAGTTCTAACAGTTTTTTAAATGGAGCCTTTAAGAGTTTTCTATATATAAGAATCTGCAAACAGGGACAGTTTTACTTTTCTGATTTGATTAACTTTTATTCTTTTTCTTGCCTAATTGTTCTGGCTAGGACTTCGGTACTATGTCTACTCAATATAGAAGTGGTGAGAGGGAGCGTACCTGCCTTGTTACTAAATTTAGAGGAAAAGTTTTCAGTTTTTCACTGCTGAGTATGAAGTTAGCTGTGAGCTTTTCATATACAGCTATTAGTATGTTGATGTTCCTTCCTTCTATTCCTAGTTAGGATGTGCCTTCCTTCTATTCCTAGCTTATTGACTGCTTAACCTGTCAATAAACTAGGAATAGAAGGTATCAAATGCCTTTTCTTTTTTCTTTCTTTCTTTCTTTCTTTCTTTCTTTCTTTCTTTCTTTCTTTCTTTCTTTCTTTCTTTCTTTCTGTCTCTCTCTCTCTCTCTTTCTTTCTTTCTTTCTTTCTTTCTTTCTTTCTTTCTTTCTTTCTTTCTTTCTTTCTTTCTTTTTTCTTTCTTTCTTTTTTTATCGAGTCTCACTCTGTCACCCAGGCTGGAGTGCAGTGGCATGATCTTGGCTCACTGCAGCCTCCGAGCCTCCACCTCCCCGGTTCAAGTGATTCTCCTGCCTCAGCCTCCCAAGTAGCTGGGATTACAGGTGCACTCCACCACACCTGGCTAATTTTTCTATTTTTTTCAGTAGAGATGGGGTTTCACCATGTTGGCCAGGTTGGTCTCAAACTCCTGGCCTGAAGTGATCCACCAGCCTCCCGCTCCCAAAGTGCTGGGATTGCAGGGGTGAGCCACCAGGCTCGGCCATCAGATGCTTTTTCTAAGTCAACTGAGATGATCATGTGATTTTATCCCTTATTATGTTAAAGTGGTGTATAATATTAATTGATTTTTGTGTGTCGAACTATTCTTGTATCCTAGGGATAGATTCCACTTCATCATGAAACTGAGTTTAATCTCACTTGAGACCCTCTGACAGATGGGGGTAGTGCATGCCTCACTTGGGGTGAGGAAAGTGAGTGCTATGGTTTGAATATTTGTCCCCTCTAAAACTCAAGTTGAAATTTAAGCCCTAATGTGGCAGTATTGAAACTCGGCAGCCTTTAAGAGGTGATTGGGTCATAAGGGTTCTGCCATTCATGGATTAATAGATTATATTAGTAGATTAATGGATTAATGGGTTGTCATGGGAGTGGGACTGATGGCTTTATTAGAAGAGCAAGAGACACCACAGCAAGCACTCTCAGCCCCCTGGCCATATGATGCCCTGAGCTGCCTTGGGATTCTGCAGAGAGTCCTCACCAGCAAGAAGGTCCTTACCAAATGCCATTCCTCAACCTTTGACTGCTTGGCTTCCATAACTATAGGAAGTAAATTTCTTTTCTTCATAAATGACCCAGTTTCAGTTATTCTGCTATAAGCAACAGAAAATGGACTAAGACAATGGGGTATTTGTCTACCAACCCTCACCTCCCATTGATTGGGTGCTGTTTCAGGAAGTGCTATCTACCTCCTCTTCCCCTGTACTTCTTGCCTGCTCCTTAGGCAGAGAGAAGATGCAAGTATTTGAAGTAGGAAGCTCTTATAGGAACTGTCTATGGAAGTTACAGGTGACCCCAAGTGGGGCAAAGATAGTATGGGACACGGGCAGCATATGCTATGTTAGGTTCCCATATCTGTGAGATGAGGGAGATAATAGCAGGCCCACGTCATGGGGTTGCTTTGAAGATTTGGGCCAGTGCTGTTGGGTAGAAAAATAATGCAATTTGTCTAAATAATATAAGCCAAATAGTGTGAGAGAGAGCCATATAAGTCATTTAAAATTTTCTAGTAGCCACATTTTAAAAAGTGAAAAAAAGAGATGAAATGAATTTTAATATTTTATTTGACCTAGATTTCCAAAGTATCATTTGCACATAAATTAATATAAAATTATTAATAAGATATTTTGAATTATCTTTGAAATCCAGTGTATATTTTATATTTATAGTATATCTTAATTCAGACACTAAATTTTCATCAGAAACACTTTATCTGGCCAGGCATGGTGGTGCACGCTTGTAATCCCAGCACTTCATGAGGCCTAGAGGTGGTGGATTTCTTGAGCACACGAGTTTGAGACCAGCCTGGACAATGTGGCAAAACTCTGTCTCTACTAAGATTAGCCAGGAGTGGTGGCACACACTTGCAGTCCCAGCTCCTTGGGAAGCTAAGGTGGGAGGATCACCTGAGCCTGGGAGGTCAAGGCTGTAGTGAGCCGAGTTGGCACCACTGTACTCCAGTCTGGGTGACAGTGAGACCCTGTCTCAAACAACAACAACAACGAGAAAAACCACTTTATCTATATTTAATAAAATGCATTGCTGAAAAGTAGATTCTCAAGTTGTTCAAGCACATTTAAAATTTTCTAGTAACTTAATTATCAGTTTTAAAATTTGAGTGAATTAAATAAAACTAAAGAAGTCATTTGTGCATTTTGCATTTTGTTACCCTTGTCATAATTCAAGTGCTCAGTAGCCACATGTGGTGAGTGGAGACTATATTGGACAGCATAGATGTAGAGGGTTAATCCCTGTGAGGTGTTTAGGGCAAATAGTCAGCTTATATCAGCTCTGGCTGGGTCTGCACACTGAGAGAGGCCGAAAGGTACTGGGGCAAGCGCTGGCCTGGAAGTCAGGAGTCCTCAGTCCTAGCCCCACTACTGCCCTGACAACCCCTCTTCATTTTCCCCATCTGTGAAATGTATAAGATAACAGTCAATGGTATTTAAAGTCCTCTCCGGGTCAAAAATCTCATTGACAGGGAAAGATTGAATCCAAATTCCTATTTTCCAGTTGAAAAACCTAAGGCCCAGCAAAGGAAAGCGATTTGTTTATGGTTAACAGCCACAGGGAAGGTAAAAGTGTTAACATTTAGTTCACTTTTCTTGGCTTAGAACACCTTTCCCAGAGCTGCCAATGTTCAAATCCCTCCCTCCTTTAATATCCAGCTCCAGTGTTCTGAGGTCCTTTTGCATGTGCTTGACCACATGCAATCCTCACAGAAGCCCTGTGAGAAAGTTATTTGGGCCCATTTTACAGGTGAGGAAACAAAGGCTCAGCGAAGTTATGTTAAGATGTTAAAGTGATACAGTAAGCGAGAGGCACATCAAGGACTAGAACTCAGGTTTCCTGAACCCTTGATCAGGGTGGCAGGTATACTTCTATAGCACCCAGGGATACCTTGTGAGAAGGGATGTAATGGGGGATGAGACAGGCCTAAGTCTCTCTAAGGACCTAGTCCAACTCTGCCTGGGTGGGGCTGCAGAAAGCTGAGAGATGGCTGCCCCCTAGTCCTTGGGCTTGCAGAACTGTCGTCAGCCATGCAGCAGTCTTGGGGACCCAGAACACTTTTCACTAGGAAGATGTGTGGTTGGCAGCCTTTGTCAGTTCTCCTGGGGTTGGGGGCCCTGTCGCTTGACCTTGTTAGCATCCCCTGCTCCTCTGTTCCTCCCCAACACTTATTGATGCCTTACTGGGAGCAGGCCTCTGCTGGAGGATTCCCAAGGCACACCAACTTGTCAGCTTTGGAGCCTTCCCTAGAACCTCCCAGTCTAGTGGGAAACTGACATGGTGGGAACAGAAGTACCAACTGGGTGTTGGGGGACCCAGTGAGATACAAACTCCATCTAGGGTGGTTTTATGGTTTTATGCAAGAGGGAGCCTGTGAACTGAGCCCACCAAATGAGATACTTGATGGGTGGAGATGGTGGGTATTGTGGACTAAATTTTCTTCCCCTTCCCCAATTCATATGTGGAAGCCCCAGTACCTTGAAATGTGACTTTATTTGGAGATAGGCCCTTTAAAGAGGTAATTAAGGTTAAATGAACTCATAAAAGTGTGGCCATAGCCCTGTCGGTGTCCTTATAAGAAGAGGAAGAAACACCAGGGATGTACATGCACAAAGGGAGGGCAATGTGGGAACACAGTGAGAAGGCGGCTGTCTGCAGGCCAGGGAGAGAGACCTCACCGGAAACCAACCCTGCTGACACCTTGATCTTGGACTTTCAGCCTGCAGAACTGTGAGAACAGAAATGTCTGTTTAAAAGCCATCCAGTCTGTGGTATTTTGATATGGCAGCTTTGGCCAATGAATATGGTGGGGAACAGCATTTAGGTAGGAGGTATGGCCTAAGTATGGACAGGTAGGAGGAAAATCTGGTTAAGCACAGATGAAAAGAGGGGCATTGAGACAGGAGTCCCAGAGGCCATGTGGTCAAATTTTGTTCATTTCTGCCCCCCAGCACTGCTGAGTACAGGTTAGGTGTGGAGCAGATAGCAAACGCCTGATGAATGAGGGTCTGGTCAGACTTCTAAAGATGGCCCCTCAAAAGTTTTCCCAAGCTGGTGACAGAAGAGAAATGCGAAGAGAGATTTGAAGCATGAGGGGAATTTGCCGCACCATTGCTGACTTGAACTTGGAGGGATCACAGGAGAAGGACTGTGGGTGACTGCAAGGAGCCAGGAGAGGCTAACAGCCTCAAGAAAACAGGAACCTCAATCCTGGAAACTCGGGAAATTGAATCCTTTCCCCAACATGAATGAGCCTGGAAGATTTCTCTTCAGTTCCCAGATGAGAACACAGCCAAGGTTCAGCCTTGGAAACCTTGAGCAGAGAACCCAGCCATGTGTGTAGGACCTCTGAGCTTCAGAACTGTGAGTGGAAACATCCTCTTAAACTGATAATTTTGTGGTATTTTGCTACACAGCAATAGATAAGGAACACAGACTGGAAACTGGCGAACTTGAGGGCAGGCAGGAGGCCATGCCGCCTACTGGTCATAGTGTTCTTAGTGGAAAGCACTCACAGGTCACGCAGGCAGTCCCTGAGGGGGGTCTGGCCTGAGCACTCTCCACTCAGTGGCTGGCTAGGGACCTGAGGCAGCTCTGCTCAGTGCCCCCAGGTCACCAGGGAACTTCAGAGCATCTCAGAGTCAAGAAATCCTGATCAGGCAAAGTTGGAGCAGGAGGACTCCTTTGTTTTTTTATTTCCCCCTTTTACACATGGGGAAGCTGAGACTTGGAATAAAGTCTGGACCCTGCAGAGCAGTGAAAAGAGCCTGTTTCAGATAGTTTTCCTTTGGGACCCCAGCTCCACTACTTCCCAGCTCTACAACCTTGGGCAATTGTGTCAGCTCTCTGAACCTGTTCCTGGCCAGGTGCAGGGGCTCACGCCTGTAATCCCAACACTTTGGGAGGCAGAGGCGGGCAGATTACCTGAGGTCAGGAGTTTGAGACTAGCCTGGCCAACATGGTGAAACCCCATCTCTACTAAAAATACAAAAATTAGCCAGGCATGGTGGCGGGTGCTTGTAATCCCAGCTACTTGGGAGGCTGAGGCAGGAGAATTGCTTGAGCCAGGGATGTGGAGGTTGCAGTGAGCTGAGATCATAGCAATGCACTCCAGCCTGGGCAACAGAGCAAGACTCTGTCTCAAAAAAATAAAAATAATAAAATGAACTTGTTTCTTTGTCTGTACAGCGGGGATGAGACACTTTGGACATGAGAAGATGAGGGAAGGAGGCTCTGGGCAAAGGGAAGAGAGTGGCAAAGGTACAGAGGCTTGGATGGTGTGACGTGTGCAGTTTGCTTTGAAGGCAGGATGGATGGGCAGAGGTGGAGCGTGGTCTTGGAGCGCATGGAGCCAAGTTGTGAAAACTGAATGGCAGGCATGGAAGTTTGGGTCCCATCCTGAAGGATTTTAATCAGGGGCAAGTTGGAGTATAGAGTCGGTTAGAGTCAGTCCACAGGGGAGAAGATAGGGCAGGGAATCTGTCCCAGCAGTCCAGGTTCCATGTGATGAGGATCTGATGGTGGCAGATGAGGGAGAGGAGGGACTGTCTGAGGGCTGCCCAGGAGTCAGAGTCGACAGAACCTAAACGAGCTAAAATATGCTAAAGTTCTTGGTGTACTGTTTGATGCAACTTCTGAAAACCATCTAGTGACCCTGGGGGTGAGGAAGGGAAAACTCTGGGCTGCTACCCGGCTGTCTGGATAAGTGAGTGGGGGATGCATAAGTGGGGGCAGTGGGAGTGGGAGAAGGGGCAGGGTGGTTGGTGGTGTGTGGAGACCACAGGCTGACTTTGGACAAGATAAGCATTAAATGTCGGGCTGTCCCAGTCAGAGCTGGCTTTCTGGGGACCAGGCAATCAGATGTGGAGCTCAAGAGAGAAGACTGGGCTGGCAAGTGTTTGTGTGCAGATGGGGATTGAGGCTGTGAGGGGAGCAGCACTCGCAGGGGTCTGTGAAGAGAAGCGGGCTTAGGGTCAGATATGGGAGAAGGACTTCAAAGAAGCAGCAGCCAGAGAGGGAGGGAGAAAACCTGGAGAAGAGTTGGTCATGGAGGATGCTAAGGGAAGAGCATATTTGAGGGGGGAGAGAGCACCAATGTCTGGGGCTACACAGAGTTGTGGTAAGATAAGCAGGCAGGATGGGCTGCTGGTTCAGCAAGGATGCCCCTGAGCACTTTGGCAGAGCAGTGACAGTGAGAAGGCACAGCCAGGTGGCGGGGCTGAGGAGGGCCGGGTGAGGCTGTAGAGATACCAGGAGGGAGGCTTCTGTTCAGCAGCTCCTCTGGTCCTCAGAGCTCTCATTGATCAAATAGTAATCAACACAGGGGTCGGAATTCCTGTTAAAAAGAAAAAAATCAATCAGCCGTTGGGGGGCCGGGCCAGGTGGCTCACCCCTGTAATCCCAGCACTTTGGGAGGCTGAGGATCACTTGAGCCCAGGAGTTGGAGACCAGCCTGGGCAACAAAGCGAGACCCTCATCTCTACAAAATAAATAAATTAGCTGGGTGTGGTGGCACACACCTGTGGTCCCAGCTACTCGGGAGGCTGAAGCGTGAGGATCACTTGAGCCCAGGAGGTCAAGGCTGCAGTGAGCTGAGATTGCACTACTGCATTGCACCCTGGGCGACAGAGCGAGACCCTGTTTCAAAATAAATAAATACATAGATACATAAAAAACCAGCCACTGGGAGAGTGCCTTGTAAACTGAGAGTGACTTGAGGCAAGGGGTGCGTAGTTAGTTCCAAAGACATGATGCCTTTGAAATGGCTAGCAATACCGTAGTGCCCAGAAGGTGACAGCACGTCATCAAGCCGCACTTCATCTAGCGGGACTAAGCAGTTATTTAATTTATTTTATTCTACAAGATTTCTTTGTACTCTTTGTACAGCTGCTATGTGTTAGACTCTGGGCTAAGCACTGGAGATTATTGTATATGTACATACCTAATAAAAAATCTAATATATTAATATAAAATATGTATAAAATTATATATATGTACATAACTTCTAGGAAGCCTAAATTTTAGTTGAAGAGGCAGTTAACACAAAGAAGTGAATTATCTTCGTAACTGTCAATTAACTCTCCAAACTCCAAGGCTTTATCTTCTCCAGGTTAGAGAGAAGTCCTTCTAGACTGTGTGACATATATCCCCTCCTCCTAGAACAAAATGTACTGAGCAGAACTTGAGTTCAAATACTGGGTCCACCAGGAAGTGAGAGTGTTTGCCTATCCATGGGACAGATTAGATGAATTTCCCAAAGATGGTCACTGCAATATCTCCCACCTCATATGTTATGCATATAATGTGATTTTGATACTCTTTCAATTGAGAGAAAGAGGTCTTTGTGCCATCCCCTTGAATCCAGGCTGGCTTATGACTTCGGTGGCAGGACACTTTGTGACTTCTGAGGCTGGGTCATAGAAGGCAATACAGCCTCCATCTCTGATGACATTGGAACCCAGCCACCATGCTGTGAGGAAGCCCAAGCGTCCTGTGGAGAGATTATGTGGGAGAGAACCAAGGCCCCCAGGCCACAGCATTGGCTGAGCTCCCAGCCAACAGCCAGCATCAATTTGTGGATATTCTTGGAAGCAGATATTCCAGTCTCAAGATGAGTTGTCCCAGCTGATACCACATTGAGCAGAGATGAGCTGTTCCTGATTGTCTAACTGTAAGCAAAATAAATGATTTTCATTATTTTAAGCCATTTAAGTTTTAGAGTGGTTTGTTATGCTGCAATAGATAGAGATAATTCATTAATTAATATTTATGAGTGCCCACTCTATGCTGGGCACTCTTTGCTAAGAGCTGGGGATGTATGGTGAACAGGACAGACCGTCTGTGCTATTATAGAATTTACTGCCTGGGTGGGAAAATGGATTGCGATCAAAGTAAACTAATTTGCTGGCTAACCTAAACTTGAAGCTGTGACAAGGTTCCCAGGCTCCAGGCCCCTGGCCTTTTTGACCTTATCTCCAAGTATATTGCATATACAAATACCCTCCCTTTCCTCAGAGTCATTGTGACTCTCCAATGGGATAATAGCCATTAAATGCACACACAGAGAAGCATGGGACTAAGAGTGAAGCTAGAAAGATGATTTCTTAAAGGAAAGGGTTTTTCTTCCCCTCTCCTCAAGTTTGATAGGGGTCTTCAAGAGAGCCATTGGGAGAGCTTGGCCTGAGTCCCTCAAGCTGACTGGGGGACAAGAGCGAAGAGAACTGCCAAGGTCTCCTGCGAGCCCACTCAAGAGGATGCTGGCAGGGCAAGGACCTGTGCAGGCGGGGAAGCCATCGTAAGCAGTTGGCTGGAGACTGTGTCGCTCTTGTCAGGGAATGGTGCACCTGTGGGATGGTGTCTCCAGTGCACCCACCAGAGCACCCCACAAGAGAAAGAGCCAGCATTTGGACATCTGACCCACCCAGAGGGCACCAGCAACACTTTTCTGCCACTCTATCTCTCCACTCTCTCCTTATCCAACTCTAGATGAGTCAGGAGTGGCATCATCAGTGGGTAAAGAGGAATGAGGAGGAGGGGAAGAAATAGTGAGGGAGCCAGCGACACTTCCCTTCCTCACCAAGTTTCCAAGCTGAGCCAGGGCAGCCTTCCATGTACCCACCTTGTCCATATCCCCAGCCTGCCCAGCTTGTACTCCAGCTTTTTTGACCTCTCCAGGTCAAAACTCAAGGGATGGGGCAGGGAGACAGGTAAAGGGCAGGAAAGAGATTGAATGCCTGGGACTTCCCTAATGCATCGCTCCCGGAGTTGGCAGGTGGCTCTTTCTATCATGGGTGTTTTGAAGGTTCTTTGGGGATTTCCATGCCCCATACCCCCTGCAGTTACTGACACAAGTGATGTACTTTCCAGCCTTCTCCTGACAACTCCCATTCAACCCCTCGTCCTAGGAGATCATCTCTACAAATCAGTTGGGCTCCTATTGGCCCTCCAGGCAGCCCCCGTGGGCAAATCCTTTTAAGACATCTCTCTCCATCTCAATGTACCTGGGACCGAGTATTCTCTATTCAAATTTCCATCTCACTTCCAGGGCCTGTGTGGTTCTCTTTTCTAGGTTCATCCACTGAGGACAGACTATTGTGCTAAACCATACACCTTTAGGCCTGGGAGGGTGGCCAAAAAGAGGGGAGTTTATGGATGTACCTTGGATCTGCAGTCTGGGATGTTCACACATATGCACTTCATGGAGCAGAACAGAACCAGGGAAGAGAAGAAAAGAGGGATGAAGCCAGGGATCCATTTATTCTCTCGCCTGTCTGTAAATGTTACAGACATATGAGATAGGAGAGGAGGCTAAGATGTCCCCAGCAGCCCAGCAGTGGAAACAGCAGGTGCTAAGACCCTGAAGTGAGAGAGAACATTGTGCATTCTGGGGACAGGAAAGGGAGGGAAGGAGAGAGTGCTATGAGTCTCAGTAGGGGATGGAGGTGGACAGGTGGGGTGGGTGCATCACACAGAGAACTGTGAGCCTCGGCAAAGACTTTGATCTTATCCCAGAGTAGTGGGAAGTCTTGGAGTGGTTTAAACAGGTTAACAGTGTAAACAGACTGCATTTTAGAGAGACCTCTTTTGCTGCTTTGCGACTTGGTGGTGGGGGTGTTGGGGGGAAGACACAAAGAGTAGAAGCTCGAGGAAGAGTTGGGGTATTGATGTCACAGTGAGACATAAGAAGTGATGACCTGAGCTAGGGCAGGGCTTCTGGAGATGGTATCATGGACCATCAGACACCTCAGGCTGCCTCTGGGCCCATGCCAGCTTCCCCAAATATAGCCTGGTGGCAGGTGGTGAACTAAAAAGTGAGAAACAACTCAGTCACCATTTTTCTGCAAGTTGCCACTTCATTTGAGTGTGTGGCATTGAATGCATTTTTCTTACTTCTGGAGCTTTGACCAAAATCTCTGAGACAGGAAGAGCCCCTGAAAAGTTGTGTTACATGAAGAATGATTCTGCACCTGCAGGGATCCAAAATGCACTTCAATGGCATAAAGATTATTTTAAGCTAGAAACATCTGAACAAACAGCAGCTGCAGAAACAAACAAACAAAAAGTACCTAAACTGCTGACTTAAACAGGACCTCCTGAACACTGCTGCCATAAATCCCCTCTCGAGGAAGTTTACAGCCAGAGAAGAGACTAATCATTGTCACCGTAATGAGTAATTGCTTAAACAAATGTTATCTGAAACTCCATGCCTTCCATTTGTTCTTCCATGGAAGTTCTCTCTCCGCCTCCCTTTCTCTTTGTTAAGTGGATATATAAACCCCTATTTTTGGCTGTTTAGACAGCCATATTTATCTGAAGACTCCTTTGAATAAATAAACTTCATCTTTTTTCCCTGTTAATCTGTCTGTGGTTGGTTAATCTGTAGACTCTGAACATAAATAGGTAAAGAAAAAGTGTTTTCTCCCAACACACTTTCCTTTTGCCAACAAGAGTATGGGTGACCGACAAAGATTTTCTATCTGGTACTGGATTTTATCTTCCTGGCCTGCCAAAGTTGCTGAATAGCAGAGGGTTGCTTATTGTCTCTTTCTCTTTCTCATGCATGTTAATTGGATTAGAAAAGATGGAGGAAAAGAGACCATATAGGAGACTGCACTGCCAAATGTACTATTAAAGGGTAGCAGAATACTCCACCCCAAAATATGCCACACTGGCATAAGTATTATTGTGAACTGAAGGTAACTGAGAAGAGGCAGACACAAGAAAAGCTCTTTGCTCTCCCCATTTGCCTAAAAACAGGATATAACTTTACAAAGGAGTTCTTCCTCCTCTCCCTGTCAGGAAGAACAAAGACCGACGACAACTTTAGGCCCTCATCAGCCTGAAGGTGGCACCAGAGGAGTCGACACAGCAGACTTCACTGACTAGCCTTTATCTACCGTAAAGTTCCCATATATTTGCTTTCCCACAATTTTCTCCACCTGGAGACTCAAGGTCTTTTTCTTTTGTCTTGACACTACTCTAAAAATGTATTGTTCCTTGTTGAAGATGCTACGTAGTTGAAGTTCTAAGCCACTTATTTGAGAACTAATCTTTTCTTGAGTATTTTCCATATATATATAAAATATACATGTTAATACATTTCTCTTTGTTTTTCTCTTGTTAATCTGTCTTTTGTTACAGAGGGTCCTAGGCCAACTAAGAAGAGTAGAGGGGGTCAGGCATGGTAACTCACGCCTGTAATCCCAGCACTTTGGGAGGCTAAGGCGGGTGGACCACCTGAGGTCAGGAGTTTGAGACCAGCCTGACCAACATGGCGAAACTCTGCCTCTACTAAAAATACAAAAATTAGCCAGGTGTGGTGACAGGTGCCTGTAATCCCAGCTACTCGGGAGGTTGAGACAGGAGAATTGCTTGAACCTGGAAGGTGGAAGTTGCAGTGAGCCAAGATCACCCCACTTCACTCCAGCCTGGGCGACAGAGCAACTCCGTCTCAAAAAAAAAAAAAAAAAAAAAGAAAAAAGAAAGGAAGAAAGAAAAAGAAGGGTAGAGGGAAAATTATGTTTTGTCCCCTACCTTATTTATATAAATCATTGTTATTTCCAATTTAGCCACAAACAATGAAGGGCTGGTGTATGCTGTAGAATGGCTGAACAAAAGGAATGCTTTCTTGCTTTCTTGTTTTCAAAGTGATAATGGCCAGAAGGGTAGATGAGTTATGCTGGTTTACATTTAGTCTGGTTTAATTGCACTTAAGTAGAATGCTAAATGTCAGCAGGTGGCTGATTATACGTTGACTGGACCAAAAACAGATTAATAGCTTCTGTATTAGTCTGCTAGGGTTGTCATAATAAAATACCATAGACTGGGTGGCTAAAACAGCAGACATTTAGTTCTCACAGTTCTAGAGGCTGGGAAGTGCAAGATCAAGGTGCTGACAGATTCAGTTCCTGGTAATGGTGGCCACCATCTCACTGTATGCTCACAGAACCTCTTCTTTGTGTGCATGCAGAGTGAGCTGTGGTCTGTCTTCCTTTTCTTATGAGGACACTAATCCTATCATGGGGCCCCACCCTTCATGACCTCATCTAAACCTAATTAGTTCCCAAGGGCTCTACCTCCTAATACCATCACTTGGAGGGGGTGGGGGAAGGGTGGTGTTGGGGCTTCAACATGTGAGTTTTGGGTGGTCACAAACTATGAGTCCATAACACCTTCTCTATAAATAAAGACTAGTTAAAAAGTATTATAATGAATACAATACCAAATGTTCATGTTAAAATGTGTTGTTTTTGTTTTTGTTTCTGCCAGTCTTTTGTTAGATCTTGCCTGGAGACATCAAACCCTTCTTCCTGTTCCTCGCCTGCCAGAAACTCAATCTGCCCTTGCGAGGACTTATACGTTGAGTTCTTCTGTCAGAAAAATCAAGTGTAGGAAAAAAATCTTTGTATTTCAGTAGAAAACAATGCACTGTCTGTAGCACACCTTCCTGCATTATAAGATTCTAGGCCTGTACATTGTCTGAGCTATTTTGAAACTCTCTGTAAGTTGTAACTGGTATGTAAATGCTGTACTGTCTGGTTGTGATTTTAACTGACTTCTTCCTCACTGTGGAAAACTCAGTTTTGTCCCCATTTGCAATTTATCTTAACATTCCTTTACTCCATATAAATCTGTTTTTGAGTTTTCCTTTAAACTGGTTATAACACCTGCTTGCTTTTCTCAGATCATATAAGTGAAGTAAATTCTTCAACATGTGCTAATTTTTACATCTATATGAGAGTCATGATTTTACCTTTCACTGAAAATTATCATTTAACACAGGGAAGCCTTTGGGGGGAAGTGGCAGGACTTGGCTTCCAAAGAAGAATGGACTGAATCTCTGAGCCCTGTGTCTCTCCCCCATTTAGGTTTGTGGCCACGCATTCCTCAACTGCTCAGGCCCCGAAGCATTCAGGTCATTCTTGACCCTTCCCTTTCTTGCACCCCCATCTCCAACCCTGTATAGGCTACATAATGTCTCCCCAAAGCTGTCTACATCCAAACCCTGGAAGCTGTGAATGTTTGTTATCTTACACAGCAAAAGGGACCTTGCAGATTTGGTTAAATTATGGATTTTGAGATAGGGATGGATTATCCAGGCAGACCAGTTGTAACTACAGGGAAGCAGAAGCATCATAGTCAGAAAAAGGAGATGTGAGGATCAAAGCAGGGTTGGAGAGAGGTGCTTTGAAAATGGAGAAAGTGGGCACATGCCAAGGAATGCAGGTGGCCTCTAGAAGCTAGAAAAGGCGGGGGAATTCTCCCCTCAGAGCCTCGGGAAGGAACCAGTCTTGCTACTCGATTTTAGCCCCATAAAACTATTTTCAGATTTCCTACCTCCAAAATGGTAAGGGAATAAATTTATATTGTTTTAAACCAGTAACTGCATAATGTGTTACAATAGCAATGGGAAACCTATACAAATGCCATAGTAAATTACGTTGGCTTCATCTTCAAAATGTAGCCAGAATCCGACCATTTTTCCCCAGTGCTGCTGTTAGCATTCGGGGCCAAGCCAGTTCCATTCCTTGCCTGGGCTGTTGCAATGGCCTGCATATGGGTCTCCTTGTTTACCCTGACCACCCAGCCTTTTCTGCTCCCTGGAGGCAGTATTTGAGTCTCTCAGTATTTGAGTCTCTTGATATGCTGTCTAGGAGGCCCTCTGGCTTTCACACCTGACACTTTCTCCAGTGCTTCAGTAGCTCCCAGCAATGGCCATCCAATTCCATTGTCTTTATAATGACTACTCAATAGTTCACACAGGCCTGGTACATTCCACCCACCAGGGCATCCCTTGCCTCCATATACCATCCTAGTTCACCATGCATGACAGATTTGACAATTGCACTGCCTCAGTTTGTTGGGGCTATTTGTACTTCACCTATAATCAGCAGTAGGGCTCTCCTTGCTAGCCAGCTGGCAAGTAAACAGCTCCAAAATCCCACTGTAAAGTTTGCTTTCTTGGACCACTGCTGGTATCAGCTGTTGCAGGTCAGGTTCTCTGGATTCTGACTCAGAGATGCAGATTTGCATGCAGGCAGGTTTTTGGGGAGTGCTCATGAGATCAACACCTGTGGGAGAGGGATGGAAGCAGATGGATTCCCGTGGGGAGTGAGGCAGACTGTGGAAATGCCATGCAGCCACAACCAAGATCACTGCTGGCAATCCCAGAGGGAGCTCTGGAGCTGGGGCAGTGCTTTGGAACTGTCTGCACAGGGCGCAAGAAGGCCAGGCCTTTATGCCCTACATTCGTGAGTCATTGAATGTAGGCTAATTCCAAGTAAGGAGTGCTACTTTTTTTCTGTTCGTTTGTTTTTGTTTTTATTTTTTTCTTGAGATGGAGTCTTGCTCTGTCACCCAGGCTGGAGTGCAGTGGCGCAATCTCTGCTCACTGCAACCTCCACCTCCCGAGTTCAAGCGATTCTCCTGCCTCAGCCTCCTGAGTAGCTGGGATTACAGGCGTGCACCACCATGCCTGGCTAATTTTTTGTATTTTTAGTAGAGACGGGGTTTCTCCATGTTGGCCAGGCTGGTCTCCAACTCATTACTTCAGGTGATCTGCCCACCTTGGCCTCCCAAAGTGCTGAGATTGCAGGCGTGAGCCACCACGCCTGTCCAGGAGTGCTACATTGAACAAGGCAGCGCTCTTCAGCCATGAGCAACCCTTGGAGAGGGACTCACCTGAGAGCTTTTGGCCACCAACATTCAGGATGAGTTCTGAAAGGGGTGGGAGGGGAGCATGTCTGAGTGCCAAACTGTAGCATCTATCACAGTGAACTTTGATAGAAGTTACATTAGATTTTACCACTATCCTCCTTAAATTCCTCCAATGGCTTAAAATGAAATCCATGGGTAACAGACCCTACATACTCTGGCTACTGATTACCTTCAGAAGTATCTTCTCCTTCTGGCTTATGTGCTGCAGCTATATTAGCCTTCTCTCTTGCCATTTGCTCAACAAATATTTATTGAATATTAACTATGGACCAATGTTCTATATTGGGGCTAGAACTGTGGACCATAAGCTAAATTGTGGGACTGTTTTTGTAAATAAAGTTTTATTGGAACACAGTGACTCCTATTTGTTTAAGTCTTTTCCATGGCTGCTTTGTGCTACAACAACAGAGTTGAGTAGAGGCCATACAGCCCTAAAGCCTAAGATATTTACTATTTGATCCTTTACAGAAAAAGTTTACCGACATTTCTTTTAGATCAGTGCTGTCTGATACACACAGACACAGACACACACACACACACACACACACACATTGCAGATCACAATTTAAGTTTATAAAAAAGAGAAATACATTTTAATGATATATTTTATATAACCCAATATCTACCAAATATCATTTTAACCCATAACCAGTATAACAAATTAGCAGTGAGTTATTTTACATTTTTCTTTTAATACTAAGCCCTTAAAATCCCATGTGTATTTTACACTTATGGTGTATTTTGAGGTGGGACAGCCATTTTTCAAGTGCTCAGTACCCACACATGGCTAGTAGCTACAATATTGGATGGTGCAGTTCTAGAAGTCACACAGCAGTGAGTAAAGCTGACCAAATTCCCTGCCGTCATGAAGCTAACATTCCTATGGGACAGAGAGACAATACACAAATAGGTAAAGTGGGTTTTAGGCCTGCTGGTGATAAGTGGTGCCCATGACTTCACAGAGAACAAACGGAAGCTTCATATTTAGAGAGACCCTCCTAGACTCTGCCTTGGCTGATTTTATCCCTCCCCTTGGCAGATTTTAATCTGTATGGCTTCCCTGTAATACAACATAACTATGAATACAACAGCTTTCCGTGAGCCCTGCTAGCAAGTTATGTAACCTGAGGGTGGTTTTGGGTGGTTTTCCCCCTAAATTGCAGTTGGTGTCAGAAGTGAGGGTGGTCTCTTGTGGGGACTGTTCTCTCTAACTGCACAGTTGGCTTAAACTCTTTGGGGAAGGGGATGTGTGAGTAAAGACCAGAAGGAAATGAGGGGACTGGCCAGGAATCTGTGGCCTGGGGCAGAGTAAGCAAAGGGGAGTGGAAGGAGATGCCTTCTTTACTCACTGCCATAGTTAAAACGCTTTACACATAGACCAAATGCTCATGCTTTAAAATTGTAGCATCAGGATTAAGGTTTAGGTTAACACTGAGGTTAGGGCAAGGGGCTGGAGACTAAGGTGAGTTTTAGTGTTTTGTTTGGTCTAGGATTAGAGTCGGGGTGCGGGCAGGGTTTAGGCTTTAGTGTTTAATATTCAGTGTTCAGACGTTTATAGTTAAGAGCAGTGCAGTCTCTTGGTACGCAGCTGTGAAGAGGACACTCCGCAGACTCGGTGCCCACCAGCGGCCTCCCCTGTGTCCCTGTGACCGTGGCGGCAAAGACGGACTCAGGAGTGCAAGTTGCTGATGAAGTATGTCACATTTTTTGTGACATAAAAGTTCATAAATGCTCCACATCAGAAGAAATCAAGAAAAGAAAGAAGACTGTCATTTTTTGTCTCAGTGCAGACAAAAAGTGCATCATTGTAGAAGAGGGCAAAGAGATCTCAGCTGGAGATATTGGTGTAACCATAACTGGTCCTTTCAAGCACTTTGTGGGAATGCTTCCTGAAAAAGATTGCTGCTATGCTTTATATGATGCAAGCTTTGAAACGAAGAAATCCGGAAGAGTATTGTTTGTTTGTTTGTTTTTGTGGGCACCAGAACTACCACCTCTGAAAAGTAAAATGATCTTCACAAGCTGTAAGGATGCAATCAAAAAGAAATTTCAAGCAAATGGACCAGAAGATCTCAACTGGGCTTGTATTGCTGAAAAGTTAGATGGGTACTTAATTGCAGCTTTTGAAGGATGCTCTGTGTAGGCCATCATTCAGTGCCACAAATGGAAAGCTTCCATGTTTAATGTTATCCGCTTGCTATATAAATAAAGCAAACATATGTTTTTAAAAAAGAGAAAACAAGAGTAGTGCTCAGATAGAATGTGTAGCTCATGGAATTCAGTACTGGGAGTCATGTTTAGTTCCTGGTGTGTGCATTTGCTAAACAGGATTCCACTAAACAGCCAAGGATACATACCCTCTTTTAATTAAATAATAGAAGCCACATGAGCATTGTCTTAGAGTTTGGGGAGAAAATGTGTAACCCTAGAAATTATGCCCATTCGTGTATTATCAATGTGTACAAGTCACAGAAAGACATTTTGGAAAGTATATTGCCCAGGAACTTTTTCTGAAAAGGGTGATATGGCTGAAAGGATTCAGCCAAAAGAAAACTAAATTCAAGTAAAATAAATTAAAAATAAAACGAAGAGAGCTTCTATAATAAAGAAGCATTTTCTGTGAAGAGGCATTTATGTAACTATTGATAACAATGAAACCCAGTTATAAATAGTTAAATCTAAATATTTCTGATAATATGAAAAAGAAAGAGGTTTGATGTGAAAAATTAGTAAGGAATTAAACATACATATTTTTCCAACACTTCGAGTCATATGGGGGGAGAAGTTACAGTGTCCAGAATTTTGATGATCTGAGAGGTAAAGAGTTATTTAAACAAAAATAGTTGTTAGGCTGGGCACAGTGGCTCACGCCTGTAATCCCAACACTTTGGGAGGCTGAGGTGGGTGGATCACTTGAGGTCAGGAGTTCGAGACCAGCCTGGCCAACATGGTGAAACCCCGCCTCTACTAAAAATACAAAAATTGGTTGGGCATGGTGGTGCGTGCCTGTAATCCCAGCTACTCAGGTGGCTGAGGGATGAGAATCACTTGAATGCGGGAGGGAGGTTGCGTGAGCAGAGATTGCGCCACTGCAATCCAGACTGGGTGACAGAGCAAGACTCTGTTTCAAAAGAAACAGTTGTGGAAGTGATAAATGCACAAGGTAAAGACATTTGAACCTGAGAAAAGGCGTGCAATTAAGAGTAATGAAAGGTAAACCTTCATCCTGGGCTTTCCCTTCATTGCTCTTCTGAGATGGATTCACTCTTTCCTGCCCTTGTCTTTCTTTGATTTCCTTATTTTGTTGGAACACATCCTAAATACGATGAAAGGTATGTTTATTCTACCATTTTGCTGTATTGGTGATTGAGCTAGGTCTAGAATTCTAGAACTTTAAAGGCTTGCTTTTTATTTTCCAGCCCCCAGGATTGCTGATGGCATTCTGACACCTTTTTGTGTGTGTGTGTGACAGCTTTTACTGCTGTTATCATTTTTGTGTGTGTGCCTGAAGACTTTAAGATTGCCTCTTCATTTTTGGTGTTCTGAAACTTGACCATGACGTGTCTGGTTGTAGGTCTTTTTTCCATTCAGCCTATTTAGTAATTGGGGAGGGGAGCTTTGAGTGTCTTCAGTCACCTATGTGAATTAACCCAGCCCTTTTTCTTCAAATATAAATGGGCCACCATGGACCACCAGACATTTCTGCAAAACCAACAGTAAAATTGAGAAGGACTAAGATGAACAAACAGGAAAAAAAAAAAAAACAGATAGCATTAAGGGAACTGAAAGTTGTAAAGTGCTGACTGGTCTCTCTCTCTAAATCCATGACCACTGAAACCTCAAGTAGCTCAGAGTGCTGCTCAGCAGCTGTCCTTCTTTCCCCATTCCATCTGCTCCCCTAGGCGATGCCTTTATAGCTTACCTCTTTCAGACCTCCAGTGCAGTCTCCCCATGCCACCTCAGCTGATTACCTTGCTCCTTACTTTCTTGAGAATTAGAAGTGCCAGAAGAGAATTTTCATGAGCTCCCATTGCCAGATCCACTCAGTCTCCTGACCCAGTACCCACATGCCTTGTCTTCCTTCCTATTTGTGTGCAGTAATTGTCTCTACTCTTAGCTCAGGCTGGCTCTTTCCCTGAAGCCCTAGATCCTAACCTCTCTCCGCTTCTTAAGAACATGGCTTCACCATTCTCTGCCTTCTCTCCTGAATCATCATTTCTCCCCTCTCTACTGTATTATTCCCATCTGCAAACATGCTGTTATTTTTCACATCTTAAAAAACCACAAAAAGCATTTCCACCTTCCCCTCCAGCTACTGCCTTTCGTCTCCCATTGTCTCTCTCTCTGTCTCTCTTTTTGAGACGGAGTCTCACTCTGTCACCCAGGCTGCAGTGCAGTGGCGCAAACTTGGCTCACTGCAATCTCTGCCCCCTGGGTTCAAGCGATTCTCCTGCCTCAGCCTTCCAAGTAGCTGGGACTACAGGCACACGTCACCATGCTCAGTTAATTTTTGTATTTTTAGTAGAGACAGAGTTTCACCATGTTGGCCAGACTGGTCTTGAACTCCTGACCTCAAGTGATCTGCCCACCTTGGCCTCCCAAAGTGCTGAGATTAGTCTTGAGCCACAGTGCCCACCCCCATTCTCCTTTAATCAAGATTTTGCCCCCACCACTCTACCCAAACAAATCTTGTCAAGTTCAACAATGACCTCCTTATAACTAGACCCAAAGGTCAATTTGCAGGCCCCAGATTCCACTGGATGCAGGGAATCATGCCACCTACCTTGAAGCACCATCTTTACTTGGCTTCCAGGACCCCTGCACTCTCCTGGTTTGCCTCTGATCTCACTGGCAGCTCCTTCTCACTCTCTATTGGTGGTTCTCCCTCCACTGTCCACCCTCCTAATATTGGGATCTCCAGGACTCAGTTCTTGATCTATTCTCTTCTTTATCTACACTTCATGAATTTCTTTTTAAAGTCCATGTATATATAATATCTATAATCCTAACTTCTTTCCTCTGATCTCAAGGCTCATGTATTTCACTGCCTTGTAACATCCCCTTTTGGATCATAGGCATCTTATGCTTAGAAAGTCCCAAATTGAGCTCTTGACCTACCCCTTACCTCCAAAATAGCTTCTTCCACAGTCCCCCTCATCCCTCAGTAAATGCTAATTCAGGTCTCCTAGTACTCAATCTGAGAACACAGGAATCTTCTCTTTTCCTCACTTGACACATCCCATGCATTATGTATTATATAAAACTTACCCATTATATATCCAGAATCTGACATCTCATAATCATCTCCATTTAGCTGGTCCAAGCTATCATCGTTTCACACCAGAACCTTCTGAAATAGTCTCCTAACCAGAGTAGCCAGCTTGTCACAGTTTGCCTGGTACTTTCCCAGTTTTTGCACTGAAAGTCCAGTCTCAGGAAATCCCTCAGCCCTGGGCAAACCAGGATTATTGATTATCCTACTTCCAACTGGAATCTTCTCTTCTTCCGTTGCCTCCTTACAGTCTATTTTCAATACAGCTAGGGTGATTCTTTTAAAATGCAAATTTTATTATGTCACTTCTCTGTTCAAAACCCTTCAATGGCTTCCTACCCAACTTAGAAAGAAAGCTATTGCTTTCAGTGGCCCACAAGACTATAGGATCCACAGGCTTGTAGGAAAAGATGGAGAATTCAGCTTTGAGCAGGCTGATATTGCAGTACTGTGGAATGTTCAACTGGCAATGTCCAAAATTGAATGGAGTATCAAGAATATCTTCTGTTTGGAAAACAAAAATAGATTGCTATGGAAAAACTTGCAAGAAAGAATTCTAGGAAATTAGAAATATTTGTTAAAATGAAAAAAATCAACGGTAGACCTGAAAGACAAAATTATAGATGCTCTGTCTGGTGATACTAATGATATATTCATAAGTAATATGCATATGATATAGTTATATATTATGTAAGATAAAAATATATAAAATACATATAAATAAATTTATTAAAAAATACATTTGCAACATGATGCACCAAATTCCCAAAATCTTCAGCATGCATCTTTCCAAACCAAGGACACTCTTCTACATAACCAGCATACAACTCTTCCAGTCAGGAAATAAGAAATCAGCTCTAACACTAACATCTAATCCAAAGAATATATTCATATTTTGCCAGCTGTCCTAACAGTGTCTCTTTCCTGTCTAGGCCAGGATCACACTTTGTACTTCATACACAAGTCTCTTTAGTCTCTTTCAATCTGGAATAATTCCTTGGTCTCTCCCTGTTTTTCATGATCTCATTAGTTTGAAAGAGTGCAGACCTTTCAGTCTCTAGGACGAAGCTCAGCCTGGTTCCACCAATGTTTCCTCAGGACTGGATTCACATTTGTGTTCTGGGAGTGCCGAAGCTCAGCCTGGTTCTACCCATATTTTGTCAGGACTGGGTTCACACATGTGTTCTTGGAGTGCCAAAGCTCAGCCTGGTTCCAGCAGTGTTTCCTCAGGACTGGGTTCACACATGTGTTCTGGGAGTGCTATACGGAAGGGAGGCTGTCCTCTTCTCACTGCATCACACGAGGGGGCATACAACGTGGGCTTGTCCCTACACTGGTGATGTTCATCTTTAGCACCTGGTCATTTTGTGTCAGGTTTCTCCACATTAACTCATCAATTTTCTATTTGTAATTGATGAACATTTTGTGGGAAGATATTCTCAAACTATGCCAATATCTTGTATCCCATTAAATCTCCACTAACTTGACTTAGTAGTTATTGATTACTTTTGCCTGAATTAACCACCATTATGGCGGTTGTAAATGGTGGTTTATCCATTATCATCATTCCTACGATATATATTAGCTGCTATGCTACTATAAGGAAGACATTTCCCTTTTCCTCCACTTACTTTTTTACTTTTTAAAAAAATTACTCATACTCAATCCTCTACTTATTTTTATTGACATAGACTCATGGATTCCTATTTTATTCAGCAGATTTAATCCATTACCATCAGTATTTATTTTAATATCAAATTATTCCAGATTTGGCTAGAGGATAACCATTGAAATTTGTACCTATGAGCTATAGACATGCCCCCATCATTCTTTGAGTAATTCTTTACTTTCTGGCACAAGAAAATGTTTCAGGTTCATCTTGTAATTTCCCTGCCTTGGCCTCAGAATTACTTATTTCTACAAGAAGTGCTAGAGTTGAGAATGATATTTGGAGACTATAATCTAGGTACTTGGTTGCTTATTGCTTCTGGGCCTTCCTGCCTCATATTGGCGTAGGATGGGAAAGTCAGGAGCTGGGGACACCCTCCCTCTCTCAAGAGCAAAGTAATTTCTCAACTTTCATAGACCATAAGACTTACTCATCACTGCATCTCTCTGCATCCTCCTTCTTTTAATCAGCTTCTTTGCCTGCACGTGGGTCTCTGTGCCCATCAGCCTTGAGTCTGACCTGACTGCTGACCTGCCCACCATTATTGGCTACGGAGTCTGCAGTGCCCAAACTGTGAGAGCAATAATCTGCATGTCTCTGTCCAGTCTATAGATTGGTTCATCTTGGGCTTGGGTTCTACCTCTAGTCTAATCACTTTTTGTCAGGGCAGTTAGCAATGTTACAATAGTGGCTGGGACAGCCCTGACAGAGCTGTAGAGAAGATGGTGCAGTTTCTCTAGGGAGGAATGAGTCCTGTGGAGGACCCTGACTACATCTGCCACATTCTATAGTCATACATTAGGTTCTTATAGAAAAGTTTTTAGATTTTCAGAAGTGAGGACATTTGGTAAAGGTTCTGTGTATCTGAATATTAAGGATCATTTTGGGTTCATGGATCAGTTATTGGGAAACACTGATCTAACTCCAGCACTTCAGTTTCTCGGATGAGTAAACTGAAGGCCAGAGAGAACAAGAGACTTGTCCTCATGTACATGGCCTGTCAACAGCAGATCTGGGATTAGAACCAGGGCTGGCCATCCAGTGAGGCGAGAGAAACATCTAAGAAGCAAAATGTAAGGAAGCCCTCACCGTCAGGATCATGCAAGTGCCCTAGGGGCTTCCCTTGACTCACCCTAGGCCCAGCCCAGATTAGAACTCCAGGATCCTGCTTGCCAGGAGGGAGAGATCACAACTGGCTTGCGGTGTATGGGTAAGAGGGACTGATGGGGAGTTTTCCTGTGTTGCCACCTTCAGGGAGAAGGAAGTTCCTGAGGAAGGCTGGTTAAGCTAGTGTTCCCAAACTGAAGGATCCAGTAGCTTGGGATGGCTGCTCACTGGAGAAGCTTGAATTATCCTGCATGCACAGAGCACTGAGGCCCCTTCAGTCTGGGTGGAGAGTTCCTGGCCTGGGTTATCTTTAGCTGGTTGCTGAGAGTTGCAGCATTTCTCAGCCCTGGTGATGGACACTTCTGTTTTCCCCCGTCTCATAAAAATAGACCTTCCCTCCAACCAGACCTGCCTTGTTAGATCTGTTCTTACATAGACAGGACGTGTGGGGTTTGTGCTTTTTTAGCCTCCAGTCTGGTGTCTGCTTCCTTCATGTGGAACTGCTTACTAAGAATTTTACCACAGGAGGATTTTAAGAAAGTAAATGTTGGCTTTGTTGTTGGTTGAGGTTAAAAACAAAACAAAACAAAACAAAAACAACAACAACAACAACAAAACCATCAAGATAGTCAAAAGAAATAAAGGAGAGAAGAACAAAAGAGAAACAGCTGAACCATTTTGTGACCCTTTTTCTGCTACTGCCCTGGTCAAAGGCACAATTTGTTCTCACCTGGATTCCTGCTGCATCTCACCCTGATTTGGTGTGTGCTCAACAAGGCAGCTGTTAGCTAACATACAGATTAGGCAAGAAAATGAAAATGAAATAAAAGGCATTCAGATTGGAAAGGAAGAAGTAAAACTACCTCTATTCACAGATTATATGATGATGTGTATCCACTAAATCCACTGAGAAACTGTCAGAATTAATTAATGAGTTTAGCAAGGTTATAGGATATGCAGACAGTATGTAACAATCAATTTCTATAACTTTGCAATGAACAATCCAGAAATGAAATTAAGGAAACAATATTTATAGTAGCATCAACTAGAATAAAACACTTAGGAATAAGGTTAACAAAAGAAGTGCAAAACTTATACTCTAAAAACTACAAAACAGTATTGAAAGAAATTAAAGAAAACTAAATAAATGGGAAGACATCCCATGTTCATAATCAGAAGAAAATAAATATTGTCTCAAATACTTAATAAATATTAAGCATTAAAACAGCAATATTCCCCAAACTGATCTATAGATTCAATACAGTTCCTATCAGTATCCCAGATGACTTTTTAATAGAAATTGACAAGCTGATCCTGAAAATTATATGGAAACTCAAGGAACCCAGAAGAGCCAAAAACAATCATAAAAAAGAAGAAAAAATTAGGACTAATTCTTCCTAATTGCAAAACAATAATCAAGACAACATAGTACTTACTTAAGGATAGACACATAGATTAATAAAACAGAATTCAGAGTTCAGAAATAACCCCATTTATCTATGGTTAGGTGAACTTTGACAAGGATGTCAAGACTATTCAATGGGGAAAAATGAGTCTTTTCAACAAATGGTGTTGGGATAACTGTACAGCCCCATACAAAAGGATGAAATTGGACCCTTACATTGTGTATAAAGATTAAACCAAAGTGCATCAAAAACCAAAATGTAAGAGCCAGAATTATAAACTCTTAAAATATTGGTATAAGTTCTCATGACCTTGAATTTGGCAATGGATTCTTAGATATGACACCAAAAGCACAAACAACAAAAGAAAAAAAATTGGAGTTCATAAAAATTAAAAACTTTTGTCTTTCAAAGGACACTACCAAGAAAGCAAAAAGACAACTGATAGAATGGGAGAAAATATTTGTAAATCTAGAAGATATAAAGACCATGTACAACTCAATATTGAAAGAACACACAACCCAATTAAAAAATGGGCAAAGGATCTGAATAGCCATTTCTCCTAAGACATGCAAGGGACCCCTAAGCACATAGAAAGATGCTCAACATCGGTAGTCATCAGGAAAATGTAAACCAAAACCACAGTGAGATAATACTTCACACTCACCATGAGGACTACAGTAAAAAAATCAGATAAGTGTTAGCAAGGATGTGGAGAAAGAACCTTCAAGTACTGCTGGTAGAAGTGTAAAATGGTTTAGCCACTTTGGAAAACAGTGACAGTTCAGCAAAATTTACACATAGTTACTGTTTGATCCACCAATTCACTCCTAGGTGTATACACAAGAGAAATGAAAACATGCTTCCACTCAAAGATTTTTACGTGAATGCTCATAACAGCATTCATAAAAGCCCAAAAGTCCATTAACTGATACATAGATAAATGTAGTATATTCATATAGTGAAATGTTATTTGGCCATAAAAAGGAATGAAGTACTAATACATGCTACAACATTGATAAACCTTGAAAATATTATTCCAAGTGAAAGCAGACAGTCACAAACGACCACATATTGTATGACTCCATTTATAGGAAATGCCAAGAATAGGCAAATATATAGAAACAAACAGAAAGTAGACTCCTAGTTGCTTAGACCTAGCAGGGGGAAGGGGTTGATGAGAACACTGTGAAGTGCTGGCTAAGGGGTAGGGTGTTTCTTTTTGAGGTGACGAAAATATTTAAAAATTCACTGTGATGATGCTGCTGAGGCTGTGGAGAAATAGGAATGCTTTTACACTGTTGGTGGGAGTGTAAATTAGTTCAACCATTGTGGAAGACAGTGTGGTGATTCCTCAAGGATCTAGAACCAGAAATACCATTTGACCCAGCAATCCTATTACTGGGTATATACCCAAAGGATTATAAATCATTCTACTATAAAGACACATGCACATGTATGTTTATTACAGCAGTATTTACAATAGCAAAGACTTGGAACCAACCCAAATGCCCATCAATGATAGACTGGATAAAGAAAATGTGACACATATACACCATGGAATACTATGCAGCCATAAAAAAGAGTGAGTTCATGTCCTTTGCAGGGACATGGATGAAGCTGGAAACCATCATTACCAGCAAACCAACACAGGAACAGAAAAGCAAACACTGCATATTCCCACTTGTAAGTGGGAGCTGAACAATGAGAACACATGGACACAGGGAGGGAAACATCACACACCGGGCCTGTTGGGGGGATAAGGAGCAAGGGGAGGGAGAGTATTAGGACAAATACCTAATGCAAGCAGGGCTTAAAACCTAGATGACAGGTTGATAAGTGCAGCAAACCACCATGGCACATGTATACCTATGTAAGAAACCTACATGTTCTGCACATATATCCCAGAACTTAAAGTAAAATTTAAAAAAAAATCACTGTTGTGATGGTGGCACAATTCTGAGAATGTACCCATTAAGTGTGATATTATACTTTGTAAATGAGTGTATTGTATGGAATATAAATTCTATCTCATTAAAGGTGTGTGTGTCTATACAAATCGGATCATATCTTGCCTCTGCTGAGCATCCTCCAAGAGCTCTCCTTTCCTTTAGAAGAGTAAATTTCCAAGTCCTCCTAATGCCCCACAAGGCCCCACAGAATCCAGAACCCTCATCACTACCTCCTGGTCTCATCTCCTAGTCCTGTACCCTTTCTCTTTGCTATCCCTCTAACTGGACTGCTTTCCTCCCTTATAACTGCATGGCTCATACCCTTCCTTCTTCCAGCTCTTTATTCAAATGCCACTTTCTCAACTAATTGACTCTGACCATTCTATTTAAAATTGTAGTTCTGACCTTACTGCCTTGTTCCATTTTTCTTTTCCATAGCACTTATCATCTCAGCAGGTGTGATAGTCAAAATATTTAACAGTCCATCCTATAGGGTAGAGAACTATAGGGTACGAAAAAAGGTAGGAATTCTAGAGACCCCTGCTGGGCTAGCACGAACCCTGTAGTTACTAGATCATGAAGAGATCAGGGTGGTGGTGTTCCTGGAAAGGGGCAAGGAAGCTAGGGAGCACCAAGGCCTTAGGGCAGAGGTACAGAAATATTCCCACTGGACTGGCAGACTAGTACCTGATAAATACCTGATCTACTTGTATTACATTACATAAGTTTCTTGTTATGCTTATTATCAGCTTCCCCTATTAGGACATAAGTGCCACGAATGCAGGAGCTTTGCCTATTTTGTTTACAGTTATATTCCCAGCCCCAAGAGAAGCACATAGCAGGCTTTAAAAAACATTCGTTGAGTTTAAGAAATAACAGCATGTGGATTTTGGAAATAGGCACGAAATCTATATAACCTGGACCTTCGTGGTTAAGATTTTCCAGCTGCAACACATGTTGAGAAGGTCTGTGTGTTGATGGCCCAGGACAAGCACCCTGGTTTTATCAGTTACTGAAAATGCCATACAAAGAAGAAGGGGGCTAAGTTCCTGGACCTAGAGGTGGGGAGGGAGTGGATTAGTCAGAATTCTTGGCTGCAAGGTACAGAAACTAAATTCATACTGAAGGACAGGAAGGAGTTAATGGCTCACATAACTGAAAAGTTCAGGGTTTTATCTGGCTTCAGATGCAGGTGGATCCAGAAATTCCAACACTGTCATCAGAAATTTATCTCTTCATTCCTTTGCTCTGCTTTCTTCTAAATCACCTTCATTCACAGACTAGATCTCCCCAGGTTGTAGCAAATACAACCACAGGCAGATTTAGTTCTAGCAGCTGAGTACATTTCTTTGGGAAGACAGGACCCTTTGCTGCGCAGTTGGCCCAGGTTGGATGACAGGCAATCCAGAAGAGAATCTGCCTGTGATTCAGACAGACCCCTGTCCAGGGGGATGGAAGTCCAATTACCCACAAGGAGGAAGGAGGCCCATTGAGTTCACACCAAATCCTTTGTGGCTTTCAATTACTCTTGGCTGAGGGTCATGATATAGTATTGGATTCTTGACATATTTTGATGGTAGAGTGGGCAAGATTTGCTGAGGGATTAAATCTAAGGGGTTGGAGAGGAGTCCAGGATGATCCAAGATTACACATCTGGGCAATTAAATGTATCAAAATGCCATAAGCCAAGAGGGAACACTGAGAAGGAGATGTTTTGGGTGGAAGTCAGGAGGTCAGACTTACTCATGTAACTTTGAGACATTTATTAACACACAACTAGAAGATGTTAGGGAAACCACTTGACATACAATCTATAGTTCGGGAAGATGCCCAGGTGGAAAATATAAATTTCATGGTCATCAGAAATGGATTATATTTAAATCCATGAGCCTGGCTGAGCACCTAGGCAGCAAATATAGATAGAACAACGGAAGGATGAAGAAGTGAGTCTTGAGATGCTAAAACATTAACAGGTGGGGAGATGAGCCAGAAAGGAAGACTGAGAAAGAGATCCAGCAGAGTAAGAGGAAAACCAAGAGAGGAGGAAGAGGGAATTGATCAGTTGTGCCAAATGTGTAAAATGCTGTTTATAAGTTGAGTAAGATGAGAAATAGGATTGACTGTAGGAGTTAGCAATGTGATAAATGACCTTGGCCAGAGCTGACTTTGGCCAGAGCTATTATGGTGAAACAATGTGGACAAAAATTTGATTGGAGCACATTTAAGAAAGACTGGAAGGAGAGGAATTGGAGTCGGTAAGCAGAGAAGAAAACTTCTTTTTTAAAGACTTGCTCTGCGAAGGAGAACAGAGAAATTGAGCTGTGGTATAAAAGGGGAAGTGGTATCAACAGGCACTTTAAAAGTTAATTCTTTATAATTTTTTCTGTAAGTTTTCTTTTTTTTATTATTTTTTAATTAAAGTTTTTATTTGGATTAAAGTTTTTACTTGGAGGTAATAGTGGATTCACATACAACTGTGAGAAATAACACAAAGACATCCCATGTTCCTTTTACCCAGTTTCCCCAAAGGGTAACATCTTGTAAACTATGGTAGAATACCACAACCAGGATATTGACATTCATAGTGTCAAAATACAAAACATTTTCACCACTGCAAGGACCTCTCACGTTGCCCTTCAAGAGACACACCCCCCTCCCTAGCCCCCAACAACCACTAACCTCTTACTCATTTCTATAATTTTGTCAGTTCAGGAATATTATATAAATAGAATCATAGAGTATGTACCATTTGGGATAGCTTTAAAAAAACTCAGAATAATTCTCTGGAGATTCATCCAGGTTGCTCCATGTATTAATAGTTCATTTGTTTTTATTTATGAGCAGTATTCCATGGCACTGACATACCACAGTTTGACCATTCATCTGTTGAAGAATATCTGAGTCATTTTTAGTTTTGGGTTATTATAAATAAAACTGCTATAAACATTTGTGTACAGGTTTTCTTGTGAGAACATAAGCTTTCATTTCTCTGGGATAAATTCCCTGAAGTACAATTACTGGAACATATGGTAGTTGCATGTTTAGTTTTAAAGAATCTGCACCCCTCTCCCTCTCCCTCTCCCTCTCCCTCTCCCTCTCCCTCTCCCTCTCCCTCTCCCTCTCCCTCTCCCTCTCCCCCTCCCTCCTCTCCCTCTCTTTCCACGGTCTCCCTCTCAGCCGCCGAAGCTGGACTGTGCTGCTGCCATCTCGGCTCACTGCAACCTCCCTGCCTGATTCTCCTGCCTCAGCCTGCCGAGTGCCTGCGATTGCAGGCGCGCGCCGCCACGCCTGACGGGTTTTCGTATTTTTTTGGTGGAGACGGGGTTTCGCTGTGTTGGCCGGGCTGGTCTCCAGCTCCTAACCGCGAGTGATCCGCCAGCCTCGGCCTCCCGAGGTGCCGGGATTGCAGACGGAGTCTCCTTAACTCAGTGCTCAATGGTGCCCAGGCTGGAGTGCAGTGGCGTGATCTCGGCTACAACCTCCACCTCCCAGCCGCCTGCCTTGGCCCCCCAAAGTGCCGAGATTGCAGCCTCTGCCCGGCCGCTACCCCGTCTGGGAAGTGAGGAGCGTCTCTGCCTGGCCGCGCATCGTCTGGGATGTGAGGAGCCCCTCTGCCTGGCTGCCCAGTCTGGAAAGTGAGGAGCGTCTCTGCCCGGCCGCCATCCCACCTAGGAAGTGAGGAGCGCCTCTTCCCGGCCACCATCCCATCTAGGAAGTGAGGAGCGTCTCTGCCCGGCCGCCCATCGTCTGAGATGTGGGGAGCGCCTCTTACCGCCGCCCCTTCTGGGATGTGAGGAGCGCCTCGGCCCGGCCGCGACCCCGTCTGGGAGGTGAGGAGCGTCTCTGCCCGGCCGCCCCGTCTGAGAAGTGAGGAGACCCTCCACCTGGCAACTGCCCCATCTGAGAAGTGAGGAGCCCCTCCCGCCCGGCTGCCACCCAGTCTGGGAAGTGAGGAGCGTCTCCGCCCGGCAGCCACCCCGTCCGGAAGGGAGGTGGGGGTCAGCCCCCGCCAGGCCAGCCGCCCCGTCCGGGAGGGAGGTGGGGGGGTCAGCCCCCCGCCCGGCCAGCCGCCCCGTCCGGGAGGTGAGGGGCGCCTCTGCCCGGCCGCCCCTACTGGGAAGTGAGGAGCCCCTCTGCCCGGCCACCACCCCGTCTGGGAGGTGTACCCAACAGCTCATTGAGAACGGGCCATGATGACAATGGCGGTTTTGTGGAATAGAAAAGGGGGAAAGGTGGGGAAAAGATTGAGAAATCGGATGGTTGCTGTGTCTGTGTAGAAAGAAGTAGACATGGGAGACTTTTCATTTTGTTCTGTACTAAGAAAAATTCTTCTGCCTTGGGATCCTGTTGATCTATGACCTTACCCCCAACCCTGTGCTCTCTGAAACATGTGCTGTGTCCACTCAGGGTTAAATGGATTAAGGGCGGTGCAAGATGAGCTTTGTTAAACAGATGCTTGAAGGCAGCATGCTCGTTAAGGGTCATCACCACTCCCTAATCTCAAGTACCCAGGGACACACACACTCTGCCTAGGAAAACCAGAGACCTTTGTTCACTTGTTTATCTGCTGACCTTCCCTCCACTATTGTCCTATGACCCTGCCAAATCCCCCTCTGCGAGAAACACCCAAGAATGATCAATAAAAAAAAAAAAAAAGAAAAAAAAAAAAGAATCTGCAAACTGTTTTCCAGAGTGTCTGTAGCACCAGTAATGTATCAATGACCTAGTTTCTCTACATCCTCGCCAGCATTGATGATGTCACTATTTTTTTTTTTAGTTATTGATAGTTTTTTAGTCTATAGTTTAGATAGTTTTAGTTATAGCTAGCTTTTTAGTTCTTGTGATACCTCACTATGGTTTTAATCTGCGTGTTCCTAATGGCTAACAATGTAGAACATCTTTTCATGTGCTTATTTGCCTTCTGTACATCTCTTCGGTGAAATGTTTCTTCATGTCTTTTACCCGTTTTCTAATTGGATTGTTTGCTTTATTTACTGTTTAGTTTTGAGAGTTTTAAGAAATATATTCTTGATATTAGTCTTTTGTTGGATATATGGTTTGCAAATATTTTCTCGCTCTGTAGCTTGTCTTTTTATCCTCCTAAAAGAGTCTTTTGCATGGAAAGCATTTTTTAACTTTGGTAATGTCAAGTTTATCAATTTTTTAATTTTATGGGTTGTAATTTTTATGTCAAGTCTGAGAACTCTTTGTCTAGCTCTAGTCCTGAAGATATTTTACTAGGCTTTTTTCCTCTTATTTATTTATTTATTTATTTATTTTTATGGGTTTTATTTTCCTAGAAGTTTTATAGTTTTACATTTTACATTTAGGTTTGTGATCATTTTAAGTTGATCTTTGTGTAAGGTGTGAGATTTAGGTTATATTTAAAGTGAGGTTTTTGTAGAGAGTTTATAATTTGGCTATGTTTTTAAATGTCTTCTGCCAAGCTCTGTATTTTAATTCATGTATTTAGACCATCACATTTAATGCAATTATACATATATCAGGGCTTAAGGCTGCTATTTTATCTTTTGTTTTTCTTTTCTTCTTTATCTGTTTTCTTTTGCTGTCTCCTATGGGTTACTTGAACATTTTTTAGAAAGCAGTTTTGATTTATCTATAATGTTTTTGAGCTTATTTTTGTATAGTATTTTTTAGTGATTGCTTTAGGTGTTACCTTATGTATATCTACCATCACAATCTACTGATGTTGACATTTTATGAGTTTGAATGAAATATAGAGACCTTGCTCCCTTTACATCTCTTTGCCTTCCCTCACTTATAATTTAATTTTCTTTTCTTTTTTTTTTTTTTTTTTTTTTTTTTTTTGAGACGGAGTCTCACTCTATTGCCCAGGCTGGAGTGCAGTGGCATGATCTCGGCTCACTGCAAGCTCCGCCTCCCGGGTTCATGCCATTCTTCTGCCTCAGCCTCCCGAGTAGCTTGGAATACAGGTGCCCGCCACCAAGCCCGGCTAATTTTTTGTGTTTTTAGTAGAGACAGGGTTTCACCACGTTAGCCAGGATGGTCTCGATCTCCTGACCTCATGATCCACCCGCCTCGGCCTCCCAAAATGCTGGGATTACAGGCATGAGCTACCGCACCCAGCCTAATTTTCTTAAATATTTATTTTATATACATGTGGAATCACATGAGACGGTGTTATAATTTTGTTTCAATTATCAAACATAGTTTAAGGAAAATGTATTATTTTCATGCATATTTTTCCTACTATGCTCTTTCTTCCATCCTGACATTCCAAAGTTCCTTCTTTTATTGTTTCTTTTCTGTTTAGAGAACTTCCTTTAGTCATTCTTCAAGGCAAGTCTGTAGTCAACATATTCTCTTAGGTTACCCTTATTTGAGAATGTCTTGATTTCCCCTCCATTTCTGAAGGATACTTTCAATGGATATAGGATTCTAGATATGACAGTTCCTTTTCTTCTCTGCACTTGAAAGAACTGAAAAAAGCACTTGAAAAATGCTGAAAGAACTTCCTTCAGGCCTTTCTGGTTTACGATGAGAAATCCACTGTTATTGGGATTATTTTTCCCTTGCATGTAAGTTGTGATTTCTCTTTTGCTGCTTTTGAGATCTTCTCTTCGTCTTTAGTTTTCAGAAGTTTTACTATTATATATTCAGGTGTGAATTTTCCTTAAATTTTCCATTTTGGCTTTATTCAGCTTCTTAGATCTGTAGATTTATGTCTTTTGCCAAATTTGAGAAGCTTTCAACCATTATTTCTTTGAGTACTTTTTCAGGCTTGCCTTTATCCTTCTATCCTTCCAGGGTGCCACTGACATTAATGCAGGTTCTCTAATTATAATCCTGATATCCTTGAGATTCTGTTTATTATTTTTTTCCAGTCTATTTTCTCTCTGTTGTTCTTATCTTCAAGTTCACTGATTCTTTCCTTTGTCCCCTCCATTCTGGTGTTGAGCCCATCCACTGAGTTTTAAAATTTTGGTTATCACATTTTTTAGTTCTTTTTAATATCTATTATCTACTTAATGAGACTTTGTGTTTTCTTACTAAGACCTTCCATTTTTTCATTTGTTTTGAGCATGTTTGTAATTGTGTTGAAGCATCTTTATGATGGTTGTTTTGAAATCTTTGTCAGATAATTCTAACATTTTTGACATCTCAGTGCTGTCATCTGTTGATAGTCTTTTTAAATTCAATTTGAGATTTTCCTGGTTCTTGGTATGATTAATGATTTTCTATCGAAATCTGTATATTTTGGCTACTATATTATGAGACTCTGGTCTTATTTCAACTTGCTATTTTAGCTGGCTTTTTTTTTACACCAGTCCCTTAGGGGAAGGGGTGGTGCTGCCTTATTACTGCAGGTGAAGGTAGAAGTCCGGGTTCTCCACTTGGCCTTTTTTGACGTCTGAGGAGGGAAGCTCCTTACTACTGTTGGGTGGGTATGGGGTTTCTGGCTCCCACTAGGCCTGCACTGATACCTCCTTGGCTGAAAGGGGTAGGAGTGCTTTGTTACTACTCTCCACGTGGCCTTCATTATCACTAATCAGTGGTGAAAGTCCTGACTCTTCAGCAGGCCTCCTCTGATGTTACCGCAGTGGAGAGTTGGAGGGGTGCCTCATTATTGCCTGGCATGAGTGAAAGTTCAGGGCCTCACGGAGTCTCTACTAACACCACACAGGGTGGGGATTGGAGGGGAGGGCTTGTTACAGCTGCAGGAAGGTCAAAGTGTGGAGTCCCCACTCTGCATTTGCTGGCATGAGTTGGGGTGAGATCTCTGTGTTTTCTGTGGTGTTTGGCTGGAGTAGAGCAGTTGTCTAAAAGTTTTCTGTCTTGCTAGGCTGTCCCTTTCCTGTTCCTTTGGCTGGAGACAAAAGTCTTTTATTGAGCTTAAAAAAATTTTGTTTTGTCTGTGCCCATTAGCGTTTTTGGATTTTCAGCTTTTTCAGCTCTGAGCCAGGATATATGAAGCAAAATGAAAAAACCAGAGGACTCACTGCCATGTCCTCCCTTGGGTCCTGAGATTTCTAGCTAGTCTGCCTTATTCTCTCCAACTTCCAGAGTTTCTTACGTTTGTTTTATATGTCCAGGATTTATATAAAGATAATGCAAAGATAAAGTTTGCATGCTTATGGGAACAGTAGGAAAAATAATAATGTAGGGAAGGAGGAGAGCAATGCTGGTAAGATGTCCTTGAGGAAGAGGCAAGAGGGGTGACATCAAGCATACAGGGTTAGCTATAAGTAGAAGAAAGGACAATTCATCTAGTAATGTGTGTGAAGGCAGAGATTGCAATTAATTGAGTTCAGCAAAGAAAAAAGAAAGAAGAAAAGAGAATAAAGAATGTGATAGAAGAGTTATTTTACACAGATGGTTTTTCTGAGCAGATAACCTTTGATCACAAACCTGTATGAAGCAAAAAGTAAACTAGGTAAATATGTGGGGGGCAATGTCAGTTGGAAATGGGTTTATCATGTTCCAGAAACAGAAAGAGGACCTCCTCTTCTGTGCAGCTCTGCTAGACCACTCTGCCCCTCCTCCAACCTAACCAGCCTTCCTGTGTGGACCATTTGGCTTACCTCTATTATTTACACTGGTGATTCTCTCTGTACTGCAATCAATTTCTTCCAGCTTTCTAATATCTCTCCCATTAAGCCTTCTGAGGAGAGGAACTACACCTGTTTTATCTTGGTAACTAGCACTTTGCACCATGCCTGACACAGAGGAGGTGTTTTAAAACTGTCTTTCAATGGATTACCACAGAAAAAAGTTGCTCACCTCTAGAAGATGCTAGAGCAGGTACAGTGGAAAGAGCATGGACTTGGAGGGCAGACAAAGGCATGGACTTCGTGTTGAACTGCAGGTTTGAGCCAAGGAATGGTGAGGTGTGTTTGGATGGGCTGCTTTCCTGCTTCTGGCAAAAGAACACGCACAGTATTGTTCATTTTTTATTTTGGATTTCCAGAGATAGAATGAAAACCATACAAAGTAGGAATTGTGCTCTTGGTTTAATTTCTCCTGATCCCACTTGTCAGACCTTCATGTCTGACAGGCATGCTGGTTGGCAGGCTGGTTGGTTCCCTATTTTAAGATGGTTTTGGAGGGGGAATAAAAGCCCTTTGCTTAAGCTCTAGCTTATCTAACGTTCAGCCAATCAGTAACAAAAGACTCAAGAAGCTGTTAGGTGTTTCTATTTCAGGGAGCTGGAGGCTTCCTCAGAGCCCCACGTGTGCAGTTAGTCTTAAAATCCAACCTATAGTTACCCCTTCCTCATTTTAATGCTAAAAATCATGCCCAGGGGTGGCGATTTAAAATGCTAATGCTACATATGATGTATAAAGAAGTGTGTTGAGCCACTGTGCAAGCACTAGAAAAACCTCTCCTATATGTGCCCTGATGTAACCCTTCCCTATAGAAAGACCCTATAATACTAACCCACATATTGCCCTTGGGGAGCAGCCTATTCCTTTTCCTTTCTTAGTGCCAGCTCCCTTGTGCACGAGCTAATATAATTTTCTCTTTGCTGCTATACCTGCTAGTCTCTTTTGATTTCTATCTTGGGAGATTACAAGAACCCAGGGCATGGGTGACATTACCATGTGGATGGTCTCTTGACTGGTGCAGATGGTACAGACCACCTCTCCTTTCTTCACTTGGCTACCTTCTCCTCATCTTCCAAGGTTTTGTTCTTTTAAATTCTCACCCTAAAGTACCCAGATTCCCTCTTTTTCTGGATCAGGACTATTTTTCTAAAAATTTCAAGCCTTCAGCCTCCTCTTCCATCTTTGGAAACTGGCACAGCCTTTGGCTAGTCTCATCATAGCTCCTTACCCTCTTGCTCTTTCTAGACCATTTGGGTAAGGGAGAGGCTTTAGTGAGGGTAAAGGAGGGCAGGAAGGTTTTCTTTTTTGGAATTCTACCCTTTTATCTTTAAAATTTGTACTCTTTCACTGTTTGGCTTGGTCTGCTGCTGCTACTACTCAACAGGATTCATATATTGTTGATAATCCTCCCAGCTAGCACTAGTGTAATTTTTAGACTTCATGCTAAAAGGCTTTCTGTCTCCTTTGCCCACCTTGATTTATCTTACACATCTCCTCTGTTAATTTCCCTTGGTGCTGCCATGTGCGGGAACTATGTCCCAATTCTGAGGTTCCCCCTAACCCCCCAGCTTAGAGAGGCTAAGGCTATTCCCTGTGACTCAGATGCCCCTTTTACTTTCCTATCCAACTTCTGCTCAGCCTTTGCAATTTACCTCTTGGGTCAGCTCCTCAAAACAGATATCCCTTCTTCTCCTGCACAAGGTCCTCCTCCCATTGAGGCCAGAGGTCTCCTCCCCTGGGCTGTGCTTACTCTGATGGAACACTTGCCACACTAGATCTAAGGGTCATTTTTCATGTTGGTTTTGCCAGTAATGGTGAACTCCCTAAAGGCAGTCTTTTACTATTAGGTTGGTGCAAAAGTAATTGCAGCTTTTGCCATTAAAAGTAATGGCAATTACTTTTGCACCAACCTAATAGCTCTTACTCCAGGCTTCAGTCTGTGTGGGATCCAAATAAACGATATGTAAAATAAATGCTTATTTTACCCCATCGCACTGGCCAGATGGAAGGGATATCAAGTTGAGGCAGAAAACTCTGGTCCATGATTTGGGGAAGGGGCGGAGCATTGTCTGCGAGGAGGGGGTCCTGAAGGGAGGAAGGTGGGACGCCTGTGTTCTCAGAGTATTCTCTCTATAGGCAAGAGTTGTAATTTATGGCAGGGGAGTGATGGGCAGGCAAGGACCACAGAACTCATGCTGGAGAAAGTGAGCAAAAACAAATGGAAAAACTGTCAACCTTTAGGGGGTACTGAGAGATAACTCAGTGATACTTCAGGGCAATGCCCTCTGTCTTGAAATGTCTAGGTTTGCATTTCTTTGAAAAGGAGCTGAGAAAGGGAGTGGTTCTATTTCCTGCTAACAGCAGCAGATCTGCTGAGACACCAGCAGCAAGTGGGTGTCTCCTTCAGCTTAGAGGTGAGAAGATCACACCCAGGGAGCTGCTGTTTGCCCCTCCCCTTCTGCATTAGGGTGGCGACCTGGATGAGGCGTCCTTGCTTCTGGGTGCAAAGACTCCTAGCTGGAAGTCTAGGAAAAATTACCTAGGAAAAAAGACTTCAATTATAACTGATAAATTAGAGAAAGTTGACGTTTAAGGATTAGCGTCATAGATGACTTCAGGGCATTAAAATTTGGAGCACTAAAAACATCACTTGCCCCAGGGAAGAAATTAAGAACGGGCAAGAAGAGAGAGCTGGGGTCATAGTGGACATCAAATGGTGATGAAATTAAAGCGCTTGCTATTAGCAATGTGGCTGTCAATAGGGAAAGTGGGGCAGGCCTTGGAATGATGAGGAAGTGGCTGAAATGGTCACAGATCCTGGGAGGAAAGATAAGGAACTGTTTACAGAAAATCCATAATCATCTTCAAGGGTTAAGAAGGAGTATAAGGCCAGGAGCGGTGGCTAATGCCTGTAATCCCAGCACTTTGGGAGGCTGAGGGGGCAGATTGCTTGAGCCCAGGAGTTCAAGACCAGCCTGGGCAACATAGTGAGACCTCATCTCTATTAATAATTTTTTTAAAAAAGAAAACACATTTTTAAAAAGGAAAGAGTATAAAGAGATTTTATATAATTGTTCCCCGTCTTTAGAGGGGAATCAACTTTTGTGTGTTTTCAACAAATGTGTGTTTTTGTATGTGTGTGTTTTCAGCAAACATGAAGGAGTTAAAAGAGTTACAGTTGACACATAATTAATTAAAATACACTTTGATGATGGCAAATTTTCCATACGATTTTTAGCGTTTCACTTGGAAAGGGTTCAAAAAATTGAGTGTCATTGCTATTAAAAGATAACCCAGCTGGGCACAGTTGCTCACACCTATAATCCCAGTACTTTGGCAGGCCAAGGCAGGAGAATTTCCTGCGCCTAAGAGTTTGAGACCAGCCTGGGCAACATAGGGAGACTGTGTCTCTTTAAAAAAAATGAAATTTTAAAAAATCAACTGAGTGTAGTGGCACACACCTATAGTCCCAGCTACTCGGGAAGCTGAAGCGGGAGAATTGCTTGAGCCTGGGAGGTTGAGGCTGCAGTGAGTTGTGATGGTGCCATTTGCACTCCAGTCTGGGTAACAGAGTGAGACCCTGTCACTAAAAAAAAAAAAAAAAAGAAAGAAAGAAAAAAGAAAGTCCTTCCATTACCATCTATTTATTATTATAGTTAAAAAGACAGAATTAGAATTGATGCCAAATTCTGTCTTATTCTGTTAATAAGTTATATTCACCTATGGAAACATGAACTAATTAGGAAAAACCACAAGTTTCATCTCAATGAGATGCATATTCATTGGAATTTTATTTTTTATGTTTACTATTTATCAAAATATGTTATTTTGATTCAACATTCACCAATAAATAATTGTAATAATATTCAATCTAGAAGAAACTTTAACACTTAGAGTCTTACTGTTATAGGAAATTTTTAAAACCCCATTTTAAATAAATAGATGGTTTTCTCAATTTGTTTCTTTATTGAAAAGAAAATACATATTCATAATAAAAAATTCCAAGACTACAAAAATAATCCAGGCTGAAAATTAATCCTCCTCCCATCCCTGTCCCCAGCCACCCTGTGCTCTTGCCAGGGGCACCCTCTGAAACCAGTTTCTTGGTTGTCTGGCCATAGATTCTATGTGTGAACATTTGAGGAGATAGTTGGCACTCAGTGTGTCACTTTTTAAATTTTTGCCTCCTTCATTCAGAAAAAGAACTTTTTATGGCTCCACCATGACTCTCTGAGGTTGCTGGGCACAGCCTGAGATTAAGTCCTGCAGTAAACAGAACACCTTCCTTCTGCAGGCACCAATTTGGTGGTTTCTGCCTTGGAGAATCTGGTGGAAATGTTGGGAAGCCCAGAGAGATCCTGCCGAGCGACACCCAGAAGTGTGAGGCCATAAGCCGCCTCCGCCATACTTCACATCATTACCCACTGGCTCTGTTCGGGGCTCTCCCAGCTCAGGAGTGTTGAGGGTTAAATTGTACTCCCCCCAAAAATATATTCAAGTCCTAGCCCCTGGTACCTGTGAATGTGACTTTAGACATAGAGTCTTTCCAGATACAATTAAGTTAAATGAGGTCACACTGGATTAGCATGGCCCTACATCTGATGACTGGTGTCCTTATAAAGACGCATGTGAAGACACAGAAACACAGGCACACAGGGAGGACACCATGTGACAACAGAGGCAGAGACTGGAGTGACGTGTCTGCCAGCAAAGAAAAGGCAAGGGTTGCCAACATCCACCAGACGCTAGGAGAGAGGTGCGGAACAGATCGTCTCTCCCTCAGAGCTCCAAGAAGGAACCAATCCTGCAGATATCTTGATTTCAGACTTCCCGCCTCCAGGACTGTGAGAGAATAAAGTTCTGTTGTGTTAAGCCTACAGTTTGTGGTACTGTGTCATGACAGCTGTAGGAAACCAATACAGGTGGTCTCAAAAGCCGCTCCAGTGCTCATCTCTGAGTACCTGAAGGAGGGTTCCTTCCTGCAGCAGGGGCTACCCTGCCCAGATTCCTGACCTCCATTTTAGCAGCTAGAGCTGCTGCCAAAGGCTCATACCAGGGACCTTCTCTGGAGGCTTGCTTTCTGGAGGATAGAGCACTGCCCCACTGGTGCCTGGGAGGTATGCCTCCTCTGCCCATAACCGATGACATTCTAGCCCTCTGGCCTAGAGAAAGACAGACTGGGTGCTGTCTATAGCCCAGAGCTCTCTGAGGCATCCAGCTGAGCCTTGACATCAGCTGGCCCCAGATCCTTGCTTAACTTCTTCCCCTGCCCCATCCTGCTTCCCTCCCTCCCTCCGGAGTTTCTCCTGAGAGCATCCCTGATCCCAAATCACCTGCACCTGAACCCTGTCTCAGCTTCTGCTTCTAAGGAGCCTGATAAGACATTTTCCAGGGCCCCACTCCTCTGTTCTTGGGTTTAGGGTTGTCCTGAAGTGCTGTGGTGTGGAATGTCCATGTGGTGAATTTAGACCAGGATTGAGTGGATCCCTGAGGGCGTCAATGTTGTTGGGTGATCTGTAAGGGGCAGACACTAATGAAGTCCTTGTGAAGGCTGGTGGAGGGAACAGCTGGCAGTCCCTGGTGTGGGTGATAGTAGGATCTTCCCCAGTGGAACCCTGAAAATCACAGAAGGTGACTGAGCACCAATAACATTCCTGTGGCCATTTGTCAGACTCACCCACCAGCTCATTCTGGAGGACAGCTTCTTGGCTCCTTCTCCAAGGCTCTGAAGTCTCTCCTTTCTCAATCTCCTTCTTCCTCTCTCTTGCCTGCCCCTCATATATTAATTCATTCAACAAATATTTATTGAGTATCAGCTTTGCATCAGGCACTATTCTGGATGCTGGGGACAGAGCAGTGGATAAAAAAGACCAAGTCTGTGGTCTCATGGAGCTCAGAGTCAGATGGGGAGACAGAAACACACACAGATGTGTCAGATCAGGTCCAACCCTGGGAAGTCTCCTTAGAGGCAACGAAAGCATTTCCTTTGCCTGCCTTTGTCAAGATGTTGCAAGTCCTTTCTCCTACAGATTTAAACTATAGTCTAATTATAATAATAGTATTTGTGAATATTATTATAGCAGCCAGCCTTCTAGGATATTTCTTTTCTGTCCTGTCCATGTTACCTGCTCATATGGGGAGAGAAGAAGGAGAAAATACAGGAAGAAAGAAGCATACATTAATAATTCAAAATATTAACCTATATTTTGCTTGTTAAATCATATCATTAGGTGTCAGCTCATAGATCCCATTAGAAAGGGGAGAGGTGAGGGAATATTTCTGGAACATTCTATCACTATCTTTAGGGTTTGGGGAAGGGTATAGGAAGACCTTGTGTGTGACTTTGGGCGAGTCCCTTAACCTCTCTGGGCCTTATTCTGGAAAAGGATGTGTGTCACGGGGGGTTGTTATACAGATTATTTCATCACCCAGGTATTAAGCCTAGTACCCATTAGTTATTTTTCTTGATTCTCTCCCTCTTCCCACCTTTCTCCCTCCTATAGGCCCCAGTGTGTGGGATTCTGATATTACTTTGAGGGTTTATTTATTTTCCTTGGTTTTCTAGGAATAGATTTCTCAACAAAGCAAGTGCTCACATAAGCTGCTGAAGTCTTAAATGGAGAGCAGAGATAGCTGGAGTCCTGTGGGTACTTTAAGGGAGTTTCAGGTATGTCCTCCAGTTCTCAGCTCTCTCGTAACTGCCCAGCTGCTAGGAGATTTTATGAGTCAAGGGATGAGGGCAGGTGGGGTGCGATGGGTTCCCAGAGTGGTTGGGGGTAGAGGAGCAGGAGATCTTAATGTATTTCTGATGGGGACAGTGAGCAGGTCCCTATGTTTTCTGCCTCTGAGTTTTCCAGAGAAGATCATCCTCATATCTTGTACTCAAGGAATAGGCAAATGTAGCAATTCTTGCTTCCCTGATTTTTGGCTGGATTGATCATCTATGTGTCAAGTTAATCATGGGAGAGCGGGTTTTATTTTCTCTCAAACATTGGGCAGGATTATGTGAAAATGTGTGGGTTTTCTTTAGCCCTCATAGTATTTTATTTCTTTACTTATTCATTTTTATTTAACTTTTATTTTAAGTTCAGAGGTACATGTGCAGGTTTGTCGTATAAGTCACGGGTACATGTGTCATGGGGGTTTGTTGTACGGATTATTTCATCACCCGGGCATTAAGCCTAGTATCCATTAGTTATTTTTCCTGATCCTCTCCTTCCTCCCACCCTTCACCCTCAGGTGGCCCCAGTGTGTGTTGTTCCCCTCTATGTATCCATGTGTTCTCATCATTTCGCTCCCACTTATAAGTGAGTACGTGTGGTATTTGGTTTTCTGTTCCTGCATTGGTTTGCTAGGGCTAATGGTCTCCAGCTCCACCCATGTTCCTGCAAAGGACATGCTCTCTTTATAGTTCATAGTATTTGATGGCATATATGCACCACATTTTCTTTATCCAGTCTACCTTCGATGGACATTTAGGTTGATTCCTTTGCTATTGTGAATAGTGCTACAATGAACATACGCATGCATGTGTCTTCATGGTAGAATGATTTATATTCCTTTGTGTATATACCCAGTAATGGGATTGCTGGGTCAAATGGTATTTCTATTTTTAGCTCTGAGGAATTGCCACATTGTTTTCCACAATGGTTGAACTAACTTACATTCTCACCAACAATGTATAAGCCTTCCTTTTTCTGTACAACCTCGCCAGCATCCATTATTTTTTGATTTTTAAATAATCACCATTCTGACTGGTGTGAGATGGTATCTCATTGTGGTTTTGATTTGCATTTCTCTAATGATCAGTGATATTGAGGTTTTTTTCATATGTTTGTGGGCCACATGTATATCTTCTTTTGAAAAGTGTCTGTTCATAGGGCAGGGCGCGGTGGCTCACGCCTGTAATCCCAGCACTTTGGGAGGCTGAGGCGGGCAGATTAGAAGGTCAGGAGATCGAGACCATCATGGCTAACACGGTGAAACCCCGTCTCTACTAAAAATATAAAAAAATTAGCCGGGCACAGTGGCGGGCGCCTGTAGTCCCAGCTACTTGGGAGGCTGAGGCAGGAGAATGGCGTGAACCCAGGAGGCAGAGCTTGCAGTGAGCTGAGATCACGCCACTGCACTCCAGCCTGGGTGACAGACCGAGACTCCGTCTCAGAAAAAAAAAAGAAAAAGAAAAGTGTCTGTTCATGTCCTTTGCCCACTTTTTAACGGGGTTGTTTGTTTTCTTCTTGTAAATTTGTTTTTTACTTATAGATGCTGGATATTAGACTAGCCCTCAGAGTATTTTAAATAACACTTTGAATTGGTTGCCAGTTAATATCAGGAGATTTCACTTTTAACATTCCTATTTTCAGATGTTAAGAGATTCAGAGACACAGGTGCTGAGACTCCCAAAGGCAGTGTCCCAGAGATGTGTTGCTGCTGCCGTCTTATAATTCAAGACTACAACATCAACTCTTCCTTGGATCTTCAGCCTGCCAGCCTCTCTGCAGATTTTGAACTTGCCATTTCCCATAATCTCATGAGCCAACTCCTTAAAGTCTCTCTGTCTCTCTCTTACACACAGACACAACACCACTACGACCACCACCACCACCACCACCACCACCAGTAGGTATATGTCCTATTGGTTCTTTGGAGAACTCTGACTAATGCAGGTTCTAAGCTAAAGCATGTTTTTGCATAACATAATTTACCTCATTTAATGCTCACAACATTCCTTCAGAAGTAGGTGTTGTTGGCTCTGCTGTGCATTTGCTTTTGAGAATGCTAAAGGGACAGAGAGAGATATTAAGAGATTTTTCTAAAGTGGGAAAAACAGATACCTAAAGGCAGGTGTATCTGGATGGAGAGTCAGCACATTGAGTCAGAAGATGAAATAAGACCAAGGTGTGAATAGGAAGAGTGGGCTTCTTCAACTCTTTCGGGTCCTTCTGTTCTCTGTCTGGCTATTTTTCTTGATCCCTCTTCAAGTGACAGTCACCAGAGACCTTCAGGGAGCCAAGCTGAATTAGGTATGAGAATGTGTCAGGCAGGCAAAGCCTCTCTAGTGGGTGGAGGTGTGTGCAATTTAGACAAAGTTACTTCCAGTAAGAGATGTTTAGGGAAGTCCTAGTCTCTAAAATAACTATCTCAGGGTGAGATTCTGTTCCATGTTCTTCATTGCCCAATACTTTAGGTTGCAAGTGATAAAAACTTGCAACAAACAAAAAAGCATCCTTCATCAAATTGAAGTAAGTAAAAAAGGGACTTTACTGGCTTACATAATGAACAGGCCAAAGCCTGGGTGTGTTGGGATCCAGGTCCTTGAGCTAGGTCACTGGGATTGCTTTCACCATCTTTCACCATCTTTTGGTTCTGCTTTTGTCTCTAATGGTAGCAAGATATTTATGAGATTATATTTTTATCTCACCAGTTGAGGAACTCCAGGAGAGAGGGCGAGAGAGAGAGAGAGAGAGAGACTGCTTCCCAACAGCTCCCACAAATGTCCTGAAATTGAAATTGACTCTCTTTGGGCCATCTCAGTACATGTGCTTACCCATGACCAATCTCTGTGGTCAGAAGTGTGAAATATGATAAGCTTCCCACTGGGGTCCACTCAAGCTCTGGACAGCTTAGAGCATATCAAAGTCCCTGATTTTAACATAAAAGAATTCATAAAGGAAGCAATTAGCAGATTTGTCTAACTGAAAATTAAGAGCATTTGAATATCAACATCCATCATAAATAACACGAAAGAGAAAACAGAAAACTGGACAAAAATATTTGTCACCAGTAGTTTTATAATAGTCTTTATATAAAAATGGCACACACCTTGGTTTAAAAAATATTGACTCTATGACTTAGAAAAATGTTCATGCATGCGTATGTTCATTGCAGCACTATTCACAATAGCAAAGTCATGAAGTCTACCTAAATGCCCACCAATGATAGACTGGATAAAGAAAATGTGGTATCTAGACAACATGGAATACTATGCAACCATAAAAATGAATGAGATCGTGCCCTGTGCAGGGACATGGATGGAGCTGGAGGCCATTATCCTCAGCAAACTAACACAGGAACAAAAAACCAAATACCATGTGTTCTCACTTATAAGTGGGAGCTAAATGATGAGAACACATGGATACATAGAGGGGAACAATACACACTGAGGCCTATTGGAGGATGGAGGGTGGGAGGAGGAAAAGGAACAGGAAAAATAACTAATGGATACTAGGCTTAATACCTAGGTGATAAAAAAATTTGTACAACAAATCCCCATGGCACACATTTACCTATGTGACAAGCCTGCAATGTACCCCATAACTTAAAATAAAAGTTTAAAGAAAGAGAAAAATGAACAATTGGCAGCACCACTTATATATCCCACAGGTACTTCAAAATCAGCTTGCAAAGTAGACCCCCTTATTTATATCAGGTAGAATTCTCTCAGAAGTAAGTAACAGAAAATCTGACTCATACCAGCTCTAATCATAAAAACCAGAGGTATATTGGCCTCAGATATAGTTTGATCAGAATTCTAGTTCAATTTCTCTGAAATTTCCTCTTTCTTCCTTTCTCCCCACATTCAACCTCCTCCTGAGGCTGACTGCTCTCATGGAGATGAAAAGGCTGCAGCAACTTCAGATTTCATGGACTCAACACCACACTGTCCAGAATGTGTGTCCCAAAATTCCAATCAAAACACTGATTGGGTTATCCTTGAAGCCACACATAGACAGAAAAATGCCATAGGCTGATTGGCTTAGACCTCGTTCTTTAACTACTCTCTTTGTAAAGAGAAATTATTCTAAGTCCGTCAGAATCTACCCTAGGAGCTGGGAGGGGTCAAACCTGCCAAACTTCATGGCTACTGTAAGATGAGATGGGGGAAGAATCATTGCTGGGGAAATAGTCGCAGAGTCCATGATATCACTGTTGTTTCCAAAAATGCCTCTCCTTGCATGTTCCCCATCTTTCAGCATTGCAGCCAGAAATTTTTCTAAATCTTGCATAATTCTTGCTTAATATCTTTTTAAATTTAACTTTTAAGTTCAGGGGTACATGTGCAGGTTTGTTACATAGGTAAACTTGTGTCATGCGGGTTTGCTGTACAGGTTATTTCATCACCCAAGTATTAAGCCTAGTACCCATTAGTTATTTTTCCTGATCCTCTCCCTCCTCCCACCCTCCATCCTCTGACAGGCCCCAGCATGTATTGTTACCCTCTATGTGTCCATGTGTTCTCATCATTTAGTTCTCATTTATAAGTGAAAACATGCTTAATCTCTTTTAATGGTCCCACTCTACATGCACGATGAAGTCCAAATACTTCACTATGACTTACAAAGTCCTCCAAGAACTGGCTGTTAAGATCCAAGACTTTTCTTTCGAGTCTGTCTAGGCTCATCCCTTTTGTCCTGACCTTTCCCACCTCCTATCATCCAGGCACACTAATGTTCTTTTCTTCTTTCTTTTCTCTTTCTTCCAGAACTTTATACATACTGTTTCTTTTGCTGGGAACCCTCTTCTGCTACATCTTCACCTACGCTAGTTTCTCCTTAATTCTTAATTCCTGGGTTAAGTGTGTCTTCCCCTGGAAAGACTATCCTGACCTCTCTCTACTCTAAGGCTAGGTGAAGGGTCTCTGTATTCTCATGTGTCCTCTCTCTCTGCCCCCTACCTTGTCAGCTCTGTTATGACAGAAATGAGTTTATTTTGTTCAATGCTGTTTCTCTGGTGTCTTCCCCTACTCCATCACACACACAGTGTGTCCAGTAAATATATGTTGAATAAATAAGTGAAATAACAGAGGAAGTATAATCATTGAGAAACCTATGTAGAATATTTATCTCTGGGAAGTGAAATAAAGCTAATTTTCAAATAGCTTTCCATAAAGTTCCAAATTTTCTTCAACAAGCCTTTATTATTTATATAACAAACACAGTGCAGAAGAAGGCAAGTTCTCCCTAATGTCAACTGGAGATTTGATTCCCAGTAACCTCCCCCATTGATCCTGGCTCTAACCCTGGGTGTTTGTGCCTTTTGGCCTGTCTTAAATTCTGTCTTCCCCATTTTCTAATTCTCTATTTAGCTGCATTTATTCTACTGCTAAGTCTGTCTTTTGAGTTTTTAGTTCTATCACAATTTTTATTTCTAGGAGTTACATTTGTTTTTTCCTGAAGCTGTTTCCCTTTAACTAATATTTTCAAGCTTCTCTGTTACTTATTGGAACATATTAAATATTGTATTATCTTCTATTTCTTTTATTTCCAATATCTGAATTTATTTAGGACTAATTCTGTCAGTTTTTTTCCCTGCTAGCCTTTACTTATGGTGCCTTTTCTCCTTGTATGTTTTATTTATTTATTTTTAACTTTCAATACCTTGGACATTTGTGGATATTCTTTCAGAATTGGGATAGGGGAGTTTCCTCCAGAGATTTGGATTTACCTTTTTCTGGTACTAGGGTTACTATCTGTTCCAGGACCACCTTAAGTTATTAGGTGAGCTTTTCTGACCACTGGGAAAGAGTGAATTGAGGCTTCAAATTCATGTGAGGGAATGGCTCATGGTTACAATTGCCAGGGGAGATATTTCCTGCTTCTGTTCAGGACAAAGGATCAAGACCTTCACTTCCCTGGGTTGGGATGTAGGCAGTTCATTGTTATCCGTAGCAAACTAACGCAGGAACAGAAAACCAAATACCACATGTTCTCACTTATAACTAGGAGCTAAACATTGAGCACACATGGACACAAAGAAGGGAACAACAGACAGTGGGGCCTACTTGAGGGTGGCGGGTGGGAGAAGGGTGAGTTCGTTGTTTAGTTCATTGTTACGCTATGGAGGCAGTTCATTGTTAGTGCATTGTTACACTATGGATGCAGTCCTTTGGGGTTCCAGCTTTGGAGCATTATCCTCTTTGACTCTCTGCCTTGAGTAAGCCATGAGCTTTTTCTGTCTCTTTAGCTCCTTGAAGTAGAAAAAGTCATACTCAATTTCACAAAGTTTTATAAATGCTGTTAATGTTAAAGCTGGCTTCAGAGCTCTACTTACACACGTTAAATTAGTTCCTGCTGGAACATTCCTCTTTTCCCATATTAAATGTGCTTTCAAGAAGTTGGGTTTTATATTTTTATATATTTATTTACTTATTTACTTATTTGAGACAGAGTCTCACTCTGTTGCCCAGGATGGAGTGCAGTGGCGTGATCTCAGCTCACTGCAACCTCCGCTTCCTGGGTTCAAGCGATTCTCCTGCCTCAGCCTCCTGAGTAGCTGGGATTACAGTTGCACGCCCCCACACCTGGCTAATTTTTTATATTTTTGATAGAGATGGGGTTTCACCATGTTGGCCAGGCTGGTCTCGAATTCCTGACCTCAAGTGATCCACCCATCTCAGCCTCCCAAAATCCTGGGATTACAGGCGTGAGCCACCATGCCCAGCCAAGAGTTCGGTATTTTATTCAGCATTTTAAATTGTTTTTACCATGAGAGAAGTGAGCTACAAACACAGAATGGGGTATTTCCATTGTATTGTTGGATTAAAATCAGTATCAATATGGACTCATAATTTAAAAAAAAAGATAAGCGTGTGTGTATCCTAACTCTATCCATAGAAAGAGATTAGAAATAATGACATCCAGTAACAAGTAGGATGCTTATTCCAGATGTTAGTGTTCTTTTTTGCTTCCAACTTTCTTTTAGGTTCAGAGGATACATGTGCTGCATTTGTTACATGGGTAAATTGTATGTCACTGGGGTTTGGTGTACAAATGATTTCATCACCCAGGTAGTGAGCATAGTACGTTTTTCGATCTTCACCCTCCTCCCACCCTCGGCCCTCAAGTAAGCCCCAGTGTCTGTTGTTCCCCTTTTTGTGTCCATCTGTGCTCAATGTTTAGCTCCCACTTATAAGCAAGAACATGCAGTATTTGGTTTTTCTGTTTCTGCGTTGGTTTGCTAAGGATAATGGCCTCCAGCCATTATCAGTTGGGATGGCCCATTAAAGTTGTTCCAAGTTGGGGTGAGGGACTCAGGTCTTTTTATTTCCCATCCACTCCCCCATATTGTCTAGAATGATGCCTGGGCATCATTGGAGAAGGCAGTTCCTTCCTATGGAGGATAATTCCTGGGGACAGCCTTGGCTGAGAGCCCTCAGCAGATGACACTCTGAGCAGCTGGGGAGTGAGTGCCCTGGTCTGAAGGAGAATCGGGAAAGCAATCACAGCATCCACTACAAAGCCAGATAATAAATAATAAATATAGAAGGAATGATATAATTAGAAAAACACAATTTTTCCAATTCCAATCTAATAATGGATCCAAGCAAGGACCACCAATGATGCTAAGATCATTAGGTGAAAGGTTTCATGGGAACAAAGTATTCATATGGTCTCAAAATTTGTCCTCAATTTTATTTATTTATTATTTATTTTAATAAGGTATAGTTGACAAATAATTGTATATATTTATGGTTTGCAATGTGATGTTTTGGTATGTACATATACATTGTGAAATAGTTAAGGCAAGTGAATTAACATATTCATCATTTCACATACTTATTATCTGGCTGTGAGAACATTTAAGATCTACTCTTTTAGCAATTTTCAAGTATATAATACATTATTATCAAGTATAGTTAGTATGCTGTACAATCTCCTCACTGTTCAATTACTTTAGTTACTTTTTAATTACAAAGGGGAAAAGTGCCTTTACAGTGGAGAGATCTGACAGATACCATCTTAACCAAGAGATGAAACTTAACCTTACCAATAATGTGACAAATTAACTTCATATACCTCCTGATATATGCTCCATGTTGCATTTTTGCCTAATATTTTAACCTGATCTAATACTGAGAAAACAATCAGACAAACCTAATACATATATGGGATATTCTACAAGATAGTGTGGCCTGGATTTATCAAAAATATAAATGTCTTAAAGAGAAAAAAGACACAGACCTACCTAACTCTTCATAGACAAAGTTTGCCTCACTTCTGCCTTAAAGATGACTAAAGAGACATGACGATCAATTGTCAATGCAATGTTGAATCTTGATTGGATCCTAGATTTTTTAAAAAGCTATAGGGGAAAATTTGGGTATCATTGGATTGTACATTAAGTGATATTACTGAATCAATGTTACATTTCTTGGGTGTGATAATAATATTGTGGTTATGTGGCAGGAGTCATTATCCTTAGGACACATATGCTAATGTAATTAGGAGTAATATATCTGTCACTTACTCTCTGATAGTTTAGTCAAAGAAAAATCTCTTTCTGTCTCTTTTTCTTACTCTTTCTTTCTCCTCTCACACAGAGAGATCAAACACAGGTGGCAGAATGGTAAAGTTGCAGAATCCAGATAAAGGTTATATGGTGTTTGTTGTAGTGCTCATTTAACTTCTTAGCTTTACCATTTTTAAAATAAAAAGTTGGGGAAAACGGTAAAAGAAACTTTCTTAATTTTAATTCTTAATCTAGTTAAATATTCCAGCAGTCAGTTTTCAGCCTCTTTAAAGTGGTTTGTTTAATTTTTTCCAAATGTGAAAGTCGATCTTTCTATTCCCATAGATAGAACAATAGTTCTTGTTCGAGAGGGAGAGAGCTGGGTGCTTTCAGCCTATGTGAGGCGTCGGCAACACCAAGCAGGCTGAAAGGGAAGGCTGCCATGATGTAAAAACACTCAGTAATACCCAGTGAAGATGAATTCTCTACCTTTCAGTTCCTAATTTTTAGTTTTGAATCTCAAGGAACGGACATTTCCAAATTAAAAACAGCTTCGTGGGCCGGGCGCAGTGGCTCACGCCTGTAATCCTAGCACTTTTGGAGGCCAAGACGGGCGGATCACGAGGTCAGGAGACCCAGACCATCCTGGCTAATACGGTGAAACCCTGTCTCTACTAAAAATACAAAAAAATTAGCCGGGCGTGGTGGTGGGCACCTGTAGTCCCAGCTACTCGGGAGGCTGAGGCAGGAGAATGGCGTGAACCCTGGAGGCGGAGCTTGCAGTGAGCCGAGATCGCGCCACTGCACTCCAGCCTGGGCCACAGAGTGAGACTCCCTCTCAAAAAAAAAAAAAAGAAAGAAAAGAAAGACAAAAACAAAAAACAAAAAACAGCTTCATGGAAAGAGTGTGGCTGGGTAGTAATGTGGTACTATGTTCAAATCCCAGCCTGGGCCACTTTCTACTGCTAGGACATACGTAACAATGATCACCCTCACCACTACCACAAACAGTGTGCGTGGAATTTGTGCCATGTGCCAGGTCCAGGTCTAAGAAGTTCTCAAATACTAATTCATTTAATTCTTACACTGTGAAGTTAGCCGTTATTATCACTCTCATTCTACAGAGGAAGAAACTGAGACCAAAAAGTGTGAAGAGCTTGCCCAATGTCTCACAGCTGGTGGGTGGAATGACTGGGATTTAAACCAGGCAGTGTCCTTGGGAGCTCCCACCTGTCACCACTGCACCATAGGCTCTTTCAGATGGACGTGGGCTGACTTTCCAGAACTGGAATCTTGTAACTTGGGCCTACTATTAAATTTCTGTCTGGATTCATCAGGCACCCAACTTAGCCATCATGGCCATGCCATCAGATGTGGCTTTTAAGGATAAGAGTTATGGTAAAGGCAACTGGCTGGTGGTTGGGTTTTGAGAAGAGGCCAGTCCATGGACATATTGATCTTTAATGCCCTCAAGCAAAGCATGTACATAGTTTACCAAGAGTGGTTACCCTTATGATTGGACCATTGCAGATGTGGTATCTGTAAGGGCAACTTTTGAAGGAATCAATCCCAGTCCACAAAATGAGAGATGCTTTATAAGGGATGAAATAAAGTTTCATTGAATTTAGTTCTGGGTGGCAGGTAGGTCTGCTAGCAAGTTCCGAAAGACCAGCCGTTTTCTTTGAGTTATATGCGCCTGAAACTCCTCCTCGTAAACATCTGAGGCTCACTCACACCTCAGTGATGAACTGCCACCCTCCTCCACTGAGAGCAGGAAGAGAGCACCCAGAGTGGATACCATGACAGCTCAGCCAAACAGGCTCTCTGCCAGGAGGGCTGAGGCAGGAACCCGTCACATAGACACTCTCCAGGAATGAACTCAGGAAAGATCATGCACTTGACTTGGTCAACCTGAAGTCATACCCTAAAACCTCTTTGTTAGCCTCTTGCAGGTAACAGCCACCACAATGGTGTGACCCGAATGATGCTGTGACTAATTTCTCAGACTTTCAGGACTGCCCTGTGGCTGGGTACCTATCACCAAAAGCCATAAAGGGCTGCAGACAACATTGCTAAGATTACTTTAGCACAATGCCTGTATTCAGCAGACACACACAGATGGTAGTTCCTTTCTTTGAGTCAGTTTGTGCTGGGATGCTGACATTTCCCCAGACGATGCCACCCTTTTGGGTGTGCATAATTTCCTAGACTGTCTCATCCTGGGCCATGTTCCTTGAATTAGAAATAGAAGGGAGGGGGTCAGGTCATCCTTCAGGGTGCACAGCTCCTCTCGTGTCCCATCAAGGGTAGCAGTGTCCCTGCTGGAATAGCCCCTCTTAGTCCTCTCCTCTTAGAGCCTCGGAAACTTAATTTCAGAATAAGACATGGCTTCTTCTATTCATTTTTAGAAAGGTGCTATTTGGATTTTGCACATAGCTGTGAAAGTAAAAACAGGATTTATAATGCTGGAGATTGAGGAAGAGTTTTGCAACTCAAACCTCAAAGGAGAAGTATTGGCTTCCTCAGCTTCCCCCTGACAAGGGAGATTAATGTCATTCCACTATGCTAGTGACTAGCCAGCAGAGGGAATTAAAATAGATCTTTGTTGTGCCGGGCAGGAGGAACAAATGTTGGAAGCTCCTAGAGCTGCTCTCTTCTCAGCTCTCTTCTCTGCTCTCTTCTCTCTTTAGGAGCTGACAGGTGAAGGCTGGATGCTGATTAGCAAGGGCTTCCTAGCCTCCTGTGGGAAGTAAGCCAGGGTGGAAGCTCAGGCACAGGTCCTCTAAGTAGGGGGGATGGCTGTGGTTCTGAGGGAGACTCCTGCTTGGCCCACACTTCCTGAAGGTTCAGTGTGGGGAAGCAGAGGCATATGGAGGCATCAGCCTCGGGCCTTCCCTCACTCACATTTAGGGCTGCACACGGTGCCCCACCCCACCCATCACCCACCCCCCCTGCCCAATGCCATTTCTCCCCTCCGCCTACCCCTCTGTGGCCTTTCCCCTTCCTGGAAGGGGACTGTGGCTGGAGGGCAGATCTGAGAGGAGACCTAAAAAGAAAGAAAATAGGAAGAAAACGAGGGGGAAAATAATAAAAACAGGAGGCTTATTGAAGGAGGGAGGAGCAGGGGAGAGTGGGAGCATGGGGAGCAGACAGTTTGTTCCAGCAGGCTGGATGTTGGGAGGAATATGATGGGGGCTCAAAATAAATAAGACTAGCTCTATTCTCAACACTTCTATCAGAATTAGGCAAATCCTTAAATTCTGTGACAGCCCAATGGCAGATGTGAGAAGGTGCCCTCAGAGCTCCTCAGAGCTCCGACTGTCAGAAGAACTTGACCGTTGTGCCCTGAAGTTGCTTCCCATCGAGGGACTCAGCATGGCAGTTCCAATCCTGGGAGACATCACCTGAGCTCCATGACATCCCAGTGGCCTTGCCAAAACTTTCCTTCCATCTCTTCCACACAGGGAACAGACCTGTGTTGTGGTCTGGAGGCTTCTCAGCCTCTCACAGCCTCCCTTTTTCCCTCACAGGTGTTCTCCCTAACACATCTCTCATACGTCCAATTCCTTCCCATCTTAGCACCTGCTTCTTGGAGGAGCCAAAACAGCAGAAACCCCAACACTGGGCACCATTGCTATGTTTATTTTACAGATGGGAAAATCAGGGCACAGAGACATTAAATGAATTGCCTCAAGTTTTGTAGTCAGTACATATATGGTGGAGCTAGGAGTTGAAACCACCTGCTTAAGTCTCATGCTACTCTTATTACCATTTTTCACATGGAGAAGCTGAGACAAGTTCAGAAATAAATGCACTGTCCCTTGGCTATTGTGGCTCAAATGCCCCAGGATACTAACGGGGCCCAATGAACACCAAGCCTCCGTCATCTTGAGTCTCCAGTCTCCCCTGAGTAAGGACAGCATCTCTCTATACCTTTCTGGAGTGAGAGGGCAGCTCACAGGTGTTCAGGGCCAAGTCCATGCCCTCCAATGGCATCCTACACATCTGCCAGGCATCGGGCGTCTCCTGCCTGCTATCACATCTCTTCCTGGCTCCCAGCAGGACTGTCTATGGTACACTCCAGTGACTGCAGACTTCCTGAGACTCCAAAACCACCATAGCCTTGCTGGCTTTCACGCAGTTCCAGGGAGTTCTCAGAGGTTCTGGGGCAGGTTTGGGGCCAGATACCTCCTGCTTCTTTTTCTCCACACTTTTCACATCACTGGTCCCAGATACCTTTGCACAGAAGTGGCTTCCTTAGCTACATGCCAGTTACCCCCAAGAAGACTACATTCTGCTAACCAGGGGACAGCTGCCTGGATTTAGGAGGGCTCAGATGAAACACTCTGCACAGCTGGGAAGTGCTGGACCGAGATTGAAGCCTGGGTCTGCCTCCATGTATAACAGCCCTGCTCTTCTGCTCCTCTGCTATAAGCAGAGGAGGAAAAACCTGGAAGAGAGGGAAATCATAGGAGTTAGGACACAAAGTCATGAATGGAGGTGGGGACAGTGATGCTCTTTGACGAGGAGAGATAAGGAGACTGGAGAGAGGGGGCATCTCTGCAGATGTCAGGCTCCCCTCATGAATGGTCCTGAGGGTGGCCATGGGCCAGGAGGGCATTTGACTTGTCTGGCTGTGTGAGGGTTGTTTGGGGAAGGTTCTCTCTGAGACTTGGGGGCTTTGCCCACATGTCAGCAGGACCTTTCCAAGTCCCCAGGATCACTGCTCTTTCAAGCAGTCACCAACCTTCTTAGCTTGGTCTCACCCACCCAGTGACTTGTGGCTTCTCCCAATAGCTTACTGAGTTCTCATGGGGCTTCCTTCTTATTCTTAATACTTCCACATCGTTAAGCCCAACTGCCATACCCTCCATGAAACTTGGCCCTTCTCTTGGTCCTAGGAAGGTGTGTGCATGTGCGTGTGCATGTATGTGTGTGTGTGTGCGCACACACAGACCTACGGGCTCTTCCAGCCAGCCCCATGGACTGCTGGCCAGCCCCCAGCACAGGAGGACTGATGGGCCACAATGGCGATGGAGGGGTGAAGGCCTCCAGCCAGTGCTGACAGTCTTTTAAGGAGGTGACAAGACAGAAAGGAGCTCCAGCAAAGGTGATCCCATTTCCTCTCATGCTGTGGCCTTGGACCTGGAAGGCCTGGGGAGGAGTGGCTGGGAGGATGCATGGTGAGAAGCTGGGGCAGGAGACTCAGGTGTGCAGGCGGTCACCAGGCAGTGCTGGGGAGACCGGCCTTGGTGCTGGCAGTGGAGCTAGTGGCGATAGTAGCGTGCAGAGTGAGGGCAGGGAGAGGCTATTGACAGAGGGTCTGGTTGAAGGACAACAGGGAGGGGGTGACTCTGAGGGTTGACTGTGTGAAGTGGAGGATGAAGAGGACTTGGGGGCTACTTTTGCCTGCTGCTTCCTGTGCCTCTGTGATTACTTCTTTCTCCCCCCGCCCCCAGTTAGCATAGCGCATCTGTGGGATTCTTCCAGTCTTGCCTGGTCTCTAAGGCTCCAACCACAGCACCTGCATTATCTAATTCTTCCACCTGAAACCTTCCTCTTTGACCTCCAGAGGCTCTGCCATGCCCTGTGGCACACTGGCCCTCTCTTTTATCGCTTCTTTCCAAATTCATCCACATCTATCTGACACCTAGTCTTTACCATGCCCTGTGAAGCAGGACAAGTCACAAAGAATTTTAACTTATTTTTTTCTGGTTCTACCTTTTAAAGATCTAAATTTCTTAGGCAATGCTAAAGAGGAGGCTTTCCCCTTTCCTCTCCTTCTAGACGATAAACAGATTTCCTGGGCAGGAGGAGGCAGGGGGTGGGCAGGGCAGCTACGAATGTATAGACTCAGGTGTCACAGAGAGCGAGGCCCTTCTCTGCCTCTTGGGCAAAGCCCTGCAGTTGCTGCAGCACCCATGATCATCTGTAGGATCCAGCGGCAACAGGCCTGTGCTCTGCTCCCTGGGCAGAGTCCTGGGAAGGAGCAGACCCCAGAGAGAGAAGAGGTCTAGGCAGATGGCCATAACCAGCGTTTTGGAGAGGCCCACGATGTGGTGTGGCATGGGTGCAGCAGAGTGACTCCGGCCTGCAGCGTGGCATGGGAAAGTGGGCACAGTAGTTGGACCTGAGGGCCAAGCCAGACAGGAAGAGGGGCCAGACCACCTATGTGGCTCGATGGCTGTGGTATAGGTGGGAAGGTGGATGTCTGGTGAACACCTGCGTGGCAGCAGGGGATTCAGGGAAGGGTAGTTACCAGCTTATTGCAGGGAGCTGCAAGGAGCAGAAAACCCAATAGAAGGTGGTATGAACAAGTGGGAGGCTTTGTGACTCTTGTGCTAGGAAGTCCTGCATGGGCAGCCCAAAGTGGTTGCAGCACCATGACACTGTCTCCTGGCACCCAGGCACTTGAGGCGTGTTTTCTTTACCATTTGCTATGGTTTGAATGCGTCTACTCCAAAATCCAGGTGTTGTCAATGTGATGGTATTAAGAGGCGGGGGTCTTTAAGAGGTAATTATGCCATGAGGGCTCCTCCTTTGTAAATGGGATTAAGTCTCTTATGAGGCTTCATGCAGCGTTTGGCTAGCTTGGTGGCTTGTCTTTCTGTCATCTGCCATGTGAGGACATGGTAAGAAGGCCCTCATCAGACCAAATGCTCATGCCTTGTCTTGGAATTCTCAGCCTCCAGAACTGTGAGAAATAAATTTTTGTTCTTTTTATTTATTTTTTTATTTTATTATTATTAGTATTATTATTATTTTGAGACAGAGTCTCGCTCTGTCGCCCAGGCTGGAGTGCAGTGGCACAATCTCGGCTCACTGCAAGCTTCGCCTCCCGGGTTCATGCCATTCTCCTGCCTCAACCTCCCAAGTAGCTGGGACTACAGGTGCCCACCACCACGCCCGGCTAATTTTTTGTATTTTTAGTAGAGACGGGGTTTCACTGTGTTAGCCAGGATGGTCTCGATCTCCTGACCTTGTGATCCGCCTGCCTCAGCCTCCCAAAGTGTTGGGATTATAGGCATGAGCCACAGCGCCCTGCCAAATTTTTGTTCTTTTTAAATATCCCACTCTATGGTATTCTGTTATAGCAGCACAAATGGTCTAAGAAACTATTCTTTTATTAGGAAAAAAATAGCAAATTGTGGTTTTAGATTTAAGAGATAAATTTAATTCATGCAAATGATTCATCCTATAAAGATGAGTCATAAATACCAAAGAAGTGCATCCTTTTTTAGACATGTTTAAATATAGTCCACAAATACCAGTGCACTGCTAACTATAGCTACTCCTACAACTTCAAGTTATCTCCTACTCAGCCAAATGTCAAAATTTTACCAGTGAAAACTTAATCACTATTTTTCTTGCTGCATTAATTTCACCCCAACAAGCCTTTAGTACTTTAGTAATATTTTGTGCCATCTGAATAGCAGCAGCTGAATTTACCCAGCACATGCCACTAAAGCCAGAAGCCATGTATTTTGAAGGGCCCACTCAGGTTCATCACAGAGCAGAATGACACCTCTTGCCTCCTCAACTCTGCATCCTTCATATTCTGCTTCTGTGCAAAACTGTGTTGACGAAAAAGTACATATAACTTTAGGTCCTGCTTCAGCCCCAAGATAGGTTTAAATCTGCGTATGCTGCTTAGGCATTCCTGGGGATACCTGTGTGCATGAGGCCTCAGGCTACAAATCTTCATCTCATTCTTCTCCTGAAGAGGGAAGAGAAGTGAGGAGTCCATGGGAAGGTTTCTAGACACTAGAGTTAAGGCCACCATGCTGTTTCATGCACAAAAGATGGGAGACAAAGGCTGGAGGAGCATGAGCTCACCTCAAGGTGAAAGACAGGCCAGGGACATTGGGTTGCAGGCTATAGAAGGGTTACACATGGGGCAAGGAAAGCTTCCTGTAAAATCACCAACAGCAAAGCTGACATTGTGGTGTATCAGGAAAGAATGCAAATGAGCTGGTCCACTCGACTGTGGTAGAGGGAGCAGTAGGGCCTCGGGGAGGGCCCCTTAACTTTGGGGAAGCTAGCTGTGTCCTTTGGGGCAACAAACAGAAGAAAAGGGAAGTGAGCCTATTCAAATCCTCTGCTGTGGGCAATACACTGTGCTAGATGCTTTCACTGCAATCTCTCATTTTCTCCTCAACCCTGAATATAGACATTGCCACCCCGTTTTTCTGAGTAATAAGGCCTGAGGCAGTTAAGTAATTTCCAAAGACCAACACTCTCAGAGCGTGGATGTCTAACCTTCAAGTTCAGGCTCATCAGCTTCAGAGACAGGGTCTGAGGAGGGGCCAGGACAGAACCTTGTAGGCAAGAACGTGGCAAAATGGCCTCAGGGCCCTGTTGGTCTCACTGAAGATGGTACAGTTGGGGAGTCTGGACTCCACAGATGGCACCTGTAATACTTGGAGGAAGAGAGTAGTCTGGGGCAGGTGTTCCCTCAGCCTGGGAGTGGCCAAAAGTGACCAGGCTAAAGGTTGATAACCTGGGCTCCTTACTTCTCTCAAGGTTGCTCTGACACTGTATTTAGGATTTACACATGGTTTTTTCAATTCTTTTTTGCCAGTAAATATACAGGAGATTTCAAAGATACTCTCAACTCTTAATTGCTGCAATTACACCATCCCTAGACTGAGCATTAAAAAAAAATGCTTCCTGGTATAAGGTTTTGGTACTGTCTTAGCAGTTCATGCCACCACAGGTAAAATACCTGGATGCCCTTACGAAGTAGCCAAATGGAGTGTGATCAGTACTCCAAGGAGTTGGCATGGGCATCAATTGCGTATTATTTTCTCCAGCCTATATCTATCTGCCTGTACTTGGAGTACTGATGAATTAATGCAGTGTTGGCTCTGCTGCCTCTGATCAGTTTACATTAACGACCATGATAAATATGTTGTAAATAAAAGTCATTTTCTTGACTTTCAGGTTTAAATGGCATCTGGCTAACAGCCCCTGGGCAGCCCTTTCCAATATTTTATTAAAATGCTAATTAATACATAGGAAAAGATGAAAATGCTCAATAATGCCGCAGACTAAGACTGAAACCACGTTGTGAGAATAGGGGAGGAAACTGCATTCTACAGGCTAGAGCTTTTTTTTTTTTTTGAGATGGAGTCTCGCTCTGTCACCCAGGTTGGAGTACAGTGGCGCAATCTTGGCTCTGCAACCTCCGCCTCCCGGGTTCACGCCATTCTGCTGCCTCAGCCTCCCGAGTAGCTGGGACTACAGGTGCCTGCCACCATGCCCGGCTGATTTTTTGTATTTTTAGTAGAGACAGGGTTTCACCGTGTTAGCCGGGATGGTCTCAATCTCCTGACCTCGTGATCCACCTGGCTCGGCCTCCCAAAGTGCTGAGATTACAGGCTTGAGCCACTGCGCCCGGCCTGTAGAGCTATTTTAAAAAAGAAACCACTGTAGGTTTTGCCCTACATGGAGTGCCAGGGAAAGTGGATCATCTAGGATGACTCCGAGGTTTTGACCAGAGCAACTGGAAGAATAAAGTTGTCATTTACTGAGACAGCACAGACTGTAGGGGAGTGGGTTTTGCGATGAGTGCCAGGAGATGCTGATTCTATATCCAAGGGAAGTTGTTAGGGAATTGAATACACACATCTGGACTTCAGAGAAGTCTGGGCTGGAGAAAAGGTTTAGACCTTGTCAGTGTAGAGAGATGGCTTTGCGACTGGCTGAGAAAGGACAGAAGAGAAGGGAGGGGAGAAGAAGAGGGAAGCTGGAAGGAAAGAGGAGCAGATAAGTCTGGAGACTGAGCCTGAAGCCCTTGATGCACAGAGGTTAGGGAGGCAAGAAGGAACCAGAGAAGGAGACTGCAGAGGAGCATCCAGTGAAGTTGTTGGAGAACCGAGAGAGTGGCATCTCCAAAGCTGAATGGAAAAGCTGCTTCAAGAAACTTTGCCTAATTCTGCTAATGGGTCAAGTAAGGGGAGGCCTGATTATGGACCATGGGATTTAGCAACACAGAGAACGCTGGTGACTTTGACAAGAGTGTGTCTGGGGGAGGGTTGAGAAGAAAATTCAAGAATGAGCTCACCTCAAGGGGAAAGACAGGCCAGGGACATTGGGTTGCGGGCTATAGAAGGGTTACACATGGGGCAAGCTCATAGGGAGCTGTCTGGAGAGAACTCTTTTGAGTGCCTCTGCATGGACAGGAGCTGGGGGAGATGTGGTATCAAGGGGAGGCTCCTAAAAATGAGAAGTATTCTGGCCTGCTTGCATACCAATTATCCAGCAGAGGGGAGAGACAGATAATGCAGGAGAGGGGATAAATGCAGGAGGGGAAGGTTAAAGGGGCTGGGATGCATCGTTCAGGTGGCAGGTTTGGCTTTAGATAAGCGCAGGGACGATTCTTCCATGATACGAGGAGGGACTGCAGAGTGCACTGGCACAGCTGCAGGAAGATGGGAAGATGTGGTTGGGGTAGGCCATGGAAGTTCTTTTCTGGTTCTATTTCCTCAGTGAAATAATGCGCTTTCAAAGGGAAACTCATATAGTAGTGCTGGAAGTGTAAATGAGCCTTTTGATATTAGGTTTCCCAGTCTGGCAGCTGGGCATCCTCCTCCCCAAAGCAAGAGTACCGGGATATGCCAAGGGGTTCTTAAAGCTGGAACTCATGGATTTCCCTGGCTGATTGGAGCATCACTGCTGCCAGCAAAGCCCAAGGTATAAAGTATGCATAAAGTCACTATGGTTTGAACTTTTAATAAATTTTACTTCCATGTAACGTATAGATAATTTGTGAAATGCAACCGAGAGATAATTTACAAAATATTTAAATAAAGTTGCTAATGTTTGATTTTGTTCTTTCTTTTATTTTACAGGTGTGAGCTCTACATTATGCTGAGATGGCTATGTACAAGTATATCCAGAATGACGGTGGATACGTTGAAAGTCCAATCAACTGTGCTAAATCTTGAATCAGTTCTCTCTGTTGCCTTTTGCAGGTTGTTTAAGTTTTGTATAGAAGTGGATATTTTGAACATTGAAACTGCACAAGGGCTTTATGGTTGCTCTGCTCACCTCTATTTCTTCTTCTCCTGCTAGGAAACCCCATTATCCTCAGAACAAGTCTCTCCACCTCCTGCTCTTGCCTGATGCTGTATGGCTCTGATGGCTTGTCCTGTGTCCCCTTAGCCCAGGTGCTAAGTGGTCTCTGTTCCCTTAAAATAACTGTTTTGGGATGTTATGGGTCCTGTTTTAAAAATCCCCTCATCCCTCTTCTTTTCTCTCTTCTAAAGGGCAGCCTTACCATCTCCTTTTAAGAACAGAAGTCTTTTCTTTCTGCCTCTTAAAGTCAGTAGCTGGTTTGTCACCCAATAACAAAAGCCCACAATATCCTGACCTCAAAGACTAGGAAGGTAGGTGGTGCTAAGGTCAGGGATTGGGAGTCTTAGAGAGCCAGCAACACAGTGTCATCTCTCTGAAAAGTAAATTTCCAGTAGCTAGCAAGAGATTTACAAATGCTGAAATCTCTTAGTCTACTAATTCCTTTCATACAATCAAAGATATGTGCAAAGATTTATGTTCATCATACTGTCACTCCTCATAGAGAAAAGCATGGGAGTAACACCCATGTCTGTCAGTAGGGCTTGGATGGATAAAGTCTATTATTGAGTCCTTTGCAATCATTCAAAATCATGTTTGAATATAATAGATGGGAAAATGATCATACTATAATGCTAATTGAAAAAAGATATAAAACTGTATATATGTTCTCATCTCAAATTTTTAAAAAATAAAAATGTGCTTATTTTATATATATAAACATATATATATAGTTTATATTTAAAAATAAAAATGTGCTTAACTCTGAAATTTGTCTTTTTGACTTAAGGATATATTATGGACATCCCTTTAGGGTCATATTTATAGAATTGACTCATTCTTTTAAATTATACTGTATTTTATTGTATGGCTAAATTGAAATTTATTGGACCATTTTCTTATTGATGAAATTCAAGTGCTTTTAGGTTTTGTTCAGTTTTTAAAATTGTAAATGGACAATTTATAATTATATAGAACTATGGGGTAAAAAGCACTGTTATGATTTATGAATACAATGTGAAATAATTAAATCAAGCTAATTAACATACTCATCATCTCAAATACTTAACATATTTTGTGGTGAGACCATCTGAAATTTACTCTCTTAGCAATTTTGAAATGTGCAATACTCTATTCTTAACTAGATTCACCACACTGTGTAATAAAACTCCGAAAAAGAAAAAAGCAACATATTCCTCCTATCTAGCTGAAATTTTGTACCCTCTGACCATCAGCTCTCTGCTCTCTCCCCACCCCCTACCATCTGTAACCACCATTCTACTCTGCTTCTATGAGTTTCATTGCTTTAGATTCCACACATAAGTGAGAACATGCAGTATTTGCCTTTCTGTGCCTGTCTTACTTCACTTAGCATCATGTTCTCCAATTCCATCCATGTTGTCGCAGATAACAGAGTTTCCTTCTTCTTAAAGGCTGAATTGTATTCTATTGTGTATATATGCCATATTTCCCTTATTCACTCCTCTGTTGATGGACACTTAGGTTGATTCTATAACTTGGCTATTGTGAATAGTGCTGCAATGAACATGGGGGTGCAGGCATCTCTTTAACAAACAGATTTCACATCTTTTGGGTAAATACTCAGAAGTGGTATTGCTGGATCATATAGTAATTCTATTTTTAGTTTTGGAGACACCTCTAAAATGTTGTCCATAATGGTTGTACTAATTCATATTTCTACCAACAGTTCACAACAGTTCCCCTTCTGCCACGTTCTTGCTGACATTTATTATCTTTTGTCTTTTTGATAAAAGCCATTCTGACAAATCTGAGATATATCTCATTGTGATTTTAATTTGCATTTTCCTAATAATTAGAAATGTTGAACATTTTTCCACTTACCTGTTGGCCATTCGTGTGTCTTCTTTTGAAAAATGTCTATTCTTATGTATTTTTTTTAAAATATGGTCATAGCAGAAAATAACTTCAGTGTTAAACCACAGTTATCTCTGGGAGGTTGAATATTGTGTAATTAAACATTTTTAATTTTAAATTGTATATTTTTCATGTTTTCTATACTGAGTATCTTTCTTTTAGAATCAGAAAAATGTACAAATAATTTAAAACAAACGCCTTGAAAAATGAACAATCTTACCTAGTATTCAAAGAAATGCAAATTAAAATGTTATTTTTGTTTCTATCTCAGTAAATAAGGAAATATGGAGTAAAAGAGTAATCTTCCTGCTGAGCATGTTTTGCGGTTGCCAGCGCTGCCCCGGGTGTGTCTGGAGGAACACTCCCTGTTGCCTAACAACTGCTGTAATGTAACGGAAATAGAAGCACGATGCCACACATCCCTCAGAAAACGACTTGGCCCTTGGCCCTCCTGTGGATGAAGAGTATATTGAAGAGAAACTGGATATTTCTAAATTTGCTAAGACTCGCTTTTCTCACTTGCTCTCAGATCACACTACTTTTGAGTAGCCCAAAATTTTGTTGCCAACTCAGCAAGTTAAGCAAACAATATTACAAATCATGTTGAAACTGAAGTGGTCCCCATGGGCCAGTGAGTACGGTGCAGGTGGAGAAAAAATTAGCTGCTGAGTTAGGACAAACTGCTCCAATTTTGAAGGCACAAATGGGCATCATCTTGGGCCCGGGTACTACCCAAGGTGGACCTCTCAATCAGGCTCTTATGCTCCCAGGTGTAGTTGTTGGGTGAACTCTCTCCCTGGATGCTCAGGGACAGCATCTCAGAGAGAGGTGAATGGAAAAACCATGAGACCCTGTACACACTCTAGGTGCAATGGATTACAAGGGTTGATAGCTCTTCTTAGTAACCGAAAGCCTATATGCTCCATCTTTCTTGATGGCAAGGTCCCTGGGAAGGAGACATTCTCTTAGAATGTCATTAAATGACCATAGAATAAGCATGAAGTGAGTGGAATTATGTGGAAGGGATTCAGCATTTTACCCAAGCACTGGGCAGCCCCTGGGTGTGGCTGTCCCTCCACAGTGGCCTGTCTGTCTAAGTCTTGACCCACCCACCCAGATCCTCTTGGAAGCCACTGATAGCATTTGCCTCTGGGAATTCTGCAGCCTTTGCTGATGAGTCTCAGTTGACACCATCTATCATTGCAGATACAGATGTCTCCAAAAGGCAATTGCCAAAGGCTGTGCCACACAGCACACACCTGTCCATGTGCAGATTGATTCTGTTAAACTCTTCAGCTATCTTGTGGGCTGCTTTTCCCTGCCTCATTATCTGCCTGCAGACCTTCCTTCTGTGTTCTCTGCTCTTAGAGGTCAGATTGATCTGTATTTTTATCAAGATGAGGAAGGAGATGGTAGACTGTGAATCAAGGATCTACCTCTCCCAGTAATTCACTGTGGCATCTTGGGGCACCTGCTGGCCCTCTCTGAGCCTCCATTTTCTTACCCACGAAATGTGGATTTGGACCCAGTTATCTCCAACCACCCAAGAGTCTGTGATTCTGCTACTAAGAAAAGCAAAAGGCAAGTACAAGATAGCATGTGTTTAGTTGCTGGGGAAAGCTCAGTCTAATATTAAAAATAATAAGTATAAAAATAATCACCACCATTCACTCGAGCTTGCTTTGCCAGTTCTGCACTGTGATCTTTGCAGGGGTAATCTTACTGAATCCTCTGCTCCAACCCTACCAGGTGGGAACTACTTTTATCTTTATTTTTCTGATGAGGAGATTGAGCCTCAGAGATGTTAAGCAACCTGCCGAAGCAGAGAGTTAATATGTCGGGATTCATCACAGGCAGATCCCTCTGCTCTTGGGAAGCCCAGACCTCAGAAGCAGGAGTGGGTCTGATTCAGGTGTGCTCTGAGGGCCAGCTGTCCTTTCCAAAAATGCCTTCCTTTATTTAGACACCAACATCCTTGCTATTTTGGATTTTTCAATGAGCTTCCTTATTTTCTCCCTATTCTGTCCTATTCAGCAAAATGAATGAATAAATATAGGTTCCTAATGTTACAAATTTAATTTTCTTCTAGAAATGAAAGTGTTTATTTCTCTTCTTTTATTTCTCAAGCCAAAATAATTATTTCCTCCTTCTTAGAAGTCCAGGAATAGGTTAAACTTTAATTAAAAGTCTTATGGTTCAACAGTTGGAATGAGGATCAGGTAATAACGAAGAAACCCCGTAAACACCCTGAGGAGAACCAGCACCCCCTCCATTGGTTGTTTTAGCTCAGCCCACAGCTAACAGCTCAGCTCAGAAAGTTCCTACCACCCACTCCGCTTCTAACGCCTTTTAATATTCGCACAGAGTTTTCTCACATTGTGGCTCTCACACACTTCCTTTATACATGCTGTTTCCTCAGCCTGGAATGCCACCTCTTTCTTTACCTGGAGAACCCCTGTCCCTTAAAGACGCAGGTCAGAAGTCACGTAGTACTCCTCTGCTACCACCTAATGCAAAGCGTGATTATTCCTTCACTTCTCTTCTGCATTTAAATTATTGAGGGAAGAGGCTTGGTCTCATTGCCTTTGGAATAGCTCTGGATCTGCGTTCATGTTTTGTATATAATACGACTCAGTAAAGGTTGTGTAATATATGACTTTCATATGTGTGTATGCAAAGATAATGTGTTCCCATGCCCTTTGACTCAGTTTTCCCCATGGCAATGAATTTAACCACAGGAAATAATTGAATAGGAGAAAGAAGATTACACAGATGGAAGTTCTATAAAATATGTATTTGCTAAACATTGGAAACAAGTTAAATGTTTATCAATTGAGTAATGGCAAGTAAATTGGGGTACATGATCTTGAAGGAACATGACTTATTCTCTCATTCATTATACAAACATATAGACTGCCAAAGAGCTATCAGATACACAGCAATTTAACAGTTACCACATCTGACTTCAATGAATACACAGTCTGGTAGAGTCTTCTAAAATGATAATTACCAAACTACATAGAAAGCGAGCACTATTTGTGGTCTAACGTTAAGAGGAAAACAAATCAGATTATAAAACCATCTGTACATTACGATTGCAACTCTAAACATGTGAGAGTGTGAACAAGGTCTGGACGGGTGAATACAGGAATGACAATATTGATGTGGTTAGATTGGATGACTTTTTCTTTAGCATTATTACAATTGTTTTCGAGCTTTAAACTTTTAGATTGTTCCAAACGTTTCTAGGGGGGAAAAAAAAGCTGCTCCCATAGCCCTGGCTCCCCAGGTTGGCAGTAGCATGAATGATGGGGTATTTTCCCAGATGGGCAGGGGCTTGCCACAAGGTGACTGGGAGGGGATATTCAAGGCAGTCCAGGAGAGTTGGGTTACGGAAGGCTATCACTCTGTAGACTTGGGAGTGCTCACTGGGTGCCATCGTAAGAACCAGCCTCTTCTGTGTCTGGGCTATGCCACGCAGCAGCACCTGCAGGCTCTTCCAAGCTTTGTCAGCACCACAACTTGGGCACAGCACAGCAGTGCCAGGTGTGGAAAGCAGAAGTCTAAGAGGCAGACAAAAGGGTTGAGACCTGCAAGAGTTGGTGGCTAGTTCCTCATGCTGGAAAGGATGATCTCTATGTGAAAGGTACCTTATCCCTCTTCTACAGACCAGGAAACTGAAGCTTGATTTGTCCCAAGCTACTGGAGTTGGGGTTGGAATCCATCCCTTCTTATTTGGGGGCAGGGTTTTTCTATTTCCCTTACTGGCCTGGGAGCAGGTGGAGATGCATGAGGTCATATGGAAGAGACAGGCTGATAGGATGGGTGGAGTCCTTTGGGAAGGAGGAGGCAATGGGGAATCTATTGGTAGGACCCCATGGTGGACGTATGAGAAGCCAAGCATTTGAGTTTTGACTCGATGCAGTAGGCAGTGGGGAGCCCTTGCAGGTTTGGGGACATGATGGAAGAGGGCTTAATGAAGACGAGGCTGGTGTAATCAGGGGAGAGGCTGGATCAGGCACATGGTAAGGGTGATGTGTGGCATTTGTTTTGTGTAATCAGAATAGTACCCACCCATCCAACTTCTTGGAAATATGTATTTCTGCTTCTCCATGAGATTGGACTGGAAGCTTCCATCTTATATATCCCTTCCCCATGGATAACAGCACCTTCCAGGGATGGGCACCTGATACAAACTTGGCCTATCAGAGCACTTCCCTGGGAATTTTGCCCTTGGGGCCAGAGAAACATGGGTGTCAGTCCCTCTCTGGTGATAAAGCTGTGTCATGTAAAGTCTGGGGGATCTATAATGACTAAAAGATTTGAGAGTCAGAGAGAGGGAATTCTAGCTTGGCTCAGGCCCTGGTTTCCCCTCACTTTGAGGGCTCAGACACCCTTTTGCTTGTGCCACAATATGAACAATATTCACCACCCTCATTTAACTAAACTAGTCTGAGTTGAATTTTTGTCATCTGCAAACCAAAAAGTTCTGATGACATTTGCAGTAAGAGAAATGTCTACTCTTTGTCATTCAAAGAGTTCAATTTGTTCATTCTTCAAATTTTGAGCACAATTCTCAACAACACTCTAGGGTTGTTTTGTGTGCATTGGGTCCATCATTTTGTGCCTGTAAGAAATAACAACAAAAATCTTTCCTCACTAGTCAGCATCAGGTTCAGGAACTCCAGGTTCTCTGTAGACACAAGGCTTTGGGATTCCCTTCAGAGAAGGAGCAATGCATCTCCATCACTCGTGTGGTAAGTAAAATTGCTGCTCAGAACACTTCCATGCCTGCTCCTTTGTGATTCAGATGAGGAGAAATCAACGTGGACTGAGCGCCCACACAGGACAGCCAGGCATTTCCCATACAGGTGGTAAAGGTATCTTCTGAACTTCTCCCCAGCAAATGCATAGATGAGAGGATTCAGGCAACAATGGCTAAATGCAACCGTCTCAGTCACACTGAGGGCCAGCCTCAGATCCTTCCTCATGTCACAACTGGGAAAGAAGTCATAGAGCTTAAGCGTCTCCAGGAAAATCATAACGTTGTAGGGTGTCCAGAAGAGGAAAAACACGATGACCACCAGAAGGATCAGTTTAATGGCTTTGGCTTTCTTGTGGTTCTTGCAGGAAAACAGCGTCTGGATGATTCTGAAGTAGCAATAACTCATAATGAGCAGGGGGAGTAGGAAGCCAAGAAAATTTGTTTCCACATTGCGGAGCACGGGCCAGATTTCCTGGAGGACCTCGGGGTAGTCACCAAGGCATTCATTTTCTTTCTGCTTTGTGAACATGAACTGGGGTGCTGCCACCAAAATGGCTGCTGCCCAGACGCCTAGGCTGATGGTGACGCCATGCTGCACGGTCCGGTTGTTCATGGAGTTGGCGGCCAGGACGATGGCCAGGTACCTATCAATGCTGATGACGGTGATGAAGAATATGCTTCCAAAAAAGCCGATGAAGAAGAAGGCGGTAGTGAATTTGCACATGGCATTGTGGAGGCCCTTTTCATTTATCAAATAGTGAGTCCAGAAGGGCAAAGTGGCTACAAACAGCAGATCAGACAAGGCCAGGTTCAGGAGGTAAATGTCGGTGACACTCTTGGGCTTCTTGCTGTTGGTGAGGGCAAACACTACCAACAAATTTCCCACCAGGCCAATGGCAAAGATGACGGAGTAGAATATGGACAGGAACACAGTCCCAAAGACCACGATGTCCCCAATATAACAGGCCTCAGCCAAATCATCGTACTCAAAGTTTTCTGTCACTGATTCAGGGAACTGATCCATGGTGAAGGCCTGGATCAGAAAGAAAAACAAGTAACTGTGTTAGTTATCAGAGAAACAAAGTTGGAATTCTGTGTGGCCTCATATGTAGGCAGGCAGGAAGAAACAAATATTGGTTGGGTGCACACTACATTTCCCAACTTCCCACTTGCCATCTTGTTTAATCCCCACAACAGTCTTGTGATGAAGACTGCAACAGACTCTTCTGACAGGAGAGGCGGACTCCTTTGACTTGCCCAAAGCCATGCAGTAAATGGCTCTGTGAGCATTTGGCTCTAGGCATTTTTTTTTTTTTAAATGGAGTCTCGCTGTGTCACCCAGGCTGGAGTGCAGTGGTGCGATCTCAGCTCACTGCAACCTCTGTCCCCTGGGGTTCAAGCGATTCTCCTGCCTCAGCCTCCCAAATAGCTGGGATTATAGGCGTGCACTACCACGCCTGGCTAATTTTTGTATTTTTAGTAGAGATGGGGTTTCATCATGTTAGCCAGGCTGGTCTCAAACTCCTGACCTCAGATTATCCTTCCGCCTCAGCCTCCCAAAATGCTAGGATTACAGGCGTGAGCCACAGCGCCCAGCCAGCTCTAGGCTTTTTGAAGCTTGAGACAGATCTGTTTTACTTTTACTGCCCAAAATCTCTCCAAAAGCTAGCTAGTTTGACCAATGTGTGGATGAGAAAGGGAGAACCATGAGCAGGAGGGGGAGGGGGGTGAGATGGGGTGAATTGGGGGTGCAGCTGTAATTCACACTTCCAGTCCAAACTTCCCCAAAGCAATTCTCCATCCTCTTCCTTTGTTTCCACCTTTTCCACCCTCTGGCCCCTTACTTTTCCATGAAGCTAGGCCTGGAGAGAGAAGCCTCAGACCCAGAGCCTTGGGCAGAACAGCACCCGGAAGCCCTCATCTTTGTTTTTTGAGAACCATTTCACCTCCTCTTCTCCTTATAATCAACAAGTCCTTCTCTTTCTTAGCAGGTATCAGACAGAGTCATACACTCTAGAGTGACTACCTTGTTTTGGGCTGCCCAGGACTTTCCTGGTTTTAGCCCTGAAAGTCCCATCTATTGGGAACCCCTCAGTCCCAGGCAAATCAGGACTGTTGGTCATCCTACAACGCTAAGTGAAGAGAAGGTGTTGCCATCATTCAGGACTCTGCAGTCATAGAGGGGCTGACTGATTCAAGATGGAGGATGGGGCTCCGTTAGTCTGCTGGGCTAGTCTCCGGGTGACTAATTCCCCCTACGATTACCAGCCCTATAGTTCACTTTGGTTTGGACTTCCCCACTATTCTTATCTCCTGTTTCCTTCTGAGCAGGAATTGAAAAAAGAAGACACTTCTGCAGGCTGCACTCCCCTTCTTTTCGCAGCCAGGACTTGCTGCTCATTCACTCCAGAGCCGGCTGGGAGGCAGCCCTTTCACACGGCTCCTCTGGGCGTCTCCTCGTGATACCACAGATGGGTCCCTCAGAAACCCTCAAAACAGGCCTCCTGGTTGTCACTGCCTCCCTCCTTACCACAACTTACAGCAAAGCTCACGCTTTAACCGAGGGAGTTTCCACGCCCCACTACACCCTTTCCATGATGGTTTTACCCAGGTGGTGTCTCACCAAGATGAGGGCCCACCCAGCCAGGGTGTGTCACTTCTCGCTTCCCAGCCTCTGCTTTGGGGCCTGCATCTCACCCAGACTCTCCTGGGATAAGTGGGCCGGGGCTTTACAACCTAAGCTGTCTCAGGCTGTGATGAGTTCTCAACCCCAGGGAACGTGTATGCTTTCTCTGCTTCAGGCTACAATGCCCTTTTCTCAGAGAATAATCTCTGGCTGTGACGTTAATTAATAACATTTAAGTCAAATGGTATAAAATGGCTGACATACAGCTATTTTTGAGCCACATCCATGTCAGTTTTATATGACTCAAGCTAATATGTGGGAAACAGAAATTGCTACTTAGTGCCTGCAGCTTGTCACAGAGCATGATCTTCCCAGACAAGCTGCTGTATGAGTAAAAATAGTCAAGTCCTTGGTGGTTCTATGTTAGGGACCCTGGAGCTAGCTACTTTCTCCCTCCCCTTCCCCCAGTGAGAAGAGCTGGCAAAGCCGACCTCGAGAGGTGGCCAAATCCAGTAAAAATTGTCTCGCATCTCTTTATGTGCCTGTGGTCGGTCCTTCAGCACAGGAACTTCTGTGGACTCGGGCACTCCCGAGATTGAATCCTGCATCTGTCCTCTCTGGCTGAGTGATGGGTGAGCTTGAAACCTCTGAGCCTAACATTCCTTGTCTGTAAGATCGGGATTCATTCTCATGCCTGCCCACAGAACTGTTTTAAGGGGAGCACCTGGCACAGTGTGTCACATACAGCAAGCACTTAATACATGTTCAATTTGTTTCCTGCATTATGTGAGGAAGCAAAAGCCCTTTGGATCTTTGGAAACATCCAGGCTGCCTGTGGACTCCCATGTTCCACCTCCACCCTGGGTATCCTGGGAATTTGGTCTTTAAAGGTCACTTTATTTTTTTTTCCCCCTGAAATAAGACATGCTTTCTTTTCAGATTATTTTGGGGGAGGTAAGCCACCCTTTATTGAGCTTTTACTAAACTGTCAGGCTCATTGCTCTGTTTGGATTAATATTGATCTAATCCGTTCTGCAATTCTGAAAAAAAAAAGTTCTATATTTAATTCACTGCACTGCTGAATGCCTCTGGGGATATTCATGATGAGAGGAAGGAATGGGACAAATGTGGAGAAGGAAGGGAAAGTTAGAAATAAGCAACTGATTGCCTGGTGGAGTGGCAGAGGGGTCCCAAATCAGGCCCTTTGCCTTACTGGGTGCTTGGGCTCAGGGCTGCCACGTGCACAGGGGCATCTCTAATTTGCACCAAGTCTCCATATAAGCTGGGGGTGGTCTGGCTTGGCAAGGAGCTCATGAAAAGATCAGTCAGGTACAGTCTAAGCCAGGAAGGGGCTTGTCTTCTCAATGGGGAAAATTCACATAAAGACTTTGATTAAGACAGAATGGAAGAAGTGGGTGAATGTATCTTCTGCAGATGGGATGCAAATTCAGATAATGCTCTGGGCAGGATGGTTTTGCCTGATACGTGGTGATATTATGTATTGAGAGCCAAATGGCTGGTTATGGGCATCCATCTGGCTTGGGACTGCTCCCTGCCATCCAGGGGGTCTGCTCAGTGAGGGCAGACGAACACTCTGCAGCCCTCATCCTAGCTCCCTGCTGTCTCAGAGTCCCCAGTGAAGACCCTAGAATTGCTGTGGCTCCCACAGGAGTCTCTCAGTGCTGGCACAGTGGGTGCATGCAGTGGGTGCTCACCCAGCATATCATGGTCCCTGCTATGAGCCATCTGGACCATGCTACAGAGGAAAGAGCAGTACCAATATCGCTTTCTATGAGTTCCCACGTGACTCTGAGGAACAGCACTGGTCATTGAGGGACATTTTTGATCTTCATGTTCACATTTCCATTTTGCACACACTGTGCCTCACAGGAGGCACAGCTGGGTGAAGCACCTGGCCCATCCCACAGCTAGAAGCAGGGGGAGCAGGACTGAGGCCAAGGCCTGTGCTGTTCCCACTCTCCCTTGAAGATGGAGGAGACTCGGGCCCTGGGCTTAGGGGCCAAATCCTGGCAGGGGAGAAGAGTCAAGGACTCGATGACTATCAAACAGTTGAGTCCCAAGTCCAGTGGTAAAAAGGCATCAAAACAACAGCCTTAGCTTCCTCCTCTAAAAAAATAACCTCTTAGGTTTGTTGAGAGCATAAGAATTAAATTACTTTAAATTGCTTATTGGGATTTATCGTAGACACACACATGCTCAAGCAAGTGTGTACACTGTCACTGCAACAAGCTTCAAATATAAATGAAGGGAAACAACCCCAATGTCCATCACTAGGGACAGATCAAAGCACGATAAGTCCAATTAATGGAATACCAAGCAGCTGCTTAAAAACCAAACAGTTTCTAGCTCTTGGAAACTTGGGAAAAACAACAAAAACAGGCAGATCTGTATATTCTGTCATGCAACAATCTCTAAGATATACTGGTAAGTGAAAAAAGCTAGGTGAGGTACCATGTACATAGTATGCTGTCATTTGTGGAAAAGAATGATGTGTGCGTATTTTGTATAAAGTTTAAATATCTCTTAAGGAATACACTGGTGGTGGTAATTATCCCTGGAGAGGGATTCTGAAGGATTGAGGATATGGGAAAGGAGACAGTTTTTATGGTAAACTTTTGGAAATGTTTTTTACCATGTACACATACTACGTATTTTGGAAAATAGTTTAATTAATTCGTTTGGAATTTTAAAATAAAAATCAACAAAAATATGAGTTATATGAAAAACTAAAAAATGAGTAACTTAGTACAATAACAAGCATGCTGCACATAATAAGTGGTAGCCAACATATAAAAGGATCATCTCTATTTTTATGGGCAAATAGATGAATTCAGAGAGGGTGAATAACTTGTTCGAGGTGATGCAGTGTGTGTGCAATAGGGCTGCAGTGAGGGCCCAGATGTGTTCGGCCTCAGCACTTTTTTTTAACTTCACATTACAGCCCTTCCCCATTCCTTTTTCCCAAGACTAGGAGTTCCTAAGAGAAGACCCACGTCCTCTTCAGCTCTGCAGGCCAATGTTCAACAGAAGGCCTGGTACACAGCGAATGCCATATGAATATTTGCAGAAGGATAAATATTATATCCTAGACCTTTGTTCCAAAGAGTTTCATCTAGTAGTGATGACAGCACCCTATCAGTCACCCTGATCCCAGGGGTGCTCATGAGCACACAGGTGTCCTTTCTGATCATAGGCTAGGAAGCCTTGAACTCTGAGAAGTTAGTAGGTGCCTGATGTGTTAAATGAATTAATAAATAAGTGAATGAAAGACTTCAAGGAGCAAGAAAAGAGATTCGTCAGCTCTATAATATGGAGCCCCAGGAGATGAGAAGAGGCTCACCAGCTCTCCACAGTCAGAAGACAACTTGGCAAACACAACCTCTCATTTCAACCATACCTCTCACATGTGGCTTTTGAACATATGTGGTCATGAAATAGATATCAGCGTGGGTAATTGCAGCTCTGTCTTCTGTGCAAATCTCAAGAAACAGCAGGAGTCATTGGGCAACATAGGGTTTTGCCTGGTTCTGAAGAGACTTGTATTCTGTGTGCTGGAGCTAGTTCAAACCGCCCTTGGTAGCCAAATGCCCCAGAGCATGTGAAGGCACCATTTACATAAAAAATCTGACATCGCTGAAGCTGTGTCCTTCGCAGAAGTATTCCAGTGAACTTGATAGCTTTAGCAAGGCGCTTTTTAAGGAAGACTGAGCCTGAGCTGAGTGTACCTCCTATTTGTGGATCCTCCAAGATGTTCAAGGTTTGGGAGCTGAGCCTAAGATAGGGCCTCCTGGCAGCAGATGCGAGTGTGGCCGTGCCTTGGGGGTGGCCCTCAGGGTGGTCAAAGGCCTGCCAGAGGTCTAATTGGTTTTCATCTTAGACTGGACCATGGCTTTCCTTTGTCCCTGAGGGACACTAGAAACCAAGTGGAAGAATCAAATGAGAAGACTTTGCAGTGTCTACCCAGCTGGGTTTCATATCCACAAGGGTTGTAAGACGCATGCATTCTGGGATGTTGCACTAATAAAGGCATCATCAACTAAGGCTGCACTTTACAACTTAGTGCAGCAGCCAGTAAGAATTTAAACCTTCTCTGGGCCATCCTCAGGCCTCCTTACCCACTATTCAGTTAAGCCAAGGTTTTACTAAATGGCCTTGAGCTGGGAGAGTTTCGGTGAACCTAGACAGAGCTTTGAGTGTACACATGTTTCACACCCAAGTAGAAATTTGTAAAATTCCCCACTCACATCCGTGGCTGATCCTGGTCTACTTCCTCTGGCCTACTTCCTTTTCTCATGCCTGCTCATTTATTTTTTAACTTTTTAGGGGAGGGACACTCATCATTACCCATTGTTTCCAATCAGCTTCCCTTTTCTATACTTCCCTTCTTCTTTAGGTGGCCAGAATCCATTTCTTCTTCAATCTGACATTCTTTTATGTTGCTTTCTCCCTCTCTTTTGGCTTCACATCCAGCTTACTGTTTTCTAAATCCAGTGTATCTTCTGGTAGTTTTTACCCTCCTGGTCTCTGTTTATGGCTTTTTAGTAAAAGTGAAGACTGGGTTTGAGGTTCAGTCTGGTGCCAAGAAAATTGTGAGGCTTAATTTTTTTCTTTGTACCAAATGAGAGTAGAGAATTGCTTGAGGAGCCCCAACCCAAACTTTCCTTATGAGGATGCCATTGTGCTGTTGACATTGTGGAATCTGAAGTCACCCTCAGAAAGCCCCAGTTTAGAAAGGGAGGAGGCTGCCATTCCCGGATGCCTGCTAAGTGTCATGCTCCACACACAAGATCCCACCACATTCTCTTCACAACCCCACTGGAGAAATGATGATCCCCATGGTATAAATTAACCAGCAGAGGCCCAGAGATTTGGTTAACTTGTTCAAGGAAGCAAAAGAGCCAGGATCTCAACCCCAGATGCCTCTTTCCACAAAGCCTGTGCTCCTTGCACCGCACAATGCTTTTCTCCCTGGAGGGGAAATCTGCAGGATATTGCAGGCCACTTCTCTCGAAGTAGAACTGAAAATAGTAGACCCAGGCCCCTTAAGAGAAACTGGTCCATGATGCATCTCTGAATTCGTTGGGGTTCTCCCCCTGTGGGCTCATAACCCAGCAGGCTGCCCCTCAGGGATTGGTGAGTGGAAAATGGAATGCGGGATATTATTTGCTCCTCTAGCCACCACTAGGTGGTCCACACTGCCAGATCCCCAGGAATCTAGCTCCCAGCAACCATAGTGAGGAAACTGGGGTCATTTTCTCTGGAGAGGAAAAGTCTGAAGGCTGAAGGTTTAGCCTATTTTCTGCCTTCAAATATATGATAGTGCTTTTAAGAGCCACATGTTTCACAGGAGCCCATACATTTCTGAGCATGAATGGCTGAGAGACCCTGGGCAGGTCACTCTGCTCTGCTTCAGTTTCTTGATGTATGAAATTAAAGCATTGGACCAGACCACCTCTAAGAGCCTTGCTAGCTCTGGCATGCTCAATTTTTCAGCAAGAATCAAACAGAAGGAAACTGTTTGTTTGAGACAGGATCTCGCTCTGTTGCCCAGGCTGGAGTGCAGTGGCATGATCATAGCTCACTACAGCCTTGAACTCCTGGGATGTAGCAATCCTCCCACCTCAGTCTCCTAAGTAGCTGGGAGTATAGGTGTGCACCACCATGCCCAGCTATTTTTGGTAGATATGGGGTCTTACTATGTTGACCAGGCTGGTCTTGAACATCTGGCCTCAAGAGATCCTCCTGCCTGGGCCTCTCAAAGTGCCAGGATTACAGGTGTGAGCCATCATGCCTGGCCAAGGAAGCAGTCTTAAAGAGCAACATGAGTCCTAGGTCAGCAAAAGTGTGGTCTATTGTCAACAGAGAGGCTGCCCAGCAGCCTGCCCAGGGAACATGACACTTCTACACTTCTGGGGCACAGCCTGTGAGCATTCAGATGAGGTTCTGTTTGGAGATAGGGAGCTGGATCAGTTGATCAAGTCTTGGCAAATCTTGTTTACCTTGTACTAGATAGAAAGGTTCTCAGTCGGCTGCCATGCCCAGACCCCTGACTGTTTGGGAAGCCAAGTTTTACCAGGTCCTGATGGTTTTCTCATTTATGATGGCAGCTATTTTTATAACACATATCCCTTGGGATTCAGAGAGAGCTAAGGCTGATGGGGAGAGGGGTGCTGAATTCCATGTTAAGGAGCTATAAGGAAACATTTTATACCCCATCCCCTATGCAAGTAAATTCAGTGACTATCTATTCCTATAGCAATGAGCCCATCTAGAACAGCATGGCATTGTCTACCCACCAGTTTTTCACACAGGCCAAATGCACACCCAACCCTTCCCTCCAACCACCACCAAAAAAAAAAAAAAAAAAAAAATAGCAACAGGAGAATCCTATTGGGTTTAGTGAATTGCCCCTTTACAAAACCTGCCATTATTTTGTGTTTGAAGCCCCACCCTTCCCTTTCCTCTTCAAAATACTTTATGGTATTTATTTATTTATGTCAAAGTAAACTGTGAAATTTTGAAGGGAAATACTTCATAATTTTTTTAATAATTAGGAAAGAGATAGACTTGTTAATTGTTTAATTATTAATTAAGTCAATATTTTTGAGCATCTGTACCATATTCTAGTCTAAGTAGAAATTAAAAATAAAAACATTTAATTATTCTTGTTAAAAATAAGGACAGAGATCTCCTCACCTTCTGTTTTTTTCTCAGAGCATTTACTTTAGAAAACTTTTTTTTTTTTTGACATGGAGTTTCACTCTCATCGCCCAGGCTGGAGTGCAATGGTGCCATCTTGGCTCACTGCCACCTCCACCTCCTGGGTTCAAGTGATTCTCCTGCCTCAGCCTCCCAAGTAGCTGGGATTACAGGCGCCCACCACCATGCCCAGCTAATTTTTGTATTTTTAGTAGAGACAAGGTTTCACCATGTTGGCCAGGCTGATCTCAAATTCCTGACTTCAGGTGATCCACCCGCCTCAGCCTCTCAAAGTGCTGGGAATACAGGTGTGAGCCACCGTGCCCACCTAGAAAACTTTTACATACTTTCTCCTCTCTTTGAACATGTGTAAATCCTTTTGAAACTAGATAGGCTTTTTGTCAGCTTTATGAGCTAAGCTAGTCTTTCCCAAGGACCTGGGCGTCATCTCTTTGAAATGTAAACAAACCTAAGGGAGATAGTGCTTCTATCTCTTAGTTTCTGTGGGAAGGTATGAGCCTAACTGAAGAGCCTTGCTCAGTGCTGCAAAATTACCCCTTGTCTTAAAGATAAATTTGATTTTCCTCTGGGTAGAGCCAGTTAGCTAACACAAGTGGTTACCCTAATTACCAGGTAAATTTAGAGTGAACCATGTACGGCAAACGGTGCTGGCAAGACCTCTTACTTGAGGAACAGTTATTGTTTGCCTTGATAACATGTATGTAACAGGTTGTATCTACTTGGCTATACAAAAGGGGGAGATTTCTTTCTGTTCTTGCAACCTCTTAGTAGATGGCCTATAATGCTCTGCATATTTTGGTTTACTGCTTATTCCATAATAAAACTGTTCTTTCTCTACTCCTTTTGTGGAGAGAATCTCTGTGTTGAAAGAAGACTTTGTTAATTATATTTCACCAATACTAGGCACTGTGCTAGATTCTGTAGAGGCAAAAGTGTTTAAGATACAGTTCCTAGAAGTGTTTATTATTGCTCAGTAACAGAATATAAGAAAAGTCATGGGAAGCCCAAGGATTGAACCTCTATATCTGTCTCCTTAAAAACTGGGGGAGGGTGATCAAGAGGATATCACAAAAAAAAAAAAAAAAATCTGCCGTTTGAGCTGATGTTTTAAGGATGGGGAAAGTCTTCCAGGTTGACCAAGATGGAGGTGGCAGTGAATAGTGGGTGGGCTTTGAAGACAAAGGCACAGAGGGTCTGAGCATAGGAAGGTTTCCTGGGGCCAAGGCCAGGCAGAGGGAAATAGGAACAGAAGGCAGTGAAGATGGTGGAGTTGGGAGGAGCCCACATGCTCCCAGAGTGTTCAGGAAAGTCAGTTTAGGCTGAGTGCAGGGCTTCGGGGAAGGATGCAGAGAAAGCCAAGGCTGAAAAGGGAGAAGAGGGACATAGAGAGGGGTCTGAAATTCCACACTAAGTAACTACAAGGAAAAATGATGAAAGACTTTGAAATAGACACACACTGAAGATTACTGGGAGTCCTTTCTGGCATACTCTTTGGGGCTACCTCCCCCTTTTATTGCCTGAGCTAATTTTACAGCACCGTAGGTTATAGCAGATAGCAGTGCAAATGACTCTTGCTCATGGAAATACAAATTTTGTCTAGTGGAGATGCACTGGATTAAGTGCCCTGTAGATATGGACCAATTGTGCCTTTATCTCTAAATTCATCTCAGTATTTCTGGAAGCATCTCACCCATGCTGTTGGTTTGGCTGTAGACTGCTAATTCTCCTTGCTGCGTAGGATTCCACTGTGTGACTAGTCCATGATTTATTGCCATTTCTACTGCTAATGCACACATAGGTGGCTTTCAGTTTGTTGCTAGTTTGGACAATGTTGCCGTGAAAATTTTTGTGCATGTACATCTCCTACAACGTGGATGCATTTTAAAAGTTTAGTCTTGAGCCAAACCAAAAAGTATGAATCCAAATATGAAGATCAAAAATAGGCAAAGCTAAGCTATATTGTTTAGGGATGATATTTAGATTCAGTCAAACTATAGGGAAAAGCAAGGAAGTGATCACCATAGAAGTCAGACTTGTGGTTCTTTGTGGGAGAGGAAGAGGCTGTGGTCAGGAAGGGACATGAGAGAGGCTTCTGGGGTTCTCTTTCTCAGCCTGGATGGTAGTAATGTGGGAAATTAAATCTAATACTTTGCTAACCCAGACATTGTTCTTTCAGTGTGTTGTATTTTGCAATAAACAAAATACAACACACTGAAAAGAGACTTTCCATTTTCTCCTTAAGCACACTTTAAGGGGAAAACAAAGGTGGTCTAGGAAGATGTTTAAAGACATATGATACAGCTTTTCTTCCTTACTCACAAGCTAAAAAGCTGCACTTTGGCCAAACAAGATGAGGGGGTCGAAGCATCAGCTGTGGCCAGCGTGCCGTGAGAATCCCACCTGTGAAGCAGCCAGCAGATTCTGAGCCCCTCAAGAGGGCAGGTGGGATCAAGGTTCAGCTAGAAGCCCCAACTTTCCCCTGGCTCTTCTGGGCAGAGTGAGTGATGCCAGAGAGCCCAACTTCTCGGAATGCCTGGGCTGTGCTGCTAGGAATCAGAACAAGTCCTTGGGAAAGGCAGCCAAGATCTGGATTCTGCCATTCTGGTTCCACTCCCTCCTATGACCGTGACCTGCTGTGGAGCAGCAGAAGTTCCCCTCCTTGTTCAGCTCCTCCATTACAGGTGCTGGTTCCAAACGTCTCTGGACTCAGGATACTGGGTCAGAGGCTGGGGCTGGGGAGGAGCAGTTGGATGCCTGGATCCCAAGAAGGAGGTTTTTTGAGGCTAGGGTCTCTGGCTAGGGAGAACCATACCTGACATTGCCACTGTGCCATAGCTGCCTAGGGCCGGGCAGGCTTCCTCCTGGGATGGGGTGGGGTGAGGAAGGGGATAGACGATCGTCCTGACTGGGTCAGCTCTAATACGTTCTTTGCTTTCCTGCCCCTACAGCTCTGGATTCTTCACAACCTCATTCAATAGTAGTCAGTGTTTTTCAGGTATCCAAACTTTCTGAGGCTCAGTTTCCTCATGACAACAACATATATCGTTTCTTGAGCATCAAAGATGGGTCAGGCAGTGTGTTTGGGACTTCCTATACCATGCCTTTAATCCTTGCAGAAAGTTGACACATACCCATTACATGGCTTCAAAGGCTGATGGACAATCTCCATTTTAAAAGCAGGAAACAGACTTAGCAAGCCCAGTGCACAGTCACCAAGTGCAGAGCCAGGACTTCATTCCTGACTTCATTCCTTCATTCCAAAGCCAAGCTGCCTATGTCCCCATCTGTGAAGTGGGGCCAGCTGAGGAGCAGGGTTCAGGAGCAGACTTTGTGGAGACTGGCACGTGGCTGATGGATAGTAGGTGCTCCCATCCCAGAGGTGTGGCAAGTGCCAGGTAAGCCTGAGCACTAAGAAGAACCACACTGAAGTTGGGCTGAGACTATTTCCTGCCCTGCCTTCCTTTGTGAAAATAAAGCCAAGCAAAGAGGAAGATGAAAGAATCCACCCTAGCCTTCCTGAGCCCATTTCTCATTCCCAGGGGTTTTGAACCCCAATCCACTGCCCCCATTCCCAACCCACAGTGGTCCTCAAGGCTCTCCAGCACAGGTCCGTCACCCACCCTGCCTCCTCTCAGGAAACCCAGCTCCCTCCAAAGCGCCCTCTGGGCCTGGGATGCCCTGAGCAATGCAAGCTTTCTTGCCTGCTTTCACGTGGTTCAATTTTCCTTTTTTTTTGGCTCAATTTTTTTCTGCCTCAAGTTTTCTACCTCAAGTATTTCAAAAATTAATTTTTTTTTCTTTTCTTTTTTTTTTTTTTTTTTGTGGAGTGGGTGTTGAAAGAATCCTAAACTTTCTTAGCCATTCTCTGGACTGAGCTATAAACTCACAAAGCAAGGATTGCAGGCTCTGTGAGGCTGTGATTGCCAGAGGCAAGGCAAGAGAAATAACAAGCCGTGGTCAGTCCTCAGCTGGGGCCTCTGATGGATTTCCTCCTGTCTTGCACTCATAATTTCTTTCTGAAGACCATGTTTTCCACCCACACAAACCTGAGCCTGAGTATCCTCACAATGGTTATAACAACATATATCAAAATTGAACACTAAATTTGTGCCAGGAATTTATTAATGGAGAAACCCCGCCTCTACTAAAAATACAAAATTAGCCGGGCGGTGGTACATGCCTATAATCCCAGCTACTTGGGAGGCTGAGGCAGGAGAATCACTTGAACCCAGGAGGCAGAGGTTGCAGTGAGCCGAGACTGTGCCATTGCACTCCAGCTTAGGCAACAAGAGCAAAACTCCGTCTCAAAAAACAAAACACAAACAAGAAAGAAAACCCAAAAAACAAAAAACAAACAAAAACCCATAGATGGTACAAAAAGTGGAAGAAAAAGGAAAAAAAAACCCATGAAACTATCTGCAATGCAGTTTCCTAGAATCAACCACAGTAATCTTTTAGCTTTTCTCTATCTAAATGTTATACATATTTTATATTTATATTAAGTGCATTTATATTTATATTAAAATACAGATACAAATTTAAAAACTCTTTATTATTAAATTTTCAAATAAAAAGCAACTTTTCAAATAAAAGCAGCGAGAACCTCCTTATACCCAACACCTGGCTTCAACTATTAGCAACCCATGGTCAATATTTCCTCTATTTCCCACTTAATGTCTCTACTGAATTATTTAATTTCACCCATAAACACTTGTGTGCATCTCTAAAAGTTAAGGACTCTTTTTTGAAAAAGACTTTAATACAATTTCTCATCTCAAAAAATTAGCAATAATTCCTCAACAGCATCCAGATGCAATTTTTCATGCTTTTTTCAGTTAGTTTAAAATCATGAGCTTTTCTCCATGTCTCTAAAATGTAATTACTAATGCTTCTAATACTATTCCACCAGGTTGAGTGTATTATAAATGATCTGATCACCCCTTGCCTCCCACTCTTCCATCCCCTTGGACATATTTAGGCTACAACATCCCCAGGAAAATGGTTTCCATTGTCTGCACGTAAGCAAACAGGCATTATTAACCTATTAGCTGTCCACTGCTCCACCCCACCCACAGGTACCCAACTAGTCCTGTGCACCTACCTGGCGTGGACTGCCAAGGGAACCTCTGGATCTGCCAGTCAGCCACCCTGTCCTGCTCAGACTTTACCAGAGACGAGTATTTCCCTTTCCTTCCCTCTAAGAGCATTTTATTTGCAGAGTTAGCCAATAGTATCTTGTTTCCTGTAAGGGAGACTATCTTTAGATGCTGCCACAGGCAAGCTCAGATACTCCAGGGTGGAGGCCAGCTGCCAACAGGAGGGCCTGACTTTATAAACCTGGAAGATCTAAACCTCAGGGAAGACTGCGGAGCTGGAGGGAGAGAGGTGCCACTTACCCCAACCTGGAGGTGGGGGGCAGGGAGCAGGCCCTGCAGTCAGCAAAGCACAGCACAGTCAGCTCTCATTAATGGGGAGCCTTCAGGAAGCTGGGAGAGCTCATGGGGCCCTCAGCTTCCCTGCCCACGAGAGGGAGCCCAGAGTACTCACTGGACCACACTGGGGCACACACAGCTCTTCTCCTCAAAGTGCAGTCCCAGGCACTGGGAGCTTATTAAAGACAGCACCTCAAGCCCTGCCCTATATCTGCTGAATTAGAATCTGCATTTTAATGAAATTCTTAGAAGAGTGATATGCATACTAAGTTTGAGAAGCTTTGGTACTGAAGGCATCTAGTGAGTACCTTGCACCTTGTAGATGCTCGGTAAATATTTTTTTCCTCACCTCTCTGCCCCAAGGCATTTAGTGGCTCCCTATACCCATCAGTCAAGGCTGAGGACACAGCTTTCACCCAGGACCTGGCCTATGCTCCTTTCACAGTCTCTCCCCCTGCCACTCTTGCCCTGCAGTGGGGAGCCTGGTGGGCTCCGGCATCCAGCCATGCTTCTGCTCCCTGGCCTGGCCAGCTTGGGGCGACTGCAACGTGAATCTCAACTGCCACTGCCTCATCACCTTCCGATCACTTCATTACCTGCCTGACCCCTGGCATATGCTATATAATTCTGATCCATCCCTAACTAGGGCCTGGCCCATGGTGGCCTTCAATACACCTTCATTAAATGGTCTGTGACCCCTTCAAGGCCCCTCTGGCCCCTTGCTGCCCACATCCCAGCCACATCCGGTGCTCCCTTACCTCTAGTCGCTGTGGTGTTCCGAGGACAGCGGGTGCTCTGTGTGCTCCCCACCTTGCCCCTCCTCACCTCCCCCAACCCCAGGACAGAGCTGGGGGCTGCAGTGCAGTGCTGCGGGCTTGGTGGCCTGCTCATGGTGGAAGAAGTCCACCAGCAGTTTTCTTTCTTTGTTCTTGGTCTCAGTGTTTGGCCACCTTTCCCTGCCTTTGGCCAGAAGGCCACAGGACAAAAGCAGAGTCAGGCCGCTCCCCATCCACTTTCTGACACTGGCCCCTCCCCACCCCACACCACCCCTTGATACCTCTCCTGGGGTCCACTCAGCTGGGCTGGCTGCCTCAGCCCCTTCCTTGCCTCTGACTCCCCTCCTCTTCTGAGGGCTCCTTTCTTGGATCTGGCCAAGACTCTCCCTCTCTTCCTGTCCCACACTCTTGACGACAGTCTCATCCACCCCACATCAGTAATCCCCTCCGTGTTCATGAGCACACATCTCTACCTCCATCCAGGGCCTGGATAATTTCCCAAGCCCATCTAACCTTCTCCGTTCTCTGTCTTTCCTCTCACCACTTACCCCACTGGCCATTCTCCACCCAGAAGCCAGAGAGCTCTTCCTGAAATCCAAGTCTGCCAACTTAAACGCCTCCAGGGGTTCTCTCATCCTGGTTTAAGTCCACGGCCTGGTAAGCACGGCCCGCCCCTTCTCACTTCCTACTGTGCTCTCACCACTTCCACTTCCCCCAACATGCCTGTGCCCGTGGCAGGCTCTCTTCCCTTCCCAACTCACCTGGCTGTCCTGTCCAGGACGTGATTTTACCCTCTTTTAAAGCTAACGGCTATGTTCCACAGCTGCTAGCAGCACAGGGCTTCATGCTTGGCAAGCATGAGAACCAGCGTCCAGTGTCAGTTGCCTTGCCCCCAAGCCCCACAGAGTGATGCCATGGCTTGGATAGATACCTGTGAATGTGTGAGGGATGGGGAGGTTATAGGAAGGGAACTCTGACCTTGGGTAACGTGCCATTTTATAGCAAGCAGTAAGCAAGTCGGTTATTTGGCCCTGAGCGAGATGTCAGCTCATCCTTCAAGGTTGCTCACTGCAAACTCAACCCTGCAAGATGGACCAAGTGAAGAGCATTAGTGCTTTGCATTCTTGACACACTCATGGAGACAGAAAGAGCCTTGGCAGCCTTCCCCCTCCCTCCACGCCTCCTTGGGCCTCTGTAAAGGAGTCTCTGGCTCAGCGCTGGGAATTCTCTCCTCCCTGAACTCTTGTTCAACCCCTCCCCCGTACTCTCACTCTGGTACAGCCTTATTCCTTAGATCCCCGTCTTCATCTCTCTTTCTGCCCAGCCCCTTTGGCTTCACTCTCTGTTGGAGCTGACCCTTGTTCACAAGTTCTTTGTCATTCTGCATTTCTCTTCCAGTTGAGACAGTAAATGCAGAGGACAGTTTGGTTTCTGCTGGGCAGAGAAATGAGAGTGTGGTGGGCTGGCTCAAAGGCAGGAGGCCAGACAGAGAGGCTGTGAGGATGGTGGGGACACCCTGGACAGTGATGGGTGTCCCCACCCATCACTGCAGGCACCCATCACACAATGCAGGCAAGGACTGGAGACTTGGTGTGAATAAAGCTTTGTGGGAATGTGGGGTAGAGATGCAGAAAAGGAGAGTGAGAATGTGATTCACCTTAATTGCCAAACCAAGATACTTCCATGTTCTTCTGTGGGCCCTGGAGAAATTTGGGAATAATTACATAAGCAGTTGTGCAGCACTAGGTCTGCCTGAGGCAATGTCCTAAGTCCTCGATGTACATGAACTCATGTAGTGCCCCCAGTGACCCTATGATGCAGGTGCTAATGTTTTTGTTTTTGTTTCTTTCAGACAGGGTCTGGCTCTGTTATCCAGGCTGGAGTGCAGCCACATGATCATAGCTCACTGCATCCTTGATCTCCTGGGCTCGAACGATCCTCTCACCTCAGCCTCCCAAGTAGCTGGAACTACAGGCACACATCACCACACCCAGCTAATTTTTGTATTTTTTGTAGAGACAGAGTTTCGCCATGTACCCAGGCTGCTCTTGAACTCCTGAGTTTGAGTGATCCTTCTGCCGCAGCCTCCCAAAGTGCTGGGATTACACGTTTAAGCCACTGTGTGTGGCCGCAGGTACTATTATTATCCTCATCTTATATGTGAGGAGTTTGAGACAAGGAGGAGAAGTTATGTAACTTGTACAAGACCACACAGCTCATGTGTGGTAGGGCCAATATTTGAACTTAGCATTGAGGTTTTATGGTCTATGCTGTGCATTCTTAGTAGAGGTGGTATTACTTCCAAGGTGGCGAAAATTGGTTCTGGAAGGTTCTTGTGCTTTATGTATAAAACACAGATATACATATAGTAGCTAAACCAATAGCATATCTGTGGAATAAAATTCCATGGTAGGGGGAGGTGAGTAAGAATGTAATGTGGGCCAGGCATGGTGGCTCACGCCTGTAATTCCAGCACTTTGGGAGGCCAACGTGGGTGGATCACGAGATCAGGGGTTCAAGACCAGCCTGGCCAAAATGGTGAAACCCTGTCTCTACTAAAAATATAAAAATTAGCCAGGCGTGGTGGCGGGTGCCTGTAATCCCAACTACTTGGGAGGCTGAGGCAGGAGAATCGCTTGAAACCGGAAGGTGGAGGTTGCAGTGAGCCGAGATAGCGCCACTGCACTCCAGCCTGGGCGAAAGAGCGAGACTCCATCTCAAAAAAAAAAAAAAATTATATATATATATATATATATATATATATATATATATATATATATAATGTGGTTAATAGGCACAAAAAATACTTAGAATAAATAAGACCTAGTATTTACAAGCACAACAGGGGCACTATAGTAAAAAAAATTTAATTTACCTTTACAAATAACTAAAAGAGTATGATTGGATTGTGTGTAACACAAAGGATAAATGCTTGAGGTGATGCATACCCCATTTCCTCTGATGTGATTATCACACGTTACATGCCTGTATCAAAGCATTTCATGTAACCTACAAACATATACACACGCTATGTACCCCGCCACACACAAAAGAATATAATATCTAAAAGGACTTGTTGGGGAGTGATTAAAAAAAGCTGAGAAACCATTGTCTAAGTTTTTTTTTTTTGTTTGTTTGTTTTTAGACAGGATTTACTCCCATCACCCAGGCAGAAGTGCTGAGGTCCGCCTCCTGGGTTCAAGCTATTCTTCCACCTCAGCTTCCCGAGTAGCTGGGATTACAGGAGCCTGCTACCACATCTGGCTAATTTTTGTATTTTTAGTGGAGATGGGGTTTCACCACGTTGGCCAGGCTGGTCACGAACTCCTGACCTCAAGTGATCTGCCCACCTTGGCCTCCCAAAATGCTGGGATTACAGGCGTGAGCCACTGCGCCCAGACAAGAAACCCTTGTCTAAGGTCTTAATCAGACCACTCTGCTACCTCCCAGTTTAAAGTCTGGGGATTAGAGGGTGACATGACAAAAGTAGTCTCTTCAGAAAAATCAATCAATGGGTGGGTGTGAGGGAAACGGCTGCATAAAAGGGAAGGAAAAGACGTACATCAAGGACTTCTCCATGCCAGGCCCTGTGCGAGGCACATTGTCCATTATATCTCTTTTTTACTTTCACTTTCTAGTCAGGTATTATTTTTTCCATTTTCAGATGATGAAATGGGGAGAAAAGAGCAATGAGTCCTAGGCCACACAGCTGAAAAAGGGTCAAGTCAGGATTGGAACTTCCTGCCCAGATGCAGGCAGGGAACAGCAAGAGGGGAGCCAAAGCAGTGGGTGGTGGAAGACGGAGAAGGGATCTCGCTACAGGAAAATGCATAGAATTGTAAAGGACCAGACACGTTGAGGGTCAAGTGAGCATCCAAAGGCTGTGTTGCCATTGACAAGTCGAAAGCAATATGCTGGGAGATTTCAGAAGCAGAAAAAAAGTCTCTCTTTCCTCTTCTACCCTAAGAGGACAAAAGATCTTCTCCCTCTAAGAGGAGAAAAGATCAGACTTAGAAAATTAGAGGCCAATAGAAAATTGGAGGTGGCTCATGCCTGTAATTCCAGCACCTTGGGAGGCCAAAGTGGGAAGATCATTTGAGTCCAGGAGTTCGAGACCAGCCTGGGCAACATAGGGAGACCTCATTGGTACAGAAAAAAAAAAAAAAAAAAAAATAGCTGGGCATGGTGGTGCCGACCTGTAGTCCCAGCTATGGGAGGCTGAGATGGGAGGATCACTTGAGCCCAGGATTCAAGGGTGTAGTGAGCAGTGATCCTGCCACTGTACTCCAGCCTGGGTGAAAGAATGACTCCAACTCTTAAAAGAAAAGAAAAGAAAAATGGAAAGTTGGAGAGGAGTAAATGTAGACAAAGTAAGTGCTATTTACTACCTCCTTCTGTCCCAATGTTTACATTTAACATCATCTGTGGCAATTTTCAGGTTTGTTTCATAAATTCTGCTCAACAGTGATTAAAAGCACTTCCCCTTTGGAACCATAGCAAACAGGATCTGGCAAGGAACTCCAGGAGTACTTAGGATAAACTATTTTTTAGGCATCATTCAACTTTTGCTTTGCAATACTTAAAAATATCTGTCTGCAGACAGTATATGTCATTTTTTAAAAATTAAAAATTAAAAAATCTGCTCTCTCACCAAATATGGCATGTGTTTCCATTAAAGTGGAACTTACCAATGGAAGAATAATGGAAAATGAATAAATGAACTACAATCTTGAATTTTAAAACATGCCCATTTTAGCCCTTTGAAATACACAGGTAATTCAAATTAATTGCCAAAATGTCTTTATATTGTTTGCTGATATTATGGAGAGTCTGCTTTAAAAAATAAGGAAAATAATAGTTGTCTCTCACAAACAGCTTTAAAACAGCCTTTTCTGTCCTCGCTGTACAGATAATATAACGTTAAATAACTAGGGCAATAAAGTATCAGAACTCATGAGTCTGTATCATTGGCCAGATATTGAAAAATAAGCTGCCAGATTAGCCAGCTGGCCAGGGTATAAGTGCACCTACAAGATAACCTTACATGTGGCATTGTATGACTACAGAAGTGACAGGTAGATTTCCTAAACTATTGCTTTCAGGATTTTACTTATTTCAAAGGGTCATTCCAAAAACAAAAGCCAAGGGGCTTATAGTACAGTGCAGAGGTGAGGAACACGTCCAGAGGCAGCCTTGCACTTGCTGACACAAATGCAGCAGGTTCACTGACACGAAGAGACTAATAACAGGTGATCTTATGGATATTTGGGAGCTGCAGTGGATACTGTTTAATATAAGACTATAATTGGGCCGGGCGCGGTGGCTCACGCCTGTAATCCCAGCACTTTGGGAGGCCGAGGCGGGTGGATCATGAGGTCAGGAGATCGAGACCATCCTGGCTAACAAGGTGAAACCCCGTCTCTACTAAAAAATACAAAAAATTAGCCGGGCGCGGTGGCGGGCGCCTGTAGTCCCAGCTACTCGGGAGGCTGAGGCAGGAGAATGGCGTGAACCCGGGAAGCGGAGCTTGCAGTGAGCCGAGATTGCGCCACTGCAGTCCGCAGTCCGGCCTGGGCGACAGAGCGAGACTCCGTCTCAAAAAAAAAAAAAAAAAAAAAGACTATAATTGGACCACAAATGAAGTTGGGGGGTGGGATTCTGGGTCCAGTGTGAGCCAAATTAGCTCCTGATAAACTCTCTCAGTTGGACAAACTTGAATCAAGAATTTTAGACACCTCAGCTACACTTTTTCATCCTTTAGAGGATTAAGTAATCCTTTACCTGAACTGAAACTTGTTTCAAAAGTACAAGATGCAAACATAGCAAAGGCTGTGAAAGAAACATCTGACCATCTACTTTCTTAGCATTCAGAATATCTGAAATAAGCAGATATTTGGCTGCCGTTGTCAATGAAAACTTAAACAGTATGAAATTGTAGTTGTGGCTACAAGTGAATACAGGGAAGCCGGGCTGGAGAGTGTTGCACAGCCGTCAACCTGTGGTTATAGCAAGAAGCCCTTTCTTAGGTACTTTTGTCCATCTCTATTCTTTTATAACAACAACAAAATGGCTGTGCTAAGTAAAACAATCTGTATTTTATTCAGAGCCAGCTTCTAATCTCCTTGACTCTAAAACAAAATATCAATATTTATTTCTGCTTGATCTAGCTGCCAAAAGACTCTTGTCTATATAAATCACACTCACAGTTTTATCTATGTTTAAGGTAATGAAGACCTAATCTATATGTGGCTGTAGAAGGTATTTATTTTGCTGTTTACTGTCGTGCAGATGTAGTTGGTAGAGCAGGTGGTAGGTCCTCAAGTGACCGTTTGGCCAGGAGGGAGTGTTTGGTGTCCAGCAAGCAGTGCTGAGTCATTTCACTCGGTCAATACACTTGGTGATGGAACCTGCAGTAACATTTCAATTTAGAAAGAGCCAAATGGAGATGCCATGCTCACTCCAAAGTTTCTGACACTCTGCTTGGTAAACGGACTTCAGATTGTTTTAGTGCCTTCAGCACATTTATTTTCGACAAATTTGGAATATCCTTGAAACTGAATTGGGCACAAGGAGGTATATATTTCAATAATTTGAATGGGTCAAATGGAAGGTTCACGTATTCTCCTTTCAAAAGTGTTTTAGATCAATGATCAAGATTTTGTAAATCTACAATGTTGAGTTAATTTTACCCACATGCAAAAGAGGCTGAGAGGTATATTTCCTTGAAGCCAGTACATATTCTATAGCTTAAGTGTATGTCTGGGTCCCAGGAAGAAGCTGATGTTTGTTGAAATCACACATTCGGCAACATGGCTATAATTCCTGGATGGTGACATTTCACCAAAGGAAGCAACTTAGGATGTGAATTAAGCAACAGTTGTCATATTCAAAAGCTCACGTATGTGTGTGTGTGAGAGAGATGATTTAATGTGTGTGTGTGTGTGTGTGTGTGTTTTAAATAAGTGAAATCCATCTGTGATTCATATGTGAAAATGTGTCTGTCATTCTCTGGGAACCTAGCTTGGGTTGAATTATTTTTAAACCTCAGTATGTTGAGGCAGAAGTCCTAAAAGGCTCATTGCAGACTAAAACAAAAGTGCCTCTTTATTCCCAAATGAACCATCACTTGCCCCATATACTGCTTAATAGTTATTGGTAATTGCCGCTATTATGTGTCACACTTTTGTACACAAGCAATGCATCTCCAACCTGACCCTTGCTCACTCACTTGCCAGGTATTTAGAAAGCACATGTTGCCTGCCTACCTTCTGCTCAGGGCTGTTTGTTAAGGATACAAAGATGAATAGGGCAGGGTCTCTACCCTTTCCCTTAATGGTCTCGCTTTGGCTTCCACTCTTCCAGGTAGCTCAGGAAACTTAAGGTAATCTACAGTCATCAGATACAGGAGTGAGCTGCCTTGCCTCTATCCCCTGAGCTCTGTCTCCCCCTCCTGGTGTCTCTGGCTCTCACCAGCAACCCCCAGGTCCAGGAGCAGCAGGCGGAGCAGCCAATCAGCAGAGATGGCCCCACCTGGTGGGCAGCCCTTTGGCTTCAGAGCTCCCCTCTGGTTCATTGGTTTTACTCAAAACACTTGGCTTTGCTGACAGTCATCTGTGGTAGCTGCATTTCCCCAGAGGAAGTGGTGTGTGCAGGCAAATCTGGCAAGCCTTTGGGTTACAGTTTTGTGATGAGCCAGCCGGCCCACAATTACCTGGAATCCCACTCTCCTGGTTCAAATCCTGACCCTGCTACTCTCAAGCTGTGTGGCTTAGGGCGAGATATTTCTCTAAGCCTGAATTTCCTTATTGTTAAAATCAGGGCAGGCCGGGCACAGTGGCTCATGCCTGTAATCCCAGCACTTTGGGAGGTCGAGGCGGGCGGATCACCTGAGGTCAGGAGTTCGAGACCAGCCTGACCAACACATCTCTACTAAAAGTACAAAAATTAGCCAGGCATGGTGGCGTGCATCTGTAATCCCAGCTACTCAGGAGGCTGAGGCAGGAGAATCACTTGAACCCGGGAGGTGGAGGTTGCAGTGAGCTGAGATCGCACCACTGCACTCCAGCCTGGGCAATGAGTGAGACTCCATCTAAAAAAAAAAAAAATCAGGGTAAACTTATATGGCAAAGTCGGCATGAGGATTAATGGTGACATGTGTAAAGCACTTCATATGGTGCTCTGAGTAGGGTAATGAGGGTAATAGAAATCTGTGTTCCGGGGATACAAAGAAGGAGCAATCTCTTCCTAAGAGTCTTGGTGGATGCATTCACCTGGGCAGGATGTGCCAGGAGAGGGACCAAGTTGTACAAAGGGTCAAGAGGGTAGAAGAGCCTCACTCATTAGTGGAGCCTCTCAGAGTAGCCTCCTTCTGGGCTCTCTGGAGCTTTGCTGAAGCGCAGCTGTCCCTTCAGAACTCATTGCACTGTTTCTGGTCCTGGTTCCCTCTTACTCCACTTGCTTGGCAAAAATTTCTGAGTGACAACTCCCTTTTCTACTTGAAACTGGTGGGCAATCTTGTCCCTCTCCTCTCCTGAATGGCCTTTTAACTATTCTTAGAAAAAAATTAAAATCCAAGTATATGGACTGAATTATGTTTCCCCCAACTCCCATTCATATTTTGAAGCCCTAACCCACAATATGACTATATTTGGGGATGAGGCCTCTAAGGAGGTCATTAAGGTTAAGTGAGGTTATAAGAGTGGGACCCTAATCCAACAGGACTGGTGTCCTTATCAGAAGAGAGAGACACCAGGGATGTATGTGCACAGAGAAAGGAGGCGGCATCTGCAAGCCAAGGAGTGAGGCCTCAGGAGAAATCAAGCCTGCTGACACCTTGATCTTAGACTTCCAGCTTCCAGAACTGTGAGAAATAAATTTCTATTGTTTAAGCCACCCAGTCTGTGGTATTTTGTTATGAAAGCCCAAGGAGACTGACCCCCAAAGTTAATGTCAATTAATCAGGGTGAAATTATTTCTCATAGTTTGTGGGCTGAAGACCATGAGGAACATCTAGAGTTTAAAAGTTAGGTTTGTTTAGCTTACTGCGGCAAGGGAAGACACATGTCAAAGGAACCAGGGAGCATGTCCTTAATGGGGAGCTGGGGCTTGTGCTGGACACGTCTAAGGGAGGATTCAGGAAGCAGGGGCAGTTCTAGATCAGGCACTGTCAAAAAACAGGGGCAGTTCAGTGACTGAGTGTCTTAGTGGATTTTATCTGGGGGGATTGAAGTGGGCTAGAGTCATCATTGCTAAAGAAGCAGCAATCCCTCATGCCGATCAGAGGTGGGGATGTTTAGTTTTGTGGTTGTGGAGTGGTCTTCTTTGAGCCTTTTCCAAACATGGTCACAGTGTGTGGGAACATCACAGTCTGGCAGCTGACAGGCAAGTTTTCACTTTCTTTTTTCATATTAGGGAATCCCAAGTGGTACAATCTGCTAAATGTGAATGTAAAAGGAAAATAAAATCTCGGGACCTTCATTCACTATGCCAAAGGGAGAGATTAAGCTGGAAGCTGAGTCACAGAATAAACTGCCTTCCTTTTGTTCCTAAGAATATAGCTACAGATAAAAGGTCAGATAGGGCCGGGCGCAGTGGTTCACACCTGTAATCCCAGCACTTTGGGAGGCCGAGGTGGGCAGATGACGAGGTCAGGAGTTTGAGACCAGCCTGGCCAACATAGTGAAACCTCGTCTCTAGTAAAAATACAAAAAATTTGCCAGGCATGGTGGTGGGCGCCTGTAATCCCAGCTACTCAGAAGGCTGAGGCAGGAGAATTGCTTGAACCTGGGAGGCGGAGGTTGCAGTGAGCTGAGATCGCGCCATTGCACTCCAGCCTGGGGGGACACTGCGAGACTCTGACTCAAACAAATAAATAAACAACAACAAAAAAATAACAGTCAGATAGAAGGCCAGGTGTCTCCACAGGTAGCTGCCCTATGCTTACTTTATCTTACGTAAACATTTGCTGAACACCAGATGAATAAATAATTGACTTTTCTTTTCTTTTTTTTTTTGAGACAGAATTTCACTCTTGTTGCCCAGGCTGGAGTGCAATAGCGCAATCTCAGCTCACTGGAACCTCCACCTCCCGGGTTCAAGCAATTCTCCTGCCTCAGCCTCCCAAGTAGCTGGGATTACAAGGGCCTGCCACTATGTCCACCTAGTTTTTGTATTTTTAGTAGAGATGGGGTTTCACCGTGTTGGCCAGGCTGGTCTGGAACTCCTGACCTCAAGTGATCCACCAGCCTCCGTCTCCCAAAGTGCTGGGATTACAGGTGTAAGCCACTGCGCCCAGCCCATAATTGACTATTTTGGTATTCTGCCTTTTTTCACGTGCAACATGTAGATTCAGTCATGTGACCATACATGTGACCATACGCTCCCTCTTTCCCCTCCCGCCTACTTGTCCTCTTCAAATATTGAAGCACTCAAAATCCTCTTTGGAAAAAAGCACAGATCACAGGTTGTTCTTGGGATTTTGTGTTCCTTTTTTGGGAGGCACATCCTTAACCTTGGCAAACTAAGTCTCTAAATTTATTGAGACCTGTCTCAGATACTTTTTGGTTTATAGGAACAATGAAAAGGACAGTTATGAAACACATGTGCAGCTCACTCCATGGTTTACAAAGCACTCCCACAGGCACCAAGAGTGATTATTTCCAACTCTTCCTTTCAGGTGAGGAAACTGAGGCCCAAGAAAGTTAGAGAAGTAACTTGAAGACACTCAGCTGATAGGTTGGTGGGAGGGCCACCACAGGTCACAAATTTACCTACATGCAGTGTTTGGCCTTGGAAAGCAGGGCTGTTTCTCTAAGAGTCACTGAACCTACAGCAGATGCCTTCGGGGTCTGCAGAGCTCCTTTCTAAAGGGCTTTCTCCTGGCTCTAGGATAGCAGTAGGGATGTGGAAGGAAGGGCTGAATGACAGGTTCAATGAAATGGTTCCAGTGAATGGAAAGCTTAGGGGCGCCCCCTTGTGGTAATCACATGAAGTGCTGCTCCAGGTCTGGGCTGAGACGGGTGTGGGCAGCAAGGTCCCCTCTAAGGCAACAAGAGCAAGTGCCAGGGATTGAGCACCTGCCTTGGGTCAGGCCCTGTGCACGTGATGGTCAGGGACTCATTTGACCCTCAGCCCGGCAGCCTGAGAGCTGGGTGTTCTCAGCCTGTGTGAGAGATGAGAAAACAGAGATGAAGGCAGAGTTTACCCATGAGAAGAGTGGTGGAGCTAGGCTGGAAGACCCGGTCCAGTGGCAGAGCTGCTGTTGTCAGGTGGAAGCCCCTTCCCATTTCTAAGTTCCTTGTGACTTCCTAAAGTCAGACCCTCAACTAGACTGTAGCACCGAGGAGCTGCTTCTGACTTTGTAAAGGGCCTCCTGGTTTTACAAGGTGTTTTCATACTCCTCATCTCTCATAAGCCACACAGAATCCTGCAAAGCAGGGTTTTTTAGGGATGATTGTCTCCACTTGAAAACCAAGAAAACAGAGGCACAGAGATAATAACAGTTAAAACATAGTAATAGACACTGTTTATTAAATGTTTACCATGTGCCAGGACCTGTGCTAAGTAAGTGCCTTCTATTTATTATTTTGTTTAATCCTCCAGCAATGCTAGTAATTGTCCTCATTTTACGGATGAGGATAAGGAGGCTCAGAAAAGCTGAGTGTCTCTCCCAAATTACACAGTTCAGGAACTGGAGCTGCAGTCTGACTCTGGAACCTGAATTCTTACTTACCACACTGTACTTAACAAGTGTGACTCACTGTAGGCACCAGTCTGGTAAAGGATGAGCACAAACTGGCATCTGTCTGCTTTGACACCCTAGACAATCTTCTTTCTACAACATCACACAGGTTCAGATGTCCTCTTTCAATATCTGGAGGTAATGATATAGCTAGAAACAAAACAAAACAAAAGACCAGTTACAGTCAGTTCTTTGGGGTAAAAATGTTGGAAAGACTAATGAGGGCATACTCAGGGCCCCCGAGAGGGGGTATGCACTTGCTGTACTATGAGAGTGAACTAAGGTCTAGGTCAAGCTCTAGGCCAAGCCTATGACCTAACCTGGCTGTAATTCACGTAAAGCTGCTGTGTGTGCTAGCTGCTTCCTGGAATATTGTTCTAAAGCACTTCTGGCAGGTGTCTGAAGCCTGTGCCAGTGAACCAGTCTTTCCTGGGAGTAGTGGTTGCAATATTATGATGTCCGGAGCTGTGCTGTCCAATACGATGGTCACTGGCCACATGTGGCTATTGAGCCCTTGAGATATGGCTAGTCTCAGTTGAAATGTGATATAAATGTAAAATATTTGCCAGATTCTTAAAGACTCAGTATTTAAAAAGAAATGTAAACTATCTCATTAATAATTTTTATGTTAATGACATGATGAAACTATATAATATGCCTTACATTAGATGCCTTACATTTAATATCTTATTAAAATTAACTTTACCTATTTCCCTTTGCTTTTTCAATCACACCAGGAAATTTTAAATTACCTACATGGGCCGGGTACGTGTAGCCACTATGAACTCATTTCAGTTCTCAAACGCCCTAAGCTTTCTCCAGCCTTGACCCCTTCCCCTCCATCCTCACTACTTAGGTAGCTCCTTAGGCAGCAAGTCTGTTCTATAGAGACCTCCTGTGACCCCCTAAGCTATATTAGGTCCCCCACTCTGTCAATTATCTCAGTCCATTATTTCTTCTTTGTGAAATTGATGACACTTCATCACCATCCTCTTATGTGTGGATGTGTTTAATGTCTGTCTCCCCCACTAAACTGGAGCATTATGAGGGTAGGGATGGTGTTTGTGCAGCTGTGTCCTGGTGTACACACAGTCACTCTCACAAGGATTTGTCCATGACTGCTTGCTTGCACAATTAGGAGAGAAGTTGCCACTGGCCGTCGTCGTCATCCAGTCTGAGCCGGGCACTCTGCATGCCTTATCCTCACTCCCCACGGCAACCTTCAGGGGTGCGCCACTGCCACATTTCTGCTGTGGAGCAGCCCAGCGGCTTGGGAAGGGAAGTCACTTGCCCACAGTCTCCTTGTGGGGGAGTGCCCAGGCAGGACTCGAAGCCAGGCCTGGCTGCTTCCCACTCTGTGTGCCTCCTTCCTTGCCAAGGGTGCCCCTGTTTTCAGGTCCCATCTCAGAGAGACTGCGCTCATCCTGGCCAGCCTTGGCTCTGCTCTGTTCTTTGGGAGATCCCAGGGTCAGAAGACCAGGAGGCCAGGTGGGTGATGGGTGTAGATGCTGAGTGCATGGGCCGGGGGCACTGAACCCCAAGCTTGGGGTTGGTTCCAGCCAGATGGGAGCATAGGAGCTGACAGCAGGTCCGTGTGGCCTTGCTCCTCCCAGGTGCAACCCTAGGGGTCCCACACAGCGTGCTGAGGTGCTTGCCCTTACCTCCCAATTCCTCACGGGTATGAGTCCATGAGAATAGTATGGGGTGCATGGACGACCAGGCTGGCAGAAAACAACCTTGACAGGCCGGATGTGAGCAACAGCAGAAAAAGTCAAGCACTTCGATCACAGAAGAGCAAGGGCCTGGTTTGAAAGGGCTTCTTTGAGAAGAGACTGAAAGGGATGTTCTGAGGACCTATTGACAAGACGAGCTAACCACTTCACAAGGGGCCCCTGCCCTCCTCTCAGTGGGAGCCCTGCACAACCCCACTCCGAATTCACCCACATCTTAGAACCCAATGAGCAGGCCCTGCAGTCCTGCTTTCCTAGTCCCCTGCCTGGCAGAGAAACGCTCGAGGAGACAGTAATGTTGATTCAAGTTGGCCAAAAACAGCAAAAGTTCTAAAAGCACAAGAATAACAAGGGATCTGCCGGATACTGAGTGGGGCAGAGATCCTCCTGGGGGAAGGGACACAGGAGTGGAGAGGTCAGAGGCCCTGGCTGGGGGAAGGATGAAGCCAGGAAGTCCACATGACAGGCTCCCCAGTGTCCTGGGAAATGTCTGTGGGCCCTACTCTTGTTCTGGGCAAGGGGTAAGGCAGCCAGACACAGGGGGCAACACCTGACCCTGTGCTGTCTGGAGTTATCACTGGAGGCTCAGAGGGAAAAACTGCATGAACCATCTCAAGGGTTCCTTGAATTCAGCTTTGCACATAAAACTCACGTCGCACTGGTAGGCTTTGAAGATTCCACACTGTGAATGACCAGGCCACAAAGGCATACCCACTCAAGTGACACCTAGGCTGCAGGACCAACCAGAAAGGCCTTTGGAAACCCCCTCCCATGGACAGCTGGCACACAGAGGCTTCATGAAACTCCATTTACTCAGGGTCATTGATTCCTAACAATGGGCGATACTGGGGTTCAATGTATGACTTCATTTGGAGTTTCACTTTGAGTGAATAGTACATTGTATATGTTTTCGCTTCACGGTGAATAAGAGCTGTGCACAGATTGACTGGGAGTAGAAATTGACAGCTATTTTAAAAACTGCTTTTTAGTCATTCTTTTAACCCTTCTCACAGCTGTATGTCAGAAGCAGGTTCTGGCTGGCTGGAGTGCTGAGCCCTAACATGCTGTGCCTCAGTTTGCTGCTGTGTACAATAAGAGGAAGTGACCATGTTCTCCCCTAGAACCTCTCCAGCTCTACACCGCTGGTGTGCATGCCCTCTGTTTGCCAGATCACCCAGTTCTAGGAGACAGGGCATTCTCTTGTAGATGTACTGCATGAAGTATTGAGCTAGGCTAAGGGTGGATGCAGAACTTTGAATTCCAGTGAGTCTGTCTGGAAGCCTCTGAGACATACCAATGTCATATCCTGGGAGGGATGGAAGACTATGGCCTGTGGAAAAGAAAGAGGGAGAGAGGGGAAAAAAGGAGAAAAGAAGCAATTTCCAGATAATAGAGGTGTAAGAATGTCTAGAGGACCCCCTCCTGATATAGAACACCTAGGATGCTGGATAATTACTCAAAAATACCTTTTTAAATAAATGGTTGATCTGGAAAAAAGGTGAAGAAAATCCTCAGAGGCAGAATGCAAATCTGCTGGGTGAAGGAAAGGCTGGAGCTCACATTCACCCTGGGCCCTCTGTGGCCCCTTAAGGCCGGGAGCCTGGCCTTCATGGGTCATGTGCCTGCAACGTGGAAGACAAAGACAAGTTCTGGGCTAGGAAGGGTGAGATTCTATCTGAAGCCCAAACAAAACCAGTATCCCCAAAGGGGAGCTCCCTTTGTAAGTGAAGTAAGAGTCCCACCCCAGTCTCATTTCCACACAGAGGGGAAATTATATAACGATGCCTACATTGGCTTTGGCTCCAGTGAGTAGAAAAAAAGAAAAGTCCTCTCCAGAACTCTCAGCCACAAACCTGTGTTCATGCATATTGGGGCTGAATTTCACACTTCCTGTGTGGCCAAAAAGCCAATCAAACACAGAGGTCCCAGGTTGGAAGTACCCCAGAGTACTGGGTGAAGTAAAGGCAAGTCCCCTCTGGAGGAATGTGCGTTACAACTGGGCCTCAAGGAATAGCACCATTTCCATCAGGGCTTGCTTAGTTCCTTCCCTAGGCAACAGAGGCTGAGGCAAAGCCTGCATGGTGATGCCATATCAGAATGTGAAATTCAACAGGAACAAAGTGCAGGAAGAAGTGAAGTGAGGCAGGGAAAGAGGAAAGCAAACACAGAGTGGTGCATTCCTGAGCTGGCCATAGCTACAGCAGGAAATGTAGCTGGTTATGCAGGCTCTCTGCAAAAGGCCCATGGAATGGCCCACTGCAGTAATTCACACTTGTAATCCCAATGCTTTGGGAGGCTGAGGTGGGAGGATCAATTGACATCAAGAGTTTGAGACCCAGCCTGGACAACATAGTGAGACCCCATCTCTACAAAAAATTTAAAAAATTAGCCGAGTGTGGTGGCACACAGCTGTAGCCCCAGTTACTCAGGAGGCTGAGGTGGGAGGATCACTTGAGCCCAAGAGTTCGAGGCTGCAGTTAGCCATGATCATGCCACTGTACTCCAGCCTGGGTGACAGAGTGAGACCCTGTCTCTAAGAAGCTTAAAAAGCCCCTGGAACCACTGCTTCTTGGAACTGTTGGCTGTGGAAACAAAGGACAACAATTCATTCCTCACCCCTTTCTCTTCTCTTATGTCTCTTTGATCAACGTTTTCTTCTTTGTTTTTTTTTTTTTTCTTTTTTTTCTTTTTTTTTTTTTTTTGAGACAGTCTCACCCTTGTCCCCCAGGCTGGAGTGCAATGGTGCGATCTTGGCTCACTGCAACCTCCGCCTCCCGGGTTCAAGTGATTCCCTTGCCTCAGCCTCCCAAGTAGCTGGGATTACAGGCACCTGCCACCATGCCCCGCTAATTTTTGTGTTTTTAGTAGAGATGAGGTTTCACCATGTTGGCCAGACTGGTCTTGAACTCCTGACCTCAGGTGATCCACCCGCCTCAGCCTCCCAAAGTGCTGGGATTACAGGTGTGAGCCACCGCTCCCGGCCAGGTCAACATTTTCTTTATGGAGCATTAACTTCCCTGAACTTTCAGGTTGTGTTACCTAGGCTCTCTAGTTAGCCACTGGGGAAATCAGAGCCTCCATGGGTCCAGGCAGATCAGGCCTAGAAACCAGAGCTGTTGTGTCTCCCAGTGTTGTGGGCATGATGGAGGCAGTGCCAAAGCCCAGCCGTCATCCCTGGGGAAATGAGACAAGGAAGGTGGAGGCCTAGACTTGACAATCCTGGAGATTGCATGAGCCACCTGGGAATGCTGTGTCTGGAAACAAGCAGATAAGGTTCAGAAGGCGAGCAGGGTTGAGGAGTCCTGGGGAGGCACAATAGCTATGTCTAGTATGGATGTCAGTGAAAATAGATAACACACTTAGGAAAATTCAGGGATGGTTTATTTATAAAGGGCTACTTATACAGATATGGGCAAGTCGAGGAACCACAAGGACTAGTGCAGTAACCTAAACCTCACAGTAGTAACTGCACTACTACTGTGCCACTGGTGGTAGCAGAACAATCTGTTGCCACCTTTAGGCTTAAAAGGACAAAAGGACACTGCTGGGGGCTGCTGCCAGGACTCAAGTGTAAGCCACTGGCAGTGACCCTCCTGCCCCCAGCAGTGGAGCTGCTATGCATTTACAAGTACCTGGAGGACAGGCTACCCTGACTGCAGCTGCCACTTGGAGGTGAAACGTGCACTCCCCAGCCACCTGACTATGGCTGCTGCCACTGAAAGCAACCCTGTCCATCCTAGTAGCAGGGCCACAGCTCAGCCACTGCTGCCCCAATCTGAGCATTTCACCAGGGATCCAGAATCACCCCATCCCTGCCTACCACAGCCAGTGCCTGCAAACACCATCGGGGGCCTGAGAACCCATCGGCCTGGCCCAGCTCCATATGCCTGCAGTGCCCAAGCATGCTCTCTGGGGTTCTGGGGATCAGCCAGCACCATCCACCATCATTGGCACCTGAGCATGCCTCCTGGGAGGCAGAAGGCAGGCCAACCCAACTTGCTATCATCACCACAGCTGATACCACCCCACGTGCAACCTGTTGGCCTGGGCACTTTCCTGAACAACCCATCTCAGCCACCACCAACACCAGTGCAAATTGTTTGGGAGCCTGAGGGTTGTCCTACCACTGCTACTGCAATGGCCTATAGTATGCCTGCTGCCAAGGAGCCTGAAGACCTGCCAACCTGCCCAGCCTGCCACTGCAGCTACTGGCTCCTAAGCAAGCCACCTGGAGTCCAAGAATCAGCCCACCTGGACCCACTAAAAACAGTGTTGGTATATGTCACCCTGGGGCCCAAGGATAGGCACACTCAGCCTGCTAATGTCCCCACCAGGGCCTCAGGACTGGCCCACCTGGTGTCCCCAACCCCAACAAAACTTCACCACAGCCTCCACTAATAACTGCACCCTAAGCCACTGAGGAAATCACAGACATCACGGGTGATGTTTACAGCTGAAGAAATCATAGGTGACTACACTACTGCACACACTCAGAATCAAAGCTAAAGTGCCTTACCCAACCAACACAATAGGTACATTTTCAGGAAAAATTCCTCCCCTATAAAAGGAAATTCAAAAAATTAGGAAAAGTGACTTATACATCACATGCACAGATAACAATGTAAGGACACAAGGAACATGAAAAAGCAAGGAAAAAAGACACCTCCAAAGGAACACAATACTTTGGCAACACAGTCCAATGAAAAAAGAAATTTATGAAATCACAGAAAACAATTCAAAATGATAATATCAAAGAAGCTCAGTGAGATGCAAGAGAACACAGATAAACAATACAAAGAAATCAGGAAAACAACTCAGAATATGAATGAGAAATCTGACAAAAAGATAGATATCATAAAAAAGAACCAAGTGTAAATTCTGAAACTAAAGAATTCATTGAATGAAATAAAAAATACATTCAAAAGCTTCAACAGTACACTAGATCAAGCAGAAGAAAGAATTTCACCTAGCTAGAGCAATTAGGCAGGAGAAAAAAATAAAGGGCATTTAGATTAGAAAAGAAGAAGTCAAATTATCCTTATTTGCAGATGATATGATGTTATATTTGGAGAAACCTAAAGACTCCACCAAAAAACTATTGGAACTGATAAACAAATTCAGTAAAGTTGCAGGATACAAAATCCACATAAAAAATCAGAGCATTTCTATATGTCAACAGTGAACAACTTGAGAAAGAAATTTTTAAAATCCCTTTACAACGTCACAGATAAAATTAAACACCTGGGAATTAACTCAGCCAAAGAAGTGAAAAGTCTCTGTGATAAAAACTATAAAACACTGATGAAAGAAATTGAAGAGAGCACCAAAAAATGGAAAGATATTCCATGTTCATGAACTAGAAAAACCAATATTGTTAAAATGTCCATGCTACCCCAAACAATCTACAGATTCAATGCAGACTCTATCAAAATACCAATGACATTCCTCACAGAAATAGAAAAGAGAATCCTAACATTTATATGGAACCACAAAAGACCTAGAAATCCAAAGGTATCCTGAGCAAAAAGAACATAATTGAAGTCAGAACGTATTATCGGACTTCAAATTATACTACAGAACAATGAAAACCAAAACAGCATGATATTGGAATAAAAACAGATACACAGACCAATGGAACAGAATAGAGAACCCAGAAAGAAGTCCACACACCTACAGTGAACTTGTTTTTGACAAAGGTGCCAGGAACACACACTGGGGAAAAGACAGTCTCTTCAGTAAATGGTACTAGGAAAAATGGATAAACATATGCAGAGGAATAAAACTAGACCCCTGTCACCATATACAAAAATCAAATCAAAATGGATTAAAGACTAAGTCTAATACCTCAAACTATGAAACTACTATAAGAAAATATTGGAGAAACTCTACAGGACATTGGCCTGGACAAAAAATTTCTGGAGTAATACCACCCCACAAGCATAGGCAACCAAAGCAAAAATGGGCAAATGAACAAAAAAACACATCAAGTTAAAAAGCTTCTGCACAGCAAAGGAAAAAATCAACAAAGTGAAGACACAACCTACAAAATGGGAGAAAATATTTGCAAACTACCCATCTGACAAGGGGTTAATAAAAAATGTGTAAGAAACTCAAACAACTCTATGGGAAAAAATCTAATAATCCAATTAAAAATGGGCAAAAGATTTGAATACACATTTCTCAAAATAAGACATATAAATGGTAAACAGATATATGAAAAAGCACTCAACATTATTGATTATCAGAGAAATGCAAATCAAAACTACAGTGAGATATCATCTCACCCCAGTTGAAATGGCTTTTATCCAAAAGACAGGTAACAGTAACTGCTGAAGAGGATGTGGGGAAAAGGGTACTCTTGTACACTCTTGGTGGGAATGTAAATTAATATAACCACTATGGAGAACAGCTGGGAGAGTCCTCAAAAAGCTGAAAATAGAGCTACCAAATGATCCAATAATCCCACTTCTGGGTATATACCCAAAAGAAAGGAAATCAGCATATAGAAGAGACATCTGCACTCCCATCTTGTGGCACTGTTCACAATAGCCAAGGTTTGGAAGCAACCTAAGTGTCCATCAACAGATGAATGGATAAGGAAAATGTGATACATATACAAAATGGAGTACTATTCAGCCATAAAACAGAATGAGATCCTATCATTTGCAGAAACATGGATGGAACTGAAGGTCATTATGTTAAGTGAAATAAGCCAGGCACAGAAAGACGAACATCACCTGTTCTCACTTATTTGTGTCATCTAAAAATCAAAACAGTTGAATTCATGGAGATAAAGAATAGGAGGATGGTTACCAGTGGGTGGGAAGTGTGTTGGGGGGTGGAGGAAGGTGGGGATGGTTAATGAGTACACACAAAAAAATAGAAAGAATGAATAATATATGGTATTTGATAGAGTGACTATAGTCAAAATTAATTGTACATTTTAAAATAACTAAAAGAGCATAATTGGATTGTTTGTGACACAAAGGATAAATGCTTGAGGAGATGGATACCCTATTTTCCATGATGTTATTATTATGCACTGCAAACCTCCATCAGAATATCTCATGTACCCCCATAAATAGATATGCCTACTATGTTCCCACAAAAATTAAAAAACAAAATTTTGGGCTGGGCACAATGGCTTATGCCTGTAATCCCAGCATTTTGGGAGGCCAAGGTGGGCAGATTGACTAAGCCCAGGAGTTCAAGATCAGCCTGGGAAGCATGGAGAAACCTTGTCTCTACAAAAAAATACAAAAACTAGCCAAGCATGGTGGTGCATGCCTGTAGTCCCAGCTACTTCGGAGGCTGAGGCAGGAGGCTTGCTTGAGCCCAGAGGCAGAGGTTGCAATGAGCTGAGATTGCGCCATTGCACTCCAGCCTGGGTGAAAGAGCAAGACCCTGTCAAAAAAAAAATTAAATTAAAAAAAGACTTTCAGAATTTAACGACAGGTTTTTTTGAAATAAACCAGTCAGATCAAAATAAAAAAGAATGAATAAAACCTACATGACATACGGGACACCATAAAGCAACCAAATATTTAAATGTTTGGTGTCTCAGAAGGCAAAGAGAAAATAAAAGGGGTAGAAAACTTATTTAATTGATTAATAGCTGAAAACTACTCAAACCTAGCAAGAGATTTAGACACCCAGATAGCGTTTCCCATATAGAAACATTCAAACATCCAGATACAGTTTCCTAAATAGAAACAATTCAAAAAGGTCTTTTCCAGTGCACATCATAGTCAAACTGTCAAAAGTCAAAGACAAAGAGAGAATTCTGAAAACAGATGCAAGAGAAAAGTGTCTAGTCACTTATTAGGGAACCCCCATCAGACTAACTGTGGATTTCTCAGCAGAAAACTTACAGGCGGGGAGAGAAAGGGATGATATATTTAAAGAGCTAAAAGAAAAAAAATGAAACCAAAGGATATTATACTCAGCAAAGCTATCTTTCATAAGTGAAGGAGAAATAAACTCCCAGACAAGAAAAAGCTGAGGAAATTTATCACCACTAGATGGGTCCAATAAGAGAAATGCTTAACAGAATCCTATACCAGGAAAGAAAAGATGATAACTACCATGATGAAAACACATGAAAATATAAAATACTGCTAAAGAAAACAAGCAAATAAGGAAGAGAAAATGCAGATGTTACCACTACAGAAAACCAGCAAACTACAGTGATAAACAGAGAGAAAGACAGGAACAAAGGATGTACAAAACAACCAGAAATTGATTAATAAAATGACAGAAATAAGCCTTCACATATCAATAATAATAAACCTTGGATGTAAATGGATTCAGCTTTCCACTTAAAAGATATAGACTTGGCCAGGTGTGGTGGATCACAACTGTTATCTCAGCAATTTGGGATGTTAAGGTGGGAGCATCATTTCAGGTCAAGAGTTCAAGACCAGCCTGAGAACATAGAAAGACCCTGCCTCTACAAATAAATATATACATTTATAAAAAAGGTATAGACTGGCTGAATGGATAAAAAACATGATCAAACTATGTGCTGCCTGAAACAAACCAATCTCATCTGTAAAGACATGTATGGGCTGAAAGTAAAGGGAGGAAAAAAGATATTCCTTGTGAACAGAAACCAAGAGCAAGCAAGAGTAGCTATACTTGTAACAGATAAAACAGACTTTAAGTTGGCTGGGCGCAGTGGCTCACATCTGTAATCCCAGCACTTTGGGAGGCTGAGGCGGGCAGATCACGAGGTCAGGAGATTGAGACCATCCTGGCTAACATGGTGAAACCCCATCTCTACTAAAAATACAAAAAATTAGCTGGGCGCGGTGGCGGGCGCCTGTAGTCCCAGCTACTGAGGAGGCTGAGGCAGGAGAATGGTATTAACCCGGGAGGTGGAGCTTGCAGTGAGCTGAGATGGTGCCACTGCACTCCAGCCTAGGTGACAGATCAAGACTCCGTCTCAAAAAAAAAACAAAAAACAAACAAACAAAAAACAACCCTTTAAGTCAAAAACACGAAAAAGGAACAAAAGGTTACTATATAATGATAAAGGGATTAATTCAGAAAGAGGATATAATAATTCTAAACATATATGCACCCAACTCTGGAGAACCCAGATATATAATGCAAATATTATTAGATCTGAAGGGGTATCTAAAGGGTACAGACCCCAATACAAAAATAGTTGGGGAAATTCAGCATCCCACTCTCAGTGTTAGATAGATTATCTACATAGAAAATTAACAAATAAATGTTGTATTTAAACTAAACTTTAGACTAAAGGGACCTAATAGATGTTTACAGAACATTTCACCCAACAGCTACAGAATATATATCTCCTCAACAGCACATGGAACATTCTCCAGGATCGGCCATATGTTGGTACACACACACACACACACACACACACACACACAACTCAAAAAGTTTTAAAAACTTGTAATCACATCAAGTATCTTCTCAGACCACAACAGAATAAAACTAGAAATCAATAACAGGAGGAACTTTGGAAACTGCACAAATATATGGAAATTAAAGAACATGATCTTGAATTACCATTAGGTCAAGAAAGAAATTAAGGAGGAAATAAAAAAAAGTCAAGAAACAAATGAAAATCAAAACACAACATACCAAAACCTATGAGATACAGCAAATGCAGTGCTAGGAGGAAAGTTTACAGCAATAAACCCTTACATCAAAAAGTAGGAAGGAGGTGGCTGGCAAGATGGCCGAATAGGAACAGCTCTGGTCTGCAGTTCCTAGCGAGATCAATGCAGAAGGTGGATGATTTCTGCATTTCCAACTGAGGTACCTGGCTCCTCTCATTGGGACTAGTTAGACAGTGGGTGTAGCACATGGAGGGCAAGCCGAAGCAGGGTGGGGCACTGCCTCACCCAGTAAGTGCAAGGGGTCAGGTAACTCTCTCCCCTAGCCAAGGGAAGCTGTGAGGGACTGTGCCCTCAGGAACAGTGCACTCTGGCCCAGATACTACACTTTTCCCACAGTCTTCTCAACCTGCAGACCAGGAGATTCCCTCAGACGCCTATGCCACCAGGGCCCTGGGTTTCAAGCACAAAACTGGGCGGCCATTTGGGCAGACACTGAGCTAGCTGCAGGAGATATTTTTCATACTCCAGGGGTGCCTGGAATGCCAGCAAGACAGAACTGTTCTCTCCCCTGGAAAGGGGGCTGAAGCCAGGGAGCCAAGTGGTCTAGCTCAGTGGATCCCACCCCCATGGAGCCCAGCAAGCTAAGATCCACTGGCTTGAAATTCTCACTGCCAGAACAGCAGTCTGAAGTCAATCTGGGATGCTCCAGCTTCTTTGGGGGGTGGGGGTGTCCGCCATTACTGAGGCTTGCATAGGCGGTTTTCCCCTCACAGTGTAAACGAAGCCTCCAGGAAGTTTGGACTGGGTGGAACGCACTGCAGCTCTGCAAAGCAAGCCAGACTGCCTCTCTAGATTCCTCCTCTCTGGACAGGGCAACTCTGAAAGAAAGGCAGCAGTCCCAGTCAGGGGCTTATAGACAAAACTCCCATCTCTGTGGGACAGAGCATCTAGGGGAAGGGGTGGCTATGGGTGCAGCTTCAGCAGACTTAAACATTCCTGCCTGCCAGCTCTGAAGAGAGCAGCAGATCTCCCAGCACAGTGCACGAGCTCCGCCAAGGGACAAACTGGCTCCTCATGTGGGTCCCTGACCCCCATGCCTCCTGACTGGAAGACATCTCCCAGCTGGGGTCAACAGACACCTCATACAGGAGAGCTCTGGCTGACATCTGGCAGGTGCCCCTCAGGGACAAATTTTCCAGAGGAGGGAACAGGCAGCAATCTTTACTGTTCTGCAATCTCCACTGGTGATACCTAGGCAAACAGAGTCTGGAGCAAACCTCCAGCAAACTCCAGCAGACCTGCAGCAGAGGATCTGACTGTTAGAAAGAAAACTAACAAACAAAATAGAATAGCATCAACGTCAACGAAAAGGATGTCCACACAGAAACCCCATCTAAAGGTCACCAACATCAAAGACCAAAGGTAGATAAATCCACAAAGATGAGGAAAAACCAGCACAAAAAAGGCTGAAAGTTCCAAAAACCAGAGTGCCTCTTCTCCTCCAAAGGATCACAACTCCTCACCAGCAAGGTAAAAAACTGAACAGAGAATGAGTTTGATGAAGTGACAGAAGCAGGCTTCAGAAAGTGGGTAATAACAAACTCCTCCGAGCTAAAGAAGCATGTTCTAACTCAATGCAAGGAAGCTAAGAACCTTGATAAAAGGTTAGAGGAATTGCTAACTAGAATAATCAGTTTAGGGAAGAACATAAATGACCTGATGGAGCTGAAAAATACAGCACAAGAACTTCATGAAGCATACACAAGTATCAATAGCCAAATCAATCAAGCGGAAGAAAGGATATCAGAGATTGAAGATCAACTTAATGAAATAAAGTGTAAAGACAAGATTAGAGAAAAAAGAATGAAAAGGAACAAACAAAGCCTCCAAGAAATATGGGACTATGTGAAAAGACCAAGCATACATTTGATTGGTGTACCTGAAAGTGACAGGGAGAATGGAACGAAGTTGGAAAACACACTTTGGGATATTATCCAGGACAACTTCCTCAACCTAGCAAGAAAGGCCAACATCCAAATTCAGGAAATACAGAGAATACCCAAAGATATTCCTCGAGAAAAGCAACCCCAAGACACACAATCATCAGATTCACCAGGGTTGAAATGAGGGAAAAAATGTTAAGGGCAGCCAGAGAGAAAGGTCGGGATACCCACAAAGGGAAGCCCATCAGACTAACAGCAAATCACTCTGCAGAAACCCTATAAGCCAGAAGAGAGTGGGAGCCAATATTCAACATTCTTAAAGAAAAGAATTTTCAACCCAGAATTTTATATCCAGCCAAACTAAACTTCATAAGTGAAGGAGAAATAAAAACTTTTACAGACAAGCAAATTTTGAGAGATTTTGTCACCACCAGGCCTGCCTTACAAGAGCTCCTGAAGGAAGTACTAAATATGGAAAGGAAAAATCAGTACCAGCCACTGCAAAAACATACCAAATTGTAAAGACCATCGACACTATGAAGAAACTGCATCAACTAAAGGGCAAAATAACCAGCTAGCATCATAATGACAGGATCGAATTCACACATAACAATATTAATCATAAATGTAAATGATTTAATACCCCAATTAAAAGACACAGACTGGCAAATTGGATAGATAGTAAAGACCCATTGGTGTGCTGTATTAAGTAGACCCATCTCATGTGCAAAGACACACATAGGCTCAAAACAAAGGGAAGGAGGAAGATTTACCAAGCAAATGGAAAGCAAAAAAAAAAAAAAAAAAAAAAAAAAAAAAGGAGCAGGGGTTGCAATTCTAGTCTCTGATAAAACAGACTTTAAATGAACAAAGCTCAAAAAAGACAAAGAAGGGCATTTCATGATGGTAAAAGGATCAATGCAACAAGAAGAGCTAACTATTCTAAATATATATGTACCCAATACAGGAGCACCCAGATCAATAAAGCAAGTTGTTAGAGACCTACAAAGAGACTTCGACTCCCACACAATAATAGTGGGAGACTTTAACACCCCACTGTCCATATTAGATCAATGAGACAGAAAATTTACAAGGATATTCAGGACTTGAACTCAGCTCTGGACCAAGTAGATGTAATAAATATCTACAGAACTCTCCAACCCAAATCAACGGAATATACATTCTTCTCAGTACCACATTGCACTTATTCTAAAATTGACCACATAATTGGAAGTAAAACACTCCTCAGCAAATGCAAAAGAAAGGAAATCATGACAGTCTCTCAGACCACAGTGCAAGCAAACTAGAACTCAGGATTAAGATATTCACTCAAAACCACACAACTACATGGAAACTGAACAACCTGCTCCTGAGTGATTACTGGGTAAATAATGAAACTAAGGCAGAAATAAATAAGTTCTTTGAAACCAGTGAGAACAAAGACACAATTTACCAGAATCTCTGGGACATAGCTAAAGTAGTGTTTAGAGGGAAATTTAGAACACTAAATGCCCACAGGAGAAAGCAGGAAAGATCTAAAATAGACACCCTAACATCACAATTAAAAGAACTAGAGGAGCAAAGCAAACAAATTCAAAAGCTAGCAGAAGACAAGAAATAACTAAGATCAGAGCAGAACTGAAGGAGATAGAGACATGCAAAACTCTTCAAAAAAAATCAATGAATCCAGGAGCTGTTTTTTTTTTTTGAAAAGATTAATGAAATAGATAGACCACTAGCCAGCCTAATAAAGAAGAAAAGAGAGAAGAATCAAATAGACACAATAAAAAATGATTAAGGGGAGATCTCCACTGATCCCACAGAAATACATACTACAATCAGAGAATACTATAAACACCTCTACGCAAATAAACTAGAAAATCTAGAAGAAATGGATAAATTCGTGGACATATACACCCTCTCAATACTAAATCTGGAAGAAGTTGAATCCCTGAATAGATCAATAACAAGTTCTAAAATTGAGGCAGTAATTAATAGCCTACCAAGCAAAAAAAGTCCGGGACCAGATGGATTCACAGCCAAATTCTACCAGAGGTACAAAGAGGAACTGGTACCATTCCTTCTGAAACTATTCCAAACAATAGAAAAAGAGGAAATCCTCCCTAACTCGTTTTATGAGGCCAGCATCATCCTGATACCAAAACCTGGCACAGACAAAACAAAAAAAGAAAATTCCGGGCCAATATCCCTGATAAACATTGATGCAAAAATCCTCAGTAAAATACTGGCAAATTGAATCCAGCAGCACATCAAAAAGTTTATCCACCACAATCAAGTTGGCTTCATCCCTGGGATGCAAGCTGTTTCAACACACACAAATCAATAAACGTAATCCATCACATAAACAGAACCAAAGAAGAAAACCACCTGATTATCTCAATAGATGCAGAAAAGGCTTTTGATAAAATTCAACACTCGCTCATGCTAAAAACCTTCAATAAACTAGGTTTTGATGGAACGTATCTCAAAATAATAAAAGCAATTTATGACAAATGCACAGACAATATTATACTGAATGGGCAAAAGCTGGAAGCATTCCCTTTGAAAACCGGCACAAGGATGCTCTCTCTCATCACTCCTATTCAAATAGTATTGGAAGTTCTGGCCAGGGCAATCAGGCAAGAGAAAGACATAAAGCATATTCAAATAGGAAGAAAGGAAGTCAAATTGTCTCTGTTTGCAGATGACATGACTGTATATTTAGAAAACCCCATCGTCTCAGCCCCAAATCTCCTTAAGCTGATAAGCAACTTCAGCAAAGTCTCAGGATACAAAATCAATGTGCAAAAATCACAAGCATTCCTATACACCAATATTAAACCAACAGAGAGCCAAATCATGAGTGACCTCCCATTCACAATTGCTGCAAAGAGAATAAAATATCTAAGAACACAACTTACAAGGGATGTGAAGGACCTCTTCAAGGAGAACTACAAACCATTGCTCAAGGAAATAAGAGAGGACACAAACAAATGGAAAACATTCCATGATCATGGATAGGAAGACTCAATATCATGAAAATGGCCAGACTGCCCAAAGTAATTTATAGATTCAATGCTATTCCCATCAAGCTACCATTGACTTTCATCACAGAATTAGAAAAAACTACTTTAAATTTCATATGAAACCAAAAAAGAGCCCATATAGCCAAGACAATCCTAAGCAAAAAGAACAAAGCTGGAGGCATCATGCTACCTGACTTCAAATTATACTACAAGTCTACAGTAACCAAAACAGCATGGTACTGTTACCAAAACAGATACATAGACCAATGGAACAGAACAGAGGCCTCAGAAATAACACCACACATCTACAACCATCTGATCTTTGACAAACTTGACAAAAACAAGCAACGGGGAAAGGATTCTCTATTTAATAAATGGTGTTGGGAAAACTGGCTAGCCATATGTGGAAAACTGAAACGACCTATTCCTTACACCTTATACAAAAATTAACTCAAGATGGATTAAAGACTTAAACGTAAGATCTAAAACCATAAAAACTCTAGAAGAAAACCTAGGCAATACCATTCAGGACGTAGGCATGGGCAAAGACTTCATGACTAAAACACCAAAAGCAATGGCAACAAAAGCCAAAATTGACAAATGGGATCTAATTAAACTAAAGAGCTTTGTACAACAAAAGAAAGTATCATCAGAGTGAACAGCCAACCTACAGAATGGGAGAAAATTTTTGCAATCTATCCATCTGACAAAGGGTTAATAACCAGAATCTACAAAGAACTTAAAGAAATTTCTGTGCATATTTTTAAATCAAAGTTCACAACATATTGTATCTAGACTTCTAAAAAATAGCTAAGGATATTTTAAAACTTAACTTTGCATTATGAATTTTTTTATATCATTGAAAATTCTCTCATACATGCCATTTTAATGCATAATAGCTTATCATACAGAAGTCTCTAAATTTATTGAACTGCTTCCTTATTTTGGAATTTGGGTTGATTTTAATTTTTTTGCATTGTAAATAATATTGTAAAAATACAGTTGAATATATATTTTTGAACATGTTTCAACAATTTCTTGAAACTCCTGGCTGTAAAATAATTTAATGGATCAAAGTAAGTATGTATTCCTAAGATATTTGATACTCCCTATCAAATTGCTTTCAGAGGCCAGGCACAGTGGTTCACGCCTGTAATCCCAGCACTTTGGGAGGCCAAGGTGGGAGGATCACCTGAGGTCAGGAGTTCGAGACCAGCATGGCCAACATAGTGAAACCCGTCCCTATTAAAAATATAAAAATTTCGTTGAGCAGTGGTTTGTAGTTTTCCTTGAAGAGGTCCTTCACATCCCTTGTAAGTTGGATTCCTAGGTATTTTATTCTCTTTGATGCAATTGTGAATGGGAGTTCACTCATGATTTGGCTCTCTGTTTGTCTGTTATTGGTGTAGAAGAATGCTTGTGATTTTTGCACATTGATTTTGTATCCTGAGACTTTGCTGAAGTCGCTTATCAGCTTAAGGAGATTTGGGGCTGAGACGATGGGGTTTTCTAAACATACAATCATGTCATCTGCAAACAGGGACAATTTGACTTCCTCTTTTCCTAATTGAATACCCTTTATTTCCTTCTCCTGCCTGATTGCCCTGGCCAGAACTTCCAACACTATGTTGAATAGGAGTGGTGAGAGAGGGCATTCCTGTCTTTTGCCAGTTTTCAAAGGGAATGCTTCCAGCTTTTGCCCATTCAGTACAATATTGGCTGTGGGTTTGTCATAAATAGCTCTTATTATTTTGAGATACGTCCCATCAATACCTAGTTTATTGAGAGTTTTTAGCATTAAGGGCTGTTGAATTTTGTCAAAGGCCTTTTCTGCATCTATTGAGATAATCATGTGGTTTTTGTCTTTGGTTCTGTTTATATGATGGATTATGTTTATTGATTTGCATATGTTGAACCACCCTTGCATCCCAGGGGTGAAGCCAACTTGATCGTGGTGGATAAGCTTTTTGATGTGCTTCTGGATTCAGTTTGCCAGTATTTTATGGAGGATTTTTGCATCAATGTTCATCAGGGATATTCATCTAAAATTCTCTTTTTTTGTTGTGTCTCTGCCAGGCTTTGGTATCAGGATGATGCTGGTCTCATAAAATAAGTTAGGGAGGATTCCCTCTTTTTCTATTGATTAGAATAGTTTCAGAAGGAATGGTACCAGCTCCTCTTTGTATCTCTGGTAGAATTCGGCTGTGAATCCATCTTGTCCTGGACTTTTTTTGGTTGGGAGGCTATTAATTATTGCCTCAATTTCAGAGCCTGTTATTGGTCTATTCAGGGATTCAACTTCTTCCTGGTTTAGTCTTGGGAGGGTGTATGTGTCCACGAATTTATCCATTTCTTCTAGATTTTCTAGTTTATTTGCGTAGAGGTGTTTATAGTACTCTCTGATGGTAGTTTGTATTTCTGTGGGATTGGTGGTGATATCCCCTTTATCATTTTTTATTGCATCTATTTGATTCTTCTCTCTTTTCTTCTTTATTAGTCTTGCTAGCAGTCTATCAATTTTGTTGATCTTTTCAAAAAACCAGCTCCTAGAGAAACAAATGGAAGAACATTCCATGCTCATGGATAGGAAGAATCAATATCGCAAAAATGGCCACACTGCCCAAGGTAATTTATAGATTCAATGCCATCCCCATCGAGCTACCAATGACTTTCTTCACAGAATTGGAAAAAACTACTTTAAAGTTCATATGGAAACAAAAAGGAGCCCACATTGCAAAGATAATCCTAAGCCAAAAGAACAAAGCTGGAGGCATCATGCTACCTGACTTCAAACTATACTACAAGGCTACAGTAACCAAAACAGCATGGTACTGGTACCAAAACAGAGATATAGACCAATGGAACACAACAGAGCCCTCAGAAATAATACCACACATCTACAACCATCTGATCTTTGACAAACTTGACAAAAACAAGAAATGGGGAAAGGATTCTCTATTTAATAAATGGTGCTGGGAAAACTGGCCAGCCATATGAAGAAAACTGAAACTGGATCCCTTCCTCACACCTTATGCAAAAATTAATTCAAGATGGATTAAAGACTTAGATGGAAGACCTAAAACCATAAAAACCCTAGAAGAAAACCTAGGCAATACCATTCAGGACATAGCCATGGGCAAGGACTTCATGACTAAAACACCAAAAGCAATGGCAACAAAAGCCAAAATTGACAAATGGGATCTAATTAAACTAAAGAGCTTCTGCACAGCAAAAGAAACTACTGTCAGAGTGAACAGGCAACCTACAGAATGAGAGAAAATTTTTACAATTTACCCATCTGACAAAGGGCTAATATCCAGAATCTACAAAGAACTTAAACAAATTTACAAGAAAAAAAATCAAACAATCCCATCAAAAAGTGGGCGAAGGATATGAATAGACACTTCTCAAAAGAAGACATTTATGCAGCCAAAAGACACATGAAAAAATGCTCATCACCACTGGCCATCAGAGAAATGCAAATCAAAACCACAATGAGATACCATCTCACACCAGTTAGAATGGCAATCATTAAAAAGTCAGGAAACAACAGGTGCTGGAGAGGATGTGGAGAAATAGGAACACTTTTACACTGTTGGTGGGACTGTAAACTAGTTCAACCATTGTGGAAGACAGTGTGGCGATTCCTCAAGGATCTAGAACTAGAAATACCATTTGACCCAGCCATCCCATTACTGGGTATATACCCAAAGGATTATAAATCATGCTGCTATAAAGACACATGCACATGTATGTTTATTGCAGCACTATTCACAATAGTAAAGACTTGGAACCAACCCAAATGTCCATCAATGATAGACTATATTAAGAAAATGTGGCACAAATACACCATGGAATGCTATGCAGCCATAAAAAAGGATGATTTCATGTCCTTTGTAGGGACATGGATGAAGCTGGAAACCATCATTCTGAGCAAACTATCACAAGGACAGAAAACCAAACACTGCATGTTCTCACTCATAGGTGGCAATTGAACAAAGAGAACACTTGGACACAGGGTGGGGAACATCACACACTGGGACCTATTGTGGGGTGGAGGGAGAGGGGAGGGATAGCATTAGGAGATATACCTAATGTAAATGATGAGTTAATGGGTGCAGCACACCAACAGGGCACATGCATACATATGTAACAAACCTGCACGTTGTGCACATGTACCCTTGAACTTAAAGTATAACAACAACAACAACAACAACAACAACAAAATACAAAAATTAGCCAGGCATGGTGGTGGGTGTCCATAATCCCAGCTACTCAAGAGGCTGAGGCAGGAGAATCTCCTTAACCTGGGAGGCAGAGGTTGCAGTGAGCCCAGATTGTGCCAGCCTGGGTGACAAAGTGAGACTTTGTCTCAAAAAACAAAAAACCAAACACACACAAATTGATTTCAGAAATGCTGCAATAGTTTTTGCTCCCACTGGAAGATCTAAGACTTTGCCAGCACTGAGTATCATCAACCCAGGAGGTTCAATATCTCACAAATAGGAGTTCCAGAAAGGAAAAATAGAAAACAAAAGAAGAAAATTATCAGGGTACAGGTGCAGTGGCTCATGCCTGTAATCCCAGCACTCTGGGAGGCCGAGGCAGGTGGATCACCTGAGGTCAGGAGTTCAAGACCAGCCTGGCCAAAATGGTGAAACCCTGTCTCTACTAAAAATACAAAAAATTAGCCAGGCATGGTGGCAGGCACCTGTAGTTCCAGCTACTCAGGAGGCTGAGGCAGGAGAATTGCTTGAACCCAGGAGGCAGAGGTTGCAGTGAGCAGAGATCATGCCACTGCACTCTAGCCTAGGCAAAAAGAGTGAAACTCTGTCTCAGAAAAAAAAAAAAAAAAGAAAGAAAAGAAAGAAAATTATCAAGGACACTGGCCTGAAAAATATCAAGTTGCCATTTTTACAGGTTCAAAAAAGGTTAAATATCAGTACTTTCAGGTACGTCAATCTATTACAGGAAAGATTTGTCAGAACCGAAGGTCATGAACCACCAGCTTGAAAATGCCAAAAGAACAAAAGATGATGAATAAAAGAAGAATCACACCAAGTTACAATATTATGACATTTGGGGATAAAGGAATGATCCTGGAGGATGTATTGCAATCAGGGGGGTAAGGCAAGGAAAGACAGATAGGGAAAGGGTCACTTTATTTTTTTTATTTTTTTATTTTTAAATTTTTTTGAGATGGAATCTCGCTCTGTTGCCCAGGCTGGAGTGCAGTGGTGCAATCTTGGCTCACTGCAAGCTCCGCCTCCTGGGTTCATACCATTCTTCTACCTCAGCCTCCCGAGTAGCTGGGACTACAGGCGCCTGCCACCACGCTCGGCTAATTTTTTTATTTTTTTATTTTTAGTAGAGACAGGGTTTCAGCGTGTTGGCCAGGATGGTCTCGGTCTCCTGACCTCATGATCCACCCACCTTGGCCTCCCAAAGTGCTGGGATTACAGGCATGAGCCACCAAGCCCGGCCGGGAGAGAGTCACTTGAAAAAGTTGAGGAATCCTAATGCATCAGACTTCTCAACAGCAAAATGCCAGTTAATGCTTGAAAGCAGTGGAGCAGTGTCTTTACAATTCTAGAGAACCTAGAAGTTGCCCAGAGAATTATCAGTCAAGTGCAAGGGTAGAATAAAGATTTTTCAGACATGTAAGAACTAAATGACACTACCTCCCAGGTGTCCTTTTGTAGGAAGTTACTGCAGGGTGTGCTTCAGAGAAACAGAGAGGAAACCAAACAAGAAGATACGGGGTTTAAGGAAAAGGAGCTCCAGCCCAGGAGGGTAGAGAAAGGAAAAATAAGGATAATAACTGTTACTTAAAGAGCAGATTAGGGTGGAAGAAATGAGGGCAAGGAGGGGCTGATTCAGGGCAGGGGAGGAGGGGAGAAGAAACCAAAAGAACATTAGGCATTTAGAAAAATTACTAGTCACTGATTGGGCAGACCTGCAGGAACATTTGGAAAAAATAATTGTAGACACAAAGGAGACTAAACAAATAATTTAAAGAGAGATAATAAAGGGAGAACAAAAAATATCTTAAGAAAGGAAACAATACTTTTTGTGTTATAATCATTTTGAGAGGTTGAAGAAGTGGGGAAGGGTAAGAGAACTAAATCCTCAACCATCTCAATAGGAAATCAATAGAAAATAAAAGTTCTGAACTGAAAAGTACATGATAAGCATAGTATTTAGAAATTTTGATGGTAAATCCCAAAAGGAAAAAAAGAGCAAAAAGTGCTATTGGTGATCTTTTCTGGAGTGTGGAACTAGTGTGGGAATTGGAGATAAGAAACAGCTATGTTTTGTTATAAAGTTTTAGTACTGTTTAATTTTTTGCATATATTACTTAGGAAAAAATTAAAATTTAGTAGTTTAAAAATCCCCTGCTTACCCCTTTTCCCCCACCCCAGAAAAGGCATATGAACTAACCTTATGTATTTCATAGGTCAGACAGTCATTTTTATTTCTGCTCTGATGTTTATCTGGAAATAAAACCATTTTGGTGTTCTCAAAGAACTCTCTGACTCATACCTGGAGATGTATCAGCACATGTGACCTCAGAGATTTCTAGGTCTGTCCCATTATTACAAGTAATCATGTAAAGGATTTTATAATTTTCCTCTCCCTTCTTTGAATTTTCTTTCTGGCATTTATCAGCGGCTGGAGAGAATGCCTATTACACACCAGAGATGGGGCATAGTGTTTTGGTAAAAGTATTAGGATGTAACAGCTATAAAAGGGTTGGCTAGGTTGAGGGTTCTCATCTACAGCAAGTCCCCTAAACTCCCCTAAAACTGTAATTGCCCAGTGGGTTCTTCCTGCCCACTGGACAAATGAAACCAGTTCACTGAGACCATGGCCTTACAGTAAAGAAAGAGTTTAGGCTGAGCACAGTGGCTCACGCCTGTAATCCCAGCATTTTGGGAGGCCGAGGCAGGTGGATCACTCTCTGAGGTCAGGAGTTCAAGACTGGCCTGGCCAACATGGTGAAAAAAAAAAATTAGCCAGGCGTGGTGGCACATGCCTGTAGTACCAGCTACTTAGGAGGCTGAGGTAGGAGAATGCCTTGAACCCGGGAGGCAGAGGTTGCAGTGAGCTGAGATCACACCACTGCACTCCAGCCTGGGTAACAGAGCAAGACTCCATCTCAGAAAAAAAAAAGAAAGAAAAATTAAAAAACAAAGAGTTTAATTGACTTGAGCCTGGCCACACAGGAGATGGAGTTATTACTCAAATCAATCTCCTTGATGGCTCAGAGGTTAGGGTTTTTCAAAGATAGTTTGGTGGGTAGATGTAAACCAAAAATAGAATTCTAACCCCCCAAGCAACTAAATGGACCCTTCCTCTCAACCAAGGACATTCAAAAGTAAACCTGAAACACTAGTGCAGGCCATGATGGGAATGGGTGGTCAGACATCCCTCATTATACCTTCCTTCATTTGGAATTCAAGCACAGCTGACCAGCATTAACATTAAAACAGAGCCCTTAAGACTGACAAAGGTCCAGGCACAGTGGCTTACACCTGTAATCCCAGCACTTTGGGAGGCCAAGGCAGGAGGATCACTTTAGCCTAGGAGTCCGAGACCAGCCTGAGCAACATAGTGAGACCCAGTCTACAAAAAATAAAAAATTAGCCAGCTGCAGTGGCTCACGCCTGTGGTCCCAGCTACCTGGGAGGCTGAGGCAGAAGGATCGCTTGAGCCCAGGAGGTCAAGGCTGCAGTGAGAGCCCTGATCGTGGCACAATGCTCCAGCCTGAAAAACCGAGTGAGAACCAGTATGAATTTAAAAAAACAAACAACAACAAAAAACCAATAGCAACCAATCAGTTATGTTTCACATTTTTCTTATTTTTTGTAATAAAAAATTAAAAATTGAATTAAAAAAAGACTGGTAAAGCAGATTCTTTGTAACAAGAAGATACCAACATAACAGCAGGCTTTGACATATTTTGAAATGTCCCTGCAAAGCTCTCTTGTGGGGAAAATCTACATTCTGTAGAGAATCCCCTTCCCTTTCCTGGGTCTTCTTCCTGATCCAGGAGAGAATTAACTAAAAGTTTGACACTTTTTTAGAATAAGAAACATTTACAATCAATTTTCTAGAAAGCCTGGTACCTGAAGATTTCATCTGCATAATAAAAACTTTGGTCTCCACAACCTCTCATCTTAATTAACCCAGACACTCCGTTCTAGTGATTCCAGGTCTTTAGGTAAACTCTTTCAACCAATTGCCAATCAGAACATCTTTGACTCCACCTTTGACCTGGAAGCCCCCACTTCAAGTTGCCTCCTTTCTGGACTGAACCAATGTACATCTTACATGTATTGATTGATGTCTTATGTCTCCCTATAACATATAAAACTAAGCTGTAGCCCAACCACCTTGGGCACATGTTCTCAGGATCTCCTGGAGCTATGTCACAGGCCATGGCCACTCATATTTGACTCAGAATAAATCTCTTCAAATATTTTACAGTTTGACTCTTTGTCAACATAGGGGACTAGGGAATGGGGAATGCTGCTTGGTTGTGGATGCCATTATTGGCATGTGGAAAATGGTCCTTGTGCACTGAGTCCACCTCTAGGTGGAAGGACACAGGACTGGTTGAGTCATGAGTCATTATTTCAAAAGACCAGTCTTAGGTTATACAATAGTGATGTTATCTACAGGAGCAATTGGGGAAGTTACAAATCTTTTGACCTCTGGAACAATGGCTGGTTACTGTTTAACTATGCCTACATCTTAGCAGAATTCAGACTCCTTTCATAATCCTAACCTTATTGACTTCCATTAGTTTTACAAAGGCAATTTATTTTTAGGAAGGGCCATTATCATTTTTGCTTTAAGGTTAAACTATAAACTAAATTTCTGCCAAAGTTCACTTGGTCTATGCCCAGGAATGACCAAGGACAGCTTGGAGGTTAAAAGCAAGGTGGGGTCAAATATGTCAGATTTCTTACTGTCAAAATTTCGCAAAGGTGATTTCAAAACCAAACATTTTTATAAACTTTGGTGCCTCGGCAGCTGGATTTGAGCTGATCCTGCCATTTATTAACTTCCTTGACCTAACTTAACTGATCTAAGCTTCTATATTCTCATTTAGAAATAATAACCTCTCTTTATTTAAGTTTTGGTGAGGACTAAATGGAACAATATATGTGATAATATATGTAGCATATTTATCTGGAGTGGTCAATAAATTAGCTATGATCAGTATTATTTTAAGAACAATGTTGACCTTATACAAATCACTTATACATATAGTTAGCATAAGTGGTACTGAAAATAATGTAGTACAGTAAAAAAAAAAATCATGGAGTTGGTATCAGACAGATTGAAGTTCAGATCTGGGCTCAGTTACGTGCCTTTTATATGATTCAAGTGAATGATCAAACAAAGGTGAGGTAGTCAGTGCATCACACTGGGAGTCATGGCATGTCAGTGAGCTCACACAGCTGTGTCTAGGATAACTAAACCAAAACTCAATTGCTAAGTTTTTAAAGTTTTGATGAATAGAATTTGAAAATCAGCCATCATCTTAGAGCCATACAAATAACATATTCAATATAGTAATATCCATATATATAAAGAGTTCTTACATATCAATAAGAAAAAGGCGACTAAATGGAAAAGTGGGCAAAAGATATGTCAGAAGAAATAGACCAGAATTATAGCTATATACACAGTTTTCCAATATGTAATATTCAAATAAATAGAAAATAAAACAATGATATAACTGGTTGTTTCTGGTATATAGGAACCAAATTGATGTTGGTGAATTTGCTTATTTTTATTTTATTTTGAGATAATCATACATTCACATGGAGTTACAAGTAATAATTCAAAGAAATCCCATGTATTCTTTACCTAATTTCCACCAATAGAAATCTTCTATAAAGCTGTAGTACAATATCACAACCAGGATGTTGACACTGATATAGTCAAGATACAGAACAGTTCAATCACCACAATGATCTCGCATGTTGTCTTTTTATAGCCACATCCAAGAATATTATATAAATGAAATATGAGACTTTGAAATATGAACTTTTGAGACTGAATTTTTTTCACTCCGTCTAATTCCCTAGAAATTTATCTCACTTGCTCAAGTTGAATGATGAGGAGCTCCTCTGCAAAAAAAAAAAAAAAAAAAGAAAGAAAAAAAGTAAAAAGAGAAAGAAAGAAAAAGAAAAAGAAAAAGAAATTCATCCCAGTTGTGATCTGTCTCAAAAGTTTGTTCCTTTTTATCTCTTGATTACTGTATAATGTTGGATGGTATGGATGTACCATAGTTTGTTTAACCATTCACTCATTGAAGAATAATTATGTTGTTTACAGTTTTTGACTATTACAAATACAGCCACTGTGAACATTCCCATTCAGATTTTTGTGTGAATGTAAGTTTTTATTTCACTGGAATAAATGCCCAGAGGAACAATTCCTGGGTTATATAGTAGTTGCACATTTAACTTTTTAAAAGAAACTACCAAACTATTTTTCAGAGTGGCTGTATCATTTTGCATTTTTATCAGCAGCATATAAATGACCCAGTTTCTCTGTATCCTTGCCAGTATTTTAAAATTTTAGCCATTTTAATAGGCATTGTAGTAGTATCTCATTGTGGTTTTAATTTGCATTTCTTAATGGCTAGTAATGTTGACCATATTTTCTTGTGCTTATTTGCTATTTGTTTATTTTCTTTGGTGACATGTATCTTCCTGTCTTTTGTCGACTTTCTAGTTGGTTTGTTTGTTTTTTCACTGTTGAGTTTTGAGAGTTCTTTTTGTATTCTAGATACTAGCCTTTTGTTGGATATAGGATTTGCAAATCTTTTCATTCATTCTGTAGCATATCGTTTTTTTTTCCTCTTAACAGTATCTTTCACAGAACAAAAGTTTCTTATTTCAATAAAGTCCCGTTTATCAATTTTTCCTTTTTTAAATTGTGCTTTTGGTATCATGTCTAAAAACTTTTTGCCTATTCATTAAGTACTGAAGTTTTTCTCTGTTTTTTTTCCCTAAAAGTTTTATAATTTTGAGTTTTACATTTACATTTGTGATTCTTGAGTTAATTTTTCATAAAGTGTGAGGTTTAGGTGGGGTTTACTTTTTGCTATGGATGTCCAATTGCTCCAGCCCTATTTGTTGAAAAGGTTACTCTTTCTCCATTGAATTATTTCTGCATCTGTGTAAAAAATCAGCTGTGTATATGTATGTGGCTCTGTTTCTCAGTTATCTAGTTTGTTCCATGACCTATTTGTCTATTCCTCCTCAGTACCACACAGTTTTCATTACTGTAGCTCTATAATAAGCTTTCAAATCATGTAGGTTATTCTTCCCATTTTATTCTCTTTTTAAAAATTGTTTTAACTATCCTTGTTCCTTTGTTTATCCACATAAAGTTTAGAATATCAGAGTTATATAGGCTTCATAAGATGAATTGGGGAGTGTTTACTCCCATAATCTGGAGGAGATTGTTTAGAATTGATGTTAATTCTTCTTTAAACATTTGGTAGAATCCTCCAGTGAAACCGTGAGGTTTCTTAATTGAGAGTTTAAAAATTATTAATTTAATTTGCTTAATAATTATAGGACTATTTAATATTGGGTGAGTTATGATAGTTTGTACTTTCTGGGAATTAGTCCATATCATCTAAATTGTCAAATTTTTGTGTTTAGAATGGTTTGTAGTATTGTTATATTATCTTTTTGATGTCTTCAGGGTCTGTAGTGATATTCTCCATTTCATTTCTGATACTGGGAATTTACGTACTCTTTTTTATGGTTAGCCTAAGTAGAGGGTTGTCAATTTCATTCATCTTTTCAAAGAACGAGATTTTCCTCTTGATTTTATCTACTGTTTTTCTGTTTTCAATATCACTGATTTCTGTTCATATCTTTGTTTTTTTCCTTCTGCTTGCTTTGGGTTTATTTTGCTTTATTTTTTCTAGGTTCCTGAGATGAGAGCCTAGATTATTGACCTGAGACTTTTCCTCTTTTCTAACATAAACATTTATTACTTTAAATTTTCCTGGCTGGGCACAGTGGTTCATGCCTATAATCCTAGCACTTTGGGAGGCTGAGGCAGACAGATTGCTTGAGACCAGGAGTTTGAGACTGTAACTGCCCATTGGGTTCCCCTTCTCCACCGCTTGGACAGAGCTGATTTATCAAGACAGAGGAATTGCAAAAGAGAAAGAGTAATTCACACAGAGCTGGCTGTGCAGAACACTGGAGTTTTATTGTTACTCAAATCAATCTACTGAAGGATTTGAGAATCAGAGATTTTTTTTTTTTTTTTTTTTTGAGACAAGAGTTTTGCTCTTTAGCCCAGGCTGGAGTGCAGTGGTGTGTGATCCTGGCTCACTGCAATTTCTGCTTTCCTGTTTTCAAGTGATTCTCCTGCCTCAGCCTCCTGAGTAGCTGGGATTACAGGCACCCACCACCACACCTGGCTAATTTTTGTATTTTTAGTAGACACGGGGTTTCACCATGTTGGCCAGGCTAGTCTCAAACTCCTGACCTCATGATCCACCCACCTCGGCCTCCCAAAGGAGGATCAGAGTTTTTAAGGACAACTTGGTGGCCAGTGAGCCAGGAGTGCTGATTGGTTAGGTAGGAGATAAAATCAACAGGAAGTTGAAACTGTCCTGTTGCACTGAGTCAGTTTCTGGGTAGGGGCCACAAGATCACATGAGCCAGTTTATCCACCCAGATGGTCCCAGCTAATCATCAAGTGCAGGGTATGCAAAATATCTCAAGCACTGATCTTAGGAACTGTTTAGGGAGGGTAAGAATCTTGTAGCCTCCAGCTGCATGACTCCTAAACTATAATTTCTAATCTTGTGGCTAATTTGTTAGTCCTACAAAGGCAGTCTAGTCCCCAGGCAAGAAGGAGGTTTGCTTTGGGAAAGTCTTTGCTACAGTCTTTGTTTTAAACTATAAACTAAGTTCCTCCCAAAGTTACTTCAGCTTACACTCAGGAAGAAGCAAGGACAGCTTAAAGGTTAAAACCAAGATGGAGTCGGTGGGCCTGGTGGGTGGCTCATGCCTGTAATCCCAGCACTTTGGGAGGCCAAGGTGGGCAGATCACCTGAGGTCAGGAGTTCGATACTAGCCTGGCCAACATGGCAAAACCTCATCTCTACTAAAAATACAAAAATTAGCTGGACATGGTGGCAGGAGCCTGTAATCCCAGCTACTTGGGAGGCTGAAGCAGGAGGATCACTTGAATCTGGGAGGCAGAGGTTGCAGTGAGCCCAGATCATGCCACTGCGCTCCAGCCTGAGCAACAGAGTGAGATTCTGTCTCAAAAAAAAAAAAAAAAAAAAAAAAGATGGAGTCGGTTAGGCTAGATCTCTTTTACTGTTTCAGTCATAATTTTGCAAAGATGGTTTCAAGTCCAGCCTGGGCAAAATGGACAACCTTGTCTCCACAAAAAGAATACAAAAAATTAGCCAGGTATTGTGGTGTACACCTGTACTCCCAGCTACTAGGGAGGCTAAGGTGGGAGGATCACCTGAGCCTGAGCCTAAGAGGTCAAGGCTCCAGTGAACTGAGATCACACCACTGCACTTCAGCCTGGGTGACAGAGTAAGACCCTGTCACAAAAAAATAATAGAAATAAAAAATAATTTCCTTTTGGCACTGCTTTAGTTGCATCACACAAATTTTGACAGTTTGTACTTTCATCTTCAGCTCAGTTCAATTCTGTGTGTGTGGGTGTGGGTGTTTGTGTGTGTGTGTGTGTGTGTGTGTGTTTTAAATTTCCTGTAAGGAGGAAAAATAATTTTCTTTCTATTCTTCATAGTTCTTAGTGGAAACAAACTCTTGTAGCAAAAGATAAATTAATAAAAGGAAAGCAAATAGAAGTTTTAATAATGTGTATACCTCCTGAATACCTGGAGACACCTACAAAAAATGAGTAAATCTCAAAGAAGTGGCTTTGAGTTCATGCTTATCTATGATCTTCAAGTGAAACAAAGAAAGAAGGGTGTTGGGGAGGTCAGTAATAGGGAGTTGGCCAGGAAAAATATGGTAAACAAGGGTAAGGTTTGTTATGGAAATTTATGTTGGAGCCTTCTCCATTGATAAGACTGTAGTAATTTAGAGTCATCTTCTCTTCCTGGTAGACAGAGGAGACACCCTTGCAAATGGAGATTTCCTTTATCTATTGAAACTTCTCTTGCAAAAAGAGCAATTTCTACTCTTGTTTTCAGAGCTTCTCCTGCTTGCCAAAATAATCATCTCAAAATTAATCTTTATGCCAAAAAAGGTATATTTGGAGTGGCATGTTCTGGTCTCCTTCAGTCATATTTTGGGGTGCCATGTCCTGATCTTCATCATTCCCTTGAGACCACCTCCTTGGGCCAAGATTGTACCACTGCACTCCGTCCTGGGCAACAGAGTACAACTCCATCTCAAAAAATTTTAATTAAAATATAAAGAAAATGTAAAGAAAATTATCAGAAGAGCCCATCTCTGTGTTTGGAAAGTGTGTGTGTCTTTGTTCTCTTGCAGGACTTCCTGTTTCTGCAGACTCTTCTTCCACCCCATGAGCTTTGGAAGCTGCTGGACACTCACGCAGATCTGTTAGCTATTACAGAGCATTCTTGTTTTGCTCTCTTCTTCTCCAGAGAGCCTGCCATTGAGACTGCTGTGTCTTCCTGGCACAGTTGACACTTTTCATAGGCTCAGCTGCCAAATTTTCTGGGTGTGGCCATTGTCTTCAGGTATCAAGCAGTGGAGATATAGGGGATCCCACTTTCACTTTATTGGACAAGCCTTCAAATATACCATCTCCACAGTAACAATTCATTGTATTTTTAGGAGCAACACATTTTCCTAATCATGTTTACACATATTATCTCATTAAATCACAATGTCCTCATGAAGTCATGAAGGCTTCTTTTTTTTTTTTTTTTTTTTTTTTTGAGACAGGGTCTCACTCTGTTGCCCAGGCTGGAGTGCAGTAGTGTGATCATGGCTCACTGCAGCCTTGATCTCCCTGGGCTTAGGTGACTCTTCCACCTCAGCCTCCTGAGCACCTGGGACTACAGGTAAGTGCCACCATGCCCAGCTAATTTTTTGTATTTTTTGTTGAGACAGAGTTTCACCATATTGGCCAGGTTGGTCTCAAACTCCTGGGCTTAAGCAATCCTCCCACCTTGGCCTCCCAAAGTGCTGGAATTACAGGTGTGAGCCACTGCGCCCAACCCTCATGAAAGCTTTATTCCCATTTTACACACGAAGATCCTAATGCCTTGTCAAAATGTGACCAGCCACACTAACATCACCTGGGAGCTTGTTAGACGTGCAGAATCTCAAGGCTCAGAACTGCTAAGTCATAATCTGCTGCTTAACAGGAGTCCCAGGTGATTTGGGTACACATTAAAGTAGCACTGGACTAAAACTCAGAAAGGTTTAGTGGCTTTCCCAGGTTTCCAGAGCAATGTGGTAGCCCAGTTGGGACAAGGCTCTGGAGACTCCAAGAAATGCTTTTCTTAATGCTTCACTCCCGGCTGGAAGGCACACCCATTCTTTAAGGCCAGCTCCCTGATCTCCTCCACATTCTTACCCTGAAGACCCAGGAAGAATCAAGAGTCCCTTTTGCTCCTGAAGCCCTTCATGTATTCCTCTGTCACAGTAATGAATGCATTTGGCCTTGTAACAAGATGGAGAAGAAAAGAGGGAATAAAACAGTATTTCACAAACCCCTCTTCTATGCAGAGGAACAGGGTAAATATTATCAGGAGTGAAGAAGAGAAGTATCTTGACATTCTACGTTTACCCTTAACTTGTGAGCATTTTTCCTGGGCAGAGGCGAACTCTTCCTAGTTTCCCCTTAAGAGTTTTTCATGTGGCCCAGGTACTGAACATAAGATAGACTTGGAGAGGCCATTGGTTCTGGAGGACTCACACTACTTTGGCCTCATATTTTTTTTTTCTCCCCAACTTCATAATGATAAACTCAGGCTTCCTTTGTGTACCACTTTTGGCAATGCAGGTGCTTTTTGCAAGTCAATGGGAGAGAATTACAAGTGTGGCTTATTAAATTGATCTCCAATTTAATCAATAAATCATTCACAACATGAAAATGTGTTTGCTTTGAATTAGTGCTTGATAGCAATTTTCTATTTCCTAAAAACTTGTAATTGAAATGACAGCGTGCCTTTATTAAAGAGAATTTTAAGAATAAAAAGAAATAACCTAATATAAGATTGTTTTAATTTCTGCCTATTTCATTCTGGATGTACCCACACTCATCCATGCTTCGCAAAGAGACAGTCATAGTATACATGCCACCTTAATCATAAAGATTTCTCTGGGTTTCTACATGGTTTTCACAGTGATACTTTTTCCTTTCATTATTCATCATTCTTCAGAGAACCATCACCTCCTGGGACTCCTGTGATGAAAGTGCCATGATTGCTAAGCTCCTTAAGTGAGGAAATCATAAATTTCATTTTTTTATCCCTTCTAATGGCAAAAGCAGTTCTGAGAATATGCTAGGCACTTCAGTGCTTGTAGCCTTGGAAAAAGGTGGTGAGCATGTTTGTAGAAGATAAATTCTGGGAATAAAGCACCACCAAAAGGCTAAGAGATTTAGCCGGGCATGGTGGCATGCACCTGTAGTCCCAGCCAATCTGGAGGCTGAGGCAGGAGAGTCTCTTGAACCTGGGAGGTGGAGGCTGCAGTGAGTTGAGATCATGCTGCTACAGTCCAGCCTGGGCCACAGAGGAAGACTCTGTCTCAAAAAAAAAAAAAAAAAGAAAGGCCGGGCACAGTGGTTCATGCCTGTAATCCCAGCACTTTGGGAGGCTGAGGCGGGTGGATCACCTGAGGTCATGAGTTAGAGACCAGCCTGGCCAACATGGTAAAACCCCGTTTCTACTAAAAATACCAAAAATTAGCCAGGTGTAGTGGCGGGCGCCTATAATCCCAGCTACTAGGGAGGCTGAGACAGGAGAATCACTTGAACCCAGGAGGCAGAGGTTGCAGTGAGCTAAGATTGCACCATTGTACTCCAGCCTGGGCAACAAGAGCAAAACTCCGTCTCAAACAAAACAAAACAAACCACTAAGAGATCTAATCAATTATTCTGGCACACAAGGTAATATGAATTTCCTGAAAATGCAACTAAAAATACGTTATTAACCACATTTCTCCATATTCAACCCTTCAAATCAAAATTATGATGATACCTTTTTTTGTATTCTGACAATTGTCATGATTACTCTTATGAAGGAAATAAATAGTAGTAAAAAAGAAAATCTGTTTCTTGTTACTCTTTTTTGTAATCCATATGGGAAATTAAATTATATAGACAGCAAAACTGGCTTTACTATTAATAACACACGAGCTTTTCTTAAACTCTGGCTTTGTCTAACACTTTTCGTTAAGCAAATGCATTTTTACCCTACAAATCACTGAGGGACTGACATATAGTTGAAAACTATAGAAAATACAGAAAGACTTCCTCTAGTCTTATCCACAACTCTTCATAATGTTATTGCACGAGAATTTTGAATGTGGTGCAGTAAGAAAAGCACCCTCAGCTGTGCCTCGGAAGACCTGAGTTCTGGCTCTGGCTCTACCACCAAATTACTGTGTGATTTTGGGTGAGCCACTTTGCCTCTCTGGACTTAAATATTACTACTTTGAAAGAAAGAGAGGGAGAGAGACATCAGCTGTATGACCTGAGGCCATTTTCTGCCCTAATACTCTATGACAAATATCTGTGATAGTAGTAATTTCTACATTTACACTTAGGGTTTATTTAAATACAGTTTTTTCTTTCTCTTTATTTTGGAGGAAAGGAGGTCAAATATGCTGCTAGTCTCTTTTTCCCTCTGAAGTGAAATACAGTCTTTTGAACCTTTGGAGGGACCCAGTAGAATTGAATTTAGATGGGATGTCCCCAATGGATCTGATCCAGCATTTTCAGAACCCATTGAATGTGCAGCAGAAGGTAGACTTGGAGAGGCCATTGGCTCTGGAGGGGTCACACTACTTTGGTTTTGTAGTTTGGTTTCTGCTGCCTTCCCATAGAATGCCTGAATCCCTGATGTAGGCCCAAAGGTGAGGAACCAAGGCTTGTCAGTTAACTATGTCACAGTTTGTCTGTCTTCCGAGTCAGGATGTTGTGGGTTGAATAATGGTCAACCAAAGAGATGAAGTCTTAATTCCTAGAACTTGTAAATGTTACTTTACTTGGGAGAAGAGCTTCTGCAGATGTGATTAAGTCAAGGATTTTGAGATGGGGAGATTATCATGGATTACCTGGACGGATCCTAAATCCAATCATGAGTGTTCTCATAAATCAGAGGTGGGTGAGATCTGATGCAGACACACAGTGGAGAAGGAGATGTGAAGATGGTGGAGATTAAAGTGATGTGGCCACAAGCCCCAGGTTTGCTGGGGCAGCCACCAAGAGCCAGAAGTGGCAAGGAACAATTCGCCCTTCAAGCACCCAGAAGGAGGCAGCCCTGCTGGATTATAGCCATCTGGCCTCCAGAACTGGGGGAGAATACACGTCTGCTGCTCTAAGCCACTAAGTTGGTGGTAATTTGTTACAGCAGCCACAGGAAACAAATACACAGGTGACAGCAGGCAAGTGTCCAGTCCTGCAGGGGCCCACACCAGCCCTCAGATCTGGCTCAGGAAACACAAAAAGAGGAGCATCCTTCCATTCTGGCTGTTCAGTCCTTTCCTCCAACTCTTCACCAGACTCCACATCTCCACCTTGCCTCATTCTCTCTGTTCAACTATTTATTAAGAAGTTGCTGTGCACTAAGCACTGTGCCAAGTATGGAGGAGCAGCTGATAAAAGAATCCTCAGGAACTGAAGATAGAGACTGTTTGGGGTTTAGATCAGCTTGCACTAGAAACTGGGCTTGGGGGGAATTCCACCTTAGTCCCTCAGGCCTTGCTTAACTGGGCTTTGGAGGGGAAGGTGGCTTCCCCCACACCTGCCCTCACTGATGAGGCGGTCCCATAGTTCCCACCATCATGACATGGACTAGTAATACCTGAGGGCCCTGAGTTCTCCATCGGCTCACCATTGATCTTTGCTTATCACATACAAAACTCTCATAAAGGAACTGGGTTTTCCCCAAACTGCGTCAAAACATGAATGATGGTGAGGGGAATTTGCCGAGGTATGAATTCAGGTACCAGCAGATATTTCCTTTTATTTTTTCTTTAGAGACAGGTCAGTGGCTCAATCATAGCTCACCTCAAACTGCTGGACTCAAGTGATCCTCCCACTTTAGCTTCCCAAGTAGCTGGGACTACAAGTGCATGCCACCATGCCTGGCTAATTTTATTTAAAAAATTTGTACAGATGATGCATTAGTCCGTTGTCACACTGCTATAAAGAAAGACCAAGATTGGATAATTTATAAAGGAAAGAGGTTAAATTGACTCACAGTTCTGCATTGCTGGGGAGGCCTCAAGAAACTTATAATCATGGTGGAAGGCAAAGGAGAAGCAGGCACATTTTTCACAGGTCGGCAGGATGGAGTGAGTGCAAGCAGGGAAAATGCCAGGTGTTTATAAAACCATCAGATCAGATCTCTTGAGACTCACTCACTATCATGAGAACAGCATGGGGGAAACTGCCCCCATGATCCAATTAACTCCACCTGGTCCCGCCCTTGACACATGGGGATTATGAGGATTATAATTCAAGATGAGATTTGGGTAGGGACACAGAGCCAAACCGTATGAGATGGGGTCTTGCTATGTTGACCAGTCTGGTCTTGAACTCCTAGGCTCAAGCAATCCTCCTGCCTCAGCCTCCCAAAATGCTGGAATTACAGATGTGAGCCACCGTACCTGGCATCCAGCAGATATTTCTACTGCATTTCTCCAGGAATGAGTGGGTTGGAGATGAGGAGATTCTGGAACTTCTGTCATTTCCTCCCAACAATTCTGGGACTCATGTTCACTCTCCTGGGATAGGGGAAACTGACTTAAAGTGATTTTCAAATGGCATTCCTGTTGAAAGAGTTAATATATGTACATGCATACAACATACACACACATTTGTGTATGCTACATACCATGGAGGAAAGCCAGTCCTGGTATAAATTGTATAACTTCAAAATAATAATGGAATTATGATTTCATTTTAATACTGATTTCAATTAAAAATTTTAATAGACTATTTTTTAGAGGTTTTAAGTTTACAGAAAATCTAGGTAGACAACACAGAAAATTCCCATTAACCCCTGTATTAGTCTGCTAGGACTTCCATAACAAAATACTACAGGCTGAGTAGCTTAAACAACAGAAATTTGTTTTCCCACAGTTCTGGAGGCTAGAAGACCAAGGTGCCCACAAGTCTGGTTTCTGGTGATGCCTATTTACCTTACTTGCAGATGGCTGCCTTCTCCCTGTGTCCTCACATGGCCTTTCCTCTGAGCACCTGGAGGCAAGAGAGTGAGCTCTGGTGTGTATTCCTCTACCTAGGAGACACCAGTCCTATTGAATTAGGGCCTCAGCCTTACGATCTCATTTAACCCTCATTGCCTCCCTTTAGGTGACTAGGTGTGAGGGTGGAGCCCTCAAGAGACTGCCTTCTCTCCATCTGCTGTTTGTAGTGGGAGGATACCTCCAGAGAGGCTGCTGCTCATTGAGCTGCACTCACATGAGGATACAGACTTTGTGAAGAAGGAATTGGCAACACTGAAACCTCCAGAACAAAGGCTGTCACTAAGGTATGTGCTACAAGCATCCTTGGGGAAGAAGGGCATGAGTAGGCAGGGGCATTTTTATATCTTTAGAGGATAGGCAAAGGGAAGACCAAAATTTCAGAGGTCTAGCACAAGAAGTAAAATTTTTTTTTAAATCTTTGCATTTCCTCAGAGCCCACAAACATGCATGTGTCTTAGTGGCTGCCCATGCTCTGGCTGAGGAGAGCAAACCGTGCCATATTCTCTGCAGGCCTTTAGGAGAGAGTGAAAACTCCTACAAGAGTGGGAAGGTAGATAAGAGAAGATCCTTTATAATACCAGGCATCTGGGAAGATCTGTCCTTGTGCTGGGTACAGGGCTTCTATCAGGTAACTGAAGGACACCTGGGTGCTGTTCTTAAGGAAAGAAGCCAGCGAGCAAACTTTCATATGACTAAAGAAGTTGCTGGTGGGTGCCTGTAGTCCCAGCTACTCAAGAGCCTGGGGCAGAAGGATTGCTTGCGCCCAGAAGTCAGGGCTTTGTGTGAGATCACACCTGCGTATAACTACTGTACTCCAGCTTGGGCAACATAGTGAGACCCTGTCTCTAAAAAAATAAATAAATTGCTTGCTTGCTTGCTTGTGCTTTCAAATCATAGAAAAGTAGCAGAGTGGAGAGGGGTGTCTGAATGTAAAGCAAACAAATGCCTTGGAAAAATATGTCTGGATTGAAATTGCATTGAATGTATATATCAATTTGAGAAGAATTGTCAAGTTTTATAATTTTTATGTAACTGAATTGCATTTTTATTAGTTTTATTCCTAGTAATGCTAGTAATTTTCATTGCTAGTATAATTGGGATCATTTTTCTATTGCATTTATAAAGTTATTTTTTTTCTGGTGCTTAGGAAAGCAATTAAAAGAATAAACTGATGAATATCATGCAGATATATCTCTAAAACAATAAGCAAAATACAAAGGGAAAAACAATATATCATTTATGTAAGTTAAAACAATATATCATTTATGTAAGTTAAAACACACAAAAATATATATTGTTTATGGATATATATAAATATGTAAAAGTACAGGGGGAAATTGTTTGGAATGATACATACCAAATTGGTTTTAGTTGTTGTTTCTGTTATGGGGATAAGTTGTGTAGTTAAAGGGAACATTAGCTTCATCTCTATTGCATCAGAAATAAAAAAAGAAAGAGGGATGGAAGGAAGAGAGGGAATGAGGGAGGGAGAAAAGAAGGGAGAAAAAAAGAAGGAAGGAAGGAAAAAAAAATAACCCAAAGCATTGTGAGAATATGTTAGCAGCTGCTAATTCTAGGTGATGGAACTATGGGTATTTACATTTTCTTTGTAAGTTTTGGCTTTTCTCATCTCAGCTGACTCCCTTTGGTTTACATAACAAAATACAATAGACTGAGTGGCTTAAACAACAGAAAGTGTTGTTTAACATACTTCTAAAGGCTGGAAGTCCAAGACCAAGCTGCCAATGCAGTTGATTTCTGGTGAGGCTTCTCTACCTGGCTTGCTGATTTCAGCCTTCTTGCTGTGTCCTCACATGGTCTTTACTCCATGCACAAGGGGAGCAAAATTTCTTGTGTCTCTTTCTCTTCTGTTAAGGACACTAGTTCTATCAGATTAGGGCCCTGCCTTTTTTGGTTTTGTTTCTGTTTTCTTTTTTTTGAGACAGAGTCTCACTCTGTCACCCAGGCTGGAGTACAGTGGCTTGATCTCGAGTCATTGCAACCCCTGCTTCCTGGGTTCAAGAAATTGTCGTGCCTCAGCCTCCCGAGGTAGCTTGGATTACAGGCATGTGGCACCATGCCTGGCTAATTTTTGTAATTTTAGTAGAGACGGGGTTTTGCACTGTTGGCCAGGCTTGTCTCGAACTCCTGGCCTCAAGCAATCCGCCTACCTTGGCCTCCCAAAGTGCTGGGATTACAGGTGTGAGTCACTGTGAGAGCCAGGGCCCTGCCTTTATAACCTCATTTAACCTTTTTTTTTTTTTTTTAATTTTAATTTTTTTTTTTTTTTTTGAGACAGAATCTCACTCTGTCGCCCAGGATGGAGTGCAGTGGTGTGATCTCGGCTCACAGCAACCTCCACCTCTTCGGTTCAAGTGATTCTTCTGCCTCAGCCTCCTGAGTAGCTAGGATTACAGGCATGCACCCGCCATGCCCGGCTAATTTTTGTATTTTTAGTAGAGACGGGGTTTCGCCATGTTGGCAAGGCTGGTCTTGAACCCCTGACCTCAGGTGATCTGCCCACCTTGGCCTCCCAAAGTGCTAGGATTACAGGCATGAGCCACAGCTCCCGGTCTATCATTTAACCTTAATTACATCTTTAAAGGCCCAAATAGTCTCACCCACTCCAAATAGTCACACCCACACCGGAGGTTGAGCACTTCAACACATGAATTTGGGGAGGACACAGTTCAGTCCATAACATCCCCCTAATTTTTAAAAAATAAAAATGTTTTTAAGGAGTGAATGTCTTTTATGTGTCTCTGTGACCAGGTCCCGCTGCCTTGATGGATTATACACTTGACCTCAGTGTGACAACAGTGACCGACTACTACTACCCTGATATCTTCTCAAGCCCCTGTGATGCGGAACTTATTCAGACAAATGGCAAGTTGCTCCTTGCTGTCTTTTATTGCCTCCTGTTTGTATTCAGTCTTCTGGGAAACAGCCTGGTCATCCTGGTCCTTGTGGTCTGCAAGAAGCTGAGGAGCATCACAGATGTATACCTCTTGAACCTGGCCCTGTCTGACCTGCTTTTTGTCTTCTCCTTCCCCTTTCAGACCTACTATCTGCTGGACCAGTGGGTGTTTGGGACTGTAATGTGCAAAGTGGTGTCTGGCTTTTATTACATTGGCTTCTACAGCAGCATGTTTTTCATCACCCTCATGAGTGTGGACAGGTACCTGGCTGTTGTCCATGCCGTGTATGCCCTAAAGGTGAGGACGATCAGGATGGGCACAACGCTGTGCCTGGCAGTATGGCTAACCGCCATTATGGCTACCATCCCATTGCTAGTGTTTTACCAAGTGGCCTCTGAAGATGGTGTTCTACAGTGTTATTCATTTTACAATCAACAGACTTTGAAGTGGAAGATCTTCACCAACTTCAAAATGAACATTTTAGGCTTGTTGATCCCATTCACCATCTTTATGTTCTGCTACATTAAAATCCTGCACCAGCTGAAGAGGTGTCAAAACCACAACAAGACCAAGGCCATCAGGTTGGTGCTCATTGTGGTCATTGCATCTTTACTTTTCTGGGTCCCATTCAACGTGGTTCTTTTCCTCACTTCCTTGCACAGTATGCACATCTTGGATGGATGTAGCATAAGCCAACAGCTGACTTATGCCACCCATGTCACAGAAATCATTTCCTTTACTCACTGCTGTGTGAACCCTGTTATCTATGCTTTTGTTGGGGAGAAGTTCAAGAAACACCTCTCAGAAATATTTCAGAAAAGTTGCAGCCAAATCTTCAACTACCTAGGAAGACAAATGCCTAGGGAGAGCTGTGAAAAGTCATCATCCTGCCAGCAGCACTCCTCCCGTTCCTCCAGCGTAGACTACATTTTGTGAGGATCAATGAAGACTAAATATAAAAAACATTTTCTTGAATGGCATGCTAGTAGCAGTGAGCAAAGGTGTGGGTGTGAAAGGTTTCCAAAAAAAGTTCAGCATGAAGGATGCCATATATGTTGTTGCCAACACTTGGAACACAATGACTAAAGACATAGTTGTGCATGCCTGGCACAACATCAAGCCTGTGATTGTGTTTATTGATGATGTTGAACAAGTGGTAACTTTAAAGGATTCTGTATGCCAAGTGAAAAAAAAAGATGTCTGACCTCCTTACATATGCAAAAATATACCTTCAGAGACTGTCAGTAGGCTGGAAGAAGTGGATATTGAAGTTTTGACATCAATGATGAGGCTCCAGTTGTCTATTCATTGACTGATGGTGAAATGGCTGGAGTGATTCTGAATCAAGGTGATTGTGATTATAGTGACAATGAAGATGATGCTATTAATACTGCATAAAAAGTGCCTGTAGATGACATGGTGAAAATATTTGACAGGCTTATGGAAGGACTACAGCAGCATGCATTCATAACAGAACAAGAAATTATGTCAGCTTATAAAATCAAACAGAGACTTCTAGACAAAAACCATTGTTGATGAGGCAGATGCCTCTAGAAGAGACGTTTAAAAGCCATCAAACACAATGCCTCATCTTCCCTGGAGGACCCACTTCCTGATCCCTCAACTGTGTCTGATGTTTCTTCTCATGTAAGAAATAAAAAATAAAAATAAAATAAAATATATTGGTATGTAACTACAGGAAAAAAATAAAAAATATATAGTGGACAGTAACCTTTCAATCAAAACTCAGTATCATAAGTAGAGACTGAAAACTTGCCGTTATTGATTGTTGTTATTAACAGCTGATACAGGTATTCTGCTGATGCTACTGCTGCCTAGTTACCATGAACACGTTTTTTCACTATTAATGGTGCGTCATATTTTTTACTTTTAAGTACTTACGTGTGAGTAAGTGTAAGAAAATGATTGCTTATCAGTAGTATCAATGATTTACTCAATATCTGAATCACCTTGATTCAGAACCATTTCAGCTGTTTCACCATCAGTCAATGAATAACAGCCTCATTGATGTCAAAAACTTCAATATCCACTTCTTTCAGCCTACTGTAGACTCTGGAAGTATACTTTTTGCATATGTAAGGAAGTCAGACTTTTTTTTTTCACTTGACATACAGAATCCTTCAAAGTTACCCCTAGTTCAACATCATCAGTAGACAAAATCACGGGGCAGAGGTTGTGCCAGGCATGCACAACTATGTCTTTAGTCGTTGTGTTCCAAGTGTTGGCAACAAGATATATGGCATATTTCAGATAAGTTCAGAGTCAGGAAAGATGATGGTGCCAAACAACCACAAGCTGGGCACGGTAGCTCACCCCTGTAATCCCAGCACTTTGGGAGACTGAGGCGGGCAGATCACTTGAGGTCAGGAGTTCAAGACCAGCCTGGCCAATATGGTGAAATTCCATCTCTACTAAAAATACAAAAATTAACCTTTCTGCCTGTAAATGCCATTGAAGAAGCACCGTTAGATTCTCTCTTCTCACTGCCGTCCTGTCTAAGTCAGAGTCTTCTAAAAAGCCTGAACAGCTGAGGAAGCTCTTCATTGGAGTGTTGACCTTTGAAACAACTGATGAGAGCCTGAGGAGCCATTTTGAGCAATGGGGAACGCTCACGAACTGCATGGGTAATGAGAGATCCAAACACCAAGCGCTCCAGGGGCTTTGGGTTTGTGACATATGCCACTGTGGAGGAGGTGGATGCAGCCATGAATGCAAGGCCATGCAAGGTGGATGGAAGAACTGTGGAACCAAAGAGAGACATCTCAAGAGAAGATTCTCGAAGACCAGGTGCTCACTTAACTGTGAAAAAGATATTTGTTGGTGGCGTTAAAGAAGACACTGAAGAACATCACCTAAAAGATTATTTTGAACAGTAAGGGAAAATTGAAGTGATTGAAATCATGACTGACTGAGGCAGTGGCAAAAAAAAGGGCTTTGCCTTTGTAACCTTTGACAACCATGACTCCGTGGATAAGACTGTCATTCAGAAATACTGTACTGTGAGTGGCCACAACTGTGAAGCTAGGAAAGCTCTGTGAAAGCAAGAGATGGCTCGTGCTTCAACCAGCCAAAGAGGTCGAAGTGGTTCTGGAAACTTTGGTGGTGGTCGTGGAGGTGGTTTTGATGGGAATGACAACTTTGGTGGTGGAGGAAACTTCAGTGGTCGTGGTGGCTTTGGTGGCAGCCATGGTGGTGGTGGATATGGTGGCAGGGGGGATGGCTATAATGGATGTGGTAATGATGGAAGCAGTTTTGGAGGTGGTGGAAGCTACAATGATTTTGTCAATTACAACAATCAGTCTTCACATTTTGGGCCCATGAAGGGAGGAAACTTTGGAGGCAGAAGCTCTGGTCCCTATGGTGGCGGAGGCCAATACTTTACCAAACCATGAAACCAAGGTGGCTATGGCAGTTCCAGTAGCAGCAGTAGCTATAGCAGTGGCAGAAGATTTTAATTAGGAAACAAAGCTTAGCAGGAGAGGAGAGCCAGAGAAGTGACAGGGAAGCTACAGGTTACAACAGATTTGTGAACTCAACAAAGCATAGTGGTGGCAGGGCTTAGCTGCTACAAAGAAGACATGTTTTAGACAAATACTTATGTGTATGAGCAAAAATCTTGAGGACTGTATTTGTGACTAATTGTATAACGGTTATTTTAGTTTCTGTTCTGTGGAAAGTGTAAAGCATTCCAACAAAGGGTCTTAATGTAGATTTTTTTTTTTTTGCACCCATGCTGTTGATTGCTAAATGTAATAGTCTGATCATGATGCTGAATAAATGTCTTTTCTTTTCTAATGTGCTGTGTAAGGTTAGTCTACTCTGAAGCCATCTTGGTAAATTTCCCCCAGCAGTGTGAAGTTAGAATTCTTTCAGGCTGATGCAAGGTTCTATTTGGAATTTATATACAAACTGCTTGGGTGGAGAAGACATTGTCTTCAGAAACCTTGGTGTAGTTGAACTGATGGTTATTGTTGTGACCTGAAGTTCACCACTGAAAGAGATTACCCAAGCAAAATCATGTAATTATTGGTTATAAATATGATTGTTGGCACATCCTATGCAATATATCTAAATTGAATAATGGCACCAGGTAAAATTATAGATGGGAATGAAGCTTGTGTATCATCCATTATCATGTGTAATTAATAAATGATTTAATTGTCTTAAAAAATAAAAATACAAAAATTAGCCAGGTGTGGTGGCTTGTGCCTATAGTCCTGGCTACTTGGGAGGCTGAGGCAGGAGAATCACTTAAACCTGGGAGGCAGAGGTTGCCCTGAGCAGAGATCACGCCCCTGCTCTTCAGCTTGGGCAACAGAATGAGACTCAGTCTCAATAAATAAGTTAAATTAAATTTATAAAACTACTGTGATGGTTAATACGGAGTGTCAACTTGATTGGATTGAAGGACACAAAGTATCGATCCTGGGTGTGTCTGTGAGGGTGTTGCCAAAAGATATTAACATTTGAGTCAGTGGGCTGGGAAAGGCAGACCCACCCTTAACCTGGGTGGGCACCATCTAACAGCTGCCAGCATGGCTAGAATATAAGCAGGCAGAAAAATGTGAAAAGAGAGACTGGCCTAGCCTCCCAAACTACATCTTTCTTCCGTGCTGGATGCCTCCTGCCCTTGAACATCAGACTCAAGTTCTTCAGTTTTGGAACTCAGACTGGCTCTCCTTGCTCCTCAGCCTGCAGATGGCCTACTGTGGGACCTTGGGATCATGTGAGTTAATACTTAATAAACTCATATATATATATATATATATATATTCCATTAGTTCTGTCCCTCTAGAAAACCCTGACTAATACAACTACCTTCAGGCTATGTGTATAAGGCATATATAAAACATAAATGAATTCTGTGTTTAGACCTGGGTCCCAACCCCAAAATATCTCATTATGTATACACAAATATTCCAAAATCTAAAAAACAAAACAAAACGAAACAAAACAAAAAACCAAAATCTGAAACACTTCTGATCCCAAGCATTTAGGATAAGGGATATTCAACCTGTATGTTAAAATATTTAACTATGATTGGAAGTTTGTCTATTTTTCATTTTAATTATGTAAATTTTTGCAGTATATATCTTGAAGCTACGTTATTAGGTGAATGCATAAATAGTATTGTTATGACTTTTTATTGAATTGACTCTTTTAGCATTATGAAATGCCTCTTTCTCTCCAGTAATACTTCTTGTCTTAGTATCTACTATGCTTAGCATTAATATAGCCACACTGGTTTTTCTTTTGATTAGTGTATATGTTGTGTATTTCCATGTTCTTTCACTTTAAACCAAACAACTCTCCTATATTTAAATATTATAATATATTATATATTAATATTATATTATTATATTTTAATGTTATTTAAATATTCTTTTGTAAGCAGAATTTAGTTTGGGCTCTTCTTTTCTCACAGAGAGAGAGAGGATTTTATTGCCACAAAGACAAAATCATTTTTAGGTAAAATATTCTGTGGGATTCCATTATAGAGCATACAAAGGGTTGATTTCAGATTTCAAAATAATTTTTATCTTTTATTTTCTGGTTTAACAATGTAATTTCAATTACAGAGGACACACTCTTCAAGGCTAATGGCCTTGAATCCAATCATTTTGAGAAAACATCCAAATGGCTTTTTCTTAAAATGTTTTAATATGTGCTTATGATATTTATACCATCCCTCAAAAAAGTGTAGGCTTCTGAAAAACATAAAAAGTTCTCTTTTTTCTTCTGCTCTAGACATAAATTCACTTAATTCTGAATATTCTGTGAGCTCCATTATTATGTTGAGATCAGCAATAACAAAAGACAAATTCCTCATTCTTAATTTCCAGAATCTGAAATACAAGTTGAAATCTAACCCCGTGGCAATTTCCTGATAATCTGTGTTTTTGTACAACCTTTGTACTCTTTTCTGTCATCTCAGTGGTTAAGGCCTCTGTTTTCTTGGAATACAGTCTGTATCAGCAATTCCACATTCATGGATTCAACCAACCACTGAAAATATTTTTTGTATTTTTTATTTTTTTTAAAAATACAAAGTCAAAAATATAGTATAATGACTACTTACATAGCAAATACCTTGTATTAGGTAATGTAGGTAATCTAGAGATAATTTAAAGTATAAAGGAGTATGTGAAAATATTAAGCCATTTTATATTAGAGACTTGAACATCCTCCTGTACTTCCGGGGGTTCTAGAACCAATTCCCCATGGATACCAAGAAGACTGTAATTTCTTACATTGATGTCGGTAAGCATACTTAGAAATGGAAGTTCTGATTCTAAATGTCTAAGGTTACTTCCTAGATCTTTTGAAGGCTGCCATCCTTCAGAAATTGGTATATTTCTTGAAATTTTTGGACTCTGGAGGTCTCTTCTCAGGGTGTAAGTAGCTCTGCTATGGGCATCTTCCCAAGCACATCAAGCCAGGGTGCACTCCTATTGAACCAGCTCTTGAGCTTGGTGGGGGAGGTGGGAGAGCAAGAAGGGACTCCATGACCCAGCATATAGAATTTCACATTCACATAATATTCCAGGGGTATTATGTCCCTGCACACATTGCCATAACTATCTCTAAGCAGTGCCTACACTTGGAGAGAGTTTGTTCATTTTAAGCAGAAGCCAAAGAGTACCACCTTTTGTATTTTTATTTATTTATTTTTAATTGTTTTATTTTATTTCATTTTTTTTGAGACAGGGTCTCATTCTGTCACCTACCCTGGAGAGCAGTGGCACCATCTCAGCTCACCCCAGCCTCAACCTCCTAGGCTCAAGTGATCCGCCCATCTCAGCCTCCAGAGTGGCTGGGACTACAGCCAAGTTCCACAACACCCAGCTAATTATTGTATTTTTGTAGAGACAGAGTCTCCTCATGTTGCCCAGGCTGGTCTCAAACTCCTGGGCTCAAGTGATCTGCACACCTTGGCCTCCCAAAGTGCTGGGATTACAAGTGTGAGCCACCATGCCTAGGTGTCTTGTATTTTTAAAATCCAGTATAACAATCTTTGCCTCTTAATTGTACTGTTTAGTGCATTTACATTTAATAAAATTATATAAAGCAACAGCACAAAGACAAGAGGGGATAAATGGAGGTGTAAACAGAGTTAAACATTTTTATGGTTCTTACATTACTTGACAAATATTTAAATCCTAACTTAAGATTAATCACAATAGGTTAGAGATGAGTATTGAAATTTCTAGGATAACCAGTAAAAAAAAAGTACAAGTACATATAAATACAAACTAATGGAAAAAAAAGAAATTAGAATGATAGTTGACTAATATAAAACAAGCCAAAAACAAAAACAAAACAAAACAAAACAAAACAAAACAAAAAAACAGGAAATGGGGATAGCAAATAGAAAACAAAAAGCAAGATGGTAGAATTAAACTCAACCATATCAGTAACAGGTATCAACCCAAAGCTCTCATATCATTGAGTTGCTAGGCCAATCCTGAAACCTCCTACTGTTAGAATCCTTTGTTTTAGATGAAGGTAAAACTTACATAAAACTTACCAGTTAATCATTTTAAAGTGTATAGTTCAGGAGCTTTTAGTACATTCACAATGTTGTGCAGATATCACCACTATCTAGTTCCAGAACTTCTTCATCACCCCAAATGGAAATCCATTAAGTGGTCACACTCTATTCCTTCTCCCTCCATCCCACTCCAAGCACTAATCTGCTTTCTGTCTCTATGGATTTGACTATTCTGGATATTTCATATAAATGGAATCATACAATATGGGACCTCTAGTGTCTAGCTCTTTTCGTTTAGTCAAATGACACTTTTTTTGTGAGCAAACTGAACCTTGACTTTTAACTTTGGTAGTACCAAATGAGGTATGTTGGACTAACCATTCTATTGTGGAGAGAGAAAAAGCTGGACAAAAATTAAAAATATGTATGTATCCAATTACTTGAAAGTTAATGGATAATTATAAAATCTTGGAAAAGACATAAATCCAGCATTTGGGTCTGTTTTTCCCCTGGAGATATTGCCAATTTCAGACAAAGCTTCTGCAAGCCTGAGAATCTCAGTAGCATTTTTGACTGACTCACAGGGGTAGGAGATTAAAATTGGACCTCAGTACTTTCCAAAAATGGATGCTGGCAAATCTCTTCTGTCTTAGGATGGGTCCCTTAGAGCTATACCTTAAGATTAGTGTAAATCAGACATAGGGCAGCCCTTGAAGGAACTGGCACCTAACTTCCAGTTTTCTCAATCCTTAGAAATTGGTTTGAGGCAATCTCAGGTTGCTATCATTCCCCCAGGAACCAGACAGAATCAAATATTAATCCTCTCTAGAGGAAGATAATACCATTCTATTTGTCAATCATTACTACAGTTTTCTGATTATTTTTGAAAAATTTATTGTGTCTTTGGCACATGATAAAAATAGCCAGGCACATGAAGAGACATGACACCATACACAAGAAAGACCAGAGGCAAAAAACAGAAGGGGCAGAACTACAGGAGCAACAGATACAGAAGGGTCAAGATTAGGCTTTAAAAACAACTATGCTAAGGAGAAATGAACTGGCCAAGTTGGAAATGAAGGCTCTCAAAATTTTCATGCTCAGTAGTTGGATCACACCTGTGAATAGCCACTCATTACACTCTAGCCTAGGCAACATAGCAAGCTCCTGTCTCAAAACAAACAAAACTTTGGGAGGCTGAGGCAGGTGGATCAACGAGGTCAGGAGATCGAGACCATCCTGGCCAACATGGTGAAACCCCATCTTTACTAAAAATACAAAAAATTAGCCAGGTGTGGTGGCACGCACCTGTAGTCCCAGCTACTCAGGAGGCTGAGGCAGGGGAATCCGCTTGAACCCAGGAGGCAGAGGTTACAGTGAGCTGAGATCATGCCACTGCACTCCAGCCTGGTGTCAGAGCAAGACTCTGTCTCAAACAAACAAAAACCCTAAAAAACAAATTAAAATAAATAATTATGCTTTCTATGTTCACCTAGATAAAGAAAAAACTTGGCCAGGTGCAGTGGCTCATGGCTGTAATCCCAGCACTTTGGGAGACCAAAGCAGCTGGATGACCTGAGGTCAGGAGTTCGAGACCAGCTTGGCCAATATGGTGAAACCCCATCTCTACTAAAAATACAAAAATTAACCAGGAGTGGTAGCATGCACCTGTAATCCCAGCTACTCCGGAGGCTGAGACAGGAGAATTACTGGAACCAAAGAGGCAGAGGTTGCAGTGAGTCGAGATCGTACTACGCCAGGCACTCCAGCCTGGGTGATAGAGCAAGATTCTGTCTCTGAAAGAAAGAAAGAGAGAGAGAGAAAGAAAGAAAGATCTTGATAATTTTGGCAGAGAACTGGAAATCATAATTTTTTAAAAGAGCATATTTGAAAGGCACTAAATAGAAAATTTGAAACTAAAAAGTAAAATAATTAAAATTAACAACTCTATGGATGAGATTTTCAGTAAAGTGGACAAAGCTAAAGAATTAGTGAACTGGATGATAGGCAAGAAGAAAATATCATGAATAAAGTGTGGAGGGACAAAAGAAGAGAAATAAAAATATAATAGAGAGAGTAAGAGGCATACAGCATAAGATGATAGAGTCTAACATATGTTTTTAAGAGCCTTAAAAGGAGAATAGAGAAACAATGAGGCAGAATCAATATTAGGAAATATAATGACTGAGAATGTTCCTGCACTGAGGAAAGACATAAAAAGACAAATTGAAGCAGTCCTACAATCCCAAGTAGAATTTTAAAAGCCTGACACCTATGCATACCAAAAACTGGTGGAAACCAAATGTTTTTCAGATTAAGAAAGTGAAATTTTAAAGCCAGATTTTAGAAAAGACATTATCTTCAAACAAGCAGCAATTAAAGTGAAATCAGACTTCCCAATAGGAATAGTAAAAGCCAGTAAAAAAGGAATGATAGCTTTAAAGAACTAAGAGAAAATAATGCCAAAGTAGAATTTCACATCCAGTGAAGATATCTTTAAGAATAATGGTGATGCTGGGCACGGTGGCTCATGCCTGTAATCCCAGCACTTTGGGAGGCTGAGACGGGCAGATCACGATATCAGGAGTTCGAGACCAGCCTGGCCAACATGGTGAAACCCCGTCTCTACTAAAAATACAAAAATTAGCTGGGCATGGTGGCACATCCCTGTAATCCCAGCTACTCAGGAGGCTGAGGCAGGAGAATTCCTTGAACCTGGGAGATGGAGGTTGCAGTGAGCTAAGATCACCCCACTGCACTCCAGCCCGGGTGACAGAGTGAGACTCCATCTCAACAGAAAAAAAAAAAAAAAAAAAGGAATAATGGTGACATAAAATATTCTATAATTTATTTTTTAAATGCGAAGTATCAAATATAGACAAGACATAATAATGAAAATAAAGCTTTCAAACAATCATATAAAAGAAAATCTTCATGACTTTAGTACAAGGAAATACGATGCCTTAAATGAGATTCAAAAACACAAACCATACATGAAATTTGACTGCACTCTGTCTTTTCATTAATAGAAGTTAACCCAATAAGTTAATGACTTCTGTTAACTAAAAGACAGAGTGGTAGACGCTATGATGTTCAGAAATAAAGAATTTATTATTCCAGCTTCTGGGAGAGCCACCAGAAGGCATTGCTTAGCTCTCAGTCCCTTTGGGGACTGCCTCTCTTGCCTCCTTCAAAGGGTGGCCTGCATCGCATGATCAACAAACATGAAGGTATAAAGTCCCAGCTCCTCATTGCAACTTGGAATTGCTTTGAAGGATAGGGTCAGCTGAAGTTCCTGTTGAGACTACAGTGCAGCTCTCCCTCTGCTCAGTCCTGCTTTCTTCCCTTCCCCTCCTTTCCCAGGTGTTGATTGCAAAAGTACTTTCAAAGAAACTTCCTGCACACTAGTCTCCATCTCAGAATCTGCTTCTTTGGATATCCAACCTGTCACAGACAAAAGTAGATAAGCAGGCCTTGGAATGGGAGAAGAGTGTGAGTGTGTGTGTGTGTGTTTGTGTGTGTGTGTGTGTGTAGAAAACAGGAGGGATTGATTCATAGTTGAGTCATTTGTTCTTGATTATAGCACTCAACCTGCAAATTACATTCACCTCTTGGTAACAAAGGGGAAACTTCCTCTTCCCTGAGCCATTTCACTCAGATGGAATTATTCCTGGGTAATCCTTATCTATATATCTGCCAGCAATTGCCCCTTTCCTTTCCCATAGTAATATGTAAACTCTTTCTTATCAAGAATAACTGGAGAATGATGTCTTTAGTTCAGTTGCATAGCCATATACAATAGAGAACCTCTGACTTTTCAATGGATTTGATATATTCTGAAATCCAGATCAATATCTCACTTTATTTAACTTGTCTTTGATGATCCCAAAGGCATTTGAGAACATTATCTGGCAGTGTCTCAGAGTTACTGATTTTCTCTAGATAGTATTAAAATTTATAGGTTTGTTAAGTCTGTCCTAACCCTGGGTGTTCATTCTGAAAATAATTTATTTGAATCAGCAGGTTTTGATACATTTTTCTCTATGCCATTCTGTAGTCTCAAAATGAACAAAACAGGAAGATTCCTTTTGCTCATCCATAGTTTCTGAATTGTCAGTAATAAAAATGTATTACTTTTGTAAGGAAAGTTATAAAATTCTAACAAAAAATTAAAAGTAAAATATAGGGTGTTTAGATCTCAAGTAAGCAGGAGCTTTAAGACATAGTTCTGTTTGACCCCATGTCTTTAAGTGGTGATGCAGGGTGGCCTGGGTGGATGCTGTGCATGCAGTGGGCATGCATTACAATCGAGGAACCTCATGCTTTGGAAACCCAATCTTTTAAAGGAACTGCTAGCAAACTTGTCCTGGAGGGAGACATTATTTTCCTGACAGCAGAGAAATCTATCCTCACTCCAAAAAGGGACAGTATCTTACAAGATATTTTGCTATACAAAAAGCCAAGAAAAGTTAGTCCAGAACAAAAGCTGTCAATGCCTTCACTCAGAAGATGGGTAGAAACATTAGAGACTCATTGAGACTTGATTCCCAGGAGGCATACATGTCTAAACTAAATAAAGACCTTCTACATACTAATATGAAAAAGACAGATAATCAGTAGAAGGATGGGCAGGGAATATCAGCAGACAATTTTTGAAAGAGGAAGTCTAAATGGTCAAAAAGTGAAAGAATACATGCTCAACTTCACTAATAACTAGGGAAATACACATTAAAGCCATGATAAAATATCACTATAAACCCATCAGAATGGCTAAAACTTAAAAACTAACAATATTAAGTGTTGGAAAGGATATGGAAGAAGGGAACACTTATACACTGCTGGTGAGACTAAGTGATCCAATCACTTTAGAAAACTGTTTGGCATTATTTACAACACTTGAAGATACACATGTCCTATGACCTACCAATTCCAATCTTAGGTATAAATCCAATAAAAATGCATGCATATGTGCACCAAGAATGCTTATAGGGACATGATTCATAACAGCTCTTTTATGGGTTGAATTGTACCCCCCCAAAAAAGAAAATATGATGAAATCTTATTCCCTGGTATTTCAGAATGTGATCTTATTTGGAAATGGGATGTTTGCAAATCTAACCAAGTTAAGATGAGGCCATTAGGGTAGACCCCAGTCCAATATGACTAGTGTCCTTATAAAAAGTGAAAATGTGTACACAGGCACACACAGAGGGAAGATGATGTAAAGCCACACAGGCAGAATACATGTAACAAGGATGGCAGAGATTTGAGTTATGCAGCTGGCAGCCAAGGAACACCAAGCATTGCCAGCAAACCACCAGAAGCTAGGAAGAGTCAAGGAAAGATTCCCCTACAGGCTTCAGAGAGAATGTGGTCCTGCTAATACCTTGACTTCAGACTTCTAGCCTCTAGAACTTTGAAACAATACATTTCTATTGTTCTAAGTCACCTGATATGTGGTACTTTGTTACAGCATCCATAGAAAACTAATGTAAGCCCCAAAATGGAAATAATATCTATCAATATCACATCAATAGTAGGAAGGCTAACTTCAATCAGAAATAACAATTTCTGAAATAACAATAGATAGAAATAGCTATTTAAAAATCACAGTTATGGCCTGGGAATGGTGGCTTATGCCCATAATCCTAGCACTTTGGGAGGCCAAAGCAGGAGGATAACTTGAGGCCAGGAATTTGAGACCAGCTTGGGCAATATAATGACACCCTGTCTCTAGAAAATAAAAAATAGGCTGGTTGCAGTGGCTCACACCTGTAATCCCAGCACTTTGGGAGGCCAAGGCAGTCAGATCACTTGAGGTCAGGAGTTTGAGACCAGCCTGGCCAACATGGCAAAACCCCATCTCTACTAAAAATACAAAAATTAGCCAGGTATGGTGGAGCATGCACCTGCAATCCCAGCTACTCAGGAGGCTGATGTAGGAGGATTGCTTGAACCTAGGAGGTGGAGGCTGCAGTGAGCTGAATGAATAAAGAAATAATAAAATAAAAAATAAAAAATTGCACCTACACAAAAAATCATGAATGCATCTGACAAATAAGATGTTTACCATAAGAAGCCAGACACAAAAAGAAACATATTATATGATTTCATTTATATGAAGTTTAAAAGGTGGGCAACTAAACTATAATGTTTAAAAATGCATGCTTATGTGGTGATGAACTATAAACAAAAGCAAGGACAGGATCACTGCAGAAGTCAGGATACTGGGTATTTGGGTGGGAGTAGGTGGGGCAGGGAAAGAATGAGGTAGTAGCTGAATCAGGGAACTGGAAGCTTCTGGGATACTGGCAATATTTTGTTGATTGATCTGAGTAGTGGTTACACAGGTGTTAACTGAGCAATATACTGTTATTTTGTGTGCTTTTCTGAATGTGTGCATATTTCACAATTTTAAAAGTTTTATACAACTGTTGTTTAAGTCACTTATAAGAAAAGCTCATAAAAAAGAAGGTTATTTTGTAATTTTCATTCAACAGCATCCTTACTGAGTCAATGGCTTAAAGTCATTCCATGAAAACTAATGCCCAAGCATGTTTTTAGATGTTGCACTCTTGAACTTGATGCCATTAGATATGGCATAAAGAAGTGATTTCTTTGGCTAGAGAACTGTAATTTGCAAAACATTATAAGAAAGAGATTGACTTCTTTCATGACACCATAAGGAGCTTTGCTGACCTGCTTCCCAATGAAACTGGTGAAAATGACCAAAAAAAAGTAGTCATTTAAAGTCTCTGGAAATGGTTCCAACAACAAAGAACAAATGAAGAAACATCTATTCAAGAAAACCTGTAAAAATTTGATAAAAGAAAGCAAAAGTCTATGGTAGTTAAGACCCCACCACCCCAGCTCAATATGGTGGAGACTCCACTCTAGACTGCTACACCTAAAAAAGCACAGGTCTCCTTCTCCCCACAGCTTCTGAAACTGCCTTTGCAAAATTATGACTGAGATAGTGAAAGAGATCTAACCTAACTGACTTCACCTTGCTTTTAACCTTTAAGCTGTCCTTGTTCCTTCCTGGACGTGGGCTGAACTAACTTTGGGAGGAAGTTAGTTTATAGTTTATAGTTTAAAACAAAGATGATAACAGTCCTTTCCCAAAACAAATCTCCTTCTTGCCTGGGGACTAGACTGCCTTTGTAGGACTAACAAATTAGCCACAAGATTAGAAATTATGGTTTAGGAGTCATGCAGCTGGAGTCTGGAAGATGAGGCTGTAAAACCTAGATAATCAACTCCTGCACAGAGGGAGTGCTTTCTGGGTAATCGCCAAACTTCACATACATATGATGAGTCCCAGTAAAAAGAGTGGGTCTTAATGAGCACTTTCCTTTCCCTTTTTTGGGGTCAAACTAAGATAAGAAAGCTGGAAGCTTGCATGGGGGTGGGGGGATGCCTGCAGCTGCAAAGAGGTACCTAGGACCAGGCATGGAAATTCCCCTCCTCTTTTTAACTCATGCAGAGTGGGAAGGAGATACCCAGCATAGGAGGAGCCCAAGCTAAGAACCCACCTGCATGACAAAAGAGTGGGATGGGGGCTGCCAGAGATTCTGCTCTATGCAGATGGCACACCTGATCCCAACCAGTTTTTTGTGCTCTACATAGATAAGATACCCCCTCCCCACTAGCTCATTTATGAAACACCTTATGTTTTACTGCAGTATGGCAACCCATATGTGACTCCTCTCTGTAGCAGAGAGCTGTTCTTTTCCTTTCACCTATTAAATTTCTGCTCTAACCTCACCCTGCGTGTGTCTGTGTTCTTGATCTCCATGGCCATGAGACAAAGAATCTCGGGTGTTATCTCAGACAACGAGGCTGCTTCAGAAAGAGCTAGGGGAAAAGGCAGCTGACAGGAGCTTGTCCAGGAGCAGAATAAATATCAAACACTGACTTCAGAAACTATTCTTTCAAAGGAAATACAATTTCTTTGGTTTAGATTATAAAGCTATTTTTGCCCCAGGACATTGTTGAAAACAGTGGAGCAATCAGCAGGCAATTAGTGAAGATTTAACATCTAGGTGTGGTCAGAGAAAGAGAAGTGGCCTTTACCAATATCACTGTCATCCCAGGATAACTGTAGGCATACCCAAAACTGTCTTTCTGAGGAGCAATGTCAGAGGCTTCATTAGCACTGTGGGGGTTGGGGGAGAGTGTTTAAACTTTACTAGAATAATCCAGCCAGCCAATAAACTGATAAATAAACAAATAGCAATAGCAAGCTCTGGGGGTGGAGAAACTGGTACCCAGAATTGATATTACACATAATCTGAAAGGTCAAATTCCCAACAAAAAATAACAAGGTATACAAAGAAACAGTAAGGTATGATCATATACCAGATTAAAAAAAAAAAAAAAAAAAAAAACAGGCGGCTGGGCATGGTGGCTCATGCCTGTAATCCCAGCACTTTGGGAGGCCAAGGCAGGTGGATCACGAGGTCAGAAGATCAAGACCATCCTGGCTAACATGGTGAAACCCCATCTCTACTAAAAATACAAAAAATTAGCTGGGCATGGTGGCGGGCACCTGTAGTCCCAGCTACTCGGGAGGCTGAGGCAGGAGAATGGTGTGAACCCGGGAGGTGGAGCTTGCAGTGAGCCGAGATGGCACCACTGCACTCCAGCCTGGGTGACAGAGAGAGACTCCATCTCAAAAAAAAAAAAAAAAAAAAAAAAAAAAGCAGAGGTAATAGCTCTCACAAGAAGTCTCTGGCTAGCAAAAGACCAAAAGACAAATATTTACACAGATTCCAAATATATTTCTGCCACTTTGCGTGTTCATGAGGCTATTTACAAAGAGAAAAGACTTTTAACTGCTGAAAGTAAAAAAATAAAGTACAAGGAAGAAATTCTATGGCTCTTAAATGCTGTATAGGCCCCAAAAGAGGTGGCAGTGATGCACTGCAAAGGGCACCAAAAAGCAAGAACACTAAAGGCTAAAAAAATAGAAAGGCAGACAAAGAGGCAAAGCAGGCTGCAATGACAACTCCACCTTCTAAAAAGAAAGCCTTAGCTATGCCTCTCCTCCCAGAGATTCCCCTCCTGGAGATCCTGAGCTACTCCAAATGAAAGGGCTTAATTTGCCCAGAAAAATAAAAACTACATTGAAAAAGGATAGTAAAAATTCTCCAATGGGAGGCTAGCCATACCTGAAATGGTGGCCCCCAGATTTGTAAAAGAGTTCCACCAAGGAACTCACATGGAGAAAAACAGCACTAAAGACATTATTAAGGCATCACTTCTATATGCCATGGCTCACTGCCATTACTCAAGCCATTTGTAAACAAGCAGTGTTTAACTTGCACTCAGAACAATCCACGACAAAGGCCTACCTGGCCCCCGGGAGATCAGAAAACAAAAGCCATGCCCTGTGAAAAACTGCTTATGGACTTCACCGAATTGCCCTGAGAGGGAGGCTATCAGTACATGTTGGTGTTCATTTGCACCTTTTCAGGGTAGGTCATGGCCTTCCCCACCTGGACAGAGAAGGCACTAGAGGTAACCGAGGTGTTAAGAGACATTATTCCCAGATTTGGACTGCCTCTAACTCTAAGATCAGACAATGAACCAACACTTGTGGCTGAAATAGTTCAAGACTTAACTCGACTACTAAAAATAAAATGGAAATTACATACAACCTACAGGCCACAGAGCTCAGGTAAAGTGGGATGCATGAACTGAACACTCAAACAGCTGCTGAAGAAATTTTGTCAAGAAACTCATCTAAAGTAGGATCAGGTCTTGCCCATGGTCCTCCTCCAAGTCAGGTGCACCCCCACCAAACAAACTGGGTATTCGCCCTATGAGATTTTGTTCGGCCGGCCACCCCCCATCATAGGTCAGATTAAAGGTAATCTCTGTAAACTAAGAGAACTAACTTTAAAAAGGCAAATGCAGGCTTTAAGTATGGCCATGTAAAAGATGCATGGCTAGGTATGAAAAAGAATGCCTATAAGTCTAACAGACCCGGTACACCCTTTCAAAGCTAAGGACTTTGTTTAAGTTAAAAAATGGAATCCAACCACTCTAGAACCCATACAGGATAGGCCCCATATTGTAATCATGTCTACTCCCACTGCTGTTAAAGTTGCAGGTCTCACACCTTGGATTCACCATAGCCAGCTGAAACCAGCGGCAGCAGTAACTCCTGATGATGACCAGTGGATTAACCAACAAGACCCAGATCACCCCATCTGAATAGTCCTATGGCAAAACCCAACCACCAGTAAGAAGGACAACTGCCCTGCTCTGACCACACCGGAAGCTGGTCAGTCTACACATGGCTAAAGCTTGAGGATCCTGCAAGATCTGCTCTAGTCACATCCCGGAAGCTGACTAGTCTACGCACAGCCAAAGCTAAGAGGACCATCTCCGGATAAGTAAATGTAAATACAATTTATAAGCCTAGTTATAATTCTGTCAATACTGATTGTTCTGTTGTTATGTTATTACTGCAAATGCTGCAAATGTCTAGGCCCAGAGGAAGGTTTGCCGTGCCCATGTGTAGTATAAGCATGTTTCTATTACATACACTAATGTTCTTACCATTTCTGCCTATACTGAAAAAGGAGAAATCTCTAGAAAGATGCCCACACTGTGTACACACTACCTGGGTAAGAAATACCTAGTTAAAACTCTACTGTACCATACCTACTATAAATATACAGAAACCAAGTTAGGAACCTGCACATACAACCAGGCCACCTATTCAGTCTGTGACCCAGGAAATAAGCAGCTATATGTATGTTATAACCCTTTTACCCTATGAATTCTCGTTTGAGGTACCCATCAAATCAGAGAAAAAAAAAAAGGAGAGGTTATAGCTTGAACCAAAGAAGCCCCTCCCTCCTATAAAAGGCCTATTTCCTTGTACTTTGATGCCTGCCACGCCACGTATGTTCATAATCATAAAAAACCAGAAGCAGTCTGCAATGGTTTAACACAAGAGAGGCTTAGCAGCAACAGTCCTAAACTTATCTGTACGGAAAACCACAAATCGGATGCCCAAACTGTAACATTCAGTGGTCTGTGCTAACACAGCTCCAACATTTATATTCAGGAAGGACTGCTCTACTAAGTAGTATGTCAACCAAACCAAATTTTAAGATAAGGACACGCAATCCTTTAAATTTTACTACCTTAAAGCCAGAGCTACCTTTTTGGTCTACAGGACAGACAGCACTATTACGAGTTGATAGACAAGAAGCAGGCCTTGAAGTTCCACTACTGATTGTCAAAAAGACTAGAAGGACTCAAATGCATCCAACCCTGCAATTCCAGGTCCATAAGTCATTCTATAAGCATTTTGATCAGCCAGTGTCTGAGCTCCACCCATTAACCAAAAACTTATTTGCTCAACTAGCTGAAAACATAGCTGGCAGCTCAAGAATTTCCTCATGCTATGTATGTAAAAAAACTAATATGGGGAGCCAGTGGCCACGGGAGGCAAAGGAATTAATGCCTTGAGATAACTTCACTTCACCTAACCCTGCCAGTGAACCAACAGCCTCAGCCAGTGTTTGGTTGTTAAAAACCTCCATAATTAAAAAGTACTGTATCGCCCAATGGGGAAAGGCTTTCACAGAGGCAGTAAGAGAAACAACCTGCCTAGGGCAACAGTATTACAATAAGACTAAAAATAAAACTCTATAGAGAAATGCCCAGAACTACTCCTACTTACCAGATCCAAACCCTTTCTCTCGATTCTCTACTCTGAGCCACTCTTGGCATCAGCTAGAGGCTCCAAATGCTTGGAAAGCACCCTCTGGCCTATATTGAATCTGTAGTGTATGGGCATATCAGCAACTGCTGGCCAAATGGACAGGGGCATGTGTGTTAGGCGCAATCAAGCCATCCTTTCTAATTCCTCCAAAGCAAGGGGAACCCTTAAGATATCCAGTTTATGATAAAAATTTTAAAAAACTAGAAGCATAATTACAAAAATAGACACAAATGTCAAAAAGATGTGAACATAGGAGACTGAAAAGATAAGGAATGGCCTCCTGAAAGAATCATTAAATATTATAGGCCAGCTACCTGGGCGCAAGATGGGTCATGGAGATATCGCACCCCAATCTATATGCTCAACCGCATCATAAAGTTGCAGGTAGTCCTTGAAATTATAACCAATGAAACATCAAGGGCACTAGATTTATTGGCAATACAAGCAACACAAATAAGAAATGCTATATATCAAAATAGATTAGCTTTAGATTACCTTTTAGCCTCAAAAAGAAGAGTATGTGGAAAATTTAATTTAACCTACTGTTGCCTAGAGATCAATGATAATGGCCGAGCTATCATGGAAATCACAGCTAGAATGCCCGAGTTGACCCATGTTCCAGTTCAGACTTAGTCCAGGTGGTCCCCAGATTCCTTGTTAGGAAAATGGTTCTCAACCTTTAAAAGATTCAAAACCCTCATTGGTAGGTTCTTGCTTATTCTTGGCATCTGCCTCATCCTCTCTTGCCTTTTACCTCTGTTTATTAACAGTATTCAATCAACTATAAAGGCAATAGTAACCCAACACACTACAGCGTAGTTGATGGCATTAACCAAATATCAGCTGCTGCCAGCAAAAGAAAAATCTCAGCTCCACGGAGAGGCGGCAAAATGTAGTGCTTTCTATTAACACTTTTGTTATAAAAAGCACCAAAGAGGGGAATGGAACAGGAACTAAAAGAAATTAAAGAAATTGTAAGCAGAAACTCAGCTGTATGTAAGAAAACCCCATTCCCCCAGAGAAAAAGAAAGAACTAGAGTCCTCCAACAAATTTACAAGAAAAAAACAACCCCATCAAAAAGTGGGTGAAGGATATGAAGAGATACTTCTCAAAAGAAGACATTTATGCAGCCAAAAGACATGAAAAAATGCTCATCATCACTGGCCATCAGAGAAATGCAAATCAAAACCACAATGAGATACCATCTCACACCAGTTAGAATGGCAATCATTAAAAAGTCAGGAAACAACAGGTGCTGGAGAGGATGTGGAGAAATAGGAACAGTTTTACACTGTTGGTGGGACTGTAAACTAGTTTAATCATTGTGGAAGTCAGTGTGGTGATTCCTCAGGGATCTAGAACTAGAAATACCATTTGTCCCAGCAATCCCATTACTGGGTATATAGCCAAAGGATTATAAATCATACTGCTATAAAGACACATGCACACGTATGTTTATTGGGGCACTATTCACAATAGCAAGACTTGGAACCAACCCAAATGTCCAACAATGATAGACTGGATTAAGAAAATGTGGCACATATACACCATGGAATACTATGCAGCCATAAAAAATGATGAGTTCATGTCCTTTGTAGGGACATGGATGAAGCTGGAAACCATCATTCTCAGCAAACTATCACAAGGACAAAAACCAAACACCACATGTTCTCACTCAAGGTGGGAACTGAACAATGAGAACACAGGGACACAGGAAGGGGAACATCACACACTGAGGCCTGCTGTAGGGTGGGAGGAGGGGGAAAGGATAGCATTTGGACATATACCTAATGTTAAACGATGAGTTATTGGGTGCAGCACACCAACATGGCACATGTATACATATGTAACTAACCTGCATGTTGTGCACATGTACCCTAAAACTTAAAGTATTAAAAAAAAAATTAACTGCCTCTTTTTCTGTGGCTAGTGAGCCTTATCTCTCCTCCTTTCCCAGGCATTGTGAAGACGCTGTTTCTCTAGCTATGCAGCTGCAAGGTCACTAGACAGATAAACTCAAGTTGCAAAACATGTTTTTCCTTGAAAAGTAAGAAATGATAGAATGCATGTCTCAATTAATTGAATAACTGTCTCTGTTTCTTGCTTCTGTAATATGCTTCCCCCTGCACAGATCTCCCCCCACCCCATGAAATGCTTAAAAGGTAACTTAACTCTTTGTTCAGGGCTCAGTCCTTTGGATGTTAATCTGACTGGGCCGGTGCACCTAAATAATAAATATCCTCCTGGCCAGGCGCAGTGGCTCATGCCTGTAATCCCTCATGAGGCCGAGGAGGGTGGGTCACAAGGTCAGGAGATCGAGACCATCCTGGCTAATGTGGTGAAACCTCTTCTCTACTAAAAATACAAAAATTAGCTGGGCGTAGTTGCAGGTGCCTGTAGTCCCAGCTACTCGGGAGGCTGAGGCAGGAGAATGGCATGAACCTGGGAGGCGGAGCTTGCAGTGAGCCGAGATCGCACCACTACACTCCAGCCTGGGCAACAGAGACTCCGTCTCAAATAAATAAATAAATAAATAAATAAATAAATATCCTCCTGAACCCCATCGGTCTCTCTGATTCCTTATCAATCCGGCTACAGTAGGATCTCCATCTGATACCAACAAAATTAGAGTAAGGTGTCAGAAGTGTGGGGAGAAAAGGGAGCTGACAGAATTCAGAACCCCTAAAAATCTTAATTCAGTCCTGGATCCTCTCTTATATTCCCTCGAGATCACATCAGATGCTGGTGTGTGGGAGTTGTTGTCTCACTGGCTCCAGAATATGCAGACCTCTTGTCTTCACTAGCTCCTTCTCCCCCTCCACAGAGGGCATTCTCATTGTAGATAGGAAAAATCATTCCTACTGTCCATTTCTTTGAGATTCTTCCTGTGTAAGTTTGCAGTTGTATAAAACAAAACTCAGAAAGATTTGTAGGGTCTTTCTATTTTTCTGCTCTGCAACATTCTCATGGTACAGCATAGAAAGATAAAGGGTGAATTTCACTGTGTGTAAATTATAACTTAATTTTAAAATGCAACCCTTTTTACAGATCGCTTGAGGTCAGGAGTTCAAGGCCAGCCTGGCCAACATGGTGAAACCCCGTCTTTACCAAAAAATACAAAAATCAGCCAGGTGTGGTGGCACATGCCTGTAGTCCCAGCTACTGGGGAGGCTGAGGCAGGACAATCGCTTGAACCCAGGAGTCAGAGGTTGCAGTGAGCCAAGATCGCACCACTGCACTCCAGCCTGGGTGATGGAGTGAGACCCTGTCTCAAAAAAATAAAACAAAAATAAATAGAAACAAAAAAATAATAAAATGCAATCCTTCTCTAGAAACAAAAAGAAACATAAAAACTCTTCAACACAGAATATAAAACCCTACAGAGCCAGCCCTGTACACCATTCCTCCTCACATTATCCCACTCCTCTCATTACTTGCATTACTTGTGACATTTCAGCCACTGTGGCTTTTCTTTAACCCTGAGAGATCTCCATTATTTATTCAAATAGTTTTTCCTTTCCATTTCTCTCTGTCTCTCTCTCTCTCTCTCTCTTCCCTTGAACTTTAGTTATCTAGGTGTTAGCACTTTTACTCTCTCAACCTAAATAATAAACAGAGAGGCTCTCTCAAAGAAGATATTTATTCAGGAACAGAGCATTGCAATAGAAATACATGTGCCATAGTAAACTATGGGCATGTGCATATTCAGGGAGGTAAAGAAAGACAAAAGTTTTTAAAGGAAACATGAGGAGGATTGTATAATTGTTTTGAGATAATTATCCTTGGCTACAATAATCAATAACAAGGTGATGCTAGTTTGAGGTTAAACTGGCAGTTGCTGGGCAGATATACTCAAAGACGTATTTTTTTGTGTAAAGATGTGATGGCTTTGGTGCAAGTTTGTTGTTTCTGCAGAATCTTTTGTGATAGTTCTTTTTATCAGACATTTATGCATGAGAGCCCTCCCTTCATAGACTTCCCTGGCTCTATTTGTCAGGGTTTTCATTTTTTTCTAACACAAGTGACTGCATTTTGATTCTGACAACTTTCACATTTCCCTCTTTTGATCAAGATCTTTCTTCAAAACCATCATTGATCAATCATCCTGTAGTTAGGTTTTGATTGCCCCTTGATCCTGGAATGGACCTGTCTTGGTTTGGACTGGTCTAGTGCAGTGAGCAAAGATTGCACCACTGCACTCCAGCCTGGGTGACAGAGTGAGACTCTGTCTCAAAAAAGTAAAATAAATTTAAAAAATAGCAAACAAAATTCAACAATACCCTAAAAAGATCATTCACCAGGATCAAGTGGTATTTATTCCAGGGATGCCAGAATGTTTCAATGTATGTAAATAAATAAATGTGATACACCAAATTTACAGAACGAAGAACAAAAACCATATGATCATTTCAATAGATGCTGAAAAAGCATTTGCTAGAATTCAACATCCCTTTATGATAAAAATCCTCAACAAACTGGGTATAGAAGGAACACACCTGAAAGTAAAGAAGACCATTTATGACAAGCCCACAGCCAACATTGAACTGAACATGAAAAAATTGAAAGCCTTTCCTTTAAAATCTGCAAAAGGACAAGGATGCCCACTTTCACCACTTTTATTCAACATAATACTTGAAGTCCTGGCCAGAGCAATCAGGAAAGAGAGAGAAATAAAAGGCATCCAAATTGGAAAGGAAGATGTCAAATTAGCCTTGTACTCAGACGGCATGATCTTATATTTAGAAAAACATAAAGACCCCAAAACTTGTTAGAACTAATACATGCATTCAGTAAAGTTGCAAGATACAAAATCATAATATGCATATGAGGTGGGGTCCTGAAGTCCCCTACAATTACTGTATTGCAGCCTATCTCTCCCTTTAGATCTATTAATATTTGCTTTATATACATAGGTGCTCCAGTTTTGGTTGCATAGATATTTATAATTGTTTTATTCTCTTGCTGAATTTACCTCACTATCATTATAGCATTTATATATGGCAACGGCAAACAATCTGAAAAAAAATCAAGAAAGCAATCCCATTTATAATAGCTATAAAGAATAAAATATACTTATAAATCAGTTTAACCAAAAAAGTGAAAGAAAATTTTTTGCTCAGGATTGCTTTGGTGATTTGGCATCTTTTGTGGTTCCATACAAATTTTAGCATTGTTTTTTCTATTTCTGTGAAGAATATCACTGGTAATTTGATAGGGATAGCATTGAATGTGTGAATTTTCTTCTATATAAAATAATTATAAAATGCTGATGAAAGAAATTGAAGACAGAAAAAATGAAATGATATTCCATGCTCATGAATTGGAGGAAGAATTATTGTTGTTAAAATGACAATACTACCCCAAATGATTTACAGATTCAATGCTACCCATATCAAAATACCAGTGATTTTCTTCACAGAAATAGAAAAAACAATGCTAAAATTTGTGTGGAACTACAGAAGATGCCAAATAGCCAAAGCAATCCTGAGCAAACAGAACAAAGCTGGAGGCATCACACTATCTGACTTTAAAATGCACTACAACACTATATCAGCAAGGTACTGGCATAAAAACAGATGCATAGGCCAATGGAAAAGAATGGACAACCCAGATATAAATCCACACACTTACAGCCAACTCATTTTTGACAAAGGCACCAAGAACATACAATGGGAAAATGACAGTCTCTTCAATAGATGGTGCTGGGAAAACTGAATGTGCAGAAGAATGAAACTAGATACCTGTCTCTCACCATACACTGAAATCAACTCCAGATGGATTAAAGACTTAAATGTAAGGCCTGAAATTATAAACCCATTAGAGAGAAACATAAGAGAAACACTTGAGGACATTTGTGTAGGCAGAGATTTTATAGCTAAGACCTCAAAAGCACCACCAACAAAAACAAAAACAGATAAATGGAACTATATTAAACTAAAAAGTTTCTGCACAGCAAAGGAAACAATCAATAAACTGAAGGGACAACCCACAGAATGGGAGAAAATATATGTGAACTATGCCTCAGACAAGGAATTAATAACCAGAATATATAACGAGCTCAAACAACTTAATAGGAAAAAAGCAAATAATTACATTTTAAAATGGGCGATACTCCTAGCACTTTGGGATTCTGAAGCAGAGGGATCATGTGTTCCCAGGATTTCAAGGTTATGGTGAACTATGATCATGCCACTGCTCTCAAGCCTGGGCAACAGAATGAGACCCCATCTCTCAAAAAAAGGGGAGGAAGGCAAAAGATCTGAATGGACATTTCTCAAAAGAAGACATACAAATGGCCAAGAGGTATATTTTAAAAATGCCGAGCATCACTAATCATGAGAGATATGCAAATCAAAACTACAATGAGGCTGGTTCCAGTGGCTCACACCTGTAATCCCAGCAGTTTAGGAGGCTGAGGCAGGCAGATCACTTGAGATTATGAGTTCAAGACCAGCCTGGCCAACATGGCGAAAGCCGGTCTCTACTAAAAATACAAAAATTACCCAGGCATGGTGGCATGCACCTGTAATCCCAGCTACTAGGGAGGCTGAGGCTGGAGAATCACTTGAATCCAGGAGGCAGAAGTTGCAGTGAGTTGAGATCACACCACTGTTCTCCAGCCTCAGCAGTAGAGCAAGACTCTGCCTCAAAAAAAAAAAAAAAAAAAAAACAAACAAAAAAAAAAAACAAAAAACCTACAGTGAGATACCATCTCACCACAGTTAAAACGGCTTTCTTTTTTATCAAAAAGAAAGGAGCTTTTTCACACTGGTTTTGCCACCAGAACACAGGTGTTGTGAAAACTACCCCTAAAAGCAACAATGGGAATGGAAAAGACTCATATCAACATTGTTGTCATTGGACATGTAGATTTGGGCAAGTCCACCACTACTGGTCATCTGATCTACAAATGCGGTGGCATCGACAAAAGAACCACTGAAAAATTTGAGATGGAGGCTGTTGAGATGGAAAAGGCTCCTTCAAGTATGCCTGGGTCTTGGATAAGCTGAAAGCTGAGCGTGAACATGGTATCACCATTGATATCTCCTTGTGGAAATTTGATACCAGCAAATACTACGTGACTATCATTGATGCCCCAGGACACAGAGACTTCATCAAAAACATGATTACAGGGATGTCTCAGGCTGATTGTGCTGTCCTGATTGTTGCTGCTGGTGTTGCTGAATTTGAAGCTGGTATCTCCAAGAATGGGCAGACCCAAGAGCATGCCCTCCTGTCTTACACACTGGGTGTGAAACAACTAATTGTTGGTGTTAACAAAATGGATTCCACTGAGCCACTCTACAGCCAGAAGAGATATGAGGAGATCATTAAGGAAGTCAGCACTTACATTAAGAAAATTGGCTACAACCCTGACACAGTAGCATTTGTGCCAATTTCTGGTTGGAATGGTGACAACATGCTGGAGTCAAGTGATAACATGCCTTAGTTCAAGAGATGGAAAGTCACCCATAAGGATGGCAATGCCAGTGGAACCATGCTGCTTGAGGCTCTGGACTGCATCCTACCACCAACTCATCCAACTGACAAGCCTTTGTGCCTGCATCTCCAGGATGTCCACAAAATTGGTGGCATTTGTACTGTTTCTGTTGGCTGAGTGGATACTGGTGTTCTCAAACCTGGTATGGTGGTCACCTTTGCTCCAGCCAACATTACAATGAAATAAAATCTGTCAAAATGCACCATGAAGCTTTGAGTGAAGCTCTTCCTGGGGACAATGTGGGCTTCAATGTCAAGAATATGTCTGTCAAGGATGTTCATCGTGGCAATTGACAGCAAAAATGACCCACCAATGGAGTCAGCTAGCTTCACTGCTCATGTGATTATCCCGAACCATCCAGGCCAAATCAGCGCTGGCTATGCCGCTGTACTGTATTGCCACATGGTCCACATTGCATGCAAGATTGCTGAGCTGAAGGAAAAGATTGATTGCCGTTCTGGTAAAAAGCCAGAAGATTGCCCTAAATTCTTGAAGTCTGATGATGCTGCCATCATTGACATGGTTCCTGGCAAGCCCATGTGTGTTGAGAGCTTCTCATACTAAACACCTCTGGGTCGCTTTGCTGTTTGTGATATGAGACAGACAGTTGCCGTGGGTGTCATCAAAGCAGTGGACAAGAAGGCTGCTGGAGCTGGCAAGGTCACCAAGTTGCCCAGAAAGGTCAGAAGGCTAAATGAATATTATCCCTAATACCTGCCACCCGGTCTTAATCAGTGGTGGAAGAATGGTCTCAGAACTGTTTGTTTCAATTGGCCATTTAAGTTTAGTAGTAAAAGACTGGTTAATGATAACAATGCATCATAAAACCTTCAGATGGAAAGGAGAATGTTTTGTGGACCACTTTGGTTTTCTTTTTTGCATCTGGCAGTTTTAAGTTATTAGTTTTTAAAATCAGTACTTTTTAATGGAAACAACTTGACCAAAAATCTGTTACAGAATTTTGAGACCCATTAAAAAGGTTTAATGAGAAAAAAAAAAAAAAAAGAAAGGGAATAACAGATATTGGCATGGATGTGGAGAAAGAGGAACCCTCATACACTGTTGATGGGAAGATAAATTAGTACAGCCATTATGGAAAATAGTGTGGAGTTTCCTCAAAAAACTAAAAAATAGGCCAGGCATGGTGGCTCATGCCTGTAATCTCAGCACTTTGGGAGGCCGAGGCGGGTGGATCACCTGAGGTCAGGAGTTTGAGACCAGCCTGGCCAACATGGTAAAACCCTGTCTCTATAAAAAATACAAAAAATTAGTTGGGCATGGTGGCAGGTGCCTGTAATCCCAGCTACTCGGGAGGCTGAGGCATGAGAATCACTTGAACCCAGGAGGTGGAGGTTGAAGTGAGCCAAGATGGCACCATTGCACTCCAGCCTGGGTGACAGAGCAAGACTCTGTCTCAAAAAAAAAAAAAAAAACACAAAAAAACTAAAACTAAAAAATAGAACTACCATATGATCCAGCAATTTCACTATTGGGTATATAGCCAAAAGAAAGGAAATCAATACATCAAAGAGGGATCTGGATTCCCATGTTTATTGCAGCACCCTTCACAATAGCCAAAATATGGAATTGATCTAAGTACTCCTCAGTAGATGATTCAATAAAGAAAACAGGTGTGTGTGTGTGTGTGTGTGTGTATATATATATATAATATGTATATATATAAAATATGTATATATAATATGTATATATATATGCAATGAATCATTATTCAGCTATCTAAATAATGAAATCTTGTCATTTGCATCAACATGTTAAGTAAAATAAGCCAAGCACAGAAAGACAAATATCACATGTTCTCACTCATATGTGGGAGCTATAAAAGTGGATTTTATGGAGATAGAAAGTTGACTGGTGGTTACCAGAGGTAGGAAAGTATGGGTACAGGGGGAATGAAGACAGGTTAATTAATGGATACAAATATACAGTTAGATAGAAGTAAGACATGGTAGTCAATAGATCAGTAGGGTGACTATAGTTAACATTAATCAATTGAACATTTCAAAATAGCTGGAAAACAATAATATGAATGTTCCTAGTGTAAAGAAAAGATAAATATTTAAGATGATAGATATCCAAGGATTCCCGCAGGTAGTTAGAAAGAGACCACAGACATTGAGGGAAGCTCACTCAGTATCTGCTCCTCACCCTGTCTCTCTGGCAAAGTAGTAAGCGAGGTGCTGAGCAGAATGAGCTACTTTGTGGTTTCCACTGTGAGCAGCCCTGTCCCTCATTCAGTGACTTGTCCTGCAGTGGTGATGGCCGAATAGAAGCAGCTGTGGTCCGCAGCACTCACAGAGAGTAAGGAAAATCGCAAGTGGATTTAGCACCTTCAACTGAAATATCCAGGTTCTCACAATGGGACTGACTAGAAAATTAACCTGACTCAAGGAGAATGAAGAAAAGCAGGTTGGGGCAATGACCCACCCGGGAGTAGCACAAAGCCAAAGGAACCCCCACCCCCAGCCAAAGGAAGTGGTGAGTGATCATGCAACCCTGCCCAGGAAACCATGCTTCTCCCACAGATCTTTGCAGCCCACAGATCAGGAGATCCCCTCGTGAGCCCACACCTCTAGGGCCTTGGGTCCTATACACAGAGCTGTGTGGGGCCTTGGCAGAGCAGCCACTCAGGCACTCGCAGAGACCCAAGACTTTTACATACTCTAGCCCCAAAATCCCTGGTGAGGCAGCAGATCTGTTCATACATTCCCCTAGGAAGGGGGCTGAATCCAGGGAACCAAGAAGTGTCATTCTGCAGGCCCCACTTCCACAGCACCTCACAAGTTAAGACACACTGGCTTGGAATTCCAGCCAGCCAGGGGCAACAGGCTGAGCCCACCTGAGATAGGAAGGAGTTCCCAGGGGAGGGGTGGGCACTATTTTCATAGTGCGGTCAACTAGTATTCCAGCCTGCCAGCTCTGGAGAGTGTAGGTGGTCAGGACAAGAGGGAACCCCCTAATGCAGCACATTTGACTTGCCAGATTGTGCCCAGACTGCCTCTGTAAGCAGACCCCGATCAAGTCCTCCTCACTGGGTGGGGTCTTCCTGTGGGAAGCCTTCAGTTACTCCAGCCAGTATTATAAAGACCTGATCTCTCCCTGGGAGGGAACTTGGTGGGGGCAGGGTAGGCGGCAGGGATGGCTTCCATATCTGCACTTCAGTTGACTCAGCTATTCAAGCCTGCCAGCTCTGGAGAGTCTAGGCATCTGGACAAAGAGTAGCCTTGTCAACACAGCAAACCTGCTCTACCAAAAAGCAGCTGGACTGCTTCTGTAAGTGTTTCCTGAATTCTATTCCTCCTACCGGGTGAGACCTCCCAAGAGGGGTCTCCAGACACCTCCTACAAGAGTGTTCAGGCCAGGAAAAGGTCAGTAACCCCCGGGGACAGAGCTTCCAGAGGAAAGAGCAGGCTGGCATCTTTGCTGTTTCACAGACTTCACTGATGATACTTCCAGGTACAGGAAAAACTGAGGCAACTAGGGTCTGGAGTGGACCCCCAGAAAACCACAGCAGCCCTACGGTTGCTAAGTCAGTGCCCTGTTAAGAGAAAAACAAACAAATGGAAAACTATGACAACAATATCAACCAAAAAGACCCCACAAAAAGCCCATTCAAAGGTCAGCAACCTCAAAGATTGCAGGCAGATAAGCCTACAAAACTGACACTGAATCAACAAAACAATTCTGAAAACTCAAAAAGGTGGAGTGCCTCTTCTCCAAATGACTGCAATAACTCTCCAGCAAGGGGAATGAACTGGGCAGAGGCTGACATGGCTGAATTGACAGAAGTAGGCTTCAGAAGATGGATATTAATGAACCTTGCGAGCTAAAGGAGCATGTTGTAACCCAATGCAAACAAGTTAAGAATCATGATGAAACAATACAGGAGCTACTAACTAGAATAGCCAGTTTAGAGAGGAACATAACTGACCTCACGGAGCTGAAAAACACAACATGAGAACTTCACAATGCAATCACAAGTATCAATAGCAGAATAGACCAAGCAGAGAAAAGAATCTCAGAGGTTGAACACTATCTTTCAGAAATAAGACAGACAGATGAGAAGAAGAAAAAATAATAACAAAGGGTTAACAAACTCTCTGAGAAATATGGGATTATGTAAAAAGACTGAACTTAGCACTGATTGGGGTACCTGAAAGAGACAGGGAGAACAGAACCAAGTTGGAAAACATACTTCAGGATATCATCCAGGAAAACTTCCCCAACCTAGCAAGACAGGCCAACATTCAAATACAGGAAACCCAGAGAACTCCAGTAAGATACTCCATGAGAAGATCAACCCCAAGACACATAATCATCAAATTCTTCAAGGTCAAAATGAAGGAAAAAATGTTAAGGGCAGCTAGAGAGAAAGGTCATGTCACCTAAAAATGGAAGCCCATCAGAGTAACAGTGGGACTCTCCGTGGAAACCCTATATGCCAGAAGACATTGGAGGCCAATATTTAACATTCTTAAAGAAAAGAATTACCAACCCAGAATTTAATATCTGGCCATACTAAGCTTCATAAGCGAAGGAGAAATGAGATCCTTTTCAGAAAAGCAAATGCTGAGGGAATTTGTCACCACCAGGCCTGCCTTGCAAGAGCTCCTGAAGGAAGCATTAAATATGAAAAGGAAAAATTGTTACCAGCCACTACAAAAACACACTGAAGTACACAGACTAGTGACACTATGAAGCAACTACATAAACAAGTCTGTAAAATAACCAGCTGACATCATGATGACAGGATCAAATTCACACATAAAAATATTAACCTTAAATGTAAATGGGCTAAATAAATGTCCCAATTAAAAGACACCAAGTGGCAAGCTGGCTAAAGAGGAGACCCATTGGTATGCTGTCTTCAAGGGAACCATCTCACATGCAAAGACACACATAGGCTCAAAAGAAAGGGATGGAGGAAAATTTACCAAGCAAATGGAAAACAGAAAAAAGCAGGGGTTGCAATCTTAGTTTCTGACAAAACAGACATTAAACCAAAGATCAAAAAAGACAAAGAAGGGCATCACACAGTGGTAAAGGGTTTGATTCAACAAGAAGAGATAACTATCCTAAATATATATGCACCCAATGCAGGAGCATCCAGATTCAATTCACAAAGCAAGTTCGTAGAGTCCTACAAAGAGATCTGGACTCCCACACAATAATAATGGGAAATTTTAACACCTCACTGTCAATATTAGGCAGATCATTGAGATAGAAAATTAACAAAGATATTCAGGACCTGAACTCAGCTCTGGATCAAGTGGACCTGATAAAACAGAACTCTCCACCCCAAAACAACAGAATATACATTCTTCTCATTGCCACATGGCACTTATCTAAAATTTATCACATAATCAGAAGTAAAACATTCAGCAAATGCAAAATAACTGAAATCATAACAGTCTCTCAGACTACAGCGAAATCAAATTAGAATTCAAGATTAAGAAATTCACTCAAAACCACACAACTACATTGAACAACCTGCTCCTGAATGACTCCTGGGTAAACAATAAAATTAAGGCAGAAATCGAGAAGTTCTTTGAAACTAATGAGAACCAAGAGACAACGTACCAGAATCTCAAGAATGCAGCTAAAGCAGTTTATAGCACTAAATGCCCACATCAAAAAACTAGAAAGATCTCTAATTAACAATCCAACATCACAACTAAAAGAACTAGAGAACCAAGAGCAAACAGATCCTAAAGCTAGCAGAAGACAAGAAATAATCAAGATCAGAGTTGAACTGAAGGAGATAGAGACATAAAAAACTCTTCAAAAAAAATCAGTGAATCCAGGAGGTGGTTTTTTGAAAAAATTAATCAAATAGATAGACTGTTACCTAGACTAATAAAGAAGAAAAGAGAAAATAATCAAATAAACACAATCAGAAATGATAAGGGGGATATTACCACTGACCCCACAGAAATATAAACAAACACTGGAGAATACTATAAACACCTCTATGCACATAAACTAGAAAATCTAGAAGAAACTGATAAACACCCTGCCAAGACTGAACCAGGAAGAAATTGAATCCCTGAATAGACCAATAATGAGTTCTGAAATTGAGGCAATAATAAATAGTCTACCAACCAAAAAAAGCCCAGGACCAGATGGATTCACAGCTTAATTCTACCAGAGGTACAAAGAAGAGCTGGTACCATTTCTGCTGAAACTATTTTAAAAAATTAAAAAGGAGGGACTCCTTCCTAACTCATTTTATGAGGCTAGTGTCATCCTGATATCAAAACCTGGCAGAGATACCACAAAAAAAGAAACCTTCAGGCCAATATCCCTGATGAACATTGATGCAAAAATCCGCAATAAAATACTGGCAAATCAAATCCAGACATTTATATAGTCAACAAACATATGAAAAAAAAACAAACTCAACATCACTGATCATTAGAGAAATGCAAATCAAAACCACATTGAGATACCATCTTACAACAATCAGAATAGCAATTATTAAAAAGTCAAAAACAACAGATGTGCTCTTGAGGTTGTGGAGAAATGGAAACGCTTTTGCACTGTCCGTGGGAGTGTAAATTAGTTCAACCATTGTAGAAGACAGTGTGGCAACTCCTCAAAGATCTAGAGGCAGAAGGACCATTTGACCCAGAAATCTCATTACTGGGTCCATACCCAAAGGAATGTAAATCATTCTATTATAAAGATACATGCATGCATATGTTCACTCCAGCACTATTCCCAATGGCAAAGACATGGAATCAACCCAAATGCCCATCAATGATAGACTAAGGAAAATTTAGTACATACACACCATGGAATACTATCCAGCCATAAAAAGGAAAAAGATCATGTCTTTTGCAGGAACATGGATGGAGCTGGAAGCTGTTATCCTCAGCAAACTAACACAGGAACAGAAAACCAAACATCACATGTCCTCACTTATAAATGGGAGCTGAATGATGAGAAGACAAGGACACACGGAGGGAACAACACCTACTGGGGGCTGTTGGGGGTGGGAGGTGGGGGAGGGAGAAGATCAGGAAGAATAGCTAATGGATGCTGGGCTTAATACCTAGGTAACGAGATGATCTGTGCAGCAAACCACCATGGCACACGTTTACCTCTGTAACAAACCTCCACATCCTGCACGTGTACCCCTGAACTTAAAATAAAGTTGAAGGAAAAAAAAAAGATGATAGATATCCCATCAACCTTGATTCGATTCTGTGACTGTATCAAATTATCACACACACTCCAAAAACATGTACATCTATTATGTATCAATAAAAGAAATACTAAGTGGAAATGATGAGAGTAGGAGGAATATATGGAAAGGAAGAAAGGAACACTCACATTTTTAAACACCTACTGTGAGCTAGGCACCTAATCAGCATTTTCTCACTTATTCTTTTTTTTTAAATTTTATTATTATTATACTTTAAGTTTTAGGGTACATGTGCACAACGTGCAGGTTTGTTACATATGTATACATGTGCCATGTTGGTGTGCTGCACCCAGTAACTCGTCATTTAGCATTAGGTATATCTCCTAATGCTATCCCTCCCCGCTCCCCCCACCCCACAACAGTCCCCGGTGTGAGATGTTCCCCTTCCTGTGTCCATGTGTTCTCACTGTTCAGTTCCCACCTATGAGTGAGAACATGCGGTGTTTGGTTTTTTGTCCTTGTGATAGTTTGCTGAGAATGATGGTTTCCAGTTTCATCCGTGTCCCTACAAAGGACATGAACTCATCATTTTTTATGGCTGCATAGTATTCCATGGTGTATATGTGCCACATCTTCTTAATCCAGTCTATCATTGTTGGACATTTAGGTTGGTTCCAAGTCTTTGCTATTGTGAATAGTGCCACTATAAACATACGTGTGCATGTGTCTTTATAGCAGCATGATTTATAATCCTTTGGGTATATACCCGGTAATGGAATGGCTGGGTCAAATGGTATTTCTAGTTCTAGATCCCTGAGTAATCGCCACACTGACTTCCACAATGGTTGAACTAGTTTACAGTCCCACCAACAGTGTAAAAGTGTTCCTATTTCTCCACATCCTCTCCAGCACCTGTTGTTTCCTGATTTTTTAGTGATTGCCATTCTAACTGGTGTGAGATGATATCTCATTGTGGTTTTGATTTGCATTTCTCTGATGGCCAGTGATCATGAGCATTTTTTCATGTGTCTGTTGGCTGCATAAATGTCTTTTGAGAAGTGTCTGTTCATATCCTTCGCCCACTTGTTGATGGGGTTGTTGTTTTTTCTTGTAAATTTGTTTGAGTTTTTGTAGATTCTGGATATTAGCCCTTTGTCAGATGAGTAGATTGTGAAAATTTTCTCCCATTCTGTAGGTTGCCTGTTCACTCTGATGGTAGTTTCTTTTGGTGTGCAGAAGCTCTTTAGTTTAATTAGATCCCATTTGTCAATTTTGGCTTTTGTTGCCATTGCATTTGGTGTTTTAGACATGAAGTCCTTGCCCATGCCTATGTCCTGAATGGTATTGCCTAGGTTTTCTTCTAGGGTTTTTATGGTTTTAGGTCTAACATTTAAGTCTTTAATCCATCTTGAATTAATTTTTGTATAAGGTGTAAGGAAGGGATCCAGTTTCAGCTTTCTACATATGGCTAGCCAGTTTTCCCAGCACCATTTATTAAATAGGGTATCCTTTCCCCATTGCTTGTTTTTCTCAGGTTTGTCAAAGATCAGATAGTTATAGATATGCAGCATTATTTCTGAGGGCTCTGTTCTGTTCCATTGGTCTATATCTCTGTTTTGGTACCAGTACCATGCTGTTTTCATTACTGTAGCCTTATGGTATAGTTTGAAGTCAGGTAGTGTGATGCCTCCAGCTTTGTTCTTTTGGCTTAGGATTGACTTGGTGATGCGGGCTCTTTTTTGGTTCCATATGAACTTTAAAGTAGTTTTTTCCAATTCTGTGAAGAAAGTCATTGGTAGCTTGATGGGGATGGCACTGAATCTATAAATTACCCTGGGCAGTATGGCTATTTTCATGATATTGATTCTTCCTACCCATGAGCATGGAATGTTCTTCCATTTGTTTGTATCCTCTTTTATTTCACTGAGCAGTGGTTTGCAGTTCTCCTTGAAGAGGTCCTTCACATTCCTTGTAAGTTGGATTCCTAGGTATTTTATTCTCTTTGAAGCAATTGTGAATGGGAGTTCACTCATGATTTGGCTCTCTGTTTGTCTGTTATTGGTGTATAAGAATGCTTGTGATTTTTGTGCATTCATTTTGTATCCTGAGACTTCGCTGAAGTTGCTTATTAGCTTGAGGAGATTTTGGGCTGAGACAATGGGGTTTTCTAGATATACAATCATGTCATCTGCAAACAGGGACAATTTGCCTTCTTCTTTTCCTAATTGAATACCCTTTATTTTCTTCTCCTGCCTGATTGCCCTGGCCAGAACTTCCAACACTATGTTGAATAGGAGTGGTGAGAGAGGGCATCCCTGTCTTGGGCCCATTTTCAAAGGGAATGCTTCCAGTTTTTGCCCATTCAGTATGATATTGGCTGTGCGTTTGTCATAGATAGCTCTTATTATTTTGAGATACGTCCCATCAATACCTAGTTTATTGAGTTTTTAGCATGAAGGGTTGTTGAATTTTGTCAAAGGCCTTCTCTGCATCTATTGAGATAATCGTGTGGTTTTTCTCTTTTGTTCTGTTTATATGTTGGATTACATTTATTGATTTGCATATGTTGAACCAGCCCTGCATCCCGGGGATGAAGCCCACTTGATCATGGCGGATAAGCTTTTTGATGTGCTGCTGGATTCGGTTTTCCAGAATTTTACTGAGGATTTTTGCATCGATGTTCGTCAAGGATATTGGTCTAAAATTCTCTTTTTTGGTTGTGTCTCTGCCCGGCTTTGGTATCAGGATGATGCTGTCCTCATAAAATGAGTTAGGGAGGATTCCTTCTTTTCTATTGATTGGAATAGTTTCAGAAGGAATGGTACCAGCTCCTTTTTGTACCTCTGGTAGAATTCGGCTGTGAATCCATCTGGTCCTGGACTTTTTTTGGTTGTTAAGCTATTGATTATTGCCTCAATTTCAGAGCCTGTTATTGGTCTATTCAGAGATTCAACTTCTTCCTGGTTTAGTCTTGGGAGGGTGTATGTGTTGAGGAATTTATCCATTTCTTCTAGATTTTCTAGTTTATTTGCATAAAGGTGTTTATAGTATTCTCTTATGGTAGTTTGTATTTCTGTGGGATCGGTGGTGATATCCCCTTTATCATTTTTTATTGCGTCTATTTGATTCTTCTCTCTTTTCTTCTTTATTAGTCTTGCTAGTGGTCTATCAATTTTGTTGATCTTTTCAAAAAACCAGCTACTGGATTCATTGATTTTTTGAAGGGTTTTTTGTGTCTCTATTTCCTTCAGCTCTGCTCTCATCTTCATTATTTCTTGCCTTCTGCTAGCTTTTGAATGTGTTTGCTCTTGCTTTTCTAGTTCTTTTAATTGTGATGTTAGGGTGTCAATTTTAGATCTTTCCTGCTTTCTCTTGTGGGCATTTAGTGCTATAAATTTCCCTCTACACACTGCTTTGAATGTGTCCCGGAGATTCTGGTATGTTGTGTCTTTGTTCTCGTTAGTTTCAAAGAACATCTTTATTTCTGCCTTCATTTCGTTATGTACCCAGTAGTCATTCAGGAGCAGGTTTTTCAGTTGAGTAGTTTCCATGTAGTTGAGTGGTTTTGAGTGAGTTTCTTAATCCTGAGTTCTAGTTTGATTGCACTGTGGTCTGAGAGACAGTTTGTTATAATTTCTGTTCTTTTACATTTGCTAAAGAGTGCTTTACTTCCAACTCTGTGGTCAATTTTGGAGTAGGTGTGGTATGGTGCTGAAAAGAATGTATATTCTGTTGATTTGGGGTGGAGAGTTCTGTAGATGTCTATTAGGTCCGCTTGGTGCAGAGCTGAGTTCAATTCCTGGGTATCCTTGTTAACTTTCTGTCTCATTGATCTGTCTAATGTTGACAGTAGGGTGTTAAAGTCTCCCATTATTATTGTGTGGGAGTCTAAGTCTCTTTGTAGGTCACTAAGGACTTGCTTTATGAATCTGGGTGCTCCTGTATTGGGTGCATATATATTTAGGATAGTTAGCTCTTCTTGTTGAATTGATCCCTTTACCATTATGTAATGGCCTTCTTTGTCTCTTCTGATCTTTGTTGGTTTAAAGTCTGTTTTATCAGAGACTAGGATTGCAACCCCTGCCTTTTTTTGTTTTCCATTTGCTTGGTAGATCTTCCTCCAGCCCTTTATTTTGAGCCTATGTGTGTCTCTGCACGTGAGATGGGTTTCCTGAATACAGCACCCTGATGGGTCTTGACTCTTTATCCAATTTGCCAGTCTGTGTCTTTTAATTGGAGCATTTAGTCCATTTACATTTAAAGTTAATATCGTTATGTGTGAATCTGATCCTGTCATTATGATGTTAGCTGGTTATTTTGCTCCTTAGTTGATGCGGTTTCTTCCTAGCCTCGATGGTACTGGTTGTTCCTTTCCATGTTTAGTGCTTCCTTCAGGAACTCTTTTAGGGTAGGCCTGGTGGTGACAAAATCTCTCAGCATTTGCTTGTCTGTAAAGTATTTTATTTCTCCTTCACTTATGAAGCTTAGTTTGGCTGGATGTGAGATTCTGGGTTGAAAATTCTTTTCTTTAACAATGTTGAATATTGGTCCCCACTCTCTTCTGGCTTGTAGAGTTTCTGCCGAGAGATCAGCTGTTAGTGTGATGGGCTTCCCTTTGTGGGTAACCCGACCTTTCTCTCTGGCTGCCCTTAACATTTTTTCCTCCATTTCAACTTTGGTGAATCTGACAATTATGTGTCTTGGAGTTGCTCTTCTCAAGGAGTATCTTTGTGGCGTTCTCTGTATTTCCTGAATTTGAATGTTGGCCTGCCTTGCTAGATTGGGGAAGTTCTCCTGGATAATATCCTGCAGAGTGTTTTCCAACTTGGTTCCATTCTCCCCATCACCTTCAGGTACACCAATCAGACGTAGATTTGGTCTTTTCACATAGTCCCATATTTCTTGGAGGCTTTGTTCATTTCTTTTTATTCTTTTTTCTCTAAACTTCTCTTCTCGCTTCATTTCATTCATTTCGTCTTCCATCACTGATACCCTTTCTTCCTGTTGATCGCATTGGCTACTGAGGCTTCTGCATTCGTCACGTAGCTCTCGTGCCTTGGTTTTCAGCTCCATCAGGTCCTTTAAGGACTTCTCGGCATTGGTTATTCTAGTTATCCATTCATCTAATTTTTTTTCAAAGCTTTTAACTTCTTTGCCATTGGTTCGAATTTCCTCCTGTAGCTCAGAGTAGTTTGATCATCTGAAGCCTTCTTCTCTCAACTCGTCAAAGTCATTCTCCATCCAGCTTTGTTCCATTGCTGGTGAGGAGCTGCATTCCTTTGGAGGAGGAGAGGTGCTCTGATTTTTAGAGTTTCCAGTTTTTCTGCTCTGTTTTTTTCCCATCTTTGTGGTTTTATCTACTTTTGGTCTTTGATGGTGGCAACGTACAGATGGGTTTTTGGTGTGGATGTCCTTTCTGTTTGTTAGTTTTCCTTCTAACAGACAGGACCCTCAGCTGCAGGTCTCTTGGAGTTTGCTAGAGGCCCACTCCAGACCATGTTTGCCTGGGTATCAGCAGTGGTGGCTGCAGAACAGCAGATATTGGTGAACCGCAGATGCTGCTGCCTGATCATTCCTCTGGAAGTTTTGTCTCAGAGGAGTACCCGGCCATGTGAGGTATCAGTCCACCCCTACTGGGGCATGCCTCCCAGTTAGGCTATTCGGGGGTCAGGGACCCACTTGAGGAGGCAGTCTGCCTGTTCTCAGATCTCAAGCTGCGTGCTGGGAAAACCACTAATCTCTTCAAAGCTGTCAGACAGGGACATTTAAGTCTGCAGAGGTTACTGCTGTCTTTTTGTTTGTCTGTGCCCTGCCCCCAGAGGTGGAGCCTACAGAGGCAGGCAGGCCTCCTTGAGCTGTGGTGGGCTCCACCCAGTTCGAGCTTCCCAGGGGCTTTGTTTACCTAATCAAACAACTAACTCAGCAATGGTGGGTGCCCCTCCCCCAGCCTCGCTGCCACCTTGCAGTTTGATCTTGGACTGCTGTGCCAGCAATGAGCGAGACTCCGTGGGTGTAGGACCCTCTGAGCCAGGTGTGGGATATTATCTCCTGGTGTGCCGTTTTTTAAGCCCATTGGAAAAGCGCAGTATTAGGGTGGGAGTGACCCAATTTTCCAGGTGCCGTCTGTCACCGCTTTCTTTGACTAGGAAAGGGAATTCCCTGACCCCTTGTGCTTCCCGGGTGAGGCGATGGCTTGCCCTGCTTCAGCTGGCACACGGTGCGCTGCACCCACTGTCGTGCACCTACTGTCTGGCACTCCCCAGTGAGATGAACCCAGTACCTCAGTTGGAAATGCAGAAATCACCCGTCTTCTGCATCACTCACGCTGGAGCTGTAGACCAGAGCTGTTCCTATTCGGCCATCTTGGCTCCTCCAGATTTTCTCACTTATTCTTGAAAGAATTTTTCCAGATTATTATTGTTAACCCAGGAGGCTGTCAAATTAGAAATGAATCTGTGCCTCAAAAGTTAAAGAAACCAGTAACTAATAGAAATAATTGAGTTTGCAAGATGGCAGCTAAGAAAGAAATAATTTGTTGTTAACACTGAAACTCTCTCTGCTTATGAGATAAAGTAACTAACATCAGTTGGAATCAATATGGCCAGTGCATGTCTGTGCAGAACCAGCTTGCTGACATCACCACCTGAATTTATATGAAATGATTCATACTAACTCCCCTTGAATTTGCACATGTGATCCATGAGGTATCATGAAGAGACAACTGCACATCCCCAGAGACTTTCCAGACCTCCACTTTTCTTCCACCAATCACCTAATCTCAAAATCCACCCCCTGAAACTTTTCTAATAAAGATACTGCTTTGAAGCCAGCACAGAGAGACAGATTTGAGCTTCACACTCCTGTCACCTTGTGAGTTAACTTCCAATAAGACGTCTTTCTTCTCTCAAAACCTGGTATCATAGTATCGGCTTCTAGTGCATTGGGCAGCAAGCTCCCTTTAGCTTGATAACAGAGTCTCAGAGTAGAATGTCTTTAAAATCGTCTCTACCCTGCCTCCTGCATCAGCCAGCTAGTCCATGCTTACACATGCCCTGTGCTTTCTCAGCTTTGCTGTCCCACTGCCTGGCCTACAGCAGGCCATGCCCTGGAAGACTCAATTCTGAGTGCAGCCAGCCCTATGAGAGGAGCCACCACACTGGGCACAGCAGTATTGGATCAGCTCTGTGATTGGGGTGAGATTTGAAGAGAGGTCTCCTCCACCTTCTGCCAGACTGCTGCCTGTCAGGACTATTCTCTCTCCGACCCTAGCAAAGACTATTTGGAAGAGCCAACACTTGTGAAGTGGAACATATTGCTGGATCTTGAATCATTCCAAGCTTTCCTTAGGGGACACTGCAAGGGATATATTGGAAGACCTGTCCTGGACCCTGCTCCTTCACTTACAAGCCAGCCTGAACTAACCTCTTTGAGGTTAGTCACTGGTAAGATAGGGATGATGAAGATGATGATGATGTGCCATCTCTCCTGCCTATTCTATAGAATGGCCTTATATCCAATCTGTAACCTGCAAAACCTTTGTACACATACAAAGGTTATTAATAAAATAAACAGCATGTAGCCTTCTACTGGTAGTATAACTTTGGGCAACTTATTGAAACTTTTCTGGGCTTCAGTTTCCTTATATGTAAAATTGGGATAGTAATAATGTATTCCTCTGGTCTATGTGTTCAGGGTTTTGAAATGGTGTTCTAACATCACCTACTATTCACTGGCTAGCAGTACCACTACTTGCCTACAGTAGAATAGAAAGAATTGGAGCTCATTCCTGTGTGTATATATACGTGGTATGATATGAATATGTCTGTCAAAGAAAGGCTAAAGCACTGGTCCAGATTAAAGGAAACTAAAAAGACATGACATCTCACTGAAATATTAATATATAATTCTAAATTGGATTCTGGATAGGGGAGAAAATGCTGTGAAGGACAGTTTGAGGACAATTGGTGAAATTCAGATTTGGACTGTATATGAGATCTTATAAGTATTAAAAGAAATAAAGCAGAAATATTTATAACAGTACCTGGGGTGTAGAAAGCACAATAATTAGTCATTACCTATAGGATGTAAGCCATGTTTTGTTCAGTACCATATCCCCAGAACCTAGAGCACATAATATGTGCTTAATTTTTTTGAGTGAATGAAGAAACTGGGCTCCTACAACAAGACAGAGCTAAGAACTAGGGTGAGGTGCCCAGGGCCAACTGTCCTTACATGCAGGGACTGATTGTCATTGTTGGTTCCTAGTCATTGTTGGTTACCTTAGTGACCCTTGGCATGCAAAACATTCTAAGATTGATCCAATTATTCCAGGTACCTGGTTAACACAACCAAAATTCCTGGCAGCTCTACACATCAAATGCATTTGTAATTTACTAACTTATGATTGCTTAGTGTTTTGCCTGGCAAGGCAAGGGGGTGGGTTTTGCTGCTGTCCTCTGCCTCTCAGGAGACAAAGACAGGCTCTGCTTGGCTGAGGAAGAACCTCAGGCCAATGCTCATCTAATAGGAGTGAAGCTAGCCTTTGTGAGGAGGTTCAGTTGGCAGATCTCAGCTGGATGTCGTGCTGCAGAGAGGTCTCAGATGTCTGGTGGGGTGCCGACATGCAGCACCCCTTCTCCAAGCTCTGGCTGGCAAGCACCTGCCACCCAGATCAGCTGGTCCAGCTCATCACTGTGTGTGTCCTCATCGCCAGATGCTGGGCAGCTGAGGCTGGTCATAGAGCCCCAGAATGAGACAAGTAACACCTTAGATAGTATTCGATCTGCTGCTCTCCTTTGACAGATGAGGAAACTAAGGCCTGGAAATACAAGTTGGCCTGCCCAAGGCCACAGCAGATATTGGCAAATTCATGAAGACTTAGGGCCAGGGCTCCTGATTCTTAGAAGGTGCTCATTACACTTGGCTCTGTTAGCCTATTTTGAGGGGTGAGGATCTCAAAGTGAGGCCACCAAGGGCTAAGAGACAGTACCTAGAGGTCCCTTCACTCTTACTGACTCTGTAGCCATCCTCTAGTTTCTCTTGAACATTTCTGATGTGGGAAAGTTGAATTGTCAAACCCTAGTGTGGGTAGAAATGGGGAAAGAAAATCTGAGCAGTAGCACCTGGAGGGAAAGCAGCAGTTACATTTTAATAAGATAATTTCTAGGCCGGGCACAGTGGCTCACGCCTGTAATCCCAGCACTTTGGGAGGCTGAGGCAGGCAGATGACCTGAGGTCAGGAGTTCAAGACCAGCCTGGCTAACACGGTGAAACCCCATCTCTACAAAAATACAAAAGTTATCCAGGCATGATGGCGGGTGCCTGTAATCCCAGCTACTCGGGAGGCTGAGGCTGGAGAACTGCTTGAACCCGGGAGGCGGAGGTTGCAGTGAGCTGAGATCATGCCACTGCACTCCAGCCTGGAGAACAAGAGTGAGACTCCATCTCAAAAAAAAAGAAAAAAAATAGGCAGAATTAAAAGTGAATTGTGTGCAATTTAAGTGCTAAGAAGTAGCATCAACTGGATGTCATCCCTTTCATATTTTCATGAGTAACCTCATCCCAAAAAAGATTTCAGTCCAGGCTTCGTTAATATAATCATTGCTTAAAAAATTCTTTGGGCTCAAACTGGAGAAGGAGAGATTTTTTTCCTGTTGAATTCAGATGAAACTAGCATCTTGGAATGCTTGCTCTGGCAGGTACTGAGCCAGGTCCATTCACATTATCACTACCTCATGCAGTTTGCACAGCAATTTGCAGGGAGGGTGGTGTTATTCTCATTTTTACACATTTGAACATTGATGCTCAGAGCAGTTAAGTGACAAGCAGCAGTAAGTGTGGCATATTAATGGGAAAAAGTTTCCGAGATTGAATTCAAATGCCACTACCATCCACTAGCTCACAAAAGAAGAGCTTCCTGCAGAATGGCAGTAACAATTGTTGATCATTCCTTCACACCTGACCCCTCGCCTTTAAGAACTTGTCTATTTATAAGTAATTTAAGAAGCTATGTTTCTCTCCATCTGTTTAGGTAGAGAAGAGCATATAGAGGGAATTGTGAGTAAGCCAGATTAATGCACCAGAAAAAGTAGAAACTGCACCAGAAAAAGTAGAAACTGCACCAGAAAAAGTAGAAACTGTACCAAGAACAGGAAGGACGGATTGGCACCAGTGAATTCAAACAATAACCAGGTAGAAGATAAAAGAAGGTGTTGTCATGTGATGGATTATCCAAAATTCCCAGTGGGGAGGACTAGCTATCTGGACTCAATCATCTACTCTGTCTCCCAGAAAAGGGAGTCTCTGGTTGAGCCGCCTTTTTTTTTTTTTTTTTTTTGAGATGGAGTCTCACTCTGTCGCCCAGGCTGAAGTGCAGTGGCGCGATCTCGGCTCACTGCAACCTCCACCTCCCGGGTTCACACCATTCTGCTGCCTCAGCCTCCCGAGTAGCTGGGACTACAGGCAACCACCACCATGCCCGGCTAATTTTTTGTATTTTTAGTAGGGATGGGGTTTCACTGTGTTAGCCAGGATGATGGCTGAGCCTTCTGATTGTAATAGGACAGTAAGGAGATAAAATAAACTACATAGTCAAACAAGGTGAACCGTCTTAGAAGCAGAACCTGAAGGAACTGGGGAGCAGGAGAGGGAGGCACAGAGGAGCTGGAAGCTGAAAGGAAACAGGCAGGGGAAAGAATGTGTCTTTGAATTGCATATCAGCAAGGCTCTCCAGTGTGAGTGAGACTTGACCAGTTTGTAACTTCCCGTGTACGGAAATCCTTCTAACATGCAAATCTGACCCTTTCATTCTCCTGCTTAAACCTCTTCAGCATAAAGCCTACATTCTCCTACATGGTTGATGGAGGGCCCCAGGCTCTCCCTCTGGCCTCCTCCCTTCCATTCCTTCCCTCCTACTAGACGTTTCCACATTTACAGTTCTAGGAATCTGACATGCTCTCTCTTACCTCTGGGTATTTGTACATGCTCTGCAAGATGAAAACAGACTCATCTATTAGTAAATGCTTGAATGAATGAGTCAAATCGGAAGGTACTGGGGACAGTCCACCACCCCTTTTGGACTTTTCAGGTCTCAAGCAGTAGCCACCTCCAGTCTGATACAAAGGATTACTCCCTCCCCAGTGCCAGCTGGAGCCCCATCATGGTGAGGCTCTACAATGAGTTCATGGAGAAGACTGTGGATGGGTCATGGACAAGACTTCCAGGTTGTTGGTGCTCTGTGCAATTCCTTAAAGAAGCAGACCTTACTAAGATTGCTAAAGCTGTCCCTGGTATGTTGAAACCCCCTACACCAGTAGGGTTTAACTGGGCTTGCAGGGGTGCTCTAAATAATACAGAACTGTTGGCAAAACTTTGTTTATGCATATGCATTTTCCTCAGTGCAATCTGTGCCCCAGCCTATCTCCTATATCTCCTCTGTGGCTTGCATTAGCCTGAAAGTCAGGACCAAGGGAGTCTGGAGATCATGATCCCTGATTCATATGATATTAGCCCAGAAAAGGAACTTGGAGCCACTTAGTTCAAGGCCCTCATCTTACACGTGAGAAAGCTGAAGCCTAGAGAGGTGACAATGAGTTTTTGTCAGATATTGGACTAGCATCAGAAACTCCTGACTTTTAGTTCAGTGTTCTCTCCACTTCTATCCGAAGCCACTCCTGGCATCTCCTTATACTTTCCCACCACAGCTGGTCTCCTGTATAGACCAGACAGATGAAGCATACATGAGGAATTGGAAAGGGGCAGCGTCTGGGACCAAGGGCCAGTGCCTTCACCCTGGTACACCCAAGGCCAGTAGCTCAGTGACAATGCCAGTGGGACTATCAGGTAATTTACAGACACCTGAAGCCAGGACCCAGAACCTGTTGGGAACAGGACACGTGTTCCCTCTAGTGGCCAGTTTGAGCTGAGCTTCTGACTGGGTGAAAGAGAACAGATGGGAAAGAATGGCAGATGATGGAGTGCCACGCGTGTTAAGAAACAAAGGGGCCAGAGGGAAAGACTTCTAATTTACATACCTAATCTGTCATTAGAAATTCTGCTTTGAGATTTTTGGTAAAAATGCAGATGTTTGGTAAGTATTTGGAATTAAAAAAACATAGACACAGGGTCTTGCTCTGTCACCCAGGCTGGAGTGCAGTGGTGCAGTCATAGTTTGCTGCAGCCTTGAACTCCTGGGCTCAAGAGACTGTCCTGCCTCCACCTTCCGAGTAGCTGGGACTACAGGCTCATTCCACCACACCTGGCTACTGTTTTTATTTTTGTAGAGACAAGGTCTTGTTATGTTGCCCAGGCTGGTCTTGAACTCTTGGGCTCAAGAGATCCTGCTGTCTCGTCCTCCCAAAATGCTGGGATTACAAGCCGGAGCCACTGAATCTACCCTAAGTATTTAATTTTATATATGGGAGGCTTCACTCTTGACCTCTAATTAAGGCCCATAAACTGGCCAGGCGCAGTGGCTCACATCTGTAATCCCAGCAATTTGGGAGGCCGAGGCAGGCAATCACCTGAGGTAAGGAGTTTGAGACCAGCCTGGCCAACATGGTGAAACTCCATCTCTACTAAAAAAACAAAAATTAGCTGGGCGTGGTGATGTGCGCCTGTAATCCCAGCTACTCAGGAGGCTGAGGCAGGAGAATCACTTGAGCCCGGGAGGCGGCGGTTGCAGTGAGCTGAGATTACACCATTGCACTCCAGCCTGGGCAATAGCACAAGACTTATCTCAAAATAACAAACAAGAAAGTTGAGGTGAATACACAGCTAGCAGGTGACAAATCCAGGATCAAATACAGAATCAATGCCTGATTCCAAAGTCCACTTTCTTTTTACAGCATTACTCTGCCTCAGTGGTCTCTCAAAGACACACAGAAAAAAGCAGGAGATAGCCTCTACCCTTTAAGGAAGGGAAACAAGGTGTATTTGTCAGGGAAATATGTGTCCTGATTTTCTTTCATCCAGATTATGAAAGATAATCTCCTTTACTTAAAGTCAACTGATTACAGAGGTTAACCACATCTACAAAATACCTTCACAGCAACACCTGGATTAGTGTTTAATTGAAAACTGGGTATTATAGCCTAGCCAAGTTGACACATAAAACTGACTGTTACACAAGATGCTGCTTATAAATGAAGTCATTCTGTCCAAGATAAAGAAAAGCTGGCCTGGCATGGTGGCTCATGCCTGGAATCCCAGCACTTTGGGAGGCCAAAGTGGGCGGATCACCTGAGGTCGGGAGTTTGAGACCAGCCTGACCAACATTTTGCTAATTTTGCTAAATGCAAAATTAGCCAGGCGTGGTGGCGCATGCCTATAATCCCAGCTACTCAGGAGGCTAAAGCAGGAGAATTGCATGAACCCAGGAGGCGGAGGTTGTGGTGAGCCGGGATCGCAGCATTGCACTCCAGCCTGGACAACGAGAGTGAAACTCTGTCTCCAAAAAAAAAAAAAAAAAAACCTTCCACATATGGATAGAGCTATAAGCAAACCACAAAACCACAAGTGGGTCCTGCTTACCCCTGTGGGAAATTCAGATCAATCAGGACCTAGAAGATTTGTGACCAGAAAATATGTGCTTATGTTTATAAACTTTTAGCCAAAATGTTGCCCGTTTCCTCATTGTGAAGAAAGCAGGAAAACAAGAAGAGTTTGATTTTTTCCATAAGATGGGGAACTGCTTTGTCAAAATATTGATGGAGTGACTTGTGGCTTCCATATGACAAAACACAAAACACCACACTGCCTGGGCACGCACCATGGCTCCTCTCCCTTCCACTGCCCCTAACAACTTGGTCCTTGGAGTAGAATGTGAAGATCCCACTCCTGCAGGAACGCAGTCCACCCCACAGAGCCATCTGCCCCTCCCTCGGATACCAGCTTGTAAGCCGCTCTAACTCATTGTTCTCTCGTAGCCTGGTCACCCTTGGCTCAGGGGTGAGGTTACAGGCAATAGTCACTGGCACAGAAGGAAGAAAGGTGTTTCCTTCTTGTGAAGCCAAAAGCAGTGACAGGACCATCCTCTTTGTGGAAGTTTCTGGGTAAAGCCATTAGAATTCCCTTTTTTTCTGCAGTATTCACCCATTCTTGTGATCAGGCAAAGAGTGGCTTCCCCCACTGGTGAAGACAGTGCCCTTGGAGACTCTTAAGGCTTCTCTTTCAGGTTGTGCATGTTTAGGATGGGAGCAGATATTCAGATGGAGAGGAGCCTCCATTAGTTACAGGACGAAGACTATCATAAGATGCCCATTAGACCTGAGAGGCCAGTAGGCATAGAGAGACTGATGAAGATGGGCGGTAAGGGAGGTTGTAGCAGAGAGAATGCATGGTATCTCCCCTCTCAATCCCCTATTGGTTTCCAAAAGGCAAAGGCTGGCCTCATTGTTTTGGCATCAGTAGAAGAGAAAATTTAGATATTTCCAGAAGCAGCTCTGGCTCCAGGCAGGTAGAAAGATCTTGCTGAGCTGGTCTGCTGGAAACATGGAGGTGGGGGCAGTGATTTACCTGTGTGCTTTTCACCATTCCAGCCATCTTCTTACAAATGAAGTGACGCAGATGCAAGGTGCTGCAAGGCCCACCTCCTCCTGCTCTGACAGGCAGACAGGAAACCAAAGCCCCTATCTGAGCAGCCTCTGTCTCTCCCATTCACCTCCAGCTTCCCATGTGGACCTTTGCCTTTTCCTTCTTGGATGGTGGAAACTCCTCCAGATGTCAAGACTTGCTGTGAATAAAGTTTTAAGAGGAGGTCATGTATCCAAACTGATACATGTGTATTTCTTCCTGGGTAGAGGGTGTCTACAATCCTTGGGATGGGAAAACATCATGTAACCTGATCATACAATCCAGAAAACATGGGCCACTTTGGATCTTTGAGGGACCAGTGTGTAATTGAGGGAAGTTAGGTCATAAGAGCCAAATCACCTTCCCTTGACTGCAGATAAATCCATTAAGGCTTGCCTTATGCTAATGACCTTGTTTTGAATTAAAGTCACAATGTTTTCTTTTTAAAAAAAAAAATTCACTCCTCCAACTTTGCCATTAAGTACTGCTCCAAACCCCCCACTCATCTGCCAATGGGTGATGCTCTTTCCCCATGATCATTATATATCTCTGCATCCCCACAAACATCCAGGGGAGGAGATGTGGGAAAAGAAGGGCCTGTGGGCTTTAGAGTTATGAGTAAGCATGGCAGGAGCAGATACAGAGGAGGGAAATCTGCCAGCTGCCACCCTTGAAAGCCAGCCCATTTCTTCTGAGCCCACAGCCAAGCAGGCATACCTGGAAGGGTGAGGGAGTGGAGGGCCGGCTTTCACTCTAGATCCCACCTGTGTTCCCACACCCAGAGTGGCCAAGAGCAGTCTCTAAAATACGCCAACCCATGATTTCTCAAAAGTAGGGATTCTTGTCTTATGGAATCAGTGCAGCGGGGGTGGGTGTCAGGGTGGAATTAGGTCTTCCTTTAAAAAGAAGTTTCAGTGCATAGTTATCAACATCACTACTGCACAAAGAAAAATAAGCCTTGCAGCTTAGAACAAAGGGTAGCAAAGTATTCAATCACCAGGCAGGTTTGTAATTTTGTTTCGTTTTGTTTTTTGAGATGGAGTCTCGCTCTGTCGCCCAGGCTGCAGTGCAGTGGCACGATCTCGGCCCACTGCAAGCTCCACTTCCTGGGTTCACGCCATTCTCCTGCTTCAGCCTCCCGAGTAGCTGGGACTACAGGCGCCTGCCACCACACCCGGCTATATTTTTAGCAGAGACGGGATTTCACCATGTTAGCCAGGATGGTCTCGATCTCCTGACCTCGTGATCGGCTCGCCTCGGCCTCCCAAAGTGCTGGGATTACAGGCGTGAGCCACCGCACCCGGCCTGTAATTTTTTTTTTTTTTTTAATGTTTATACTTTCCTTAATCCTTTCTGGGAATAACCTCCTCTGGGACCACTTTCCTTCCTGTTCTATGTACCTCAGAAGCACAGGAATGAAGCCTGAAAAAATATTATCTTGCTCCCTAAGTCACTTTCCTTTCTGATCTAGTTCTTGGGTGATGAATGAAGGTGGAAAGTAGCGAAGGTTGCTATGAAAAGCTTGGACTTTATTACCAGGGCCACTGCATTTTCAACAGGAGTGTCAGGATCCCAGCAGTAATGCTTTTCCATGGATCAGCCAGACAGGCATAAGGGGAAGTTGGGAGACCAAAAAAGCCATTGACAGATTCCAGGTGAGCAATAAACCAGAATTTTGACCAACTAGACCAGCGCTGTCCTACAGAAATGTAATGGGAGCCACATGTTAAAGTTTAAATGTTTTACTAGCCACATTTAAAAAGAAACACATGAAGTTATTATTATTTGTTTTAGAGACGGGGTCTTGCTTTGTCGTCCACGCTGGTCTCCAACTCCTTGGCTCCCTCAAGCAATCCTCCAGACTAGGCCTCACAAAGTGCTGAGATTACAGGCCTGGGCCACTGCCCCCGGCCTGAAGTTAATTTTAATATTTCACCTAACCCAATATATCCAAAATATCATTTCAACATATAAAAATTATTGAGATTTTACCTCACCAGTCTTAGACATCCAGCGTGTGGTTTATGCATACAGTACATATCAATTCCACACTAAATTTTCAGCATTTAAAGGGAAATATGGTCCTGAAAAAAAAACAACAAAACAAAAAAACGCCTGTTTAAGGAGAAAGCATTCCACACTGCTTGTTTTAATATAATTAAAATTAATGTATCAATTAATAAATCAATAGCCCACGTTGGCTAGTGGCTGCCTTACTGGGCAGACCAGGTCTGGATTGTAAATACGTTCAGACGTTCCACGCAAAAGCAAAGTTCCCTGCAGACGCTCCATTAAGTTCTGGGTGCAAGGAAGCGCGGATCCTTCAGTTCTGGGCGTTTTCACCAGGTGGCACTCAGAACACCCTCACGTGACAAGCGTCCCACCCGGAAGCGAAATCTCCCCTTCTACAGAGTTCCTCCGGCGCTTCCTCCACCCCGGGATACACAGAACCTCATCTCCTACGGTGCTGAAGCCTGCAGCAGGGCAGGATGGGCAGGAGAGCAGAGCCGCGGAGTCTGCGGCGCGGGTGAAGAGCGGCGCGTAATTCCCGCAGCAAGATTGTTCCGCGCCCGCAGCCCCTGGACTAGCAGGATCCGAACCCCGGCGGCTGCGTGCTTATAGGCGCAGACGTCAGAGAGCCCGCGGCTTAAAGCGCGTCGCCTGGCTAGCGCCACCCCCTAGCCTTCTTCAAGGCCTCCAGGGCTGGGCCCAAGCGCCCGTCGACGGCACCCTGGGCCCAGAGGACTCGCGGGCCTCATCTCCAATGATTCAGAACTCACGTCCGTCGCTGCTGCAACCCCAAGATGTCGGAGACACGGTGGAAACGCTTATGGTGAGGGCACTGCGGGGAAGGAAGGGCAGGGGTCCGAACCGCGGGCTCGGGCCGGAGAATTCGGGGCGTTGCTAAGGCTCGGCTACCCTTTTCCGCGCCCCAGGGTGCGCTCAGGATTTAGGATGCGGCGGGAGAGGAGTCTGACTAAGGGAATTGAGAAGGGGGCAGGGAGTGAGGAGAGGCCAGGAGCTGCAGGCCAGCCCTGGGGGCAGGCGCTGTAGGGCCGATGTCCCGGTAAAGGGCGGAATTGCCGGGGCCTGGACTGGACGCGTGCCGGGGAGTGTGCCCGCGCGGCCCCCACAAGGTGCGAGTAGGCTGCCAGGTGGAAGGGCACCCGGGCAGATTTGGGACGGTCACAAGGCCTGATAATAGCGCTGACGCTGAGAAGCCGTTGATGCCGCAGCGAGCTGGCCGGGTAGCGCTGTGCGCCCGCGGGCGGCGGCCTACCTGGAGGGGCCAGTCGTGGCGGCACCCTTCCAGCCTGTTGGGACGGCGCGTGGTCCCCCAGCGACGCCACGCCTCCTCCGGCGTTCGATTGGTCATCGTGCCCGGGCCGCCGGGCCGCTATTGGTGGAGGCGGAGGCGGGGCTGGCGGCGTGGTTGCCCGGTAGGTGGAGTCGGGGTGCAACCAGTCTTTAGACGCTAAAGGCCTGAGGCCACTGCAGCTGCCGCAGCTCTCCCTCTGAGGTCTTGCGCCCGAGGTAGGGGCGGCTTTTATTTTTTTTTTTAATCCTTAAAGGCGGAGACGGCGGCGGTGGCGACTTTACGTTGACGTCTTTGAAAACCTGCTTACCTTTTTCAGGGCTCTCCAGCCCTCGCCTCCAGATGTGAATTGGACTTAGGATAGTTTTTTCAGGGCAGTAGGAATTGCTTGTGGATCCAGTTTGTACTCTTATGTGCTACTTATTTCGTGTGCGTATTATTGTTTATGCCCTCTTCTTTCTCCCCTTAAAAAGAAACTACTTTTTTATTTACCTTGAATATATTTTTGAGCTTTCTTTTCTTTTTTCTTTTTTTTTTTTTTTGAGACAGAGTCTCGCCCTGTCGCCCGCGCTGGAGTGCAGTGGCGTGATCTCGGCTCAACTGCAACCTCTGACTCCCGGGTTCAAGTATTTTTCCTGTCTCAGTCTCCCACGTTGCTGGGATTACAGGCGTGCGCCACCACGCCCGGCTAGTTTTTGTATTTTTAGTAGAGAGAGGGTTTCACCATGTTGGCCAGGCTGGTCTTGAACTCCTGACCTCAAGTGATCCGTCTGCCTCGGCCTCCTAAAGTGCTAGGATTACAAGTGTGAGCCACCGCGCTTGGCCTTGAGCTACTTTTTAAAAGTTAAGTTCACTCGCAAAGGATGTGTGCCATTCACCATTGACAAAAATCTTAAGACCATTCAGTATTACCTGTTGGGATGGTTTTTGTTGTTGTTGTTGTCTTGTTTTTGCCTATTAGAAGTTGATCTATACTGCTAGTATAAATAACATCTGCTCTGTGCTAATGGACTGGGAAAAGTACAAAGCTAAAAAAGTTATTGGCTCAATAACTTGAGCCAATAACATGTCTAATCACTGTGCTGTGAAATAAAAGACGTTAAGAAGATATTTCCTGCAATCAAGGGTGGGAAGGTCAAGGACAGCAGCAAATTTGTTTTAAAACAAATTCCACACAGCACCTGTGTGAGCACTGGGGAAGCAGCGCCTAACATAACTGCCCAGAAACTAACTGCAGGTCATTCCTATAGCCTTGCTGGAGCAAGGGGCCTGGAGAGAGGTGGGGGAGATTAACCCATCCTGGGATGAGTCATGCAGGGCCCACCGAGCCCTATCATGTGGGATTGTGCTCAAAGGGAGAGCATAAGGTTTCCTGTTAGGTGGTAAGATTCATTCCGCTGTCACTGCTGAACACCTACTGTGCACCAGGCTCCGAGGTCAGTTCTTGAGATATCACCATGAACAAGACAGGCAGGAGTTGTGACTATTCTGTCTTTGACACGCAGTCATAAGGGAGATGGGGACAGGTGTTGCTGTAGAAGCCGGAAGGAGAGGCACTGAACTTGGACATGGGGGAGTTAGGGAGCAAGACCGGTGCTAGGGCATAACAACATGTCAGAGTTTTCAGAGGTGAAAGTAAGGCGGAGTCCTCCAGTATGGCTGCAGAGTGTGTTAGTGGGAGGGTGAGAACATAGGCCAAAACGGTTAGCAGGAGCCCTGTGATACATGAAAGGCCCTGCAACCAGCAGTTTGGACTTTATCCTGAGAGGAATATGAACCAATTAAAGGGTATTGGTTTGGTTGGGTTTTTTAAAATTATAATTCAATTAGTATTAATGACAAATTTGTGGGATACTCTGTAGCTCCTAATACATTTGTCATTACTTGTATTTTTATTCCATCTTTTTTTTTGGTCTTGTTTTTAAGCTAGTAACTTCAAATTTCACAAAACATTATCTTTCATTGAAGGGTTTTATTTCTGAAAGCAGCATGATCAAATTTGCAGTTTTAAAAGATGACTCAGGCGGGGCATGGTGGCCCACACCTATAATGCTAACACTTTGGGAGGCAGAGGTGAGCAGATTGCTTGAGTCCAGGAGTTTGAGACCAGCCTGTGCAACATAGCGAAACCCCGTCTCTACAAAAAAATTAGCTGGGCACGGTGACACACACCTGTGGTCCCAGCTACTCGTGAGGCTGAGGTGGGAGGATCACCTGAGCCTGAGAGGTCATGGTTGGCAGTGAGCCATGATTGTGCCACTACACTCCAGCCTAGGCATCAGAGCAAGACCTTGTCTCTAAATAAATAATAAAACAGAAGATGACTATGGCTTCAGGGTAAAGAGTGGATTAGAGGGGTCATATAGATGACAAATGGGTAAAAAATTGGTGGCCGTCACCAAGGCAAGAGATAACAGGGTTCTCAGCTGGAATGGATTGGTGGATTTGAGAGCTGTTTTGGAGATAGAGTGAACAAGTGTGGAGAGGCCAAGTCCAAGGATGGTGCTCAGGTTTCTGGCTGGGGTGCTAGAGAAATGGCATGGCATTCACTGGGATGGGGCACCTTGGAGGAGGAGCTGGTCGGAGGTGTGGGAGAAAGGTAAGTTCAGGTTTGGAAACATCATCTGAGGTGGCCATCTGAGTACGTGGCTGTGTGAGACTGAGCTCCAGCGAGAGGCTGAGAGTGTGGAGGGGAGGGTGGAAATGGAACCCTTGGAAGTGGATGAAGAGCCATGGGAGTATGGTTCATTTAAGGGAGAGGCCAGAGAAGTGGGAGGAAACCCAGGACAGTATTAATCTCTGAAGCCAAAGGAAGAGAGCATTTCAAGGAGGGAGTGGTGGTGAATAGTGGAATGCACTGAGTGGCCTAAGTATCCTGGATTTTCACTTTAGACTGGGTGGTATGGTGAAAAGAGTATGAACTTTAAGTCCTGGCCAGTGGCTTCAACCCCTGTGACATAGGACACATTTGTAACCTCTGTGAGCTCCAGTTTAATCTGTAAAACGGGTTTAAAATACCTAGCTCATAAGATGCTATGAGATTTTGAGGTGGTGTCTATAGATGCCTCGCCCAGTGCTACTCTGGGAGCAGAGTGGAGGGTGGGTTGGCATAGTTGAGGCTGGAGACTGCTGCAGAGGTCATTAGGATGGATCAGTGGAGGCCAGACTGGGAAGATTGAGGGCTTGGTCAGTGGGACTTGGTCATGTAGCAGCAGGCATGGTGAGTTTTATGTGTCTCTGAGGTTTCCAACCTGGATTCCTGGAGTATCCCAGTGTGGATTGGAGAAGAGGCAAGTGTGTGGAGAACTGTTGACCAAGTTTCCATTTTGGACATGTTGAATTTGAGATGCCTGTGGGCCATTTGAGGGAAGACAAGGAGACATTAGCAGAGTCTGGGGAGAGGCCAGCCTGGGCTGGAGATGTGGGCATTACCAGCATGTGTGTGAAGCCTGGATATGGGTGAGGTTACTCTGAAAGGAGATAAGAGGAGCAGTCCTATGTGAAGGGCAGGCCAAAGAAGAGAAGGAGAGAGAAACCAGAAACTGTGAGGAGAGGCACTCAGCTATATGGCATGTACCAGAGAGGCCAAGTAAGATAAGGGCAGGGACAGGAACGGGGTCCTGGGGTGCAGCAGGTGCTTGGTGAGCCCTCAGAGGCTGTGTTAGTGGAGGAGATTTAGCTGGATAGCAAACTGGGGGGGCCTGCGGAGGGACTGGCACAGAGCAAGTGGAGATGGTGTAGCGTCAGGCTGGAAAGATGGATGCTTTGGAGCCTGTTGCCTGGCAGAAGAGGAGATGCCAGTGGGAGCGAGAGACCCAGTGTGTGAAGAAGGGGGGCTCATTAATGCCACAAAGTCTTGGGGAGAGACTAGAAACACAGAACTCATGAGAATATTGGTTGGCAGAAGAGCAGGACACCTCTTGGGGAGAGGGAGTTGATGTAGATACAGACTTGCTAAAATACGCACACCTTACTTGGTTTTACCTGTTGTCTTATCAGACCACCCTTTGGTACTTCAGAAGTTATTGCATCGTGGTTGTAAACTCCAGTTTTTAATGACCTTAGTTCCCCCCACCCCCTGCCTCCAACAGTCTTATGAGGAATTCCAGTTATAACTGGCTTCTTTGGTGGAATTTGAGATACACTCTCTTCTCTGTTAAGCAAATACTGCAGATTACAAATATTTCAGTTCCAGGTAAGTAGTTATGTGATGTGTAATGGAAACTTTATATATATTCATCTTAATGTTTTAGGGCCACAATGTGTCATTTATTTAAAAAATAATAGTGCAAATGCCACTTAATAAGGGAAGAGGTCTTTGGGGATGAATTTGCCAAACATTTTTGGAGAAGATAGCTATTTGTTTATTTATTTATTTATTTATTTTAGGGAAGGGGAAGAAGGTCACTGGTTGGATTTTAAGTACCTTTTCACAGTCATTTGTGATACTACTGGGTTCTAGGGGTCTGGAGAAAGGATGCTGTCCTGTAATGATAGCACCAGTGCTGGAAGCTGCAGCTCCTGGAACTAAGGGAGGTATATTTAGTCTTTGAAGGAGTTCCACCCTTCCAGGTGGTGTCTGTAGATTAGCCAGTGTATATGACGGTTCATGGGTTGAAGGAGAAGCAGCAAAGCCAGGGGAGGCTACTGGTCTGTAGGACTGTGTGATCTGCTTAGGGCCCAGTGAGATGGTAAGGGGAAAGTTTTAAATGAAGGAAATACTAGGTTCTACAGGAAGTGGCACTTACATTTTACACAGTGGTTGAGCTTAAGGTTTCATTTGCTTTGGCTTGGTCCTATAAATACCTATAGGTCTTAGAGCGAAGGGAGTCTGCACATCATCAGTTCAAAGTGAAAGCACTGCATTCAATTGACTTTGCTTTTGCAAAGATAGGGAGATGACCAGTAACTTTTTGAGTCAGAACAAATAGGGAAGAGTGGTCAGTGGCATGGAAATAGTTTTGCTCCCACTGAGCAATATGTCTATCAGCAATACGAAGACCAGAGATACCTCTTGCAGCATCCAATGTCCTCAATAACATTGCAGTATTTTTAATTTCTGGCTATACTTTTTCCTTCTCCGAGGTATGAAGAAAACATGAGGCACCACCAGGTAAGTGTCTAAGAGACCATTATAAAGGAATTTGCTGGTCAGGTATAGAGAAAGGTGAGGCTCACACAGGCAGAGCTACTGACACAATATTGTCTTATCCTGCAGTTACATCCGGTGATCAAGGCTTTCCTGTGTGGCTCCATCAGTGGGACCTGCTCTACCCTCCTTTTCCAACCTCTGGATCTCCTTAAAACACGCCTGCAAACCCTCCAGCCCTCAGATCATGGGTAGGCCCTGCATTTCATTGGGGAACTGATTTCAGCAACTTCTCAGACACAGGAACATCTTTACTGTGTTAAGTCAACTTCCATTCTGTTGGATGTTCAGAGAGAAACACAGGCCATGCCCAACTTTCATATGTTCTCTGAATTGTTTTTATATTTGACATTTCTTTTTAATTAAATGGGGTCCGTTCCTGAGCAGCTTCCTGGAATCGGCTCAGTGACATTTACACTTTATTGTGTTAGCTTGTGATGTTATAACTGTATTGCCTGGCATGAGAGTACCAGGGGATTTTCTGGAAATAACATCAGTATTATCTGTTTTTGTTTTTGTTTTATTTGTTTTTTGAGGCAGATGCTCGCTCTGTTGCCCAGATTGGAGTGCAGAGGTGCGATCTCAGCTCACTGCAACCTCTGCCTCCCAGGTTCAAGGGATTCTCCTGCCTCAGCCTCCCAGGTAGCTGGGATTGCAGGTGCTCGCCACCATACCCAGCTAATTTTTGTAATTTTGGTAGAGATGGGGTTTCGCCATGTTGGCCAGGCTGGTCTCAAACTTCTGGCCTCGAGTGATCTGCCCACCTCAGCCTTCCAAAGTGCTGAGATTACAGGCATGAGCCACTGCACCCAGCCTCTATTGTCTGTTTTGTGTGTGCCAACCTACGAACACATAGAGTATCTCCAAGGTGCATTGTAGAGATTGTTAAGTGTCCTAAAAATGAGTCTATAAAGGAAGTGTTTGAGTGGGGAATTGTTTTATGAGGAAGTGATCTAAGTGATTTTTTCCTTCCTGTCTCCATTTTGTCTGCTTTCAGGTCTAGACGTGTTGGGATGTTGGCTGTACTCTTGAAGGTGGTTCGCACGGAGAGTCTTTTGGGCCTTTGGAAAGGGATGTCCCCTGTAAGCTGCCATCTGGGTCTAGGTTCCCTAGCATCCACTCCTTAATAACCAGCTATTTCTCATCTACCTTACCAGCTCTTAAGGATATGTGAGAGTCAGAAGTGGTGGGAGTACCTATGTGGTCTTATCTCTCATACTACAACTAACTTCTGTTTGAAGGCTCAGGGATATGTTGCATTTGCACATTATGCTTAGATGTGATTTATTAGTGCAGCATAGTCTCTACAGCATAGGTACCTAATGTCCCACCTGTCAGAATGCCCTTGCTCTTATCACTTCAGTAAAAGTGGGATGGTACCTCCACACCAGCATTTCTTTGCTCAAAGGCTTTTTCTGGCCTTAGGGACTCACGCCAAGGAATTAGTGCCCAGCCCAAACCCAAATCAGAAATCCATACACTGATTTCTCTATTATCCCAGTAATGTACTTCAGAGTAATTTTGTGTTTTGTTTTCAAGAGTATAGGCCAGTTATATAACTCACTGTAGGTTTATTTGCAGTTTCTTTGTGATTAGATTTAGTTCTACATTTTTAGCAAGGAGACCACAGAAGTGATGTTGATTTCCTAACCCACAGCACTGTGCATTTCCAAACCCACAGAGTCCTCAACCACTGAAAGATGAGAGTTGGTGTTTAAAATCCCATGTCCCTCCCCACTCAGTTGGAGGGATAACTCTGAGGTGTGTTCTACACCGATTCCCAGAGTTCCCCAGTGGGATTAAGTTGCCCACAGCAGAAACTGGTTTTATAACATCGTTTATTGACTGCCTTCTCTCCTATCTCATGTCCCCCACTTCCCTATTGGTGTTCCTTCCACACCTTAAACAAAGCACTTGCATGCGAATCATCTTGGGGTCTTTTGGGAAAACCCAGCTAAGATAATACTTAAAGTGTTTGGTCTTTGATTTTCTTTTCTCCCTGACCTTCTCTGCAGTCCATTGTGAGATGTGTCCCTGGCGTTGGAATCTACTTTGGCACTCTCTACTCTTTGAAGCAGTATTTCTTGCGAGGCCATCCCCCAACCGCCCTGGAGTCAGTCATGCTGGGGGTGGGCTCTCGCTCTGTTGCAGGGGTCTGTATGTCACCTATCACTGTAATCAAGACGCGCTATGAGGTGAGTTCAACCACTTTAGGGCCTCAGGATAGTTCGGCTTAGCCACTGGGCTCCTGGGGAGTGACCACCGATGTCAACTCCTGATTTGTAATCTAACATAGAGTCTGATGTGGTCAGACAAGCCATATGTGAACTAGATCCCATGGTAATGCCCCATAACCTGCAGTCTGCTTGTTCAGTGCTGAAATGCAGCGCCTCCATGCGAGTCACTGGTTCTGTGCTCTCTTTGCAGAGTGGGAAATATGGCTATGAGAGTATCTACGCTGCCCTGAGGAGCATCTATCACAGTGAGGGGCACCGGGGCCTCTTCAGTGGCCTGACAGCAACTCTCCTTCGAGATGCGCCCTTCTCAGGAATCTACCTGATGTTTTACAACCAGACCAAAAATATAGTGCCTCATGGTAGGGATAAAGGAAGATCTGGGGAAGAGCTATCCTTGAGACATCAGATCCTCACCATTTTCTCTGGGATATGAGACTATGTGTTTCTCTTAGCAGAGTGTTAGGAACTGAGCCATATCATGATTGTGTCAGGAACTGGGATGCAAAGGTGGATATGACAAACTTGATCCCTGCCCTTTGGAGTTTACATCCTATTAAGGCAAACAGTATTTACACCACTATAATTTGGCGGGGTGAGGATAGGGTGGGTGGGAGGGAAATAAAGCATGCTTTGCAGAGTTTCTGCAACAGTACTTCCCAAATTTGATCTTAAGATTGCTGGGTCCCATCCAAGGCCTCTTAGATGAGAAACCTTGGGGTACAACCTAGGAGTCTGTATTTTTCAAGACGCACTTGATGTGATTCTTGTTAAAGTCAGGGAAACAGTAGTAAGTTAGGAGTTTAAAGAAAAATAATATTTTCATCTCCCTTGCTGTGTTCCCAGTTAACATGGTTTTGAGCCCTCCATTTAGGTGGAGATGAAGGTGTCAAACTTCAGTCAGTGGGGGAGGCCCACCCCACCCCACCAGTTAGCTCAGGTTGGGCTAGACATGGACAAAATTGGTAGGCAGTAAACAACGACCCAAGCAGAACAAGGTATTGCTAGAAACACATCCATAGAATGAACCTGCATGTAATAAAGTGTCTATGGATAATTTGAGCAAGGAATTGCAACCAAGGTCCTTTAATTAGGAATGTCAGCATGCCCGCCATCATGACTATGGGGACCAGCTACAGCTGGAGTGCCTTGGGAGATTTGCTGCTTCTACCCAGGCACCAGAAGGTGTAACTCTGCAGGTCACAGCCTTATTTTGTGACAGAAAGTTAAGGCAATAAGGAAGCATAGATGGGCAATTTTTAACTTCTCAATCCATCTTTAAAAATTTCTGAGGCCCATCACTTCTTGGCCTTTTGGCTAAGATCAAGTGTACAAATTTCTGAGGCCTGGTGCGATGGCTTATGCCTGTAATCTCAGCACTTTGGGAGGCCGAGGTGGGCAGATCTCTTGAGGCCAGGAGTTCGAGACCAGCCTGGCCAACGTGGTGAAACCTGGTCTTTACTAAAAATACAAAAATTAGCTGGGCATGGGTGGCACATGCCTGTAATCCCAGCTGCTTGGGAGGCTGAGGCACGAGAATCGCTTAAGCCTGGGAGGTGGAGGTTGCGGTGAGTTGAGATCATGCCACTGCACTCCAGCACTCCAGCCTGGGTGACAAAGTGAGACTCCGTCTCAAAAAAAAAAATCGATCTGGTATTTGGAAATAAACTTGCAAAAAAGCCACAAGAATAGTACAATGTACATATTTTTTTCCTGCCCTTTGAGGGTAAGTTGGAAACATGATGCCCTTTTAACTTTAAGTACCTCAGTGTCTATTTCCTATGAATAAGGACATCCTGTCATATAACCATCTTATGAAATTCAGGAAGTTTAACCTAGATAATTTTTTCTTTTTTTTGAGACAGAGTCTTGCCCTGTCACTCAGGCTGGAGTGCAGCAACGTGATCTTGGTTCACTGCAATCTCCTCCTCCCTGGTTCAAGTGATTCTTGTGCCTCAGCCTCTGGAGTAGCTGGGATTACAGGTGCATGCCACCATGCCTGGCTAATTTTGTATTTTTAGTAGAGACAGAGTTGCACCATGTTGCCCAGGCTGGTCTTGAACTCCCAGGCTCAAGTGATCCTCCCGCCTCGGCCTCCGAAAGTGTTGGGATTACAGGCATGTGGCCCAATTCTTTAACCTACAGTCCATATTCTGATTTCTCTAATTGTCCCAATAATGTACTTCGTAGTAGTCCTGTGTTTTATTTTCAAGAGTATAGGCCAGTTATATACCTCATTGTGGGTTTATCTGCAGTTTCTTCATGATTAGATTTTTAGCAAGAGGACCACATAAGTGATGTTGTATCCTCACTGCTTTATATCGGGAGGGTCATGACATCAATTTGACCCATTATGAGTGATAGTAACACTTTATCACTTGGATAAGATACTGACAGGTATCTTCCCTGAAAACTCACCTATTTTTCCCATTGTAATGTCTAAGTATCTTTGTGGGAAGATAACTTTGAATCTGTATAAACATCCTGTTTCTTTTTCCCACATGTTTTAAAATCAGTCAATGATTCTTGCCTGAGTCAGTTATTGTGATGGTGGTTTGAAAAAGGTGCTTTTCTAACTCTATCATTCCATCCACATAAATTTACTAGTTGCACCTTTAAGTTTTGAATTCGTAGCCTCATTTGAATCCAGACCTTTCTTGGTTTGGGGAAGAATTGGTGGGCAACTTGCACTGACCTTTATCTGATTAATATAAGATCTATGTCCACATGTTACCTTTGTTCTATTTCAGACCAGGTGGATGCAACCCTTATTCCTATTACAAATTTCAGCTGTGGGATATTTGCTGGTATTCTGGCCTCACTGGTAACTCAACCTGCGGATGTTATCAAAACTCATATGCAGCTTTATCCACTGAAGTTTCAATGGATTGGCCAAGCAGTGACACTTATTTTCAAAGTAAGACTACAAAATAAGTACTGGTTCTTGTGGTGTTTAAGGATCTCTTTCTAGAGCAGTAGTTCTTACCCTTCACTCACATTAAAATTGCCTAGAGAGCTTTTAAAAATCCCCATGCCCAGGTTAAAATCTAGGCCAACTATATCAGAATGTCTAGTGAGATTTTTTTTTTAATGTTCCCCAGTGATTTTAATATGTTTTAAGGTTGAAAACCACAAAATTGATATTTCTTTGAGGGGTGGAGACACTTACATTAGGAACACCTGTGATATTTGTTAAACACTGCAGATTGCTGAACTCTACCCCAGACTTACTGAATCAGGAAATCGGGGTGAAATTAGTACTCTAATTGAGGACCTAGGGTAAAGTACTATTTAGTCAGAGGGAAAAAAAAAACCCACACAAACACATTGTTTTATTCTAGCAGTTTGCTCTAATATACAGGTGTCTAGTCTTTTGGCTTCCCTGGGCCACATTGGAAGAAGAATTGTCTTGGGCCACACATAAAATACACTAACACTAATGATAGCTGATGAGCTAAAGAAAAAATGTCACCAAAAAAATCTCATAATGTTTTAAGAAAGTTTACAAATTTGTTTTGGGCTGCATTCAAAGCTGTCCTGGGCCACATGCAGCCTGCGGGCTGTGGGTTGAACAAGCTTGCTCTAATATAAATGGACAAATGGTGGTATTGAAGATAAAAAGTATAGTAGAGGCTGGGTGCGGTGGCTCATGCTGGTAATCCCAGCATTTTGGGAGGCTGAAGCAGGAGGATCCCTTGAGCCCAGGAGCTGAAGACCAGCATGGGCAATGTAAGGAGACTTTATTTAAATTAAAAAAAAAATAAATAAATTACAATAGATGTATACTATCCATAAGCCACTCTGTTGGCTCTTTTAGAACATGTATTGTTATCACAAAGCAGATATTCTTGCTAAAGGTAAATGTGAATTTGTGTTCTTATCTCTATATCTAAAATCAGAAAGTTTTAAAATAATATTTTCTTTATGTGAAATCGCAAATCAACCCAGATTATGAGGGAGGAGGAAGGGGCATTTTTTCTTTAATTAATATGAAGAGAGGGCCACCAAGAGCATACAGTGAATTACAAAAAGATAAGACAAATGACAAGAAGGCACCTTTTCCTTCAGCCTGGATCCAGGATCCAGGGTTTGGCAAGCAGGTTTCTGCCTGGATTTCATCTGCTACTTGGGGCTTAGTGCTTCTGTACAGTATACAAACTGCACAAGTACACAGCAACCCTGCATAAAGACTTTCAGCTAAGAAATCCCCCTAGATAGAGCAGCCTAAAAAGGTAAGCCCAGCAACTACAAAAAAAAAAAATGGTTTTTGGCCAAGCGCGGTAGCTCACGCCTGTAATCCCAGCACTTTGGGAGGTTGAGGTGGGCAGATCACAAGGTCAGGAGTTCGAGACCAGCCTGGCCAATATGGTGAAAACCCCATCTCAACTAAAAATACGAAAATTAGCCGGGCGTGGTGGTGGGCGCCTGTAGTCCCACCTACTCGGAAGGCTGAGGCAGGAGAATCGCTTGAACCCAGGAGGCAGAGGTTGCAGTGAGCCGAGATCGCGCCACTGCACTATAGCCTGGGCGACAGAGCCAGACTCTGCCTCGGAAAAAAAAAAAATTTTTTTTAAGTTCTTTGGTTGTCTCCTTGGACCCATTATTCTTACTTTGGGCATAAAGTTTAGAAACTAAGTCTTAAACATGGGATAACAGAGACCCTCACTGTGGTACCAAGTGGATAATTAATTGTATTGCTACTTTGCTTCCAGAGTTCTGACATTTATTTTCACCATAGGACTATGGACTACGTGGCTTCTTCCAAGGTGGCATCCCCCGAGCCCTCCGCAGAACTCTAATGGCAGCAATGGCGTGGACGGTGTATGAAGAGATGATGGCCAAGATGGGCCTGAAGTCCTGACCAAGAGAGGACTGGGAACGGGTGAAATCTGTTGCCCTGCTTGGTTTCTGCCAAGGGCTGCTGCTTCTTACTATTCTGCAGTAAGATGAAGTCCTACCTGGAAAACCAGGCAGAAATTGTGTTGCCTTTGCCTTCAGTAATCCCCTTAAGGAGAAAATATATGGACCTGATTTCAGCCTTCAGAATCTCCAAAAGAGGAGTCATCAATTCATAGAGCACACTAGGGTGTTAGGAGAGAGCTTTGCATACTCTGAGAGGCTACTTGGAAAGGCATTTTCCCAGGAGAGCTCTGTCAGGTGGCTGCGCTTCAGCCCCACCCCTACACCACAGGGTCTCCTTGGGTATGTTCTTGGGCAAGCAATCACAAAGCCAGAGAAGCTGTAAGCTGCCTGCCGGGCCTGAGGAGCTCCAACCAGGGAAGACTGGATGTGAGGAGAGGAGTCACTGTCACCAGGTCACAGACTGACTGAGGTGATGGTAGGATGAGGAGGAACAGATGCCCTTCTTTAATTGGTTCTCAGTTAACTTCTCAGAGGCTCTGGAGAACGGGACAGTGGCTTTCTAGCCTCTGAATGTTCCAAATAAAATTTTTTGGTCTTGGCCCCTGTACTGTTTTACCTCTAAATTCTGGCATTTTTTTTTCCCTGCAATTAAAGTGCTGTACTTTATTTATTGAACTTTATCATTGAAAGCTGTTTGGAAAACCTAAAAGATGTTGTCACACTTCTGTTTTCTTTACCTGTGCCTTATAAAAATGGACCAAACCCTTTTCTAAAATAAAATAGTTCTAGGGTGGCTGGTTATTGACCTATGTAGGTCCCTAAAACCTAATTTCTGTTCAAAAAAGCAGCTTTACTGAATGATGCAACCATCACTATAAATCAGTTTAAGAACATTTTTATTCCCCAAACAGATCTCTCATGCCTTTTGTAATTAATCCTCATTCTCAGCCCCAGGCCACCACTGATAGGCTTTCTGTCTTCATAAATTTGCCTTTTCTGGATACTTCATATAAATGCAGTCTGTAGGCCGGGTGCGGTGGCTCAAGCCTGTAACCCCAGCACTTTGGGAGACCGAAGCGGGTGGATCACATGAGGTCAGGAGTTCAAGAGCAGCCTGGCCAACATGGTGAAACCCCGTCTCTACTAAAAATACAAACATTAGCTGGGCGTGGTGGCATGTGCCTGTAATCCCAGCTACTTGGGAGGCTGAGGCACGAGAATCACTTGAACCGAGGAGGCAGAGGTTAAAGTGAGCTGAAATCATGCCACTGCACTCCAGCCTGGGTGACAGAGTGAGACCCTGTCTCAAAAAACAAAAAAACAAAGTGACTATACCATTTTCCATTCTCAGCCACAGTATATGAGAGTTCCAATTTCTCCACATCCTTGTCAACACTTGTTATTATCTCTTTTATAGCTATTCTTATTGTGCACTCAAATCTTTTCTTGAAAATTCAGGAAAGATGGCCAGGCAAGGTGGCTCCTGCCTGTAATTCCAGCATTTTGGGAGGGTGAGGCAGGCAGATTACTTGAGGCCAGGAGTTCAAGATCAGCCTGGCCAAAACAGCAAAACCCCATCTCTACTAAAAATACAAAAATTAGCCAGGCATCGTGGGGCACGCCTGTAATTCTAGCTACTCAGGAGGCTGAGGCAGGAGAACCACTTGAACCCAGGAGATGCAGGTTGCAGATCACACCACTGCCCTCCAGTCTGGATGACAGAATGAGACTCCATATCAGAAAAAAAAAAATCAGGAAACAGCCATTACTTTATACAAGAAGCACAAGTTGGGGGGATATTTAGTCTTGTGGTTAAGAACATGGGCTCTAATCCAGGCAGCCCAGGTTGAAAGCTGCTTGCTCTCCACTACCTAGGCATGGCACTGAAACTATGCCTAGGAAATGGGGTTAGTTTGTTTTGGGGGTTTTTTAGGGGGCGGAGAACAAAGTGTCGCCCTGTTGCCCAGGCTGGAGTGCAATCGTGCAATCTCAGCTGACTGCAACCTCCACTCCTGGGTTCAAGCAATTCTCCCACCTCAGCCTTCCAAGTAGCTGGGACTACACGCTGGGCTAATTTTTTGTATTTTTAGTAGAGACAGGGTTTCACCATGCTGGCCAGGCTTGTCTTGAACTCTTGATCTCAAGTGATCCACCTGCCTCAGCCTCCCAGAGTGCTGGGATTACGGGTGTGAGCCAGCGCCCCCAGCCGGAAATAGGGTTAGTAATGTTTCCTGCCTCTTCAGGTGGTGGTGAGGGTTAATTAATAAATGTTTCTGAAATGTGGTATTAGCTTCATAGGACAGCCACAACAAGTTACCACAGTCAGAATGGTTTATAACTCAATCTGGAGGCCAGAAGTCTGAAATCAATGTGTCAGCAGCATTGCACCTCTGAAGGCTCTAGGAGAGTCATGCTTTGTCTGTTGCACCTTCTAGTGGTGGCTAGCATTCCTTGGCTTGTAAAAACATCACTCTAATCTCTGCCTGTCTTCACATGCCTTTTCCCTTGTGTATCTGTTTCTCTCTATGTTAGACCCTATTTCCAAATAGGGTCACATTCGCAGGTATTAGGGGTTAGAACGCCAATATATCTTTTGGGGGGACACAATTCAACCCACAACACAGATTAAGCTGATGTATAAGTTAAAATCAGTTTATACTTTAGGCTTTAGGTTAAAACACCATATTTAAAATAGTAATTTGGGTAGGGGTGTGGGAGAGGATGAAGCAGGGTCCTAAGCTTACAGTGGCACCCAAGCCTCCAATGCTGTGACCTGTGTGTTGTGAGGCCTCGTGCTGTAGGAAGCAGGGGAGAGGTCAGGATGGGAAAGGAGAGAAGGGAGGGACAGTTGGATGGAGTGGCTGCTTCCTAAGAACTTAGACTCTGGAGTAGGTGTTCCATGTCCCTTGCCTCCTCAGCCTCCTTTGACCCTCATCCTGAGTGCAGGGAACCTAATGCCAGTGAGGACTCTTAGGGAGGAGGGGCAGAGATAAGGCCGAGAGAGTTGGGCTTCTTCCCAATGCGAATTTCCTGGCCTCACATTGGCAGATGAATTTCTGCCACCAGATTCCCCCTCACATTTTCTTCATTTGTTTTTTAGGGGAGCAAATAAATATGATAAAATCAGGAGAAATCATCTAGTTTTCTCTAAACATGAGGTAGAAAATTTGTCTTTGTGAATCTCGAGTCCTGCGGCAAGTAGCCTGTTTTTTCCTCTCTCACAGTCTCAGTATTAAAGCTTGGAAAGCAATTGGCTAGTGAGCGTTAGCTGGCTTTGGAAGCATTGCCCACTTTTTTTTTTTTTTGAGACAGAGTCTTGCTCTGTTGCCCAGGCTAGAGTGCAGTGGTATGATCTTGGCTCGCTGCAACCTCCGCCTCCCGGGTTCAAGCGATTCTCCTGCCTCAGCCTCCCAAATAGCTGGGATTACAGGTACCTGCCACCGCGCCCGGCTAATTTTTGTATTTTTTAGTAGAAACGAGGTTTCACCATCTTGGCCAGGCTGGTCTCGAACTCCTGACCTCATGATCCATCCGCCTTGGCCTCCCAAAGTGCTGGGATTACAGGTGTGAGCCACCACATTGGCCTTTTTTTTTTTTTAAATGGTTCCTTCTTGGCTGCCTTAGACTTATTAAAGCACATTAGAGGTGGGGCTCTGTGGGAGAAAAATAGTCAGATGGTGACTAAAGATAAGGCAGTGTAGGGCTAAAGCCAAAAGAAGACACAGAAGCAAAGGTTTCAAGCTGTATTACACTCACTTTCTAAGAATACATGATTATGAAATCTTTCAAGCCATCACAATAGGAAAGCCAATGGTCTACTGGCCCTTCATTCATATCGCTCAGATGGAGCAATTGCCAAGATTTTGCCACACTTGCTTCTCTCCCCTAACTGTGTCCCCTGCTCCTGCCACTCCTTTTTCTTTTTTTTTTCTTTTTTTTTTTTTTGAGACGGAGTCTCGCTCTGTCACCCAGGCTGGAGTGCAGTAGCGCAGTCTCGGCTCACTGCAAGCTCTGCCTCCTGGGTTCACGCCATTCTTCTGCCTCAGCTTCCCGAGTAGCTGGGACTACAGGCGCCAGCCACCACGACTGGGTAATTTTTTTTTATTTTTAGTAGAGATGGGGTTTCACTGTGTTAGCCAGGATGGTCTCGATCTCCTGACCTCGTGATCCACCTGCCTCGGCCTCTCAAAGTGCTGGGATTACAGGTGTGAGCCACCACGCCTGGCCTCCTTTTTCTTTTATGAAGCTTTTAGAGACAGATCCCAGACATCATATAATTTCACCCTTGCTTACTTCAATATGCATCTCTTAAAAATTATGGACTTTTTTTTAACATAAGTATGTCATTACCCCACCTGGAAAAATTTAACACATTTTTTGCATATCATCCATATTCACATTTCCCAGACTGTCCCAACAATGATTTTTTACAGTTGGTTTATTTCAATTAGAATTCAAACAAGGTCCATACAAGGCATTTGGTCTTTTATTGATGTTTTAGAAACAAGGTCTTGCTCGTCACCCAGGATGCAGTGCAGTGGTATGATCATGGTTCACTGCAACCTTGAACTTCTAGGCTCAAGCCATCCTCCCACCTCAGCCTCCCAAGTAGCTGGGACTACAGGTGCACGCCACCACACCCAGCCAGTTTTTAAAAAATTTTTTTGCAGAGACAAGATCTCGCAATGTTGCCCAGGCTGGTCTCAAACTCCTAGCCTCAAGTGATCCTCCAGCCTCAGCCTCCCAAAGGATTGGGATTACAGGTATGAGCCACCACACTTTGCCGGCAGTTGGTTTTGAAAATCTCTAGGCTGGGCACAGTGGCTCATGCCTGTAGGCCCAGCCCTTTGGAAAGCCAAGGCTGATAGATCGCTTGAGCCCAGTAGTTTGAGACCAGCCTAGGCAACATAGTCAAACTCTGTCTCTACAGAAAAATTTAAAAATTTGCCAGGTGTGGTGAGGCACATCTGTAGTCCCAGCTACTCAGAAGGCTGAGGCAGGAGAATCACTTAAGCCCTGAAAGTCAAGGCTGCAGTGAGCCGTGATCAGGCCACTGCACTCCAGCCCAGGTGACAGAGCAAAGCCCTGTCTCAAAAAAAAACCTCTTTATTCCAGGACACCACCATTCTCCCCAATTTTTTTGTTCTACATTGTCTTTGTAGGGACTGAGGGGACGGGGGAACAAGACAAAGTTAGAGGAAACTTGATTCTGAAGCAGTGTCTAAGGCCTCTCTTGGCATATCAAAGGGCTAGTCTTTGAGGTAACACATCCTCAGCCCCAGTATCCTGTAAAATGTCCCATTTTCTGAATTTGTTTTCTGATGGTTTTAGCTCATTTCTGTTTCACACATGTTCTATAAACTGGATGTTACCTTGGATGGCTTGATTACATTTAGGTCTATCCAATTTCTTAGGCAAAGGAAAGACCAGAGCTATAGATTCTAAGTGGTAGAAAGTCTGAAAAGGCATACGAGGGTCTCTCACTTAGCAAATGAGTGAGTGCAAATGAAACGTTCTATTCACTTCATTCAGTTACTTCCTCCCAAGAGAAATGAGGAGAGGCTGAAATTTCTTTAACCAGCAGTTAGAAAGGATAAATAATTTTGAGGCAAACCAAGGTTAGAGTGAGTCAGTTCTGAGGGCCCAATCAAGACAGGGAACCCAGCACTGACTCTGGGAGGTTGCAAAACTGAAACCTGCTCACCAAGGTTATGCCTTATGCCCCTTCCATATACTTCTGGCTGAGCAGTGCATTTATAACTTGTTGGGTTTTTTGTTTTTTTGAGACAGGGTCTCACTCTATTCCACAGGCTGGAGTACACTGGCAATCTCAGCTCACTGCTCTCAGCTCACTGCAGCCTCGACCTCCCAGGCTCAAGCAATCCTCCCACCTCAGCCTCCCAAGTAGCTGGGACTACAGGCATGCATTACCACACCCAGCTAATATTTTTGTATTTTTAGTAGAGACAGGGTTTCGCCATGTTGCCCAGGCTAGTCTCGAACTCCTGGGCTCAAGGGATCTGCCCACCTCAGCCTCCCAAAGTGCTGGGATTACAGGTGTGTGTCATCACGCCTGGCCTTCTAACTTATTGTTGATATTAAATGTAACAACCAGGCTGGGCACGGTGGCTTATGCCTATAATCCCAGCCCTTCGGGAGGCTGAGGCGGGCAGATCACAAGGTCAGGAGTTCGAGACTAGCCTGACCAACATGGTGAAAACCTATCTCTACTAAAAATACAAAAATTAGCTGGGCATGGTGGCACGCGCCTGTAATCCCAGTTACTTGGGAGGCCAAGGCAGGAGAATCGTTTGAACCTGGGAGGCAGAGGTTGCAGTGAGCTGAGATCATGCCATTGCACACCAGAGGGAGACTCTGTCTCAAAAAATAAATAAATACATTTAACAAGCAGCAGGGCACAGTGGGTCACACCTATAATCCCAGCACTTTGGGAGGCCAAGGCCAGTGAGATCACTTGAGGTCAGGAGTTCAAGACCATCCTGGCCAACATGGCAAAGCCCTGTCTCTACTAAAATTACAAAAAATCAGCCAGATGTAGTGGTGTGCACCTGTAGTCCCAGCTATTCGGGTAGCTGAGGCACAAGAATTGCTTGAATCTGGGAGGCAGAGGTTGCAGTGAGTTGCAATTGCACCACTGCACTCCAGCCTGGGAGACAGCAACTCTGTCTCAAAAAAAAAAACAAAAAAAAGAAGAAGAAGAAAAAAAAATTTAACAATCCACTGTGTCTTAAATTTCAGCTTTTGTCACCACTCCCTCCAAAAAAAGGTGCCTCAATGCAACAGCCTCTAGGTAGAACTAGCTTCTAAGTTCTTCTCTGCTCCTGGGAGCCATTAGCTTAGGTAGTCAGGAAATACCCTAGGCCGGGTGCAGTGGCTCATGCCTGTAATCCTAGCACTTCGGGAGGCCGAGGCGGGCTGATCACTTGAGGTAAGGAGTTCAAGACCAGCCTGGCCGACAAAGCAAAACCCTGTCTCTACCAAAAATACAAAAACTGGCCAGATGTGGTGGTGCGGGCCTGTAGTCCCAGCTACTCGGGAGGCTGAAGCTGGAGAATTGCTTGAGCCTGGGAGCAGAGGTTGCAGTGAGCTGAGATCACACTACTGCACTCCAGCCTGGGTGACAGAATGAGACTGTCTCAAAAAAAAAAAAATTACATAAAATAAAGAAGAAATACTCTAGAGTCTAGGATCGTGGTTTTTAAACTCAATATGGCTGCACATTGGAATCATCTGGAAAATGTTGGGGCTCAGAAAATGATACCCCTGACTGAATAAGGCACTTTGGCATGCTGCATGCTTTGAATTAAAGAAAATTGAAAGGCTTCTGAAATAGCGTCAGAACCAAGGTTTCTTTCTGACCTTCCCCTAACCCCATCTCTCAATCCCCTTTTCCCAAAGCATCCGGAGGGGCTTTGTCTGAAGTTCCCTTATCTGAATAAGGTAGGTTCCTCCAGAATAAAATACAATAGTCTTAAAACTTCCTCCCTAAGAATCTCATCAGGTAACCAGGAAATATTAACCACTGGGAAGAGAAAAGACTAAAAGTCATCACCATGCCCAGACAGACTCTTCATCTATTTTTCTGAGGGCAGCTTTTGAGAGATTTTCCAGGAGACATTATTTGCCTAATAAGGCAACCTTTGGTCACAGTGAAGTTCCTCCCCTTACCCTTTGCTGCTGTTTCCCCCAGAGCTCACAGGAACTTTGTCTCAGGCAAATTTTCTGTTCTTTGAACTCATTCCTATCCTTCCAAAAATCACTTACTAGCCCTCTAAATTGTTTACCATCCCATCTCCCTTCCCTGTGAAGTAGATGCTATTTAAGCTTCAGCCATCTGGCCCTTCTTTGAGTCTTATATTTCGTGTGGCTCCTGTGCATAAGCACATTAATAAATGTGTATGTTTGGCCTGGTGTGGTGGCTCACGCCTGTAATCCCAGCACTTTGGGAGGCCGAGGTGGGCAGATAACCTGAGGTCAGGAGTTCAAGTCCAGCCTGACCAACATGGAGCAACCCCATTTCTACTAAAAATACAAAATTAGCCGGGTGTGGTGGCGCATGCCTATAATCCCAGCTACTCGAGAGGCTGAGGCAGGAGAATTGCTTGAACCCGAGAGGTGGAGGTTTCGTTGAGCCGAGATTGAGCCACTGCACTCCAGCCTGGGCAACAAGAGCAAAACTCCGTCTCAAAAAAAAAAAGTGTATGTTTCTTCTCCTGTTAATTTGTCTATTGTCAGTTCATTTTAGCAGTGAACACTCAGAGGGTGGAGGGGAAGCCCCTACAAGAGCTTTAAAAGCTACTGATGCTTGGGTCTCACTCAGAGATTCTGATATATTCAGCCCAGGTGTAAGATTTTAAAAGCTGCCCAGGTGATCCTAATGCCAAGGCTGAGGCCCCTGGAGGAACCCTGCAGAGCTGCACTCACTACTCAGCAATCCCAATCCACACGTGAAGGGTTAAGCAGGAGTACATTTGGGTGCAGGGGGCAGGGCATTGTTTTGGGACTCAGGGGCCTCTGAGGAGGCTTGTGGCCTGAGTTTCTGCCAACAAACTGAATGCCTCCTCTTCCCATAACAAAGCGTAGAAGCGGGAGGCATTTGCATTTGCCGCAAGGGGCTGTGACTTCTCTGAATTTGTCCCTCAAGCCCCAGGTGCTTCAGCCTTGGTGGGTGATGAAGCAGAGCAGCCTGGGGGTGACCTGTGCTAGGGTCCAAGGGTTTCCAAGCTCCTCAGAAAATCATACTGGCTTCAGTGGAGCTGCAGAGCCACTTGCAGGAGAACCTGGATGTGCTGTCCTTTGGAAGAGTGGCCATAAGGGTCTACGAGTTCATTTTAGGGTGGGCTCAGAAATCAGATTGACTCAGCAGGCCCCAGAGAGGAACCTGCACTTTTTTTTTTTTTGACGGAGTCTTACTCTGTCGCCCAGGCTGGAGTGCAAGTGGCGCAATCTCCACTCACTACAACCTCTGCCTCCTGGGTTCAAGCAATTCTCCCGCCTCAGCCTCCCCAGTAGCTGGGATTACAGGCATGCCTGGCTAATTTTTGAATTTTTAGTAGATACCGGGTTTCGCCATGTTGGCCAGGCTGGTCTCTTGAACTCCTGGCCTCAAGGGATCCGCCCGCGTCAGCCTCCGAAAGTGCTGGGATTACAGCCACCGCGCCCCTTCAATTAACTCCTATTTTTTTGTTTGTTTTTTGGAGACAGAATTTCGCTCTATTGCCCAGGCTGGAGTGCAGCGGTGCAATCACATTCACTGCAGACTTGACCTCTAGGCTCAAGCTATCCTCCTGCCTCAGCCTCCTGAGTAGCTGAGACTACAGGGACGCACCATCATGATTGGTTAATTTTTGTATTTTTTGTGGAGATGGGGGTCTCCCCATGTTTCCCAGGCTAGTCTTGAACTTCTGAGCTCAGGCAATCCACCCACCTCGGCCTCCCAAAGTGCTGGGATTACAGGCACAAGCCACCGCGCCCGGCAAACTTATCTCCTACTGATGGATATTGCAAAATTTTTCTTCTACCAAAAAAAAAAAAAAAAAAAAGATAGATATAATCCATACCATCTGTTCAATCTTGTCCTTTTTAACTTTTTCAGGGAAACTTCCCCCAGGTGATAGATGGATAGATACATGAGATAGACATAACGCATACGATCAGTTCAATCTTATCTTTTTTAACTTTTTCAGAGAAAACTTCCCTTAAGTGAACATTTAAATCTGAATTACGTCCTGTTAAACTGTTCTCCAGGAAAATAAAATAAAATAAATCTTCAAGTTTTTGTTTACCTAACAATTTGTTGTGTCGAACAAACCTTCCTACTTTTCAGGTAACAAAATGGCAGCTTAGGCTAGAAAGCCGCTCATATTCGCAGGTACAAGGGCTGGGTAAGAACGCCCCGCCTGGCTGACTAACTTGAGTTCCGCGCTCTGGACAGGAATTATGCACAGGGCGTCGCTGTGGCACTAGAAACCCCAAAGTCACAAGCGCCCCAGATCCGACCAGGATGCCGCTACCGGCTACAGCCCAGAGGCCCGCTCCTGCGGCGCAAGCCCGCCTTCCTGAAGAAAAAGCCCAGTCCCGGCAGCGTTCTTCTCCGGCTCCGCCCTTCTTCCGCTCGACTTTCTTTGCCATTGGCTGACAACGGAGTACATAAGGACGTCATTTCCTGCCGCCTGTCTTTTCCGTGCTACCTGCAGAGGGGTCCATACGGCGTTGTTCTGGGTGAGTTCCGTGTAGCGTCCCTGGCGCCTTCCAGGGCTAGAAAAATGAGCTTTTCCTGCTCAAATGAAGGGTGAGAAGACTAGTGATGAAAGCCGGTCAGACTGGATCTGTCTCCCGCCCGGCGCGCCCCACCTTAGGCCTGCGGCCCGCACGTGGCCAGGCTCGGGCTGGCGGGTTCCCAGAGTGCCCCGGGAGCGGGTGGAGGCCGCCCTCCAGCGGAGGCTCCGAGCTGGGGTTCGGACCAGGCCGCGGGTGGGCGGGAGTGCAGAAAGCGGGCTAACATCCTGTGTTGCTATCCCTTCGGAGTCCCACACGGCGGTGAGTCTAGGCCCAGGCGCTGATTTACACCAGCTACTTGGGCTGGTCGGGTTTTCCCTTCGCGCCGTGCGGGTCAGGAGTTAAGGTTCTCGGGTTTTTAGACAAACAAGTGGTGACAGCACAGCGAAGTAATTCCAAAGCATCCGCCTACAATCTGCTTGAAAATGTCTGAAAACAATTCATGCCTTTTTTGCCTTTAGTTTGCATATTCCAAACATGGCTGCTCTTTTGTATCTAGTTGTTAACTTGGCGCATCCACAACTTTTCCTTAATTCCTATCTTGAGAAGTGTTGAATTTCCATTCGCTAATTTCGTGTAGTTTTATTACTCGGTTACTCTGCCGTCCACACTATTTCCTCAGTAAGATGTGCGCTGTTCCGTAATACACGACATGTATGGGTTAACTTTCTGTTTACCCTTCACTACACTGTAAGCTCAATGCCTGACACTATAGCAGATGGAGTTTTTGGTTGCTTTTAAGGGTGTGCCCTACTTAACTCAATGGAATGAAAAGAAATAGGTTGCTCTCTTATTTCAGATTCCCGTCGTAACTTAAAGGGAAATTTTCACAATGTCCGGAGCCCTTGATGTCCTGCAAATGAAGGAGGAGGATGTCCTTAAGTTCCTTGCAGCAGGAACCCACTTAGGTGGCACCAATCTTGACTTCCAGATGGAACAGTACATCTATAAAAGGAAAAGTGATGGTTAGTCATTGCTTTAATTTTTTGTTACTCCAGCTGTAAGTACAAATTTTGAGCTTGCTATTCTCGTGGTTAGTTCTGGGTAATTTCTTTCTATCTTCCTTAAATGAAGCCAGACCCCTACGTTGAAAACATACTTTAAATAAATGTTCTTGTTATTGAGAGAAAAGATTTCTGCTCCAGGGGAGGAATATGTCAGTTGTCTGAGTTACGGGACTTGGGTTGGGTCATGAACATGAGAAAGTTCATTGGCTGAGTTTCTAATAGCTCGCATAGTGCCTTCAACTTCATAGGTACTTACACAGGCTATTGAACTGAATTTTGAGTGGAAAGTGGGGTAAGAGGTGGGAATGAACAATATGGTTTGGAAGAACCAGAGGATGGAAGGCATTAAGTTGGCTAAGGCACTTACTTATTTTAGAGATAAAGCTACCAAGGACTTGGGAGTGACATGCTGTAAAGGAGTTTTAGGATGAATCTTGCATCAGTGCAGATTATAAAAGGGAAAGAGTGGCAGAAAGCCAGGAAGTGGATTATTAAGAACCAATGATGGAATAAGTACAGGGAAAGAGAAAGGAAAGATGGATTTAGCCAACTGAATCTAGGCTGCACACTATTAAAGCTCAGGGTGGAGGCCAGTCTTGGCTCATGAACTTCTGAGTGTCGGAAGTGTGCTATATCAATGGCAGGATTTTCGCTAACACCAGTAGAGCTTGCCTCTATGACTGGAGTTTGGTAGTACTCGCTGCCACATAGAGTAAACTTGAGAAGAATGTTTGCACAGCCAGGTCAAGTGTTACAAATCCTTCTGCCCTCACTTAGGCATCTATATCATAAATCTCAAGAGGACCTGGGAGAAGCTTCTGCTGGCAGCTCGTGCAATTGTTGCCATTGAAAACCCTGCTGATGTCAGTGTTATATCCTCCAGGAATACTGGCCAGGTTTGTGGAACAGTGGTTAGTTTTTATATTATAGAAATAAAGCTTACAGACATTGTGAGACATAGAAAGACATAAGAAAACAGAAATAACTCAGGCCGGGCGCGGTGGCTACGCCTGTAATCCCAGCACTTTGGGAGGTGGAGTCCGGCGTATTACGAGGTCAGGAGATCCACACCACGGTGAAGCCCCATCTCTACTAAAAATACAAAAAATTAGTTGGGCGTGGGGGCGGGTGCCTGTAGTCCCAGCTACTCAGGAGGCCAAAGTGGAGAATGGCGTGAACCCGGTGGGCGGAGCTTGCAGTGAGCTGAGATGCGCCACTGTACTCCAGCCTGGGTGACAGAGCCGAGACTCTGTCTCAAAAAAAAAAAAAAAGAAAATAGAAAACTCAAACTCCACTGTTAAGAGATCTTAAGTTGGACTGAGCCATAGAAATCGCCCTTATGACCTATGACCTTCCTTTTTTTTTTTTTTTTTTTTTTTCCTTCAAGACAGTCTCTCGCTCTGTTGCCTGTTGTCCATCCTGGACTGCAGTGGTGTGATATCGGCTCATTGCAGCCTTTGCCTCCTAAGCTCAAGGGATTCTCCTGCCTCATCCTCCCGAGTAGCTGGAATTACAGGCATGTGCCACCATGCCTGACTGATTTTTGTATTTTTAGTAGAGACATGGTTTTACCATTTGGCCAGGCTGGTCTTAAACGCCTGATCTCAAGTGATCCTCCCACCTCGGCCTCCCAAAGTGTTGGGATTACAGGCGTAAGCCACTGCGCCCAGCCTGTAAGACCTTTTCAACATACATGCTGGGCATCTGGCAGTATGTTGAACTTTATAATTTCATTTTGTGTAGACTTGTGCCACTAAATATCTAGAAATTCTATTAAAGTGGCTTATCACATTTTCCCATAGTCAAAGTTTTTACCTTAAAACAATGAAATACTGGGACAGAAATTTTTTAAGAATCTTAGCCAGTCATGACGGCATGCACCCATAGTTCCCGTTAATTGGGAGTCTGAGCCAGGAGATCCCTCAAGTCCAGGAGCTGGGGGCTGCAGTAAGTTATGATTTTGCCACTGCACTCCAAGCCTGGGGCACAGAGTGAGATCCTGTTTCTTAAAAAAGCCAGTCATGGGTGGCTCATGCTTTTGTAATATGGGGTACTTTGTGAGGCTGAGGCTGGTGGCTTGCTTGAGCCCAGAAGTTCGAGACCAGGGTGGGCAACGTGGCAAAACTCCGTCTCTACCAAAATTAACAAAAACGAGCTGGGTGTGGTGTTGGCGTGCCTGTAGTCTCAGCTGAGGCTAAGGTGGGAAGATTGCTAGAACACAGGAGGTTGAGGCAGCAGGGAGCCAAGACTGTCCACTGCATCCCAGCCTGAGTGACAGAGTGAGGCCTTGTCTCAAAGAGAACCTCTGCCAACTTGAATGAAAAATACCTTAATTTGTATTTTTAAGAAATGACTAGTTAGTAAAACTTGAATCTTTTTTGCCACAGCTCTATTTTAATAATTTTTCTGTTGAGAAAACTAGTAGATTTCTTGAATTCTAAGAGTTCTAACAGGGATTTTATTCATCTTAACTATTTTGACAGATTTAAAAATTATGTAGTAAGACTTTATTTCAATGTTGACAGGACGGGTTCCCATGTGTGTTTTTGCAGAGGGTTATTCCTGAAACTGACTTGTTACTAGGACCACATAGTTTGGTACACAGTAGAAAAAAGGCAGTTAGTTATTGCTGTAGAATGAACTGAGTGACAGTTCTTGCTTGCTTGAGAAAAATATACTGAGCATCTAGATTGGGCCAGGTAGTGTTGCTAGGTGCTCGGGATATATAGTAGAAAAACAAGCCTGTCTTTTTTAATGTATGCAGGAAATCTCTGGAGAAGTAAGAGAGGTTAAGGAAAGCTGGGTATGTGCCTGCTTTACATGGAGTAGTAGTGATTAAGTTGGCCAGTGCCCAGAAGTGCTTACTGGGTGCCAGGATTGTTGCTGTGGAATATCGAGTACCACTAACTTTTAAATTCTTCAAAGAGGGCTGTGCTGAAGTTTGCTGCTGCCACTGGAGCCACTCCAATTGCTGGCCGCTTCACTCCTGGAACCTTCACTAACCAGATCCAGGCAGCCTTCCGGGAGCCACGGCTTCTTGTGGTTACTGACCCCAGGGCTGACCACCAGCCTCTCACGGAGGCATCTTATGTTAACCTACCTACCATTGCGCTGTGTAACACAGATTCTCCTCTGCGCTATGTGGACATTGCCATCCCATGCAACAACAAGGTAATGATTTTAGGATCTAGAGTTTGTGAATGCGTGCTCTAGAAAAAACATTCCTGTGCACATTGTTAGAGCTTGGAGTTGAGGCTACTGACTGGCCGATGAACTCGCAAGTGTAGGTAGTGTGCTACATGAGGGGCAAGTTTTCGCTAACACCACAAGGGTCTCTGGCCCAATGAGTGGAGTTTGATAGTAATTCTTGCTACAAGTATAACATTACTGCATGACAGCTTTGTGGAGAAATGAAAACATTTGGAAAATAGTGTGTTCTTCTGCCTTTGTCCATGTTTCTTGCTCAGGCCTCAGGCACTTGGCCTTTGTTTTCACACCAACTTGATGGGTTCTACTATAAGATGCTAAAAAGGTGGGTTGTGTGTGGTTCAGATTGGTTGATTTGTAACCCTAGTTGTGCATAAGAATTGCCCAGATATTTTTTTTAAATGCCAGTGTCCAGGCATTTTTTTTTCAATCCCTATGATTCCAGTGTGCAGACAAGGTTGAAAATCCCTATTTATAATGCTCCCTGTTACAATTGCTTTTCAACTAAGAGATGTCTGTACTTTTGGTACCTAGATGATGTAAGAGCCAGGAAGGTGCTTGCTGTTTGGGTTTGACCAAGTGTCACTTTTTAATAATCTGCCACTCTTGGCAGGGAGCTCACTCAGTGGGTTTGATGTGGTGGATGCTGGCTCGGGAAGTTCTGCGCATGCGTGGCACCATTTCCCGTGAACACCCATGGGAGGTCATGCCTGATCTGTACTTCTACAGAGATCCTGAAGAGGTAAGCTTCTCCAAAGGCTTGTGGTTACATAAGCAAATTGGACGACTTGGACTGTGCTTCTAGGAAGCAAAACTTGTCAGTCCCTGTAAGTCTTTCCTCTTTTTTTTTTGTAACCCAGATTGAAAAAGAAGAGCAGGCTGCTGCTGAGAAGGCAGTGACCAAGGAGGAATTTCAGGGTGAATGGACTGCTCCCGCTCCTGAGTTCACTGCTACTCAGCCTGAGGTTGCAGACTGGTCTGAAGGTGTACAGGTGCCCTCTGTGCCTATTCAGCAATTCCCTACTGGTATGTATCAGGATAGAGGTGAATCAAGCTGATATTTTGCAACTTCTCAGTTTTATTCTAACTTTAATGATCTCTGTGACTTTTATACTAGCTTTAAGAGGTTTTCATTCCAGTGTGCTACAGCATCTGATAGACTGCTGTTGGGAGTGGGGTAAGGAAAAATACTACATTGAGGACAGAGCTGATGGCTTTTTTTGGTATTCTCTTAACAGAAGACTGGAGCGCTCAGCCTGCCACGGAAGACTGGTCTGCAGCTCCCACTGCTCAGGCCACTGAATGGGTAGGAGCAACCACTGACTGGTCTTAAGCTGTTCTTGCATAGGCTCTTAAGCAGCATGGAAAAATGGTTGATGGAAAATAAACATCAGTTTCTAAAAGTTGTCTTCATTTAGTTTGCTTTTTACTCCAGATCAGAATACCTGGGATTGCATATCAAAGCATAATAATAAATACATGTCTCGACATGAGTTGTACTTCTAAAGCCCACTGTAGATAGTGTATATTGCTTTTCACTTCAGAATTTCCCTGAGCTTCCTTCCTGTGTGGAGAACATGTGTGCTGTGAAAATAGATGTAAGTGGTTACACATACTTAGTTGGTAACCTCAGGAATACTTTTCCGAGGCCCTGATGATCTTGCTTTTATTACCATTTGCGTAGGTAAGTTCTATAGAGCTTAGGTTTTTATTTTTGAGAGTCTTCCTGTCACTTAGGTTAACTATTCCTGGAAGCCCTGGAGAGGCGATGGTCCTTCCCCACATTGAGAGACATTAATTGCCCCTCTTGTCAGCTTGCCTACAGGTTCTGGGAGAGGAGAGGTATGTATGTATTTAAAAATGTGATGTTCTCCATATTTGTCTTTGCCGGGGAGGGGGTTGGGGAGACAGTCTTTCCCTGTTGCCCAGGCTGGAGTACAGTGGCGTGATCTCAGTTCACTGCAACCTCTGCCTCCTGGGTTCAAGCGATTCTTGTGCCTCAGGCTCCTTCGTAGCTGGGATTTCAGGTGTGCACTGCCACACCTAGCTAATTTTTGTATTTGTAGTAGAGATGGTTCTGCCAGGCTGGTCTCCAACTCCTGGCCTCATGTGACCCGCCCCAAAATGCTGGGATTACAGGCCTGAGCCTGACCATATTTGTTTTTTATGTATTAATGCTGGTGGCTTCATCCTAAACGGATTTCAAGATTTTCATTGCCTATTAAAAAAATACTCGTGGCTGTCATGTTGGCTCACCCATGATCCCAGCACTTTGGGAGGCAGAGGCAAAGCGATTGCTTGAGCTCAGGAGTTCAGGACCAGCCTGGGCAATGTGGTAAAACCCCATCTCTCTCCAAAAGATACAAAAAATTGGCAGGGTGTGATGGCATACTCCTGTAGTACCTCAGCTACACAGGAGACTGAGGTGGGAGAATCACCTGAGGCCAGGAGTTGGAGGCTGCAGTGAGCTGTGATTGAGCCCCTGTATACTCTAGCCTGGGTGACGAAGTGAGGCCCTGTCTCAAAAAGATTATAGAGACATTTCCATAGATTGGATTGAATGCAGATTTTGAGATGGCCTGAACTGATTTACATGGATTCATACATTCTCTTGGAAAATTTACAAAATACATGTACATGTGACCACATTCCTAGGGCTCCTTCCGGTGGTGCTGAGGCAATGGGAACACTGCAGCCTCAAGCATTGTCTTCATGGGAAGCCTGCTTATGGCTGTAAGCGAGGCTGGGAAAATCTGCCCTATAATGTCTCCAAGTTGAATGGCATTCAGTGAGATTTATGGATCCTGAAGTTGCAAGTGGTTAGCAACACTGGTAGAGATTGCTGGAATCAGGATGGTGGGAAGCAGGGACAGTTTACCAGAAGGCTACTGGTCAACAGGGGAGTTGGAGAAGCATTGCGAGGTGGTGTGAGCCTGGAGTAAGGTATACTAAGCTCATTTATGAGCGGGTTCTGGGTGGAGTCTGTTCAGCGAACAGAGAACCTTGGCATTTCTGGACACTTGAAGATACTGTGGAAAACATCCGTTGTGACTATCCAGCAACCTCCAGGATTACCCCATCTTACTGGGGTCCCATGCAAACCCAGCCTCTCCATAGACTTGTGTCCTAGTGCCAAGCACCTCCAATCAGGAGACCTTGGTAGCATTCTCAAAGCAGTTCCAGAAAGTCTCTTTTTCTAGATTCTGAGGTTAGGGAGGAGGTAGTCTCCCTTGGCAGGGTTCATTCATGTTCAGCTAAGTGGAAGCCAGCAAATACTAGAGGGGATTTCTCTCAGACCCACTCAGCTGGGGTTAGCCTTCCCTGACAGGCCTTAACCTTTTTATAACCTTGTATATCTGAAAATAGGATCCTCTCCCCAACTCCACTCCCCTGGCCCTGTACCATATCACCAACTGCTAGTGGATTCTGGCTCAGGTTTGGGATCACCATGCTCTCATGGGACCCAGCAGCTGCCCATGGCCACAGAGTCAGTGTCCCCAAGCTGTCACCATCTGGAATAGCCATCTTAAACTAGCCAGTTCAAACAGTTTTCTCTTGCCTGGTGGTGCCCACCTGATGTAGGGCAGCTCATAAGCACTGCTGAATCAGTGACAATCTGTGCCCCCTGGGTGTTCAGCAGCCTGCTACTAGTAACTTACCCCCAGTGGTGTTTGCAGAATTGAGTCTTCCTGACTCAATTCCTAGCATGAGGCCATTTTTAAGGTGAGGGAGAAGCCGTTGCCTCCTTCACTGCTAGGCACTGCTCTTGCTTTGGCCCTGTGAGCCGCCTCCCTTCTTGCCCTGGCACATCTCCATTTCCTTCTACACAGGAATTGCATTTCTCTCAGTAAGTTATTCAATTTCCTTGTTCAGCCTGATCTTACAAATGTAGCTTGCTCTAAATATTTTACTTGTTCACAACTTCAAGCTCTTCATACACTTTTGGGCAGTTTGTCTTCTATGCTTAATAGAAACTGAATCCCACACAGAACTCTAGTTTTCCTCTACTTTCCTAAGTAGCTTAGGGACTCCTTTCTTAGGACTGTGTGCAATAAACACATTTTTTCTAGTACATTCCTAGTATGAGGGCAAATCTGAGCATCCTCATTGGAATCAGCCTATCACAAAAGCTGGCACTTGGTAAATGCTAGTAAGTACTGAGTGAAAAGAAAAAGTTAAGAATAAATCTGAGGGCCAGGTGGCTCATGCCTGTAATCTCAGCACTTTGGGAGACCGAGGTGGGCGGGTCACCTGAGGACAGGAGTTTGAGACCAACCTGGCCAAAATGGAGAAACCCCATCTCTACTAAAAATACAAAAAATTAGCCAGGCCTGGTGGTGTGTGCCTGTAATCCCAGCTACTCAGGAAGCTGAGGCAGGAGAATCGCTTAAATCTGGGAGGTGGAGTTTGCAGTGAGCCGAGATCCTGCCATTGCACTCCAGCCTGGGCAACAGAGCAAAACTGTCTCAAAAAAATCAATCAATCAATAAATCGGAGGCTGAGTGCAGTAGCTCATGTTTGTAATCCCAGCACTTTGGGAGGCTGAGGTAAGAGGATCACTTGAGGCCTGGAGTTTAAGACCAGACTGGGCAACATAGCAAGACCCCATGTCTACAAAAAATTTTAAAAATTAGCTGGGTGTGGTGGTGTGCACCTGGTTCCCAGCTACTTGGGGGCCTGAGGCAGGAGGATCACTTGGGCCCAGGAGTTGGAGGCAGCAGTGAGTTGTGAGTGCCACCACACTCCAGCCTAGGCAACAGAGCAAAACTGACTCAAAAAAAAAAAAAAAAAAAGGATAAATCAAGAGACTTAATGTTAATATTCAAAAAAAGTGGGAGAGGTAAGTTTCATTTGGCAAACCTGAAGCTCCCAACAGGATTCAAGGTGCCCACTCTTGCTTGTTGTTCAGGAGCACATCAGCATGATTAACGGGTGGCCACATCACCTGCTCTCAACTTGGGTGTTTGATCAAGTTCCCTGCTTGGTCAAAGACAACAGCTTCACATAGTGTTTTGAGAATGCACTGCACTCCCTGAGGTCAGCTTGGGTGTGGTCTCCTGGTGTGCTAGTTGGTGTAGTTGGGACTGGGTCTGGTCTGCGCCATGGCCCAGCACCAAGGACACCTTTGCATAACCAGTTGTCCTGTGAAGGGACTGGCCCACTGTCACCATTGAGATGATGGGCTGCATAGTGAGGTGGATAGTGTGGGCTGCAGAATTGGACATACTGGGGTGATGACAGCCCTGCTTGGGCCACTCCTAGTGTGTGGTTCTGGGCAAGGGACTATGTCTCTAGCCCAAGTGGCCTCACCATCAAATGGGATGATTGTGGGCTGCTGTGATTCATTGAGATCATCCTGCACAGCAATTAGTCTGGGTTTGGCATGTAGTGAATACTGCTCGTATGCATTGCATTGTCTTTCCTTAGTACTTACTTTAAAAATAATTTTTATGTAAAATGGATCATACATGCAGATAGTTTAAGAGACATATCCATGCATTCTTAAAGAGTAAGAATCAAGTTAAAGCCTCTGCAACTGTGATGCAGGTTATGAAAGGGAAAAGTGCCGGGACCAGAGAAAGCATCTGTGTGTCCCTCCCTGCTCCTCTCAGGTCAGAGAGCTCCTGCTCCTGTGATAAACTGGTTGACTTTATTGTTTCCCCACTTACGTTTGTGCTTTTAATCATGAATTATTTAATTTTCCTGTTTTTGAGCTTCCCATAAATGGAATCTTAGCACGTCTTCTGTGTGATCTGCTTCTTTCCCTCAATATTGTCTCTGCTTTTTGTTTTCTTTTTTGAGACAGAGTCTCTGTTGCCCAGGCTGGAGTGCAGTGGTGTGATCATGGCTCTCTGCAGCCTTTACCTACTGGGCTCAAACGATCCTCCCACCTCAGTCTTTCAAGTAGCTGGGATTACAGGTGCGTGTCACCATGCTCAGCCAATTAAAAAATTTTTTTTTTGTAGAGAGGAGGGTTCACTATATTGCCCAGGCTGGTCTCAAACTCCTGAGCTCAAGTGACCTTTCTGTTTCAGCCTGGGACTATAGGCATGAGCCACTGTGGCCCACCATTTGGAACATTTTTGATAGATCCTTGTGCAAAGTTTTCCCCTGTCGGTTTTAAACTCTAGTTTCACCAGATAACGTCAAATGGTTTCGCAATCACATATAAAATCCTACAAAAACATAGCCATAACCTGTGGGCAGCAAGCCACCCAGGTGCCAAGGCAAGAGACCAAGGATGTGAGCTGTTCCAGTATAATAAAATATAAAATAAGAATAGTTATACCAGATATAGATCTTAGATATGATTATATATGAATATCATTAATCATTAGTTTGTAGCAATTACTCTTTATTCCAATATTATAATAATCCTCGCTCTATAATCATAACCTAGGAAAAACCAGGCCGTACAGAGATAGGAGCTGAGGGGACATAGTGAGACGTGACCAGAAGACAAGAGTGCGAGCCTTCTGTTATGCCCAGACAGGGCCACCAGAGGGCTCCTTGGTCTAGCGGTAACGCCAGCGTCTGGGAAGACTCCTGTTGCCAAGTGAACTGTAGTCTAGTGGTAGCCTCAGTGTCAAGGAAAAACACCCGCTACTTAGCAGACCGGGAAAGGGAGTCTCCCTTTCCCCAGGGGAGTTTAGAGAAGACTCTACTCCTCCACCTCTTGTGGAAGCAGGCCTGCCTGCAGTTATCCGGAGGCCTAACCGTCTCCCTGTGATGCTGTGGCTGTGCTTCAGTGGTCACGCTCCTAGTCTGCCTTCATGTTCCATCTTGTACACCTTGCTCTGCCTTTTAGTTAGCAGTAGCAAATTAGTGAAAGTACTAAAAGTCTCTGATAAGCAGAAATAATAGTATAAGCTGTTTCTCTCTTTCTCCTCTCTCTCTCTCTGCCTCGGCTGCCAGGCAGGGAAGGGCCCCCTGTCCAGTGGACACGTGACCCATGTGGCCTTACCTATCATTGGAAATGGCTCACACTCCTTATCCTGCCCCTTTGTCTTGTATCCAATAAATATCAGCGCAGCCTGGCATTCAGGGCCACTACCGGTCTCCGCGTCTTGGTGGTAGTGGTCCCCCGGGCCCAGCTATCTTTTCTTTTATCTCTTTGTCTTGTGCTTTATTTCTACGCTCTCTCTGCACACGAGGAGAAAACTCACCGACCCTGTGGGGCTGGACCCTACAATAACCCTTAGGACTTTCTGTTGAAAACACTGTCTTCACTGTTCAGAATTGCTGCTTCTCAAAAATTGGGTCTGAAGGGGTGGGTTGCCCCTCCACACCTGTGGGCTTTTCTCGTTAGGTGGAACGAGAGACTTGGAAAAGAAAGAGACACAGAGACAAAGTATAGAGAAAGAAAAAAGGGGGCCCAGGGGACCGGCGTTCAGTATACGGAGGATCCTGCCGGCCTCTGAGTTCCCTTAGTATTTATTGATCATTATTGGGTGTTTCTCAGAGAGGGGGAGGTGGCAGGGTCATAGGATAATAGGGGAGAGAAGGTCAGCAGGTAAACACGTGAACAAAGGTCTCTGCATCATAAACAAGGTAAAGAAGTAAGTGCTGTGCTTTAGATATGTATACACATAAACATCTCAATGCCTTAAAGAGCAGTATTGCTGCCTGCATGTCCCACCTCCAGCCCTAAGGCGGTTTTCCCCTATCTCAGTAGATGGAATATACAGTCGGGTTTTACACCGAGACATTCCATTGCCCGGGTACGGGCAGGAGACAGATGCCTTCCTCTTGTCTCAACTGCAAAGAGGCGTTCCTTCCTCTTTTACTAATCCTCCTCAGCACAGACCATTTACGGGTGTCAGGCTGGGGGACGGTCAGGTCTTTCCCTTCTCACGAGGCCATATTTCAGACTATCACATGGGGAGAAACCTTGGACAATACCTGGCTTTCCTAGGCAGGGGTCCCTGCGGCCTTCCGCCTTCCGCAGTGTTTTGTGTCCCTGGGTACTTGAGATTAGGGAGTGGTGATGACTCTTAAAGAGCATGCTGCCTTCAAGCTTTGTTTAACAAAGCACATCTTGCACAGCCCTTAATCCATTTAACCCTGAGTTGACACAGCACGTGTTTCAGGGAGCACAGGGTTGGGGGTAAGGTTACAGATTAACAGCATCTCAAGGCAGAAGAATTTTTCTTAGTACAGAACAAAATGGAGTCTCTTGTGTCACTTCTTTCTATACAGACACAGTAACAATCTGATCTCTCTTTCTTTTCCCCACAGGGTCCATCTATGCAGTCTGATCCTGACCTCTCCATTTTTCTCCCTGCTCTATGAGTGTCCCTGAGTCAATGCTACACTAGCCTATTTACTAGAACTCTATAATCTATTGTGGTATCAAGTAGGGCAATCCTCCTATCTTCCTCCTTTCCTCCAAGAGAGTCTTGGCTATTATTGATGATTTTGCATTGTCATATACATTTTCAAGCCAAATCCAATCGGTTAGTCCAGTTCCACTATAAACCCTGTTGGGATTACATTGATTCTATAGAGCAGTACTGACTGATTTACACTACTGAGTTTTTCAACCCGTGAGCAATCTGTGTGTTACTCCATTTTCTCATTTTTATGTCCCTCAATAAGGTTTTATAATTTTTCCTGTAGAAGTTTTGCATGTCCTTTGGTAAATTTATTTGTAGGTAATTGAGACATTTTAAAATTGTTCCCTTTTGGGAAACTATTAAGGATCCTGTTGGAAAAACTCAACCTCATGTTCTAAATAACGTGATATCCAGTGGTAAATGTCACTATTTCCGTGGGGTTTCTGACCCAGCCTGAGCAATCCAGAGTTTTTCTACAAGGCAGGGATGAGATTGCTAAACTCCATCCATGAAAAACCTGCTTTTAAGCCTACAGGTAAAACATTCTATTTGTTTAATAGGGCAGGGCAAGCTGTACTTCTGAAAATGCTAAGTTCAGCAGGCTTCTTTTAGGAATAGTGCCAGAATTAGCCAATTCTACTTTGAAAAAAATCTCAAGTAAAATAATAAGAACTCAACATTCAGCAAATATTTATTAAGCACTTACTCTGGACCAGGTATTATTACAAGCAATGGGGATAGAGCAGTGAATGAAGACAAAGCCTGTGACCTTGTGGCAGTTATCTGGAGAGGCAGATAACAAGTGAACAATTTATTTACTATGGAAACAGAAGTGAGGATGATGGAAACATGAGGAAAGCTTTTGTCTAAAGCAAGAATCACAGGCATCAGCCTATAGAAACAGGACAAATGGAGAAAATCACTGGAGAGAATGACAGCAAAGAAACCCCTCCAGAGAGAAGAGGTCTCAGTCCAGCCTCACACCAAGTAGAGCCTCATCAAAACGTTCTGTTCTCATAGGGAGTTGGGGGCCTGTACCAGAGGCCATGAAGTCTCTTGGAGTCCATGCTATGTGAGTGGTGCACATCTCCACTGCCCAACCCATAGAAAACTCACCTAAGTTTTCTCTTTTCTCTTCTATAGATATTTTTGGAAATGAGTTGGGGACAAGGAAAAAGCTATCATTGCACAGACATCTACCCCAATTCTGCCTCCTGCTGCACTCTCACTGAGAGACAATGGTCCAAGAAGCACTCTCCCCTCTCCATGGCTGGCTAGCTAGGTTCACATTGGTGCAAAGAGCACTCGACATTGCCAGAAGTGTGCATCATCATGTCCCCATGGTAAGGCCCTCTCACCACCTCTCCTCAGTGACTCAGCTCTGCATTTTCTTCCATCCGATACTCTTATCTCAACCCAAGGGGTGTCTTCCATTTATGATGTGCAAAAGAAAGGTACAGTCTTTAGCATGAGAAAGTAGTCCCTTAGACCATCATGGTGGCACACAAGACTCTGCACAGGCCATCAAGTCTGAAGAAATGAATGGGCTAGTTTGACATTTGTTTCAAAATCCCTTACAGGGAAATTTTTTTGGTATTACTGTATATCATTTCATATAGATATATTTCTTTTAAGTAAGTTGTCTTTTTAAGACAATATCTAGTTATTGACAATGTGCTTTTGCCATTTAGAAATAAAGAATATGATCATTGCAATTTAAAACCCAATGAGCAGAAAAAATAATAAGACACTGTTGTAGAAAGGTTTGATGAATTAGAAAAAATATATGAAAACAATTATTCATAAGGAGAACAGAGAGAGGAGGAAAAAAAATACAAAAGAGGAGATACAAAGAGAGTAAAATTAGAGAGTCAAACTGTCTAATTGGAGTTCCAGAGAGAGAGAAGAGAGAATAAAGAAGTCAGTGTCAAATAGATATGACTAAGAAATTCTCATGAATCTACAAATAGATATGATCCGAAATTCTCATGAATCTACAAATTCAGGAATTCCAATGTGTAGTAAGTGGAAATGGTTTTTAAAACCCCATTCTTATTTACATTGTTAAAGAATCCTGAAATGCCAAAACCAAAAGTGTTCTTGAAAGAAGCCAAGGAGAAAAGGAAGGACACCTGACTGTTCCCCATCAATGGTGACAGCTAGGGGACAGTAGAATGAGAAAAACAAATGGCTAACTGACTCTGTCATTGAAGAATTAGGACAATATAATGACTTTTCCAAAAAACAAAAGTTAGTAAGGAAAAAAGAAAATGAAGGCAAAAGAAAGCTGCGGCCAGGATGAACACCAATGTTTATGAGGATTTCTCAGTCATATCTATTGAACACCCATGTTCATCCTCCTTTCTTCCATACTAACAGAGCCTGTGAGTTTTCACTGAGCACAGGCTGAAAAGCTGGTGCCTCACATTACATGGTGGTAAAATGTTGGGTCAGGTTTTGGAGCCTGCATTGCTTTGGAGGGTAGACCAAAATTTGATCAAATCTGTGGCATTAGGAAAATGGTAGGAGAGATCCAGAGTGACGGTCTGTGTGACTCTTGGCTGCTTTAAGCATAGTCCTATGAGAGACAAGAACTCTGGCTAGATCTGGCCAGCCTACAAGCAGAAGTGAAAGGACCTAGAATTGTGCTAATGCAGGCATTTTCTGTCTTGGTCCGCAATATACAGAGTCAAACACTATTTACCCACCTCAAGCAGTTATGAGCTACGTATCTGAAGGGACAGACTCCACAGGAGATAACACTCTTGCCCTTTGGAAAGGTAGCATGCATTAAGGTGAGATTAAGGTAGGGTTAAAGGAGTTGTTTTCCATTCCAAACCTACCATAAACAAGAAAAAAGCCCCAGCCTGGCCAACATGACAAAACCCCATCTCTACATAAGCATAACAAAATTAACGCAAGTGTGGTGGCAGGCACCTGTAATCCCAGCTACTCGGGAGGCTAAGGCAGGAGAATCACTTGAACCTGGGAGGCGAAGGTTGCAATGAGCTGACACTGCGCCACTGCACTCCAGCCTGGGCGACAGAGCAAGACTTCGTCTCAAAAAAAAAAAAATGAAAAAAGTCTGGCAAAATCAGATAATGGTAACAAGGATTTGGAACAAGAACTCCTATACTAGGTGGTGGGAGTATAAATTGGTACAGTTTGGCATTCTTTAGTAACATAAGCATCTATATTATTGCCCTTGAAGGTATACACTAAAGAAAATCATGCACATTTGCACTAGGGTATGTGGACAAGAATTCTAATTGACAAACTTGGAAGTAGCTCTGGGTCCATCTACAGTACTGTTGATAAACTATTGTATATTTATACCACAAAGTGCCAATCAGTGATGAAATTAAACATATCATGGCTACATGCAATGACATGTATGAATCGTACAAATTTGGGCAAAATAAGTGTAACAATATTATTCCTAATATGTGATTCCATTTGTGAAAAGTTCAAAAACAAGCAAAGGTAAGCTATATCTATATCTATATCTATATCTATATCTATGTCTATGTCTATGTCTATGTCTATATCTATATCTATCTATCTATCTATTTTTTTGAGATGGAGTTTTGCTTTATTGCCCAGGCTGGAGTACAGTGGTACAATCTCAGCTTACTGCAACCTTCACCTCCCAGGTTCAAGCGGTTCTTCTGCCTCAGCCTCCCAAATAGCTGGGACTACAGGTGTGCACCACCATGCCTGGCTGATTTTTGTATCTTTAGTAGAGACGGTGTTTCACCATGATGGCCAGGCTGGTCTCAAACTCTTTACCTCAGGTGATTCACCTGCCTTGGCCTCCCAAAGTGTTGGGATTACAGGTGTGAGCCACTGCACCCAGCCTAGCTATATTCTTTAGAGATATATTCCTTGGTGGCAAACATTAGACTGTGTAAATCAGTAACAAGATTTCTAATATATGGGGTAAAAAACAAGCAAGATAAAAGCAATCAACAAAATATTTACAAAGAGTATAGGCTGGGTGTGGTGGCTCATGCCTGTAACTCCAACACTTCAGGAGGCCAAAGCAGGAGAATCTCCTGAGCCCAGGAGTTCCAGATCAGCCTTGGCAATGTAGCAAGACCCTGTCTCTAATAATAATGATAAAAATTTTAAAACGGGTATGGAGGTTATGTGAAAGATAAAGTGTTTTGAGGTCTTTGTTAATGAGAGAGTTTAAAATATCAACTTCAGACCATAAATGTCTCTCATTCTACATGCTTATCTTAACATGACATTGTCACTATCCAATGGGTGGAATCTATGTCCCCTCCCTTTCAGCCTTGGTAGAAGTTCCAACTTCCTCAAGTAATAAGATAGAATGGAAATGATGCTATGTGTTTTTCAAAGATATGCCATAAAAATGCCATTCCCTTTTGTCTGGGTCCCTTGGGACATTTGCTCTTGAAACTCAGCCATCTTCCAGTGAGGAAGCCTGAGCAGCTGGGGAGAGGCCCATATGGAGAAGAACCAAAGTCCCCAGTCCCCAGCCCCAGACCAGCTGAATTCCCAGCTAACATCCAGCACTAACTTGCCAGCCAAGAGAATGACCTGTATTGAAAGTGGATTGTCCAGCCCCAGTTGGAGCCATCTCAGCAGTTGCCATGTGGAGCAGATGCAAGTCATTCCTGTCAAACTCTGTGCTTATTTGTGAGCAAAAGAAATAATTGTTTTTGTTTTAATCAACTTAGCTTTCAGGGAGTTTGTTACTGAGCAATAGATAACTGATACAATGGAAAAATTCTAGAGGCATTTTCACTAAAGTCAGAAACAAGACATGGATAACCCACTATCACCACTCCTCTATATCATAGCAGTGAACTTATCAGGTAATGTAACTAGGTGAAAGTAACTTTTTATATACACAATATATGGCCAACTGACCTTCTCTTTAGAATTAACAATAAGCATTTCTCTAAATGCTCTTAGAATTTACAATAAGCTTTTATATCGATTGTATACATTAGCTACACAGTAAGCTATTAAGTGGCTGCAAAATAGTTTATATATCTATTTTCCTAGTTTTAATATTTTATAAAATTTCAACTATTATAAACATGGCTGTCATTAACATCCTTGTGGTTAACTGAATCACATGGCAGGGAACATTTTAAGATGTTAAAATAAAAACATTAAATTTCCCTAAATTGAATTTTTAGTAGCAACAAAAGAGACTGCAGATTTGAATTTATTATCACTCATAATAATTATCATTCTTTGACAATCTGATTAGTGAAAAATTGCAATGCAGTGTTGTTTATGTGCATTTCAGTTAGGTAAAGAGCAATTGCTAACCTGCTTTGATTTGAATATTCAGGAAGAAGCTTCAAGGTTTAACTTGCCAGAAAGCTTTTTTCCATGAACTGGAAAGTTATTCTAGAAGTTGTTAAGGTCCCTTCTGCCAGCAATAGTCTATGCATGCAATAATCAAATAAAAAAGCTACTGCCTGACATGTTTACCACAAAAACAAAAATACAGTAAACTCTTATACCTTGTAATTTCACTATTCAACAATATTTGTTGAAAACTGACCACGTGCCTTGTGTTAGGCCAAGAATGTGGGATTCGACAGATAACTAGAAACTTTCCCCATCCTCCAGGAACTTACTCTGTAATTTGGAGAGAAGACAAACACAGAAATGCATTTGTCATTTCATGAAGGTGAAAAAAGGCACAGCCAAACTGCATTAACACCATTTACCATTTGAGGTGGAAAATGGAAACTGACTCCACAGGAATGAGGCTGCTGACTCCAAAGGTAGTTTCCAGCAAGGAGTTCCAAACATGTTTTGAGCAATGGCAGCATTCCTAGAATTTATGTATACCTTCCTGAGTTGATCACCTAAAGGGCAACATTACTGTTCAAGTGCAGCCTTTTTTTTTTTTTTTTTTTTTTTTTGAGACAGAGTCTCACTCTGTCACCCAGGCTGGAGTACAGTGGTGTGATCTTGGCTTACTGCAACCTCTGCCTCCTGGGTTGGAGCAATTCTCCTGCCTCAGCCTCCCGAGTAGCTGGGATTACAGGTGTGCACCACCACGCCTGGCTAATTTTTTTATTTTTAGTAGAGACGGGGTTTCGCCATGTTGGCCAGGCTGGTCTTGAACTCCTGACCTCAGGTGATCTGTCCACCTTGGCCTCCCAAAGTGCTGGGATTATAGGCATGAGCCACCACGCCTGGCCCAAGTGCAGCCTTTAATTTACAAGTCAGTCATGAAACTTTACCCATATTTCCTCAAACATTGCTAACAAATTGGAACTACTTTTGTAGTGGTCAGGTAGCTTCTTTCAGACACATCTTCTCATGGACAACCACTAAAAACTCTGGGAGAAATATACAAATGATCGTTGGATGATAGTGAGGAGAAAACAAAAGAAGGTGGTTTCTAGAGGAGAGTTGAGTCCTATAAGGAGAAAGTCACTAGGTGAGTTTGCTATATTTTGCAGCTTTTATCCTTTGGTCAACCTCAGTCCACCCCAAGCTGGGTAGCTAAAACCTGGATAGAATCCAGTGGTCTTCTTGCTTGAAGAACGAGAAGTAATTTGAAGCAATTTAATTAAAATCACCTATAGGCCCCTCTGGCACCCATTGGTAATCATCTCAAACAAGGAAACAAATACATTTCTTGTCCCTGTTCACACGTGTACAAAGATGATAATGTGAACCCGATCTTGTTCAAGGATAAAGGACATCTTTGTGAAATGACTGAGCACAAGGTATAGCATGTGGCAATGAATGTTTCCTTCCTTTCTCCTCTTCCTTCTCAAGAAACAGTAATAATACTCTCAGAATTCAGATTTCATTCTCAAATTCCTCTGTTGGTCTCTTATCTGGACTTAATATTGTCTAATAAAACCTAAAAGAAGGTTGTCTGTCTGTGAATAATGGTCTCATAAATATTACCAAGCAGAGAGCCTTCAAACATGATGAAATCTCAAGGTCCAAGTCATTGCTAGAAAAAAAAAAAAAAAAAAGCATGGAGGAATTTAGTAGAACAAAATAGCTTTGGGGGAATATTTAATACTCAAAGGGAAAAGGAACTTGTAACTGCTTGAAGAAATAGACAGCAAAGGCTTCTCCTTTTATGCAGACACAGGACTGGGACTGGCAGGCTTAAGACATTTAGCCTTGGGACATCCATGGATGATTTAAAAATGGGCCCAGCCCTAGGCTGGGCGGGATGGCTCATACCTATAATCCCAGCACTTTGGGAGGCTGAGGCAGGAAGATAGCTTGAGGCCATGAGTTCAAGACCAGCTTGGGTGATATAATGAGACTTCATCTCTTCAAAAAAATTTTTTTAACTTAGCTCAGTGTGGTGGTGCGTGCCTATAGTCTCAGCAACTCTGGAGTTTGGGGCAGGAGGATCACTTGAGCCCAGGAGATGGAGGTTTCAGTGAGCCAAGATCATGTCACTGCGCACCAGTCTGGGTAACAGTGAGATGCTGTCTCAGAAAAATAAAAACCAAAAAGGGTGGTCCCTGGTCCTCCATGACCTGTGGCCATCACCACAACCAGGCCTTCATCATAATTCTATTTTTCTTGCTTGTTTTTATGTCTTTGTATGCAACTTGTGGGGGTTTAAAAAGCTGCCTTGTGCCACCTCAGTTGTGGCTAAATCTTAGTGGTTAAGGACACAGCCCAGTGGTGTCTGTCAAAGCCTTTGGAAGAAAAGTTCTCGGTTAAAGTGAACACGACTGAGTAATCTAAGTCTGATGTAGAGAAACCCTACACAGGAGTTGGATTTTGAGGGTCAGGACATCTCAGGACCTTCACAGGCTCATATAATCTTTGTTCCAAGTCATTGAGGTCAGCCGTTCATCCTCGGTGGTCCAGCCATAAACACATAGCCTGTGGGGTAAGAACTTGGCTGTGGAGCTGCAAGGCCTTTTTAGCACTCATCCTTAATCAGTACTGGGAAGAGCCCATGTGAGGTAAAGCAGGGGCAGAAAGTCCTAGGCTAAATTCTCTCCAAGGAGCTCACTTTCTGTAGGAGGGAGGTGGGGTGGTGAGAAATATAAGGTGGTGAGAAGGTTGATTTTATTCTTTTTAGGGCCTGAGTCCTGAGCTTTTTTTCTCAGAAGAACAAGCTCTGGAGCACTGCAGAGGGGGATTTATTGTAAAATTGATTTCCCTTTAGTTAATATCTGAATGCAAAGACAAGCATGGGAAGAGCATTTCTCAAGACCTTACCTTGATTGTTCCTCCAGCATCATTTTCAGGCTTCAGAAGTTCCTGTGTCATAAGGATCAACTGGAGAGAAAGTTGGTTCTGTGAGTCAGCCCTGGAGTGGCTTGAACCTGAGAAGGGGAGGAGATGGGAAGACGGACTTTCCCAGCTCTCATCAGACCATGCTGTATTGACATCCTCCAGATTCCCCAAGGTTATCTTCTTAGGTCAATGTCTGGATGGTGCCAAGGGACTGGAGCAACAACTGTAAATGAGGAAGGAGAACTGTTAAAATGTGTCCTAGGGGAAAATGGGACTGGTCAAATTGAAGATTCTCATATTGCATTTCCAAAGATTCCCAGAATTCCCAGGATTCAGTATTTCCAAAAAGTTCTCCAGGCAATTCTGATGCAGGGGGTCCATGTGAAAAATGTTAGGAAATACTTCTTTAGAAACCTTACTGGGCCTCCTCCAGGCTTGGTGTTCAGAGTAACAGGGTCAAGACAGAGAGACAGAGGTACTGGCTGGGCGCAATGGCTCATACCTGTAATTCCAGCACTTTGGGAAGCCAAGGCAAGAGGGTCACTTGAGCCCAGGAGTTCAAGACCAGCCTGGGCAACATAGGGAGACCCCATCTCCATAATAATAATAATAATAATAAATTAAAGAAAAGCAAAAAGAGAGATAGGGGTAGGGGTAGAGGGAGAACAAAGAAAAGAGATTTGATCTGAAGTTTTGGGTAGCACGTAAGTAAGTGATCTACTGCTATATAACAGTCTCCCTCAAATCAACAGCACTTATTTAGTTTAAGATTCTACCAGGCTCAGCTGATCTGGACTTACTCATATGCCTGGGGTCAGGTTGGCTGGGAGCTGGCTGATCCCCATGGCCTGTCTCTCAGTGTTCTTTAGGGGTGCTGGGCCATGTCATCTATCAGGATAGTCACGGCATGCTCATATAGAGTCAGGTTTCCAGGAGCAGCATGCAATCTTCAAGTTTCCTCTTGCATTACCTTTACCCTTGACCAAAGCAAGTCACCTGTTCAAGCCCAGCATCAGGATGTAAGGGTTTATCCAAGAGTGTGGATAAAGGAAAGCCTAAGCAAATAATAGGCAACAATCTGCTCCATGCCGGGAATGGGAAAAGACAAAAGGCAATCATAAAAGGGCATTTCCTGATATTGGATGGCACAGTGATGGAGGCCTGGACTTCAGGAAGAAAGCAGAGTGTGGAGAGAGGCCACGTGGACCGCAGTTCCCTGGCAATGAGCCAGTGGAGAAAGCAGAGCTGTGGGAAATCAGAGACGCTCCCTGCCAAGGTTCTCCGCGACCTCTAAATTTGTAGCCTGTGCTCAAACAGGTCCGGAAACAGCCACAGAAAGACAGGAAACTGTATCCAGTCCAGCATCCCAGGATCCTCCTGCAGACGCAGCGGCCCGTCGGTGAGGGCCTCCTTGTTTTGAGCAGTCACGGCCCGGGACTTGAGGACAAGCTGAGCCCCGCGCAGGCCAGACTTTTCCAAGGACTCTACGTGTTCTGCGGAGCGGGACCAGCCTGCGCTGCGCTCTCGCCCCAAGGATCGCAGAGGGGCCAAGGCAGGAAGCTGCACCCTGGCGATGTGGCTCTCACTCAGCCTGGGCCTCTGCCACCCACTGGCTGAATCCGCAGAAGAGCGAGTGGTTGGAAGTTTCCAGTCGGATTCCCTTGGGGTGCCTGATGGGGACTAAGTCTGGCCCCCCTATTCTTTGGCCCCCACCTTCTGGTCCCAGTTGTCCCGAGTGTCCCAACTTGTGTGCACTTGTGGCTTCCCTTCAGTGCACACGGTGACCACCTGTGCCCCCAGTTGTACCCGGCCAGCCCCCAGCAGTCCCCAGTCAACTCCCAACGGCTCCCAGCCATCCCCTCACTACTCCCAGCCTCCTCCTCAAGAACCCCCAGCCTCTCTCCAACCGCCCTCACCGACCTCCCCAAGGTGGCCATTCGCTTGCATTTGGGTCTCAACCTACTCCCCTGTGTTAGTGCAAACTGCACTATTTTGTAAGCCTCCTGCCATTTCACAGACCCTGGTCAAAGGGAAACATTCCACGGGGTTCTGGCCACGAGAAACATCCCGCCTAACCTGACCACAAGGCACAGGAACATTCTTATCATACCCTACCCGGCAAAGGCCCAGCTAAAGGAACATCCCTATACACCCTGCTGCGCAAAGATCCAAAGAACATCACTATCACATTCTGCCGCAAAAAGGGCCATACTGCACACACCCCTCCCACCCATACCTATAAGTACCCCAGCCTGTAAGCCGCGTGGGCTCTGGCATTAAGCTGGTCCCCTACCTCCGTAGGTTTTTGCAATATGCCTGTGTTTGCTGTAGTGCCTCCACTCTCTCTCCCTCTGTGTTTCTTTTCTTTTCTTTTCTTTTCTTTTCTTTTTTAATACTTTAAGTTCTAGGGTACATGTGCACAACGTGGATGTTTGTTACATATGTGTACATGTATATCTCTGTGTTTCTTTAACTCTCACCTTCCCTTCAAAACCTAACACCCTCGTCTGGTGGGGCTGGCCTGGGAGGGCTCCCTAGAGACAGCCGTGTTTAAGGGAGGTGGGAAGCTTGAGTGGGAGCTGACAAGAGGGTGGGGAGGCTGTAGGAGGCCGGGGGCAACAAAGGTGTGAAATCTTGGAGAGGAGACTGGGCAGAGCCATAACTTTGGGAGCCTTGGAGCTGGAGGAGAGGGTGGAGAGAGACTATGCTGGGGAGGAAAGCAGAGGGGACCATGAGGCCTCCATGTCTGATGAAGAGGACCTGGGGTGCCATCAGATGTGCGACGTGGAAGGAAGCTCTGTCTGGCTGCGGCTGGGACAATGGAAGCAAGTTCCTAGGCAAGTCTGGGGCAGGGAGTTAGCCAGGACATTACATGGGCGACCTAGGAAGGAAGGAAAGTGACCTGGGTTAGGGGGTGCCTATGAGGGTGGAGAATTGCAGCCTTTTTGTCTCTCTTTTTTGGCCGTACAAAAGGTTAGTCCCAGACCAGTCAGGATGGTGGGGCAGGGCTGTGAAGATGCTGGCCAAGGTGGAGGTGGCTGAGCATAGGAGTTGGTCAGTGCCCCGGCCCTTAACTGAGGTGGGGACACAGGAACAAAGTGAGTTAAAAGCAGGAGGAGAAAGGGGTGACCAGTTCAATTCTGGGGAGTTTAGTTTGTAAAGGGAGATGCAAGTTCATATGGAGGTGTCCAGTGTGCGGACATGGGGTCTGGAGGCGACAGAGAGATATGGATTGGATTCATCCACATGTATGTGGAACCACTGAATTGGTTGAAATTAGAGGGGAGCTCGGAAATCTGTGGTCAAGTCTGTCCAAAGTATAAGTAGATGGAGAGAAACTTCGAAAGAGTCAGAAGAGGCCAGGCCAGGAAAGATGAAGAAAATAATAAATAAAGGAATCTTGAAGGCAGATGGCAAAAAGAAGTTTGGAATGGAGCTTGGAGTGAATGGCAGTGCTTATCAAAAGTGAAATGTAATTCCACTTCTCAGTATCTACCAGGAAAGAGTAGGCATGTAAAGGGATGTAAAAGCAGAGTTTTGGGGTGGGGAGAGCAGTTTTTTTTTTTTTTTTTTTTAGAGCGAGAGAGCTGTGTCATCCAGGCTGGAGTGCAGTGGTGTGATCTTGGCTTATTGCAACTTCTGCCTGTTGGGCTCAGGCAATCTGACACCTCAGCCTTCCGAGTAGCTGGAACTACAGATGCGCACCACCGTGCCTGGCAAATTTTTGTATAGGTAGAGTTTTACCATGTTGCCCAGGCTGGTCTCAAATTCCTGAGGTCAGGTGATCCACCTGCCTCAGCCTCCCAAAGTGCTGGGATTACAGGTGTGAGCCACCACACCTAGCTGACATTTTTTTTTCTTTAAGATGGAGTTTTGCTCTTGTTGCCCAGGCTGGAGTGCAATGGCGTGATCTCGGCTCACCGCAACCTCCGCCTCCTGGGTCCAAGCGATTCTCCTCCCTCAGCCTCCTGAGTAGCTGGGATTACATGCATGCGCCACCACTCCCAGCTAAATTTGTATTTTTAGTAGGGTTGGGGTTTCTCCATGTTGGTCAGACTGGCCTTGAACTCCCAACCTCAGGTGATCCTCCTGCTTCAGCCTCCCAAAGAGCTGGAACTACAGGCATGAGCCACCACGCCCAGCCTTGGCGGAGAATTTTTAAAAAGTCATCTGACTAAAAATCTGTCTGTTTCTTGTTATCAACATGTAATAGAAATTCTAAAAAAGTCATTGATAAACTACCCCTCCCCACTGTAGTGACTACTGCCATACCCCTCCTTCTGGGCACAGAATTGTGTCCTGGAATTATTACAGCATTGTTTATAGTGGAGGAGCTACAGGAGAAACCTAAAATCTATTGATAGAGGTGAAAGGCAAAATCAAAGGTGTTACATGCTATGATGAAGCAGCACATGCATATAGCAGTTAAAAGGAATTTTCAAACCACTCCTCAATGTATATATACTTCAAAACATCATTTGTACACAATAACAACAAACAACATTATCTGTCAAGTTAAACAAATTCAAAAATAAAAGAATTTACATACCTATATATCTAGCTGAATGGATCCTAAAAACATTGCTGAGAAATCAAAAGTGCACTAATATATTCATATTGACACCTTTCATTTTAAAGAAGGACAATACTTCACATGTATTAAGGAATACATATACAGACACAAAAGTGTATGAAAAGACTGGAAAGGTATGTCTCAGTAGCAGCTACTCCTGGGAAGGGCTTGAGGGCACTGGGGCTGGGGGTGGTGTCAAAGGCAACTTGAGAGACTTATAATTAAAAAAAGAACAAAGGCAAATATAAAGTAATTGGTAAAAGTTATACAACTGAAAGTAAACAATAATTTTTAAGTACCTATCATGGAGAAAAAAGACACAAACCTCTACATTGTTTAGAAAGTAAACTATTTGGCCAGTCACGGTGACTCACACCTGTAATCCTGGCACTTTGGGAGGCTGAGACAGGCGGATCACATGAGGTCGGGAGTTCAAGATCAGCCTGGCCAACATGGGGAATCCCCATCTCTACTAAAAATACAAAAAAATTAACTAAGGTGGTGGCACACACCTGTAATCCCAGCTATTTAGGAGGCTGAGGCATGAGAATCGTTTGAACGAGGTTGCAGAGATCGTGCCACTGCACTCCAGCCTGGGCAACAGGGCGAGACTCTGTCTCAAAAAAAAAAAAAAAAAAAGAAAGTAAAGTATTTGATTTGAGTCCTTCCTCCCTTCATTTTCTTATGTCTGGGCCTGCTGATCTTCCTCTGGCCTCGCCACTTTAGGGACACAGGATCATCATGGTGGGGACATCCCACTGACTTATGCTGCCACCTGCACATGCGAGGTGTTCATTGCCTTTGAGGGCTCTCTCCAGCCCTACTGTTTCCAGGGGCTCTAAGCAGGGCCCAGGTGTCATGTGGAAATGGCTGCTTGGGTCAGGGCTCTGCTCCAGGCCACTGCTTACTGGAAGGGAAGAGGGATTTCTTTTTTTTTTTTTTTTTTTTGAGATGGAGTCTTACTCTGTCACTCAGGCTGAAGTGCAGTGATGCGATCTCGGCTCACTGCAATCTCCACACCCTGGGTTCAAGCAATTCTCCTGCCTCGGCCTCCCAAGTAGCTGGGATTACAGACACTTGCCACCACGCTTGGCTAATTTTTGTATTTTTAGTAGAGACGGGGTTTCACCATCTTGGCCAGGCTGGTCTTGAACTCCTGACCTTGTAAATCCACCTGCCTCGGCCTTCCAAAGTGCTGGGATTACAGGCCTGAGCCACAGCGCGCGGCTGGGAAGAGGGATTTCCAACTCCACCTGTAAGATGTACTTAGTTCAGGGGGCAAGAAGCAGAGGTAAGACTCAGGAAGTGTCCCACCCTTTGGGAGGTGCTGCCAGCTTCTCCTCCTGTGTCCTATGCCCTGTGAGAATGCACTGGCCCACCTTGCCCAAAGTAACCTCCTCTCCCAGCCCACTTGCCCTAGCCCTGTCCAGACCCCATCAGCTCTTGCTTGCTGGGCATGGATTGACAAGCTGTCAGGCAGGCTGAGCTGAGCTAGGGCTCATGGAGGTAGGAACTTCAGACCCTTTCTGCCATTTTTGAATTTGGCTTTAAAGAGGCACAAATATTGTGTTTTAACAATTCAAATTTTCTTTCTGGCAATGATTTGCTAGCAATGTGAGTCAGCTTCCTTAAGGTCCACTTTTCCTTTCTGGAATTTAAACTGAAACTGAAAGTTGGCAACAGTGTCTTCCTCTCCAGGCCAATCCCTGCAGTGGGATGTGGGTCTCCTTGATGACGGCCCCTCTGTCCACACCAAAACCCTTGCCGACCATTGCAAAAGGCTGAGAGTTTTGAATTCTCTGTCCCTAAGAAAGAAAGGAAAACAGGGAGATCTTCACGATTATAAACTGAACCCTGGAACACCCCTCCTGTCCTTCCCCGAACAGGCCTGTGCCCCCTGCTCATTCTCCAGGTGCACCCCAAATCAAGAAAGCTCAAATTCCAGTGATGAGACTGGGTGCTTCCACTTGGAAGCTGAGAGACATCTTCTGTCTTCTGCTTCCCTGCAAGTCTTGGGCCTCCAATTAGTGGAGAGGGAAAGTGTCGCAGACGTGGGTGTGGCAGGAGCCCAGGTGGAGCCTCTGGTGGAGCGGAGGAGAGAGATGATGCTGCCTTTCCCAAGAACAAGCTCACAGTGCTGCCCAAAAGGCTCCTGGAGAGGTGACTTTGCCCAACAGGCCCCAAGTTGCTTACTTTCTCAGTCCTCAGGTTTTCACAGGGAAGAGACCCGCCACCCTCACTGCCCCCACCTCACCCAGGAGGACTGAGACTTCATTTGCTCTTCTCCTCCTTCGCTGGGTCCATTCCACAGTGCTAGTCTGAGAGGTGTGGTGTTGGGGGAAGACATAAAGGAGGTGTTTAGCCTTCTGAGGTGTGGTAGGGTAGGGGTGTTGATAAAGCCAGAGCCCCTCCTGTAAGGTAGGACTGGGTTCAGGGGACACTGACTTGGATTGTAATGCCTGAGGCCTCAGGGAAGGGCTCTGATCTCAGGCAAGACAGGGCTGGGCTCGGGGAGGAGCTGGATCCCTGAATTTTTGTGAGGAGATGTTTATTTCATGAATGTGTGTGTATGAGGTCCCTCTGTATCCCCGCCAATACTCTGGGCCTGTCTCTGTGACTCACTCATAGTAGAAGGGGAGGGTGTGGTTGGTGGGGTTTGGTTGAGCTTACCGTGCCCCCAGGGGATGAGAGAGGCACTCTTGGGGAACCCCCAGTAGGCGGGGTGCTGGTCTCTCTCTACCTCCTGCATCTGCCTGGTGGTGCCTCCTCTGGATCCCCAGCATCTCCTCGTTTCTTCAGGCCTCCCCCTTCTCCCTTGAGCCCTTATGTCCCATGTGATATTTTAGCTAGTTCCCATCCCATCCAAGGAGGCTGCTATCTGGCTCTGGCTGGGAAATAAACATGTGCTTTTGCTACCAACATCAGAATTGTGTTGTTTGTCTCAAAAGAGCACCATACTGGGGCAGCAGGTGAAGCACAGGAAGTTCTGGAAAACATCAACTGTCACACTCATCTCCAGGGAGAATATCCTTATAGGAACCCTGTGGAGAGGCCAGTGTGCATCTGTGAGAGGCAGGTGGGAAATTCACAGGATCTGAGTCAGGAGAGGAGGGTGACTACTCAGAGGGGTTCAAAGCAACACTTGTTATTCCTAGAGGGGTGTTTTTAAATGTGGCAGAGAAGGCCCAGTGTGGAGGCTGTTGGCCAAGGAGCTGGTCCAGTAGCCCTGAGGAATGGTGGCAGGGATTTCTGAGAAGGGTGGGGTTCTCAGCTCCAGCTGGTCAGGCCAGCTGTCTGGAAGGGTGGGAGCTTCTTGCACCAGTGTGTGGGGGTGCAAGCATCTGTCCCAGGTACCCAACAGCCCCTGGGAAGGGTGTTAGGCCCCTCTGCACCCCCACTAATGCTCTGGGCCTGTCTCTGTGACTCATAATAGGAGGGGAGGTGTGGTGGGGGCCATGTCTGCCCGGCAGGGCTGAAGTTATTTCTTTAGATCTCTCAATGACCCACAGAAGTGCATTCAGAGGCCTCTTCCCTGCTGCAAACAGACTCTAGACAAATGTAGAAGAGAGAAAATTGAGACAAGTGTGTCTTCCAGCTCTCCATCAGTAGGGGAGAAGACTCCATGACCCCCTTAGGGTGTATCAAGAGACTCCCTGTGCCACAGGCATCAACAAATCCACACAGGGCCTGGTGAGGGGAGATGTTTTCCCTGAAACTTCAGAAATATTCCTACACCATGGCCGGGCGCGATGGCTCATGCCTGCATTCCCAGGATTTTGGGAGGCTGAGGCGGGCTGATCACTTGAGGTCAGGAGTTTGAGACTGCCTGGTCAGGATGATGAAACCCCGTCTCTGCTAAAAACACAAAAATTAGCCGGGTGAGGTGGCACATGCCTGTAATCTCAGCCACTCAGGAGGCTGAGGCAGGAGAGTCACTTGAACCTGGGAGGTGGAGGTTGCAGTGAGCTGAGATCATGCCACTGCACTCCAGCCTGGGCAACTGAGTGAGACTCCGTCCTCCAGCCACCCCGCAAAAAAATTCCTACACCAAGAGCAGGCCCATCTGCAGGTACCAGAAGACTTTTGAGTCATTTTTGAAATTCACTTATTATACAATTTAGAAGATCTCAACCCACATATAACTAAGAAGTATGTGATATATCCTCATAGAGTTTAAGTATATAAATATATATACGCACACATACATAATTTTCTAAAATAATGCTATGTGTTGAACTGTTTTTGATATTTCCTTCCTCCCTGAGGTCGTAGAGTTTTTGTTCTTTTGACACCTTGGTTGACTTTATCATTTTATCACCTGAGTATGCCTCTTCAATTCATACATTGTTTTATTTTCCTGTTTTTTTAAAAAAACAACTTTATTGACATATGACATGTGACATGCCATACAACTTACCCATTTAAAGTGTACAACTCAGTAGTTTTTAATATATTCACAGAGTTATGAAATCACCTCCATAATCAATTTGAATATTTTCCTCCACAAAGGAACCTTATGACCATTAGCAGTTAGGCAACCACTCTTCTACTTTTGGTCTCTACATACATGCCTAAATGGAATGATACAGCATATGGTCCTTTATAGCAGGAATGGATATTTTATTTCTTTTTCTGGCTGAACAATACTGCACCGTATGGATATACTACTTTTTTCTTTTTTGAGACAGGGTCTTGCTCTCTTACCCAGGCTGGAGCATAGTGGTGCGATCATAGCTCACTACAGCCTCAACCTCCTTGGCTCAAGCAATTCTCTCACCTCGGCCTCCCAGAGTGTTGGGATTACAGGCATCAGCTACTGTGCCTGGCTGATATATTACATTAAAAAATAAAAAATCTGTTGGCTGGGCGTGGTGGCACACGCCTGTAATCCCAGCACTTTGGGAGGCTGAAGTGGGTGGATCACCTGAGGTCAGGAGTTCAAGACCAACCTGGCCAATGTGGTGAAACCCTGTCTATCCTAAAAATACAAAAATTAGCCGGTCGTAATGGCTCATGCCTGTAATCCCAACTACCTGGGAGACTGAGGCAGGAGAATTGCTTGAATCTGGGAGGTGGAGGTTGCAGTGATCTGAGGCCATGCCATTACACTCCAGCCTGGGTGGCAGAGTGAGACTCTGCCTCAAAAAAAAAAAAAAAAATCTGTTTGTCATTTGATAGACATTTGTTGGGTTGTTTCTGTTTTTTCGCTGTTATGAACAATGCTGCTATGAATATTAGTGTACAAGTGTTTGTGTGGACATTGTCCTTTCTTTTGCATATATACTTAGGAGTGGAATTGCTGGGTCATATGGTAACTCTATGTTTAACCACTTGAATTACCAGACTGTTTTCCAAAGTGGCTATACCATTTTACATTCCTACCAGCAGTGTATGAGGGTTACCATTTCTCCACATCCTCGTCAACACTTGTTACTATCTGTCTTTCTGATTCTATGCAGGCTAGTGAGTGTGAGTGTTCTCTCATTATGGCTTTGATTTACATTTTCCTGATGACTGTGTGCTTATTGGTCATGTGTATGTCTTAGAGAACTGTCTATTCAGACTCTTTGGCATTTTTTAGTTGGGCCAGCTGGTTTTTCACCTTCCTATAAATGGAATAATTGCACATCTTTTTGTGTGACTTGCCTCTTTCCCTCAGTGTTGTCTCTGTGCTTTTCATTCCTGGTCACCATGCTCCTGCAGGGTCTTCATGACATCAGTGTACTGCAATGGCCATTTGGACTGTTCCAGTTTTTGGCCATTATTAACTTGGTCACTTTGAACATTTTTGATAGATTAGATTAGATAGATTTTTACTCCTTAAAATAAGGAATAAAATAAATGGGCCTGCTCTTGGTGTGGGAATATTTTTTTAAGGATTTGGCTTAAAAAGTCCTTTATTTTAAGGAATTGGCTCATGTGCGGGTACAAGTCCAAAATCTGCAGGGTAGGCTGCTAGGAAACAGTTGAAGTTTGTCTCCCAAAGACAATCTTATGGCAGGATTCTTTCCTGCTTGGTCTGGAACTTTGGAATGGCTTCCACCAATAGGCCCTTCCTCAAGGACTTAAAGCTTTTACTGCTTAGCTGAGAGCAGTGACTAACGAACTCAAAAGCACTCCTTCTAACACCTTCTTTTCTATTTGGAAAACAGTTTCATAATGTACAAAACATGCTTACTGCAGCAGGATACATAAAAGATTAATGTTATCTTTGCTATCTGTTGAGTGAGAATGGAGAATCATCATTCATTTGTCCTTTTTCCCCCTAAGTTCCTCCCTCTCTCCCTCCCTCCCTCCCTCCCTCCCTGGGCGACAAGAATGAAACTCCGGAAAGAAAAGAAAAGAAAAGAAAAGAAGGAAGGAAGAGAGGAAGGAAGGAAGGAGGGAGGGAAGGAAGGAAGGAAGGAAGGAAGGGAGGGAGGGAGGGAGGGAGGGAGGGAGGGAGGGAGGGAGGGAGGAAGGAAGGAAGAAAGGGAGGGAGGGAGGGAGGGGCCAGGCACAGTGGCTCACGCCTATAATCCCAGCAATTTGGGAAGCCAAGGTGGGTGGATCACTTGAGGTCAGGAGTTTGAGACCAGCCTGGGAATGTGACAAAGCCCCGTCTCTATGAAAAATACAAAAATTAGCCAGGCGTAGTGTCGCATGCCTGTAATCCTAGCTACTTGAGTGGCTAAGGCACAAAATAGCTTGAATCTGGGAGACAGAGGTTGCAGCCTGGGTGACAGAGTGAGACTCTGTCTCAAAAGAAAAAAAAAAAAAGGAAGGAAGAAGGAAAAGAAAGAAAGAAAGACAGCCATAGTCAAGTTCAATTCCAGACAATGGCAATGATTTATTTATAAACATTGCATATTTTGTCAGAATTTAAAATGAAACTGGTAGGCCTCCGAGAGTTTCACTTTATTTGCAAGATAAGGGATTTGTTTATGTGATCTCCAAGTTTTATTTCCTCCCAAATAGTACGTGGATGACCGGGCAACAGAGTTCCCCAAATGATCTGATAAAACTTCATGTGGGAACCAGCGAAGAAAGTAAGGCTGCCTCCCAGGGTCAGTCAGCTGCATGGAGGCAGGATGAAGACTGGTACCTGCACCTCTGAAAAGAAGGGCAAAGCCTTCTGTGCATTGCACTTCCAGGCATGGATCACACTAATGCAGCCTGGTTCATTTCTCCCTAGCTGTGCCTTCAACAGCAGCTGACAGGTGATGGGACAAGGTCTCTAAAAAATTTCATATGGGGGTCAGGCTGCAGGGTAGAGCAAAGGTTGTCGAGGTCTGAAAAACCTCTGACTACACCGGCCTCCAAGCCTGCTCAGATGGCCCACACACTCGGGGAGCTCTTCTCAGTCACATCAGGTCAGTGCTGTTTTTTATGAGTCCTTGAACTGTGCATGTTTCTCATCATCCATGCTAATCTAATGTGGGCTCCAGAAGATAATCATTGTAACGAGAGGATGCTTAATGTTGTGATTGAAAAAACTGTAAGGCCTACAGCTTATGGATTATATAATAATGTAATAGTTATTGATTCAATCATTCATTTACCCCAAATCTATGCAACTGGGAACCCATAATGAGCCAAACTTTTTGCTAATTACTAGGGCAATAATGGCCAGAATTAAGTAATTTCAGATAATAAATCACCTTTGCTCAGCTTTGGGACTAAACCCTCTGTGAAACCAGCAGACAATGTCATCATTTTCTCCTGCTTCCCTCTCCAGATTCATTCCATTTTCTTCCTATTAAAATTCTACCCTCTAGGCATGCAGCTCACCTTGAGGGTCCCTGATCACTCTCCCTTCTAGGACTTCACAGACACTCTCCTCTTTTCTCTGCAGCTTTTTGTTCCATTTTTGCATATGGCAGCTTGGACAGTTTTCTTTGGAGAGTGGGAAGAATAACATATTTTTGTTTTATTATTAAAAAATACATTGTCCAGGCCAGGTGCAGTGGCTTACGCCTGTAATCCCAGCACTTTGGGAGGCTGAGGTGGGTAGATCATTTGAGGGCAGGAGTTCGAGACCAGCCTGGCCAACATGGTGAAACCCCGTCTCTACTAAAAATACAAAAGTTAGCCGGGCGTGGTGGCAGCTGCCTGTAGTCCCAGCTACTCGGGAGGCTGAGGCAGGAGAATCACTTGAGCCCAGGAGGCAGAGATTGCAGTGAGCTGAGATTGCGCCATCGTACTCCAGCCTGGGCGACAGAGTGAGACTGTCTCAAAAACAAAACAAAACAAAACATTGTCCAGTGCAGTGGCTCATGTCTATAATCTCAACACTTTGGGAGGCTGAGGTAGGAAGATTGCTTGAGCCTGGGAGTTTGAGGCCAGCTTGGGCAACACAGGGAAACCCGGTCTCTACAAAAACTTAAAAATTAGGCAGTGTGGTGGTGCATACCTGTAGTCCCAGCTACTTGGGAGGCTGAGGCGGGAGGATCGCTGGAGCCCAGGAGTTTGAGGTTGCTGTGAGCTATGACTGCACTACTGCACTCCAGCCTGAGTGGGAGAGTGAGAACTTGTCTTTTTTTTTTTTTTGAGACGGCGTCTTGCTCTGTCGCCCAGACTGGAGTGCTGTGGTGCAACCTTGGCTCACTGCAACCTCCGCCTCCTGGGTTCAAGTAATTCTCTGCCTCAGCCTCCCGAGTAGCTGGGATTACAGGCGCCCACGACCATGCCCAGCTAATTTTTTGTATTTTTAGTAGAGACAGGGTTTCACCATGTTGGTCAGGCTGGTCTGGAACTCCTGACCTCGTGATCCACCCACCTCGGCTTCCCAAAGTACTGGGATTACAGGCGTGAACCACTGCGCCCGGCGGAGACCTTGTCTTTTTTTTTTTTCTGTTTTTTTTAAAGTTTCAACAAAAATGAAATACCACCTGCTGATAACTCTAATAAAAAGAAAAATATATAATAGGTATTTGCTTTAAAGATTGTTTTTTTTTTTTTTTTTTTTTTTTTTTGAGGCAGGGTTTCACTCTGTTCCCCACGCTGGAGTGCAGTGGTGCAATCTCGGCTCACTGCAACCTCTGCCTCCCGGGTTCAAGCGATTTTCCTGCCTCAGCCACCCGAGTAGCTGGGATTATAGGTATGTGTCACCACGCCTGGGTAATTTTTGTATTTTTAGTACAGATGGGTTTTCGCCATGTTAGCCAGGCTGGTCTCAAACTTCTGACCTTAGGTGATCCACTCGCCTCGGCCTCCCAAAGTGTTGGGATTACAAGCGTGAGCCACTGCACCCAGTCCTAAAGATATTCTTGAAAAAATCATAATTGCAGTTGTTTACATTGTTGTGTTGCCAGCTCTCAGTTATTATGCTCATATTCTTTATTCTATGTAATATGTGTGGAAAAAATTTAAATCCTAGGTTGCTCCTGGCGTAACTCTGTAGACTCAACATCTGGAACTCTTTCTCTATTTTCAAGTTAATGTATTCTCAGAGCATGCAAAATAATTTGAATGACTGCCTAAGGAAGCACTAATACATGCTAAAACATTATGTTTTCTATAGCTAAAGAGCCCTTTGCAGCCACAGTTTTTTCAAATATTCCTAGAAAACAAGATCTGGCTGAACTGAAAATACTGATAGTATAATCAATAAGTTAGACTTGTTAAACAAAGAGTAAAGAAATGCAACATCTGAATTCTTTAAAGCCACAAGCCAGAGGAACAGATCTAAAGCACTGACTACTTAAAGCATTTTCTATCTTCAAACTTCTAGAAAAACAAATATTACAGAAGCCTTCTGTTCTATTTCACAAATCCTGACTGGTTTGAAGTGAAAGGAAATCAAGACACTAAACAAGTCAAGAAAAAAACCTTAAATACCATAAAATATTTATTAAAAAGACATTATAATTTGCAATGTATTTTGCAGGGAAAAAATGGAAGCAGGAATTGAATGCCTAGCTTTGAAAAATGGAAGCAGGAATTGAATGCCTAGCTATGAAACCAGTAGGCCTCTGAGAGTTTCACTGTATTTGCAAAATAAGGGATTTGGTTACATGATCTCCAAGTTTTATTTTCTGCCAAATAGTCCGTGGGTAACCAGGCTTCAGAGTTCCCCAAATGGTCTGATGAAACCCAATGTGGGAATGGACAAAGAAGTAAGGCTGCCTCCCAGGGTCACTCAGCTGCATGGTGACAGGATGGAGGCTGGTGCCTGCACCTCTGAAAAGAAGGGCAAAGCCTTCTTTGCATTGCACTTCCAGGCATGGATCACACTGATGCAGCCTGGTTCATTTATCCCTAGCTGTGCCTTCAACAGCAGCTGACAGATGATGGGACAAGTTCTGATACAACTCACAGCCCTAAGCATGATTGGGACCTGCAGTGCTCAAATCTGTACAAAGGTTAGTGGGATTGGTAATTAGAATGCAAAGTTATACTCTGTGTGATTAACAAAGATGCTGCAGATGCTGATAGATGTGACAAGCTCCTTATTTGCATGCCTGGATGCTAGCCCTCCCTTTCACTGTTTAGTTTTTCCAATCTCTGGTTCCATGAGACCAAGTCTTTAGCTTCACCTATAATGACTTTGCTCTACTATGTATCACTGGAATTGGGCATGAATATATTTGAAATCTCCAAATGTTCAAGCATAACATTTTTTTTCCTTTAGTAATCAAAGAGACTGTTACACATTTATACAATCTATTATATGCTATGTGCATAATCTGTCCATGTTATTATTAAAAATAGAATATTTCTCACAACTAATAATAAACTAAAATGGAAAGACTGGATAACATTCAATTTCTTATTGATTTAGTCTCTGAATGATTTTCCTTTAATAAAAGTATCATGTTTGTTAATGATTCCATTCATAATCTCTCTTTTAGAAAACATAGGCCAGGTGCGGTGGCTCAGGCCTATAAACCCAACACTTTGGAGGTCGAGGCGGGCAGATCACTTGAGGTCAGAAGTTCGAGACCAGCCTGTCCAATAAGGTGAAATCCTGTTTCTACTAAAAAAAAAAAAAAGCCGGGCGTGTTGGTGGGTACCTGTAATCCCAGCTACTAGGGAGGCTGAGGCAGAAGAATAGCTTGAACCCGAGAGGCAAAGGTTGCCATGAGCTATGATTGCACCACTGCACTCCAGCCTGGGCGACACAGTGAGACTCTGTTTCGAAAAAAGAAAAAGAAAAAAATATAATGTCTCATACAGAGGCTACATAAAATTTCCAGTGTTAGAACAAAGCCACTAATACCCAAATGTGGTCCTTTGCTCCCTTGGCATTGGAAGTTGTGGGCCTGTCACCCCTGGACTCCTGGGGTTGTGTGCAGAAGGGGGTGACCTGTAGAGCATTGCTGGTCCTGCACTGGAAAGTGATGGAAGTCTGAGATGAGGAAAACAGGGCAGACTCCCTCATTGCTGGAGGACAGTGGCGTGGTCGCCATTTCACAGTGCTGTTGGAAGAGGCATCTGTTGGAGCTCTGCAGAGGCTGGAAGAGTTCCCTGAGCCCATAGTTCTTACCTGGGTCTGCGGTCAAGAGCAGCACTGTGATGCAACGCTTCACTGAAGGGCATCCTGATGCCTAGTTGAGGACATCAGGGGAGCCAGGGCTCCCTCTGCAGGGAGGGAATGGGGCAGGGAGAGAGAGAGAGAACTGGGTCTATCCTGTGAGCACCTCTGTCCTGGGCACTGGGTCCTCTCTGCACCCACTCCTCTCTTCCCATCAACCCCTGAATAGGGCTCCAGAGGCCAGAACTGGAATGGGGAATCTGTGTCCCTACTCATTCCTTCAGACCCAGCTTGGAAATCTTTTCCCAAGAAGATTTTCAGGCTCCCAGCTCCCTGCTGAATGAAATGCCCTCTTCTACGTTCTTACAGCATCCTTTGCTAACACTTTTGAAAGCCTTTAACCTGGCACATGAGCTGTCTCTGGCTCTTTGAGGCCAAAAACTTTGTGGTATTCATCTCTTTGTCCCCAGAGATTCACATAAGACTTAGTCCATGGTCCTTTTTTTGATTGCCGATGGAAAAACAAACAAACGAATGAATGAATGAATATAATCCAATGACTTGCTTTTTGTCCTTTGCCATAAGAAAGGAAGGAAGAAAGTGATTTGAAATTTAAAAGGCCACCAGTCCTGGAAACCCAGAGGTATGTCCCGATGTGCCCATTTCAGTGGCAGAAGCAGTACAGGATTCAGTGTGGGCTCAGGAGCCAAAAAGCTCAGGTTTAAATCCAGGTGTTGCCGTTTGGTCTTGTGATCCTTGGGACGTGATCTAACTTCTCTGTGCTTGGTTTCTCCTTGTGTAAATTAGAGAATAGTAGTGCCATATCATGGGGTTGTCAGGAGAATCAAATGAATTAATATATCTAGAGCCCTTAGAATATTTTCTGGCATGCAGCAGCGCTCCAAACATGTCAGCTGTTGCTGCACTACAGTTTTTAATACGCGATCATTCTTTTTTTTTTGAGATGAAGTCTTGCTCTGTTGCCTAGGCTGGAGTGCAGTAGCGTAATCTCGGCTCACTGCAACCTCCGCCTCCCAGGTTCAAGTGATTCTCCTGCCTCAGCCTCCAGAGCAGCTGAGACTACAGGCACATGCCACCACTCCCAGGTAATTTTTGTATTTTGAATAGAGACGGGGTTTCACCATATTGGCCAGGCTGGTCTTAAACTCCTGACCTCATGATCCACCCACCTCGGCCTCCCAAAGTGCTGGGATTACAGGCATGAGCCACCGTGCCCGGCCAATATGCGATCATTCTTAATGCCCAAGCAGAGATGAGGGTTAGGCCAGGAACTGCACTCTCCTTCATAGTTTATCACTAAACACAGTTCAACCATGAAAAGAAAAAGAAAAGAAAACCTGTTTCACTCAAAATTAGATAATTTCCTCCAGAGAGTAATAAATGAGAGACTGTCTTAACTTGATTAAAGGAAGCTTCAAGAAAATGAGTGTAAACCTCTTACTTAATGATAAAACAGTAGACTCCTTCCCAAGATAAAAACGAATGTTACTTAGGCTGCAAGGATAAATGACAGATGAGTTGAGAGTGCTGCATAAAGGGCCAGAAATGGGCAAATTCCAGACAGAAGATTGGCTGACCAAATTGATGACCCCCATTTCATAAGGTATTGTGTCCTAGCAAGTGGGGAGATAAGACATGAGAGAAGTCCCTGATACAACTGCTTTGAGTGAAGGGCTCACATATACCCTTTTCTTTCCTTTTTTATAACTTTGAAAAGTCATCTTTTAAAATTTCAAATTTTGACCATCAACATAAAATATTCAAGACACTTGGTACTATATAATATATAGGCAACAGAAGAGGAGAAACCCTATTTTAAGTGTGTAAATATCATCTGCCACATTAAGGTAGGGATTTCTCATATCAATTCTACATAGTGCTAATTTTTGTATTTTTAGTAGAGTTGGGGTTCCACCCTATTGGCCAGGCTGGTCTCGAACTCTTGACCTCAAGTGATCCTCCCTCCTCAGCCTCCCAAAGTGCTGGGACTACAGACGTGAGCCACTGCGCCAGGCCAAAACACAAGTCTTTTAGAAATGTTTAAATAGCTCATCTGATCACAGTATCACCATGTGAATATTTTCTAACTTTTCCAACTTAATTCTATATTGAAAAATAAGTTGCTTGGCCTGGAATAGTCCCTAGATACCTGTAAGAACAATTTTTTAAAAAATTAATATTATTTTAAATAAATTACAGTTGTATACATTTAAGGGATACACTGTGATGTTTTGATATAGGTATACCATGTGGAATAATTAAATCAAGCTAATTAACATATCTGTCATCTCACTTATTTTTTCAGAGGAGATATTTGAAATTTACCCTCTTAGTTATTTTGAAATATACATTATTATTGACTATAATCACCCTGATGTGCAGTACATCTCAAAACTTACTCCTTAAATAAGTTAAGTGGGGAAGTGAGACAAGGGTGGAAATAGGCCAATAAAGGGTACATTTCTGAGACAGTAAAGCTGTGGTCAACTGGGGTTTCACACACTGGGAGCTCAGGGAAGCCATGCAGAATTGAAAGCAAGCAGCGAGTGGGCAGATGGGGAAAATGATGAACAAGTTCCTTCGATTTGGTGATCATTGTGTTGTACTGAAAGCTTCAAAAATGGAAGTTTTTGGGTGCTCCATTCACTGAATATTTTGATTAAATGGTTTCAATGGGTTTTAAGCAAAAACAAATCAAAAATTAAAATAAATATTTTATAAAAATGAGTAGGGGCACAGTTTGATTTACACAGTAGTTTTTCAAAGGTTCAAAAATTTCTAAAATCTGATGATCAGTACCAAACTTCAAATAAAAAGTGAGCAAAATTCATTTAAAAGAACAGTCATTAAATAGAAAGTCACCTTCCTGGTGTGATCTGTAAATGCGTGTTCTGTAGCTGCACATTTTAAACTGTCATTTTAGGGCACAGTCTTCTTAAAATACCTACTTATTTTTGGAGTGGACATTGAGGCTTCCTCAGCAGATTTCTATCTCTTTTGGGGAATGTGGGAGGTGGGAGGATCAGTGAATCACCACAGCTCCCACATGGAAAGTAAAAGCTTATAGACAATTTGTGCAAGTTCCATAGTCATCTCCAACTTTTTGGAGAAACGGATTTAACACCTAATTTTCTATTAACCTTGATTTTCATTTATTTGAGCTCATTGCTACCAAAAGCTTTATTGCAGAATGCAAAATCATTGTCAAATAATTGAATCAGTAGTTGCAGATTTACATTATGTAGAAAAATGATAAAGCCAGTGCAGCAAAAGCAGAGTACTCCGTGTTCTTGATGGGAGGATTTCTCAGCTTCTTTCTTACCTGTAATTTCCCACCTACCCCAGCAACTGACAGTCCAGCTTTTTGCATTTCACATGCTGCAGTTAATTGTCACTGTGTATCTTGTTGGTACTCACGTTGTTAGCAGGAGCAGCAGCTGGGATTGCTTTTATCAGCATCCGAGACAAGTAGGAACTGACTGTCTCTGGGCCTCATGTCCCAGCACATTCTATAATTTTAGCAAGTGCCTTGAATGCTGTCTTTGAAATGCAGGTATTGGTTAAGCTGCTGCATTTGGAAAGAGCAGAGCAAGCAGATATGATTACTGCTGATCATCTTTCACTAAGCATGTCTAAGTGAGAGTTCCTTTTACTGCACGTGTGTGTCACGTGCCATGACCAGAAGAGATAATGGCCCAAGTGGGGTGGACACAGTGGATGCTTACCAAACCCAGCCTGACTTATTTTAATGCAGCAATTAAATAATACTTTGGGCTGGGCACGGTGGCTCACGCCTGTAATCCCAGCACTTTGGGAGGCCAAGGCAGGCAGATCACTTGAGGTCAGGAGTTCAAGACCAGCCTGGCCAACATGGCAAAACCCCTTCTCTACTAAAAATACACAAAAAAATTAGCCAGGTCTGGTGGCATGTGACTGTAATCCCAGCTACTCAGGAGGCTGAGGCAGGAGACTCACTTGAACCCAGGAGTTGGAGGTTGCGGTAAGCTAAGATTGAGCCACTGCATTCAAGCCTGGGTGACAGAGTGAGACTCCGTCTCAAAAATAAAAAATAAATAAAAATAAAAATAAAAACTTTGTCACAAAATGGACAATCTTGGACAAATGATAAACTGGAAAGGACACAGGGAAAAGAGACCTAAAATGGGTCTGTCCCAGACCGTTGGGATGTTTGCTCACCTCTGTCAAGCATGCCATCCAGCTCCAGCGGCTTGTGGGCCTTGGTGGAGTGTGGAAGCTGATTTGGTTAATATCTCAGTCTCCAGTTGCGATGCGGCAGCGAGGACTGAAATCTTGGAAAATCCCACTCCCAAGCCCGTACTCGTTGCATACATGACACCTCCAGCCTGTGATCACTTTCAGCTGTTTCTACTGACTCATTCTGGCCACAAGAGGGCAGTATAGCGTAGTGAGTATGAGCACAGACAGGTCAGGCTTCCCGAATTAAGATCACATTTCTTCCCCTGACTTTGTGACTGGGCAAGTTACTGAAGATCTTTGAGTTTGAGTTTCAACATCTATAAAATGAGAATAATAAAAACATCAAATAGGGGTGTCGTGGGGGAACAGATGAGATAAATGCATGAAGTGCTTGAAGAATATAGTCATATAAAACTTAACGATGGGAATACTTTCTGAGAAATGTGTGGTTGAGGCCATTTCATCATTGTGCAAACATCACAGAGTGTACTTACACAAATAAAGATGGCATAGCTTTTACACACCTAGGCTATATGACATAGCCTACTGCTCCTAGGTTACTGTCTTAGTCTGATTGTGTTGTAATAAAGGAACACCTAAGGCTCAGTAATTTATGAAGAAAAGAAGTTTATTTGGCTCATGGTTCTGCAGGCTTGAAGCATGGTGCCAGCATCTGCTGCTGGTGAGGGCCTCAGACTGCTTCCACTCATGGCGGAAAAAGAAGGGGAGCCCTCATGGGCGGAGATCACATGGCAATAGAGAAGCAGCAAAAGAGTGGGAGGGCAAGGTGGCAGGCTCTTTTTAACAGGCAGATCTCAAGGAAACTCATAGAGTGAGAACTCACTTATTACTGCGAGGCTGGCACCAAGCCGTTCATGAGGGATTCCCCACACCATGGCCCGAAGGCCTCTCGTTAGGCTTCACCTCCAACACTGGAGATCAAATTTCAACCTGAGGCTTGGAGGGGACAAATATCCAAACCATAGCCACTATAAATGTTTACAACATGTTACTGTACCGAATACTGTAGGCAATTCAAACACAATGGCGTTTGTGTATAAAAACATATTTAAACAAAAAAGCGGCAGTAAAAATGCAATAAAAAAGATAAAAAATAGTACACCTGTATGGGGCACTTAACATAAATGGAGCTTGCAGCACTGGAAGTCACTGTGAGTAAGTCAGTGAGTGAGTGTGAAGTCCCAGGACATTACTGTACTCTGCTCTTGACTTTATAAACACTGTACATTTAGACTACACTAAATTGATTTATTTATTTATTGAGGCAGAGTCTCACTCTGTTGCCCAGGCTGGAGTGCAGTGTTGTGATCTCAGCTCACTGCAACCTCCACCTCCTGGGTCCAAGCGATTCTCCTGCCTCAGCCTCCTGAGCAGCTGGGACTATAGGCACATGCCACCACACCCAGCAAATTTCTGTATTTTTAGTAGAGATGGGGTTTTACTATGTTGGCCAGGCTGGTCTCGAACTCCTGACCTCAGGTGATCCACCCCCTTGGCCTCCCAAAGTGCTGGGATTACAGGTGTGAGCCACCGCGCCTGGCCTAATTTTTGTATTTTTTGTAGAGATGAGGTTTTACTATGTTGCCCAGGCTGGTCTTGAACTCCTGACTTCAAGTGATCCATCCTCCTCCGCCTCCCAAGGTGTTGGGATTACAGGCTTGAGCCACTGCGCCTGGCCTCTAGCAGTCCTGCTCTGAGGTTCTCACAGTCCCACCTTCTCTCTGCAAGTAGCTGAAGAGTCAGAATGAAGAACAGGAGGAGAAGACGTGTGTCATTGAATGTTATTTCCAATTTGAAATTTTTGCCTCAATTGAAACATTTACTTCATTTAAGATAGTGTAATTACTGATTGATGCAATGGACTGAATATTTGTGTTCCCCGACTCCCACCAATTCATATGTGGATATCCTTACCCCAGCATGACAGTATTAGGAGGTGGGGCCTTTGAGAGGTGATTAGGTCATAAGGGAGAAGACTTCATGAATGGGATTAGTGCCCTGATAAAAGGAACACCAGGAAGCTCTCTTGCTCTCTTTCTGGTATATGAGGCATAAAAAACAGTCAGCAGTCTGTAAGCCAGAAGAAGGCCCTCATCAGAACCTGGGGCCATGCGGGCATCCTTATCTCCGACTTCCAGCATCCATAACTGTGAGAAATGAATTCCTGTTGTTTGTAAGCCATCCACTCTGCGATGCTTTATTATGGCAGCCTGAATGGATGGTGAGAATATATTTTGTTCATCTCACTATGTTCTATTTGTCTTGCCTGTTTTTCTTTATCCACTGTTTTAGAATTAATCTTTAATTTAAAAATTTAAAATTGAGATATGATTTATTTACAGTAAAATTTCACCTTTTTTTGTTTACTTCTGTAAGTTTTTAATTTTTTTAAAAAATATTTAAAATTGTTTTTGAGACACAGTCCCACTCTGTCATCCAGGATAGAGTGCAGTGACGTGATCATGGCTTACTGCAGCTTCAACCTCCCTGGCTCAAGTGACCCTCCCACTTCAGCCTTCCAAGTAGCTGGGACTACAGGTGTGCACCATCACACCCAGCTAATTTTTGTATTTTTTTGTAGAGACAAGGTTTCACCATGTTGCCCAGGCTCAAGTGATCCTCCTGCCTTGGCCTCCCCAAATGCTTGGATTACAGGCATGAGTATTTTAAGACAGATCTCACTCTACTGTCTGGGCTGGAGTGCAGTGGTTTAATCATAGCTCAGAGCAACCTTGACGTCCTGGGCTCAGGAAATCCTCTCACCTTTGCCTCCTGAGTAGCTGGGACCACCAACACACACCACTATGCTCAGCTAATTTTTATTTATTTTTTGTAGACATGGGGGTCTCACTATGTTGCCCAGGCTGGTCTCAAACTCCTGGGCTCAAGTGACTCCTGGGCTCCTACCTTGGCCTCCCAAAGTGCTGGGATCACAAGCATAAGCCACCATGCCCAGCCTAGTTCTATGAGTTTTGACAACACATACAGGTCATTACCACCACCATGATCAACATACACAATAGTTCCATCACCCAAAGAATTCTCCCGTGCTCTTTTATAGCCTTCCCCAACCTCCTCCTACCCCTGCCCCTGGCAACTGCCAATATTTCTCCATCACTTTAGTTTTGCCTTTTCCAGAATGTCATATAAATGGAATGATGCACAATGCAGACTTTTGTGTCTGGCTTCTTTCAGTTAACATAATGCATTTGAAATTAATTCCTGTTGTTGAAAGTTCCAATAGTTTCTTCCTCCTTACTGTTGAGTAGTATTCCATTGAATGAACGTACCAGAGTTTGTTTATTCTCTCACTAGTTGAAAGACATTGAGTTTCCAGTCCTAGTTTCAGTATTTGGTAATTATAAATGAGGTGATAATAAACATTTGTGTATCAGTTGAGTTTATTTCTTTAGGGTAGTTAAGCAGTGGGATTTCTGAGTCATATAGTAAGTACACCTAGTTTAACTTTTTGAGAAACTGCCAAATTGTCTTCCAAAGTGGCTGTCCTATTTTCCAACCCCACTAACAATGTTTAAGAGTTCTGGGCCAGGTGTGGTGGCTCACACCTGTAATCCCAGTACTTTGGGAGGCTGAGGTGGGCGGATCACTTTGGGCCAGGCATTCGAGACCAGTTTGGCCAACGTGGTGAAACCTCCTCTCTACTAAAAACACAAAAATTAGCCGGGTGTGGTGGTGCACACCTGTAGTCCCAGCTACTCAGGAGGCTGAGGCAGGAGAATCACTTGAACCTGGGAGGCAGAGGTTGCAGTGAGCCGAGACTGTGCCACTGCATTCCAGCCTTGGTGACAGGTTGCTCTGCAACCTCACCTGCATTTGGTATTGTCAGAAATTTTCAAAAACCCATTTAATGGGTTAATAATGCAACATCATTGTAGACATAATTATATGCCCCTAATTATTAATGATGTTGAGCATCTTTTTTGTATTTGCCACCTATATTAATCTTCATTCGTAAAGTGTCTTTCAATTGTGTTTTCATTTGAAACTTGGTCATATTTTTCTATTTCTTTATATGGCAAGTAATTTTGGATTGCATCTTGGACTTTTTATTTTATTTTTTTTAGAGACAGGGTTTCTCCATGTTGGCCAGGCTGGTCTTGAACTTTTGGCCTCTAGTGATCCACCCGCCTTAGCCTCCCAAAGTGCTGGGTTGGTTGGTATGTTGTGTTGATTCTCAGTCTTGTTAGTCCTCTGGAGAACATTTGGGGGGTTTGTTTTAGAAGGCATTATTCAGCAGCTTTTATCCTAATTATTTCTTCCTTGAAGATAATCTGTCTTTTTTCCTTTGGCTGCTTCTCTTCATGTATTTTTTTTCCTAAAAAATTTTTATAAGTGTGTCGATGTGTGAATTTCTTTTTATTTATCATGCTGAGGGTCTTACCACATCTTTAGACTTTGAATTGATGTCTTCCAATATTTTGAGATACAATTTTTATCCAGCATTTTTTCAAGCGTTGATTGTCTCCTCTATTCTTTCTCCTATCCCTCTGGGATTCCGGTTAACTACATGCTGGACTTCCTTACTATTTTCTTTAGTTTTTCTTTTGTGTGTTTCATTCTTTTTTCCCTCTGTGCTGCATTCTGGATATTTTATTTAAACTAGCTTTTTCTTTTCTTTTTTTTTTCTTTTGAGACAGGGTCTCACTTTGTTGCCTAGGCTGGAGAGCAGTGAGTTGCTAGGTTGGAGTTACCTAGGCTGGAGATCTTGGCTCACTGCAGCCTCAACCACCTGGGCCCAGGTGATCCTCCTACCTCTCAGCCTCCTCAGTAGCTGGGACTATAGGCATGTGCCACCACGCCAGGCTAATTTTTTGTATTTTTTTGTAGAGATGTGGCTTTGCCATGTTGCCAGTCTGGTCTTAAACTCTTGGGCTCAAGCAATCCTCTTGCCTCAGCCTCCCAAAGTTCTGGGATTACAGGCATGAGCTACCACACCCTGCCTCAACTAGCTTTTTGATTCACTAATTCCCTATTCAGCTGTGTCTAATCTGATTTTATACTAATCCGTTTAGTTGGTAATTTGCATTTTAAAACTTCTGAGTTTTAAAATTTTTATTGTGTTTTTTTTTTTTGTCCAATTTGCCAGGAAGTTTTTATAGTTTTCAGGTCACAGCCAAAGTTTTCAGTTTTGTCTTTCATCTCCTTGTTCATAATAAGCATAGCTACTTTGAAATCTGTGTTAGATAATTCCATTATTAGGATCCTTTATGTTTTTGTTTCTGGTGTACATTTTTTCCTGCAACTTCCCATTTATATTGTCTATTCACATGCTTTATAGTCTTTGAATATGGGTAGGGATTTCATTTAAAAAGTTGTTTGAAGAAATAACTTGATAACTTGGAGACTGTTACCTCTCTCCAGAAAACATAGTCATTTCTCCTTGCTTGGGTAAACTATTAACCTATATTTACCTCCAGAAACAGAATTTTCTGAGTCAACCAGGTGACTGCAAGACTGTGCAAGGACGATTTTACTTCCTGTTTGCCCTTTTTCTTAGGGCAGACACTTGTGCTCATAGCCCAAAAATTTGGGAGATTTATCATTATTAATGGGCTCTAATCAAACTTTTGTTCCCTTAGCCTGGTGAAAGTGCTGTGGTGGGCTAAATAGTTGGTTCCCAAAGATACCCATGTCCTCATTCCTGGAACCTGTGAGTATGTTACCTTATGGGGCAAAAGGCATTTTGCAGATGTGATTAACTTAAAGATCTTGAGATGGGAAGATTATTCTGGATTATCTAGGTGGGTCCAATATAATCAGAGGAGTGCATGTAAGAGGGAATTAGGGGTGGGAGAGAGAAAAAGATGCAAAGCAGAGGCATGTGCGGGCAAAGCAGAGAGACAGGGAGAAAACAGAGAAGATGGGTACAATGCTAGCTTTGAAGACAGAGAAAGAGGTCGCAAGTCAAGTGCTGGGGAAATACAATTAAAAATAAAATCTCCTACCACCCTAGAAAACATATCCAAAAAGTAAAAGAAAAAGAAAATAGTTTTATTATCGAATAAGCATTAAAGCAGGATGTAATGCACATCACAAGCAATCTACTAAAGAGATTATGAGGATAGAAAGATATTTCACCCTTTTATACCTCTGTGTATGCCTTTTACACCCTCTATGTATGTGTCAGGTAGACATATACAGAGATGTTTTCTTTCTTTTTTTTTTTTTTTGAGGTGGAGTCTCACTCTGTCACCCAGGCTGAAGTGCAGTGGTGTGATCTCGGCTCACTGCAACCTCTGCCTTCCCGGTTCAAGAGATTCTCCTGCCTCACCCTCCTGAGTAGCTGGAATTACAGGCGTGCGCCATCATGCCTGGCTAATTTTTGTATTTTTAGTAGAGACCGAGTTTCGCCATGTTGGCCAGTCTGGTCTTAAACTCCTGACCTCAGGTGATCCGCCTGCCTTGGCCTCCCAAAGTGCTGGGATTACAGGCGTGAGCCACCACGCCCGGCCAGATCAGATATTCTCAAGATAAACAATAGCTAGTCCTCTAGCAAGAGGACCGGACAGCACCTCTTAAGATAGACACTTCAATGACTTTCAGCCAAAAAAAAAAAAAGACATTTGATTGACTTCAGCGGCAATGATTCAGTGCTTCTCTCCCTCTCCACATACTTCAGAAGAAAATAACACTGTCACAAAACTTTCAAAGATATCATGAATACAATTTGTTTACAGACTTTGTCACACATAGTTCATCCTAAATTCACCTGATAATTGGAGTAGCCATCTATGTAGCTAACTGCCGTATCCAAAGGACAAATAAACTTCTCTTATCTTTAAGACAGGAGGTTGTTTTGCAACTTGGAGTGAGGCACCCACTGAAGGTAGGCTCCCATCCTCCCACAGGAACTGGGAGACAGGGGGGCCATGTCCCTTGATGCTAACATTTCAAAGAGATGAAGCCCAGATCCTTGAGAAGGACATTCCTGGGCTATGAAGTCTGCAAGAGGGCTTATTTAAGCTTTTAAAAAGATTTATACACATCCCAAAGAGGCAGAGAAAGAACTTAGAATGGTAAGTTTTCTAAACTAAATGTTCTTAAATAGGGGGAAGTCTCTTCCCTGATTTTCTTTTTCTTTTTTTTCTTCATTTGTATTTATTTATTTATTTATTTATTTATTTATTTATTTCAGTCTCCTAGCTATGAAATTCTAGCTCACTGCAGCCTGGAACTCCTGGGCTCAAGGAATCCTCCTATCTCAGTCTCGCGAGTAGCAAGAACTACAGGTCCATGCCATCACACCTGGCTAAGTTTTTTATTTTTTTGTAGAGGCAGGGTCTTGCTATGTTGCCCAGGCTGGTTTTGAACCCCTGGCCTCAAGCGATCCTCCCACCTCGGACTCCTAGAATGCTGGGATTATAAGTGTGAGCCACTGTGACTGGCCTGATGGGTAAGATAGAACAGGTGGTTTACTGAGGAGACAGGACCTGCCTATAGCACAGTGAAGTTCATACGGAAGTGTTGGGGTCCAAAGAGAATTGAGAAATAAGACCCTGGGGACCAGCCAGGCCCCAAGGAGGTGGCAGGAAAGGAAGGTGAGACCAGGCAAATTGGCTGATTGTTTCCCTGAATGTGTGGCTGGCTAAACCTTGGGACTGGGAAAGTTTTTTTGGTGCTTTTCTGAGCTCAACTTTTGGGTGCTCATGCCTTGCTTTGAAAGGGTTTTGTCTATGAACCTAGACATCTTTCAGTAATTACTTAAGTTACTCAGAAAACTGGGGGCCCTGGAGCGAAAGGAAGAGACAAAAGGGGGGAAAAATCCATGTAGCAGTCTGGTTCTGTTTGATCTGGAAGACAGCGGGCAATAATGGAAGAATGCTGGAGATGGAGATGGAGGGTGGTTGGATTCCACCATCTTGAGCCACGTCTGCTGTTTGGACTTGCAGACTTCAAACATGGCTGGGGGATTCCTAATTGGAATCAAGCTAATTCCCTTCTCGGTGTTTAAAGGGAGCAGTCACTGCTGGGTGAGATGGTCGCAGATCGGATCCTGGACACGGGGTTATGTGTTTGCTTTCCGAAGACGACTGCATTAATTGCAGCTCTCACTAATGGAAAGGAGCCTGTTTCTTTGTCCACGTGGTCAAATGAAGCCTGGGCATGGTCACTTAGCTCTGGGTGTAGGGAGGTGCAAGATTTAGGCTCGGGGCCCAGGACCCCCCAGTCTGACATCTCCCATTTCTAGGCTACCTGGGACCTCCCAGAATCTGCGACAGCATGAATAGGACATAAGGGTGGTGGGGGCGCCGGGGGGATCCCATCCTTATAGCATCGCCCCCCAATTCACTCCTAGTTAACCCTGTTGTCGCCAACTTAGTGAAAACCTCGCCTATGTCTCCATCACACATCTGCCACCTCCAAGTGATGGTTAAGCCGGTGTGCAGGCCGGTGGTGACAGGGATGGGGACGGCGCAGTCCCCATCCCCGCACCAGGCAGCACCGCCACTTCCTCGCCAGCCCGGCCGCAGCCCTCCCCGTCCCGGGCCGCGCCGCTTTGACTGATCTCCCCTATTTTCAAAAGGGAGAACTGAACCTCTTTTTCTTCTCTTTTCTTTCTTTTTTTAGAGACAAGGTTTCGTTTTGTCACCCCGGCTGGAGTGCAGTAGTGTGATCATGGCTCACTACGTCCTTGAACTTCTGGGCTCAAGCGATCCTCCCCGTTCAAGCCTCCTGAATGGCTAGGACTACAGGCACGCACCACCACGCCTGGCTAATTTTTATTTTTAAATTTTTATGAAGACGAGGTCTTACTATGTTGCCCAGGCTCGTCTCAAACTCCTGGCCTCAAGCAATCCTCCCCCGTTAGCCTCCCAAGGCATGAGCCACTGCGCCTGGCTCTTTTTCTTTCTTATTTTCAATTTGTACTGCCTTTACAGCAGCAGTGTAGGTAGCGCCTCCTGAAGAAATGCAAGTTGAAAAGGGGAACATATTATTTCCCAGTCTCCAGAAGAAACGCAGTCCTGCCGGTATCCTGATTTTAGCCCAGTGAAGCCAATTTTGGACTTCCGACCTTCAGAACTGTAAGATAATATAGCTGTTTTAGGTTGTGCTGTTTTAAGCCATTAAATTTGTGGCACTTTGTGGCATCAACAATAAGAAACTAATACACTAATCAATATACTCCTTGTTATATGATAAGGCAAAAAAACAAAAAACAAACTATGTGTACACAGTAGATCACTATTGTAGCTGGCTACCATATGAGAATCACCTCAGAAACACATTGAACGTAACTGTGATTGCTTTTTCATCATTTACTCTGTCCACTGACCTAGATTACAGAATTCTGGGTAAGACACACTCGATTTAATAATTGAAGTGTTAAAGTTTTATGGCATGAATATTTAATACAAATAGGGGTTAATTCCAACCATGTCTTTTTCATTCCTCCTGGAGACCTGTTTGTATCATTGGAAATGGTCTGGCTGCTAGTTACAGAGGCCTAAACTAACAGGGGCTTAGTTAAGATAGGGGCATATTTTTCACTCGTAAAAAGTGATTCACAGGTAGGCAATCCAGAGATTGCACAGATGCTCCAGATATTTTCCGTGTTTCAGAGTCCTACGTGTGCTCTGCCTGCCTTAGTTTTTAATTCTCATGGTTACAAGATGTCCACCTTAGCGCCATAAGAAACATCCCATATTACAGGCAGGAAGAGGGGAAAAAGGGAAGGATAAAAAGGTGCCTGCCGGTGGAGCAAGTCTAACCCTGAAAGAATGTTCCTGAAGGCCCAGCAAGGCTCCCACGTGCACGTCATCACTGGGCACCAGCACGTGCAGGGAAAACTAGGCAGTGTAGGTTCTTTGTAAAGCTAAGTGCGTTGCCACTCAAGTATCAGAGGGGCTCTGGGACTTAGAAGAAAAGGTAGAGGAGGCATCAGGTAGGCAATTAGTGGTTTCTGATGTGCTGTTCTTTCCAGACAGCTCAGGGTATTTGGATGCTCTCTCCTGCCCTCCTGCTACCTAAACTTGGGTGAGACTGGTGTGTCTGGATGACAGGTTGAGAAAAATTCACGTTTATTAGTTGTTCATACTGTTCTTTGAGGAAACACAGAGGTTTTTCAGAACTGCTTTAGGGATTCCACAGACAATATATATTTTTCTTTTAAATATGAAGGTTTAGGCTGGGCGCAGTGGGGTTACATGCTTAATCCCTGCACTTCTAGGAGGCCACGGTGGGCGAGTCACTTGAGGTCAGGAGTTTGAGACCAGCCTGGCCAACATGGTGAAACCCCATCTCTCCTATAAACACAAAAATTATCCAGGTGTGGTGCCACGTGCCTGTAATCCCAGCTACTCAGGAGGCTGAGGCAGGAGAATCACTTAAACCAGGGAGGTGGAGGGTGGAGGTTGCACTGAGCCGAGATTACGCCACTACCCTCCAGCCTAGGGAACAGAGCAAGACTCTGTCTCAAAAAAAAAAAAAAAAAAAAGGAAGGTTTAATGTTCCCATGGAGCACAACTATTAATTTTTATAATTTATATCAGAGATTCTTAAACATTCTTTTTTTGGTCTTATTTTTTGTTACCACAGCAGAACAGATTTTAAACATTCTCGATTCAATTCTTCACGGCCACAGTCAAAAGAAATACTTAATAGCTCGCTTTAATAACTTACATAACTTTTATGTTCTAACAAGTTAGAAGTGATTTGAAAAAAATCATAGACTCCTGGCTTCACAAGGGAAGCTGCAGACCTTCCTGGTATTACAGCTCATGAACGCAGGGCAGACCCAAACAGTGCGCAGCGGCAACACTTATCACGAACAGCAAAACAACAAACAGCTGTTTGCCCTGCTAGTTCAGGTGGCCTGCTTTTATTCCCTTATTTGGCCCCACCCACATGTTGCTGATAGGTCCATTTTACAGAGAGTTGATTGGTCCGTTTGATAGAGTGCTGATTGGCCCATTTTACAGAGTGCTGATTGGTCTGTTTTTACTGAGTGCTGATTGGTGTGTTTACAAACCTTTAGCTAGACACAGAGGACTGAGTGGTGCATTTACAATCCTTTAGCTAGACAGAAAAGTTCTCCAAGTCCCCACCCAATCCAGAAGCCCAGCTGGCTTCATGTCTCAGCAGCTCACTGCAACCTCCTCCTCCCGGGTTCAAGCTGTTCTCCTGCTTCAGCCTCCCAAGTAGCTGGGATTACAGGGGTCTGCCACCATGCCTGACTAATTTTTGTATTTTTTGTAGAGATGGGGTTTCACCATGTTGGTGAAAGATTCTCCCGAGGCCTGAAAGCTTGAAGGGATGAGTAACTCCTCCCTTCTCAGGCACAGTCCCAGGGCGCAAAGCCACTTGCACCAGCAGCCTGCGTCAGCAAGATAGCAGAAGCAGGAAGAGAGCTGGCCAGAAGACACCTACCCTTGAAGATTGAGAAAGAGGCCATCCAGGTACCACGTAGCAGTTACGTCAGATTGGGACACTTCCTCTTTACAGGAGACTATAAAATCCTTTCCCCTCCTCACCTGGGGCTGATGCCATTTTAGGCCTCAGCCCACCTCTACCGAGGTGCTCATAAAAACAGCATGTTGCTGGCTCATGCCTGTAATACCAGCACTTTGGGAGGCCAAGGCGGGCGGATCACAAGGTCAGGAGATGGAGACCATCCTGGCTAATACTGTGAAACCCCGTCTTGACTAAAAATACAAAAAATTAGCTGGGCGTGGTGGCAGGCCCCTATAGTCCTAGCTACTTGGGAGGCTGAGGCAGGAGAATGGTGTGAACCCGGGAGGCGGAGCTTGCAGCGAGCCGAGATCGTGTCACTGCACTCCAGCCTGGGCAACAGAACGAGTCTCCGTCTCAAAAACAAAAACAAAAACGAAAACCAGTATGTTGCTCCACACCGCCTTGTGTTGTCTGTTGGCGCACTCCCGGGGTTGGAACTGATAGAAGAACCTTTCAGTTGGCCAGGCTTGTCTTGAACTCCTGACCTCATGATCCGCCTGCCTCGGCCTCCCAAAGTGCTGGGATTACAGGCATGAGCCACTGTGCCCGGCCTCTTGGGACAATTTTAATTGGTGGGGATCCTTTTTATTAAAAAGAAATCTTGCTGGAGTTGTGTTGTAGTCAGAGCCCTCTTTGAGAAATCCTCCCAATGAAGTTAATCTTTCTCAAATTTGGTCAACAGCTGAGAAGCGATATTTGGAGTAAATGGGAGAGGGTTAATGGAAACTTTAGGTAAAAAAAGATTAAGTTGAAAACAGGCTATTGTCAGCTCAGCCACATGTGTTGTCTACACCTTATTGTGGATTTCAGATCAATAAGATCAGAAATCAGATTTTTAGTTTATCAAGGTGCAATAAATTAGAGAAGGTAGCTTTTATTTATAAACATCTTATTGTGCCCAGGCAGTGTTAAAAAAGAGCCTTAAAAAACAACAACAACAAAAAACAGAGCCTGATAATAAATTCCAATATATTAACTCACAAGGGTTGTCAATTACTTGGGATATGTGATTTTCTCAAGACACTTTCTTAATAAACTACCAGATCACAAAGTGACAAATGTTTGGCTGCTTGGTAAGCATAGAATTAAAATAATGGTAATTCTCCTTTCAAAGGTTAGTTCCATCAATGTTGGGTCCTGCTCCATGGTGCATATTTCTTGTCTAGTGAAAACTTGTATTAGGAATTAGAATTAGGCTTCCTCCACTGCTGCGGGCTGACATCACATTGTTACATTCTTATTCTGGGTCTCCCCTTTTGCTAGAATCCTTGCATATTGCTACCCCATATCCACACTTTCCTTCTCTAATGGCAAATTACACAGAGTTCCAAACATGGATTGGGCACAGGAAGTTTAACAGTGGTGGTATGGCTCCTATAGAGTGAGTTTTAACACTGAAAATTGAATAAAACCCAGTCTCTTAATTAGGGAACACTATGTACATTATTATACAGGTCACCACTGGCCAGAACACAATTGTGACTGGGCCCTAGCAGAGCAGAGGGAGAGAGACGGAGATGTTGGGTGTGGAGCTTGGGAACACACAGAGGCTTTGTCTGAGTGGCTGGCAGCTCAGTTGGTATCATATTCCTCTGTTTACGATTGAATGCTGGAGAATGTGGTGCTAAAAATGTGTAAGATTGAGGTCAAAATCTTGGATGAGACAGGTTTACACTGAAAGAGAGGATTGAAGGGCAAATGAGGAACCATTTAGGAATATTTTCTTTCAGGTTTGATCAACCAGTCCATTATTATTTACTTTACAATAATTAAGTGGTCTTATTATTACTTTTTTTTTTTAAGAGACAAGGTCTCTATGTTGCCCAGGCTGGTCTTAAACTCCTGAGCTCAAGTTATCCTCCCGCCTTGGCCTCCCAGAGTGCTGGGATTATAGGCCTGAGCCACCATGCCCAGCTGGTCTTATAATTATTTATAAAACAAAACACTGATTTTTCATATATATCAGGAAAAATAGCATTGGCGTGAATCAGAAACTCTCTGGCCTATCTTCTGTCTTTCTACTTGAAAATCAACTTTTACAACACATATTTGATACATAATTTTGTTAAGTAAACAATAATTGTCTAATTGTGGATATGACTTGATGTATATTTAAGCTTTTAGGTGAAATATGGGAGATGTTCTTACCAGTGACATGCACATCTCCTTTCTAAGAAAATGTTCTTTTGTAAATAATTTACTCATTTATATTAATTTTCAGTAATCTCCCTAACAAAATGTTGGCTATTCCTTCTAACCTTTTTTATGGTTGACTTTCTCTCTGTGCTAATATAAAATAGTATTGTGACTGCTAATGAGTTTGGGGTTTCTTTTCTTTTTTTTTTTGAGATAGAGTCTTGCTCTGTTGTTCAGGATGGAGTGCAGTGGCTCGATCTCAGCTCACTGCAACCTGTGCCTCCTGGGTTCAAGCAGTTCTCATGCCTCAGCCTCCTGAGTAGCTGGGATTACAGGCGTGCACCACGATGCCCGGCCAATTTTTCTATTTTTAGTAGAGACAGGGTTTCACCATGTTGGCTAGGCTGGTCTCGAACTCCTAACCTCAAGTGATCCGCTGGCCTCAGCTTCCCAAAGTGCTAGGATTACAGGCATGAGCCACAACACCCAGCCTGGGGTTTCTTTTCAGAGTGATGAACACGTTACAGAATTAGATGGTGGTAATGGCTCCACACCCCTGTGAATATACTAAAAATTCTATACATTTTGCAGCTTAAAATGATGAGTTTTATGATCTATAAATTATATCTTGCTACAATTACTGTTCTTTGGTAAAAAGTGGCAGGTTAACTACATATGGTTATTTTATCTACTCTCCTTTCCAAAAAATTACTAAAATTATAGTAGTAAAATATTTGTAAAAGGTAAAGGATTAAAAAATATTTTCCTCCACAAAGGCAGTAGAGCATTTTAAAAACGACTTTAACTCCCAAAGAAAAGGAGACAACAAGATGAGAGATGATAACACAATTTTAGGAAAGTGGACGGAGGATGTAAACAGAGTGGAGGAAGTTTCAGTCTGAGTGCTTGCAGGAGCGATGCCTGAGAAAAAAGCACATCAAAAGTTATCTGTTAAAACGCTGAGGGTCTCTACACTTGGAGCATCCAGGTATAGTGGAAAGCAAGGATCAGGCATAGACAAGCCGCACACTCAGAATGGACTCTCAGGGTCATTGCACTAACTTGCTGTGGTCACTGGAAGTTTATTATGGAGAAATTTCCTGATTCAGGAACAGTGAGGAACACTCATGTGGGTCCCTCAGATCCCTTGTCTACTTTGATCACAGAATATCAATAGCACGGTGTTAAAACTTCTGTATCTTCCCTGCCTCTATCAGGCTGAAAAATAGATTGCTTTTCTTTGAAGAAACTGAATGACCCTATGGAAAAATCTCCAGCTACTTATATTTCTAGGTTCGTCATTGTAAAAGCCAACATGGGTACCCACTGCATTCTCCAGCAACAAACCCATCCTTGTACCTGGAGCCTCCAGTTATCTCTTGAATGGCTGACTATTAAGCAGTAATGGACAGTGCAAGATCGCCAGATAAAGAGGACAACTTTTGGTCAGAAGGGGAGAGATGGAAACAAATAACCAGGATGAAGAAACGTGGAGTAAGCAAACTGATTCAATGCAAGGAGCAAAACTAGGAGCAAAACTAACAAAGACACAAACAAAACCAAAACCAAGCAACATCCCCCAGTGTAGTAGTTACTGTTTTCCTAGTTTGCTAGTTTACAGAAAATGCTATGTGCTTTGAGAAAAGAAAAGTCAGCAAACAAGAATGAAGTCTTGAAATTTAACAATATAATTGTCAAAATGAAGTATCAAATTCAAAAAGAGGGTTATAATAAATAAAATAAGAAAACTTCATGAAAGGTAAAACAAGAAGTCAAAGAATTGGAAACTAGGAAAGAGAAGAATGAGTAACAATTTAGAAGATCAATTTAGATCGTTCAAAAGCCAAATAACAGAAATTTCAGAAACAAGAAAGAGAATGGAGAAAAATGAATTAATAAAACCAGCAACAAAAAGGAAGAATTTTTAGAGTGGAATTTTGTGAATTTCCAGATGAAAATGCTCCACCAAGTGGGGATGAAGAAACATTCACTTTGAATGGTGAAGTTTCAGAACAACTGGGGTCAAAATAAGATCTTGAACATTTCCAGAGGCTTACAAAAAATCACAGAAAAAGCAGTGGGCATCTGAAAGGTCTGGAACTCCTCAAAAACAACACTGGAGGGGAAGATACAGAAAACCAATGTATCATCCACATTGTTTTTCTAAGGGAAAATACTTTTCAACTTAGAATTCTATACACAAACAGGCAATCAAGTGTGAGGGCAGAATAAAGGAGTTTTCAGGGACGCAAACACTTAGAAAAATTCACTTAATATATACTCTTTCTAGGAAAAGTATTGTAAGGCATGCTTCAGAAAAATGAGGGAGCAAACCAAAGATGAGGATGGCATGGGATCCAGGACAAGGTGATCTCTTTCCAGCAAAGCAATGAAGGGAAGAGCCAGGGCTGCGCCGGGTCTACAGAGCAACCAGCCTGAAATCTGAATGAGATGACAGAGGATTACAGAAGACAATAGATGTGAAAGATCATTCAGTATATTGGAATGCTTAAAAATTATTAACAGATAGTTGACAGATCTGTTGGAATATTTGGAAAAAAGGATGTAGTGTAAAATTTAAAACTAAGCAGATTAAAATAAATGAATAAAATTAAAAATGGGGTGATTATTAACTCCAGGAACAAGAAATTTGTACAAAGAAAGGAAACAATTGTAGTTAATCACAAGGTTCTGAAGGAAATAATATTTACATATTTATAATAATATAAATACTAACTACATTCAGTAGGTAAGGGAAAAGGGAGAGGAAAAAGTAGAATGTAAGAAAACTATACCCTTAAGAGGAAACCAATAACCTACCATAAATAGGTATATAAATGGCTATTTGTGTGAATTATTTAGATATATGGAAATAAATAGAGAAAAGATAGCTAAGAAAAGGTTTAAAATGGTTGCCTCTGGTGGCTGGGATGTTGACTGGTGAGGCAGCATAAGGGACTATTGTTTTCCAACAGAAGCCTTTTAATATTATTATAACTTTGCACAAGTGTTATTTTGATAAATGTAGAAACCAATTGAAATAGTACTTATTGTCACTGTGGCGTATTAGTTTGTTAGGGCTGCTGAAGTAAAGTACCACCAACTGGGTGACGTACACAACAGAAATGAATTGTCTCACAGTTCTCAAAACTTGAAGTTTGAGGTCAAGGTATGGGCAGGGCTGGTTTCTTCCGAGGGCTGTGAATGAAGGATCTGTTCCAGGCCTCCTTCCTTGGCTTGTGGATGACCATCTTCTCCCTGTGGCTTCACATTGTCCTCCCTCCAAATGTGTCTTTCTGTCCAAATTTCTTCTTTGTGTAAGGACACTAGTCATGTTGCATCAGAGCCCACCCTAATGACTTCATAACTTGATCACCTCTGTGGTCTGTCTTCAAATCCTTATTTGAATCCAAATTCTTTTTTTTTTTTTTTTTTTGAGACAGAGTCTTGCTCTGTCACCCAGGCTGGAGTGCAGTGGTGCAATCTTGGCTCACTGCAACCTTTGCCTCTCAGGTTCAAGCGATTCTCGATTCTCAGCCTCCTGAGTAGCTGGGAATTAAAATCCTCTGTAATGTTAGGCACATGCCACCACACCTGGCTAATTTCTTTGTATTTTTAGTAGAGATGGGGTTTTGCCCTGTTGGCCAGGCTGGTCTCAAATTCCTGGCCAAAGTGCTGGCCTTACCGGAGTGAGCCACTGCACCCGGCCTCATTCCAAATTCTGAGATACTAAGGGTTAGGACTTCAACAAAGGAATTTGAGAGATGAGGGATGGGACACATTTTAACTCATAACATGTGGGGATTGTCAATTGTAGCCAAAGTTTCTGTGGGAAAATCCTCTGTAGTGTTAGCAAGTTTCTTAATTGTGACTGTGAGTCCTGGGAGGTCTTGCTCTGTGTGGAACACAGGCTGCCATTCAAGAAGAGTGACACTGACTCAGACGTGGCCTCCCCAGTGGTTCTGGGAGTGAGGGTGCCACCGCACTAAGGGCAAACACTAACATTTAAGTAGAAATAGAAAAAGATGGCATTACAAGCATTTTGTGGAACCTCCATACTTTGGTTGTGTAAATTGTATATCACTCTATATATGGTGGAGTAGAAGATCAAAGATGGGACTTCCCCAAAATGTGTCATTAAGAACTTTTGTTGGAAAGATTTGAGAAGCAGAGGGTCTTTTAATAAAGATAGAGCTTTATAATATATCTACTAGATCTTGTATTTTTTAAATAGCCTGAATTAGTCTCCAGTTATTTTGTGAATAGAAAACAAGTCCTTACAACTGCCACCCACCCCTGTTGGTAACCTTCTTTAGGGCCAGGGCCATAAGAGTGACATTGGTGCAGGACTCTGTGTGCCAGGCATTCTTTCCACCAGTGAACACATATTAACTGATTTAGTCCTCACTCAAATCCTTGAGGTGGGTCCTGTGATGATCCTAGTGTCAGTGCCTCCAGAGCTCAAGCTCTAAACCATCTTACCCTACTCCCCAGCCCTCAGTCACAGTCAGTACAACACAAGCAAAATACTGGCATCACAGTGGGAGTGAATCAACCAGCATACGTCTATAACTCATTACTCAGAGAATGTTTAATTAACTATAAAGTTAGTATACGAAGAGGCCAGGCACGGTGGCTCAAGCATGTAATCCCAGCACTTTGGGAAGCCAAGGCAGGCGGATCACCTGTGGTCAGGAGTTTGAGACCAGCCTGGGCAACATGGCGAAACCCTGTCTCTACTAAAAAATACAAAAATTATTCAGGCATGATGGTGGGTGCCTGTAGTCCCAGCTGCTCGGGAGGCCGAGGCAGAAGAATAGCTTGAACCCAGGAGGTGGAGGTTGCAGTGAGGTGAGAGCGCCACTGCACTCCAGCCTGGGGGACAGAACCAGATTCCGTCTCAAAACAAAAACAAAAACAAAAATGTTAGTGTACAAAGAGATTTATAGTCAATGTTTGTAGTCTCACTGGATTACCTTTTCAAGGTTCCCTGGCTGATTCTTTACTGAGACAAGAGCCTAAAGAGAAACTTGGTGGTAATGTTGACATTTATATTACACTGTCATGGAGGGGGCGCTGGGAATTCAAAAGGCAAGGCTGCTGTTGGTTGGATTGGTTTCAGAAGTAAGCTTTCATCTTTCAAATCATTAGTGGGTAGTTCTAGTTCTACATATATAAAATAAATAGCAGAAGCAGAGTTACAGGACCCATGGCATTTAACAGAGCACAGAAAGGTGTGGCCCCACATTTTAGGTTAGGAAAATTATAAGAAAATGCCGGTGTCTAAGACTGAAGCCAATAAAATGTTAATTGAATGAGATTTATCATTCGCAGAAACTGTTCAACATAAGAGATGATTTATACGTGTTTTCATAAATGTGAATGCATAGGGTAATTGTCATGGAAACTTCCAAATTCAATGTTAGTTGTAACTAGACTGGATTAGACTCTTGCTAATCAAGTGTACAAGGGCATGCTTGTGTGAATTTTAGTTTTGGGGTGTATCTATGGGTATACATGAGTGTTTTAGGGAAGGAAGTGTGATCGGTATTTAATCTACATGGAGTATAAAAACTCCTGGAATTTGTCAATGTGATTGCAGCTGTGTTCATGGCTTATGGGTATGGCTTGTGATGTGTGAGTGAGGTATGGGGTGCTGGGTGGGATGGCGCTGTGGTGGCATAGCATGTTGGTGGAAGGGTGTGTGGTTTGGTAGGGTGAGCTGGTGTGTGGTGTGGTTGGACCTGGCATGGAACTTAACTGGAGTTTATGTGGAATGAACCTTGAGGGGTGAGTTTTCACATGGGGTGTTGATTATGTGGGAGGTGGGAGGCTGGAATATGTGAATGTTGGGGGGCTGTAGAGTGAATGTGGGGTGCGTGTGTATGTGTGTGTGAGATATGGTTATAGCTTAGCTTAGCTTTTGTTTAGATTTTCTTTTGCTCTTTGTTTTTGTCTTTGGCCTTTGTTTTATCTTTGTTTCGCTCTTTGTTTAAACTTTCTTTGGCTTTTGTTTGGTCTTTCTTTAGCCTTTTGTTTAAACTTTGTGTGGCCTTTTTGTAGTCTTTGTGTAGCTTTTGTTTTTAAGTGGATCTTCGCTGAGGACTCATCAAAAACACCTTGTGTAATGAAAAACCCAGATCTATAACCTCTCCCTATATATTCTGCATGCATTGAAGTAGGCTCAAACCCTCAGGGACCTGGTATAGACGCAGAATCTGTTTCACACAACAACTGCTATTTGAAGGTAAGAGGATTCCATTGGTTTTTATTTTACTTCATTTTATACTTTCATCTTTAAATGACAAGTGTACTTTTTTGTATGGGCCATTTCATTATATCCCAGGGAAAACTTTCTGTAAGAATAGTCAAGATTGAGAGGACATACAAGGATGGAGAAAACAAGAACAGAGGACACCATGTTTATTCTGATGTGGGCAGGGGGCCTCCTGGAATGTTCCTGCTAATGTTTGGAAATCGTCTGAGCCCAGAGAGAGGCTCTGAGCCCTTACTCAGATTTCCTCAGATTCAAAGCCCCATGTTCCTGGAGCTAGATGGATGGTAGTACATGCTGCTGCTGCTGCTGCTTTTTTTTTTTTAATTTATTTCTTCTTTTATTATTTGTCATGATTTAAAAATGAGTTTTTCTTCTTATCTAGGAACAATTTTTTTCCTCATACAGTTGGATTTATGTGTGGGGGATCTTAATGGAACAACAAAGCCCAAATCTTTTCGGAATTCTGCCCCCTGTAGACCAACAACCTTAAATGGAAAGGCGCTAATGCTTTGTCTGATACAGAATATCTTAGAAACAACAGGGAGTTTTCAGTTCTATGGATGACAGAGAAAGGAAAAAATATTATGTGTCAGGGAGGCGAGTAATGAACTTGGCCTACAGTACTAGCAGGAAAACGGGGAAAGGACTTTTTAATTCTTTGTGAATAAATCAGGGAGGCAGAGAGCAGGCTGCTGCCAGGTGTGCGGATATGCTGTTTCGTATTTAGAATGACAGGAAACTTGTTGGTGAGTGAGTTTTAAAAATTGTTTCAGATTTTCAGAAAAGTTGCAAACAATACAGAAAATTTCAGGTGCAGCCAAATTACCCAGATGTTCCTGTTTTACCATATTTCCTTTATCATTCTCTTTCTCTCTCTCTGTATCCATACATATGGGTGTATATATAAAAATATGTGTGTGTATATACATATATACATATGTGTGTGTATATACATATATACATATGTGTGTGTATATATACATATATACATGTGTGTGTATATATACATATATACATGTGTGTGTATATATACATATGTGTGTGTATACATATTACATATGTGTGTATATATACATATATACATGAGTGTGTATATATACATATATACATATGTGTGTGTATATATACATATATACATATGAGTGTGTATATATACATATATACATTGTGTGTATATATACATATATACATATGTGTGTGTATATATACATATATACATATGTGTGTGTATATATACATATATACATATGTGTGTATATATATACATATATACATATGTGTGTGTATATACATATATACATATGTGTGTGTGTATATACATATATACATATGTGTGTGTATATATACATATATACATATGTGTGTGTATATACATATATACATATGTGTGTGTGTATACATATATACATGTGTGTGTGTGTATATACATATATACATGTGTGTGTATATACATATATACATATGTGTGTGTATATATACATATATGTGTGTGTATATGTATAGATATATATACATATGTGTGTATATGTATATATACACATATTTATATCTAATTAATTTTAATTAAAATTTATTTTAATTGGAATTAACTAAAATTTATTTTAATTGGAATTAATTAAAATTTATTTTAATTGGAATTAATTAAAATTTATTTTAATTGGAATTAATTAAAATTAGAAAATTACTATTGAGAAAATACTGTTTTTAAATCTAGAGATATCTAGATTTCATCAATTGTCCAAGGAGCGAATTGAGAACCATGCATGACCTTTTGTTGTCCTGTCCCCTCAGCCTCCTTTAGTCTGGAACCACACCTGAGGCAGCTTTGACCTAGACAGTTTTGGAGAGTATAAGCCAGTTATTTTGCTAAATGTCCCTCAATATGGGTTTGGTCTGCAGTTTTCTCACAATTATGCAGTTTTCAAAGGAATAGGCTTGCATTTTAGATCATACATATCCAAATTCATACTTGAATCTGAGTATACAATTTTTAAATTCAAGATCTTGTTTACCTAATAGTTACTAGGATTTTAAATGAGTACCTAAAATCTTTGTACACCAAATTGCCAAAAATTAAAAATCTAGAGCTTTTACAGATAATTTCCAAGGAATCACCAAAAGTGTGTAAGTATTGCCCTTGGATTATAAATAGCAATTACAGTGACCTGTATGTGATCTTATAGGCTTAAAGTGAGGTATTCAATTTAGATTCTTTGTGTGTGTTGGAGTCATGTCTACTGCTCTCTGAGTATTAGTTTCATAAATATAATAATTCCTTTCTAAGTGCAACCATCTGCTGAAAGCAGATACAACTCAATAGAGTTTCCCTGGGTAGCCACTCCAGGCTGGCTGGCATCCTTTCGCGGGTTGACGGGGACGTCTGCCCTAGTGGAGGAGGCGGACCTCTGGCAACGCTGCAAAAAGTCTCCTGATCAAAAGTGTTTCCTACATGTTCTAGTACTCACACCTCAGCACTGAACTACAGACCACACCCATATTGAGGGACAACTAGCAAAATAACTGGCCAAAACTGTTAAAAACTGTCCCCTTATGGGGACAGGAATCAAAACTCTGAGATCCTTCAGCTGTACCAGACATTCGTAAAACAAGTCTTCTCAACAAAATCTGTGAGGTAGGAACTATCATTCACATTTTACAGAGAAGAAAATTGAGATCCAGAGACTAGCCTATGATTACACACAGCTAGTGAATGACAGAGCCTGGAACTCAAGTATGATATAAGCCTATTGAATTTATGGATGAGATGCATTATTCTTTTTTACTAATACATCACACACTTTACTTTAAAGTTACAAAAATTTAAGTTAAAAAGATGAGCTGAAAATGAACTAAGCAATATTTTAAAATAATTTTTATTAATGGTATAAAATTATTTGTACTCACTAAAAATATCAGTTGTATTTTTAATGAGAGTAATTGAGTTCAATGTCAAATTTAGTTTTTCCTCCTCTTTGTTAATTTAATAAAAAGATCTTCCTAGTAGTAGGGGCAGAGTTAGCTCTGCCTATTAAAAAATTAATTTGGGCTTATATTACTACCAGTATGATCTTAAAAGTCTTAAGTTATTCACTAGTTCCTTATGAAAGAATAAGTTCAGCTAAAACAGCTAAAAACCAGAAGATATAATCAACAAATCCACTCACCAGGCTCAATCTTCAATAATTTTCAGTATACTGAGAGCAAAGGGACAAGTGAAGGCACCCAGATGACCATCCATTGTTCAGGGCGTGGCTAGCTAACTTGTGCTGAATGAGGGTGGCAGGATCAACCCATGCATTAAATGTTAAATGTAACAATCTCATTTTTATCTTTGTAGATAACACATATGAAAAGAAAAGTCTTTTTTTTTTTTTTTGCGATGGAGTCTCACTCTGTCACTAGGCTGGAGTGCAGTGCACCAGCCTAGTGGCTCACTGCAACCTCTGCCTCCCAGGTTCAAGCGATTCTCCTGTCTCAGCCTCCCAAGTACCTGGGACTGCAGGCTCGTGCCACCACGCCCAGCTAATTTTTTGTATTTTTAGTAGAGACGGGGTTTCACCATGTTAGCCAGGATGGTCTCAATCTCCTGACCTCGTGATCTGCCTGCCTCAGCCTCTCAAAGTGCTGGGATTACAGACGTGAGCCACTGCACCCAGCAAAAGAAAAGTCTTATACCTCATCTTTCTGAACCTCAGTGAAACATCTTGGGAACTCCCATGGGTAGGCACATCTGCTTTGGAGACCACTGGGCTGACCCTTCCACCTTAACAATTCAATTACACCAGGATATGATGGGCTGACACCAAACTCCTCTTGGTATTTCAGTCTCTGTCAACCCCAAGTCTGGAACGTCTCCATTCCAAGTTCTTTTCCAGCTCCTCCTCTGGCATGAGGCATGAGTCCTTTCCCAGCTCCTCTTCTGGCATGCCGGCATGCCCCTCCTGCACTTGTTTCCATTCAGCTCTGCATTACCTGCTACAATGGCCCAGTGGCCACATCCAGAGAGCTAGTAATTACGCATAGAAGGAATCTAACATGTACTGAGATATAGACACCACAGCGCTCCCAAGAAGCAACAGGTGTGTGGAGGCATTGACTCAGCTACCAGATCCACCACCTCTGCAAGCGCAGAGCAGAGTTCATTTCTCCACACAATGTTTGCACGCAGGTGGATGAGGGCTTCTGGTGTCTTCAAGTCCAAAGGGTTTTCTATAACTACTATAGAGAACCTTGTGGTGGTTTCCTCAGAATCACCAAGGTTAACTTCAAGTCCCTACCCCTTGGGTGCCTGGTAGAGACAGAACTCTCATTTCCTTTGTAAGTAAGAGAACCTCTGTTTGGAAGTGGCTGGCAGTTTTATCATTGTGGAGATAGAGGCTTTGACTTCCCAGCAGACTTCCTTTACTTTGAGAAGATTACTAAAATGAATTCCTTAGATTAACAAATATAAAATATCCATTTTTTTGTTTTTGTTTTCATTTTTTGCAGAGAAAACACTGAAGTCACAAAAAACTTAAATGCAGGGCAGTTGGTTAACCTATTGTATGATCTTTGTAGTACAGTGAACATATTGTGGCTTTAATAGTACTGTTCCCTGGATGACATAGATTAACTTTTTTCTCCTAAATATCGAATTAGGTTAAAATTTTGGGGTTCTGTACATAGTGCTATTTAATATTGAGGAACTCAACTACTGGGAAAATGTAGCATTAGCTATTATGACTGTTTCATCTGGGCCGTAAAAGTCACTCTGTAGTTTGATAAAGTGTTTTCTACTTAAAAGACTACTCGAAGGATATTCCCATGATGGACCATCCTGGAGTGAAAAATGAGGGCCCCCTTCTCTCACTCAGCCAAAAAATTGGGCGCCACTGGCCAGGCATGGTGGCTCATGCCTGTAATCCTAGCACTTTGGGAGGCTGAGGCAGGCAGATCACTTGAGCTCAGGAGTTTAAGACCAGCCTGGGCAACATGGGGGGACCCCATCTCCACAAAAAATACAAAAATTAACCAAGCGTGGTGGTGCGTGCCTACAGTTCCAGCTACTTAGGAGGCTGAGGCTTGAGGATCATTTAAGCCTGGGAGGTCAAGGCAGTATGAAGACATATTCGTGCCATTGCACTCGAGCCTGGGTGACTGTCTCGAAAAGAAGACTGGGACTCTTGTCTCAAAAAGGAAAAAAAAATAATTGGGGGCCAGGACATGGAAGGGTTGGGAGGCCAGAGAGTCTTGTGGATAGGGGTTAAGCTGCTTTCCACAACCTGGAAATCTGCGGGGCTGGACTGGGCCCCTGGGATTAGATCCCATCATGTGTGCTCCAAGAGTGACTTCTTATAATAACTGTGCAGGCCACTCTGGCTTCTGTTGCTTCTGTCACCCTTAAAGCATTAGGTAAATACCTGGTGTCAGCTGTGCTCTGGGTGGTTAAGGAATCTTCGTTTTAAAAGGTACTTCTGATTTTATTTTTGTTCAGGTATGGTGAGGCCAACCAGATCAGGAGATAGTTGCCATTGAAAAGACAGTGTTTTACCCATCACTCCCAGGAGGAGGGGGAACATGGGGAAGGGCCACCTGGCCACATGGGGAAGCGCTAAGGTCTTAGGTCAGGAGTCAGAAGGAGTGAGGGTGAAAAAGCATGGGTGAGAGCCTTTATTGTGGTTTTTGTTGGGAGAAATGGTCTAGGCAGAGTAAGCAGGAGAGGCGTGCTTAAGATTGGCTAGTTTGAATAATTTCATGGGGCTCTGAGGCGTAGGAGCTGTCTGGTATCTGGTCCTGGAGGGATAAGGGCAGAAGAATATTAGTTCAACTTGTAAGAGCTCAATAAAGGAGGTAGTTGGTGAATTTGGGTTCTGGATTGGTTGATTTGCATATAAATGGCAGCTCACAGGGGAGGCAATTGCTATCTCTAGGAATCAGCTAGCCCTGGGAGGGGCAGCGTCTCCAGGGTCAGCAATGCCCCAGATGCCAGAGCATCAAGAAAGAATACAGAAAATAAGATCATTTCCCACAGAATATATGTATCAAAACATCACACACTGTACACCATAAAAACAAAGGAAAAGCAGCACAGGAAGCTATAAGGTTGTGTAATAAGGGTGCTTGAGAGTTAAACTAGACTGGCTAAGAAAGTTTTCCCTGAGGGAGGCATATTTGACTTGAAATCTTGTATTCTTGGGCAGGTGTTACACAAGTAAAGTGAGCTGGGGAGGTATTTCTGGAAATACCAGTCCAAGGTAGAAGGAACCATAGCGCATTGAGACAATTGAATATGGTTGAAACACAGAGAGACAGGAGCTAAATATGTTTTTTAGCTCTATTTTTAGCTCTATTTTTCTTCACTTGGCTGGTTTTCTGAATGCTCCAAACAAGGGATTTGAGAGTTCCTACTCCAATCACTGATACTTGATGGTTTATGTAAGTTATTGTAATAAAAACATATAAATGGCATTAACTTAAATGAAACACTGACTCAAATTACTCAAATTCCAATCACTGGCTCTTGATGGTTTATGTAAGTTACTGTAATAAAAACACATGGATGGCATTAACTTAAATGAAACACAGACTCAAATTACAGTGATGTGTTGGTTAACAACAAAGATACGTTCTGAGAAATGAGATATTAGACGATTTAGTCATTGTGTGAACGTCATAGAGTGTACTTACACAAACCTAGATGGTACAGGCTACTTAATACAACGGTAAATATTTGTATGTCTAAACAGAAAAGATACAGTAAAAATACAACATTATAATTTCCTGGGGCCACTGTTGTTTAAATGATCCCTCATTGACTGAAATGTTGTTATATGGCAGACGACTATACATGGAACTCCTAACTTATACACATCATCCCTCTAAAAAGCCATTTTTCCCTAATTGCTTCTCCCCATCCATTAAATTTTAATACTACATATGTATAGTATGTCTGTTTATGTATTGTACATATCTGTGCTTTGCACATAAAAAGAGTGAGAATTCTCACATAGGTCTGAGATTTAAAAAAATAAAATAAAACAAGTAAGGTTTTTTTGCCTCCCCTCAAGATCCAGTTTTTACTTCTTGGAGGGGATATTACCCACGTTGCAAATACATGCAGTGTGCCCTTTACATTGCTTTCTTTAATGTTAACATCTTACGTAACTGTGTAGCACAACTAATAAAACTAATAAATTAACATTGATACATTATTAATTAACTGTAGACTCTAATCATATTTTACAAGTTTTACCACTAAAGTCCTATTTCTGTCAGGTACTAATCCAGGATCTTGCATTGCATTTAGTTATCAGGTCTCTTTAATTTTCTCTAACCTGTGACAATTCCTCAGTTTTTCGTTGTCTTTCATGACCTTTAGACTTTTTAAAAACATTGAAAAGTTATGTATAGTGTCCTTCAATTTGAATTTTTCTGAAGTCTTCTCATGATTAGGTTGAAGTTATATATTATTGAAAAGAATTACACAGGGATGATGTGTGCTTCTCATATCAGAGAATAAACGAGGATGATCTGTCTTATTACTGGTGATGTTAACCTTGATCATTTGGCTGAGATGATACTTCCCAGATTTCTCCACTTTAAAGTGATTATTCTTTTCTTTTTAATTAGTAAATATTTCTTGGGGGAATATTTTGAGATGATACAAATATTGTGTTTCTCCTTACACTTTCACCTACTAATTTTAGCATCCATTAGTCAATGATGCTTGCAGAAATTATTATTGTGGTACTCTAATAGTGATTTTCTATTTCTCTCATTACTTCTACATTCATTAATTGGAATGATTCTTTAAGGAAGATTATCTCTTCTACTCCATTTATTTATTTATTCAGTTATTTATTTATATCAGTATAAGCCCAACAATATTTATTTTATTCCTTGGTTTATAATCCAATACTATTCTTATTTACCTTCTTGCTCAAATAACTTTGGTAGGAGCTCTTTTAGGTTAGCTCCTGTGCCTTTTTCACATGTTGCCAACCCCTCTGAGCATTTTCTGACATCACAATTTTTTCCAGGATAAACTTCTATTTTCTCTGTCTCAGTCTCAAATCAATCACCTCTTTAATGAGCCATGGTTCCTTTTATTGGACACTTTACCAGTGTAGCCTAGTACACTGATGATAATTAAAAAACAAAATTTGGTTATTACTTGTTGTATCAGTTCATTCTTACGTTGCTATAAAGAAATATCTGACACTGAGTAATTTATAGAAAAAAGAAGCTTAGTTGGCTCATGGTTTTGCAGGCTGTACAGGAAGCATAGCAGCTTCTGTTTCTGGAGAGGCCTCAGGAAGCTTCCAATCATCACAGAAGGCAAAGGGGAAGTGAGACATCTCAGATGGTGGGAGCAGGAGAGAGAGAGGGAGGAGGTGCTGCACACTTTTAAGCAACCAGATATCATGAGAACTCACTATCGTGAGGACAGTACCAAGGGGGATGATGCTAAACCATTCATGAGAAACCATGATCCAATCGCCTCCCACCAGGGTCCATCTCCAACTCTGGGGATTGCATTTTAACATGAGATTTGGTGGGGATACAAAGCCAAACCATATCTGGTGTATTTCTTGCTATTGGGGTGTTACTTCTTCTAAAGCTTCTCATCAGACAGAGCTAGGAAATCTGTGTGTGTATACTAACTTACATATGCACACACCTATGTTTATTTCTGTATTTCTGACTCCAATCTAGCAGCACAAGTTTCATTCTAGCCTTCTTCCTTTCCTTTTTTGTGACTTCATTCTTTGGATAGTAAGAAACTGGATTCTCACTATCTATAATGTATTTATTTGCTTAATTCTACTATTGTAGGATTATCTACACTATTTTTCAAAGTTACTTCAGCCATATCCTTTCTTCCCCCCTTCCCTTCAGTGTGGTTATGTGATTCATTTCATTTGATTTATTTATTGTAGTCAGTTTCATTATTCACAGCCTGCATTTCATCTTGGATTCCCTCTGCTTCCCCACATTGTGATTGATTTATTTTGTTTGATTTTTTAAAAAAATTCTTATTCTTTATGGAAAAGCCTCATTTTGTCATACATTATGCTTATCTTTTCTCTATTTTAACATATCAATAATGATAATCTCTGGGTCTGCTTCCATTGACCATTAAAAAAAATTTGGTATCCTTTTCCTGTTTCTTTAGGTGTCTGGTAATTCTTATTGTATGCTGGACATTGTGGATAATAGATTGTAGAGGTTCTGGATTATGTTAAATTACCAGAGACACTCTGACCCAGTCAAGTCTTGGTTTTAGGCCTTGCTAGGTCAGACCTATTTTATCTTTGCATTTACTTCTATGAGTTGTCCCTATTCTAGGGTGAGAGCTTTCTGGGGTCTCAACTGAAAGATTGGGATGTTCACCAAGGTCTCACAGTGTCTCCTCATTAATATGTGAATTCAGATATTTCTACTTGGTTAACAGCCTCTTAGCAAAAATTTTTAAGGGGCTTCCCATAGTTTCACCCTGCAGTTGTGCAACTTTGGATTTGGCCAAGGATCTGAGAGAAATTATATACAGTCATGCACTGCATAACAATGTTTTGGTCAATGACAGTGGTGGTCCCATAAGATTATAATGGAGCTGAAAAATTCGTGTCATCTAGTGATGCCATGGCTGTCATAACATCATAGCACAACACATTACTCATCTGTTTGTGGTAATGCTGGTGTAAACAAATCTACTGTGCTGCCAATTGTATAAAAGTACAGCACATACAATTATGTACAGTACATAATACTTGGTAATGCTGATAAATGAATATGTTACTAGTTTATGTATTTATTATAATACACTTTTTATTGTTATTTTAGAGTGTGCTCCTTCTGCTTGTATTAAAAAAAAGGTAGCTGTAAAACAGCCTCAGGCAGGTTCTTCCTGAGGTGTTCCAGAAGAAGACATTGTTGTCATAGGAGATGACAGCTCCATGTGTGTTATAGTCCCTGAAGAACTTCCAGTGGGATGAGAGGTGGAGGTAGAAGACAGTGATATTGACTATCTTGACCCTGTGTAGGCCTAAGCTAATGTGTCTGTTTGCATCTTAGTTTTTAAGAAAAAAGTTTAAAAAATTAAAAATTAAAAATTTTAAAAATAGAAAAAAGCTTATAGAATAAGAATATAAAGACAAAATACTTTTCTATAGCTATATAATGGGTTTTAAGCTAAGTGTTATTACAAAAGAGTCAAAAACTTAAGAAAATTTAAGTTTATAAAGTAAAATGTTACAGTAAGCTAACATTTATTTTTGAAGAAAGAAAAAATTTAAAAAATAATTCTAGTGTAGCCTAAGTATATAGCATTTATAAAGTCTATGGTGGTACACTGTAATGTCCTAGGCCTTCACATTTACTCACCACTCATTTACTGATTCACCCAGAGCAACTTTTGGGTCTGCAAGCTCCATTCATGGTAAGTGCCCTATATAGCTGTACCATTTTAAATCTTTTATATTGTATTTTACTGTACATTTTCTATTTTAGATATGTTTCAATATGCAAATACTTAAATTACTATTGTGTTACAGTTGCCTACAGTATTCAGTACAGTTACATACTGTGCAGGTTTGTAGCCTGGGAGCAATAGGCTATACCATATAGTCTAGGTGTGTAGCAGGCTAAAGCATCTATGATGTTTGTGCAATGACAAAATTGCCTATTGACTCAGTTCTCAGGATTTAGCCCTGTCATTAAGCAACACATGACTGTATATTTTCCCAGTGGTTCCCTATTGTCTGTTATTCTCCCCTCCACCCTTCCAGATTCCCACGGCCTTAGCATCCCCTAACTCCTACCTCTGTTTCTTTCTGTCTCTCCTTGGACTCTTTTTTTCCCTGTACAGCAGATTGAAAAATATCTTCACAGAAAAAACCAGGATGAATGTGGGGTTTAACTGCTTTGCTTCCTTTCTCTCAAGGATCATAGCCCTGCAATCGTTGCCATCCAGTGCCTGAGAATAATTCTTCTGTATATTTTTTCAGCTTTATTGTTTCAGCAGGAGTTTAAATTCAATACTTGCTTCTATATCACTACTGATCATTTGTCTTTTTTTTTCTTCTTCTTTTTTTTTCTTGAGATGGAGTCTCACTTTGTCACCCAGGCTAAAGTGCAGTGGCACAATCTCAGCTCACTGCAACCCTCACCTCCCGGGTTCAAGCAATTCTCCTGCCTCAGCCTCCTGAGTAGCTGGGATTACAGGCGCCTGCCACCACGCCTGGCTAATTTTTGTATTTTTAGTAGAGACGGGGCTTCACCATCTTGGTCAAGCTGGTCTCGAACTCCTGACCTTGTGATCCACCCGCCTCGGCCTCCCAAAGTGTTGGGATTATAGGCCTGAGCCACCGCGCACGGCCCTGATCATTTTTCTAAATAAGAAAGCTTGTAGATTCATAGGATTTCAATTATTCTGTCAAGCAGAGGGGAGAAAAGAAACATGCTAGTGATCCTTATCTGATTTCACTTAAAACTCTTACAAAGATTTCTATAGTTCATTACACAAAGTTTTCAATTACATCCTTATTACTAGAATAAAAATGATCAACTAAGAGAACCAACTAGAATTACAGGGTTCTTTTGGAAGCTATTTTTGTGTCTAGAATCTTTATAATCTTATAAGACCTTTTTTTTTTTTTTTCAAATAGCCCTTCTGAGATCTGATATGTATTAATAAGGAATGGGACCAAAGGTTATGAATACACATGAACTTCCATATTTCATATGAAAACAGTATTAATATCCTCTGGAAGTTCTCAATTTAATGCTTTATCAAATTAGATTTTTTCATGTGATATACAGCACAAAGAACACATCTCTTCTTTGAGAGCCGTAGAAAAGGAGGAGGATATTCCTTAGGCTCCTTTCTTGGGATGATTTATTTGATTGTGAAGATTTATATTTTTAGAGCCAGACTCTGGAATTTCATTTATCAAGTTTATAAGCAAAAATTCGGCTTGTAAAGCTCAAATTTACTGGGAGAAATGAAAAAAAGAACTACAGATTTTCTATATAATGACAGTGAATTAACTGGACATATAGCTTTTTTTTTTTCTGTATAATGTTAAGGCGGTTATTAAAAGTTTACACGTGATTTTGTGACTGTATCTTTCCCCCATCCCTCAGCTGGCAGATGGCATCTAGATCAAACGTCATAATCCTCCCTAGGATTATGAGAGTGAAGCTCCATGTATAACACACTTGAATTAACTGCAACCTGAGAAACCAAAACACTATATTAACCAGAGCATATTCTACTGCTTCACTTTTAGGAAAAAAAAAAAAAGAAGCAAATGATACCAAGACAAGCTCATAACAGAGATCCAATCAGCAGATGTGTACGGATGAAAATACAGGTACAAATGAATCTCTTATAGCCTTTTGGATCTGCATCTAAATTTTTGCATAATGATGACTAGTATTCAGAATGTCACAATAGAATGCAGAATCAGCAAAAGAATGAGCAATCAAATTTTCAGTAAGAGTTAAACACTTCTTTAGTATGTCCACATGGCTCACCCTATTCTAGGTTCTGGGAGCAGAAATATAAAAAAAAATTTTCTCTACCCCAGAGGGACTATGACCCAAGCCACCGAGTGTCTGTGCTTGGCAAACCCACATATCATGCACAGCGGAACAGCCATTCTCTGATAAACAGACTTCCTCCCTTTATATTCCCAAACTTTCTGCAGGAGAGCCCTTCCATCTTTTTGTGTTAACTGAATCTAGCCAGTTCTCTGAGAACAAGGCTTTATCTGTTAGCCTCTCAAATGGCGGCCACTTTACACTCCAGGTAGCTCCAGGTTTGAGAGGGGGGTCAGTGTCTTCCCCACTGCCACCTTAGGCCACTGTGCCTTCACCCTCTAGTTAAACCTCTGCAATTTGAAGCTTGTGCTCCATTCCTGTGGCAGCCTTCACCGGGCCTCCAAGTCACATCTCCTCCTTCGCTGATGGTTTTTTACTGGGCTGCCCACTCCCTCTCCACTTAGGTGACTTTACTATTTACTTGAATGAAGTGTTCACCACTCCAGTGAATTATCCACTCTGCTCATCCATCTATTGTCATTCTGTGACCATTGTCAGTACCTCAAACTACTCCATCAAGCAAACAGTGCAAACGTCTAGCATCTCATTCACAACTTCCTTTCTTTTCATTTGTTATATATATCCCATTACAAGTCTTCTTTCACTAGGTGCTTCTAGTTGACTTGCCCTTTCACCTCCCATTCATTTACCTATCCATTCATCTATCACCTTTTTCTACCTTCTATTTTCTTCACATTACTGATAGATTCTAAGATCCATTACTTCAATTCTTCTCTTGAAAATTGTCTGGTGAATTCCACCCCAGGGTGAACCTATCCATCTCCTCTATGTCTACACCCAGGCTGCTAAGAAAAACTAAAGAAAAACAGAGTGGAGCAGATTTGTATTTCTGCAAATTAATGGTCAGTGACTTCAACTAGACTCCCAAAACTGACTGGTCTAATTTCTACAAAATCTCTCTTAAACCCATTCTATTCCTCTCAAGCCTCAAACTCTCTTATTCTCAGCATCTTTCCATTTCACTGGAAAAATGGAAACTATTAGACGGAGACTTCATACTGTCAAAAGTCTTCTCTCTTCTAACAAAGACCAACCATTTTGCATGTGCTCTGCACTCTAGCTCCTCAGGTTTTTCTCAAGAATATTAATTATTTCCTCTCTTTTTTGATATTATTTCTATTTCTTCCTCTCTACTTCCTATTAGCACTTATGCATAGTCCAATTTATCTCATTACTACAAACAGCTCAACAAACCAGCCAAACATCTCCCTCTGCCCCCACAAAGAACCCTTTGCAAACCACGTGATTCTCTAGCTACTTCTCTCCCACTGTTCTCAAATTTCTGGGCTGAGTTGCCTATAGTTTCTCTGTCTATCTTTAGTCACTATTCCCTCCATAAACCCTCAAATTCAACTTCTGTTTCAACAACTCCATGGAATCAACTCTTACTAAAGCCACCAATTATTTTCTTACCACTTAATCAACTGTACTCGAGTAGTCCTCATATCATGCCACCTCTCAGAATCATTCTACAAAGTTGAGCATTCCGTCTTTTGAAATACTTTTTCCCTTTGATTCCTATGATGTCACATGCTCCTAGTTTCTCTTCTACCTCTCCCATTCAGCCATCAAAGCAATCCCTTCCACTCTCATGGCTTCAATTGCTACCTATACTCCAACAACTTTCAAATTCTATCTCGAGCCAACTTCTCCTCTGAACTATTCACATGACATCTTCATCTAGAAGCCTTCAAACACCTCAACTTGAATCCATTAAAAGTGAACTCATGCTTCTGTTTTTCGCCCAAACCTTCTTTTTCTCTAGTAGATACTTCCAACACCCATCTAGTTGCTCAAACGACACACCTTGGATATACCCTTGACTCCTCCTCATTACCACTTCTTATGTGCAACGAATTACCAAGTCTTGTTAATTCTACTCTTGGAATATTTTGTCACCACCTTCATTAATCACATGGCCTCCTGGAATGGGCTTTGCCCATGAAAACAATTTTCCTCAAAGCTATGGAAGTGATCTTACAAAAACGCACCTCTGGGTCGGGCACGGTGGCTCATGCCTGTAATCCCAGCACTTTGGGAGGCCGAGGTGGGCGGATCATGAGGTCATGAGATCAAGACCATCCTGGCAAACATGGTGAAACCCCGTCTCTACTAAAAATATAAAAAAATTAGCCGGCCGTGGTGGCAGACACCTGTGGTCCCACCTACTTGGGAGGCTGAGGCAGGAGAATGGCGTGAACCCAGGAGGTGGAGCTTGCAGTGAGCAGAGATCGCGCCACTGCACTCCAGCCTGGGCAACAGAGCGACACTCTGTCTCAAAAAAAAAAAAAAAAAAAAGCACCTCTGACTATGACATATTTCTACTTTAATATCCTTCAGTATATTAAGGATTTCCCTCCCTTATAGTATTTTTTGATCTACCTAGCATGTCAGTTCACAGCTCAGCCTCTGATTTCCTCTCCAGCCCATCCTGCTCCACTCCTTCTTATATACATTGTTACAGCCGCACTGGCCTTGTCCTAAGTCCTCAAATATACCTCCCCAACCCCAACTCAGAGCCTTCTGTCCCAAACACTCTCGGCCTACTCCTTTCTCTGCTGCAATAACATTGACTCACTCTTCAGCTCCTACCCTCCAAAAAGCCTTCCCTGACCTATTATCCTAGTTAAGATCCTCAACTATATGGACTCATTGCCACCTGTACTTTTCCTTCAAGGTGCTAGTCAAGACTCTAAACAATTACTTCTAAAGATGGTACTTGTTTAATGTGTGTCCTCCTTGCTAGAATGTGCACTCCTGAGATCATTGTTCATTGTCTTTGTTCATTGTCATATTGTCAGGGGCTAACATTATGTTTGGCTCATCATATGTACTCAGTGACTGCTTTTTTGAATGAATGAATGGTTTTAATATAACATGGTAAATATAAAGATGGAGGCATAGAGATTGCAAAATGGAACAGAGATAAGTGGCATTTCACTCAGCTGAGGAAGTCTACCAGTGTAATTGCTATTGTGTGACTCAGATGATGGTCTTGGACACAAAATTTGGGAATAGGGTGGTCAGCAATCTAGTGCTTATTTCAGCTTGTGTCTCCAGCTTGGCCTCTTCTTTGTCTCTCAAAGAATGGAACCCCTGGAAAACCCAAGGCAGCTTAGTAGCTATCACCACTCACTAGTTGTAGGTGGAGCAATACATTAGCCCATCAGATAATCTGAGTTCTCTTCTTAAGTCCCCTGCTATGACCACAGATCATTTAGGTTTTTCTATAAAACAATACAATTTGGGAGATTGGTTGTCTTCCCCATCATTCAGGAAAAAATTATAAGAGAATTTGTTTTACCTACGTATGTGTACATTCAAAATCCCATCATTTTCATAGGGAGAAACAAATCATCCTTATTTCCTTATTTCTTACACCACAAACACTGGATTAAGAAAGGCAAATAATTGTAAAACCTAGTACACTTTGAAATTATAATGCTTTCTATGGAGAGACAATTTTATGCTAAAACCTTAATTTTTTAAACTACCCTTGCTGAGAACCTGACAAAAGCAGCCCGAGTCCTACATAACATCCCAGAGGACAGAAGCACCTGGGGAATTTTAAGACACTTTCAACCCAATCAGTGTCAACGTTCGTTCATTAAGTGGATGGTGAAACAGAACCCTGAGGATTCAGACAGAAACTCTGTCCTCAAAGAGCTCACGCTGAGATCACAGACATATAGCCACATTATTATAACATAGTCCACAAATAGAAGTATGTACAAGTTATAAAGATAGCCCAGAGAGGGACAAATCTTTTTGGGGGATCAAATCCTGATGAGGTAAGACCTCAGCTGGGTTGTTAAGGATGAATAGGTATTTACCACACAGACATGATAGGGAAAAGGCATTCCAGGGAAAGGTCCATCTTCTGATGACAGGATAATGCTTCTGGCCTGTACCAGCAAGAAATGGTGTGGGAGGTGAAGGACAGAGACCAAACCCTGAGGGGTCTATGTGCCGTATTAATTGAGAAACAAGGACTTGGTTCTGTAACTGAGGCGACCCTTAAAGTTTTTGAGTAGGGACAGGTATAATCAATTTCACATCATCTCTGTGGCAACGTGGAGGATAGATAAGGGGAAAGTGAGTCTAGAGTCAGGGCCAGCCAGCAGATAAACGGAGAGACCAGCTGGGCCCGCCTGTCCCCTTGGCCTGTAGAAAATTGTGGGAATATTCATCCACATACAATTCCAGGGTAAATTTGAGTGTCCATAAACTAAAACCATGTATTGTATAATTTTAGATACAAGAAACTGAAGGGTATCATGTTATTTACATAACATTCAGAAAACTACTGCACTTCTTGAATGTTTATCTGGCCCCACTACAATAAGTGAAGGTTTTACTCCTGAAATAATTGCTAAATAAATTATCTGTGTGCTAAAGATAACAACCGTAGGTCACACCCTTTCCTTTCCCTTAGAATAGCTGGAAGCAGGTAGAGTTTGTTCATCAGAAAGGACTTTTGCACAACTTTATGAGATAGTTGCAGGTGGGCAGTGTGGTTCTTGGACCACATTAGTTTGTCCTTGTTGCCTAAAACAAAGCAAAACAATGAGGGCATTTAACATGGCTTTGTTTTGTGTCCCCACATGGGCCTTCAAAATAATTAAGGACTCTCTTATGTTTTCATTTTTTCATAGTCTTGGCAGGTCCCCACAACAGTATTAGATTTTGACATCTTGCTGCTTTCTGTGGAAAAGCACCCAGATTCCAAATAAATATGTGTATGAAATTTTCCATTACCTGGCACTGGTTTGTCACCAACAATCTACTGTTCAACATTTATTGTACTAATTTGTAAACATAATAGTTGTCACGGAGACAAATGGATAAACAAGGACAGACAGATAATGACATCCTTAGAGACAGCATGTAGTAGTTACAGCCAACCTTGGGGTCCTACATTTTTGTGTTTTTGCTGCTGTGGACTGATGAACACAGAAGCCATTGTTTTTTACTGTGTAAATCTACACTCAGAAGAAAGGGTCGTCAGCCGCTGGCCTGAGAGGATTAGCAAGGTTTTAGAGACTAAGGTCTCTACGGGAGCTGGTGAATGTGGAATGAAATTACTCTTTGGGAAACATGGATGATTTTTATCACAGCTAAGGAGTTGGGGCTGAGCAGTTTTTGGAAGGCTGTGGTTAGGCATATGTGAAAACCTGGGCCGGTAATGGAATCTTTGGACCCCCAGTTATTATTCCAAAATAGCTCTTGTAGAAGCACCCGTGTGCACTCCTCACTTGCAGGAAATCATGGGTTCTTTCTGACAGCCTGGGGCTCACCGGCCTGTGGGCGTTCCTCTCACCAAGTGCGAGTCCAGTCAATGGTGGTTGAATGGACCCACCTCCCTCGCCAGTGCCTCTGATTGGCTGCTTTCCCCCTACCTGACGTCATTTCCCCTGTTTTTGAGGATCAATCAAGATGGACACAAACGATGCTTCCTTACTGTCCTTTGCCTTTCTCTGAGTACTACATAGTTAAGAATATTTGTAATATGATTGCTAGCTATAAAAGATACCTCTTTTTCTATTATTTCCCTGTTTGTCTACTTTTTAAAAAAATGTATAGTTTGTTTTTAATGTAAACATCCTGGTTACTAAAACTTCATACGTTTATATGTTGGAATATTTTCTTCTATACAAGCACTGGTCTTTTAACTTGTAACCTCAAGTTGTATAAAATAATCTTTTTAGTTTATAAAAGAGTCTCTATGATTTGCTTTCCTCCTGTTCAAGTTTGTTGTGTTAGAAGGAGCATGGTGTCAGGGTTAGGCATACATTCTAGTTTACCTTGGTTGGGGTCCTGGGACTCCATTTACTAGCTCTGTGATCTTGGTTGAGTTATCTGACTTCTCTGACTCTCTCATTTGCAAAACGGGGCTATTATGAGGTTATGAGGATGAAATAAGTTAAATACGTGAAGCCCTTGAACAGTGCCTGGTTTGTATCTCATTCCACGTGTTTGCTATTGTAATTTTTTTCTAGGGTATTTGTTCTAATTTCTTCTTGTCTTTTTTTAGGGTAGTCCATCCATTTCCCGACTCTATTAAATAAAATAAAATAAATAAAAATGCTCCCTGTGTTGTGATCCATGCTACTATACATATGTATAGTATATATGTAGTGTATAGTATGGAAGTTCATACTATACTTCCAGCTTACCCTCCGAAGTGGCTCTTCACCAACTATGTGTGAGAGTTCCTGTTTGTCTACGGACTCTCTTAAGTTAATGTCAGGCTATTTAACTTTTACCCATCTGATTCTTGTAGAATGGTATCAATTGTTATAACCTGTGTCTTTTTGATAATTGGTGAGTTTGAATGTATTTTTATATGCTTATGGGTCATCCATGACTTCCTCCTCTGTAAACTGCATTTTCATATGATTTGCCCAATTTTCTTTCGGGTTGTTTTTTCCTAATGATTTGTACGAGTTCTTTAAATATTCTGAATAGGAATTATTTGTATATTATATGTGTTGCATTCTCCCAGTGTTCCTTAACTTTTGACTATGTTTATTGTGTCTTTTGATGTACAGTAGCTTTTTTTTTTTTTTTTAACTTCTGTTTTTAGAGACAGGGTCTGGCTTTGCTGCCCAGGCTAGAGTGCAGTGGTGTGATCATAGCTCACTGCAACCTCCAACTCCCAGGCTCAAGAGATCCTTTCATCTCAGCCTTCTGAGTAGCTGGGACTATAGGCATGTGACATCATGCCCAGCTAATTAAAAAAAAAAAAATGTAGGGATAGTCTTGCTGTGTTGCCCAGGCTGGTCTCGAACTCCATCTTGGACCTCAAATGATTCTGCCTCAGCCTCCCAAAATACTGGGATTACAGGCATGAGCTACCATGCCCAGCCTGTAGTTTTTAATTTTGATGTAATCACTTTTCCTTGCAAGTTAATTTTATCAACATTATTTGTTGAAGAATCTATCTGCCCCCTACCAATTTATAATAACATCCCTATCATATATCAAGTTCTCTTGTTAATATGGTTGTGTTTCTATTTTTGAATAGAACTGTTCCACTTGTCTATTTCTGGGCAATGCCACACTATTTTAATTACTATTGCTTAGTAATGTGTTTGGATATCTGGGTATGAAAAGTCCTGTCATTCTTTTCAGAATTTTCTTTCTTTTTTTTTTTTTTTTTTTTTTTGAGATGGAGTCTCATTCTGTCGCCCAGGCTGGAGTGCAGTGGTGTGATCTCTGCTCACTGCAAGCCCCATATCCCAGGTTCACGCCATTCTTCTGCCTCAGCCTCCCGAGTAGCTGGAACTACAGGTGCCAGCCACCACGCCTGGCTAATTTTTTGTATTTTTAGTAGAGACAGGTTTCACCGTGTTAGTCAGGATGGTCTTGATCTCCTGACCTCGTGATCTGCCCGCATCGGCCTCCCAAAGTGCTGGGATTACAGGTGTGAGCCACCGCGCCCGGCCCCAGAATTTTCTTAGTCCTTTGATTGTTGGTCCTTTGCCCTTCCATCGAATCAGATCATCACATGCCACAAAAGACTGTTGGTGATTTTAGTAAGAAATGCATGAAGTTCTGAACTCACTTTGGAAAAGTTTACATCTTTTATGATAAAGTTTTTTTCTATCTATGCACAATTTTTCCTTCTATTTATTCATGCATTCTTTTATACTTTCACTGAAGTTTTGAAATTTTTTCTCAAAACAATCCATACATTTTAGTCTTTGATTTATTTCTAGGTACTTCAGGATTCTTGTTGCTATTGTGAATAAAATTTTTTTCAGTAATTATTTTTTTCCATACTCCCTCTCTTCCTGGGTGTTCTCCTGTGTTCCCTTGGCTGTAAATCTCATTTTTATGTCAAATACAGTGCAATTGATTTCTGCCTTTCTCTCTTGTGATTTCTCAATCCACATGACCAGTCATTCCCTTTTACAGACACTTGGAGGTTTCAGAAGTATCTCAGACTGAACATGTCTAAGATTGAACTCTTGATTCTTTTCTTCCCCATCCCTAAACCATTCCCCCACCTTAGAAACATGATTGGCTGTCTACCTAATTTCTCTTGGAGACATCCTGGATGTCTGTGCTTCCTTGCTGACATTCAGTCTGTCTGCATGTCCTGTTCATTGTTAGGTTTCTTTTCTTGCTAATGCTGTACTCTGACCTACCCCAGACTAGTCTATTAGGTGGCACCATCAGCACTTAGACCTTTAGAAGCATCTCAGGCTTAACCTGTGTGGAACATAGTAGGTGCTCAATTAATATTTGTTGAATACATAAATGTTTAGAACTGTACTCTTACCTTTTTCCCCCCAGCCTTCCCCACCTCAGTAAATTGCTTCATTGGGCATTCGCTTAAGTCATAAGTGTGGCAGTCATCCTTGCCTTATTCTTTACAACAAATCGCACATCCAGTTTGTCCTCATGTGCTATTAATTTTGCCTCTAAAATCCACCTCCACTGCTGCTGCCCTTGTCAAAGTCTCTGTCATGTCTCCCTGGTTTTCCTATTTCCTCTCCTGCTTACTTCTAATCTATGTTGCAAGGAGCTTGAGTGATCTTCATGGAAGCTAAATATGAAGATTTATCTCCTTTAGTGAAGATCTTTCAACACCTTCCTATCCTTCCCATTCCTTAGCTCACTTTCAAGGGCCTGCCTGGTCTTTCTCATGCCTTGCCCCTAGCCTCAATGTTCCCCTCCCTCACTGTGCTTCAGCCACTCTGTTCTCTGGTTTCTTGGAGACATCAAGTCTCAAGGCCTCTGTCTGTAACTGTTTCCTCCCTCATGTATGGGTGGCTCCCACATATCTTTTGGATCTCAAATTAAATTTCATTTCTTCAGGAATCCTTCCTTAGCCTTCTAATCTAAATTTGTCTCATTGCTATATTGTCTCCTAGCACCCAGTTCCTTCCTTTTAGAGCCCTAATCACATTTCAGTCATACATTGGATATACTACTCATGGGGTAAGAGATAGTCTGTTAATGTCTTCTTCTCTGTACCCTAAGCTCTGTGAGCATAGGGACCTTCTTTGTCTTACTCACCACTGGCACTTAAAGGTACTCAATAAATCTTCAAATGGATGACTGTTAGGATTGTATTTGGCTGCCTTTACCTTCAGTCATCTTATGTGTATATTCTTTGCACATATAGACTGATATCATCTGCCTTTCCTGTCAGTGGGATCTATTGTGGTCATAAATAAATTGTCTCAGTAGCTCCTATCTACTGTTCAGGGGGTCCTTGTCAGTCTTAAAATTAGCACCAAGAATTGCTCTCCAGGGTACTAATATATCTTACCTACTCAAGGCAGGAGCTGGGTGTATTGTTCCCCGCCCAGCTCCTGTCCCAGCCCCTGGTGAGAGTGCTACCTCTGGAGGTGACTGAGGATAACAGAGGGAGCTATAAGTTCCTTCGAGCCGACTGCCACATTGACGGTTAACTGGCTTCAGCTGGGATGGCTGGCCACTCCGAGTTTCTGCCATATAATTAATGACCTAGCTTCCTGCTGCTTTCAGTTGCTATTAGAGAAGTATTTTCTTATGTCAATACAACCTCTTCATAAGCACCTTTAAAAATGGATGTCTAATATTCAGTTGGTCTTCAAATGACTCCATAATATTTCTGTAGTTAGCTAATTATAAGAATATCAATAATTAAATAAGAATCAAATCTTTACTGCTTACATTGTATTTGCACACTTTGTAAATATGCAAGATCTCCCCACTTATCTTCTCTTCTTTAATAAGCTAGGCTGACTTTAGGAAAGATAAAGAATAGTGAATGCTTCACTTTTTCTGTTTCATTACCACTCCTGTTTCTGGGGTATATGCAGAAATTAAGTTTGAGATTTTCCTACTATCCTCCCCCTGTCCTCATCAATTAGTAAAATTCAAGTTACAGTTTTTCATGCATATTATTATTATTACTGAAAATATATTTTATTTCTGTTTCTCTTCACAGAATGAAAGGTTAAAAGATTTTATTGCTCTCAAGGGCATTGATATTCAGAGAGTAAATATTAAATTGTGAAATGGAGGCAAGGTTTAACAAAAACTCATTGAAGATTGATAAATATTTTAAGACTCAAAGTTAATTTTTCATGCTTTGAAAAAATTCAGTATTTTAAATGTTAGACACTTCCTCTTGTTCTTAAAACCAGATTATGAAAATTGTAATTCCCAGTTGTTTCCATCTCTTCCTTACAATTTTTTCATTTTTTTTGAGACAGAGTCTTGCTCTGTCACCCAGGCTGGAGTGCAGTGGCGTGATCTTGGCTCACTGCAACCTTCACCTCCCGGGCTCAAGCGATTCTCATGCCTTGGCCTCCCAAATAGCTGGGATTACAGGCATGCACCACCACCCTTGGCTAATTTTTGTACTTTTAGTAGAGATGAGGTTTCACCATGTTGGCCAGGCTGGTCTCGAACGCTTGACCTTGGGTGATCTGCCTGCCTCAGCCTTCCAAAGTGCTGGGATTACAGGTGTGAGCCACCGTGCCTGGCCTCTTCCTTACAGTTTTTTCTAATCATTTGAAGGCACAGGGGGTGATGGTGTGGGTTTTGAGAAATTACAGCCATGTACCGGAAGGAATTAGGAAAAAGGAAAGGGAAGGTTTAGGAAGAACATGACCTTATTTGCTCAAGTCTTTTCTACTTTGTGAATTTATGGGGGAAATTCTGTGTCCTATGGAGTACATTCTTAGGTCACTGAAGGGAACACTTTTCCATTCTGTTCCTTAAAGTGGGAACAAAGAAAGAGGCTTGGGATAGGTAATTTATTATGACTATCTTCACCCTTTCTCTAGTGTTAGGTATGTCGCAGTGATGTCATCCTCTGGACTGTGAATGACAAATTGATGATGTCACTGAGGCCCCATCTCCCCTGTATAAACAGTGTGGTACGGATTATAACAGACAATTAATCTCACCGGTCACTCATAAATTGTGCCAATTCTTTTTTATCTTCTCTGGGCCTCAGTTTCTTCATCTGTAAAATAAGGATAAATGTAATCTATCTCCTAGGATTATTACCAGGGTTAAATAGATGAATAAATGTTATGAACTTGGAAGAGTGCCTGACTTACAGTGAGCTCTCCATCAGTAGTACTATTATTAGCTATTATTTATAACTTATGCTTCTCAATGGGTATGATTTAGGAAATAGCAAAATAATATATTTTGGGTTTTTGTAATTCTTAATTTCAAATGGACTGGCAGCTTACATACCAAGAATCATACCAGACAACTCAGACCATTGAGTTTCCTCTATGGTGTAAAATGCATGTCCTTTCTGCAAAGAAAGCTGAGCCTCAGGTTTGGTGCCTGGAGGTGAAAAGAGAGTAGGCTAGAGGCCAAGTCTTTGCCAGAGAGAAGGAGGAAGCAGAAAGAAGAGTTTTTCTAGCCAAAAGAATAGGAAAGAAGAGAAAAAGCAAGAGAGAGAGAGGAAGCTAAGGAGGCAGATACTTGTTTTCTCCTTTTTCTAGGCGAAACCTCAAAACCATGGTGGGGGATGTGGGTATGGTGTAGTAGAATCATCCAGATAGGTTTAAAATTTTTTGTGTGTGTATGAGGGGCAGTGACACACTTCAACAGGAATAGTGTAGTGGGGGCCCTGCAAGCCTCTAGAAAAGGCTGCCCTCAGCCTCATCCAGCATGACTATGAGTGACTGCACAGCTTTGGCTGGGAGGCTGTCTAAGCCAATGGCCCAGAATAACGCTCTTGGTTCCCTACTCGTAATGCATGGGAACCAAACATTTCCTAGAATAGATGTGAAGGAGCTGAGAGGACAGCTGGACCAGAATAGGAGGCTACTGAGTCAGGAGCCTGATGACCAGTGGCTTTGGTTGGATCAAGTGGTCAGTAGCAATGTGTGTCATTCATGCTAAAAGGTGGGTGAGACCAGATGAGGTACCCCATGGCAAGGCCTAGCAGAGGACACCACCCAGACCAGCCACCCCTTCCCTCACTGCCATGAAGATACTCAGGTTTTTCATACTCTTATCCACCTTGAGAAGGAAGAGAGGGAGGTGAGAAATAGTCATGTTAGGGAACTGAACTCTGACTACAAAGTAGGAAGGGATGGTTTCAGCTAGAAGTGACCAGGCCACTATAAATTTAGAGTTTTGGTTGCTCTCTTCTTTCCACTTTCTTTCTCAGCCAATATTCATCATGGGTTGGGCTTGTAATATCACATCAATTCTACAGTTACAGAGAAATAAAAAAAAGTTGTGCTTTTTTTGGTAAAATCAATCTCGATTTGAATAAATTTGAAATTTCTTGCTTTATTAACCTGAAATTTCTTTCTTAAGTATATATTAAACATCCCATTCCTTAATTCATATAATAGATCTGGAGACTGATCATTATTTTCCTTTGGAGTTTTGATATCTGAAGCCAGTGTGTTATTCTCACATAGGGTTCAGGTCCTGGGTGCACAGTCAAGGTCAAAGCTTGTCTCCTGTTCTTCCCATGTTGAGTTCTTTATACCAAGGGAAGAACAGACCCTTGCTCAAGGTTGTGAGGGAGCCGAGTGAAAGAATTGAAGACCTATTCTGCTTTCAAAATATTGACCTGCATCTACCCTTCATTCTGCAAACTCTATACCCGTTTGCATGTCTGACTTCCTGTGATACCATGCAGATATGAAGGGGCAAGTGGGCTGCAGCATGTCAACTTACCACTTGCATTTTCTTTCCTTTCCAGAGGACTGCCCAGAATTGAGGGCCACCTGTGGCTTTCATGACATGATTATGCCACATCCCGATTGCTTTTTTCAGAAAAGATGATAAAAAGAAAGGAGGAAGGGTGGGAAGAAGGGCAAAAAATCCACTTTATACTCATGGTTTTAATTTCTTCCTGTAGCCTTTTTAGGGAATGGCGAAGCTGTGTTTATAGATACTATGACACTAGTGGTTACATAGAGCTTAATGCCACCCCTAGGACGTGTAATGAAATGTGTATGTAATGATTAAAGATAGCAAATTAATTTGTATGAATTAGAAAAAGATATATTGTGTTCACAAAATCTTTTTTTTTTTTCCCTAAAGAGCCCAGTTTTAGAACTTTCAAGGTTAGTGAGAAAGGTCCCTTCCTCTACTGAACAGACATTTTTGCCTGAATCCCCATTGGAACATGGGACTGCTAGAGAGCATCTGGGGACAGGACATAAGTGGCTAAGGGCTCTGCAGCTGTTGTGAAAGGCACCCTTTGTTCATTCTCTCATTTTTAATCAAACATCTTCTGAGCACCTGTTCTGTATCAGGCATTGAACAGGCTTAAGGACAAAAATTTTAAGGAGACAGTGAAACAGTAAGGGTAGCACTAAAGTTCTAGATGCTTTCCTAGAATTATTCACAGAACACAAAGGAAGGAGGTATGATCATTACTCTTTGGGGGAAGGGAAGGATCTGGAAAGGCTCCCCAAGGAGTGTCTTGACTTTGAGCTGAACCTCAAGGCAATGGAGGCATTTGCTGTGCAACTGTTGAGTGGTAAAAGACAGGGGAAGGAACCCTATGGGACAAGTTCCAAAGGCTTGAAATAATCCTGTCTCTTGGGGGCTAGGAATGACTGGGTTGGGCTGGATGCACTTACCAGAGGAGGGTTCCTTCTTGAATAAAAAGCCTTATTATTGAAGAAAGGTCATCTTCCCATAGACTTTTTGCCTACCTTTCATTGACTAGAATGTGGTCACATGGGGGAATTATATAGATTAAACAAGGCATATAGCACTGCCAAACAAAATCAAGGTTCGTTACTGAGTTATTAGGCAGTCTACTAGTCCTATTAACCATTATGAGTTTGCTATTTTAAAATTATTATTGTATGATGTTGGGGATTTCACTTAAATTCTTCCCCAATTTTCTCATCTGTAAAATGGGGATAGTAGGAACTATCTGGAGGGTTGTTTGGGGAATTACAAATATTAGATATAAAACATATGGAACATACTAGGTGCTCAATAAATGGTGGAGAGGTTTTTGTTTTCCTTTCTTTGGATCCTTCCCTTCACTTTCTTCTCCTTCTTTGAATGCTTACTTCACTTTTCTCTCCTGTTTAGTTTTAAGTTATATGGAAACCTGGAGAAGATTATATTTTGCAGTTTCAAATTTGTTTTTTTTTTCCTCATCCTGCCAGAGAGTTCATAGTTATCTTTGCTTGCAATTAGGTGGTATCTTTTGTGAAAACGTCATGCAGTGTTTATAATTTGTTTTTAACCACTAAAGTAAATAAAGATGTGATTAATGCTTAAGTATCATCAGAGATACACAGTGAGATAAATAGAGTGTGTCTAAAAAACTCAGCAGGATTAGATAGGTCATTTAAATGAATTCTCATCTGTGAAAGGAAAATATAATTTATTAAGCAAGTTATTTACATTAGTTACAATTTTTTATTTACTTTATTTCATTTCATATTTTCAAAGCCCCCCCCCGCCCCCCGAGTTACGTGTTGTTATTATTACAGGAAACTGAGTCTAACCAATTAGGAATGTATTTGGTTACTTGTAACTGAAATAATAGTGGTTTATGCAAGGTGGAAGTTTGTCTCTCATATAAGAGGTGTTCAGAGTTCAAGAGTCCAGGCCTGAAACAACAAACTCCACAGTCCTCCAGGATTCAGGCTCCTCTGGTATTTTTGCTCCACCACCTCACAGGAAGTGGCTTCACCTGTGAAGTTGAGCTGTGGTCCAAGATGGCTCCTGTACCCAGGAGTAAACTGCTAGACTACAGTTTGTGCACATTTTTATCCTCACTAGACAATCCCAAATTGTTTCCAGAAATGCACAGTCTTTGCAAGCACACGTAGAACAAGGTCATAAAGCAAATTTGAACAACTGTTGGAGTCACTGTCATAGCGACTGCTTTCTCTAACTGCATTAAAATGAGAAGCCAATGTAACAAAAATATCTCCATATATTTGGAAATTTTACAATAGATTTTGTAATAACTGATGAATTGAAGAAGAACTCATCCATAATTAAAATGAAGATTAAAAATTATTTTAATATTTGTGGCATGCAGCTGAAGTTGCACAATGGAAAAGGTTATAGCCATAAATGTACATATATGAAGCATTTGACTCAATAAGGAAAAAAAAAATAACACAAATATAAAGAAAATGGAAGAAAAGAAATTATAGGCCAGGCGTGGTGGCTCACACCTGTAATCCCAGCACTTTGGGAGTCTGAGGTGGGAGGATCACTTGAGCCCAGGGAGAGCCTGTCTCTACAGAAGAAAAAAAAAATTAGCTGGGTGTAGTAGCACGCACCTGTAGTCCCAGCTACTTGAGAGGCTGAGGCAGGAGGATTGCTTGAGCCCAGGTGGTTGAGGCTGCAGTGAACTGTGATTGCACCACTGTACTCTAGAATGGGCTACAGAGTGAGACCTTGTCAAAAAAAAAAAAAAAAAGAAAAGAAAGAGGAAAAAAAGAAATTATAAGTGCATACAGAAATGAATAAACTGGGGGAAAAAAGAACAAAGACAAGAAAACCACTTCCTTACTTTTGAAAAAAAATGAAGTAGATAGCTTCTGACAAAAGTACTCAAAAAAAATGAGAGAAGATACAAATATAGAATATAAACTATAGAGAAGATTATAATTACAGATTTATTACAAATTTTAAAAACGGTAAGAGAACACTACAGACAACATGAACTTGAAAAGTGAATGATTTTTTCAATAATATAAATTTGAAAAATATGTAAGGTGTGGTCCTACTTTTTATTAACTGTATATTTACAGGTAAATATTTTCAAAGAAAAAAGTTAACATATTTTACAAGTGGCTAACCATGGGGTAAGAATTTATGAATTTGTATTATTTTCTTTTTCTTTTTTTTCTTTTTTTTTTTGTTTTTTGAGACGGATCTTGCTCTGTCGCCCAGGCTGGAGTGCAGTGGCCCGATCTCGGCTCAGTGCAAGCTCTGCCTCCCAGGTTCACGCCATTCTCCTGCCTCAGCCTCCTGAGTAGCTGGGACTACAGGTGCCCGCCACCACACCCAGCTAATTTTTTTGTATTTTCAGTAGAGACGGGGTTTCACCGTGTTAGCCAGGATGGTCTTGATCTCCTAACCTCATGATCCGCCCACCTTGGCCTCCCAAAGTGCTGGGATTACAGGCGTGAGCCACCACGCCTGGCTTCCTTTTCTTTTTTTTTTGAGACAGAGTCTCGCTGTGTTGCCCAGGCTGGAGTGCAGTGATGTTGGCTCACTGCAAACTCTGCCTCCTGGGTTCAATCAGCTCTCCTGGCTCAGCCTCCTGAGTAGCTGGGATTACAGGCTCCCACCACCACGCCCGGCTAATTTTTTTTTTTCTTTTTTTTGAGACGGAGTTTCGCTCTTGTTGCCCAGGCTGGATTGCAATAGTGCAATCTCGGCTCACCACAACCTCTGCCTCCCGGGTTCAAGCGATTCTCCTGCCTCAGCCTCTCAAGTAGTTGGGATTACAGGAATGCACCACCATGCCCAACTAATTTTGTATAAAAAGTAGAGATGGGGTTTCTCCATGTTGGTCCTGCTGGTCTCGAACTCCCAACCTTGGGTGATTCGCCTGCCTCAGTCTCCCAAAGTGTTGGGATTACAGGCGTTAGCCACCTCGCCCGGCCTGGCTAATTTTTATACTTTTAGTAGAGATGGGGTTTCACCATGTTGACCAGCCTGGTCTCGAACTCCTGACCTCAAGTAATCTGTCTGCCTCGGCCTCCCAAAGAGCTGGGATTACAGGCATGAGCCACCGCACTGGGCATATTATTTTCATCCATCTGAGTTTTCTAACTTTCAGCAGTGAATATAGATTTTTTTAATCCACTAATTCACTGGAGGGGAGGAGCTGCAGAAGTGCCTGTAGGTCACACTTCCCTCAGGGCCCATCCCAAGTTTACTATCAGTCCCGGACAGGGACCCTTCTGGCGCTGGCAGAGAAGTCCTGGTTTCTGTTGTTGTGAAGTCTCCAAACTCCATTCTCTATCTTTCTCTTCTGGAGTGATTTGTTTCCCCAACTTTCAGTCTTTGTCACCCTAGGACATAGACTCATGGATCTTTGAGACTTATCCCACCCCTGGGTCCATCTCTAGTCCTCTGAAGTCTAGTCTGGGCCCAGCACCTGGACTCCTATTCCTTGGGAGGAGGGTTGAGTCTATAGGAAGCACAAAACAGTGTTGGACCTGTCTAAAGTGCTTGGGATGCTGGAGTCACACAGATGTGGATTCAAATCCCTTGCTGCCTCTTACTGGCTTATGGACTTAGTCATGTTCTGTAGATTTTCCATCTTTAGTTTGTTAATAATGCCACATTAAAAAATGAGATAAAGTATGCAAAACAACTATACACAATGGTGCTCAGTAAACTGTTACTTCTTCGCTGTTAGTTATTTGCTTTATTAAAGGAAAAACTTTAATAAAACAAATTCAATTTAACAGAGTTTAATTCAGCAAAGAACAATTCACAGATCAGACAGTCCCCAGAACCAGATTAGTTTCAGAGGGACTCCAGGGCCACCACACGGTCAGAAAACATCGATGGACAGAGAAAGGAAAGTGACAAATAGAAACCAAAAGTGAGGTACAGAAACAGCTGGACTGCTTACAGCTGGAATTTGCCTATTTGAACACTGTTGGCTGTCTGTGATTGACTAAAACTCTGTGATTGGTATAAGACTGGGTTACAATGTACCCATCCGGTTAGGTTACGGTTTACTATGTACAAATAAACCGTTAGGTGGAACTTAAAATATGTAAGGATGTGGCTTTAGGCTAAACTTAATTTAACAGCCTGTATTTCCAAGGAATTTACTAGCAATCCTGGTGTGTTATAAAACGATGACTCTGATTTAGCATGTGAGGCTTAGCGTTTTTAAATTGGAGGGTGGCATGGGGCCGATAGTTGGGGAAGCAGTATATAGAACTGCTTAAGCAGGTACCCCAACTAAGTGCTGTATTTCTGCCACCTGGGAAAAGAGTTAGGAGGGCAGTTTTTTGTTGTTGTTGTTTTTGTTTTTATTTTTTTGTTTTTGGAGACGGAGTCTTGCTCTATCTCTCAGGCTGGAGTGCAGTGGCGCGACCTCAGCTCGCTGCAATCTCCGCCTCCCGGGTTCCAGCGATTCTCTTGCCTCAGCTGCCCGAGTAGCTGGGATTACAGGCACGTGCCACCACACTCAGCTAATTTTTGTATTTTTAGTAGACACCGGGTTTCACCATGTTGGCCAGGATGGTCTCAATCTCCTGACCTCGTGATCCGCCCGCCAGTCTTTTCAAAAATATAAACATTTTACTAAAGGAGGGAGAAAACATTATTTTGAAAGTTGGATGCATTTTCAGGTGGTTGTGTTAGGAATGGCGAGGTTCTTCCAGGGAAGAGAATTACTTTTTCCTTCAGGACCATGCATCGATGGATAACTAGAGGTGATGCTGCCCCCTGCCGGACATGGTCGGGGGAGACAGGGAGTGAGGGAAGTTGTCATGGAGTAAGAAACAATTTTCCCCTGAAGTGCTGGGGGAAGAAATGACTGGGCGGGGGTGCAGATGGGCATACAGTGACCCAGGCATTACATCAGCTGGAGCAGTGAGTGGGATTTGAGAATTCAATTAGGGAAGGAATTCAGAGTCACAGTGGGCTTCAAATCTCCTTCTTATCACATACTAGTTATTTCTCAAACAGTTGGAGTAAGAGCTAAATTTTCTGTTATTTGTGACGGGTGCCTGAGCCGTTTGGGAAAAGGTGACCCTAGAAGGCCAGAGGAATTGGGAATGCCTGGGTTGCCTGTGGAGAGTTGAGTAACAGTCTCCATGTGCTGGGCACCTGAAGAAATTACTCCTGAAGGTTAATCCTAAAGTGTTTCACTTCATTATTTCCCATGGGAGGAGAAACTCTAGCTGAACTTCGCGACCTATGTAGGACTTGGGGAAGGGCTTAGCAGACGTTTAGGGTCTTTGCAATGAATCTGACCCTATAAGTCAGCTGCAGCTTCTCATTGGTCTATACATACCTGTCTGGGTAAAGGGCTCCTTTGAATATATCTGATCATCTCCTTTTGAAAATTCAGCAATTTCTCTCCTAGGAGACTGCTACTCATCCTACCTTTCTGAATACCCATTACTCCTTCTTCCTGCAGCTTGAAGGCAGGTCCACGCCTCCTCCTGGAAGCCTTCCCTTGACTGACTCCTCGCTGAGTTCACAGGTATCTCATCCGTGCCCGACGTTGTGCCCCCTTCCATGAGGTGAAGCGCTCTCAAAATGAGAGCTTTAGGTCCTGAGTTTAGAATGCCTGTTTCTTCATGGATGTCCTTGGCTCTTTAAACTCATTGTGTCTCAGACCCATGAGATGATCTCCCTCCTTCTCATCTACTTCGACCTCTGATTAGCTGATGGCATGACTGTGTTCCCAGTCACATGGGCTAGACACTTCACCTGCCTCATTGCCTGTGTCCTGGCTCTATTATGTCTTCCAATTCTGCAATGCAGATAGGATGAGGGCTCTCGGGGGTAATGCAATTCACTGTGTATCTGCTTAGGTATCAGTCATTCCCAAGCCCTCATCTTTGGCCAGATGAAATGCCTCTGCCCATGAAGTTTCACCTTGTTCTCTAGCCCAACATATTGCCCTCTCTTCTGTGGACTTTTCATGCCATTGCACCAGCACATTCTCATGTTGCAGAGCATGCTGGCCTTGTATGACACTCACTGATGTCTGTGGACATTCCTCTACCTACAAGGTGAGCTCATTGTGAGCAGGATGTTTATCTGCTCTACCCACTTCCTCATCTCAGTGACTTGTACTTATTTGGTCTCAGTAAATGAAGTTTTTCTGGCCATTAGCACATTATGTGCATTCTAATCACTTACTTGCCTGTATCTCCCACTGGTGGATAAGTTTCTTGAGGACTGGACTCAGCATGATTTAGCTTTGTGTCCAGTATGTGAACTGAGCACTGTGCCAGGCAAAACCAAAGTGTATAGTAAATGTTAAATTAAATGGGTGAAGGTAACTTCATTTATTATTTAGTATTTATTACACCTTAAATAACTCTAACATTAAAAGTTTAGTGTTAAAAAAATGAAAGATTTGCCAAAAGCAGATGAGCCTATAAGGGAAATGGACAAGGAGAGACTAGAGATAGAGGAGGAGATCTAGGAGAATGTGGTGTCACAGGAAAGGAAAGACTTTAGATGGAGAGAGACCAAATATGAAGGCAATTGGTTTAGCAGCATGGAGGTCTGTGGGGAGCTATGTAGAGTCATTTTTCCTTGGGAGGAAAGGGCCAGGAGCCACAGTGGGGTGCACTGATGAGTGAGTGAGTGGAAGATGTAAAGATGGAGGGAAAAAATATTAATACCTTTTCAAGAACTTTACCTATACAAAAGAGGAGGGTAATAGGGAAGCAAAAAGACACGGGAGCAGGATCCAGAGAGGATTTTCTTTTAAAATGGGGCATCATGAGTATGTTAAAAGCTGACAGAATGGGGAAAACTTTCTGGGAAAAATACAAAACCTTTAATAAGATCTAAGATACTTAATTACATAAAACTATTTTTGCATGATAAAATCAAGTGAAACATTGGGAAAGAATATTTTTAACATACATAACAGATGTGACACACAATTTTGATGATCACAAACAGAGGTGCAAAAACAACGTATTTGTAACTGCATTCTACCTGCTTCTCAGCTGTCATTTCTATTTGTAGTAGAAGACAACCACACCAACAGACAAAAAAATTAAAATATCCCCTCAAAGTTATTTAGTTATTGTTCTGTACTCATCCTTAAAAACCCAGATTATAGGTTCTGTCTTCAAGGAATCCATCCTTTTTCCATGCTTTGTACACACTTGTATTGGCCAACATAACAGTGTTTTGTAATTACATACTGCACATATGCATCTCCAACCTGACCCTGAGTTTGTTGAGAGCAGAGACATTCTCAGTATCCAGTTTATGCCCATTAACTAAGTTGATTCCTGTTGATTGATAGTCACGTAAGTCCCCTGTGGGCTTCGGTGTTTTGCAGTGTTAGGTAGGACTATTTCTGCATCTGTCACATTCCTAGAAGGACTGTTTTCAGTCTCCAGCAAGCTCCCCTGTTGCCCCTTCTGAGTCGGAACCCACCTTCTCCAAATATAACTATGCTCTGATTTCTAGCACCATCGATTAGTTTTGCCTGTTCTTGAACCTCCTGTACACACAGCTTGTTTTCTTGTGTCTGACTTCTTTTGTTCAATGGTATGTCTGTGAGATCAAAATGTGTTGATGTATGTCAGCAGGTCAGCAGTTTGTTCTTTTTCCTTGTGTAGTATTTTATTGCATGAATGATGATTGTTTTAATAATAAATAATAATAAATTTTTTATTTTGCTTTTTAGAGAAAAGGCTTTTCCTAACTCTAGAATATTATTTAGTCAAGGATATGTTTGGTTTTAAATGTTTTCCTATCTTACATGGGTCTCTAAAACATAAGGAAAACAAGAGCCCATGTTTCTTTTTCTCCTTAAAAACACGATTTTTAAAAATACACAAATGAAAATTAATGAACTGTTAGTTGAGTTCCTTTCCACAGAGTTGGGGGGAAGTTGGTCTTCCAGGGTGTTGCTCTGTAGGGCCCCCCTGAATGTTACCTTGGATTATGGGAGTAGCAGGGGGCTTCCAGAGTAGAGGGCTCCCTTTCCTGATGTGCGTTTATGTCTCCTCCTGTCTCCTTGCATCGGCGATTTCCAGTGAGATGAGTCAGAAACCGGCCAAGGAGGGTCCCAGACTCTCCAAAAACCAGAAGTACTCCGAACACTTCAGCATACACTGCTGCCCGCCGTTCACCTTCCTCAATTCCAAGAAGGAGATAGTGGATCGGAAATACAGCATCTGTAAGAGCGGCTGCTTCTACCAGAAGAAAGAGGAGGACTGGATCTGCTGCGCCTGCCAGAAGACCAGGTAAGCGGCCGCCCAGCCCCGCGGCACCAGTTGGGCACAGCGCGTGGTCTCGGCTCCCAGCACGCCCCTCCCGCTCCGCACCCCACTCTTCCCCCTAGTCGGCTCCGGGTTAGGCTCCGACACCGGAAGGCACTCCAGGGAGACTGGAAGGTGGGTGGGGGAGCAGGGCCTTCCTACCTGTTTCCAGCTCCTGCCAGCGTCGCTTAAGCAGCAGAGGAGAGCCCTGGCTCCCGCCTCCAGCTTCTTTTGGCCCTCTCAGAACCAGCCGCCGTGCCAAGTCCCCTCAGAGGCCCAAGCAACAGCCAGCTGCGCCCCCCGCGGTGGTCAGAGCGCCAGCCAAGCCACGGTCCCCTCCGAGGTCTGAGCGTCAGCCACGGTCCCCTCCGAGGTCTGAGCGTCAGCCACGGTCCCCTCCGAGGTCTGAGCGTCAGCCACGGTCCCCTCCGAGGTCTGAGCGTCAGCCACGTCCCCGCCCAGAGGTCCGACCACCGCCAGCCAAGCAGCGTCCCCCTCAGAAGTCCAAGCAACAGCCGCGCAGCAGCCCCCTCAGAGGGCCAGGCGCCAGCCGTGGGGGGTCCCCCGTCAAAGCTTCTAGGTTCTGGTAACACCATCTCTTCCCTTTTGTTCCCCAGCCCTAAGGTTAGTAGTTGCTTCCTGTGTTTACTAACACCGGGCTGTCTCCATGGCCCTCTTCAGCCTTATTACCCAACCTGTGTAATCAGCTCCCTCCATTAAATCCCCTCTGTTTGAAATACCTAGTGTGGCTTCTGGTTTCCTCCTAGGTGCTATTGGTGCATACTTCAGGTGGCTGTGGCCATTGCTTCCGTTGTCTAATAGGACTGGAAGTTGTTAATCTATCAATTGAGATTATTGACCATGGTAACAGATTGAATAAATGAGTTCCTCAATGCCTATGCCTCAGGGAGATAACGAATGGTGACTCTAATCAATATCCGTATAAGTAAAAGGAGAGGGTAATCCATTGGACCCATCCATCTCCCAACACACTTCATCTGATGTCAATCTCAGTGGCAATACCATTCATTCATTCACTCATTCACTTACTCAACAAATCCTATTGCATACCTGTAAAGTTCCATTTGATGTGCTGGGGGAAGGGAATATGGCAGTGAGGAAGCCGTGTTGTTTGAGATTTACCAGGACCAAATAAGAGAATAGGTGTCATCGTGTAGGGATCAGTGCCCTAATGTTTTCATAATATGCATGTACATGGGACCATGAGAACCATAAGCAGGGAGTTATTGGCTCTGTAGGCTATTTTTTTTTTTTTTTGAGCAGTTTTAGGTTCACAGCAAAATTAAGGGGAAGGTACAGAGATTTCCTCTATATTCTTGCCCCAATACACACATGCCTGGCCAATTTTTTATTTATTTATTTATTTATTTTACTGTTCTGAAGGTATATCAGCATGCCAACTTTTTAGACCTTTTACTATTTGGAACTGAATCTGTTTATAAGTTAGTAGTGGGTGTTAATTGTATTTGAGATTCTCATATCTACTCTGATACCCAGCACTTGTGTAGCATCTACTATGTGTAGGTATCACATGATGTTTACTGATTTAGTAGGAAGAAGAGTCAATGGGGAAGAATGTTAAAGATGCCCCTAGAAAATGTGATTTTTGGGTCACCACTAAGGCCTGGGTATGTGCCTTTTTAGTAAGCATTCACCCCGCAAAGGTACAGTTATGTAGACAGTACGCAGACTACACAATGAGCAATGCTGACCTAAACAATCCATAAATGAATAATCCAGATTATTTGTGATGTGAGGTAAAGAAATGTGGAGAGTGATAAATTTATGGTACCAAAAGTGAAAGCATTAAAAAGGCACAAGATTAGGCAAGTTTAATTTGTGAAGGAAGTAACTAGTCACTAAAACTTTAATAGCAAGTTGTATGACAGGTTACCTAGTCATTAACTGAGTCCCTCTTAAGGACCCTGAGTAGAAGGGTCCTAGGACAGGTAAGTATTGATATATGGAAGTAGTTAGAAAATGTATGAAACAGAGGAAATTAATTGTATAAAAGGCATGCCACCTATAGTGGTGGCTTTGGGTGGCTGGAGTTCAATCAGGACATGGAAAGGAGTTAGAAGACAATGAAAGCAAACTTCACCATACCCACAGATTTGTCTGGACCTAACCTGGATCAGTGTATTCACCTAAATTCAGGAGATACCCTAGTGTTGGTGTGCTTTGACTCCCTCAGTTAACTAATTTCAGTGGGTATCAGAAGGTGCCTCCACAGGCCGTTATTACCTCCTCAGCCATTGTCCCTTACCTGGGAACAGAGGATCTGAAAGTCTTCATTCGTAATGTCCCCTGACTTCACTTATGCACTGTCTTGAGTCCTATTTGAGATATTCATTTTTCCTTCTTAGATTCCCAAAGGTCTTCAGGTAATATATTGGAGCCACTTCTTCATCATATTGTCTATTCCTTTTATTGATACTGATTGACTATTTTGAATCAAAGGAGTGGGAGGCAGGTTGATGTGATGGGAAATATTTGCTCTTAAGCAGAGCTACTAACTTGCACATGAAGAAAGGGTAAAAAAGATTTTCTGAAGCCAACTTGCTTTCTGAAACAGTGCTATTTCTGAGGTATTGCTTTTAGAGGTTAAATAATTTTGGCAAAGGCCTAATTGGATTCTTAATAACTCCCTTGGATAGGTCTTCTCAAAAACCAGAGAATGATTTAATCTTAGAAACTGATTGTACGATTTCCAGCATCCTGATTAAACATGGTAGCATTCATAATATTTGATAGGAGGAAACCGTGGCATCTCCCTCTTAGTTTATTCTGTCCTCCCAGTTCTAAGATTTTAGGATTTCACAAGGTTGTCCTTGCCTTTGGGTTTAACAGGTATGTCCTGGGCCTCTTTTGGTTTCAGTGTTCTGCTTTTGGGAGCTGGGGATCTGTGGTTCTTTGAAAACCACCATGGCTGTGGGTGGTTAATTTGGAGTCAATCAGTCACATATATTGGGAAGTGCTGTGTGTGCCTTTGACTCATTTTTTTCTGCACAGCATGTTTTATATTATTAAATTGAGCCCTGCACACAAGCAGCCTGGAAGACTATGATTTTCCAGGTAACAGCAGAGCTAGAGAAAAGGCCTGAGCTCTTTGCTTTCTGTTCAGGCTCTTGTTCTGCCTGTGTCTCAGGTTGCATTATTGCTTTTATTAGTTTGGGTGACTGAACTCTTGAATTTTGCCCTATCTGTGGCATATACTCTTTCCTATCTGGGAGCAGTCCTTTATACATCCTGGTGGTCCCTATAGCACAATGCTTATGCAGAACAGATGCTTTTGCAGAGGCCTAGGTTAGCCAGAGAGGCTTCCAGTCCTGGGAGCTGTGTGTTGTTTTGGAGTGTGACAGCCTCTGCCTGGTCACAGGTCCTTACCTGGTCCAGACCACATGGTTAACTACGCCTTCTCTGATAGCCTTAACCCAATTGTCTCTCATTCTCCTTCAACACTCGTTTTATAAATCCCTGATTCTAGATCAAGCTCACAACCTGCCTGCATTGGTTTTCCAGCTGCTGAGGATGGTCATGTGTGCATAGAGCTGCTGAGTGCAGTTTGGGAAAAGCTTTATAGCCTGGTGGGTTGGTGCCACCACAAATGGATGAACCCCAGCCACTCCCCAGACTGTCCTGGCTCCACCAGCCCCCACACGTTCATCAGAATATGCATCTGTCTTTAAATCCTTCCCCTCAGCCTCAGAGGTTGAAGCATTCATTCGCTGATGAGGCCAGTCCCCCACCCCTCCCTGTGATCTTCCAACCTCTTATCTCCTTTGAGGTCTTGCTGTACAACTTAGCAACCCCCCTAACCACTTCAGCCTTTGTATCTTGTCTCTTTCTCATTAGCATTTTGACGTGTTTTGCTCTCTCATATTGACTGTTTGTTCACGTCTGGCCCTATCCTCTTTTCTCTCTACCTTAGACAAATTTTAAAAAGAATAGTGTAAACTCGTCATCTTTACTTCCTCAAATCCCATTTGCTCTTCAATTCATTGTGTTCTAATTTCTTCCCTTAGCACCCCCGCCCCTGGAATTCCTCTTGTGCAGATTCCTCCAGAAGTAACAATGCAAGGGCAAGAAGTTTATTTGGGAGGTGAAGGGGACACTGGAGGAATGTGGGAAGCAAGATAAGGAAGGGAAAGAGCCAATTAAAAAAAAGCATTATCTAACCAATTCTCACCGTGGGTTCCTGGGACTTAGTCCTGCCGAGGACCTCTGGGGAACAGTGTAGACATGTGCGTCAGTTATCTTACCAGAGGGGTGGAGGAACTGGGATATTTATACACCAGTTCTCGTCAGACATTAGTCAGCCAACGCTGCTTCAAGGATGGGGGCATTCATTCTTTGACACGTCTAGCTTGTTAAGGAGATGGCAAAGTGGACTGCAGCAGCAAGATAAAAGCCCTCAGGAAAAGAAAGGCAAGTGCTGGCACCTGGAAGTGGGGCTGAGCACAAGAGTGGTAAGGGCAAGGGGTTATGGGCAAGGCACCAGTAGTGTTTGCTCTAATGGTTACCTGTGGCCTTCATGCTGCTTTTCCTAATGAGTGCTGAACCCAATCTGTATATCAGTGGTGCTTTCTGTTGGATTTGTTGGGCTGTTCTCTCATTCAGTCTTTAAACTCTCTGTTCTCTTGGTTTCTGTGACTCTCTTCTTCCTTTTCTCTGCAGGAACTTTCCTTCTTCATCTTCTTGTGAGTGCTTCCTTTTCTGCCAATTGCTCAACCTTGAGGTCCCCTAGGGTTCCCTACTGAGCTCTCTGCTTATATGATTTTGCCTTCTCTTGTGGTTTTAATTATGACTCACGTGTGATGACTTCTAAACCTTAATTCATCATTGACATTAATATGTGAGCCTATTCACTCAGCAGATCAATTTGATGTTGGAAAACCTAATCTGTCTACACTTGATTTCTTTCCTACAAAACTTGTTCTTCTTTTTGTTTGCTATCTCAGCAAATAACACAGCTGTCCAACTAATCCCCCAAGTTGGAAACCTAAGCACATTGTAACTTCCAATTTTCCCCTGCATATAAATGCTGGCCAATTTGACTTTCTGATGGGAAGGGGTGCAGGATTGAGATCAAGCTAGAAACAAAGTAGAGGGAATGGAGGTAGTTGATAAAATAAGTCTCCTCCATAGCACATATGGAGGGATTGGCCTTTGATGGGAACAAGAAAAGCTGTTAGATTGTGCAAAGTAGAGAGAGACCCATTAATAGGCATTAAGATAGAGGTCATGCCCGAGAATGAGCGAGCTAGAAGTTTGAGAAGGTTAGGGTACACCTGGAATGTTAGAGACCAGGCTTCTAGGCAGTAGTTAGGGCTGGCTGAGCTGAGCTCAACAGAGCTGTATATAAATCATTTGTTCTTAAGGAGCTCCTTCTCCAATGAAAGGAAACAGATTGCCACCTCTGAAATTATCAGTGGAATCACACAACTCCACATCCACACTCTGCTTCTCTTCCAACTTGTTTGCCAAATGCCCTCACAGCAACTGTTCTTAAACTTTACCATGTGCCTCCAGTGTTCTGACTCCTCCATTTTTATCTCCATCTATCAGACTCCACTTTCCTCGCTTTCCAAATTAGAAATGATATCCCAACATTTTAATGTCGTTCACAAATACCCTAGAATCCCCTGCCTTCTGAATATTTGTCTTACACCCCTGGGAAAACCCCAGCCTTTGATGAACCCAGCTAACTGGCTTCACCATGTTTGTTTTTGGGCAGCTAAGCATCACTGGAGAACAGCACACAGCAGGACGATAGTAGCTGGGTATAAGCAGAATTGTGTTTATCCTATCACTAAGCAGTTTCCTTTGGGCAGTTATAGTTCAATTGCATGCATTCAGACAAAAAAGGAAGCATGTACCTCAAAAGTGTCATGTATGCATGTGTAGTTTATATGCTCACACACATACTTCATATGTATCAGGCTTACTGAAGTATAATTTACATGTGGTAAAATTAAACTCTTTTGGCATACATTTCTACGCACATAGTCCTGTGACTACTGCCACAAGTAAGATATAGAATATTTTCATTACCCTTCAAAATTTCCTTATATTTCACCTATGCAGTCAACTCCCCAGCCCATAGTAACCACTGACCTATCTTCTGTCCCTAACTTTTGCCTTTTCTAAGATTCCATATAAGTGGAATTATGTAATATTATAGCCTTTTGAGCCTGGCTTCTTTTACTTAACATAGTGCTTTTGAACCATATTGTTGCATTTTTTTTTTTTTTTTGAGACGGAGTCTCACTCTGTTGCCCAGGCTGGAGTGCAATGGCATGATCTCGGCTCACTGCAACCTCTGCCTTCTGGGTTCAAGTGATTCTCCTGCCTCAGCCTCCTGAGTAGCTGGGATTACAGGCATGCGCCACCATGCCTGGCTAATTTTTGTATTTTTAGTAGAGAGGGCTTTCACTATGTTGGTCAGGCTGGTCTTGAACTCCTGACCTCATGATCTGCCCACCTCGGACTTTCAAAGTGCTGGGATTACAGGCATAAGCCACCGCGCCTGGCCCCAACATTTTAATCTCTTTCACAAATACCCTAGAATCCCTTGCCTTCTGAATATCTGTCTTATACCCCTGGGAAAACCCCAGCCTTGGATGAACACAACTATATATACAGGCATCCCTATACAGTATATATGTATATAGTATATATACATATGCATCCATATAGTCTCTCTCTATATATGTGTATGTTTATATGTATGTGCATATATGTATATACATACGTGCACATATGTGTGTGAGAGTGTTTGTGTGTGTGTGTGTATATATATATATATATGGATTCACATGCCACAGTTTGCTACTCACCGGTTGAAAGATGTTTGTTTCCAGTTTTGGTGATTATGAATAAAGCTGTGAACATTATGTGAACATAAGTTTTCCTTTCTATTGGGTAAATAATTGGGACTGGTAATGCTGGGTAATATGGTAGTTATTTGTTTAAACTTCTAAGAAACAGCTAAATTATTTTCCAAAGAAGTTGTAACATTTTTCATTCCTACCAGTAACCTGGGCTTATTGTTAACACTTGGTACTATCAGCTTTAAAAATTTTATTCATTCTGATAGGTATGTAATGGTATTCATTGTAGTTTTAATTTTGCATTTTCCTAATGACTAGTGAAGTTGAGCATCTTTTAATGAGTATAAAGATAATCCACTAAAGACACTTATTTGGTGAAATCTCTGCTTAAATCTTCTACATATAAAAATCGGATTGTTTTATTATTGTATTTTGAGGGGTCTAAAAATATTCTAGATACAAGACATTTATAAACAATATGTTTTGCAAGCATTTTCTCCAGGTCTGTGACTTGCCTTTTTATTTTATTCACAGTGTTTTGTGAAGAGCCAAAGTTTTGACAAAGTCAAATTTATCAAATTTTACTATCACACTGGTCTTTAAAAATAAAAAATTATTATTTTTTATTTTTGATACCCCAGTTTCTTCACCTCTCTGATGAGATACAGATGAGATACTGATGTACAGGTCTACACTGTTCCCCAGGGACCCCCAGCAGGGTCATACTTTTTGTGTTGTATTTAAGAAATCTTTTTCTAATTCAAGGTCACAAAGATATTTTCTTGTAGAAATTTTAAATTCTAGGTTTTACTTTTACAGTATTATCCATTTTAAGTTAATTTTTTGTAATGGTGTGACGTATGAATTGAGGTTCAATTTTTTTGTATATGGTTTGCATATGGCTCAATTTTTTTGTAATTATTTCAACATCATTTGTTGAAAAGTTTCTCCACTGAATTACCTTTGCAATTTGGCCAAAAATCAGTTGATCATATATTTATGGGTTTATTTCTAGACTTTCTATTTTTTCTATTAATTTATATATCTTTCCTTTCACCAAAGCCATACTTTATTACTGTAGCTTAGTAGTAAGTATTGAAATCAGTTAGTGTGAATTCTCCAACATTGTTCTTCATTTAAAAAAATTGTTCTGGTAAAAAATTATTCGAGTTTTTTTACTTTTCCATATAAATTTTCATTGTGTCAGATTCTACAATATATTATGGTAGGATTTTGAAAGGAGCTGTGTTGACCTTATAAATCAATTTGGGGAAAACTATAACAATACTGAGTCTGATAATTCATGAACATGGTATATCTCTCTATTTATTTAGGTCTTTTTTTGTTTTGTAGTTTCTAGTACATAGATCTTGCACATATTTTGTTTGGTTTGTACCTAAGATTTTATGCTTTTTGGTGATATCAAAAATAGCATTCTTTTTCAATTTTGATTTCTAATTGTTCATTGCTAGTATACAAAAATATAAGTGAATTTTGTATATTGATCATGTATCCTGTGATTTTGCTAAACTTACCTATTCTAGATTTTTTGTGGTAGACTCTAGGGTTTTCTATACTGCAAATTATGTTGTCTTTGAATAGAGACGGTTTGATATTTTTCTTTTCAATCTGTATGCCTATTTTTTGTATATGTTTCGAACTGCTATTTTGTTCAAAACATTTAATTTTTAGAGAAATATTTTAACAAGATTAAATTCTTGCCAAATTGGCTCTCTGGCTTATTACAAGGGATTACAGCCTGAAGGCCCAAGCCTAATAACACAAGATGCTTAGGTTAGGTTGTTAGTTTATTCCTGTGCTTTCTTTATATCCTTATTTCAAGATATGGCTCAACTTTCCTCATGGCCTATTGACTGATGTACTGTATCATCAAAATAGAAAATTGGCACGAGCATTCTTTGGATGTAAAAAATCACAGAGGTCCTAAATACTATTAGAATTACTATGGTGGTAATTGTTCAAAATTGCCTAATGTCATCTTAATGGTTATGAGAGATGGTTACCAAAGCTCTAGGGATTGGATTTACAAGGTGGATTCAATTTCAGTTCACATTTGGGGACAATCTCAGTCTTGGAGGGAGTTAACATCTTGAAGAACAGTCATGTGGTAGTTGTCCATGTGTGGACCAAAGACTATGGCACTTTCTTCTCAAACCCTACATGGCCCTGAATTATCTGTTTCCTCTATTCAGCTATGTGGGCAGTCTTTATAATTTAACCTTTCAAAGCTGTGCTACAATACGATGACTAGAGCATTTTATATAGGACATGACTTTTGTGTACTAGTGACCTGTTATTTTCCTGTTTTGGGTTTGTCAGGGTGATTGATGTGGGGTATTTTGTGGAAGCAGAGTCTAAAGAGTCATCATTATTGGCAGTGATAAGGGGTCCTGGCATAGCCCTCTGACTTAAGAGCCTTCACACTTCTTGCTGAGCAGATGGTCGCCCTTTCTGTGAGCTCCCTTGATACTTCCACTGCTATAATTTGGACATCTTTGCTGATCATCACTTACTTGTCCATCTTCCTTGCTGGATGGAGTGTGCATAAGTCAGGGTCAGAGAATCTTACACTCATCCCCCCAGGGCCTCACTCAGGGCCTGGCTGATGATGTTGACTGAATGAGCCCTATAAATACACTTGCAGTCAGTCTGGCACAGTGAGAAGGGTAAGGGCTCTGGCATCATTCCAACAATTGGAAATTAAAATGGAAAAAAAAAGGCATGAATTGAAAAGGTTTGAATCTGAGCTCTGCTGCCTGTGGATTTCCTGTGTCTTAAGTACTTATTCTAAGTCACATTTTTCCCATCTGTAAAATGAGGGTATTATCTATTTCATTAGTTCATCATATTATAGGACTAGGTAAGTGGATATTATTGGAACAATTATTTAATGAATACATTGTGTCACTTAACCCTATCTACTAGCATATTATCTCCAACTCAATTGCCTTCCCTGGTTGATTGGGAGTTCAGGGCTGTTGCTATATAAACTGGTCATCCCCATTACCATCAATGTGGCTGCTATTGCTAGTAAAATGCCAATTAGAAAATTAGATGCTCATATTACCTAGGATGCCACAGTGGCTGATTGCAGAGATACTTGCTGAGGGTGATGCCTGGGATCTGTGGGCCTCCGTGCTAGTCTCAGCACCTGGGTTTTATATTCAGCAGTATCTATGGGGAGTTCGAAAACATGCAGGCTGCCACATGTCTGGAGGTCATACAGGCAATCCAGAAAGTGTAAAGAGATTCCTTCCTCAAATTTCAAGGGATGTGTTCCAACCTTTCAGGCTACAATTCACTCTACAAGTTTTAATAACATATTTCTGCATTTATTTTTTTCTGGTATCCTCAATCCAGTTTGAAGGGTATCAGCTTTGCTAGCGTGATACATCATTTGGGATTTTAAAAATGGTATTGCTAATATCTGAGTATAAATTTTATTTCTAATATTAAAAACTTTCCAAATTACACAAAAGCTGTGATCCTCATAAGTTTTGTCTCTAGAATAAAATTATGTGACATTCCTAATGCATGCATTTTGTTTTTTGTGTATTTGTTTTTTAAACTAAGAACTTTGATGATGCACTGAAACTATTTGACATAGCCTCATTTCAAAGGCAGTCACATAGAGTTCTGCTATCTAAATAAATTAAAGCTGATATCACACAACATTTCAGTTGGGTAAGCTTGCAGGCAATGCTTGTCTGGGCCACATATTTATAATGTCTAATGTCTTTATTGGATGTTGTTTATCTCCTTCTTGAACACGATTTGTTCCCTCATCAAAGTGGAAACATGTCAGTATGTTCACAATTTTATAAGTGCATATACTCTATGTGTATATGTATGTACATTCACATCTTTACGTCTATAAGTAGTAAAATATTTTTTCCAGGAGTGGGTGTACTTTAATTTCCTTTGTGTTTTTCTATGTTTCAAAATTATCTACAATGATTAACCAGAAAAGCAATAATTATCATACATAAAATAGAACTCTTAAAGAATATCTTTCCTAGGCTCGGGCCAAGAAAAAAATATCATATTATTTTTGGCCAGAGACTACCAGAATTAAGAAATTAAAGAGAAGGATTTTGCAGAATAACCTCAAAGGTAGTCTCAAAATCCACAATTATACTAACTGAACACAGAGAAAGAGAGAGAGTATACATCACCTACCTATGTCATGTGTTTTTCTTTTTCTCTTTGTAAACCAGATTGAAAAGGAAGATCAGGCCAACCCCAAAGAAGAAGTGACCAAGGAGGAGTTTAAACTGAATGAACAACCTCGGCTCCTGGACTCATTGCTTCACAACCCATCTACCCCTGGATGAAGTTATCTGGCTTCAAATATTATGCAGGGGCAAACACCTGCTGATGTGGCAACTGCTGATGCTCATGGTCCCCATGGCATGGGGGCCTCAGGGCAGCCTGCCTGGAGGTGAGCAGGGCTATCTCTGTGTGTTGTACTCCAGTCAGGGGGTTCCAGCAGCACCCGCAGGCTCTAGAGCTCAATGCACAGTTCTTTTTGTTTCACCTGCAGTCCTTTCTTCTCCAGGATATGCACAGGCCTCCAGGGTCTTTCATGGCTCAGGGTCAGGGTGGCTCAAGTGCCAACCCACATGTTGTCCTCCAAATATTCCCTTCTATCCCTGGCATGCTGTTGCTGAGCTCAACTTTTAATTTTTGACTTTCTCCTTTGTAATTAATCTCTATCTGGGTTTCTCTCTTTCTCTGTGCCATTTGGTTTCCTTAATTAGTTCCCTGTGCCAGCCCATAGTCAGAGCCATAATTGGCTCTGGGGAAGATCCAAGTTATTTTCTGAGTAAGATATTAGGCTTCCATATGATCCAGAGATGCAAAGAAATCCCTAGAGAGTGTAGGAGTTGTCTAAATCCATGTGTCAGATGTAGCCAACGAATTATGTCAGAAGCAGAGAGAAAAGGCCTGAAAAGCAGCTCTCTCCCACTCCTCAGGCCCTTGTCTCCAACCTTACATGAGGCTTTTTGAACATCTCCTCCTGGCCCAGCTGGGGTGAGAGCAAGTCCTCGAAGGCACTGCCTTTGAGCCTTGCTCAGCCCATCTGAACTATCCCAACTCTAGAATTGACTGCTTTCGAATTGTGTGACCTTGGGAATGTTATCTGGCTTCAACCACAATGCCCTACCCCCAGCTCCTCTCCCAAATGATCCTAGATACAGGGCTGCTTCCCCCCGACCCTACCCCACCTCGGGACACAGGCTCATGGCCTCATGGCACTTCACCACCAGAAGTGGTGCTCAGAGTTCCTATTTCCACATCTAACCCCCTAATTCCTGGGAAAGTCTGAGGCCTGGTCCCCCCAGTGCTTTCCCTGGCTGGCCTCTCCACATTTTCATCTGATGGTGGAGTGAGATCAGGAAAAATAGGACAGGAGCTTTGCCTTGGGGGAGAAGAGAGTTAAGTGTGGAAAGGGGTGAGTTATAGGAGGTTAAGCAGTCCAAGATTTCTCTCTCTGTGTAGGAGGCCATTTCCTGATGTGAGGGGTCTGAACCCAATTATGATGGGACAGGGTTGGGCATTGACTTCCCATCTCTTCTCTCTGTTTTTCTCCCACTATCTGTAGCCCAAAACTCTTATGGAGGACTTTGATCTTTAGTATAGGCTATTGGTCAGGGCCATAGGAACTAACCCCGATCCTCACTCCACCAGGATCTACCACATCCCCTACACACAAACACATGCTGTGGGGAGGGAGTTTTCCCCTGGGTCAAGTTGAGGATCCTTAGATCACCTTGTGCTCCTGTGGACTGGTGTGTGCGTGTGTGTGTGTGTGTGTGTGTGTGTGTGTGTGTGTGTGTGTGTGTGTGTATGTTGGGAAACTTAGCTTTCAGAGAATGTCTATGGGCTCTCATTTTCTCTCTCACACAAAAATACTCGGGACTTCTCCAAGTCCCTGAGGAGCCTGACCACTGAAGCTGATCATGAGATGACTGTATGCTGACACACCCCCTTCAGGGGCCTGGCCTTGACTTAGGGCTGCACTGTATCCTCAGCAACGGCCTTGCAGGAGCCCCTTTTGGACTGCTTTCCCTATTCAGCCCAGAGTTGGGGTGGTGGGAGAAGAGGGGTTGGAGTGAATCCATCTCTATTCAAATTCCAGCTGGGATTACTCTAGGAGTCTTCCTGGCTTGTTTTGGGCCCAAACTTAGCTACATTGTTTATTGGCTCCCAAAGTCGGGATTGAAGAGTGAAAAGATGCAGGCAATGAATCCTTCTGCACACTCCTCCCCAACCTTTCCAGCGCTTTTCTACTTAGGAGGCCAGTGGAAGGGAGGAGAGGCCATGCCCTAGCCCACAGGGGACAAGGTTCATTGTTCTTCCAGGCTTGGTTCACTCTGCTTTTGATTCAGAAGCTCTTTCCCTACCCAGCAAGACTACACTTTCTTGCCTTCTTTCTATTTTTTCTTTTTGTGCGTATAAATGGTATGTTGTGATATATTCTCAGTGCTTGTGCCCACCTTGGAACTCTGTTCTTGCTCTTCATTCCGCATGTGATACTCTGGTCCAAGATCTTGGCCAGGTGCCTTCTGCTCAAATATCGTCTCAGAGGTGCTTCCCTTGAAAACTCGGTGCTGTTTCCATAGTTACTCTATTTGATCACTCTAAGTTTGGTTGTCTTCATAGCACTTGTCACCCTCTGGAACTATTCTATTCATTTATTTACTTGTTTAATGCTTGGCTCTTTTCCCCTCCTAACGTAAACTCCATGATTGCCAACACCTGTTTACTTACTACAGTTCCCCCTCCCCCCACATTCCTGACACTAGTAAGAACCAATAAACACTTGTTGACGGAATGAATGTTTGTTTGTTGTTTTTTATAGGAATATTTTTTCAAAAGTTCAGATATTTTTAAGAAGTCAAAGGTGTCTGTTGTTTTTAGCAACAAGGAACTGTTGGCGACCGTGTAGGATACTCTCTGTGTGAAGTAAATGGGAGGCGAGGAACAGAAATTTGCAATTGTAGATGCAATTTTCTCCACTAGGCTTGACCACGAAGGAAGGCAGAGGAGTAGGGCAAGGGCTGGAGTGTTGCACTTACTGAGGAGGCACCTGAGCATGTGAAAGTGCTGCGGGGAGGGCGGTGGCACAGTGGGTGTGTGAAGAAGGAGGAGTGGATCACTGATGGAGCCAGCAGCTGAGGAGTTGAGGGGGCCAAATCAGGCTCAGATGAGAGGATCAGGCATGGAGCAGGGGTGCCTTTTCACTGGAAAAGAGGGAAGGAGAAAAGGAGAGTATAGATTCTGGTGGATTTGCAGACTTAGTAGCAGGACCTTGAGGCATTTTCTGCCTGTGGTTTTGATTTCCTCTGTAAAGTAGGAGATGAGGTGGCCTGTTCACAATGTGGGTGATGGTGTTGGGGTCAGAGGCATGAGGATGGGAGAGAGAGTTATAAAGAAATCATTTCAACTCACATCTTTGAAATGACCTATATAATTCTTTCTCCAGATGAATTTATATTTTTATTCATTTATTTAAAATTCAAGATAACATTTTGCCACTACAGTTTTGCCTACAACTTCATATTTAGATCTAAATCCCAGATCTAAACTTGAGGCTCATATGGTTTCAGGTGGAAGGAATAAGAGTTGGAGAAAGAAATGCAGAGTCTAATTTTCCCAGCAAATAAAGATTCATGAGGAAATTTTGATGAAGGGAAGCTGTAAAAATTCCAACAGATTACAGGGAGATGGACCTGTACTCTGAGACAGTAATTTGCTCCCTGTCCATCTAGGCTGCTGTGCTTACACCAGAGAACGTGGAAACTCAGGGCTGGAGGGGCCCTGGGAGGGCTTCCTGCCTGACTCCATCACACATGTCTCTGTCCAGCTAATAACACCATTACCAGGTACTTAGTATCTCTGCTTGAATAAAAGGAAGTGTCCTTAGTGGGCAAAGATGATACTGTTGACCCAAGGGTCAGGTGTGCAGTTGTTACTTGGAGAGAATTTGCATACTCACTCTTTCTATTGTAGTAGAGGTATACACTTGCAGGGATGGTTGGGTAAGGGGAGTGATAAAATAACTTCTTCTTGTTGAGCATCAACTATGCATTCACCTTACATCACAGGATGCTTTGTGTTTGTAAATGGGAAATGAGAGAGGTTGTCATGACCCCCATGGCCACTGAAACCATGACCTTTACCTTACTACCATGATGCGGCAGCCTAGAATTTTCTAAACAGAGATTGGTTTAGAGTACCCTGGGGTACTTGGAGATCCCACTGTATGAGATAAGAGGAAGGTAGAGCCAGCAGGACTCCAGGCCACACCTTCACATCAACAAAAGTAATGTTTAGTGTCTATGTTGACTTCTGACTTCATATAGATAAAGGATTCCACTGGAACAAAAAGAGTCTGACTACATTTTCACGAATGCAACAAATATTGATAGAATCCTTGTGTTAGTGGTTTTCTAAATGGTTTACTGAATTAAAGAGTGTACTATTTGATATCATAGGTTTGAGTTTAATTGACTGGTATTTCAGTGACTACTCATTTCCTCTTAGGCAACAGTTTACTACCATCAAGTTCAGTGCTTTGACTTTGATCAACTGACTGGGTTTATCCAAAGTACAGGTGAGCAGAAGAACACAGATGAGGAAACAGTCCTGATAATTATTCCTATATTTTTAGTTTTAAACAAATTTATGTAAAAGTATTATATTTTACATGGCACTAAAATCAATTTCTGTTGCATAAGGTACATTGACATATAAACGACATTGGTAAACATAAAATAGGTTTGAGGAGAGGGGAGAAAACAGGAAGCTACAGCTTAAGTAGTGGCCTTACTTCATAGCAAATCAGTTATCTATCATAATTTGATCATTTGGCTCAAAAAGATCTCTTAATAAAATTAAGTTCTAAAAAAGTATTAAATCTAATTACCAACATTCATATTGGATTTCGAAGCATATGCACTCTCTTAAGAGTCAATTCACAACTTCAGGCTGGGGATCTGTGGGACCCAGTAGTGGTATCTGGAGAGGCTGGTGGGCTCCTCCCTAGAACCCAAAAGGTGCAAGGATTTTGTAGAGGGAAAGGTAAATAATGCCAAGTTACTGGGGTCTAGAAAGAAAGTTTTCTCTTGGATCAAGAGAGTGTGAGTTTCCTAAGTTTCTTCAGCAGGGATGTTGGTCCTTTAGTTAGGAGGTTTAAAATCACCAGGAAGTAAGGGTGAGGAAGAAAGTCTGGGTCCATGTTTGAGAAGGTGACTGATGGTGGTGGAAGTCCTTCCTGTGATGAGTTAATGATGCGTATTTCTGATAAAGATGGGAAGTTATTTACATCGACATTAACCAAATCTACCCTTCATGCAGAAAGAAAGAGCTCTTGGGCCATTCTCTATTAATGAAACCATACCAGGGTCAATATTACAGTGTCTCTGAAATACACTGAAAATACTTCCCTGGCTCAGGTGGTGGCCCATGCTACCTCCAGGCAGTTCTACTTGATTAATGATGCAATGGAGATAATCCTATTGCATCCACCATCAAGGAGAGTTGGGCAGTCATTCAGAGAAAGTGGGACTCAATAGACATTCTGACTATTAATTCAATCATGTTTACATGCAGATCAAAGGGTAAAGTTTTTCTTTACACCTTATATATCCTTCTCTTCCAAGGTGGAAGTCCATTCACAACCAATTCACTGCTAGGCAGACCTCTTTCCTAACAAGTACAGATGGATGGCATAGTGGGGATTAGAACACCTCAGCACTCACAGGGGCATCCTATGGGAGCCAGGCTGGCTTCTAGGACCTCTTATGGATGGAAGTTATTTAGTGGATCTTCCTGGATTTGATTTTATTTCTTTGATCTCTTAAGTACATCAATCTTTGGGTTTGCTACCTGTAATTTTTGTCTTAGGAAGGCAGCATCTCTATTCTCTCCAGGAAGAAATCTTGATGCAGGAAGAAGAAAAAGCCTGGTATCCTGCCCTGTTTTTGTTCTCATGGAGATTCAACAGATTTTTACGTAATCTCTTTTTACTATAATTCACCCTGCGTTTCTTGAATTCTTTGTGAACATCCCTTTCTCCTGTAGCTGACAGCTTCTGTTCTTTCTCTTGGGGCTTATGAGCTTTCTGAGTCAGATCTTTTAGCAAAGCCTTAGTTTTCTGCTCATGGAGATCATTAAGGATCTCTACTACCAGCTGCCAGATTTTGCATTTATTTTCAACTAGAGCTTTGGTGGCTGGCAGCAGTTAAAAAATCATTTTCCAAGTTTAAAATTTTTTTCTTCCAGCTGATGCCTTGCTGACACTTCATTATTTGGCTTAGACTATAAATGGCATCTTTTTTTTTTTTTTTTTTCCAATTCTTGTTAATGTGGGTTTTGGCATTGTCTGATGACCCTAACTTTTCATCTTTTTACCATGGTAATCTGCCAGTTGACTCTTTATTTTCAAATCATCTAGTTCATTTCCTTTTCTATGCGTTTTCTCCTCTGACTCAAAGATCAAGTGCTTTCAGCTGTCTAGTATATTTATTCATTACTACAACTGCATTATTTTCCTAAACCGCAGCTTCTTTCTGAGACTTGAGATCTTATCTGATTTGCTCACTGCCTCAGTAGGTAGGGGCTGGGGCAGGAGCAGTTAGGGGCAGAAAGAGACCACAGCCTTCTATTTACTGCAGCCTCCCCATGCCCCTCCAAACAATCTGTACTGCCACCTCTTTCTCTTCTTCTAACTCCTATCTTCCATCTCTTTCTTCACCTCAATGCGTACATCTCTGATCATGACATCTGTTTTTTTTTTTTTTTTTACAACTTAAATTTAAACCAAGAAGATCTTGGTTTATAGATTTGTAGCAGAGCTACTTAACAACCTTTCCATATTCTTATTGCTCTGGACTTTATACCCTCTTCACTGCTTTCTCTCTCCAGATCTTGTCCCTGGCTGCTAACTCTGATTTTTCCCAAACCAGCTCTGCTCTGACTTATGCAGTTTCCCACCATCAAGCCACCAGCAATGACCCCTGATAAGTGTGCTGACCCATAGCCAAGTGCATTCTGTCTCCAAGTCTCTCTAATTCCCAAATGGCCTGATGACACAGTTACATTAGATTATGTTGGATAAGTTCTATCACTGCTGAATCTGCTTCCTTAACTTGTGTTCACCTACAATTTTAACTTACTATTGCTTGCATTGTTTTTAAGTCTTCAAAAGTCCTCAGTCTACTTGAACACAGCTTCTCTTGTGACACTTTTCCTCTTCTGGTCTAAGTTTCTTTTTGGTGAGCTCTTGGGGTCCTAATAAGAGAATTTCTGCAGTCCAGAGAAGGAGGAGGGAACATCTGGTACCAAAGTACCAAATGTGTTCATGAGTGTGTGTGTGTGTGTGTGTATGTGTGTGTGTGTGTATGAGAGAGAGAGAGAGAGAGACAGAGAGAGAGAGAAGAGAGAGACAGAGGAAAAGAGATTGGTCTTCCCTTTTTACTTTTTGTAGCTTTCTTCTTTCTACCGCTTCTTGTGTTTTGGGAAAGGTGGGTTTCCTCCCTTCAATTCCGTATGTCTCCTTGCTCAAAAATCATGCTGACAGGAGGTCATGGCTCCTGATACAGTAAACCTCAGGATGGTCTTTGCCCATGCAAGAGGTTTGGCTGGCAATTCACGTTAATTTCTTCTCCCTTCTGACTTGAAAAACTCAAGTTGTCTGTGAAAATGAAAAAACTTTAGTGTACATATCTCACCCAACAAGGCTTTATAAAGCTGCTTCTTAAGGCAGCTCTATATTCTTTTTTTTTTTTCTTTTTGACAGAGTCTTGCTCTGTTACTCAGGCTGGAGTGCAGTGGCACAATCTCGGCTCACTGCAACAACCTCTGCCTCCCAGGCTCAAGCAATTCTCATGCCTCAGCTCCCGAGGAGCTGGGATTATGGGTGTGTGCCACCACACCCAGCGAATTTTTTGTATTTTTAGTAGAGACAGGGATTCACCATGTTAGCCAGGTTCGCCTTGAACTCCTGGCCTCAAGTTAATCCTCCCGCCTCAGCCTCCCAAAGTGCTGGGATTATAGGTGTGAGCCACAATGCCTGGCCAGACAGCTGTATATTCTAAACATTAAAGCCACCATTAGGATAGAACTAATTTAGAACAATGTTATATAGTGACTTTCTCATACAGGGAATGCAACAGCCAGTTTTGTTATACCAGGACATTTTTTATACAGGGGAAAAATCAGGCTTGTGTGTGTATGTGAATATAGAATTTATTTTGTCTTAAAATCTGAGCCCCCGTTTAAAGTTTTTTAAGGGACTAACCAACTTTTGCTCTTCACTCTTAATGCTTTTTCTTTTGGAGCCCCTTTCATGGAACCCTGCAGCACTAAACACTTTTATATTTGTAATATATTTAAAAGATAAAAATGAAAGTGTCTGCTCCTAAATTCATGGGCAAGTCTACTCATCACAAGTGTTGCTGGCCAACAGGGTTAATATTTGCTGACTGGGTAAAAAATGAAACAGTATTAAAGATAAAGTCATTTAGGGTTTTACTGAGTATGTAAAGACTCAAAAATGAAAATGTCCGACTAAAAAGCAGAGTGTCCGAACCATAACTTTTGATGCCAAAACTCATGCAACTACCTCAGAGGACAGGTGAGCACACCTAAGTGTATAATACCGTCTTCTCCTCTTATGCTACTATCTCTTCCACCCACATGGGGCTTGATACCAAGAATCACAGGTACATTGCGCATAACCTGTGTTGACAAGTGCTCATTTTAATTGGTTGATGGTCTTGTGGTGGTGAGTGGGTATGGGAGGAGGGTGGGTCTGGACTAAAGGTATGGAATCAGGCTAGCTCTCACATTCTCACCAGAAATAGGAGTTGACCACAGCAGCTATTGCTTCTCCATCACTGGGAGAGGTGGTATGTAAGGTGGTTCAGAGAAAGCAACCTGGAAACAGACATCCCTCTAGTGGAATTCCTGTTTGAAGGTTATTACTTGTGTGATCTTGGACAAGGGAATGAAGGTCTCTAAGCTTCATTTTACAAGTGAAGACAAATTAAAAACAAACACATTAAGCAATTAGCATAAAGCTTGCATGTAGATAGAGCTCATACAGTAAAACAAAAAAAGTTGCTTATTCACATGTTCATAGCACTATTCACTATTTGCATTTGCTCTTATACTTATTTGTGTACTTGATTATTACTTGTCTCCACCACTAGAATGTAAACCTCATAAGAGCAAGAACCATGGCTTTACACCTTGATGTTGTCCCTCATTTCTCCCCCCAATTATTTGATATGGACAACTGTTGTTTTCTGGAATGTATGGAAACAGTCTTGAAACCATGGCCTTAAATCCCCCTCTGATCTACTTTTTAAGCCATCATGCTATTGATTTGGCAGAGTATGGACTTGGCTTACTTTCTACTCTGCTACAACAAACAGACTTTGCCTAGAAATGTCCCATTTTTGTAATTCATTTAAAAAAGATAATTATAATAGTAAGAAAAGTCATTATTATCAAAGTAAATATCTCATTCTCTTTCTTAAGATGTACACAGTATCAACTTTTACACAAAAGGTTCCGTATACTGTAAGATTTGCAGTAAGTTGCTGACCCCTGTCCTAAAACTTTCAGGTTGGTTTTGCCCTCCAGCTCAATCAGTTATTCAATAATTTCATCTGTGATTTAGGCAAAAATATGACTTTCTTCCTAGTGGGAAATAAAGCACTTGAAGGGCTGCAGCCAGAGACCCTGTGCTAGCCTAGGACCAAGTGCAAACTAATGCCATCCATTTAGAGCAAAAGAAATAGGCAGAGTCCTTCCTCTGTGACCAGTGAATTTTGGATGCACTGCAGTCTTCTGCCTTCATTATTCAGAGTATCTAGAAGTAGATGACACAATGTCAGATCTTCCACAAGAACCCTTGCCACTATTCCACAGAGTAACTCTCATGATCAAGGTGCCTGGTCCTACTTAAGCTAACAAAAAATTGCTTTCACAAAACAATCAACTAATCAAAAATCCTTGGATGTTACAAATCATTTTTCCTCTGCCCTGAGCAATATTTCTATGGGTATTTCTATATAGGATTATCTACAGTTAATATTTATAAAGTAAGATTTCATTGGAGTATATTCGCCTCTCAGTATAATCTGATACATATCTTGATTTTTTCTTTTATAATATTGCTCTTTTATTATTCTTGATCATTGACATTGCCATATAAATGGTAGAATCAACTTGTAAATTTCTACCAAAATGCCAGTTGGAATTTCTATCAGAATTGCATTGGATCTGGAGATCAATTTATGAAGAACTGACTTTTTAAACATAACAACTCTTCTGATCCATGACAAGGTTTATCTCCCCACTAATTTAATTCTTTCATAATTTCTTTTTTTTATTTTTAAAAGAAATCATCTGATTTGTAAACATACACTCAATTTCTTGATATTTCTTCTTAACTTATGGCCTAAATCTTGATTATTTTGCTTAATTTTAATACCTTCCCATAAGAGCAAATTTAGTAAATTAATACACCTTCCAGTTGTTGGCATTTTGAGAGTATTGGCTCAAAGAAAGTGTCAGGAAAATGGGCAAGAACACTGCAATCTTGGAAAAGACATGGAGTTATGTAACAAAAACTGGGCTGAGACATGGTTTTATTTCTCACTAGCTGTGTGAGTTTGGGAAAGTCATTTAACCCATCTGTGCCTCAGTTTCTTAATTAATGACTGACTTGCCTCCCCCACAGCGCAATTGTACAAACCGAGGGAAATGAAAGTTTTAATTTATCCCTGCAGCATCCTGATGGCTAAGAAAAAAATTATAATCTAAAGGTTTAGCACACCTAGATGGAAATATGTTTTCTGAGGGAATATCATAAAGAGAGGGAGGGGCTGGGATTGCCACCCTTCAGACACCTCTCACCCTCTTGGTCAAGGAGCAGTATCCATTTGTGAAGAAAGGAGGGAGGCCAATTGGGGATGCACAGATACAACCACTGGGGGAATAACTGTGGGTTGAACAGCTGCATATAGAATTGTAGTTTGACAGGTTTTCCTGCCCATTAGTACTTTGAAGATGTCATCCCATTGTCTTCTGACCTCTATAATTGCCACTGAGAGATCTGCTGTCAGTCTGCTTATCCTTCCACGGTAAGTAAATTGTGTTTTCTCCTTGTTGCTTTTAAGATTTTCCTCTTTGTCTTTGGTGTTCTGAAGTTTCACTATAATGTCACTAAGTACAGATTTATTTTTATTTATTCTCTTCAGGACTCAAGTTTCTTCAATCTGAAGATACATGTCTTTCTCCAGGGACATGTGGAAAAAAAAAAGATGTTATACAACCATCAAAGTGGCAAAAATAAAAAAAATCAAGTATTGGCAAAGATGTGGGGAAAATTCTCATAAGCTACTGATGAGAATTTATAAATTATTATGACACCTTTGGGTTGCAATCTGGGGATACTGGCAAAGCAGAAAATTGTACAACCTGTGATCAAGCAATAATAATTTTAGGCACCCATCCTAGAGAAAACTTGAATTCATAGAAAAAGTAGGTACACGTAAATCTGTTCAAGGAATCATTGTTTGGCATTGAAAATAGGAGAGAGATCATGAGAAATTACCAAAATGTCCACCAATAGAATGAGTGAATCACCTGTGGTATATTTATAAATAAAAATATTAAATAGAAGGTAAAACAAATCAGACATACACACATTAGATAGATAAATTTAGAGGACAAAATAAGGAACATGAAAAGCAAATAGTAGATGGCAAATGTAATATAATATACTATGCATAAATTTTAACAACACACAATATTATATTGCATATTGCCCAATAAGCAGAAGCCATAAGGTCTCACACTTTTCTTATAATGCAATAGAATAAAAATGACAACAAAGTAAAAGGGTATCCCAAAAATAAAACTATCCTTTTGGAAAAAAAAAGATTTAAAATAATTCCTGGTTTGAAGAAATAACAAATTAAAAGCTATATATAAACGGTTAACAATATTAGGTGGACATATTTGTTTGAAGAGATAGGTGAAAGATAGTTGAAAAGCCTGGGGGTATATTCAAGGTTATATGTCTTAGAAAACAAAAATACTTGTTTGGGTTCAGTTTTGGATCTGGGCTTGTTCTTGTGGCTTCTGATGATTTCTGACTTGGGGAAAAATGGGGAAGAGTTGAAATACGTCCTTCCACCCAAACCTTTGTTTAGTAATAGGTAGGAAAATGAAGAAGAAAATAGAATGTTGCAGAATGTGGAGGGATGTAAAATGGACAGTACTAGGGTAGAGGGGAAGTCAGATTAGAGGAAAGAAAGAGCATCAGGAACAGTCTTGTGCTAGGAGCTGGTGTGGCCAAGCACAGTCGGATGCCCAAAGATCCAACAAGGCCATGGCTCTGTGTCCTTGAGTGGGCACAACCATTCCTAGCCAAGTTTAAGAGGCAAGTAAAAATATAGGGGCAATGTCAGATGAAGTCTTGTTCAGGGTATGGGGCTAGGATGAGAGAGAATGCCACAGAGTATGAAGGAAGAGTGATAGATCCAGATGAGATACAGCTCAGAGTGCCACGCCCCCAGAAAGAGGAATCAGGCAAGTACTGTCCCAAGGCAGCTGGAGGGTGAGGGCTGAGTGCCCTGGCTTCCTCACTTGGGGAGACCATGGGTCTCTGTAGAAATTCCAATATAAAGGCAGGGAAATTTGACTGCATGGAGTCTTCAGGTAGAAATGTTTCTCTTGCCTAAATTCAGGTGCTAAATAAACAACAAAATGGTAACCTCTACTATGAAGTGTTTCCAATGATGGGATATCTGAGGCCATTACATTCCTGGGAATAACATGGTGAGGTGCAGGGTGGTGGTGGTGGTGAAACATACGACAGACCACTGTAAGTGAGAACAAATTACTGGCCCAGCCCAACCCACACCAAATAAGAAATTTAATATCCCTTTGGCCTGTTTTAGATTTTGGCAAAGCCAGGCCCATAGTGCTTGCTGGGCTCTCTCTTCCACATCATCCAGAAGACACACATTTGCTATGGAATGATTGTGGAGGTGAGAGTATAGTGCATATTAATTCATGCAAAAAGTTAGATATTAGCCCAGAAATGTTAGTAACAAGAAACTACTGAATTCTCTGTTTGTCTGTTGTGGAAATAAAACCTTCTGGGGATGAATCAAAACTATCTGACAATTACTTGAAATGGGTGAATAGCTAAATGTAATGTGCCTTGGATATTATAACTAAAAGGTGCTATAATCCAGTTATATTTTTTATCTTTTAAGGATTGGTTCTGAGGAGCACTACCAGTAAATATTGCAAAAATTACATAAAGCTCCAAAAGCTACTCTGTGTAAACTTCTTGAGTGGGAATTCTCAACCATAATATCTGGAATATGACTGATAATTCTGGATGTTAACTGATTTTATGTTCTGATGTTTTGACTGGTTTTGGGAAAAATTTTGGGAAAAAAGAGTTTTCCTCGTAAATACCCAACAACTGGGTCTCTGGGTAAAAAGGCCTAATTTATAGAGATTGCTAATTTCCATGGTGTAAATATTTCCACAATGCAGATTCCTTCCTTCCTTTTTTTTTTTTTTTTTTTTGAGATGGAGTTTCACTCTTGTTACCCAGACTGGAGTGCAAAGGTGCGACCTTGGCTCACTGCAATCTTCACCTCCCGGGTTCAAGCCATTCTCCTGCCTCAGCCTCCCAAGTAGCTGGGATTACAGGTGCCCACGACCATGCCTGGCTAATTTTGTATTTTTAGTAGAGATAGGGATTCACCATGTTGGCCAGGCTGGTCTCAACCTCTGGACCTCAGGTGATCCACCCGCCTCGGCCTCCTAAAGTGCTGGAGATTACAGGCATGAGCCACCACGCCCGGACCATGATGCAGATTTCAAGCTATGAACATGATTCTCTGGAGTTTACCATTTGTCTTTTAATTGGCAAATTTGATGCAGAATTGGGAAGAGAAGCACACAATTGACTCTCGTCAGCTGGCACAAGCTGGTGCCAGTGCACCACTGTATATATCCATGGCCCTCTGTGAAGCTAGAGTTTACTACTAAAATTTGTGCTCCATAAATATACAAAGGCACTAGTAAGAGAAAAAATATAAAGAGAATATAAACTAAATTCAAATTAGGGAGCTCAAATGGAGAAAATTGACAGATAATATTTTTGAAACTTTGAAAAGTAGTATTTGTCTAGATTCACCTTTTATTACCTTTTCCTTTTTTTCTTTTCCTTTTTTTTTTTTTTTTGAGACGGAGTTTCTCTCTTGTTACCCAGGCTGGAGTGCAATGGCACGCAATCTCAGCTCATTGCAACCTCGGCTCACTGTAACCTTCACCTTCCGTGTTCAAATGATTCTCCTGCCTCAGCCTTCCGAGTAGCTGGGATTACAGGCACCCACCACCATGCCCAGCTAATTCTTTGTATTTTTAGTGGAGATGGGGTTTCACCATGTTGGCCAGGCTGGTCTTGAACCCCTGACCTCAGGTGATCCACCCACCTGGGCCTCCCAAAGTGCTGGGATTACAGGCATGAGCCACCGCGCCCGGCCTGTTATTATCTTTTATTAAGCAAACAGCGTATCTATGTATCATACTGAGTGTTCTGAGCTGTTAGTTTCTTTGGTGTTCATCTAGATGGAAGCTGGGGCTTCCTTCCTTTCAGATATTGGTGCTAACATGAAGCTGACCAAAGAATTGATGGGATCTGCACACTGTAAAGCCGGTTTCAGGATGGCTGAGCTGACGGTCAAGAAAGAAGAGAAGATATGAGCCGCCTGCATTTTGGGGTGGTGGCAGTGAAATTTAGACTTGTGATTTGGTATGACAATATATGGCTTTTTGTGATTGTTAACATTAATGAAAACAAGAAAAATTAGTTGCTCAAAAGTTGAAAAATGGATTCATAAACTTTTTATTAGAGTAAGGCAAAAGAACATATTAAAATAGAGGTAAATTAGAAATGTCAATAAGAACCCATGGACATTTTTTATAAGGAGACTTTATCTGTTCTGTCCCTACAGTGATTTATGCTCTTGGATATTTTTGCTGTCATCCTGACAAATTCTAGTTGGAATATGGAACAAGCTTATTTGTAGACCTAGTGCCTGTGGCTTCTAAAGCAATTTTCTGAAAAGAGAAACCACTGCCTGTTGGAAGAATAGTTGATTCCATACCTCAAGCTAGGGAAAAAAAATCAGAATTAGTCTGTGAATTCTAGATGTTGAGAGAAAGCAGGGTTTCATTAGGGCATCGGAGAGTCACAAGTCCATAGGATGCAAAAAGGAAGATGAAATAAAATTGCCTGAAAAACGCACCTGAATTTCTGGCATTGTTTACTGAAAAGGCTGTGTATTGATGAACCCCAATTATGTGAGGTCTACATTTAAGAGTTTATAATCAACAGTTTGAAAATGCAGGGTGTTGTTTCTTTCTATAAGGAGACAAAACAGTCAGAAGGGAGTGTCACAGGACATTATCACAAAATCAAAGTTCTCCATGAAATGTGGTTCATTTGCTAGAAAATAATGCAAGCCTATTGGAGAGAATCAGGGCTTCTAGTGATGCTAGGGATGACCTTAAGCATTGTTTGTAAATCACACTTTTTCCTAGTCTTTCAGCAGCAGCTGCACAGAGTAGGCCTGCTTCTTCCCATGAAAGCCACACTGAGTTTTATCAACTAGTAGTGTGTGGGCACTATTGCAAGTTATGTTGTGTTGTTTATGGCCATTTATCCAACAGTGCTTTCCTCTGTGCGGGGCTCTGCAGCCTCGTTCTATGTTATTTTTATTACCACGTGTCTGTGCGCCTCAGGTGGCAAAGCAGAATCAGCTTCTCTACCCTCAGCAGGGCTCACTATGACTCACTATAAGGGAAGAAAATCTTACAGATGTCAGAAAATGTTAGGTAAGTGGACAGTGATAAACACAAAACAGCAAGTGGTCAGTATCAAAGAGAAAAACAGTATGTTGGTGAAGGAGAAGTATCAAAGCTAGTTAAAAAAGTAACAGGAGAAATGTAAAGGGACAATACTCCACAAAAATTTAGATTGTAACTGAGCTTCTTCTCCTAAAGAGATTTAAAAATAAAGTATAGGAAATACATGAAGAAACAAAGTAAAATGCCAAGGTGTAAGTTTGACCATGAATATCTAGGGAAAAACATACTTGCACTAAAACAACCAAATATGCAAAAATCAAGTGGAAAAACAGGTCAAAATAATGCCAGTTGATGTCTGTAAGAACTAAATGTATAATAAAATGAGCAAAAAAAATGGCCAGTTTAACACCAATTGGTGCCCATAATAACATGTTTATTTGCAAAGTCTGTATTTTACACACACACTATGGTTTACACAAAATTTGAAGGAAACCAACTAACAACAGGTCTGTCATCAACACAGGTTAGCACAGCACTGAACATGTGCAACTAGGAGGTCAAATCACTTTCCCCGAAGGAGGTGGCAGGAGGAACCTGGTGTTAGCAAGAAGTGGGCAGCACTGTGGGATGGTCCAGAGGACAGCGTGATGGAAGTGGGAACTGGGTGGGATCAAGCGAGGAACACAGGAAGCAGGGCTTTGGTGTTGTATACGTGCATAAATCCTGAATGGGTGTGTGAGAGATCAGAGCCCTGCCATGGTCAGTGTTGCCTCGCTGAGTCACTTCGCTCTTCTCTCGCATGTCACTGGGACAACGCACCCTGGGGCTTAGGAGCTAAAATGGGTTCGCAGCAATCAAGACAGCCTCCTTCTCCAAACAAACTGCTCTCCTTGCTCATAATATCTATGAAGAAAAGATGAGACCCTTGGAGAGAGGGTGAAAAGGGAGGCTGTCAACATAGGAGCATCTGTCCTTTACTGGCTCTTTAAATAACTGCAGGTAACTTGTGGGGATTTGGGACATTCTGCTCTGGACACCATTGAAAACCTATTGCCTGGATGTATGTAAAAAATCCTGGATGTATGTAAAAAATCCAGAAGGTTCTATCTTTAGATCTTCAGTAAACAGGAGTGACAGGGGCCTGGATGAGACAAGAGACTTGTCTTGCCTTTGCAGACAGTGAATGTCAGCTTGAGGAGAAGAAAAGGGGGACTTCAATGATAATTACTGGGGTGTGTTGGTTTGTTGGCCTCATTGTGAATGCCTGAAAACAACTTAGGGGTATTTTGAGGAGTTCAAATTCCTCTCTTCACAGGTTGGGGACTTGAAGTCAATTTCTATAGTCACAGGCAGGTGAGTTTATAGTCAAAATCATGTTCCATATACAATTCACTCATTCCTGCTACTCACTCTTCTATCTCCCTGGCTTTGCTTCCTTACTCAGATGTCAAGGATTTCTATCATGTAGCTTTTTGATGCTGCTTTACTTCTTCCTGTCTCTTGCTATCACTATCTGAACCTTATGGCACCCATAAGGTTCCTGGGGACATAAGGTGTCTCTGGGGACAAGGGGATAATGCTGAGGAAATGGGAGACAAGGACTCAGGGGAGTAGTCCCTAAAGCACAACAGTTCTGAGAGCGTCCCAACTGGATGGAGCGTACACTTGTTCACAGGCTCCTAAAGGTGCTTGACCGCACCAGAGCAAACTCACCATGCAATGGACATCATTGTTAAGTGTTCAGGCACAACCACCAATGCTTCCAATTGTTGTTGTAGAAAAAACTGAATTGTTCTCATCCAGTCACTTACCCATCACCACAGATCCTTAAATACCATTTTCCCACTTCCATTGACATGTGTTAAAGATTTACTTTGTTATGTGCTGTTAGGTATTTTATAAGACAACATGTTATCTTATTTACCCATAATGCAATAATAGCTTACAGATGAGAAAAAAATAAGGTTTAGAGACCTACCTAAAAGTGACACAGCTGATGTTCAGAGCACTTGAGATTCTGACACCTATGCAAACTCTACTTCTCATCCCTCATTTCCTAGTAAATCTTGAATTGAAACTGCCTGGTGTTCCCCTGCAGGGCTGGCAGGTCTTGAGGCGCCCTTCCTAACGGATGAGTGGCTCCTGCTGTTGCTGCCCTCTCCCGCGTGTGAGTGGCCAGGATGCTTCTATGTGTTGTCTGGCCAGTGTTGGCCACTTGGTGAGTCACAGAGGCTTGTAGAGAAAGTGGCATAATGCAGCTACTCCACATTTGGACCCTTCAAATCCAGGCAGAACAAGACCAAATGTCATAGGCCACAGCTTGATGGAATCTCTGAATTGAGCAAAACGCTGGTTCTCAACCTTTTCTGGTCAGGTTTCGGCTTGTGCTGGATCCTGATTCCCCCCAGATTTACTCCATCATCCTTCTCATTCAGCTTAATAAAATGTGGTCACCATTTACTGAGTGTTTACTATGTGCCAGACACTGAAGCCCTTCAGATGTTTAATTTTGACAACATTTTCAGATATATAGCTTTATTATCTAAATTTTGTAGAAGAAATAAATCAGCTCCAAGCCATTAATAAGTGGCCCAAGATTTCAAAATTAGTACGAAATGTGGCAGGGATTTGAACCAGCAGCCCGAGTCACTGGCTTTCTTGACTTGCGTATTGACCTGCTGTCCCCTGGGGTTCTTGATTTTGCCACCTTGTCTGACTCCAGACATTGAGCACACCTCTTCTTCCTTGTGTCAACTTAATGACTCACAGGCATTGTGGGTTACTCAATTTCCAGCTACAGTTTTGTGTTTTTTGAACTGATGATATCATTCAGCCAGACATTTCCTGACTTGGAAGTTTCCTGATCCCATTGGCAACACCACCCAAATGTTCTGAGCTTAATCCTTTGGAAAATAAATGGACTCCTTGTTCCCACTGAGACCTACTCCTATGTTGAAACATAGGTTTCAACTCCTATGTTGAAAACCAGGGCTAACTAATTTCTAAAGCCAGACAGGGCCTAAATTGCTATTTTTTGGGTCAATGTCTATCTATACTATTTCCTACCTGTTAAAAGACCTGTAGAAATGCACCTATATAAAATATAGGTTTATTGTTCTTTGTGTCAATGGCATGTATTATTTTGGCTATTCTAGAAAAGAAATTACGTTGGAATTCCAATGTAAACATGTTTGTGTGAATCAGTAACCTTCTCTTTCTTTTGTATGTCATAAGAAAGCAACAAATGAGTTGTTAAATGCTAAAATTAAACACCATTTTAGCAAAATTAAAGACAGATAAGATGTAAGTTTCCAAAAATTAGGGCTGCCAGAAACAATTAAAATAAGCTCAGGAGCTGCTTGGGTGAAGTGAATAGAAAGATGGACTGTTGGCAGTGGATTTCAGAAATATATTTTCTGTAGAAAAAGAAACACTGTGGTGTCCTCCTGCAGGGCCAGCAGGTCTTAAGGTGCCCTTAGGAGCTGAAGGATCTGGGAAGACAGTGGAGATTGAGTTGAAACTATGAGGGGGTGGGAGAGAGAAAGCAATGAAAATGCATGGTGAAGAGCAAGCAATGACAAACCTCAGAAAACACCAAAATGAACATACAAAAAAACTTAAAATAACAAAGATATCCATCACTTGCACACAGACAGTTGGGAAAATCCAACTAATTCAGTGCTGAGAAAATGAAAGGTAGCTGACCAAGCATCAGTGGAAAGGTATAATTTAAAAAGTCAGCAAAACCTATCAGATGAAGAATACCAGAAAATCTTTGTATCCCAATACTTTGCCATGAGTTAAAAAAAAAAGAGAAACCCTTAAGAAATCAATTGCCACTATGAAGGAAGATTACCAAGCAGAAATGAAAGGACCCAAGGCAGGAGACAAAATGTGAGCTGTCCAAAACAAACAAAAAATAAAAAGCAATACCTCAGTACAAAGCAACCCAGCAACACCCTCATTTATCTTTTAATTGGTACATTTGATCAGTTAATATTTCTAAGAGTTCTGACCAGGGTCAAAACTACCTCAGGCAACCCCAAAGATGGAGGGACGGTAGACCCACTTTAACCCTACCCTTCCCACAAGCCTTCTAAAGAAGAAAATATGCAAAAAGTAAACAGACCACAAGCTTCAAAATTTAAAAAGGAGAGAGCTTATATGTTTAATAATAACAGAGCAAAGGCCAATTACATTTGTTATATTATTAAGTGTAAATGGATTCAATTAACCTATTAAATGAAAAAGATTTTCAAATTGGATCACAAAGCAAACTGTACACAAGAGAAACATCTAGAGCAGAGTGACTCACAAAGACTAAAAATAAAAGAATGGGCAAAGTGTATCTGAAAAATAACCCCATTCACACGCACACAAAAGACAAGGAAGGTCACAATCTTAATATCAAACAAGAATATTAGTTAATGCCAAAAACTATGAAATGAGACTAGTGCTCTTTATATAACGCTGGTATGCAATTGATACAAAGGTAATGAATATCTGTGCACAAATAACACAACACCAACATTTATTATACAGAAATTACAGGATATGAAAGAAAATAAAGATCAAAATACAGTAGTACTAGGCAAAAAAGCAAAGAGGTAGAAGTCTTAATAACAAAAGTAGTAAGATAGATGTGATGGACATTTATGAATCTATTATCCCTGTGAATATAAGTGACAATGGTAGATTTGAGAAAATGACCATATATTAGCCCTCAAATAAAACCTTAATAAATTCCACAATGAAAAAAAAAAGAAGGAAACAAAGAAGAAATTAATAATAACAATGAAACTCAAAAGGATCTTTTCCCCTGGGTATTAGAAACATCACCATCACCATCACTTCTCTTTAAGCAACTTTTTTTTTTGTTAAAGAGGAAATACAAACCAAAATTATAATATTCAGAGAAAATGAAAACACAACAAATCATAAGGAATATAGCTAAGCTGTGTTGAGATGAAAGTTAAAAGCCTTAAGTTCTTGTGTTAGTCTGCTTGTGTTGCTGTAAAGGAATACCTGAGACTGGATAATTTATAAAGAAAAGAGGTTTATTTGGCTCATGGTTGTGCAGGCTGTACAGGAAGCATAGGGCTGGCATCTGCTTCTGGGAAGGCCTCAGGAAACTTCCAATCATGGCAGAAGGCAAAGGGGAGCCAGGGTATCATTTGGTGAGAGAGGGAGCAAGAGAGAGATGCCAGATCTTTCAAACCAGATCTAGTGCTAACTCATAGAGTGAGAACTCACTCATTAGTGCAGGAAGGCACCAACCCATTTATGAGGGGCTCACCCCTGTGGCCCAAACACCTTCCAGGGATCACTTTTCAATATGAGATCTGGAGGGGAGATATCATTCGAACCACACCGGTTCTCATATCAATGAAAAAATAAATAGTGAAAGTACACGAAATAAGCACCCCACTGAAAATGTTAAAAAAAACAGCAAAATAATCCAAAGAAATAAAGAAGAAAAGAAAAATGAATATGAAAACAAGTTTATGAAGTAGAAAAGAGAAAACTTAATAAATCTGAAAGTTTATCTCTTATTTTTTTCAAACCCAGATCTTTGATTCCATCTTGCAAAGTACCACACTGTTCTCTGGAGCAGCCTCTGAGAGAGGCTGTTTCTACTGAGGAAGGAGAAAGTTTGCCACAGCTGTGAGTGGAGGGCACATGTCGGCTACCTTAGTGAAGATCCACTGTCTCAGCGTCCAACCTACTAGTCAGAAAAGTCAGTTTAGTGATTGGTGCCCACTCAGCAACTAACTTCCTTCCTTCCTTCGTTCCTTCCTTCGTTCCTTCCTTCCTTCCTCCCTTCCCTCCTTCCTTTCTCCCTCCCTCTCTCCTTTCTTTCTTTTGTTCTTTCTTTCTCGCTCTTTCTTTTGTACTTATGTAAAAGAAAACTACTAGTTGATATAATAAAAAAAAGAAGAAACAGGTTAATGAAATAAAAACTGATATGAGAAAAATAATGACAAAAACAAAAAATTAAAACAATCATAACAGACCACTTTTCTCAAATCTGAGGAAAATCTTTGAAAATCTGAGTAAAATGAAAATATTTTTAGAAAAATATAATTTACCAAAACTGACTCCAGAATAATTAAGAACATAAACACATTATTTTAATAGAATAAATAAAGTCACCAAAGAGCTGCTTCTTTAAGAATTCAGTGAGGCATGATAGTTTGACCATATGATTCTACCAAACTTTTAAGGAGCAGTAAATTTCAATGTTCTGTAAACTGTTCTAGGGTTTGAAAGATAAAGAAGTCTCTCAAATATTATATCTGGAGATATAACATTAATGCTAAAACCTGACAGATCTTGCATAAAATAAAAAGTACATGCAAGTTTCTCCTATGAACAATCACACAAAATAATACGGATTAACAATCAGACTCCAGCTCCCACATTTTTATCTCCTGCTCAGATCTATTTCCTGGGCTTCAGAGAACCATAAATCCAACCATTCCACAGATATCGCCAGTCAATCTTCTTCCTAAACAGATGTCATCCCTTTTTCTTCAACCTTGTTCCTCTTGCATTTGCAAGCCAGAAATCTGCAATCCCCTCTCAATTCATACAGCTATTCAGTTGCTAAAGCCTCTTGTGTTCCACTTCCTCATCGGTTTCATCTTCTCCCTCACCTGTCTCTGCTCTAGAGCCTCATAATTGTACCCTGAATTTCTGCAGTGGACTTTTAATTGGTATTCCTAGCTGCCGTACTTCCTCTTCAATTCTTGCTACAAAAGGTTATCCAAGTGCTCTTTCCAAATTGCAGATGCAATCACACCTCTCCTCAGATTGAAATCCTTCATTTAGTCCCCAACCCATTTGGATAAAGTTCAAATCTTTTAGATTTAGCACACAAGGCCCTTCATGGCTGTACACCTTATTTCTCCAAACCCTTCTGTCAGTGCTATCCAAGGTGCCCTTTTATCCCAGTGATACTAAAACTACCTGTGATTCCCCAAATACATCATGTTCTTGGTTATCTCTGCAACTCAGTTCATGCTATTTCCTTCCTCATGGAGCAATTTCTTCATCCTTTTTGCTCATAAACCTAAAGTATATTTAAAAAGTTTATAACCCTGACATTTTAAATAAGTTTAAATAGTTGCAAAGACTATGATACAACATATTGTAAATACTGATATTTTAAAGTAAAACACTTATATCACTCTTCTATTGTGTTAAATGAAATCTAAATACCATATCAACTTTATAATTCATGAAAAATACATAGATAAGCTATTCTTTTTGTTTGTTTGTTTGTTTGTTTTGAGACGGAGTCTTGCTCTGTCGCCCAGGCTGGACAATCTCGGCTCACTGTGAGCTCTGCCTCCCAGGTTCATGCCATTCTCCTGCCTCAGCCTCCCAAGTAGCTGGGACTACAGGTGCCCGCCACCACACCTGGCTAATTTTTTTGTATTTTTAGTAGAGATGGGGTTTCACCATGTTAGCCAGGATGGTCTTGATCTCCTGACCTTGTGATCCGCCCGTCTTGGCCTCCCAAAGTGCTGGGATTACAGGCGTGAGCCACCGTGCCCGGCCCTAGATAAGCTATTCTTTAACAGTTAGAAATTTTATATCAGTTCCCTTTTCCTTTGGACTAATGTTTTCATTTCACTCCTTTCACATTTTTTTCTAATGTAATAAACTTACTGCTTTATGGTCTTTTATTCAGCATTCTATAATGCTTCTGTGCAAAACACATATTATACAAGATAAAATTTCAAAATTTCAAAATTTCTTGTGATTGAGTCATCATTATAATTATTAGTACTTTAACTTGATAAAACAACATAAATATACTGTATTTAAAACCTAGTTATTAAACATAAGTTCTAAAATTTTAAAAATCAGGACCATATATTTTCGTAAGATGAAAATAGCTCTTTTTTTCTATTACTACACATTTTTGTCAATAAATGCTAGTTAAACTCAGAACAAGACAGGACTAAGCATGAGTTTAATTTCTTTTCTTTCTGTTTTTTTTTTGAGATAGGGTTTTATTTTGTCACATAGGCTCACTGCAACCCCTAACTCCTGGGCTCAAGGGATCCTCCCCCTCAGCCTCCTGAGTAGCTAGGACTACAGGTGCATGTCACTATGTCTGGCTAATTTTTTTAAATTTTTTTTAAGAGACAGAGTCTTGCTGTGTTGCCCAGGCTGGCCTCAAATTCTTGGCCTTATGTGATCCTCCCTCCTTGGCCTCCCAGACCACAGGGATTACAGATGTGAGCCACTGAGCCTGGCTTTATCTTTTGTTTTTATATAGAAAAGCACTGATAAGTTTCATTCATATAAATAGATTTTAAAAAAGGAGTTTTCAAAAGACCATTGTTACTTGATTTTTTGAAAACTTGAATTACAAGCTAAAAGCTATATTTTGATCTATCAACCAAAATTATTTTTAAGGATCTAGTAGTAGTCAGTTCCATGAAATCCTCCTTTCATTTTATTAAAAGCAAAGAATGGAAAACCACCTGAGTTACAAAAAGTTTGTAGATTAGTAAACATTTACTTCCTTGCTCTCGTCCTGCAATCCCCTGTCAATGTAAAATATCAATGTATTTGTAATTTTACATTTACATTTGTAAATTTGTAAATGTAAAATTACAAATGTGAAATTACAAATACATTGATATTTTACATCATCTCTTGCTTGTGTTCTAGTTGATCAGAGTGGCAGGCTGGCTCTAAGATGGCCCCCAGTGATCCCCTCCTCCTAGTATTTATGCCCTTGTGCAGTTCCCTCCCTTAGGTGTGGGCTGGCTCATTGACTTGCTTCTCACCAACAGAATACAGCAAAAGTGAGAAGATGGACCATGATAAGGTTATGTAAGATCATGACTTATTTCTCTCTCTCTTTATTTCTCTCTGACAATTATCTTGTCATATTGGGGAGGCCTATGTGGCAAGGAACTGACCTTGCCTCCAACCAACAGTCACCAAGGTACTGAGATTCTTAGTCCAACAACACTTAAGAAGCTGAATCTTGCCAACAATCATGAAAGCAAGCTTGGAAATGGATTCTTTTTCAGTCAGTTCATCATATGAGGCCCCAGCTCACCCTGGAGAATATGGTGATTGCCACCTCATGGAAACTGAAGCCAAGGGCCTAGTTAAGCCATGCCTAGATTCCTGACCTGTAGGAATTGTAAGATAATAAATATGTGTTGTTTTAAGCTGCTAAATCTTGAGGTAATTTGTTTCACAGCAAAAGTAGACAACTAATACAGAAGGAAATGCAAATAATCAAATAAAAAATTAGTTATTAAAATAGGAAAGGAGGATAGAAAACTATCACTATTTCTAGATGATACTAGGAAAACCAATACTATCAACTGAAACCTATGTACTACCAACAATAAAAAGAGTTCAGAGTAAGATAGATGCAAAATTAATATACAGAAATCAATAGCTTTTAAGTTGACAAATAATTTCATATAAAATAAAATAAAAATATACACTATAAAACCATTTATAGTAGCAACAAAATAAAATGCCTACAAATAAATTTAAAATAAAAATAAAATAAAATGCCTACAAATAAATTTAACAAAAATTGTTTAAGAAGTATATGAAGAACATTTGAAAAGTACTCTTTTTGGGAACAAAAGAAGACCTGAACAAATGAAAAGATATATTTATTGATAGAAATATTGACATCATAAAGATGTAAATCCTACCTTTGTGAAGTTATTCCTTCTATTTGATTCCAATAATAGAGGTAAATATGCCTTAGCAAAATAAAATTGCTACATTTTATTTATGGTGGCAGTGTAAGTTGATACAGTCATTATTGAGAGATTTTGGCTATAACAATTAAAATTACAAATACATATGGATTCATCAACTGCACTTTGTATTCATCAGTTACATTTTTGGGAAATCTGTATGTACAAGATATTCATTACAAGATGTTTGAAATAGCAAAAGACTGAAAATAACCCAAATGTTCATCAATAGGAATCTGGTTAAATGAAGTACAAAAAAAAAAAAAAAAAGAAAAAGAAAATCTCCAGAAATAAATAAAATTAAAGCAAATATAAAACACCACAAAAGATAATTGTCAGCCAGGCACAGCGGCTCACGCCTGTAATCCCAGCACTTTGGGAGGCCAAGGCAGGTGGATCACAAGGTCAGGAGTTTGAGACCAGCCTGGCCAACATGGGGAAACCCTGTCTCTACAGGTGTAGTGGTGGATGCCTGTAATCCCAGCTATGAATGTGATTTCAAAAACAGTGAAATGTACTGACATTTGCTGATTACCATAACCTTAGTAGCCAAGTGTGATTTGGAAGAGAAATATTAGAAACTAAAAGATCCCTTAGTAAATGAACATTGAGGAGATATATATATATATATATACACACACATATATATACATATATATATACGCATATATATATATATATAAAATCTCCCAAAATAAAGCTAGATTTATTTACAGGTTGCAAATGAAATCATAAAAACTGAATATTATCTTACAAAGGCTTTCTTTTTTATATTATAAAGCAGGATTCTAAGAGCAACTACCCAAAGCCATAGACATCATTGCTGGGAGCATTCAGAACAAGTGAAGACCTAGAGCACACAAATGCGAAAGAAAACAGCCCTATCCTGCTCCTGCTGCTTGGAACATGTGTGATGTCCCTGTATCCCAGGGAGGATACGTAATCTTCTTCTTGGTATTCCAGCTATATGTGCAGCTCTTACACCATTCTCAGGTAGATGAAGTGAAGGGAACAGCTATTTAGGGTACTGAGATGATAGGATACCTCTAGTCCTAACCCTTCAGCTTATTTGGTTATTTCTGCAGATTATGTAGCATGAGGCTCCTAATCTACTTCCTATGGGCTGTGAACTTTCCATTTTTTTTTTTAATCAATAGTGGGCAACTTTCAGGGTGGTGCTGAGACTATGTGGGCTTTAGAAGCGAGAGGTTGAGGGACTGGTCTCAGCACCATCACTTTCAGCTGTGAGATGTTGAACACATCACTTAACTGATGTGACCCTCAGTTTCCTCTTCTGTGTAATGAAAACATTCTCTGCTCAAAAGGATGGTTTGAAGAATTAGAAGTAATGAATGTAAGATGCTTAGCACAGGCCCTGACATCTAGTAGGTACACAACAAATGATAACCAGATAATTATTTATGCATTCATTAATTTATATAACAATGTTTATAGAGCACCTGCTCTGTGGAAGGGCTTTGGAGGGCAAAGATTACTAAGATATGCCTCTTGACATATCTTACTAATATGAAATGACATTTAGTGATATGACTCAAGGGCATGAAGCTACTTTGTGGCATGACTGAAGTGCACACCTCCCCCCTTTCCCATTCCACCAGCTTTGGAATGGGAAAATTTCATTTTAGTTGGGGAAATATAACAACAGTTTCACACAGACTGTTGAGATCCAATCCCCTATTTGTACAGTGGTGGGGTACATTCAATGTCCATCCAATGGGAGAAAGTCATTTGTTTGAAACAAAAATCCCAGCTTTCAGCCTCAGATTATTTACATTCTACTCTAGTCTATTTTGCCAAGTCAGCTAGAAAATAGCCATTGGGTAGCACCTTTTGAATTGAAGATCATCAATAGCCTTTGTGGTTAGAGAAATAACTGGTTAGACGTGCTGTCTTGCTGGATTGTGGCACAGAATGACTCAGAGTGATATTGTGGTTGTAATGAAAAAGGCAAAATGTTAGAAGCAGTTACAATCTGTGGGTATTAGATTATGAATCTGTGTGTTAAGCTTAGGATATTTGCTCTATCTTTCAGAATTGCTGTGAGGATAAAATCAAAGGTGATGGTAAATGTGAAATGTAAAATGCAATACCAGTAGAGTAGATATTACTTTTATTGAATACATTTACTATTTTATATCATTGTATATGACACTTTTTAAGATCAGTGATCAAAGATCTAAATTTTTTTTGTTCTTCACTGTCAGGGTGACTTGACAACTAATTAGTTGAAACCATCCATAATGGTAGATAGACTGAAGCTGCACGAACTACCGTATACTCTTACTGACTGTAATAGCAGGATCTAAACATTAAAAAAAATTTATGTTTTCTTTAAACTCCTTGAAAGCAAGTGTATTAGTTAGGGGTCTCCAGAGAAACAGAACCAATTGGACGTGTGCATATGTGTGTGTGTGTGTGTGTGTGTGTGTGTGTGGAGAGAGAGAGAGAGAGATTTATTAAAAGGAATTGGTTCATATGATTTTGAATGTGAAGTTTCAAGATCTGCATTTGGCAAGCTAGAGACCCAGGAAAGCCAATGGTGTAGTTCTAGTCGGAATCTGAAGGCCTGAGAACCGGAAGAGTTGATGGTGTCAGTTCTGGTCCAAAAGCCAGTAGTCTTGAGACCCCAAAAAAGACGATGTTTCAGTTCCAGTTAAAAGGTAGCTGATGTCTTAGTTCAAGGCAGTCAGGCTGGACGAGTTCTCTCTTGTTTTCAGGATCGTCAACTCTTTTGTTCTAGTTTGGCCTTCAACTGATGAAATGAGGCCCATCCACATTAGGACAATCTGCTCTGCTCAGTCTATAGACTCAAATGCTAATCTCATCCAGAAACTTCCTCATAAAAACACCCAGAAAAATGTTTCACCAAATTTCTGGGCACCCCATGACCCAGTCAAGTTCACATGTAAAATTAACCACATCAATTAAGTTTTATTTTCACTTCTACTGATGTGATTTTTCAGAGGTGGGAATACTATGATTTTTCTAGAAACTATAGACTGAGTGAGATACAAATGGTCCACTTGTAAAGATCAATAATGACCCATGAAGCAGTAAAAACAATAAAAAAATAGCCCTTTCTAGTTTTAAATGAACAACGGTTATTTTATTTCCCTAAGGATTTGCTGTCAAAATAAACAGCCATTAGAGGGAGCTCTGGTTGCAGTTTAAAAACAAAATTAACCTCTGTGAATTGACAATGTTTACTTGGAATGCCAAGTGTCCGTGTTTTAATAGAGACACAGAAATTATTTTCTTTAAACCAAAAAGTATGAAGTATCCTTTAACAACACCATTTTGTATATCTGAACTCAGTAGAAACCAAATGTGCTTCGTGGAATACAAGAGCTGAATGATACAGAGACAAAGCTGGTGGAAGGCAAAAGGCAGGGGTGTGCATTTCAGCCACGCCACGAAAGTGGCTTCATGCCCTTGAGTCAATTGCTTGCTCTCTCTCCTAGTCTATTTCCTCTCCAGAACAATGAAGGTAACAGAGATTAGAATTTATCACATTGGAGCCCGCGGACATTTCCTAGGGACTGGAGAATTCTAGGAGAATTTAAAAATTTTTTAATTTTCTTTTTTCAAAGGCAACCATCTTGAGAATGTTACATTCTCAAAAGCTGATGGTCCGAAAAGGATTATTTTAACCATATTCTCAGTCATGTGGATAATATACTCAAAACCAGCACCTGCCATGAGGTTTCAGGGCTGTGCTGGCATTTGTGTTGACAGTTATATTGGTACCAAGTGATCCCTGTCTTGAAGTGACAGCATTGAAGTTTTAATGTGTTGCTAAGTCTTTCTGGCTGACATTAGGTTGGTGTTGTCAAAATGACAACAGTTGACTTATCATTACCATTGTACTCATAAAGACAAATTTTCTCTTCAGCAGGGATAACATGCAACTGAAAGCATTGTTACAGAATAAGGTTTTAGAAACAAGTCATTTTGCAAACTGAGGTTCTGATTTGACGTAATGAAAATTACTGCAGTGGAAGAATGTACTTGGTGCTTTCATTTCCTGGGCTTGAGAAGGGAACAGAACAATAATGCATAACTAGTAATTCGCACGTGCAAATGAAAGCTGCATGACAATATAGTGTGCCGAATAAGCCACGCTGTGGTGGTTTGGAAAGAGAAAAGAGGTAGTAGATTGAGCCCTCACCTAAATGATGGACAAGCTGAACTCGAAAGACCTGGATCACAGCAGGCAGAAATATACCAATGGAAAGTAAAAGGCTTGTGCAGATCCTGTTTGTGTGCTATCAACTCCAAACAGTTTAGCAGCAGTAGCTGTGAAGATTTTTCAATACATTCTCATTATTTCTGACTGTACAGTTTTATTGATTTGTTCATCGTAATAATGGATCATTGTTAAATGAAAAAAATAGCAATGACTCAGCATGCTTAAAAATAAAAATAAGGTAGGTCAACAAGTAAAAAACCAAAACAAAGCAAAACCCCAGCAAATTCATCTTTGTATTATTAAATCAACACCAAGCTTTCAATTTTAGCAAAACGGCACTATCCATTACATTATACTTGTTAATTTGAATTAAAACAGTTTTGTAGTTTTGCCTCTGGACAATCACTCTGAAAATACATCATATCCAGGGGAAGGGGCTAGTCAGGCGTTTCACTTCAAGGCTTTTTGTAGGCCACTGAGCAGAAAGAGTGTTAAGACCACAGAGCAGGCACTTCCTGAGGCCAGCTGGACTCTTAATGGGCTACAAAAAGCCTTAAAGTGAGACACTTGACTAGCTCCCCTAATGATAAAACTTTTTAGAACCTGCTAAATGCTAGAAAAAGAGGAAATACTGGGGTCAGCAAGAAAGTTCTACAAAATGGTTAATCCATTTACAGATCACTGGGAATGGTTTGTGTTATGCTAACTTGGCAGTCTGGTATTTTTTTGCGAAAGTACATGATTCCGTAGACAACAGTGGAAGATGTTTTGTGGGCAGACATAGCTTTGTGCTCCTTTTGCTAGCTTAGCCTTAACTCAACAAAGTCTTGATACACACAGACATATTAAGAAAAGGATATGCAGGAAGGTGTTAAGCAAAACCTTTGAATTAGAGAAAAAGCTTTGCACCCCTCCCCCACTCTCAAGTGTGGTCATGGTTTGAGACTGAAAATGAGAGGACAAGTGTAGTGGGCCACAGTTTACTGGGACTTCCTATGTGCAGTGACATTTACATTTTAAGAGAGGGTCCCTTTCTGCCTTCCACTGCCTTTATTATTTCCCATTCTTAACCTCTTGAGAATTTTTATATTAAATTTTTGCTAAGGGTGGCAGTCAATCCTATCAAGACAGTGTTTTTGTCTCCTAGAATCTCTACTCTACCCCTCTCAGGAAGAAGTTGGGATTAGGTCTTATCAGCCCTCACCAAGGGATGTCAGCAAGATGGAACTGGGTCGCTGTGGAGGAAGCACTTGAATAGTAAAAGAAGGAGGAAACCAAGGGAGAAGAAGGCATTGGGTGCCCATTTGAGATAAATTCTGTATGGGTTGAAGCTGACCAGAGGGGAATAGTAAAGAAAGCTTTGTTCCATCTTCAGGGCTCTGAGAATATTCATTTGATATCAAAACTCTTTGGAACATAATGACAGAGTTGTGGGAGTGTGGTCTTATTTAAGTTTCACAGCAATACAGTGAGGTAGGGATTATTACTGGTTATTTCTTAAGTTTTAGGAGGAAAGATGAATAAGGCTTTTTATATGTATTTCTTTTAAAACAAAGGTGTATAAATCATGAGGAGGAAAGACACAAGTTTTAGTAAATTTTCCCATTCCCATTTTAGAGTTGAGGAAACTGAGCCTCAAAGAGATGAGGTGATTTACTAAAGGTCATACAACTAGCAAGTGACAGGGTGAGACTTCGACCCTTATATGCTTTGGCTGTGTCCCCACTCAAATCTCATCTTGAATTGTAGCTCCCATAATTCCCACATGTCGTGGGAGGGACCCGGTGGGAGATAATTGAATCATGGGGGTGATTTCCCCCATACTGTTCTCATGGCAGTGAATGAGTCTCATGAGATCTGATGGTTTTATAAGGGGTTTCCCCTTTAGTTTGGCTCTCTTTCTGTCTTGTCTGCGGCCTTTTGCCTTCTGCCATAATTGTGAGGCCTCCCCAGCCATGTGGAACTGTGAGTCCATTAAACCTCTTTTTCTTTATAAGTTATCCAGTCTTGTGTATGTCTTTATCAGCATTGTGAATACAGACTAATACAGACCCCAAATCTATCTGATATTCAGGTTGGTTGGCACTTTTCCCTTCACACCATCCTTCCCCCGCTATTCTCTATGTCTATCTCCCAAACTCTCTATCTGCATTCTTCACTCTCTCCCCTGGATCCATTGTGACTGATGGAACACATGAAAGACAGTTTGGGCACAGCCTGAAACTCTGTAACTGGGAGATGCTAGCAGTGGTCAAAATCCATGACCCATAGGTCTATAGCAACATGCTCTGCCCCATCCCATGTGTACTAAATTAGAATGTCCATTTTAGCAAGATCCTTGGGGGGACTATCATAAACATCAAGGCCTGAGAAGTACTGCCCAAACCTACTCAGGTAAATCACTACATGGAGATACAAATTTTAGAGTTTCATCATTATCTTTTAAAAATAGAAAGAAAAGGGTGGGCATAGTGGCTTATGCCTATAATCCCAGCACTTTGAAAGGCAGAGGTGAGAGAATCACTTGAGCCCAGGAATTCGAGGCTGCAGTGAGCTATGGTCATGCCACTGCACTCCAGCCTTGGTGACAGAGCAAGCCCCAGTCTCTAAAAAAAAAAGGAAAAAAGAAAGGAGAGAATGCCAGGCGCAGTGGCTCATGCCTGTAATCCCAGCACTTTGAGAGGCCGAGGCGAGGGGATCACGAGGTCAGGAGTTTGAGACAGCCTGGCAAGCATGGTGAAACCCTGTCTCTACTAAAAACACAAAAAAATTAGCCAGGTGTGGTGGCACGTGCCTGTAGTTCCAGCTACTCGGGAGGCCCAGGCAGGAGAATTGCTTGAACCCAGGAGGCAGAGGTTGCAGTAAGCCGAGATCGTGCCACTGCACTCCAGCTTGGGCAACAGAGCAAGACTCTGTCTTGGAGGAAAAAAAGGAAAGAGAGAAAAAGGCCATCAGTTTAAAAGCTTACCATCTCAATTAACAAGTACAACGGATTAGATTGGTTTCTATAAAAGGGTACGAGGCAGTTGTGATGTTAATGGACTTGCACGGAGACTATCCAGATCACTGTTTGTTGAACACCTCCTGTGTGAAAGGTACGTATTTGACCTCATTTACTCCCCACAAAATCCTTGTGACATCAGTAAGTCTCTACGTTGCAAGTAAGAAAATTGAGGCCTAGAGAGGCGGAATAACTTCAAGTCTTAAAATTAGTGAGTGCCAAGGAAGGAACTTGAACCACAATTGCAGGCTCCACGTCAGTTCTTCTCTGACTAGTGATCAGGCACAAAGTTTACCCTAGGGAGGATGGGTCCAGAAGATTAATTCTGTAATTCCAGGGAATTACAAGATGTAGGAATCATAGTCTCAAAAGTGAAGCTCATGCTCAAGTCACATGGCAAGGGCAGCAAACAGTAGCCTCTATGGCTGAGCTGACAAGCACCAGAGTCCACTGGGCAGGTGAAATCCATTCTATTTTGTAATGTGATTTGGAGATGTCTATACATAGAAATAAAGTACATTCTTCCTGTCATCAGGAAGCAGTCCCCATAATAAACAACATCAAATATGCTAGGATCTTAAAAGCCTTTAGGATTTCCAAGAAGTGATCAAATGTTATTTCAGAGTTCTGGTAATATGAGCGTTCTAGGAAAATGAAACTTTGGGCTTTTGGTTAAATAAAGCATATTGAACACACAGGTTTATTTCCATTTCCCCCAAAATCCCCAGAATGACTGTAAAGGAATAATAAAAAAAAAATGTAAGTGCTAGAATTCCTATGTTTAGGAAAATATCTTGATGGATTTTAGGATTTTGAAATGTAAGGATGTCTTAGTTAATTAGAATAGAAGAAAATTTAATTGCACTGGGATATAAATAACATAAATCTCAGAATTGCCCCCTGACTGCTCAAGATGGGGGGAGTTTGAGAGGTCCTGGGGAAAGAAGAAGCATTGAGATGGAGGAAATCTTGAAGAGAAGATTACTGGTGAGCAGTGTCCCAGGGAAAAGGGCATCACTCAGATGGTTCTTTGTGGTGGGGGTGAGTGAATGATATCGTCTGGCTCTGTGTCCCCACCCAAATCTCACCTTGAATTGTAATCTGAATTGTAATCCCCATGTGTTGAGGGAGGGAACCTCATGGGAGGTTATTAGGTTATGGGGGCAGTCCCCCCATGCTGTTCTTGTGATAATGAGTGCGTTCTTACTTTCCTTTATAAATTACCCTGTCTTGGGTATTTCTTCATAGCAGCATGAGAATGGACTAATACAGGGAGGAAGGGGAAAATGTCAAACATTCTATTATTGATGTTTCCTATTCCCTGCTCTGCTGAAAAAATCTTTCATTTTCCCTAGTTAACCACCTAATAGTTTGGGGTTGGTACTCTGGGAAATGAAGGGGGAGAGGCTATTCCACACTAAAAACAAAGCAGGGAGGAGAGAGGGAAAAAAGACTGGGGCATTTAGGGTGATGGGGAGTCAAGAGAACAGGCTCTCAGGATAAGGGGAAGCCAAAGGTAGATAAACTTCCTCTCCCTGACTCCTTACCCACCATAATTCCAGAATCTTTAGTAATGTAATAAAGACCTGTCATACATCTGTTTGGGCTAATGATGCTCTGAGAACTCTCAGATTTGAGCTGTTTCTTGTTTAGGCCCAAGTGGGGTGAACAGAGGAGGCAAGACAGCAAACAGGGCTATTGGCAGGAGGAATTTGGAGGGATTGGTTGTTATCTCCCTCCTCTGCTATGGAAATTTGCAGCTGGAAGAATTGGGGACACTTAGGCTCATATACAAGGTCTTATTTAATTCATCAATTAATCTTGTGAGATTAGCATTTTTATCTTCCCCATTTTATAGGTAAGAAAACTGAGGTTGGTTAGTTTCAGTATGTTGTCCAGTATATTGTAGCTAGAAAGTGACTGAAGAAAAATTTGAATCCAACTATGTGTTTCTCAAGAGTTATCTACAATTTGTATTTTGATTATGTTACATAAAACATTTGCATCTGAGGGGGCCTTTCCACCATCATAAAATTGTGTATTTTTAAGGAAGTATTAATGGGCTCCCAAATATTTCCTCTTCACTTTTGCTTCCCATGACCTTTTCCAGCTTGGCAGATGGGGCATAGGGTAAGGAGTTTTAAATTTAGCATGGTCCTATAAACATTTTCTGTCTTTAGGTTTCTCCCATGGCTTGTGAGAGCTTGGGGTGATGCAGTATAAGGAGAAAGCCAAGACAGACTCCTCCCTCTATGTCTTAAATAATTGCTCTGCCTTGGGCTTCCAGAGCCTCTGAACAGACAGGTACAGACACCTTCGTCAAAAAAGTCAAATATTCTTGTGTGTCCTTCTCTTCCCATTTAGACTGAGCCCCAGGGGGAAGAGTAAGGACTATGTGTAGCTCATTTCCTAATCTCCTATGAATCAAACACACAGCTGTGTACATTCTGTATGAACAACAAACACTTGTCGAAACTGAATTGAGTTGAACTCTGCTTCCTTACACGTGAATCCATCTCCCATGTCCTCAGAGCTTACTGGAAAATGATTGGGAAATAATCCTCTAGACCATGAAGGCTTCATAATAATTCTTTCCATAAAAAAAAAAACTCTAAAAACTTGCATGCAGGAATACCTTAACACACCCAATTCTCTGTACAAAATAAACCTATCCCAGAGCCCTCTCTAGATCTCTGCTTTACTGCATCACCATTTACTCTCTCCATGGTAATGAGATCTTCTGAGTGGGCAAGATGAGTTGAGTATAGCTGCATGGCAGACTGTTCTGGCTCAGGCTATCCAGATAGAGTATAATCCCTCAGTAACTGTGTTCTTGGCCTTTGCTACTCTACAAGATTATGCTAAGAAAATTAGGTCTAATTTTCTCCCTAGTTCCTCCAAAAAAGAGTAAATCAATCAACACAATTATTCCAGAAGCATACTGGTGTAAGTGATTTCCTGACACAAGCACAGCTGGTTTTGGCTACTCCTTGAGGCTTGGTTAGGATTTCACCTCCTAGTTTTACATTTGCTTGTTTGCTAGGCTTCTAGCTTGTGCAAAAGAATCACCTAACAGCTTTCATCCAAGAACTAGGAATTTCCATCTTTTTGCTAAAATATTAGAGCACACTATTCAAATGTGTTTTATTTTCAAGGGCAATGATTATTTATAGATGAGTTCATTCCCAATAAACATGACTTGAATGTTATTTATCTAAATTCTCAGGTTAACTAGAATGAAATAAAGGACTCAGGCAATCTCATAAAAATTTAAAAGGAGTGTTTTATTCATGTCCCTGGGATTTGGTTATATTGTCATCAAACTGAAGTTTGTGTTAAAAACCTGCAAGTGTAGGAAATGTCAATCAAAACTTTCAATGTTGCAAACACGATAATAATTCCCACAGGGGAAAAACTCAAGAGGAAAACTTAGAACAGGAGAGAAAAATTGCTCCTTGGGGCTTAACTAAACTCTTTAGATATCAGACTGTTCTCTGCTCTTGAACAGCATGAACAATTGTTCTAATTCAATCAGTGGTGAATTTTAACTTTCACCCTAGTGAGGTTGGTTCCCATTCACCATAACCAGCAGGAACTTCATGGGATAGATCTAATGCACACTGTCCACTTTATCCTCAGAAGGAAATTCTATTCTCTAACCCAAGAGAAGATATCAATCCAAGTGTTTGTAATGGGGAAGGGCACACATTCACTCTACCTCAGATCTGGCATTAGACAAAAACCAGGCATACGCATGAATCCATAGGAAAGAGGTTTAGATGAACATGTAAGCCAGTGAGATCCAACTCAGCAGCCTCCTTAGACCATTCCAACACTGCAGGATGCAGTACCTCTGCCGTTAACTACAGGCAGGATATGGGTGAGTTTTTTCCACAACGGCAGTCAGCATTTGGGTATTATCTTCTGTTGCTTCTACTCAAGGATGAACAGGCTGAAAAATAACAGAAACCACAGTATCTAATTACTTGTCAGCAGGAGCTCCCCAAATTGTCTCCCACTGCCAGCACTCTGGGAGTCAGGCTGTGGGTCTAAGCCTATTTTCCCTCTGCTTAAAATCTTTCCACAGTTCAAGAAAGCATGAAGTCATGGTTTGGCCTTGGCGGGCCCCTCCAGTCACCCCACCTGACAGTTAGCCCTCTGACCACACCAAACTGCACAAGCTAGGCAGTCCATGCTCCTAGGGTTTTACTCATGCCATCCCCTAAGACTCAAATGCCTTCCCCAATCCTGCAATCTCCTATCCTGGTTCACAACTAATCAGCCTTCAAACTGGTGCCTCCTCTCTGGTCTCGTGACATGTGAGCCCAAAGAAAAAAGCTCTGTGCCTGTGTTGTAGAAGGAGTTTCTTACTCCTGTCTTATTCCTTTAGTTCAATATCTTAGGCCCAATTCCTTCTAGACTCACTTAAAGAGGGTGGACGTGATGCCTCAGATAACAACCCATCTGTAGCTGATTAGACCTTGCTTGCCAGTTCACTCAGGGCTGTGTCCCATCCTGAGTCAGGGTGGAGATGCACCCTGTGCAACTGCAACCAGAATCATTGGAGTGTGACGAGTAATTAAAAAGAAAGAAATATGCTAATTGCAGTTTGAGAAGGGACTGAGATCTGCACTATGCTCTCACAGAAGACCAATAAAAATGATGGATTGCGTTACCTACAGAGTTTTGTTTAACTAAATAAGTTCTGCAAATTTGTGGCAGGGGCTGCATGTCTCCAGACCCTAGGAAGACAGCCTTAGGCCACCAGTTCTAGCCATTTTCTCTGCCCTGCCCTCACACTCAGCGTTTCCTCTGTGCACACATGGAATAAATGTTTAAAAAATATTCATTTGCCTGCCCCGGGCAAGATGGCCAAATAGGAGCAGCTCTGGTCTGCCGCTCCCAGTGAGACCAATGCAGAAGGTGGGTGACTTCTGCATTTCTAACTGATGTACCCAGTTCATCTCACTAGGACTAGTTAGACAGTGGGTGCAGCCCACGGAGGGCCAGTAGAAGCAGGGTGGGGTGTCGTCTTACCTGGGAAGTGCAAGGGCTCAGGGAACTTCCTCCCCTAGCCAAGGGAAACCCTGAGGGATTGTGCTATGAGCAACGGTGCACTCCAGCCCAGATGCTACTCTTTTCACATGGTCTTTCTAACCCACAGTCCAGGAGATTCCCTCAGGTGCCTACACCACAAGGGCCCTGGGTTTCAAGCACAAAGATGGGTGGCCATTTGGGCAGACACTGAGCTAGCTGCAAGAGTTTTTTTATTGTACCCCAATAGCGCCTGGAACACCAGCGAGACAGAACCATTCACTCCCCTGAAGACAGGGAGCCAAGTGGTCTAGCTCAGCAGATACCACCCCCATGGAGCCCAGCAAGCTAAGATCCACTGGCTTGAAATTCTTGCTGCCAGCATAGCAGTCTGAAGTCTACCTGGGATGCTCAAGCTTGGTGGGGGGAGGGGCCTTCACCATTACTGAGGCTTGAGTAGGCAGTTTTCCTCTCACAGTGTAAATAAAGCCACTGGGATGTTCAGACTGGGTGGAGCCCACCACAGCTCCGTAAAGTCTCCATAGCCAGACTGCCTCTCTATGTTCCTCTCCTCTGGGCAGTGCATCTCTGAAAGAAAGGCAGCAGCTGCAGTCAGGGGTTTATAGATAAAACTCCCATCTCCCTGGGACTGAGTACCTGGGGGAAGGGGTGACTGTAGGTGCAGCTTCAGCAGACTTAAATATTCCTGCCTGCTGGCTCTGAGGAGAGCAGCAGATCTCCCAGCACAGTGCTCAAGCTCTGCTAAGAGACAGACTGCCTCCTTAAGTGGGACCCTGATGCCTGTGCCTCCTGACTGGGAGACACCTCCCAGCCAGGGTCGACAGACACCTTATACATGGAGAGCTCTGGCTGGCATCTGGCAGGTGCCCCCCTGGGATGAAGCTTCTAGAGGAAGGAGCAGGCAGCAATTTTTGCTGTTCTGCAGCCTCTGCTGGTGATACCCAGGCAAACAGGGTCTGAAGTGGACCCCCAGCAAACTCCAGCAGACCTGCAGAAGAGGGGCATGCCTGTTAGAAGGAAAACTAACAAACAGAAAGCAATAGCATCAACATCAACAGAAAAAAAAGACCACACAAAAACTCCATCTGAAGGTGACCAACATCAAAGACCAAAGGTAGATAAATCCATGAAGATGAGGAAAAACCAGAGCAAAAAGGCTGAAAATCCCAAAAACCAGAATGCCTCTTCTCCTCCAAAGGATCACAACTCCTTGCCAGCAAGGGAACAAAACTGGACGAGGAATGAATTTGACGAATGGACAGAAGTAGACTTCAGAAGCTGGGTAATAACAAACTCGTCTGAGCTAAAGGAGCATGTTCTAACCCAATGCAAGGAAGCTAAGAACCTTGATAAAATGTTAGAGGAATTACTAACTAGAATAACCAGTTTAGAGAAGAAAATAAATGACCTGATGAAGCTGAAAAACACAGCACAAGAACTTTGTGAAGCATACACGAGTATCAATAGCCGAACTGATCAAGCGGAAGAAAGGACATCAGAGATTGAAGATTGACTTAATGAAATAAAGCATGAAGACAAGATTAGAGAAAAAAAAAATGAAAAGGAATGAACAAAGCCTCCAAGAAATGTGGGACTATGTGAAAAAACCAAACCTATGTTTGATTGGTGTACCTGAAAGTGACGGGGAGAATGGAACCAAGTTGGAAAACTCTCTTCAGGATATTATCCAGGAGAACTTCCCCAACCTATCAAGACAGGCCAACATCCAAATTCAGGAAATACAAAGAACACCACAAAGATGCTCCTCAAGAAGAGCAACCCCAAGACACATAATCATCAGATTCACCAAGGATTAAATGAAGGAAAACATGTTAAGGGCAGCCAGAGAGAAAGGTCGGGTTACCCACAAAGGAAGCCCATCAGACTAACAGTGGATCTCTCTGCAGAAACCCTACAAGCCATAAGAGATGGGGGCCAATATTCAACATTCTTAAAGAAAAGAATTTTCAACCCAGAATATCATATCCAGCCAAACTAAGCTTCATAAGTGAAGGAGAAATAAAATCCTTTACACACAAGCAAATGCTGAGGGATTTTGTTACCACCAGGTCTGCCTTAAAAGAGCTCCTGAAGGAAGTGCTAAATATGGAAAGGAAAAATCAGTACCAGCCACTGCAAAAAGAAACCAAAATATAAAGACCATCGACACTATGAAGAAACTCCATCAACTAATGGGCAAAATAACCAGCTAGCATCATGATGACAGGATCAAATTCACACATAACAATATTAACATTAAATGTAAATGGGCTAAATGCCCTAATTAAAAGACATAGACTGGAAAATTGGATAAAGAGTCAAGACCCATCAGTGTGCTGTATTCAGGAGCCCCATCTCATGTGCAAAGACACTCATAGGCTCAAAATAAAGGGACTGAGGAAGATTTACCAAGCAAATGGAAAGCAAAAAAAGCAGGAGTTGCAATTCTAGTCTCTGATAATACAGACTTTAAGCTAACAAAGATCAAAAAAGACAAAGAAGGGTATTATATAATGGTAAAGGAATCAATGCAGCAAGAAGAGCTAACTATTCTAAATATATATGCACCCAATACAGGTGTACCCAGATTCATAAAGCAAGTTCTTAGAGACCTACAAAGATACTTAGACTCCCACACCATAATAGTGGGAGACTTTAACACCCCACTGTCAATATTAGACAGAACAATGAGACAGAAAATTAACAAGGATATTCAGGACTTGAACTCAACTCTGGACCAAACAGATCTAATAGACATCTACAGAACTCTCCACCCCAAATCAATAGAATATTCGTTCTTCTCAGCACCACATTGCACTTATGCTAAAATTGACCACATAATTGGAAGTAAAATACTCCTCAGCAAATGCAAAAGAATGGAAATGATAACAGTCTCTCAGACCACAGTGCAATCAAATTAGAACTCAGGATTAAGAAACTCACTCAAAACTGCTCAACTACATGGAAACTGAACAACCTGCTCCTGAATGACTACTGGGTAAATAATGAAATGAAGGCAGAAATAAAGATGTTCTTTGAAACCAATGAGAACAAAGACACAATGTACCAGAATCTCTGGGACACAGCTAAAGCAGTGTTTAGAGGGAAATTTATAGCACTAAATGCCCACAGGAGAAAGCAGGAAAGATCTAAAATTGACACCCTAACATCACAATTAAAAGAACTAGAGAAGCAAGACCAAACAAATTCAAAAGCTAGCAGAAGACAAGAAATAACTAAGACCAGAGCAGAACTGAAGGAGATAGAGACATGAAAAACTGTTCAAAAAATCAATGAATCCAGAAGCTGGTTTTTTGAAGAGGTTAACAAAATATATAGACTGCTAGCCAGACTAATAAAGAAGAAAAGAGAGAAGAATCAAATAGGAACAATAAAAGATGATAAAGGGGAGATCACCACAGATCCCACAGAAATGCAAACTACCATCAGAGAATACTATAAACACCTCTACAAAATAAACTAGAAAATCTAGAAGACAGATAAATTCCTGGACACATACACCCTCCCAAGACTAAACCAGGAAGAAGTCAAATCCCTGAATAAACCAATACAAGTTCTGAAATTGAGGCAGTAATTAATAGCCTACCAACAAAAAAGAGCCCATGACCAGATGGATTCACAGCTGAATTCTACTACAGGTACAAAGAGAAGCTGGTACCATTCCTTCTAAAACTATTCCAAACAATAGAAAAAGAGAGACTCCTCACTAACTCATTTTATGAGGCCAGCATTATCCTGATACCAAAACCTGGCAGAGACACAACAAAAAAAGAAAATTTCAGGCCAATATCCCTGATGAATATTGATGCAAAAATCCTCAATAAAATACTGGCAAACTGAATCCAGCAGCACATTAAAAAGCTTATCTACCACAGTCAAGTTGGCTTCATCCCTGGGTTGCACGGCTAGTTCAACATATGCAAATCAATAAATGTAATCCAATACCTAAACAGAACCAAAAACAAAAACCACACGATTATCTCAATAGATTACAGAAAAGGGCTTCAATAAAATTCAACACTACTTCATGGGCTAAAAACACTCAATAAACTAGGTATTAATGGAACATTTCTCAAAATAATAAGAGCTATTTATGAAAAAACCCACAGCCAATATCATACTGAATGGGAAAAGCTGGAAGCATTCCCTTTGAAAACTGGCACAAGACAAGTATGCCCTCTCTCACCACTCCTATTCAACATAGTATTGGAAGTTCTGGCCAGGGCAATCAGGCAAGAGAAAGAAATAAAGGGTATTCAAATAGGAAGAGAGGAAGTCAAATGATCTCTGTTTGCAGGTGACATAAGTGTATATTTAGAAAACCCATCATCTCAGCCCCAAAACTTCTTAAGCTGATAAGCAACTTCAGCAAACTCTCGGGATACAAAATCAATGTGCAGAAATCACAAGCATTCCTAACCACCAATAATAGATAAACAGAGAGCCAAATCATGAGCAAACTCTTATTCACAATTGCTACAAAGAGAATAGAATACCTAGGAATACAATTTACAAGGGATGTGAAGGACCTCTCCAAGGAGAACTACAAACCACTGCTCAAGGAAATAAGAGAGGACACAAACAATTGGAAAAATATTTCATGCTCATGGATAGGAAGAATCAAGATTGTGAAAATGGCCATCCTACCTAAAGTAATTTATAGATTCAATGCTATTCCCATCAAGCTATGAGTTACTTTATTCACAGAATTAGAAAAAACTACTTTAAATTTCGTATGGAACCAAAAAAGAGCCCATGTAGCCAAGACAACCCTAAGCAAGAAAAACAAAGCTGGAGGCATCATGCTACCTGACTTTGAACTATACTACAAGGTTACAGTAACCAAAATGGCATGGTACTGGTACCAAAACAGATATATAGACCAATGGAACAGAACAGAGGCCTCAGAAATAACACCACACATCTACAACCATCTGATCTTTGACAAACCTAACAAAAATAAGCCATGGGGAAAGGATTCCCTATTTAATAAATGGTGTTGGGAAAACTGGCTAGCCATATGTAGAAAGCTGAAACTGGGTCCCTTCCTTACACCTTATACAAAAATTAACTCAAGATGGATTAAAGATTTAAATGTGAGACCTAAAAACCATAAAAACCCTAGAAGAAAACCTAGGCAATACCATTCAGGATGTAGACATGGGCAAAGACTTCATGACTAAAACACCAAAAGCAATGGCAACAAAAGCCAAAATTGACAAATGGGATCTAATTAAACTAAAGAGCTTTTGCAGAGCAAAAGAAACTATCATCAGAGTGAATGGGCAACCTACAGAATGGGAGAAAATTTTTGCAATTTATCCATCTGGCAAGGAGCTAATATCCAGAATCTACAAGGAACTTAAACAAATTTACAAGAAAAAAACAAACAACCCCGTCAAAAAGTATGTGATGGATGTGAACAGACACTTTTCAAAAGAAGATATTTATGTGGCCAACAAGCATATGAAAAAATGCTCATCATCACTGGTCATGGGAGAAATGCAAATCAAAACCACAATGAGATACCACCTCACGCCAGCTAGAATGGTGATCATTAAGAAGTCAGGAAACAACAGATGCTGGAGAGGATGTGGAGAAATAAGAACACTTTTACACTGTTGGTGGGAGTGTAAATTAGTTCAACCATTGTGGAAGACAGTGTGGTGATTCCTCAAGGATCTAGAAATAGAAAAACCATTTGACCAAGGAATCCCATTACTGGGTATATCACCAAAGGATTATAAATCATTCTACTATAAAGACACAGGCACATGTATGTTTATTGCAGCACTATTCACAATAGCAAAGACTTGAAACCAACCCAAATGCCCATCAATGTTAGACTGGATAAAGAAAATGTGGCACATATCCACCATGGAATACTATGCAACCATAAAAAATCATGAGTTCATGTCCTTTGCAGGGCCGTGGATGAAGCTGGAAACCATCATTCTCAGCAAACTAACACAGGAACAGAAAACCAGTCACTGCATGTTCTCACTTATAAGTGGGAGATGAACAATGAGAACCTATGGGTACAGGGACGGGAACATCACACACTGGGGCCTGTCGAGGGGTGGAGGGCAAGGGGAGGGATAGCATTAGGAGAAATACCTAATGTAGATGACGGGTTGATGAGTGCAGCAAACCACCATGGCATATGTATATCGATGTAACAAATCTGCACATTCCTCACATGTACCCCAGAACTTAAAGTATAATAAAAAATATTATTTTGAAGGGGAACCAAGTTATTTGCCTTCACGCAGCCCTATCTGCTCAACCCCTTTGACTGAACCACTCATAGAGATTGGCATATGGTCAAATAGTTTAAAAGTTTCTTCCTGACCCCTAAGCCTTGGTTGCTGTGATTCACTAGCTACCTCTGCAACCCATCTGTCCTATTTTTTCTTTTCTTTTCTTTTCTTCTCTTTTTCTTTCTTTTTTTTGAGACAGGGTCTCACTCTGTCACTCAGGCTGGAGTGCAGTGGCTCCATCATGGCTCACTGCAGCCTCCAAACCCTGGTCTCAAGTGATCCTCTCATCCCAGCTTCCCCTGTATCTGGAACCACATGTGCATGCCACCATGCCCTGCTAATTTTTTGTAGAGATAAGGTCTCACTATATTGCCCAGGCTGGTCTCAAACTCCTGGGTTCAAACAATTCTCCTGCATCAGCCCCCCAAAATGCTGAGGTTACAGGCTTAGCCATGGAGCCTGTCCTATCCTGTTTTTCAGTTGCCCTGTTCCCTTCTCCTCATTGCCACCTGCCTCATTTCTTTCCCCTCCACCTTGAGGTTTTCTTTAATACTCCCTCACAGGAGGACTTTTTCACAAGAGCAACTCATTTCCCTCTGGAGGTCAGCCCCAAGACCCAGTAGACTGGAAAGTTTTACCTGCGGTCTCCCGACAGATACCATAGGTAACCAGGCCTTTTGTCTTTAAAATAGGTATGGAGAATCTCAACATTGGAGGATAAGTCTGTGAAAAACAGCATTAGGTTCACAAAGTCCTGCTGAAACGGCACTTTAAGGAAAGTTCTCTTTGAGGATTTTTTTTTTTTTTTTGAGACGGAGTTTTGCTCTGTTGCCCAGGCTGGAGTGCAGTGGCAAAATCTCAGCTCACTGCACTCCCGGGTTCAAGAAATTCTCCTGCCTCAGCCTCCTTAGAAGCTAGAATTACAGGTGCCCACCACCGTGCCTGGTTAATTTTTGTATTTTTAGTAGAGATGGGGTTTCAGCATGTTGGCCAGGCTGGTCTTGAACTCCTGACCTCAGGTGATCCACCCGCCTCGGCCTCCCAAAGTGCTGGGATTATAGGCGTGAGCCACTGCGCCTGGTCCTCTTTGAGGATTCTTTCAGACTAGCATGGCATTGGTTCTGAGTGTTCTTACACATTCGGAAAGTAAAGCATCAAGGTTTACAGTCTGGGCCAGACACGGTGGTTCACATCTGCAATTTCAGCTCTTTGGGAGGTCTAGGTGTTACTGGAAGGGGGTCCCAATCCAGACCCCAAGAGAAGGTTCTCGGACCTCACACAAGAAAGAATTTGGGGAGAGTTCATAGAGTAAGGTGAAAGCAAGTGTATTAAGTAAAGGAATAAAAGAAAGGCTACTCCAAAGGCAGAACAGCAACATGGGCTGCTCAACTGAGTGTACTTAGAGTTGTTTCTTGAATATATACTAAACAAGAGGCGGACTATTCATATATTTTCTGGGAAAGGGGCTGAGATTTCCCAGAACTGAGAGTTCCTCCCCTTTTTAGACTTTATAGGGTAACTTCCAGGCATGGCCATGGCATTTGTAAACTGTCATGGCACTGGCTAATGCATTATAATTAGAGTATAATGAGCAGTGAGGATGACCAGAGGTCACTTTCATCCTCATCTTGGTTTTGGTAGGTTTTGGCTGGCTTCTTTACCGCATCCTATTTTATTAGCAGGGTTTTTGTGACCTGTATCTTGTGCTGACCTCATATCTCATGCTGTGATTAAGAATAACTAACCTCCTGGGAATGCAGCCCAGTAGGCCTCAGCCTTATTTTACCCAGTCCCTATTCAAGATGGAGTCGCTGACATAGGTGGGAGGATTGCTTGAAGCTAGGAGTTGGAGTCCAGCCTGGGTAACATATTGAGATCCTGTCTCTACAAAAATAAAATAAAATAAAATAAAATAAAATAAAATAAAAAGTTAGAGGTTAGTAAGACTAAATTCCAGGATTTTACATTAAAAATGGAGGTTTGAACCCTCCACAAACACTGCTAAAATAATAGCAAAAGTTTTAAAATGGTATCAACTAGTAAGAACAAAGAGAATTGCAAGGGAAATATTCTTTGAAAAGAGAGTTCACCAATTTTTTGGATATGTAGATAGACAAGAGGGAACAGATTAGTATCACAAAGGATAATACAATGTAGTGCCTGTTGGGTGATTACTGACAAAACATGTGCCAGACCTGGAACCCCTGAGAAATTGAACACTTGAAGATACTTGCAATTCCAAAATCCATGAAGGTTGGAAAACAGACCAATTCTTTTTTGGAAAGCTCATTTAGTTGCATAAAGTGGTCTGACTTCACTCATTTGGAGAGAAGCTAACTTGAACTGACACAAGGCTATTTATAACCTTTAATTTTTCCACTGAATGTGCACATTTACATGCTTCACTGCAGAAATAATAGTATGTTTGAGAAAATTTTATTTATTAAAATGCCAACAAAAATAGTGATATATCTATTGGGAAGACAGAAGAGAGGGCACAAGGGGTAAGACTGAAGAATGTAAGAGTTAAATCCTCAACTACCTCAAAAGGAAGTTAAGGCATAATGCTCTAAAACTGGTATATTCAGAAATGGCAGTGTAAACATATTATTCAGAAATATGATAGCAAATAACTAAATAGTCCTATAACCACAAAGAAGACTAGGTATCCAAAAACCTTTTTTGGTTAACTTCTATCAAACAGTCAAGGCACATATAATCCTAATCTATATGACCTATTTGAGATAATATAAAGAGAAGGGCTGCTTCTCAACTCATTTAAAGGTGATAGCTTAACTTTAATACCAAAAAACAGGACAGCATGGGCAAGGAAAATTTCAGGCCAGTTATCAGTCATGAACATAGATTTATATTACTAGCAAACTAAATCCACTAGTGCATGACAAGAATACTACGTAATGATTAAGTACAGCTAATCCAGCAAAATAACGTTGATTCAGTGTAAGAATTCATGTAATATGTAACCACCACACTAACTGATTAAGGAAGAATAATCATATGATTGTTTCAGTTAATACAGAAGCATCTGATAAAATTCAGCATTAATTTGCGATTAAAAAAATAGGCAAACCTAGATGACAAAGAACTTCCTTAATCTGATAAGGAGTGTCTACAAATAACCCACAGCAAATGGCATCATCAATAGTGGAAGGTTAAAATCTTCTCCTTTGAAGTCCCGAAAAAGGCAAAGATGCCCACCATCACCAAGGACCTTCAATTTTGTTCTGGAGCTCTTAGCCAGGTATGAAAATAAAGAAACAAAGTTGACATTTTTGCAGATATTTACACAGACAAGTCTGAAGAATCTACAGATACGTTAGAATAAGCAAATTTTATAATTTGCTGGATACAGAATGTATAATAGAATATAATATAAGTATATATGTCTTTGCTTCAAATAGATTTATAAACTCGAACAAACTTATTTTGCAGAACTTGACATATTGACTTTAAAATTTATGTAAAATTGCAAAGGGCTAAGAATAGCCAAGATAGTCGTGAAGAAGAAGAATGAGGTATGGACTCACCTTACCGGATATCAAGATTGATATAAAGCTTTGGTAGTCAAGATAGTGTGGTATGAAAACAAGTACAGAACAATACTGATATGATTTGGCTGTGTTCCCACCCAAATCTCAACTTGAATTGTATTCCCACGTGTTGTGAGAGGAACCCAGTGGGAGATTATGGAGTCCTGGGGGTGGTTTCCTCCATACTGTTATGGTGGTGAATACGTCTCATGAGATCTGATGGTTTTATAAGGGGAAACACCTTTTGCTTGACTCTCATTCTCTCTTGCCTGCCACTACGTGAGATGTGTCTTTTGCCTTCCACCGTGATAGTGAGGCCTCCCTAGCCACGTGGAACTGAGTCCATTAAACCTCTTTTTCTTTATAAATTACCTAGTCTCGGGTATGTCTTTATCAGCAGTGTGAAAACAGACTAATACAAATACCCGATGGAAGGGACTAGAAAGTCTAGACACAGATCCTTTCTTATATTAACATTTTACTTATGAGAAAACAGGCATTGAAGATCACTAGAAGAAGAAAGAATTTTAAAAAATAGCCTTTGGGTCCATACATAGTATACAGCTATTCATCTAAGAAAATAAAAAGAGACTGGACGTGGTGGCTCATGCCTGTAATCCCAGCACTTTGGGAGGCCAAGGTGTGTGGATCCCTTGAGATCAGGAGTTTGAGACCAGCCTGGCCAACATGATGAAACCCTATCACTACTTAAAAAAAAAAATTACAAAAATTAGCCTGGCATGGTAGTGGGTGCCTGTAATCCCAGCTACTTGGGAGGCTGAGGCAGGAGAATTGCTTGAACCCGGGAGGCGGAGTTTGCAGTGAGCTGAGATCGAGCCATTGCACTCCAGCCTGGACTCCATCTCAAAAAAATAAATAAATAAAGGAAAGAAATCCGACACCTTTTGACACTAAACACAAAAATCAATTCCAGATCGATTAATTAAAAAACTGTGAAGAGTTTAGAAGATATGATGGAGACTATTTTGATGACCCTGCATAAGAAAATATTTAAAAATATGAGACACAAAAATGTTAATCAACAATGTAATGATTAATAAATCTGACTACATTAAAGAACTTCTGTTCATCAGTCACTGCAAAGAGAGTGAATGTTTGAGCCGCGAAGCGAGAGATGTGAATAACTAAGAAAGGGCTGAAGTCAAAGATGTATAAAGAACTTCCACAAATCCAAAAGCCTAACTGAAAACTGGGCAAAAGTCTCAGATAGACACTTCACAAGAGAGGAAAGGTAAATTGCTGAGAAACAGAATAACTCTCTTAACCTTAAACTAATTAAACTATAAATGGAACTATAATTAAATACAGTTAAACATATAGATATATATTACACAGCCAACAGATTGGTACAGGTTGAAAGGTCCAAAAGACTTTGAGTGTTAAAGTCAGTGGGCAGCCTGACAAACTTTCACTTATTGCTGAAAGGGCATGAATTTGTACCACCACTTTAGAAAACAGTTTGGCATTATCTAGTACATTTGAAGAGATGCAACCTCTATAATACAGCATTATCACTCCTTAGTACATATCCTAGAAACAATTATCTGCATGTGTACCAACAGATAAGAATAAGAATGCTTATGATAGTGTTGCTCTTAACAGCCTCAATGGAAATGACCTGAATGTTAATCCACAGTAGAGCTGATAATAAACTAATTGTGGATTGATATGTCGTGGTTGAGTCTCATTAGCATAATAAATAAGTGAAAGGAATAAGAGACAAAAGAATACATATAGCGTGGTTGTATTAGTATATAATGTATTTTAAAGGATGCAAAATTGCCTGGTATCCCAAAGACTGAAATCGAGACTCTCTTCCTTTCTCTCCAATTTCTTTATACTTGCGTTTCCCCAGATATTGCATTTTACTCTATGAACTTAAATTTGACCTGCGGAAATATTTTGCCCCAGAGTTAGTTGTGATATTAAGTTTGTTATATTTAATAGGTAAAACCCAGTTATTATAAATTCTCTCAGAAAAAGGGAATTTCAGACATTCCTGTTTTTGTTGCTTTGTTTTGCAAAATTTATATATCTTTACTGTTGGCACTGTTTAATCTTTCTTACTTTGCTTATTAAAAACCTCTTCATTGCCACTCTCTTCCAGCACGGGGCTGAATTGCCTAGTGACATAGCTTCTGCTTCCACTTGAGTCAATATGGAATGTTATTTCTTTCTATCTATTCAATGATAAAGCCCACTACCTTTTTGTAAGCCAATTTATACTCAAGGTCTCTAGACCACCACAGCACTATACATCCTAAAATTCACCATGTGTGGCACTTTTATAGCCAACCCCCTTCCCACAGAATGTCAACTTAACTATTTTTATCAAGGCAACAAAATATTAAGTCGACAACTCATTATAGACCATAGCAATAAATATTGAAGTTCAAATTTCTTACATAAACTCCTTTGTCAAAAATAACATCTGCAAGAACAATTTTATGAAGCAGGCACTATCACATTTCAGCAGCTTTTGGATAAAATGAACATTTTCTCCTTATTGAGATTTATTTCACCATTTGTTAGAAAAGCCTGTTAATATCAAGGCCAAATGCTAGAATTCCATTAATTTGCACCAAGAAGAAGGAAAAAACCCCACATTTTAGAAGCTCAAAATGTACAGTTTGGAAAGGAAAAAGATAAACTAAGATTATTAAAAAATTGAATATGAGCTATGAAATGTTTTGCATCTATAATACCAAGATGACACCCCTAGGCTAGATCCTACTTTATCTTTATTATTTTTGGTTATTCTGTTAACTGTCCCAAGCATATTTTTCTGGTTTTCTACAGAACTGGCAACTGCTAATATTTCCTGATTTTGTTCAGTCACTTTCTTGCTGTGTTCTGCTCTGTGGAAATGTGTACGGTGCTAGGAGACCTAATTGAAAAATGGGTTTAGAGTGAGCCAGACCTGAATGTAAATCTTGACTTGGTCACTGAGCAAGTTATAGAACTTTCTCTGTGAAATTGCAATAATAATACTTTGTTCATGCTTTGAGGTTTGTGAGGACAATGAGTAATGCTTTCATGGACAAGATGTCTCACTTTACAGTTGACAAAATACATGTACACACACACACACACACACACACACAAGTCTGGTACAGTGTAAGCCAATTTGCCATGCCAAAGGGCAGTTCAGAAGCAACAGCCCTACCATGGCCCAAGCAAAGTGGCTGTGGCCTGCTACCTTCTGCATACTGGGTCGAATTCCAGGCATAAGCAGACGCCACTCATACACTCATATTTGGCCTACAGATTCATTTTGTTTAACTTGCATAGCACTATTTTAAAGGTAAATGCATGCCAGTCTGTAAAAATGGGATGACTTCATATAAAAGACAGAATTTTCTACTTCTCTTGAAAAATTGGAAGAAAGTGGTAGCGTGAGTCCACAAACTGCTGGGGGAAGATCATTAGGGCTGGGGAGTGGCAGCCTCTTTTCATGGCATATGCCCAGTCCATCATGGGCCACCCCAGGCTGCAATTCCCAGGTACTTTATCTGGCAGGCATTTTACTTGCTACTGGGAGTCTGATAAATGGATGGGCTACACAGTCTCCAGGTAAGCTGTCTTTCAAAAATGCTCTCACACCCAGACCTGAGAAGTTTAAACAGCCTTCGTTGTGTGCTCTGGGAAGCAGGGAGGGTAGCTGTACTGCGGGTCAGTCAAGGTTAGTTCTTTGCTACCCAGGCTGGAGTGGCGATGACATTCTGAGCATCAATTGGCCACAGGCAAGGAGGGAAAGCCTCACTGGCCCAGCCCTAGGAGGAGATGTGTGAGGTTATTTGTTCTTCCTAAGGATGGGCCAAGGCCATATGCTCAGGCAGCTTTTCTTCCTCTCTAGTTCATAAAATGCTGTTGAATATCTGTTCTTCTACTAACATCCTGAGTGCTAGGCCCTTTTCCATTTATTTTTTCTTCTCTACTCCTGATGTGGCTGCCCTCCTCACTATCAAGACTGCAGTGGCCAAACTATTTGGGTGAAGGGAGCATGGTCAGTGAGCAAAGAGTCCCTGGCTAGTGCAAGATTAAAATGGAAATTTGCATTTTCCACACATTCAGCTCTGAGCTGAAAGAGTGGAAGATGGAGTTTCTCCTTCCACAGAGCAAAGGAGCCAGTGGATTTATAAATAGGTGGAAAACTGTGCAGGATTTTCACCATAGGAATTCAGTGGAGAAGGAGCACTGAAATTAGATATTAGACATTCACAAAATTAACTAAGATCCCAAGCATAAAGAGTTATTCAATAGCTTCTAATGGTCTGAAAGACAGAAAAGGTATCAAGCTAACTTTTTTTTTTTTTTTAATTTGAGATGGAGTCTCACTCTGTTGCCCAGGCTGGAGTGCAGTGGCACGATCTTAGCTCACTGCAACCTCCACCTCCCGGGTTCAAGCAATTCTCCTGCCTTAGCCTTCTGAGTACCTGGGAGTACAGGCGCACACTGCCACGCCCGGCTAATTTTTTGTATTTTAGTAGAGATGGGGTTTCACCGTGTTGCCCAGGCTGGTCTCGAACTTCTGAGCTCAGGCAGTCTGCCAGCCTCGGCCTCCCAAAGTGCTAGGATTAGAGGCGTAAGCCACTGCACCCAGCTCAAGCCAACTTTTGATTGATAAATTGTTCCATCTTTTTCCTAATGTCACAGTTGGTAAATTTGGGAAATTGTAAAACAAATGTGAGGTGATTAATTGCCCATGTTTGAAGCCTTGCCCTTTTTAGGTCCCTTCCTTTTCTCATTGCCCCATTTTCTATACTGTCCAATTATCTCTGACTTGGTATCCCTGAAATGGAAACAAGCTCTGAAGTATTTGCTTTATACCAACATATACCCTCCCTGATCGTCCTCCCAGATGGATTTCTGTTTCCTGCAACATTCACGCAGTGGCCTCTTTGTGGTGGAAAGGTGAAGGGTAATTTCCACCAAAAGCTTGCTGAGGTATGTTTTAATTAAGGAATGGGATGTAGCACTTTCCAGTTACATTAATGAAAATTCCCAGAAACAATTCTGCTTGGAAGGAAATATGTGTAATCTTCAGTTGTGTCTGCAATGCCTAGAAGTATGGACCCGTCCATTATCAAAAGTAGAGTTCACTAATCATGATATAAGACCCCACTCAGTCTAGAGCTGCATTGTCCAACCCAGTGACCATGAGCCATATGTGGCTACTGAGCATTCAAAATGTGCCTAGTCCAAATTGAGAAGTGCTGTTAGTGCAAAACATACACTGGATTTCAAAGAATTAGCATGAAAAAACTTTTAAAATATCTAATTAACAAGTTTAAAATATTGGTTGCATGTCAAGATGATATATTTTGGATATATTATATAAAATCTATTAGTAATATTAATTTTCACCATTTTTGAAGTTAAAAATGTGGCTACTAGAAAGTTTAGAAATGTGTATGTGGCTTACATTGTATTTCTGTTGGGCAGCACTGCTCTAGAAGACGGAAGAAAACACTACCCTTTTCATTGCATCACCTTTCAGTCCCTGTGAAGTCTACCCAGGATAAATATTCAGGGATCCATCACTCTCCCTTCTCCTCTCTTCCATGCCAGTTCCCCTGGGTATCCTCTAACCTCAACACTCCACCACCTTCCATTTGTCTCTCATTATGGGTGACACTCTTTAAGATGCTAAAGACCAAATGGATCATGGTTTTTTACTCTTTCTTGGAAGGGCATTGAGAGATCTATAGTCTCCCTTGTAGCAGAATTGATTTAGCTCTTTTAAAGTCTTCAGATAGGTACATTAACCATACAAACAAACTGTCCTCCTACTAATTTTGATGACCTTCCATGGCCAAGTTTTGAAGAGCTCTGATGCTAATATGATCTCAGACTCCTGACTTGATTCCACCAGATATCCTGTCCTACCATGCATGCAAAATAACTCTCCATAAAACCCACCGAATACTTTTCAATGTATTCCATGTATTTTCTTACTGCATCCTCACAGAATACATTGAATAAAGTAGATCTATTATAAAGCTCATTTTATAGCTATAGTTCCCAAAATGTAAAGTGTTTTGCACAAAGACTCAGAAAGGGCTAATCATAGAATTAGGTCATAAGCCCTAATTCTCTTCCAGGACCCCTGGTTCTCTACAGCAAGTGTAGAAAACAACAGAAAATGTGCTCACACTCTTACACAATAGCTCTAACCAGTTTCTCCTCCAATCCAGTTTTCACAATGTTGCCCGAGTTATCCTTTGAAAATGCAGACTTGTTTATATGTATTCGCTATAAAACAAACAAACACAAGCCAATCTTCACTGGCCATCGAATTACAACCAATCCCTTTAGTCTGCATAAGTGGACATTGATATGCCATCCCAGCCTTATTTCTTTCCTCTCCATCTGCAATCTCTGGAAGAAGCAGGTTGGGTTTTTCCTCTTCCACACTGCACCCAGCACCTGCTCAAATGCCACAACTCAGCACTTCTTGGGTCTTGTTTTCTCAGATCCTCTCTTCTGGCTCTTTCCATCACCTCTAAATCACTCACCCCCTTTATCTTCTAGCAAAGCCTTTGGGCTCAGAGCAAATGTCGACTCTATTGAAAGCTTCATCCAAACTTCCTCCAAACTTCCTAGGAAGAATTAATATCTTCCTTCTCTGGGTTTCTGTAATCCTTTGTACCGACTTTGTCCACTATACAGTACCATTATTACTATTATGTTAGAGTCAACTCTTGTGGTTGTCTCCTGCTTTAGACTGTGAACTTCTTGAGGACAGAGACTGTCCATCTTTGTATCTCTATGTGTAGTAGATGCTCAGTGGATGGTCCCATCCATTCTCATCTATATATTGGTGTTTCCCAGGTCTATCTGCTGAACTCAGCTTTCTCCCCCAGTTCCAGATCCAATCATCTGACAAATATCTCTCATCTGATGTTCCACAGGGACTTAAAGCTCATTGTGACTTAACTTGAACTCACTTCCTCCCCTACCCAACCTGCTTCTTCTAGAGTCCCTATCTCTGTATTTGACATCATCATCTATCCAGCTGCTCAATCCAGAGAGTGGGAGTTATCCTTGACTACATCCCCTCTTTTGCCGACATTCCTCTCCCTCATCCAAACAAACTGATGTATTACTTCTGCTTCTCAAAGATCAATTAAATCTGTGTACTTTATCCCTACTGCCATTATCTCAGGACATCATCATCTCTTGCCTAGATTACAGAAATTAAATCCTTTGGTGTCTCCTTGTCTTCAGACTTGCCTCCAGCTCCCAGAAAAGTATCTGGCATGTTGCAAGTACTCAATAAATGTATATTGAATGAATCAATCAATGGCTGTGCATAGATGAGTTCACATCTGGCGCAGCCACGCTCAAAGGAACCTCATCTGTTTGAAAATGTCCACTCGCTTCCTGATGGAACGACCCAGGAAATGACTTTAGAGCTGTTTGTTTTTGAATTGAAGACTTGAATAGTTTTCTTAACATATGTAGCACCCAGAAGCTTTCAACACATTTGTAGATCAGTCATGTCGGTTAAGTTTCACATTCCCCTATGAAATAAATGACCTTGAGAACTCCCTTTGGTAGCTGAGTCTCTTTTTTGCAGAGTTACAGAGTCTAAATCATTTTCCCAGAGTTAGCAAGGTGGCAAGGAGAAGAGGCAGGGCTCAGGTCAAAGCATGCAGTCTACAAAGGCTAGACCAGTTTGGCTAAATTTGGCCTCAGACTCACTGGAGCAGGCTTGGATCTCTCACTCAGTGGAAAGCTTGCTCCTCAGAGAGTAGCTCTGGCAAGGGGATACTGTAGGCCAGTGGAGCTGAATGAAAACTTCTGAGCCTCTGCTGACTAGAGGCCTGACACCTCATGCTCATAGCCTGTGGAGCCTGGGAGAGGGGCAAGTGAAGGAAGGCCTGGAACTTGGGCTTGAGGCTCTTCCTTGCCTCACTGTCATCAGTAGTTATGGCTGTCTCTTCCAGATTACTGCTGGAGATGTTAGGAACGATGTGCTCTCTCTCTCTCTCTCTTGCTCTCTGTCCTTAGTTTGCTTTCTGGAAACCAAAACTGCTGGAAATGCAGAAATGCTGTTGATGAAATCTATTTGGTAAGGGCAGAAAATTCAGAATTGTGAGTAATCACAGGATGCAAGAAGAATTGCTGCAGTCAGCTTTGATGCCAGGAAATAGGCTGTGGATGGGCACAGATAGTGGAAGAAAAGAATGGGAGCACATCTCAAATAACACTGCAGGTGGCCTGAGCTCTGGAGTGGGCCCACATCTTCCCTAGGCACCATGTGTAGCACTGCTGATGGGGAGCAGGAAGATTTCACTCATGTGGCTCTCAGTGGGTGCACACTGAGCACCACTGTGTGTGAGGCCCTGTGCCAGGCACTGGGCATGGAGCTGACGCAGCACAATCCCTGCTTCCTAGCCGCATAGTGTAGCCAAGCAGATAAGCTGTGCACATAAATAGCATGGTGCAAAATACAAAGTCATACATTTCACAAAAGAGATTTTTACAAGGTCCTGGGGCATCTAGAGTGGAGGGAACCAGGGGCCTTCTTCATGAGGGAAGAGGGATATTGTGACCTGTTAGGTTAGGTATTTAAGTTAGTTTTGGTGTAGTCAGGTGTGGCATAGTAAGAAACATTCAAACTGGAATGGCAAAACAATTACATTTATTACTCACAGACCCTGAGACATGAGAACAGTACACCTTTCAGGTCAACAGGAAGGGGAAGGGGACATCCAGAACACATGAGCTCAACCAGCAGATTGGAAACAAAAGAGAGGGAGGAAACTGTGGGCTGAAGCCTTGACTGGGATTCAGGGCATTGCCTATAGGGGTTTCCCATAGGAGGGTTGGATTGCTTAATTTGAAGGGAGTATGAAGCTAAGTGTGGGAACTTAGGGTTACCTTGTCAAGTTCACCAGGCTTGAAGCAGAAGTAAGGTGGTTAAGTGGTTCAGGGTACAGGGCCTTATCTGTCTAAAAAATGAAGATGGGAACTGGGTGAAGACCGTCTTGAAATATGTAGGTCAACTGTGACAAGCAGGGACAGGATAACAAGAAAGATGTTGCAGCAGCATTAATATAATGAGAATTATGACAAGACATTTCAACTGGGCTTAGACTTATATGTAGACTTGGATAAACAGAGAGTAAGAACATTCCAGAATGAAATAATTGCATATATAAAATCAAGAGCTAGGATTCATGGCAAGGAATCTGTTGCTAAAAGTTCTTCAAAACTCAGGAATAGGGAACCTGGCAGCTCTAGGTAATCTGGCCTTCTCTGTTGCTTCTGTGGATTTTAACCCCTGCTCCTGTGGCTGGTGGCTAAGGGTTTCTATTTCTATATGATTCTGGAGCTTTATGGCTACTTGGTTCTTAGCTTGTTAGTTACCCGCGAAATAATTCTACAGAGTTGATTTCCAGGGTATTGAGTCCTGTTCCCTGGTGGAAATCCTCTGCATAAAAGTTGTTGCTGACTTTCTTAGTGCACTCTCTCTGTATCTTTTGATTCCTTTACCATTTTCGTGCATACTGGCCCCCCACATGCTTTCCCTCCCAATGGCCAGCAAATGCACCTTTGTCGATGACTGCCCCAAGGCTGAGGGGCCTGCTTGGCCTGTGCCCATGAAGACCAAGATATGCCTGGGAATTTATGTCCTTCCCAGGGTCAGCCCTTGACTGGTGATAGATGGATGTAAAGTAGAAGTACTCTACTTTCGTTGTCCCCGACATGTGCCTAACCTGCCTCCAGAGACATTGTGAGGTTAAGCCAAAGTTTCCTCTGGGGACTTAGCTGGGCATCATACATTGCTTGACCTTTTTTCTTTCCTGATCCCACTTCCCCTTCACTTCTCCAGGTTTTCCCTAGAGAAAATTACTTCCTAATAAATTACTATCACTCAAACTTTCATCTCAAGGTCTGCTTCTGTGGAATCCAACTAAGACATAAGCCAAGTCTGGTAGGCAACATAATGCCCCCTTCAAAGTGTTCACATCCTCACCCTTAGGGCTTATGAATACAGCAAAGGGGGCTTTGCAGGTGTAACTAAGGTTGTAGATCTTAAGACAGAGAGATCATCTTGGGTTACCTGGGTGGGCCTAATCTAATCATGTGAACTCTTAAAAGCAGATAACTCTCTGGAAGGAGGCAGGAAGATGCAGCAGAAGAAGCAATCAGAGAGATTGGAAGCATAAGAAGGATTTGACACACGTTTGTTGCCTCTGAGATGCATGGGCCAAGTGCAAGGACCTGAGAGTGGCCTCTAGGAGTTGACATCTGGTAAGGAAAACAGAGGCTTCCATCCTATAGCTGCAAGGAACTTAATTTAGCCAACATTTTGAATGAGTTAGAAACAGATTCTTTCCAGTGCCTCCCACAGGCTGACACCTTAATTTCCACCTATGAAACCCAGAGCAACGAGACCAGTCAAGTCCACTCTTAAAAACTTTTTTCTTTCTTTTCTTTCTTTCTTTCTTTCTTTCTTTCTTTCTTTCTTTCTTTCTTTCTTTCTTTCTTTCTTTCTTTCTTTCTTTCTTTTCCTTTCTTTCCTTCCTTTTTCTTTCTCTCTTTCCTTCTTTCTTTCTCTTTCTTTCTTTCCTCTCTCCCTCTCTCTCCTTCCTTCCTTTCTTCTTTCTTTCTTTCTTCTTTCTTTCTTTCTTTCTTTCTTTCTTTCTTTCTTTCTTTCTTTCTTTCTTTCTTTCTTTCCTTCCTTCCTTCCTTCCTTCCTTCCTTTTTCTTTATTTCTTTTTGAGACAGAGTGTCACTCTGTTATCCATGCTGGAGTGCAGTGGTGCGATCACAGTTCACTGCAGCCTCTACTTCCCAGGCTCAAGCAATACTCCCACCTCAGCCTCCCGAGTAGCTGGGAGTACAGGCATATGCCACCATGCCCAACTAATTTTTGCACTTTTTGTAGAGACGGGTTTTCCCTTTGTTGGCCAGGCTGATCTCGAACTCCTGGGCTCAAGCAATCTGCCTGCCTCAGCCTCCCAAAGTGCTGGGATTACAGGCATGAGCCACTGTGCCCAGTCGTAGTTCTTTCTTTTGACCTGTAGAACTGTGAGATAATAATATGTATTTTTTTAAGCTGCCAAATTTGTAGTAATTTGTTACAGCAGCAATGGAAACAAATATACCCAAGTTTCACATAAATAATGTGCACACTCACTGTCTATCCTGGTGGTGACTTGTGCTGGGAATGTCATGAATTTTTTCCATATGACCACCCATACTTCAGATCCACACTGATGTAAAGATTTATGAAGTCTGTTGAGCTTTCCAAGGGCCGTCATTTCTTCTGCCCTCTCCCTGACCTCAATCTGGTTGCACTAGGGGTAGGGGCCTTAGTTTGCTTTATTTTCCTCTTACCTGTATTTTATCAGTGAAGGAATGCAGAGGACTGTGGAGATGGGACTTCTGGCAGTGCAGAGGGCATAGGCAGAAATGGGAAATCACTTGGTTGTGGTGAATTAGCTTGTCACCTGAGGGACAGGGGGAATTAGCACAGAGGGAGCTCCCACCAGGGCACTGAACTCCTATATTAGGTTCTCCAGGTTGAGATGTGTGAGTGCAAAGAGTGAAACTGCATTCGGAAATCCTGAGGTCCTTAGAGCAAAGGAGCTCGGCCTCCATCCTACAGTAGCAAGAATTGTTGGAGGCTCTCAGCAAGGGTCCTGGATTCTCCAATGACATATTTATTCTTTCTCTTCTGCATCTCTGTTGAAGCACGTGTGCTCCTTTTACCAATTATGAGATTTTTTTCCTGATCTTCTGTCTAACAATAACTTACTCTGAGCAGACACTCTGTAGTCTCAATATGTAATATTTTTTATCTACGTGCAGCTGCACACCTGTGCTATAGCCTTGAGGCCTGAATAGAAGCCGACTTCTCCACTGGGAGGTTTCCCTACATTACCACTCGGTGATATAGAAGTTTCTTCTATCCCAGTGCCTGACTCTGACAATCTGAACTGATGAAAGGTAAGAGAAATGACAATCTGAGCACCTGCTGCTCCCCAGGCTCTTTCTCTTTCTGCCTCCACCTATAGAGAGGCACCTCTACTTGTGAATATGCTCCCAGGCCTGTGGTGATGTCAGGTTGTATTAAAGGATAGAGCACAAGTCCTGCCCAAACAGACCTTACCCAGTGGTGTTCTTCCTGTTGCCCTGTCCTTAGCTTTTTTGTGTGTGTTTAGTTTTTGAGCACCCTGAGAATGGATTCATTTCTCAGGCAAATTTTACATTAATAAAGCTCATGAATAAGACTAACGTATAATGTAAATAGGCCAAATCCATCATTTACAAGAACTGTCTCAAGAAGCAAAATGTTTAAAGTTCAAATTAGTAGCACAGTCTTTCCCTGTTTTCAGAGTTAGTTGAAATTCAAATCGTAATCAGAATCCCAACTCTCATTTGCAGTGAAATCTCTGCCACGGAGAGAACATTCTGAAGCCCAAGGGGTCCACAGATATTCCCTGTAGTCAGCCATGCAGGAAGCCAAATAATCCAAAGGTTGATTGGTAAGGGTGGAATCAGAACCAGGGGAATTAAATAAATGTTCAATACTTGTGGCTTTTTCACTCCTGTAGTTCAGCGAACGAGAGTGGCGCCCAGCAGCTGCTTCTCTCCTGTTGTTTGCTGAGTGGGAGGGAGTGTTACAGCTCTTGTACTCTGCTGCCTACAGCTCAGCGGGCAGGAGTACTAAGCTCTTTCACTCCCACAGTTCGGCGAGTTCCAGGTTCTTGTCCCACGACCAAGAGGAATAACACACGTGGACACTGGAGAGTGAGTAAAGCAGAGTAGAATTTTATTGAGCGACAGAAAGACAGCTCTCAGTATCAAGAGGGGACCCAAAAGTGGGTTGCTATCTGTGAGGCTGAGTCCAGGGTTTTTCATGGGTCTAGAATGGGGTAGTGTGTGTTGATTGGTCCATGGATGGTCTTGGAAAAAGCACCATTCAATTGGGTAAAAGGCATAATTAAGAAGGAACCAATCCAGAGAGTGGGTAAAACCGGGATAGAAGTTCTCACTCAGTTGTGGACTCTGTTTGGAACTGGCAGCTTGGTTTTCAGGCTTTAAACTGTCCTTGGCTTGAAGGTGGGGTTTCACTGGGGACCCATCCCTGTCTGCCTAGGAATTTGTCTGTCTCCTGTCACTATCAATACCATCACGACATCATAGCTGGATGCTGTTCTCTTACAGTTGGGATGGTCTTAGAATGGCATTGGAATACTCAGAGTCCATTATCAAGGATTCACCATGTCTTTCTCCATCTTCATATTAAAGCTGTCTTTGCACCACAACCTAAATGCACTACTTCTGTTGGGCATGATCTTATCTTCACTGGACAGTGTTTAGCTTCTTAACATTCCAGTGTTCAGGGGATCTCTCTGGTTTTTGCATGGCTGATACAGGCCCTTTTCTAAGGAAGTTTCTTCTTTAGATACCAATATGTTTAATCTGTTTAGATAGGTCCTGCTAAATAGAAATCCCTTCTGACTTCTTGAGGTATGTTTTCTCCATTTCATTACAAATTGAATTTACAACTTGACTGTCAAGAAAAAATATTTCTGTCATTCTCATGTTCTCTCATTATGTATCCCAAACTTCTCAGAAAGTCATAAGCTTCACCATTTTCTCTCTATGACTTCCTGCCCTGATATTCTCTAGAAGTTCTAGGCTCCAAATGGGTATATAAGTCTTACATGGGATAAAGGTGCAGGGACAGGGTCTAACACCTTGGCCACTACAGGATATGTGCCCAACCAGCAGACAGCTACTCAGAAGTCTGATTGCTACAGAAGATATGCAGTGGGAGAGGGAAATTTTTTTTTCTTTCTTTCAAAAAAGCAGGGCTGGGTGATGGGATGAGGCATGGACCACCTATTGTCATTTATTTATCTATATCCATCTACCTTTTTAGTGAAAAATGTTACTAGATTTTGGCTATTGACTACAAATTGTGGTTTCAGCGTGGCTGTGAGTTTCTTAATTTGGGGGGTTATTTATAGTTTGGGGAAATCTCTATTGAGTGTTTCTCACTAGATTTAATCATAAATATAATTCCTAGTTCTTCAGCATATTTTGAGGTTTGTAGCTACAATGTCTAAACTTAAAACTATGAATATCATTAGCAAATGAAAGGCATTGTTACTGTCCTGGCTTCCCTCTTCCTTTGCACATGAATTTGGGCAGGTGAAGTTTTGGACATACAGCTCTAATTAATTGAGACTCAACAGCAATAACTTCATGATGTAAAGTAACTTCATGATAAGGGCTCTCCGAAATGTCAGCATTCATGTTGGCATCTTTCTAAAGAGTCTGTTGACTGTAAAATTGACTTTATGAATTTTAGAAATAGGTCAAGTTTAACAGGACCTTTAATAATTTCAAGACTCAGCATATGCCATGGGAAATGAAGACTGAAAATATTAAAAGTAAATATTTTAGGGGCAGTGTTCTTAGTAGGGAAAACTGAATATTTTTCTGAAGTGTTTGTGCTGTTGGCCTTCTGTTTATGTTCTTTCACAGGTTGTGATAGTTGGAAAATGGATGAGCTTGAAGCTGGTAAAAACAAGAATGGAATCCAATCAAAAGAGTTTAGATCAATTGATTTTACTTCTCTTTGAACTTTGCTTAACAGAAAAATGTGGGCGACGATATCAGGATTCAAGATACAACATACATAAAGTTGTCAGCAGGTGTTAATTTTTTCCTTTTGCAGCACCTTTATCTTCTTTTATTTTTAGTCACTTTTATTCTTTGACCCATCAATATCATCACATCTCATCTTTTTCAAATCGGGTACTTTGGATCAGTTTCTAGTCTATACATAATCCCAGAGATAAGAAAAGTTCCTTTATTTGAGGATAATTTGTCATGAACATTACTATCATGTTTTGACATTTATCAAATATTTGCTGGTTTGGGAAAGAGACCATTAGTATATAAAACCTCAACATCGCATCTACTGTATTGCTTAGGCAGGCAGAAGAATAAATGAAATTAAAGCATTTGTTCTTCTAAATTATGAGGTGATCTCATGTTCTTCATTCACATATGTAATATTACTCTTTAATCTTCTCCAAAATATGTTCTTATCTGTCAGCTGATTTAATTTGACCCTCCCAGACCACTTTAGGAAATTGTTTGATACTTTTTTTTTGTTGTTACAGTCAAGGAAACTGAGACACAAAAAGACACAAAAGACGCATACCCAGCTTTAGTGTCTTGCCCAAAGAATCCAAGGCTCACCAGTGCTAGATAGGTTTTTTTAATCCCCAGAGGAGCTACAGACACCTTAAATGCTATGCCATTTGCAGTAAGTATTTGCACATAGTCATGCATTAATCATGTTAATATTAATGTTATAAACACCCATGCATCTATTTTAAGGTGCACCAAGGTAACAGTTTGGCCACACGCATTATTTTCTTTTCGGATTTTTAATCATTCATAATATCTAGCCAATAACAATTTCAGTACAAATGGATTAGTGAGCATATTACAATCACTTCTACCTATAGTTATTGCCCTTGGAAAGACTTTATTCTCAGCTATTTATTAAGAGCTTCAAAACTCTTAGCATAACATAAATTAAATCAGATTATTTAAAATGGTCACTAGTGCATTATAATAGTTCTTGGTTGCAAATGTATGTTTTGTTATTTTTGAGTCCTTTGATTATGACTATACATTAGCAATAAATATAAATATATCATCAATCCAGCTTTGAAATCAAAGATTTTTAGCCAATTTACCCTATGTAAGTTCATAAAGCAATATCACCTTCTAACTTAAAGATAAAGTGACTTAAAACCGACTGAGCAGATGTGTTTAAATGCTCTTGCACCAATTCTAGTGTCTCCCAAGCAGAGAAACACTGTAAGAAAAGAAAACAAACTCACAGATTCCCTTCTCTCATCTACATTCAGCCCAAGCATGAAAAGTATTACCAGTAGCCAAAAAATGTAATTTAATTCACTCCTACTTGGATTTCCACCTGGACTTCATCATACAACAATGAGAAAAGAATATGTTAAATGCATACAGCCTATATAACATTTTTAATGAAATGTTGGTATGCCCCTCTACCAAATGGTCTGAAAAGACAAAACCCTTCTGCAAAGTAAAAAGCTATTTGTGGGAATCAGAAAGATATGTGGCTTTAAGCAATATTTCTATTTAAGCAAAATATCAGGAGTTCTTCATTTAATAAATGTATGTTCACAGTCAGAACATCTAAGTAAAAGCATATATGAAATTAAAGTTCAGTTTAAACAGTAAGATTTCCTGAAACTCATTTTTTCTTTTCTTCTGTGATAATTATTTTAAAATTAGGCTTCAAATTATTTTTTGCTTTATATGATGAATGATTGTCTTTCTCATTCTAAAATCTATTTTGCCAGAAATTCAGCTATTCTAGCTTTATTTTGGTGAGTATATTATATAATGGTATCTTTCTTCCACCCTTTTACTTTTAACCTAGCTAGCTATATATATATATTTTTTTTCCGGTTTTAAAGAGCAGAGAGTTTAATAGGCAAGAAAGAAGGAAGAAACTCCCCTGTACAGAGACACAGGAAGAGGGGCTCCAAAGCTGAGAGAGGAAACCCCGAGTGCCATGGAAATCAGCCAGTAATATGAGGAGGCTGGAGGAGGTGGTGTCTGGTTTGCATAGGGCTCAGGGGATTAGTTTGACCTGGTATGTCATTCACATAGCCAACGAAAAACTGGCCCTCCCACCCTAACCTTTTAATATGCAAATACAGGGCACCATGATGTCCTACACATGTGGGGATATGTGGGGGCGGCCATGTTGCCAGGCACATGTGGGGGCAATAACCTAGCTATGTCTTCATATCTAAGTGGGTTTTCTTGTAGACAGTTTCATGTGCGTCCGTGTAAAGAGACCACCAAACAGGCTTTGTGTGAGCAACATGGCTGTTTATTTTACCTGGGTGCAGGCAGGCTGAGTCCGAAAATAGAGTCAGTGAAGGGAGATAGGGGTGGGGCCATTTTATAGGATTTGGGTAGGTAAAGGAAAATTACAGTCAAAGGGGGGTTGTTCTCTGGCGGGCAGAGTGGGAGTCACAAGGTGCTCAGCAGGGGAGCTTTTGAGCCAGGATGAGCCAGGAGAAGGTATTTCACAAGACAATGTCATCAGTTAAGGCAGGAACAGGCCATTTTCACTTCTTTTGTGTGGAATGTCATCAGTTAAGGCAGGAACCGGCCATCTGGATGTATACATGCAGGTCACAGGGGATATGATGGCTTAGCTTGGTCTCAGAGGCCTAACATTCCTGTCTTCTTATATTAATAAGAAAAATAAAATGAAATAGTGGTAAAGTGTTAGGACGGTGAAAATTTTTGGGGGTGGTATGGAGAGATAATGGGCGATGTTTCTCAGGGCTGCTTCGAGTGGGATTAGGGGCGGCGTGGGAACCTAGAATGGGAGAGATTAAGCTGAAGGAAGATTTTGTGGTAAGGGGTGATGTTGTGGGACTGTTAGAAGAAACATTTGTCATTTAGAATTATTGGTGATGGCCTGGATACAGTTTTATATGAATTGAAAAACTAAATGGAATAAGAGAAGGAGAAAAACAGGTATTAAAGGTCTAAGAATTGGGAGGACCTACGACATCTAATTAGAGTGCCTAAGGAAATTCAGCATAGTCCTGTCAGCAAAGATTATTTATTTACTTCAAGAGTTAAGAGTGGCAGTTTGGGGATAGCACCAGGAGATATCAGCTGTGATGGCTTGGAGAAACAGTGTAAACCGGCAGTGTAAACAAGAGCAGGGCATGTATGAGTAGTTGAGAACGGTGAATAGGAGTATGACTAGACAGAAGATAGTAGGGATGACAAGTTTTTTTGGGGCACAGTCTAAGTTAGTCTGGTGTCTGGAATGAGACTGGGGCCTAACAAAAAGGAGCATCTATACAGGAGCTCAAATGGGCTGTACCCTGTAGCATTCTGAGGACAGGTCTGACTTCTGAGAAGGGAAAGTGGTAAAAGTATTGTCTAGTCCTTTTTAAGTTGGTGGCTGAGCTTGGTGAGGTGTATTTTTAAAAGACCATTAGTCTGTTCTACTTTTCCTGAAGACTGAGGACTGTAAGGGATATAAAGGTTTCACTGAATACTAAGAGCCTGAAAAACTGCTTGGCTGATTTGACTAATAAAGGCTAGTCTGTTATCAGACTGTATAGAGGTGAGAAGGCTAAACTGAGGAATTATGCCTGAAGGAAGGGAAGAAATGACTGCAGTGGCCTTCTCAGACCCTGTAGGAAAGGACTCTACCTATCCAGTGAAAGTGTCTACCTAGACTAAGAGGTATTTTAGTTATCTGACTCGCATGTTGAGTAAAGCTAATTTGCCAGTCCTGGGTGGGGGCAAATCCTCAAGCTTGATGTGGAGGGAAGGGAGGGGGGCCTGAATAATCTTGAGGAGTAGTAGAATAGCAGACGGAACACTGAGAAGTTATTTCCTTGAGGATAGATTTCCACGATGGAAAGGAAATGAGAGATTTTAAGAGGCGGGCTAGTGACTTGTACTATAGCATAGCCTGCCTTTGCTGGTGTGTGGCAATTAGGCCTGGTGGAACTGCCATTAATAAATCAAGCGTGATCAGGGTGAGGAACAGGAAAGAAAGAAGTATGGGGAAGTGGGGTGAATCTCAGGTGGATCAGAGAGATACAGTAATGAGGCTCAGGTGTGGTATCCAGAATAATGTGGGAGGCCGGATTGAAGTCCGGGCCAGGAACAATGGTAATTGTGGGACTTAACAAAGAGTGAGTACAGCTGAAGGAGCCGGGGAGCAGAAAGTATCTGCGTCAGGTATGAGGAAGAAAATAGATTTTGGAAGTTATGAGAAATGTAGAGAGTAAGTTGAGCATAGGTTGTGATTTTGAGGGCCTCTAAAAGTATTAGGGCGGCAGCAGCCACTGCACGGAGACATGATGGCTATGCTAAAACAGTAAGGTCAAGTTGTTTGGACAGAAAGGCTACAGGGTGTGGTCCTGGCTCTTGTGTAAGAATTCTGACCGCACTAACCATGCCTAGGGAGGAAAGGAGTTGTTTTATTAGGGATTGAGGTTTGGGAGATTAATCAGACATGATCAGCAGGGAGAGCACGTGTGTTTTTATGAGAATTATGCTGAGATAGGTAACAGATAAGGAAGAAATTTCAGCTTGACTGAAGTAATGGGGGCTGTCTGTGAAGCCTTGCGGCAGTACAGCCCAGGTAATTTGCTGAGCCTAATGGGTGTCAGGGTCAGTCTAAGTGAAAGCAAAGAGAGGCTGGGACGAGGGGTGCAGGGGAATAGTGAAAAAAGCATCTTTAAGATCGAGAACAGAATAGTGAGTTGTGGAGGAAGGTATTGAGGACAAAAGAGTGTACGGGTTGGGCACCATAGGATGGATGGAAAAACAATTTGGTTGATAAGGCGCAGATCCTGAACTAATCTGTAAGACTTGTCTGGTTTTTGGATAGGTAAAATGGGGGAATTGTAAGGAGAGTTTATAGGTTTTAGAAGCCCATGCTGTAGCAGGCGAGTGATAACAGGTTTTAATCCTTTTAAAGCGTGCTGTGGGATTGGATATTGGTGTTGAGCGGGGTAAGGGTGATTAGGTTTTAATGGGATGGTAATGGGCATGTGATCGGTTGCCAGGGAAGGAGTAGAGATGTCCCATACTTGTGGGTTAAGGTGGGGGGATACGAGAGGAAGACGCGAAGGAGGCTTTGGGTTGGGGAGAAGTGCAGCAATGAGATGTGGCTGTAGTCCAGGAATAGTCAGGGAAGCAGATAATTTGGTTAAAATATCTCAGCCTAATAAGGGAACTGGGCAGGTGGGGATAACTAAAAAAGAGTTCATAAAAGAGTGTTGTCCAAGTTGGCACCAGAGTGGGGGAGTTTTCAGGGGTTTAGAAGCCTGGCCGTCAATACCCACAACAGTCATGGAGGCAAGGGAAACAGGCCCTTGAAAAGAAGGTAATGTGGAGTGGGTAGCCTCCGTATTGATTAAGAAGGGGACGGACTTACCTTCCACTGTGAGAGTTACCCGAAGCTCGGCATCCGTGATGGTCTAGGGGGCTTCCGAGGTGATCGGGCAGTGTCAATCTTCAGCCGCTAAGCCAAGAAGAACTGGGAAGAAGTCAGAGAGCCTTGGGCCAGAGTTCCAGGGGCTCTGGGAGTGGCTGCCAGGTGAGTTGGACAGTCCAATTTCCAGTGGGGTCCCGCACAGATGGGACGCGGCTTAGGAGGAATCCTGGGCTGCAGGCATTCCTTGGCCTGGTGGCCAGATTTCTGGCACTTGTAGCAAGCTCCTGGGGGAGGAGGTTCTGGAGAAACGCCTGGCTGCTCCGGTTCAGGCATTTGGAAGTTCTTGTGTGCTGGAGATGTGGCTGGGGTTTGTCTCACAGTGGAGGCAAGGAATTGCTACTTTTTTCTATTATTGTACACCTTGAAGGCGAGGTTAATTAAATCCTGTTGTGGGGTTTGAGGGCCAGAATTTAATTTTTGGAGTTTTATTTAATGTCAGGAGCAGATTGGGTAATACAATGTATTTTGAGAATAAGACGGCCTTTTGACCTTTTAGGGTCTAGGGCTGTAAAGTGTCTCAGGGTTGCTGCCAAACGAGTCGTGAACTGGGCTGGATTTTTATATTTGATGAAAAAGAGCCTAAACGCTATCTGATTTGGGATAAAGAAAAAGGAGCATTAACCTTGACTATGCCTTTAGTTCCAGCCACCTTTTTAAGAATAAATTGCTGGGCAGGTCGGGGAGGGCTAGTCATGGAACGAAACTGTAAGCCAGACCAGGTGTGAGGAGGGGAGGTGATAAAAGGATTATAGGGTGGAGGAGCGGAGGCTGAGGAAGAATTGGGACCTAGCTCAGCCTGGTGAGGAGCAGCCTGGGGAGGAGAGGAGAGGTCAGAAGGGTCTGTAGAAAAGGAAGATTAGAAAGACTCAGTGACACCTGGGGTTGGGACTGGGGGGACAGATGGGAGGGAAAGAAGGAAGATTTGGGACGAGTTGCACTGGGCACAGAGACTAGGGAGGGACCGATGTGTAGAAGAATGCCTGGACGTCAGGCATCTCAGACCGTTTGTCCATTTTATGACAAGAATTATTTAGATCTTGCAGGATGAAAAAATTGAAAGTGCTGTTTTCTGGCTATTTGGAACTACTGTTGAGTTTGTATTGGGGTCAAGCAGCATTGCAGAAGAAAATAAGACACTTAGATTTTAGGTCAGGTGAGAGTTGAAGAGGTTTTAAGTTCTTAAGAACAGAGGCTAAGGGAGAAGAAGGAGGAATGGAGGGTGGAAGGTTGCCCATAGTGAAGGAGGCAAGTTTAAAGAAAAGGGAGAGTAGAGACAAGGAGGGAAGCGGTTTGGGGGTTCTTACCCTCCAGAAAAGTGGGAAAGGGGTCGGGGTGCAGAGATACGAGGTTGGGGCATGGAAATAAGGGATCAGGGCACAGAGATATAAGAGGTTGGGGTGCGGAAATAAGGGATCGGGGCACAGAGATATGAGGTCGGGGCATGGAAATAAGGGATTGGGGTGCAGAGATAAGAGGTTGGTGCGTGGAAATAAGGGATTGGGGTGCAGAGATATAAGAGGTTGGGGCACAGAAATAAGGGATTGGGATGCAGAGATACGAGGTTGGGGTACTTGCCCCTCCTCTAGAAAAGCGGGACTTGCTGCTAAGAGTGAGGGAGAAGGGGTTGGGGGTTTCTTGCCCCCCAGAAAGGTGGAGAAGGGGTAGAGACATGGAGAGAAGGGGTTGGGGTACTTGCCCCTACCCCAGAAAAGAGGGATTTGCCTCTAAGGGTGAAGGACCAAGGCAGGCATCCCTGCGTGGTCTGACACCTCTGAAACCTGGGTGAATAATCAGAGAGGTGTCCCTGCAATGATTAAACACCAAGGGAAGGCTGCCTTCCCTAGTCCGTGACTGGCGCCGGAGTTTTGGGTCCATGGATAAAATGTGTCTCCTTTGTCTCTACCAGAAAATGAAAGGAATTGAAATTAAAAGAAGGGAGAGATTGAAGATTGGAAAGGAGAAAGTGGTTGAGGGACAGTGAGAGAGGTTGGAGAAGAGAGTAAAAAGAAGCCGCTTACTGGATTTGAAATTGGTGAGATGTTTCTTGGGCTGGTTGGTCTGAGGACCTGAGGTCATAGGTGGATCTTTCTCACGGAGCAAAGAGCAGGAGGACAGGAGATTGATCTCCCAAGGGAGGTCCCCCGATCTGAGTCATGGCACCAAATTTCATGCGCGTCCCTGTGAAGAGACCACCAAACAGCCTTTGTGTGAGCAACATGGCTATTTATTTCACCTGGGTGCAGGTGGGCTGAGTCTGAAAAGAGAGTCAGCGAAGGGAGATAGGGGTGGGGCTGTTTTACAGGATTTGGGTAGGTAAAGGAAAATTACAGTCAAAGGGGGGTTGTTCTCTGGCTGGCAGAGTGGGAGTCACAAGGTGCTCAGTAGGGGAGCTTTTGAGCCAGGATGAGCCAGGAGAAGGAATTTCACAAGACAATGTCATCAGTTAAGGCAGGAACAGGCCATTTTCACTTCTTTTGTGTGGAATGTCATCAGTTAAGGCAGGAACCGGCCATCTGGATGTGTATGTGCAGGTTACAGGGGATATGATGGCTTAGCTTGGGCTCAGAGGCCTAACAGACAGCATGTATTTATAGTAGAGTCTAGCTTTTTAATCCAATCCGATAATCTGATGTTTAACTGGCATATTTACACCATTTACATTTAAACTGATTACTAATATATTTGAATTGAAATGTACCATGTCGCTGGCTGTTTTCTATTTGTTCTGTTAACCAAAATGAGTGACTAAGGCAAGAGTCTCTATCAATTGATGTTTATTGAGCTCGAGCTTGAGGGCATGCCCAAGATAAACAGGAGTCACAGAAATCTTCTGTGGCTTATATTCTCCCTGAAGGGGTTTTCAGGAGGCTCAGTATTTATACATTTCCTTAAGGGAGAAAAGGCGTGTAGGATAGGCAGAAGAATGATTGCTCTCACATTGTCTTTGTTCTGTACGTGAGAAAATAAGGATTATTAGTGTGAAGTCCAATAGACATATCATTGTTTTATGGGAGAATATACATCTTGAAAGGTTTAGAGGCCACCAAAGAACAATTGATGAGGGCAGTCATCCAGAGATGCCTGAGGCCTCTTGCCTTTCTGTGGGGCCTGGGTAATGTCAATGCTCTGACACAAGGTTGTGAAGCAATAGCTATTAATTTGGGGAAAAGATGGAAATGTTGCATGACTCTGTTTCCAGTTTCTTCTGGTGTAACTTTGCCCTTTGGCATAACAAGTTTGAGGGTCCTGAGATTATTTTTCTTTACAGTTTTGTTTTTTATTTTTTATTTTTTTTATTTTTTTATTTTTATTTTTATTTTTTATTAACTTTAAGTTTTAGGGTACATGTGCACGTTGTGCAGGTTAGCAACATATGTATACATGTGCCATGCTGGTGCGCTGCACCCACTAACTCGTCATCTAGCATTAGGTATATCTCCCGATGCTATCCCTCCCCCCTCCCCCCACCCCACAACAGTCCCCAGAGTGTGATGTTCCCCTTCCTGTGTCCATGTGATCTCATTGTTCAATTCCCACCTATGAGTGAGAATATGTGGTGTTTGGTTTTTTGTTCTTGCGATAGTTTACTGAGAATGATGATTTCCAATTTCATCTATGTCCCTACAAAGGACATGAACTCATCATTTTTTATGGCTGCATAGTATTCCATGGTGTATACGTGCCACATTTTCTTGATCCAGTCTATCATTGTTGGACATTTGGGTTGGTTCCAAGTCTTTGCTGTTGTGAATAATGCCGCAATAAACATACGTGTGCATGTGTCTTTATAGCAGCATGATTTATAGTCCTTTGGGTATATACCCAGTAATGGGATGGCTGGGTCAAATGGTATTTCTAGTTCTAGATCCCTGAGGAATCGCCACACTGACTTCCACAATGGTTGAACTAGTTTACAGTCCCACCAACAGTGTAAAAGTGTTCCTATTTCCCCACATCCTCTCCAGCACCTGTTGTTTCCTGACTTTTTAATGATTGCCATTCTAACTGGTGTGAGATGGTATCTCATTGTGGTTTTGATTGGGATGCCCTCTCTCACCACTCCTATTCAACATAGTGTTGGAAGTTCTGGCCAGGGCAATTAGGCAGGAGAAGGAAATAAAGGGTATTCAATTAGGAAAAGAGGAAGTCAAATTGTCCCTGTTTGCAGACAACATGATTGTATATCTAGAAAACCCCATTGTCTCAGCCCAAAATCTCCTTAAGCTGATAAGCAACTTCAGCAAAGTCTCAGGATACAAAATCAATGTACAAAAATCACAAGCATTCTTATACACCAACAACAGACAAACAGAGAGCCAAATCATGAGTGAACTCCCATTCACAATTGCTTCAAAGAGAATAAAATACCTAGGAATCCAACTTATAAGGGATGTGAAGGACCTCTTCAAGGAGAACTACAAACCACTGCTCAAGGAAATAAAAGAGGATACAAACAAATGGAAGAACATTCCATGCTCATGGGCAGGAAGAATCAATATCGTGAAAATGGCCATACTGCCCAAGGTAATTTACAGATTCAGTGCCATCCCCATCAAGCTACCAATGACTTTCTTCACAGAATAGGAAAAAACTACTTTAAAGTTCATATGGAACCAAAAAAGAGCCCGCATTGCCAAGTCAATCCTAAGCCAAAAGAACAAAGCTGGAGGCATCACACTACCTGACTTCAAACTATACTACAAGGCTACAATAACCAAAACAGCATGGTACTGGTACCAAAACAGAGATATAGATCAATGGAACAGAACAGAGCCCTCAGAAATAACGCCGCATATCTACAACTATCTGATCTTTGACAAACCTGAGAAAAACAAGCAATGGGGAAAGGATTCCCTATTTAATAAATGGTGCTGGGAAAACTGGCTAGCCATATGTAGAAAGCAGAAACTGGATCCCTTCCTTACACCTTATACAAAATTAATTCAAGATGGATTAAAGACTTAAACGTTAGACCTAAAACCATAAAAACCCTAGAAGAAAACCTAGGCATTACCATTCAGAACATAGGCATGGGCAAGGACTTCATGTCTAAAACACCAAAAGCAATGGCAACAAAAGCCAAAATTGACAAATGGGATCTAATTAAACTAAAGAGCTTCTGCACAGCAAAAGAAACTACCATCAGAGTGAACAGGCAACCTACAAAATGGGAGAAAATTTTCGCAACCTACTCGTCTGACAAAGGGCTAATATCCAGAATCTACAATGAACTCAAACAAATTTACAAGAAAAAAACAAACAACCCCATCAAAAAGTGGGCAAAGGACATGAACAGACACTTCTCAAAAGAAGACATTTATGCAGCCAAAAAACACATGAAAAAATGCTCATCATCACTGGCCATCAGAGAAATGCAAATCAAAACTACAGTTTTGTTTTTTATTTTCAAAATTTTTGCTTTTTTTCTGAGTTTGAGTATTTTATGTGTCACACGCATCTGTGTGAAGAGACCACCAAACAGGCTTTGTGTGAGCAACAAGGCTGTTTATTTCACCTGGTGCAGGCGGGCTGAGTCAGAAAAAGGAGTCAGCAAAGGGTGGTGGGATTATCATTAGTTCTTATAGGTTTGGGATAGGCGTACTAAGTACATTCTAAAGGGCGGGGAGAATATTACAAAGTATCTTCTTAAGGGTCGGGGAGAATATATGTATCAGTTAGGGTGGGGCAGGAACAAACCACAATGGTGGAATGTCATCAGTTAAGGCTATTTTCACTTTTTTGTGTATCTTCAGTTGCTTCAGGCCATCTGGATGTATACGTGCAGATCACAGGGGATATGATGGCTTAGTTTGGGCTCAGAAGCCTGACATTATGATGCCACTTTATCTCCTTCATGGACTTATTATTATACTTCTTTTTAAGTGTTTTTAGTGATTAATCTAGGGTTTAGAATAAGCATTAAAAATATGAATCTAGCTTCATATAATATATACACACTTTGCATATTTCCAATCCTCCCACTCATTCCTTGTGCCACATATTTTACTTTTACACATGCTATAAAGATATACTACATTGTTATAATTTCTGCTTTAAACAGATTTTTTTAAACAAGAGAAATAAATTAAAAATAAATATTGTATTTTCTTTTCATTTATTCTATTTCCAATGCTCTTCATTTCTTTGTGTGGCTTCTAGTTTCTGACTACACCAAATTTCCTCTGTCTGAAGAACTTCCTTAAACATTTCTTACAGAGTAAGTCCCTGACAATAAATGTCTTTCATTTTTGATTGTCTGAGAAAGTCTTTCTTTCTTTTTCACTTTTGAAAGATATTTTTGGAGAGTACAGAAGAATTCTGCATTGGAAACTTTTTTCTCTCAGCACTTTAGAGAGGTCATCTCATTGTCTTCCGGGTGTCATGGTTTCTGATGAGACATGGCTTAATTCTTATCCTTGTTCCTTGATGGATAACTTTTCTTTTTGTTACAGGAAAGTGGTCCCAATCCAGACCCCAAGAGAGGGTTCTTGGATCTCATGCAAGACAGAATTCAGGGTCAGTCCACAGTTCAAAGTGAAAGCAAGTTTATTAAGAAAGTAAAGGAATAAAAGAATGGCTCACGAGGTCAGGAGTTCAAGACCAGCCTGGCTAACACAGTGAAACCCTGCCTCTACTAAAAATACAAAAATTAGGCCAGGCGTGGCGGCTCACGCCTGTAATCCTAGCACTTTGGGAGGCCGAGGCAGGTGGATCACTTGAGGCCAGGAGTTTGAGACCAGCCTGGGCAACATGGTGAAACACCGTTTCTACTAAAGATACAAAAATTAGCTGGGCATGGAGGCAGGCTCCTGTAATCCCAGCTACTCCGGAGGCTGAGACAGGAGAATCGCTTGAACACAGGAGGCAGAGGTTGCAGTGAGCCAAGATCGTGCCACTGCACTCCAGCCTGGGTGACAGAACAAGACTCTGCCTCAAAAACAAAACAAACAAACAAACAAACAAAAAACAGAAAAACCAAACAAACAAAAAAACAGATAAAGCTAACTTGTGCTAGAACATTACCTGCCCATGTGAGGTGGTGAGTGACTAGACGGAAGCACATGGGAACTTTCTAGGGCTACAGGTATGTTCTATATGTAGATCAGGGTGGTAAATGTTTCCAAAGATGGTTGTAATAATCCCTCCCATCCTGTATGTGCTTTTCCAGTGTGACTTTTCCACTCTCCCACCACCACAAGCTTTCTCCTCCCATTGAATGTGGCCTAGTGCTGTGACCTTTTTTGACCAACCAAATGAAGAAGTGATGATGTATAAACTTTCAGACCTGTGCCTTCTCAGACTGCCATTCCCATCTTTGTCCCTTAAAGCACTCCTCTTTGGCATCCAGCTCCCATGCAGCTGCCTGGAGAGGCCCACATCAAGAAAACCGAGGCCCTACATCAGTAGTCTCAGCTGGTATCCAGTCTCGGTTGCCAGCCTTTTAGGGCTGTCCAGCCATTCCAGCCACCAACTGACATCAAAGAGCTCAACTCATAGTACACCTGTCAGCTTATAGAACCTTGAGGAATAACGAATTGTTCATATTTTAAGTTAGTCAGCTTTGGGGCAATATTTATGTAGCAGTAAGTAACCAAAACCTTGGGGCTATTAGTTCCATGGGCATATACATGTGGCAAAATTCATAGGATTGTACATTTATGATCTGAGCATTTTCCTGCATGTTAACCTCAGTAAAAATATTTATAAGTAAAAGCAAACCATCAGAGTATTATATAGTTGTGAAAACCCAAAAGCAATCATAATAAATTATAAAAATTTAAAGCCAATTCTATTAAAATCAGAAACTAGAAAGGGTGCTCTGGGATTCAAAATCTCTTTGAAGATTTTAGCTAATTCAATACACAGGAAATTGAAACTGCACAAGTTATGGAAAAGAAGACAAAAAAGATATTTGCTGGTGATAAACTGCACATCCAGAAAACTCCAGAGACTCTATTTGACAATATGATAAATTAATTAAAAATAAAAAGATGTGACTGGATTAACTGTGACTATACACATGCTAGTGGCTTTCTCTATATAAACCATAGTTAGAATAGAAATTTTAAAAATCCAATTTAAATTTAAAAAGTATAAAATAGCTTAAATAGCTATAAAAAGCACATGGAGAAAGCCACAAAATATTATTAGAGCTAAGATAAACTCTAAACTGAGGTATGCTATATACCTGGTTGGGAAAACATATCATAAAAATATTACCCTTTCATATGCATACATATACATACATACTTAACACAATTCCAATCACAATCCTAACATTTTTGGTTACCTGCTTCAAATTTATTTACAATTCATATGGAAGAATAGCTAAAATGGTTTTGAAAAGTAAAATGATGATTGCATATTTGCTTTATCAGCCATTAAAATTTATTATATAAAACTTATTGAAATTTGAAATGCATATTGTCAGAATAGTAAACATGAAACTGAGAGGCAGAGTGAAGAGTCTGTATGTAAATCCCAGAATGTATTTATGACAAAGTTGGCATTTCAATTCAGGGGTTTATTTAATATTAATATATGATGCTGGCCTAACGTGTACTTTACCTGCAAGAATGCAATATTGGGATTCTAAGTCTTAACATACATAAAAATACATTCTTGATGATAGAAGAAAATGGAGGATGAAAATGGATTCTTGATGATAGATGAAAATGGAGATATTTTAGGTTGGGAAGTTTTATCAAGGACACATATACATATTTTTTTTTGATACATTGAGAGGAACTCATGGTTTTGTATTGCCACTTTTGAAGACCCTATGCTGCATGCCTTTGTAAAATCCCAAATTTGGGAATGAGAGAAGAAACACTGGCTCTGCACACACATGTACACATGAATGTGTGCACTGAGACACATGCAAACATACTGAACTTATCCCTAGGTATTTTCTCATCTTACGTAAACGCTCTTGTCTTTCCAGTATGTACATGCTGCTGCTGCAGGGAGGTAAAAGGAAGGGAGTTGTGGAAGAAGAAAGGGAATGAAAAAGAAAGGAAGAGAAAAGGAGTGCCAAGGCATGTACCTTGGCAGAGTTGGCATGGATTGGGCATACCAGCTTCTTGATTCTTCAAAATGTCTTTCATCTGTTCTGAAGGATTTGGCAGTTTCTCCTGTTCTTTAGTTGCATTGTGTTGGTGGATGATAAGCCATTCTCATGCGTTTCTCTCAGTAACAAAATGTACCACAATTTCTTCTACCTGTGGGTTTCTAAAATACTTGGTTATTGCTTTGAAAGATATGTGAGATTGCAATCATTCCTTCAACAACAAATATTTGCTTCATTAACATAAAGTATATGCTCTGCTGCTCCATTTCCATGCTTTCTGCACACACAATGACTTTTTGTTTGATTGCTAAATCATAATGAAATCTTTCTGAAGATGTTTTCAATAACAAATTCTCATTGCTCTAACAATGCATATAACTCAGTTGAAGTGACAGCATTATGAACAGCCATGACCGAGTTTGCTCACGACTACTACCGAGTTTGCTCATGTCAGTTCTACCTCACTGACAGTGATTGTCCTTCTGATTTTACAAAAGTTAAACTATGTAGCTTGGCATGGTGGCTTGCGCCTATATTCCCAGCTACTCAGGAGGCTGAGGCATAAGAATTACTTGAACCCAGGAAGTGGAGGTTGCAATGAGCCAAGATTGTGCCACCACACTCCAGCCTGGGTGATAGAGTGAGACTGTCTCAAAAACAAACAACAAACAAACAAACAAACAAACACTATGAAAACATTTTAAAAGGTATGTTCTAGAATCAATGAGTTACATTAAGTTGCCTCATTTCTAACAGTTCTTTTTTTCCTTTTTGAGCACTTTCTGTAGCAGCTGTGCCTCCCACAAACAGGCCAGTGTGGGCCTGCATCCTGAAGACATAGCATTGGTTCAGGGAACAGCAGTGGCTCAGGCAGGCTCATGCTGTCAGCGGAAGCACCAGCACTGGCCGACAACACATCCCACTGTCATTGCACCTTCACAGTGGGGATAAAGAGCTGTCTTGTTTGGGATACACAGAGCATCAAGAAGCAGGATCCCTCTTGTGCAGGATTAAGAAAAGGCAGTTTGTTCGTGAGGCCCCAACAGGCAATTGCACAGGCATCCAAGGGCTGAAAATAAAGTACAGTCAGGCTCATGGACAGGGCCTGTGAAGTCAGAACATGAGGTCTCTAACTCTTGGGCCATAAGACTTCTCCTATTTCTGCATCTTCTGATTCCTCTGCATAGTAAACACTCAATAGCTACTTGGATAACTTTGGCTGTGGCTCACTATAGTGGTAGCAGGGTCCCAACTCTATACGACACAGGGTCTAAGCACAGGGACTTGGTTTTGTAATTCACATTCTTGACAGAGAAACTGGCTCAGCCCAGCCCATGGATTTGCTTTCAGTCCCATCCCACCCCTCCTCAGATGTCCATCTTTAGTCAACTGTGACCAATCTCAGGCTAGCCCTTCAGTAGGAACCATGAATGGGGTCGCTCTTTCCACCTCAAATGATGTGAGTAGAGAATTAACAACTGGCCCACCCAGGGCAGGAGCTTTTTAATTGTTATTAGAACTCCTGGAAGATGCTGCATGGGCCTGGCTCAATATTTTGTTAATTTGTGAATCTTAAGGAAAATTTCAACTTCCTCAGGAGCCTAACCATAGTAGCCAGGTTATATCTGGCTGTCCAGTCATGAAAAAAGAAAAGAAGATGAGACACGGGTTCAATTTTATCCCTAGTTTTAATATTGCCACTTTTTGTTTGCTAAAGTTCCATGTAAACCTATCAAGCTTAGAGTGCATTCCCTATGAACCAAACAGGCATCTAAGGTACCTAATGACAACCTACTAAGCCTGTTAGAGCCTCTGTTTGGAATTCTATGATCCCATAAGTGATAAATAGTGCAAAAGTAAGAATAGGATGGGTATAGGGGAAGGAAAGTTACTTCCATGGGTAGATGTGCATCAATGTGTGGATGGAGAGATGTACTTTACAGAATATTTCTTTCTTTCTTTTCTTTTCTTTTCTTTTTTTTTGATATGGAGTTTCACTCTGTCACCCAGGGTGGAAGGCAGTGGCACTATCTTAGCTCACTACAACCTCTGCTCCCAGGTTCAAGCAATTCTCCTGCCTCAGCCTCCTGAGTAGCTAGAACTACAGGCATGCGCCACCATGCCTAGCTAATGTTGTTTTTTTTTTTTTTGTATTTTTAGTAGAGACAGGGTTTTGCCATGTTGGCCAGGCTGGCCTCGAACTCCTGACCTCAATTGATCCACCAACCTTGGCCTCCCACAGTGCTGGGATTACAGATGTGGGCCACCGTGCCTGGTCCAGAATATTTTTTTTTAGGGATTTATCATAGGGTTTCTTTAAATCAGTATATTTTCAGAGTGAGTCATGTCACAAACAGAATGCAGCACTTATATTGCCTGAAGGCAGGTGTCCTCATAGGGTAAATAGGACACTAGTCTTACAGAAGAAAGTGACCTCTATCATAGACCAATGATGTGACTTTGGTTAGTTCCCTGGGTGAGTCCACACTTCAAACTCCCTCTCCATAAAATGTGGGGTGGATTGTGGCTTCTTGCCTAGTGGGCAGGCTCCCTGCTTACAAAGAATGCTGCTGCATTAGGAAACAAAAGTGCACACACTATTATCGACACTATGCAGATATGTCTTGGCTGACAGCCCTGCCCATTTTAGAATTTATTTAGGGTACCCAAGGCATTCTCTCCCCAAAGACTGTTTTGTATCGACAGTACATTTTGCTGCTGGCAGAGGCAGAAGAAACCAAGCAGGCTCTCTTTGGCCTAACAGACCTAACAGACTGCCACGTGTTTCCTGCAGATACTTGTGCTAAGAGAAGAACCAAATTCATATTCAACTTTCAGGTCTTCACCAGCGGAGACAACTTGACCAGAAATCCAAAGATAGTCAACCAGAAATATGCCTCCAGCACCCATGGCCATAAGTTTCTGGGTTCATGGGGATCTGGGGCTCCCCTGTTCTGGGCAATTCCTCCTAGCTGGGCTACTGGAAACAGATTTCCTAAATACCCTTTGGCTGAGTTCTTGAAAGGATGCAAATAGCTGGTTTCACCACTAGCTATTTCCTCCTTCCTCCAATGGCAGTTAATTCTAGGGTCAAGCCCTTTCTGACTCTCTGAGATGTTTCTCTGAGGAGACAAAGAAGCCCAAGTTTAGAGTGTGCTGGGAGTGAAGGAGAACCTTCCTCATTCTCATTTATTCAACATCTCGTCTTGTACACAAAAGAGATTTGAAAGCAGCTAGAGAAATATGGGCCAACAAAGAAGAATAAAAAGAAAATAGAAAATTAAAAAAAGAAGAAAAACAAAAGAGACTCAGAACAAAGAAAAATGAGAGTAGGAAAAAATGTGAAGGCTGATGGGGAAATGCCAGCGCACAATGTGTTTTCCCTGATGACTCTGAAAACATTGCTTGTGTTCACGGGTGCTTGATGGCTTTTCTTTCATGAGGAGGACACAGATATGACCTTGCCCGGACCCTGGGAGGGTGGGGAGGCAGAGAGACTAGCTAAAGGCAGTTCTGTGTTGCATCTGGGGTCAGTTCTCCCCTCTCTCCCACTTTCATGTCTCCTGACCACCCCTGTTCCTCCAGGAAGTAAGTGGACTGCTGCTCATCACCTGAAGGATGATGTCAGAAAACCCCCCAGAGTACAGTCAGAGGGCTGGTCAGATTCAGAACCCCAGCATCCTATTTGGGGCCTGGTAAGGAGAAAAGCCAGGAGCTCTGTACCAGCCAATCTGCTCCTAGTGTGTCCTTTTCTGACATGGCTGTGGCTGCTGGTGTCAAAGGGCTGGGGAAAGTGTGTAGGTGGCCCTTTCATGCAGCTTCCAAGTCCACCAGGGATGGACAGTGAAGGCCTAACTCTGTAAAGTATTCACTGCAGCTTTCTAGCTATGTGACTGCTATGGTTTGGATATTTGACCTCTCCAAGCCTTATGTTGAAATTGGATCCCAAGTTTTGCAGGTGGAGCCTAATGGAAGATGTTTGGATCATGGGGGTAGATCCCTCAGGAAGGGCTTAAAACACCTGCAAGAGCTGTTTGTTTGTTTGTTTGTTTGTTTTGTTTTAAGACACTCTGTCTTCCAGGCTGAAGTGCAGTGGCGCTATCTTAGCTCACTGTAGCCTTGACCTCCTGGGCTCAAGCGATCCTCCCTCCTCAGCCTCTCCAGTAGCTGGGACCACAGACATGTGTTACTACACCCGCCTAATTTTTGTATATATTTTTTATAGGCACAGAGTTTTGCCATGTTGCCCAGGCTGGTCTCAAACTCCTAGGTTCAAGCAATCCTCCTGCCTCGGCCTCCCAAAGTGCTGGGATTATAGGCGTGAACCACCATGGCTGGTGAGAACTGTTTTTTAAAAAGAGTCTGGCATGTCTCTCTCTCTTTTGCCTCATTTCTCACCATGTGATCACTGCACACGCTGGCTCCTCTTTGCCCTTTGCCATAAGTAGAAGTAGCCTGAAGCCTTCCCCGGGAACAAATGCTGGAACCATGGAACCATGCTTCTTAGACAGCCTGCAGATCTGTGGGCCAAATGAACCTCTTTTTTTTTGATAAATACCCAGCCAGCCACAAGTATTCCTTTTTTCTTTTTTTTTTTTTTTTTTGACACAGGGTCTCATTCTGTCACTGCAGTCTCAACCTCCCAGGCTCAAGTGATCCTCCTGCCTCAGCCTCCCCACAAGCATGTGCCACCACGCCTGGCTGATTTTTTAAATTTTTCTTTTGTAGAGACGTGGTCTTGCTATGTTGACCAGGCTGGTTTCAAACTCCTGGCCTCAAGTAATCTCATGCCTTTGCCTCCAAAAGTGCTGGGATTATAGGCGTGAGCAATCAGGTATTCCTTTATGGCAACACAATGGACTAAGACAGTGACATGGAGCAAACTGGTCAGTCTTCTCAAAACTATTTTAGATGAAGCTAAAATGACCTGTCTGAGAAGGTAGATATCTTTAAGTCAAATAGTAATGCATACTAGGGCCTAGTTAACATGACCATAACTTATTTATAAGAATCTAGTGAGTTAGTTGAATCAACCTGAACACAGAAACTTTTGATTGATTGGTAAGTTAGCATCCCGGTACTGGAAGAAGAGATAGACTAAGAGATCTGCCAGAGAAGTAGAGTTGCATGATGCTTAATGGTTGGAGTGTGGCAGAGAGGGCTCTTTCATTTATTTTGGGCAAGTTTCCAAACTTCCTTTAGTCTCAGTTTCCTCCTCTTGAAAATGAGAATAATCATAGTTAAATTCTTTACACATTTCGGGGGGATTCAATGGCTGGTATATGAAAGGTGTTTAGAATTCCGATTGTCATTGTAAGTGCTCAATGAACATAAGCTATTGCTACTACTTTAACAAACATTAATAAAAAGAGTAGCATCGACTTCCAGGAAATTACTAATTCTTCGTAGTGCAACATTGTTAGGACAATGTTATTCCCCCCTTGCAATGAGAGAATGAATACTGTTCTCATGAGGAGAGCCATACATGGAAAGCCATGCTCTCAGAGACCTGGCAACAGTTTTTGTTGGAAACTTATCTAATAGTACTCGTATTTCACTTTTACTCATTAAGGAGACAGTTGTGGATGAGGAAAAGAGTAGCAAAGAAGAAAACGTTTATCTGATGAGTTTTTTCCATGTCTTGGCCAACTCCCTCGCCATCTGCTCTTTATGTGGAATTGCTTTGTTTTCTTGGCGGTGATGGGATCCCAGGAAGGTTTCACACAACAGAGTATCAGCTGATATGGAGGTAATGGAGGATAAAGACTGAATATCCTTTTCTGAAGATGAATGCTATGTGCAAACATAGAAATTACACCAATTCTGCAATAGAAACCAAATTAGAAAAAGCCTGGATAATCCTATATCCTAAAAGAATTGGGTAAAATTTTTGAAAATGCATTAAGAAATAGATAAGGCTGACATAATTAGCATAATTTTTTCTATAAAATACTTAGTTTAAGAATGCTGAAGGGGAGTTATTCTGTAGAGTAGGTTAAACGGCTTCCCTTTAATCTCATTTACACTATTATATTGCTCAGCAAACTATTTCTTTTATAAAGGTGTTTGCTAGATGCTGTGGGGGAATGTTGGACAGAAATGAACCATGGACCTGCCCTCAAAGTAAACTGCATCTTGGACTACTTTTAAATGTTATGAATAGGCTCAAATTTAATATGGCTTGGTTGCTCTCTTTTGAAAGATGATGGGAAAATAGAGTTCTTTCTCTAAGAGTAAACCCAGGTTGATTTGGGCTTGCACAAATCAATAGAGGAAGGAAAATAAACAGACTTTGTGTGCTTGTGTGCAAGTTTGTGTCTGTATGTGAGTGTGTGAGAGTGTGTGCTGTGAAAGTGTGTGTGGTTCACTATTACACTTAGGGCCTGCCACACTACCACACAGTAGGCCCTTAGCGGACATGTGCTGAATGACTGAATGTTGAACAGGGGCAGGAATTTCTCTGTCCCCAGGAGCAAACCAAAGAACATATGCTCTTCCCTGTGAGGTGTTTCCTATGATAGAGAATCTATAAAGAACTGGGTAGATGGGGTGGATTTAGGGGGCAGCTGAGGTCACTAGTGGTTCAGAAACAAAGGATTTAGGGAGAATCCTGCACTCAAGGCTGAGGCGAGAAGGAGGAAGGTTTTGGAGTCCAACTGCCTTGACTTGGAATTGTGGCTCTTTCATTTAGCAGCTGGGTGATCTAGTTACCTTTTGTGTTGTGTGCTACATCCCCTTGGTCCCTGGCAGCCTCCGATTTCAGCTGCTGCTATGAAGGGCAGTTCTGTGCAAGCTCAAGTTCATCTTCCACTGACAGCTTCCCACTCCAAGGTTTAGTCTTTCTGCTCCAGGCAACTAGAACAACAACCCACAGGTACCCCAGAAGTGCACAAATGCTCTTACCTATGACATTCAGATGATGCATCTGGGGAGCCTCTTAGCGGGTCTTGATAGAATTTGACCCCCATGTAGCTGTGGCCTCAGTAACACAATCTGATACTGGGTTTTCCCCTTTCCCTCTCTCCCTCACCAAGTTTTATCATTTCTGCTTCCCGGAACCACCTATCTGAATTATCTGCACTGAAGGCCTTATTTCAGGCTGTTTTTAGGGAAACCCAAGTGAAGACAGCCTCATAAAACTGAGTGGTATACATCACGCGAAAGCAAAGCCCTCTGCAAACTCATCATTCTGAAAAGTGGATTAGTGACATGTGGCCTTCCTAGAAGAGGTCATTCTGGGTGCTCCTCTTTCCTAGGCAAGGGTCTTCAATGGGCAAATCTCACAATCCCCTTTGTTTGGGCAGAAGTGTAGGGCTAAGAGTCAGCTGAGTGAGACAGAAGTGGCCACCACTTGTTTGTGAGTTGACCCAATTGCCCATAAGAAAGGAGTTCATGCTCCCAAATATTTTATAAGGGGCTCTTCTTCCTAGGTAGCTGGAAACCTGGAGTTGTGCGGAGCAAAGTTGAGAAGGAGAAATGCCGGTAGGGGCCACCTGGCAAAGTCTTAAGTTCCACAAGGTCAAAACTAAGCATGTATCTCTCCACTTGCAAAAGTTTTCTACCACTTGAGTCCAGTGAGACAAACACTCACAAATCAGACAAAACAACTTTATTACTCACAGATTGACAGCAAAGTTAAACAAAGCCCAGGATTCATAGCATGTTGGTCCTCCAAGGCTCAGGAAAGCTGCCCAGGGAAGAGGGCGTCTTGTCTGTTCATGCCCCAGACGCAGGGCAGCTGAGGAACCCTGAAACCACCCCATTCTGGATTTTATATCTGGGCACAGCTGGGCTCATTAAGAAGAAGTGTTGCAGTGTTTTACCCCTCTCTGGGAGAAATAAGGTCACAATCTGGATTGTTCTAACACTTTCTCCCCATCTCAGGATGTTGTACTCTGCAGTTATTCTGAGAACTACAAACAGGAGACAGGAGGCCAAGTTGGCCAAGGTCATCTGGGACCTGTCCTCCTGTATCACCAAGTCCAGAGCCAAAGTCAGGAAAGGACAGCCATATCTATTCTCATTCAAAATCTGAAGCTGTCCTAGGCCCTTCCTGTCCTCACCTTCCACATCATTCAGTCAGTCATTGAGGTGCATCATTTCCACTTCCTAAAGACTGCTGGAATCCATCCACTTCTCTCCCTCTTCACTGTCACTTATAACATTGCAACAGCTTCCTGTCTGTCTTCTCAATGCATGGTTCCCACATAATACAGTCCTCGTGCACAGGAGCATGATTTATCTTAAAAAAAACCCATTCCCCTGCTGAGGCTCTTCCATGATTCTCCAATTGCTCAATTGTGACCTGCATGAGCAGGCCCTGCCCTTGGACTAGCTTCTCTCCACCCTCTTTCCCAGAGCTCCAATAGCAGTTTATTCTATTTATTTTATTTTTTCAGTTCGTTGTGTACTCCAAGCTTCTTCTCACCACTGGGAGCTTTAGCACATGCTGTCCCCTCTCCTGGGAGGCCCTCTTTATCCTGACCCCATACAACCTGGCCAACATCAGGTCTCATTGAAAGTTAATTTCCTCAGGGGTATTAAGTTCCCTGTTACACACTTTCATAGCACCTTGTGCTTTGCCTTTAAAATATTTGCCACTATTTATTTTTAATTACTTGGTTGTGCAATTATTTGTTGTCTGTCTCATTAGACTGTGAGCAATGTGGACAGAGTTCATATCTTTCTCATTGATTAATGTATATACAACATGTAAAATATTTCCTGGAATATGGTATCCAATTCTGAGGAAGAGAGAGAGGGAATGATGGAAAGAAAGAGAGCACCCATTAATTGGGCACTGAAAATGTGCCAGGCTTAAGTATTACATAGTCATTAATCTGAAATATACAATATATAAGGTAGGCACTATTGTCTCTTCTTAGATGTGAAGAAGCAGGCCTGGAGACATTAAGTAGCTTGCCAGTCACAGTGTTAGTTATTGGCAGATCTGGGACACAGACTAACTTCCATCTGATTCAAGGCCTCTCCACTGAGCTATGTTTTTAGGTGCACAGGATTCGCTTGGCCATGTCCTTGTTAAAGGCCAGCAGGACTTTACAACAGGCCTTCCCAATGGAGGAACTGCAAATTTTAGAAATAGTTTTGGTCTAGGCAGGATGGGCTCACTAGTTGGGCTGGTCTTGGGCCTCCAGGGGTCGGGGCTGGAGTGCTTCTGTAGGCTCAGCTGGGAGAGCTGGCAAAGACAGAGCTGAGGAAACAAGGACCTTCCAGAATGCCAGCAGCTGGGATATAGAAGACACCCTAGGCAGTGCTTGCCTTTAAAGAATTTGTCATTCTATTGGGGAGAGAGGCTTAATAAGCCCCATTCAAGACACTAACAACATGAAAGAGGATTGAGTTCAAGTACAATTGTTGGGAGTTACAAATACGCTTCAGTGTTTAGCCAGTATGGCCTGGACGTTAGTTTTAGAATTGAGTTCTTCATTTTCCATTCATGGTAAGGCATGACTGAAACTGGGTTTTATTTGTGTGGGTTGGATAGGGATGAGGGATAGCATTTCAGGTGGGAAGTACAACATGCATAGACATGGAGGTGAGACAGAGGATATGGGAGGGGAACAAGACTTGCGTAGGATGTCGCAGAAGAGGTATGTTTAGCCCAAACCAGGTTATTCTGCCTTCATTGAGCTAAGAGTTTCAGAAACAGAAACCAGTATCCCATTCTAGTTAAGCTTCATAATAATTTTAAAAAAAGGTTTCTGCACTCACATTACAAAAAGAGCTTCTGAATGCTTACTGTATTCAAGGCCTGGGCACAAAGTACTCTATGCCTTATCTTATTTGATTCCCACCACAAATCTGAACTTTAGGAACTTATACCATTCCCATTTGTCAGATGGAGGTGCAAAGGGAAGTTTTATAATGCCACTCAGATTAACTCACTGGTAAGTCATGGCATCAGCAGTCAAACCAAGCAGCCTGACTCTCAAGAGACACCTGTGCCTTCTTTTCTGTGCTCTGTGCTGACAACCTTCAATGGGTGGGCTATGGGCATAGAGTAGAGATGCCTGGTAGTTGCACATCTTTGGCAGACACATTAGCTAATTTGTACCTTGGAAATAGAGAATTTAGGGAATATTATCCTTATTTTGAAGGTAGGAAAATTAAACTTGAGGGGCCATTATTATCTAAGTATTAATAATGACAACAATAATAGTGACTCTCCATTGAGTGGCTAACACACCCTGCCAAGCATGCTGGCCTGGCCAGGAGGACTCCATTGGATAGTGAGTGCAACAGCCAAGGTCACACAGATACTCATCTAAGAGAAAAATTTGATCAGGACTCCAGGGGACTCTCCAGAGGCAGAAGATGTGGGCAGAGAGAACTAGCAGCCTGCTGTTTTAATTCCCAGAGGCAACCTGGTAGGACAGGTGGGAGTAAACTAGCAGAGGCTGATTGACCATATTGATGACACAAATTGCAATGCATACAGGGGCTAGCATCTTCCTAATGGTCCTCATTTGTCAGGTGGTAATTCTCATACCTAGCTTGGGTTGTTTGTCTTCTGTGGAATCAGTGCAAACCGGGGAATCACCACCAGCACACTGAGCTGCTATAGTCATTGTTTGCATCGTTCTTCTTGTTTGGGGAACTTCTACACAAGTGTTTCCTCAAATTTTTGGCCTTAGCAAGGCAGGACCTTGTCTCTACAAAAAATAAAAAATTAGCCAGGTGTGGTAGTGTGCACCTGTATTCCCAGCTACTTGGGAGGCTGAGGCGGGAAGATCGCCTGAGCCCAGGAGGTTGAAAAAAAAATTATTTTGGGCCTTAGGACCTTGTTATACTCTTATAAGTTATTGAAGATCCCAAAAAGAGCTTGTTTATATGGGCTATATCTATTGATACTTTACTACATTAGAAATTAACAGCAATATATTAAAAATATTATGTATTAATTCACTTTAACAATAAGATGTTAACGTAAGTAATATATTTGCATCATAAATGACTGTATTTTCCCAAACGAAAAGCTTTACTAAGAAGATTCGCCATTTCACATTTATGAACTAATGTTGGTTCTGGGATGCAGAGCTTGGCATCACAGGTCATGATTTTGCAGGAATTCTACTGAAAGTATTTCAACCTCTTTGTCCAGTATTTAGATAACATTTAGATACATTTTTTATGGATTTCTTTGGATGCTTAATGCCAGCACCGATGCTTTCAATTAATTGTCAACTCTGCATTTCCTGCAGGCTAACAGATTTACCTTCCAAAATGTGCTTTGGCCCATTGTAATTAATAATGTGACTTCCTGAAATAGGAGAGAGCTCTGGAGCAGGGAAAATGTGCATTGTGCCCCCTGAGTGCTGTGGATGGCTGCCAGAGCCAAGCCTGGGCTGCAGCATCGCATCAGGCAATAAGTCAGGGTGCTTGAGACTTGTGAGAGCAAACAGGGATGGAGAAAGGGATAAAATTCACTAATAGGGAGTTATTTATATGTTTCAGAAAGCCAATGAACATATCAAATAACAAAATAATGTTTGTTATGGTCTTTGGAGTGTGCTTTGAGGAAGCCTCTTCTGAAAATGATTCTGTTAGCCTGTTGTCCCTAAGCCACCCTGCCACCATGAGCCCAGGAAATTAGTCATCCATTAGCGGAGGTCTATGTCACAAAGCTGTTCTTCATAGACTTCTCTGACCTGCTGGCCTTTGTCCTGTGTTTCTTGCCTTCCCCTACTGTGTTCCTGAGCATACAAATATTTTCTCACTCATCATTTATTATTAAATCTTATTATTTCTATTTTTCATTGTGATGAAATACATGTCATATAAAATTTATCACCTTAATTTTTAAGTATACAGCTCAGTAGTGCTAAGTACATTTACATTGTTTTGCAACCAATCTTCAGAAGTTTTTCACCCTGCAAAACTGAAACTCTATATCCACTCATCAATAGCTTTCCATTCCTTTCCCTCCCCCAGCCTCTGGCAACCACCCTGCTACTTTCTGTCTTTATGAGTTTGACTATTCTAGGTACCAAATTTAAGTGGACTTATACAGTATTTGTCTTTTTGTGAATGGCTTATTTCACTTAGCATAACGTTCACATATAAGGTTCATTTATATTATAGCACATGTCAAAATCTGATTCCTTTTTAGGGTTGAATAATACTTTTTATATAGATACAGATACACACACACCACATTTTGTTTATCTATTTACATGTCAATGGACACTTGGGTTGCTTCCACCTTTTGGCTATTATAAATAATGTTACTAGGAATATGGATATACAAATATCTCTTAGGGACCCCACTTTCAATTCTTTTGGGTGTATACCCAGAAGTGGAACTGCTGGATCATATAGTAATTATATTTTTTATTTTTTTGAGGAAACATCATGCCGTTTTCCACAGCAGCTGTACCATTTTACATCCTCGACAACAGTACATAAGGTTTCCAGTTTCCCTACATCCTAACTATCACTTGTTATATTCTGTTTTCTGGTAGTGGCCATCCTAATGGGTTCTCATATTTGTACTCTCCACAACAGCATATGATGCATTACCTGGCCTATGGGATGGCCACAATAAGTGGCTTTTAAATGGAGTGCTCTTTAGTTTCAATAACATATTGAAACTACTCTCCTACAGGTCACCCTGCTCACCCTCAACAAAGCCATCTTTGACAGTGCACAGTGGTGATCTACATAAGGGTTGAGAAACTGTTGTACCTGAAGACAGTGCTTCCCAACACATCCTGTCCACACATGGGGAACACTCAACATTCTACAGATGTCAATTTTTCCTAAAAGAATCTTTAAAATTATGTTGGAGTTATCTGATACCACAATATAAAATTTATCTAAAAAATAATGCTGTGGGAACAGACACACAATTCCTGGAAAGAAAGAGGAGTTGGGCACAGGAAGACTATTTCTAAGCAATTGAAACCTGTTAAAATGGTATACAGCTGCCTTTACTGGAAGCCAGAGGGGCACTGCTGACCCGGTATGATGCAGATGGTTTTGTTCAGTACCCCTTCCTTGCTGTGGCCTGAGGTTTAACGTCACAATTACAAATCATAGTGCTGCTATTAGCATTTATCCTTGGGGAAACCTTGTTTCTTCTACTTATTTGCTATTCATTGCTTCCAGCTCTGGTTCTGGTCTATGGGTTGTTTTTCTTTTCTTTTCTTTTCTTTTTTCTTTTTTCTTTTTCTTTTTCTTTTTTTTTTTTTGAGACGGAGGCTCCATCTGTCGCCCAGGCTGGAGTGCAGTGGCACGATCTCGGCTCACTGCAAGCTCCGCCTCCCGGGTTCAAGCCATTCTCCTGCCTCAGCCTCCCGAGTAGCTGGGACTACAGGCGCCCGCCACCACGCCTGGCTAATTTTTTTGTATTTTTAGTAGAGACAGGGTTTCACCGTCTGGATCTCCTGACCTCGTGATCCGCCCACCTCGGCCTCCCAAAGTGCTGGGATTACAGATGTGAGCCACCGTGCCTTTTTCTCTCTTTTTTAAACTTTTATTTTGGGTTCAGGGGTACATTGCAGGTTTGTTATATAGGTAAACTGTATGTCATGGGGGTTTGGTATACAGATAATTTTGTCACTCAGGTAATAAGCATAGCACCCGATAGGTATTTTTTCTGATCATCTCCCTCCTCCCACCCTCCACCCTCAAGAAGGTCCCAATGTCTATTGTTCACCTCTATGTATCTATGTTTTCTTGTTATACCTCCTACTCATAAGTGAGAACATGTGGTATTTGGTTTTCTGTTTCTGCATTAGTTTGCTTAGGATAATGGCCTCCAGCTCCAACCACGTTGCTGCAAAGGACGTGATCTCATTCCTTTTTATGACTGCATAGTATTCCATGGTGTATATATACCACATTTTCTTTATCCAGTCTACCATTAATGGACTTTTAGATTGATCTCATGTCTTTGCTATTGTGAATAATGCTGCAATAAAGATACACATGCATATGTCTTTATAGTAGAATGATTTATATTCCTTTGGGTATATACCCAATAATTGGATTGCTGGGTTGAATGGTAATTCTGTTTTAAGTTCTTTGAGGAATCACCACAGTGCTTTCCACAATGGCTGAACTAATTTACATTCCCACCAGCACTATGTAAGTGTTCCCTTTTTCTCTGCAACCTTACCAGCATCTGTTATTTTTTGATTTTTTAATAGTCATTCTGAATTGTGTGAGATGATATCTCATTGTGGTTTTGATTTGCATTTGTCTAATGATCAGTGATGTTGAGTAGTTTTTCATATGCTTCTCGGCCACATGTATGTCTTCTTTTGAAAATTGTCTGCTCAGATCTTTGCCCACTTTTTAATGAGGTTGTTTGTGTTTTGCTTGTAAATTTGTTTAAGCTCCATAAAGAGTCTGGATATTAGACCTTTGGTGGATGCATAATTTGCAAATATTTTCTCCCATTTTGTAGGTTGTCTATTTACTCTGCTGATAGTTTTGTTTTTTGCTGTGCAGAAGCTCTTTAGTTTAATTAAATCCCCTTTGTCAACTTTTGTATTTATTGCAATTACTTTTGGTGTCTTAGTCATGAAATCTTTGTTCAGAATGGCAGTTCCTAGATTTTCTTCCAGGATTTTTATAGTTTGGGGTTTTACATTTAAATCTTTAATCCATCTTGAGTTGACTTTTGTTATGTGGTATAAGGTAGGGGTCCAGTTTCAAACTTCTGCACATGGCTAGCCAGTTTGATATTCCTTTGATGCCTAGTTTATTGAGCGTATTTTAGCATGAAGGGATGTTGAATTTTATTGAAAGCCTTTTTCTGCATCTGTTGGGATAATTATGTGGGTTAGTGCTATTTATGTCATTAATCACACTTATTGATTTGTATATGTTGAACCAACCTTGCATCCCAGGGATAAAGCCTATGTGATCGTGGTGGATTAGATTTTTGATGTGCTACTGGATTCTGTTTGGTAGTATTTTGTTGAGTATCTTTACATCTATATTAATAAAGGATATTGGCCTGAAGTTTTCTTTTTTGTTGTGTCTCTTTTAGGTTTTGGTATCAAGATAATGATACCAACTCATAGAATGAGTTGAGAAGGAGCCCTTCATCCTCAATTTTTTGGAATAGGGTCAGTAGGAATGGCACTAGCTCTTCCTTATACATCTGGTAGAATGTGACTGTGAATCCATCTGGTCCTGGGATTTTTTTTTAGTTGGTAGGCTTTATATTACTGATTTGATTTCAGAACTTGTTTTTATTCTGTTCAGGAATTCAGTTTCTTCCTGGTTCAGTCTTGGGAGGGTGTATTTGTCCAGAAATTTTTCTATTTCTTCTAAACTTTCTAGTTTATGTATGTAGAGGTATTCATCATAGTCTTTGATTTTTTTTTTTTTGTATTTATGTGAGGTGAGTGGTAACATCCCCTTTATCATTTCTAATTGTGTTTATTTGGCTCTTCTCTCTTTTTTTCTGTATTATCCTAGCCAGTGGTCCATATATCTTATTATTTTTTTCAAAAAACACGCTGCTGGATTTGTTGGTCTTCTGTGTGGTTTTTTCATGTCTCAATTTCCTTCACTTTAGCTCTAATTTTTGTTATTTATTGTCTTCCGGTAGTTGGTTTGCTCTTGCTTTTGTAGTTCTTTTAGTTGTGATGTTATGTTATTAATTTGAGATCTTTCTAACTTTTTGATGTGGACATTTAGTGCTATAAACTTTCCTCTTAACACTACCTTAACTGTGTCCCAGGGATTCTGATATCTTGTATCTTTGTTCTCATTAGTTTCAAAGAATTTCTCAATTTCTGCCTTAATTTCATTGTACACCCAAAGTCATTCAGGAGCAAGTTGTTTTATTTCCATAGAACTTTATGGTTTTGAGTGATTTTCTTAGTATTGATTTCTATTTATATTGTGCTTTGGTCTGAGAGTGTGATTGGAAGGTTTTTTTTTTAATTTGCTGAGTATTGTTTTCTGTCGATTTTGAGGTCAGTTCTGGAGTATGTGCCATGTGGCAATGAGAAGAATGTATATTCTATTGTTTGGGGGTGGAGAGTTCTGTAGATATCTATCAGATCCAGTGCTGAGTTCAAGTCCTGAATATCTTTGTTAATTTTCTGCCTCAATGATTTGTCTAATATTCCCAGTGGGATGTTAAAGTCTCCCACTATCATTGTGTGGGGGTCGGTTTTTGTAGTCTCTAAGAACTTGCTTTATGAATCTGGGTGCTCCCATGTTGGGTGCATATTTATTTAGGATAGTTAGATCTTCTTGTTGAATTGAACCCTGTGTACATTATACATGTACCATTACGTAATTTCCTTCTTTGTCTTTTTTGATCTTTGTTGGTTTAAAGTCTGTTTCATCAGAAACTAGAATTGCAACCTCTGCTTTTGTCTGTTTTTTGTTTGTTTGTTTGTTTGCTTGATAGATTTTTCTCTGTCCCTTTATTTTGAGACTATGGATGTCTCTGCATGTGAGGTGGGTCTCTTTAAGACAGCATACCATTGGGTCTTGCTTTTTTATCCAGTTTGCCACTCTGTGCCTTTAATTGGGGCATTTAGGTCATTTACATTCAAGGGTAGTACTAATATATGCATATTTGATTCTGTCATCCTGTTGTTAGCTGGTTATTATGCAGACTTGTTTGTGTGGTTTCTTTATAGTGTCACTGGTCTGTATACTTAGGTATGTTTTTGTAGTGGCTGGTAATGTTCTTTCCTTTCCATATTTAGTGCTCCTTTCAGGACCTCTTGTAAGGCAGTTCTGATGGTAACAAATTCTGTTAGCATTTGCTGGTCTGAAAAGGATCTTATTTCTCCTTCACTTATGAAGCTTAGTTTGGCTGAATATGAAATTCTTTGCTGGAAATCTTTTTCATAAAGAATGCTGAAAATAGGCCCCAGTAGCTTCTGGTTTGTAGAATTTCTGCTGAAAGCTCCACTGTTAACCTGATGGGGTTCCCTTTGTAGGTGACCTGGCCCATCTCTTTAGCTGTCTTTAACATTTTTTCTTTGATTTTGACCTTGGAGAATCTGATGATTATGTTTCTTGGGGATGGTCTTCTTATGTAATATCTTGCAGAGGTTCTCTGTATTTCCTGGATTTGAATGTTGAGGTTAGGAAAGTTTTCATGGACGATATCCTGAAATATAATTTCCAAGTTACTTGCTTTCTCCTCATCTGTTTCAGAGACACCAATGAGTTGCAGATTTAGTCTCTTTACATAATCCCATATTTCTCAGAGATTTTATTCATTCGTTTTTATTCTTTTTTCATTATTTTTTCTGACTGAGTTTTTTCAGAGAGCCAGTCATTGAGCTCTGATATTCTTTCCTCAGCTTGGTCTATTCTGCTATTAATACTTGCACTTGCATCGTGCAATTCTTGTAAGGTGTTTTTCTGCTCTGTTAGATCAGTTTGGTCCTTTCTTATAATGGCTATTTAATCTATCAGCTCCTGTATTGTTTTATTGTGATTCTTAGCATCCTTGGATTGCATTTTGATGTTCTCCTGAATCTCAATCATCTTCATTCTTATCCATACTCTGAATTGAATTCTATTTCTTTCATTTCAGCCATTTCAGCCTGGTTAAGACGCCTTGTTTGGGAACTAGTCTGGTCGTTTGGAGGAAATAAGGCACTCTGGCTTTTTGAGTTGCCAGAGTTCTTGTGTTGGTTTTCTCTTATTTGTGCAGGCTGATGTTTCTTCAATTTTTGAAGTTGCTGTCCTTTGGTTTGTTGTTGTTTGTTTTTTTTCTTTGATGCTTCAGGGGATTTGATTATGGTATAATGTGGGTTTGGGTGACTGGCTTTGATTCTAGTCCACTCATGGGTCTTGGAAGACTCTCCTTCAATTACTGTCTTCATGCTCATATTTCTTTAGTCGGGTGTTCTGGCCCATGGGGCTTCCTCAGACACAGGCTACAGTTGGCAAGAAAGCTGTATCCTTCCTAGGTCAGCCCCAATCTGCTGTCTGTTTGCTTCCTAGGGAAAGACAGGTTGTGTCTCTTCACAGAGCTCCGGCAGAATGCTGGGTTGGAAGCTCAAGTGGTTGTGGCCTATCTGACTACAGGTGGTGGGGGTGGGGTAGTTGCCTGCCCTACCATCTGGGTACTTCCAGGGTGATAGGAGGCTGTGCCCCTTGGTAAATTCAGGCAGAAATAGGACTGCTGAGGCAGAAGTTCTAGTAGGAATGGGTTTCCTGGTACCAGCAGCAGGAGTGGGTGGGGATGCCCACCCTGCCATCCAGATGCTTCCTGGGATAATAGCTGACTGTGCTCACTGGCTGAGTTCCCTCAGAAGCAGGATCACTAGTCTGGAAGCTCTAGAAAGTGTTGCTCACCAGACTACCAGTGGCAGGGGTGTGCAGGGTTGCATGATCTGACATCTGGGTGTTTTCTGGGACAACAGGAAGCTGCACCCTCTAGCTGAGTTCACACAGAAGTGGGGCCACTGGGCCAGAAGCTCTAGCAGGTGTTGCCCGTCTGGCTATCAGTGATGGGGGTAGGTGGAGTCATGTCCCTTGCCATCTGGGTATTTCTCAAGACAACACAAAGCTGCACGCTCCAGCTGAATTCCCATAGAAGCAGGAACACTGGGCCAGAAGCTCTAGTAGGCATTGCCTGCCTGGCTATAAGCAGTGGGAGTTGGTTGGGTTGCCTGCCACGCCATCTGGGTGCTTCCTGGGACAACAGGAGGCTGTGCCCATCAGCTGGGTTCATGCAGAAGCAGGGCCACTGGGCCAAAAGTTCTAGCAGGTGTTGCCTGCCTGGCTACCAGTGGCAGGTGTGGGTGGAATGTCACATGCCCTGTCATCTGGGTGTTTCCTGGGATACCAGGAAGGTGCACCCCGTGGCTGAGTTCACACAGAGATGGGGCTGCTGGGCCAGAAGCTCTAGCCAGGGGGATTCTCCCATTCCCAGTTTTGCACAGGTAGAGACCGTAAATCCCCCTGGTGGCTTTCACTTACTCACCCTTTCCCACATTGGAGAGAGTCTCCTGGCTTCATGCTGAGCCCAGATGGGCTGGTGCCCAGTTTTACTCCTCTCTGCTCTCTGTGTCCCCTGCTGCCTTGATGGATCTCAATGTGGTTTCTCAGAGGATCGGCCTGCAAGGTCAGTGTTCATTAGCCCTTTTCTTTCCTTTCCATGAAATGGTGCATATGAGCTGCTTCTAGTTCACCATCTTGCCACCCCCCATCACCCCCACTTTTTTTTTTAAGAAAGAGAGTTCTTTGAAGATTTTTTCAACTTCCTGCAAGCACAACAATTCAAAAAGTAAGTTTTCTTTATGATCTAGGTGTTGTGAAGTAAATGGTGGTGATTTGCAAAGTATCTAGTATATCATTGTGTTAATAATAGGTTCATTTCAGTAATCCAAATAATGCTTTAAACATCATCACCATTTTGTCTTAGTGAAATCAAGGCAGATGAACCTAATGGCAGTGTCAGTATCCTGACTAGACCTCAAGCCCCTAGCGCCCATAGTACCCCTCTTTTCAGATGCTGAGATGTCATGTTGCTTATCGAGTGGTTCGTGACTTGGTGACAAATGTTTTGTGGTTTGGAAGGTCAACCAAGTCTGTGGACCAGTTGGGTATCAGGAATGGCTTTATGCAGTCATCCCATCACTGTTCTGTCTCTTTACTTTTTCACTGATGGGCCAAACAGCTTTTCTGATTGTATTTTTTTAAAGAAACTCTTCTTCTAGGCTTCTGGACAAGCCAGAATTACTGTGTTGTGCTTACTGAAATTCAACTGTTTTCAATGTTGGATAGTGAACAACAGAAACAACAATGAGAGAAAAAGCCACCAAATCAGTTTCTAATTAGGCCATTCCTACTGGTGCTGGTGCTGCTCCTGCTGTCGTCTACCTCCTTGTGCTTCTGCTCTATTAACAGTGGTTACTTGGGCATATGGAAAAATGCCAAGACTTGTTTCTCCTTTTTTTTTTGAGATGGAGTCTCACTCTGTCGCCAGGGCTGGAGTGCAGTGGTGCGATCTCGGCTCACTGCAACCTCCGCCTCCTGGGTTCAAGCGATTCCCCTGTCTCAGCACCCCTGAGTAGCTGGGATTGCAGGTGCCCACCACTATGCCCAGCTAATTTTTTGTATTTTTAGTAGAGATGAGGTTTCATCATGTTGGCCAGGCTGCTCTCGAACTCCTGACCTCGTGATTCACCTGCCTTGGCCTCCCAAAGTGCTGGGATTACAGGCATGAGCCACTGCGCCCAGCCACCTTGTTTCTCCTCCTAAAGCCGGATAAGACTCCGACGGACCTGGGCTGGGAATTGGGGCACCTAGATTCGGGTCCAGCTCATCTTGCAAACATCACTTTTAACATTTGAGAGGCTCTACTGTCCTATTTGGATCTTAAAGCACCTTAAAGATTATCATACGGTAATTAAAGAGAGATGTTGTGAAGATTAAATGATTACTTCTGAAATGTTATTCAAATGGAAAGCAGCAGGAACAGCAGCAAACTCTTACTGAGCACCTAAAATACAGAAAGTGTTAGCTCAGTGAGAACAGCTGTATAATCAACAGAGATTGGAGGACTGGATTCATGAATAAAACCTAAATAACTGTGCAAGGGAGTACATGAAAATATAATGTGTGCCTAGGGCTGCCTTTTTGAAAGTGTGACCTACAGAAAAGACCACTGAGAATACTTCATGAAAAGAAGTTTTATGTTTAAATCTATTTGGAAAGTTCTGTATTTTATATTCATTCCCTTGGGAATTTACAATGGCTAGTGATTAATTAAAAATGTTCATGAATCCTGTAGCAGGTAACCCATGTAAGCCACAATTTCCTACACTGACTTGACCAAAGAACTGATTTTCAGTAACACCTGTTGACCTGAAGAGGAACACATTTTAGAAAAGCTGATCCAGATCTTGATACTGTGGAAGGATTGTCACAGGTGTGACATTTCTGTGCAAAGTGGCAGCACACAATAAGAGGTCAGTGGAGACATGAGCAAATCGGGGAGTGTCCACACAACAGAGAAGAAAAGGAGCTGGTGCACAGCAGTCTCGCAGATAAGTTTATAAAGGGAGAAGGTGTTAGCTGTCGAAAGCCTTGAATGCCAGGCCAAAGGAACTGGACTTACAGGAGGAAGCCCTGCCTCATAGTTCTTAATGGGCCTCCTCCCGAGAAACCTGTGAGCTTTGTAAGAAGCTGCCCATGGTCCTTGGCATGCATAACAGAGTCATCATTCCTCTTTCCCAGTCAAGAGACCATCATTTTGGATCTGTGTTCTCTCCAGTCTTTACTTATACCAATGGTTCTCAAATGTCAGCATGTATTAGAACAACACAAGGGGCTGGCTGAAACACAGATTGCTGGCTCTACCAGTGTTTCAGATAGGCCCGAGAATCTGCATTTTTAACAAACATAAGGTGGAGCTGTTGCTGCTAGTCTGGTAACCACCCTTAGAATAATCCTTCAGGAATACTTTTATTACTGATCCTCTTCTTGCCAACAGTTTCTGCACTGGTGGACATACACAGCACACAGATAATGGAGATACTTAAGATGGAACTTGAGAGAAAGATGGCTGCAGCCATCTTCCTTACTCACCAGGATCTCAGTTTCCCCACAGAATTGTACATGGCTTCATGCTTTAACCAAGACAGGGCTGGCAAACTGAAATCCTGGAAGTGTCCAGGTAGTCAGTGAAGATGAGTGAAGGAGGCCAGAGAGCCCACAGAAACACAGTTCACACAACTGATGCCATGCTAGAGTGGGGCCAGTGTTGTCAACAAGCCATCATTGTTATCTTTCTATAGGTAAAGAAACAGGGCTCAGTGAGGGTAGATAATGGGCTAAAGGTACCTCACCCAGCAGGTGAAAGAGCTCAGATTCTAAAGGGTCTAACTCCAAAATCTAAAGGGTCTAATTCTAAATCTAAGACCTTTCCTCTATATTGTCTCTGCGGATGTACCACCTCTAGGTCATGGCAGGAGGAGGTATGCAGAGTCTCCCTGGAAATCTGGATAATTTATATCTGCTGTTTCTTTCTATTGCTATTATGAGACAGAGCCACAGACACAGGGCAAATTCAGATTAAAAAAAGGGCTGAGTTTGGTAGATGCTTTCAGTTCTCCTCTACCAGGTTTAATCCTCTTGCTTCTCTATTACCAGCTTTTCACTCAGGTTTCTTGTCTAGGAGCTAATCAGGCCTTAATTGGAAATAGAAATGCATCTCTTGCTTGAGTCACAGGCTGTTAAGAAACCAGAATAGATGAGAGTTAGGCTTGCGTGAGTTTCGGCTGCTTCTACTAATGAAGCAAGCGCAAGCTGGAAATCTGCAGCCAATTTAAAGAAATGGTCTCTGTCTTGGTCTGTAGTACACAGGGTAAGGTTACCTGCTTTGATATTTGTGGCAGCATCAAGCTCCCGTGTCTATTTCAGATTCTTCATCAAATCCTAAAAAAAATTTGACCAAGAGTAATAACCGTCACACAAAATATCTCCCATGTCACATCACTCAGAATATAAGGAAGCATTATAGAGTACAGCCCCATAAATTCACTTATAATTTAGAATACTAATAAGATATGATAGACAAATTAAATTTGTTTATAAATACCCAACTCATTTTAGACTATGTTTTGCCCCAACATCCATTAATCTTTTGATTTAACAGGGAATGTAGGGTAAGTTGAACTTTATTTCATTTTTTTTTTTTTTGCATTGCCTCCATATTGGCCAGAGATAAGGGATAAGGAAGACAAGGCAAGGACATAGATGTGGAAAAGACCATTGGCTGTCCTTCAAAATTCACACTTCTCTGCTTATAAAGGTATTAGATCTTTTAGCTGGGCATTTGTTTTCTATTTTTCTCTGTCTATGTTGCAACTAGGTATGCTCATGTGATTAAGTTCTGGCCAATGAGATGCAAAGTGTCTTATGGCAGCTTCCAGTAGTCTTCCTTTAGAGAAAACAGCCTCTTATCCCTAGAAGCTTTTCTTCAATTAACACTTCATTTTGTTGATAGATCGCCAAAGGCAGACATACATTCTTTGCACCACCTTCCATCAAAAAGTGGAGTCTATTTCTTTACCCCTTGAATTTGGTGTTGGATGGGTCACATGTTCTGGCCAATAGGACATCAGCAAATGTGATATAAACAGCAATTGAAAGCACTTGCAGATTAGTCTTGCTCTCTCTTGCTTCTGTGAACCCTGAGCCTGTTATAGAAAAACTCTAAGTCAGCCTTCTTAGTGATGAGAGACCACAGAGATAGCAAGACCTCAGCCATGCCAGCCATCCCACTTGGGCCTAACTAAGACCCTAGATATGTAAGTCCATTGGAGACCACTAGGCCCCAGAAAAGCTGCCCCAGGAGAAAAAAATCTACCTAGCTAAACCACAGAATTATGAGAAAAACATAAATCATTATTACTTTAATCAGACTAGATGCAGAAGAATAAAGAGTGACTGGAAAACAAAACAGTAGAAAAGATTTAGACTGAAGCAAAGAGAAAAAAGATGCAAAACACTGAGAAGAGAGTAAGGTACAAATGGAACACAGTGAAAAGTTTTAATATATAAGTACTTGGAATTTCAGAAAGAAAGAGGAGAATATAATGGAAGAATGTGTAATAAATGGTGCTGGGAAAACTGGCAAGCCACACATAGAAGAATGAAACTGGACTCCTCACTTTATACAAAAATCAATTCAAGATGGACAAAGAATTAAACAGAAAACCTGAAACCATAAAAATCCTAGAAGACAATGTTGGGAAAATGCTTCTAGACATTAGCCTAGGCAAAGAATTCATGACTACGACCCCGAAAGCAAATGCAACAAAAACAAAAATAAATAAATGGAACCCAATTAAACTAAAAAGCTTCTGCACAGAAAAAGAAATAATAATCAACATAAAAAGACAAACCACAGAATAGGAGAAAATATTTGCAAACTACATATCCAACAAAGGACAAGTATTCAGAATCTATAAGGAACTCAAACAAATCAGCAAGAAAAAACCAAATAATTCCATCAAAAAGTGGGCAAAGTACATGAATTGACATTTCTCAAAAGAAGATATACACATGGCTAACAAACAAGAAAAGAAGTTCAACATCACTGATCATCAGAGAAATGAAAATTAAAACCACAATCAGATACCACCTTACTTCTGCAAGAATGGCGATTAAAGGCCGGGCACGGTGGCTCACGCCTGTAATCCCAGCACTTTGGGAGGCCGAGGCAGGCGGATCTTGAGGTCAGGAGATCAAGATCATCCTGGCTAACACGGTGAAACCCCGTCTCTACTAAAAATGCAAAAAATTAGCCGAGCATGGTGGCAGGCGCCTGTAGTCCCAGCTACTGGGGAGGCTGAGGCAGGAGAATGGCGTGAACTCGGGAGGCAGAGCTTGCAGTGAGCCGAGATTGCGCCACTGCACTCCAGCTTGGGTGACAGAGCTAGACTCTGTCTCAATAAATAAATAAATAAATAAATAAATAAATAAATAAAAATAAATAAATAAAGAATAGCCATTATTAAAAAGTCAGAAAAACAACAGATGTTGGTGTGGATGTGGGGAAAAGGGAATGCTTATACACCGTTGGTGGGAATGTAAATTAGTACAATCTTTATGAAAAACAGTACGGAGATTCCTTAAAAATCTGAAAGTAGATCTACCATTTGATCTAGCAATCTTACTACCCAAAGGAAAATAAGTCATTATATGAAAAAGACACTTACACATGCATGTTTATAGCAGCACAATTTACAATTGCAAAGATATAGAGCCAACCTAAATGCCCATTGACTGAGTGGATAAAGAAAATGTGGTATATATACACATTTGGAATATATACCACGGGGAATGCTACTCAGCCATAAAAGGAACAAAATAATATCTTTTGCAGAAACTTGGATGGAGCTGGAGGCCATTATTCTTTTTTTTTTGAAATTATACTTTAAGTTTTAGGGTACACGTGCACAATGTGCAGGTTTGTTACACAGGTGTACGTGTGCCATGATGGTTTGCTGCACTCATCAACTCATCATTTACATGAGGTATTTCTCCTAATGCTATCCCTCCCCCAGCCCCCCACTCCCCAACAGGCCCTAGTGTGTGATGTTCCCCACCCTGTGTCCAGGTGTTCTCATTGTTCAATTCCCACCTGTGACTGAGAACATGCAGTGTTTGGTTTTCCATCCTTGTGATAATTTGCTGAGAATGATGGTTTCCAGCTTCATCCATGTCCCTGCAAAGGACATGAACTCATCCTTTTTTATGGCTGCCTAGTATTCCATGGCATATATGTGCCACATTTTCTTAATCCAGTCTATCATTAATGAACATTTTGGTTGGTTCCAAGTCTTTGCTATTGTGAACAGTGCCACAATAAACACACATGTGCATGTGTCTTTATAGTAACGTGATTTATAATCCTTTGGGTATATAACCAGTAATGGGATCCCTGGGTCAAATGGTATTTCTAGTTCTAGATCCTTGAGGAATCGCCACACTGTCTTCCACAATGGTTGAACTAATTTACACTCCCACCAACAGTGAAAAAGCGTCCTTATTTCTCCACATCCTCTCCAGCATCTGTTGTTTCCTGACTTTTTAGTGATCACCATTCTAATTGGTGTGAGATGGTATCTCATTGTGGTTTTGATTTTCATTTCTGTGATGACCAGTGATGATGAGCATTTTTTCCTCTGTCTGTTGGCTGCATAAATATCTTCTTTTGAGAAGTGTCTGTTCATATCCCTTGCCCACTTTTTGGTGGGGTTGTTTTTTTCTTGTAAATTTGTTTAAGTTCCTTGTAGATTCTGGATATTAGCCCTTTGTCAGATGGGTAGATGGCAAAAATTTTCTCCCATTCTGTAGGTTGCCTGTTCACTCTGATGGTAGTTTCTTTTGCTGTGCAGAAGCTCTTTAGTTTAATTAGATCCCATTTGTCTATTTTGGCTTTTGTTGCTATTGCTTTTGGTGTTTTAGCCATGAAGTCTTTGCCCATGTCTATGTCCTGAATGGTATTGCCTAGGTTTTCTTCTAGGGTTTTTATGGTTTTAGGTCTTACATTTAAGTCTTTAATCCATCTTGAATTAATTTTGTATAAGGTGTAAGGAAGGGATCCAGTTTCAGCTTTCTACATATGCTAGCCAGTTTTCCCAGCACCATTTATTAAATAGGGAATCCTTTCCCCATTTCTTGATTTTGTCGTGTTTGTCAAAGATCAGATGGTGGTAGATGTGTGGTGTTATTTCTGAGGCCTCTGTTCTGTTCCATTGGTCTGTATATCTGTTTTGGTACCAGTACCATGCTGTTTTGGTTACTGTAGCCTTGTAGTATAGTTTGAAGTCAGGTAGCATGATGCCTCCAGCTTTGTTCTTTTTGCTTAGGATCGTCTTGGCTATGTGGGCTCTTTTTTGGTTCCATATGAACTTTAAAGTAGATTTTTCCAATTCTGTGAAGAAAGTCATTGGTAGCTTGATGGGGCTGGCATTGAATCTATAAATTAGATTGGTCAGTATGGTCATTTTCATGATATTGATTCTTCCTATCCATGAGCATGGAATGTTCTTCCATTTGTTTGTGTCCTCTTTTATTTTGTGGAGCAGTGGTTTGTAGTTCTCCTTGAAGAGGTTCTTCAAATCCCTTGTAAGTTGGATTCCTAGGTATTTTATTCTCTTTGTGGCAATTGTGAATGGGAGTTCACTCATGATTTGGCTCTCTGTTTGTTTATTATTGGTGTATAGGAATGCTTGTGATTTTTGTACATTGATTTTGTAACCTGAGACTTTGCTGAAGTTGCTTATCAGGTTAAGGAGATTTTGAGCTGAGATGGTGGGGTTTCCTAAATATACAATCATGTCATCTGCCAACAGGGACAATTTGATTTCCTGTTTTCCTAGTTGAATACCCTTTATTTCTTTCTCTTGCCTGATTGCCCTGGCCAGAACTTCCAACACTATGTTGAATAGGAATGGTGAGAGAGGGCATCCTTGTCTTGTTCCAGTTTTCAAAGGGAATGCTTCCAGTTTTTGCCCATTCAGTATGATACTTGCTGTGGGTTTGTCATAAATAGCTCTTATTATTTTGAGATATGTTCCATCAATACCTAGTTTATTGAGAGTTTTTAGCATGAAGGGCTGCTGAATTTTGTCGAAGGCCTTTTCTCTATCTATTGAGATAATCATGTGGGTTTTGTCTTTGGTTCTGTTTATGTGATGAATTACATTTATTGATTTGTGTATGTTGAACTAGCCTTGCATCCCAGGGATGAAGCCCACTTGATCATGGTGGATAAGCTTTTGGATGTGCTGCTGGATTTGGTTTGCCAGTATTTTATTGAGGATTTTTGTGTCGATGTTCATCAGGGATATTGGTCTAAAATTCTCTTTTTTTGTTGTGTCTCTGCCAGGGTTTGGTATCAGGATGATGCTGGCCTCATAAAATGAGTTAGGGAGGATTCCTTCTTTTTCTATTGATTGGAATAGTTTCAGAAGGAATGGTACCAGCTCCTCTTTGTACCTCTGGTAGAATTCGGCTGTGAATCCGTCTGGTCCTGGACTTTTTTTTGGTGGTAGGGTATTAATTATTGCCTCAATTTCAGAGCCTGTTATTGATCTATTCAGCAATTCAACTTCTTCCTGGTTTAGTCTTGGGAGGGTGTATGTGTCTAGGAATTTATCCATGTCTTCCAGATTTTTGAGTTTATTTGCATAGAGGTTTTTATAGTATTCTCTGATGGTAGTTTGTATATCTGTGGGATCAGTGGTGATATCCTCTTTATCATTTTTTATTGCATCTATTTGATTCTTCTCTCTTTCTTCTTTATTAGTCTTGCTAGCAGTCTATCAATTTGGCTGATCTTTTCAAAAAAACCAGCTCCTGGATTCACTGATTTTTTGAAGGATTTTTTGTGTCTCTATGTCTTTCAGTTCTGCTCTGCTCTTAGTTATTTCTTGCCTTCTGCTAGCTTTTGAATTTGTTTGCTCTTGCTTCTCTAGTTCTTTTCATTGTGATGTTAGGTTGTCGATTTTAGATCTTTCCTGCTTTCTCTTGTGGGCATTTAATGCTATAAATTTCCCTCTATACATTGCTTTAAATGTGTCCCAGAGATTCTGGTACGTTGTATCTTTGATCTCGTTGGTTTCAAAGAACATCTTTATTTCTGCCTTCATTTCTTTATTTACTGAGAAGTCATTCAGGAGCAGGTTGTTCAGTTTCCATGTAGTTGTGCGATTTTGAGTGAGTTTCTTAATCCTGAGTTCTAATTTGATTGCACTGTGGTCTGAGAGACAGTTTGTTGTGGTTTTTGTTCTTTTACATTTGATGAGGAGTGCTTTACTTCCAATTATGTGGTCAATTTCAGAATAAGTGTGATGTGGTGCTCAGAATAATGTATATTCTGTTGATTTGGGATGGAGAGTTCTGTAGATGTCTATTAGGTCCGCTTGATGCAGAGCTGAGTTCAAGTCCTGGATATCCTTGTTAATCTTCTGTCTTGTCTATCTAATATTGACAGTGGGGTGTTAAAGTCTCCCATTATTATTGTGTGGGAGTCTAAGTCTCTTTGTAGGTCTCTAAGGTCTTGTTTTATGAATCTGGGTGCCTCTGTATTGGGTGCATATATATTTAGGATAGTTAGCTCTTCTTGTTGAATTGATCTCTTTACCATTATGTAATGGCCTTCTTTCTCTCTTTTGATCTTTGTTGGTTTAAAGTCTGTTTTATCAGAGACTAGGATTGCAACCCCTGCTTTTTTTTGTTTTCCATTTGCTTGGTAGATCTTCCTCCATCCCTTTATTTTGAGCCTATGTGTGTCTCTGCACATGAGATGGGTCTCCTGAATATAGCACACTGATGGGTCTTGACTCTTTATCTAATTTGCCAGTCTGTGTCTTTTAACTGGGGCATTTAGCCCATTTACATTTAAGGTTAATGTTGTTATGTGTGAATTTGATCCTGTCATTGTGATGTTAGCTGGTTATTTTGCCCGTTAATTGATGCAGTTTTTCAGAGCATCGATGGTCTTTACAATTTGGCATGTTTTTGCAGTGGCTGGTACCAGTTGTTCCTTTCCATGTTTAGTGCTTCCTTCAGGAGCTCTGGTAAGGCAGGCCTGGTGGTGACAAAGTCTCTCAGCATTTGCTTGTCTGTAAAGGATTTTATTTCTCCTTCACTTATGAAGCTTAGTTTGGCTGGACATGAAATTCTGGGTTGAAAATTCTTTTCTTTAAAAATGTTCAATATTGGTCCCCACTCTCTTGTGGCTTGTAGGGTTTCTGCAGAGATCTGCTGTTAGTCTGATGGGCTTCGCTTTGTGGGTAACCTGACTTTTCTCTCTGGCTGCCTTTGACATTTTTTTCCTTCATTTCAACCTTAGTGAATCTGACAATTATGTGTCTTGGGGTTGCTCTTCTCGAGGTGTATCTTTGTGGTGTTCTCTGTATTTCCTGAATTTGAATGTTGGCCTTTTGGGGAAGTTCTCCTGGATAATATCCTAAAGAGTGTTTTCCAACTTGGTTCTATTTTCCCTGTCACTTTCAGGTACACCAATCAAACATAGATTTGGTCTTTTCACATAGTCCCATATTTATTGGAGGCTTTGTTCATTTCCTTTTACTCTTTTTTCTTTAAACTTGTTTTCTTGCTTTATTTCATTAATTTGATCTTCAATCACTGATACCCTTTCTTCCACTTGGTTGAACCAGGTATTGAAGCTTGTGCATGTGTCATGAAGTTCTCGTGCCATGGTTTTTAGCTCCATCTGATCATTTAAGTTCTTCTCTACACTGTTTATTCTAGTTAGCCATTCATTTAACCTTTTTTCAAGGTTTGTAGCTTCCTTGCAATGGGTTAGAACATGCTCCTTTAGCTCAGAGAGGTTTGTTATTAACGACCTTCCAAAGCCTACTTCTGTCAACTTATCAAAGTCGTTCTCCGTCCAGCTTTGTTTTGTTGCTGGCAAGGAGCTGTGATCCTTTGGAGGAGAAGAGGTGCTCTGGTTTTTAGAATTTTCAGCTTTTTCTGTTTTCTACCCATCTTTGTGGTTTTATCTACCTTTGGTCTTTGATGTTGGTGATCTACAGATGTGGTTTTGGTGTAGATGTCCTTTTTGTTGATGTTGATGCTATTACTTTGTTTGTTAGTTTTCCTTCTAACAGTCAGGTCCCTCAGCTGCAGGCCTGTTAGAGTTTGCAGGAGGTCCACTCCAGACCCTGTTTGCTTGGGTATCACCAGGGGAGGCTCAGTTGGAAATGCAGAAATCACCTGTCTTCTGCAATGATCATGCTAGGAGCTGCAGACCAGAGCTGTTCCTATTCAGCCATTTTGGAATGGACTGCTGGAGGCCATTATTCTAAGTAAAGTAACACACAAGTGGAAAACCAAATGCCCTATGTTTTCATTTATAAGTAGGAACTAAGCTATGAATACTCAAAGGCTTACAGAATGATATGATAGACTTTAGAGACCCAGAAATGGGAGGGTGAGAGGAGGGGTAGGGATAAAAAACTACACATTAGGTAAATGTACACTACTTGGATGATGAGTGCACTAAAATCTCAGAATTCTCCACTATAAAATTCATCCATGTAACAAAAAACCACTTGTACCCCTATTGAAATAATTGTTTAAAAAAAGAATATGATAGAAGAAATATTTGAAAAGATATGGCTAAAAATATGACAAAACTGATTAAAGGGTTTAATGATTCATTGATCCAAGTGTTCTGTAACCACAAACAGAATGAATACAAAGAAAACCAGACCTAGGCGTACCATAGTGTATTAGTCTGTTTTGGCTACTATAACAAAATACCGTAGACTGGTGGCTTAAACAACAGACACTTATCTCATAGTTCTGGAGGCTGGAAATTTCAAGATCCAGGTGCTGGGTTTATTTGGTTCCTGGTTAGGGCCTGCTTCTTGGCTTGCAGATGACTGTCTTCCTGCTGTGTCCTCACATGATGGGGAGGGAAGTGAGGAAAGTGCGGGGATTGGTGGAATGGGAGGTGGGGATGGCGGTGGGAGTGGGGATGGGAAGAGCAAGCTATCTAGTCTTTTCTTCTAAGAGCACTAATCCCATCATGAAGACCCCATTCTCATGAACTCATTTAAACCTAATTATTTCCCAAGGGCTTTGTCTCCAAATATGATCATATTGGGGCCTAGGACTTCAGCATATGAATTTCAGGAGGTAAAACAGAGTCCATCCCACATAGTAGGCCTGCTGAAAAATCAAATATGAGCAGAAAACTATAAAAGTAACCAGAAAGGAAAGACACTTGTATTCAAAAGAACAACAATCGGGCTGATATCTAACTTTTCAATAGAAATAATACAGGCCACAACAAGACATGATGTTATCTTTAAACTTCTGGAAAAGAATAACTGCCAGCCTAGAATTATATACCTAGTGATAATATTCCTCAAAAATAAAAATGAAATAAAAACATTTTTTGACAAAAGTAGAAAATTTGTCACACATAAGCCTATAGTAAAAGAAATACTAAAGGGAGGTTTTATGACAGAAAGAAGATGATCTGGGAAGGAAATATGAAAATACAAGAAGAGATAAAAATCATCAGAAAGGGGAAACAAGTACATTAACATGACGGAATAATGACTGTGCAAAAACAATTTATTTTGAGAATAAAAATATATGTGGAGTTCAAAATGCATGACAACAATAATACAAAAGATGAGAATGGAGGTAAACTGCTAAAATTTCTTAGTATCATCAGGGAAATGGTATAAGTATTTATTTTAGAATGAAATAAGTCAAGAATTCATGGTAAAATCTCTAGTATATCCATTATTGGCTGGCCAAATTTATAATGCACAAGCTAATAGAGTTTAAAATTGGAATGAAAATATTTCATCACTCCAAAAGAAGTCAAGAAAGATGATTAAAAAGAATCTGAAACAAATAGTTCAAATAAAAATAACCTAAAAAGTATATCTAAACTCAGTTTATATTTAATGCAAAGGGACTAGGTAATTTCAATATAAAAATTAGATTCTCAGACTGGGAAAAAAGAAAAAAAACAACTATATATTTTTACTTTGTGTAAAAAAACAGAAAAGTTGAAGGTAAATATATGGGGGAGGGGATGGGGGCAGGAAGAAAGCTGTACCATGCAAATACCAACCAAAAGAAAGCACAGATGGCTTCACTGCTGAATTCTTTTAAACTTTTAAGAAATAATACAAATCTTTCACAGATTCTTCCTGAGAACAGAAAAGGAGGAATACTTCACTTTCCAAATCTTGATTTGTTCAACTTAATATTGATATTAAGACCTAACATCAAAAAAGGAAAATTACAGGCCAATATCTCTTAATACTATAGGTGCAAAAATCCTATTAAAAATACTGATAAATCATGTTCAACAATATATAAAAAAGGTTAATCTGAAGTTGAGTGTTTCCTAGAAATTCAGCGCTGGTTTGAAATTCAAAAATTGATTAACATAATTTAACTACATCAACAGAAAAAGGAATAACAATAAACTATTTTAATAATTGTAGAAAAATAATTTAATAAAAGTAAACACTCACTTATAATGAAACCCTAGAAAAGTAGGAATATAAACAGACTTAATCTAGTAGAATATATTACACAAAACTTGTACAAATCATACTAAATAGTGAAATAGTGAACGTTCTGCCCCTGAGACCTGCAGTGTGACGAAGATGCTTGATCTCATTGCCTGTAATCAACATTGCACTAAAGATTTTAGGCATTGTAACAATGTAAGAAGAAAAGTGGAAGTATTAGAAAAAAAATTGTTATTATTTGTCATTATTGGCTGGCCCAAAGCATCTATAGACAGACTTAGAATAAGTGAACTTTTAGAATTAATAAGTAAATTAAAAAAGTACTTGAGCTAAATGGTCAATATATAAATGCCAATGATATTTCTTTATATTAGGAAAAAACAATATGGAAAATAAAATTTAAATTTTATTTTATGAATGCAATTTACAATTGTATAAAATGTATCAAAGATTTAGGAATAAATATAATGAAAGATGTGCAAGACCTCTATGTTGAAAACTAAAAATCACAACAGGAAGACTTCAAAGAGTACCTATACAAATAGGGAAAATATACACTGTTTATTAAATAGAGCACTCAATATTGCAAAGGTGTCACTTCTCCCCAAACTGACCTACAGATTCAATGCAACTCAAGTCAAATTACATAAGGCTGTGTCTTGGGGACATTTGATAGGCTGATTTAAAGTATTATAGGGAAATGCAAAAGGACCAGTATAGCCAAGCCAATGTTGAAGATGAGGTTGAGAGATATTGAGATTATTATACAATTATATTAATCAATATAAGTTACAGCAAATAGATCCATGGAACAGAATGTAGAGGTCTGAAACAGACCTATATATAAGCATCACCTGATTGTCACAAAAATAACACCACAGTGGAATGGAGAGAGGAGGGTCCTTTCAATAAATGATACTTGAGCCCCTACTTCACACTATTCACAAAACCCAATTCCAGTTAGATTATTGATTTAAACTTAAATGGCCAAGCTTAATGTTTCTAGGAGATAGCATAGAAGAATATCTTCATGACTTTAGTATAGGTAAAGGTTTCTTGAATGGGACACAGAAAGCATGAATACTTAAGGAAATGATTGATAAATTGAGATTTATTAAAATTAAGAACTGTTTCATTATGAAAATTCCATTAAGGAAGTGAAAGATACCCCAGAGTGGAAGAAAATATTTGCAATGCATGTATTAACAACATAATGAATTTTGAGATATCATTGTAAAAAGATAGACAATTCAATAGAAAAATGGGCAGTTCACAAAAGGGGATATAAGACATATGAAATATGCTCAGCATCAGGAAAAATGCAAATTAAAACCACAAGAACTCAAACTCTATGACCCAGTAATTCCATTGCTAGATATATGTCCCACAGAAATGCTCTCTCCTTCCCCACATCTCCTTCATATTCTCCAGCTCCTAGGGGGCCCCTTTCCCAGTACCTCTGGTCAGAAAGGCATGGTCCATGCAACCTGAGTTGCCTTCTGGGCAAATCAGTGAGAAAAAAAGATAAAAGAAAAAAGTAAATAAAAGGAATCTTCCCATTTCAAGTCCTTCCCTGAGAGAACATCCATCTCTCTAACCAGAGGACTGGGAAATAAAGTGAAAATAAAATAAAACAAAGCTAAAACAATACACAAACTTCCCCCTATAGCAATATGGAAGTATGGAAACTGTATGGAATGCATATAAACTGGTTAGACAGAATAATCATAGCACAAACTTAGTCAAAAATAAAACCTATAATTGACATTGAATTTATTTGTTGCTTCCTAATAGACAAAAAATGAGAGGGGGATATGATTGCATCGGATTGACTCTTTGGACTCTGTATCTAAAGCTTTTCTTAAATGTTTCCACTTTCAGAATCTTTTTTTTTTTTTTAATCCTCAAGCAATGGTTTCTGAGCTGGCAGCCAATTTCTCAGAGAGCTGGGAGCTGCCACAGTGTTGGAAGGAGTGGACCGTTAGCCTCTGAGACATCCCCTGCTTGTCAGCATCAGCTCCAGGAATACAGGGGAAGTTGGAACAGACCCACAAGTGTCTCCAAGGGGCTAAGTGGAAGAGAATGGCTGGTCATCTATTCTTTGTTCATTCATTTAGCACATGTCCACTGAGTGTCCCACACATGCCTAGAACTCACTCATCAGGGGACACAGACCCAGGCTCCCCTATACTTGTTAGTCACCATTTTACTTCCTTCAAACACCTTTTGCTTCCAGCCCTGGAGTGAGAGCTGACTGTGTAGTCCCTGCCTGAGTGTCCTAAGACCATGAGGCAGGGCACTTGAGCCTGAGACTTGAACATCAAACCCGACACTTGATGGCAAGAACACGAAAGGCTGCATTTGGGAGCATCTTCAGAGAGAACTAGTCAGTTATGTGACCCCAGGCAAGGCACTTTACCTCTCTGAATCTCTTTTCTTTGTCTACAAAATGGTGAAAACATAGTGACCTACTCAGAGGGTTACTGTGAGATTAATAATATAACTCTGTAAAATATATACTGGACACAGTAGAATCTTTACCCAACAAATGCAATCCTTTTCCTCCTTCTCTTCTTCCTCTTACAATCTCTTGGCTGCTTCATCAATCTCCCACTTGGACCTTAAGCCACACCCTGAGACCTGGAGAGGCTTCCAGAAAAAAATATCTTTCTGCTAGGGAGAGCACCCTTCCACCTGGGAAACACAGAAAATGAAAGTAGCTGGGTCTCTACCCCACCAGCCTTGTGAAGTCAGTATGCCTTCACAAGCTCTAGGGCAGTGCTGCTCAAACTTTAGTATTCACTCAAACTACTTGGAGACCTTTGTCAAATATAGCTTCTGCTTCAAATTGGTCTAGGGTGAAGCCCTGGATATTGTATTTTTACCAGGTGGTGCTGATCATGCCAGCTCATGAACTACACTTTAAATGGCTCCTTCCACCTCAGAGCATCCAGCCCCAAACTTCTTCCTATCTGGCATCCCCATTCATACCTCCTATTATACCCTCTCTTGCTTATCCTCCAAGAAGGAATGTTCTGAGGGTGGTTGCTTCTCTTTCTGGGCCCAGCCACACTTGGCATTTCATTCTTTCCCTCACCAAGCTCCAGATGCTGTGGAGGGAGCACAGCCAATCACCCTGAAGAATGAAGCCCTCAGCCTAGGAGCACTAATGTACCAGTCCCCAGCAAAATTTCACACAGCCTCCACTAACAACCACATTCTTAGACACAAAGGAAATCACAAACACTACTGATGCTACTTACAGTCAAAGAAAGTATATGAAGATTACACTACTGCACACAATCAGAATCAAAGGCAAAGTATCCTACTCAACCAACATCACAGATAGGTCTTCAGGAAAAAGTCCTTGCCTACAAAAGCAAATCCAAAAAACTGGAAGAAGTGATTGTCATACCAGGTATAGATAGCAGTGTAAAAACTTTAGAAACATAAAAAAGCAAGAAAATGTAACACCTCTAAAGGAACGTTCTCTATTGCTGGAGAATAGGCTCATTGGAATCTAGCAATAGAGTCCAATGAAAAAGACATTTATGAACTCCTGGATAAAAAATCCATAATATTGACATTCAAGAAGCTCAGTGAAATACATGATAACACAGAAAGATAATACCAAAAAATCAGAAAACAATTCAAGATATGAAAGAGAAATTTACCAAAGAGGTAGATACCATAAAAAAGAACCAAACAGAAATTCTGGAGCTGAAGAATTCACTTACTACAAAACAAAATACATTTGAAAGCTTCAATAATAGACTAAATCAAGCAGGAGAAAGACTTTTAGAACTTAAAGACAGGTGTTTGGAAATAATTCAGTCAGACAAAAATAAAGAAAAAAGAATATAAAAGAACGAACAAAGCCTATGTAATATATAGAACACAATAGAGTGACCAAATGTGTTTAAATTTTTGGTGTTCCAGAAGGCAAAGAGAAAACAAAAGAGATAGAAAACCTATTTAATGCATAATTGCTGAAAACTTTCCAACTCTAGCAAGAGATTTATACATCTAGATACAGGAAGCTCAGAGATTTCCAAACAGATAAAATTCAAGAAGTTCCTCTCCATGGCGTATTATAGCTAAACTGTCAAAAGTCAAACACAAAGAGGGAATTCTAAAAACAAGAGAAAAGCATTTACTCACATATAAGTGAACTCCTATCAGATTTATAGCAGATTTCTCAGCAGAAACCTTACAGGCCAGGAGAGAATAGATGAATAGAATGATATATTTAAAGTGCTAAAAGGAAAAAAAAAAACACCCTGGCAGCTAAGAATACCATACCCAGCAAAGTTCTTTCATAAATAAAGGAAAAATAACATCTTTGGCAGACAAGCAAAAGCTGAAGGAATTCATCACCACTAGACAAGTTCTATAAGAAATGTTTAAGGGAGTCCTACACCTGGAAGTGAATGAATGGTATCTACCATCATGAAAATACATGAGAGTATAAAACACACTGGTAGAGAAAACAAACAAATAAGTAAGAGAAAGAATTCAAATGTTACCACTACAGAAAACCACCAAACTCCAATGACAAACAATAAAAGAGAAAGAAAGAATATATTAAATATTTAGAAATTAGTTAATAAAGTGACAGGAAAAAACCCTCTCATATCAATAATAACTTTGAATGTAAATGGTCTAAACTTTCCACTTAAAAGATATAGACTAGCTGAATGGATTAAAAAACATGATCAAACTATTCCTGCCTGTAAGAGCTCACCTCACCTATAAAGACATATAGATTGTAAACGAGTGGAAAAGGATATTCTAAGGAAACAGAAACCAAAAGTGAGCAGGAGAAGCTATACTTATATCAGATAAAACAGAGTTTAAGTAAAAAAAAAGATAATGATAATTTCATTAACTATCATTATCATTGATAATTGATAAAAATTGATATATCAATTATATATTATATTATAGATCAATTACTGATAATAATTGATAATGATAGTTGACAATGATAATCTTTTGATTAGGAATTAATATCCAGAATATACAAGGAATTCAAACAACTCAATAGTACAAGGACAAATATTCCCATAAAAAAATGGGCAAAGGACATGAATAGACATTTCTCAAAAGACATACAAATGGCCAACAGGTATATGCAAAAATCTCAACATCACTGATCACCAGGAAAATGCAAAGCAAAAGCACAATGTGATATGTAAATCAGCATAGCCACTATGGAAGACAGTACAAAGATTTCTCCAAAAACTAATAATAGAACTTCTATATGATTCAGCAATCCCACTACTGGGCATTTATCCAAAAGAAATCAGTATATCAAAGGGATACCTGCACCCCCATATTTATTGCAGCACTATTTACAACAGCAAAGATAAGGAATCAACCTAAGTGTCCATCAACAAGTGAATAAATAAAAACAGTGATATATTACACAATGGAATACTATTCAGCTATATAAAAGAAGGAAATCATGTCATTCGCAACAACATGGATGGAACTGGAGGATATTGTGTTATGTGCAATAAAACAGGCACAGAAAGACAAATGTCACATGTTCTCACTCATATGTGGGAGCTAAAAAAGTTGACCTCATGGATATAGAGAGTAGAATGATGAACACTAGAGGAAAGGACGGGTATGGGTGGGGGCAGTTGAACAGAGGTTGGTTAATGCGTACAAACATATAGTTAGATAAGAAATAAGTTCCAACGTTTGATAGCAGAGTAGGGTGACTATAGTTAACAACAGTGTATCATATATTTCAAAATAGCTAGAAGACTCGAAATATTCCCAACACATAGAAATAATAAATACTCGAGGTAATAGATCTCTCAAATACTCCGATGTGATCATTATATAAAACATTATATGCATTAAAATATCACATGTACCCCCATAAATCTGTACAAATATATATCAATAAAAATTTTTAAAGAAAAAGGAGCTTAAATTTTGCAAATAGAAAAATTTTTCCTTTACAGAGTCCCACTGTTTCTCATTCACATAAAAGGAATCATCCAATCTACAATCACAAATTGGGCATCACACTGTGCTTGGCAGTTTGAGAGATGATGATAGACAGAGCATGTGCAGGTTCTCACCAAATGCTGGGGAGCCAACAAGCTTAGTTACCTCCCTGATGCCTGATGGGAAGCCTGTGGCTTAGAGGATCACTTAGGGCCCAGAGGGGAACCCAAGAATGGTCCTCTGGGCAAAGATCAGCCCCACTCTGGAAATTCCTTCTTGGGTTTCCAGGGAAATGCTTCCCTGTCTCTCTTTCTTATCTCTGGGAAGGCCCTGCAGAGTGCTCCCTGACCTGCTTTTCTTATTTATTTATTTATTTATTTTTCAGATGGAGTCTCACGCTGTTGCCCAGGCTGGAGTGCAATGGTGTGATCTTGGCTCACAGCAACCTCCGCTTCCTGGGTTCAAATGATTCTCCTGCCTCAGTCTCCCAAGTAGCTGGGATTACAGGCACCAGCCACCACGCCCAGCTGTATTTTTAGTAGAGACAAGGTTTCACCATTTTGGCCAGGCTGGTCTCGACACTTGACCTCGTGATCCACTCGCCTCGGCCTCCCAAAGTGCTGGGATTACAGGTACAAGCCACCCCACCCAGTCTGACCAGCCTTTCTTAAAAGAAGCCTTACCCTAGCAAATGAACAGTGAGGAAGAACACCAATTTAGTCAGTCTACCAGGAATTATATTCGGGAGGGTAGAGGAAACTTATAAAAAATACCTTAAAAAATTTGTGAGTCTAGCTGTATTATGTGAAATCCTTTCCCCTGGAAACCAAATCTCACAATAGCTATCTTATAGAAAGGGGCACCCAACAACATTGTTTCATATTCTGGGTTATGGTTACTAATTAGGTCAAGGGCAGTGGTTCATGCCTGTAATACCAGCACTTTGGGACGCTGAGATGGGCAGATCACAAGGTCAAGAGATCGAGACCATCCTGGCCAACATGGTGAAACCCTGTTTCTACTAAAAATACAAAAATTAGCTGGCCGTGGTGGCATGCGCCTGTAGTCCCAGCTACTCGGGAGGCTGCAGCAGGAGAATCGCTTGAACCTAGGAGCCGGTGGTTGCAGTGAGCCAAGATGGGGCCATTGCACTCCAGCCTGGAGATACAGCGAGACTCCATCTCAAAAAAATAAAATAAAATAAAATAAAATAATAATAATGACATAAATTAAATGAAGTTGTTACATTAAAGTGGAGTTTAGTGGATTCTACTCTTCCACACATATGGTTAATTCATCACTACAGAGATTCATCCAGATTAAAATTGTCATCAAAATAACATAGCACTGGAATTCTTTAGTTTAACTCATGCAAGAGGCTTCACAACAAATATTTCCTTGTGACACACACATCATTTCTTTCAACCTTCAAATTAATGCTTTCAGTACTGTCCTGCTTTCCCCATCCCACAGCCATAAAAGCAGATCCTGACCATCTCCCGGACCTGCCTGTTACTTCTCCTTCTCTCCCTCTTCTCTCTGGAAGCACATTAGTTTTGCTGCTGCAGTTTCCTATCTTTTCTTCACCCCTACTTACAACCTCATTCTTAGAACTTCTTTAAAAATATGGAAAAACTACAAAAAAATGTCCATTGGAAAGCACTCATGTATCTCCTTTCAAATTCTGAGTTGAACATGAAATTCTCAGTGTGTACCAGCCCCTCCCCTAAATGGAAAACTGACTAGTATCTGCAGCACCAAAGACTACAGGCAACTCAGATGAGGCACCAAGGATGAAAACTGTGGACTTTCTCCTTAAAAATGTCACCACTGTGCAGCCTGGGCTCCATACACACATTATCCTTGCCAAAATGACCAGTGAGTTGACTCATATGTAGCTTAGAGGTTGAATATCCATGTGATACCCTTATGAGAAGCCCCAAAATTACTAATCAACTCCAACCCCTGGAAGCAGGTTAAACCTACTCATGGGTGATTCTCACTGGAGCAATATGATAAGATGTAAAAAGTATGTGCTTTGAAATCATGGTAAACCTGGGTTTAAATTGAATCTTGCCCCTCACCAGTTGTGCAAAGATGGATAAGTTACTTAACCTCTCTGAGTGTGAGTTTCCTGAAATGTAAAATGGTGATATTATTTGCATCTATGTTTTTGTGTAGAGTATTTAGCATATTTCCCGAGACAGGGTAAGTGCTCAATAAATCTGACACAGTAGATACTCAAGATCTGGGAGCTATTGCTGATGGCGAGTAGAATGAGAGTGGGAAGAATGCTTCTGTAAAAGGTGATTTAGAAGTAGAGAAAAGGCAAATGTTAAAGCATCTCACCTTTTCTGAAAATCTGCTTTCTCCTCCTTGTTTCTTGTCTCCTCCTCTAGTAGCTGGGACACAGCATCCTCTAAAGCCTTGAAGTTCCTCCTTGGAATGCCCTTTCTGATACTGCTTAGCAGCCACCATTACATTTTTAAATAGCCATATTGATTTTTCCTTGTCTTTACCAGCAAAATCCTCCAGGCTCTGTTGACAGAGCAAAGCACTCGCTCTGCCTCTTTCAAGCTCTCTTCAAATGCAAGTGCACTGCATTAGCTCTTTATGCCTTCGTTTGGGAGGAAATCAACTCAAGAATGCCGCAGTATCTCTGCAGAGAACCTGTCCATGCTTGGCCAATGTGTGTAAATCAGAATTGTGCAAGTTAGGGGCAGTTGGAATAGACCTGGGATTAGGCCTTGGAGAGATTTATAGACTGTCTTTTTTTATGTTCGAGAAAGGAAGATAGATAAAATTCCAGGGCTCTGGTTCATTTGTCTTTGCCCTTCAGACATGCGTTGTATTTCCCACACTTACCCTGGCTGGGAGGGAAGGTGGCTGTTTCCAGCTCTTGCTAAAACAATGCTTAGGAGGCCAGATGTGGAATTCTACCTTTAGTGCTTGTAGCCTCACCAGAGTCCAGATGTGCAGAAGGTGGCAACACAGCCCAGCAATGACATATTGTAAGGAACGACCCTGGGGGTCTGGCCTGATATTTCCCTCTGCATGTTTTCTAGAAACATATGCCCATTAAATAATGCCCCAGTGGGAGTGATGGAAAGAAAGAGGCCACCCTCTAGTGACCTCATACCCTGAGCGAGTTATTTCCCAGAGCCTCTGGTCAGTAGCCCCTGGGAAGGCCAGAATGGAAGTTCTCCAACTACCTGAGATAGAAGAGGGGAGGTAAGGAATGGTATAACACACGGAAAAGCAAGGCATCTTGTGAAGAGACTCTCTGCTGGCCTTTCCTTGCTGACAGCCTCTTTTTTATATGGTGGCAACTGAGAAAAGTCCTGGGCCTTCCTTTCTGCCTTGCTGTCTTCCTTCCTGCACCAAGCAGGTTCTCATTGCTTCTAGGAGAAAATGTCATTTTCCCAACTTGGCAGGTGAGGAAGAACACATGCCCAGTTAATAGGAGAACAGGTGTAGAAAAGGGGGAAAGAATGGGTAATGAAGAGGGGAGGAAATGTTTAGTTATTGAAAGCTTCCAGTGTGTCTTTCTCTTTCCTCCCTCCTTCTCTCCTTCCCTCCTTCCCTCCTTCCTTCCTTCCTTCCTCCCTCTTTCTCTCTCTCTCTCCTCCTCTCTCTCCTCTCTCTCTCTCCTTCTCTCTTTCTTTCTTTCTTCCTTTCTTTCGACAGAGTCTTGCTCTTGTCGCCCAGGCTGGAGTGCAGTGGCACGATCTCGGCTCACTTCAACCTCCGCCTCCCAGGTTTAAGCGATTCTCCTGTCTCAGCCTCCAGAGTAGCTGAGATTACAGGTGCCTGCCACCATGCCCGGCTAATTTTTTGTACTTTTAGTAAAGACGGGGTTTCACCATGTTGGTCAGTTTGGCTGGTCTCGAACTCCTGGCTTTGGGTGATCCACCCACCTCGGCCTCCCAAAGTGCTGGGATTACAGGCATGAGTCACCGTGCCCAGACTTTCCAGTGTGTCTTTATAATCACATTTTACATATGCTATTTGGTTAATTGTTATCTAAACCCTGTAAAGTAAATAATGCACAGGGAGGACAGAGGCTCAGAAAGTTAAGTAGCATGCCCAAAATAATGAAGCTGATTTTGTAGAGTAAGAGCAGTCATGACAGAAGTCCTCAAAAAAACTGAAAATAGAATTACCACATGACCCAGCAATCCTACTTCTGGGTATATATCCAAAAGGGTTCAAAGCAGGACCTCAAAGAGATATTTGTATACCCATGTTCATCACAGCGCTACTCACAATAACCAAGAAGTGAAAGCAGTCCAAATGTCCACTGACAAATGAATGGATAAAGAAAATGTGGTATATACATGCAATAGAATATTATGCAGCCTTAAAAAGGAAGAAATCTTGTCATGTTTTACAACATGGATGAAATTTGCTGAATACGCCAGTAACAAAAGGACACATACTATATGATTCCATGTATATGAAGTATCTAAAGTAGTCCAAATCATACCAACAGAAAGTAGAAAGGCGAGTGTCAAATACTGGGGAGGGAAGAGGGGGAATAAATATTTAGTGGATATAGAGCTTCATTTTTGCAAGACAAAAAAGTTCTAGAGATCTGTTTCACAACAATGTGAATGTATTTAATTGAACTATTTAAAAATGGTTGAGATGGTAAATTTTATGCTATGTGTTTTCTTACCACAATAAACCAGACTTTTTCTTTAAAGTCACAGATTGTTTGCTACTCTTTGAGAATTGCCTTCTAATTCCACTGGAAGCATCCCAGTGACTTGCTTTGGTGACTTGTTTGACCAGTGAAAGGCAGAATAAGTGATATTCCGGGATTAGATCATAAGAAGACTTGCAGCTTCCAAGAGTCATTAGCTACCATTGAAGAAATCTGACTACCCTGAATGTGCCATGCAGGAGAGGCCATGTGCAGGTGCTCTGGCTGATGGTCTTAGCTGAGCCAAGCTTTCCATCTATTCCTCTCAGGCACAGGATGTAGAATGAAGAAATCTGGGACCCTCCATACCAGCTATCCACTGGCTGATTATCACTGAGTGATCTCTGTTAAGAGCATCTGGAGCAGAATTGTTTTTAATGGCCAGCATGGGGCCTCCATGCAGCCTGTCCAATTTTTGTATCTGTGCCACTTTGAAAAAGTATAAATGAATATTCTTTAGAACCTAAGTAGGGAGTTCCAACTGTCCTTATTATTGTATGTATGTATGTATACATAGATGTACTTGTTCTCCTTTTTATATTTGGTAATAAGATTAAATCTTCTCAATGGGATAGGTTCAAAGTGATGGGACCAGTTTCCTTTTGGCCAGCAAATGCCATCTAGCCTTCTGAACAGCTCCTGTGGCCCTAGCTGGGTTGTGATTGATATGAAGGAGCATCCCAGTGACCTGAAAATTTGAGCCTTCAAGGAGGGCTGGGAGAAAAATACACTTTTGTAGGTGCAGAGCAGGTATTGGTAAAGGTCATATCTAGTGGGAATGTGCAATGGGCATCCCAGCATACCTGTGAGTAAAGGCCCTGGGAAAGCCTGGCTCACCCCACCTGTCCATGAGTGGATGCCTATGATCCACCATTAGTCAACTTCTCCCTAATGTTGAAGAGTTTTTACACCTGCTATTTCCTTATCTGGAAGAAGTAATATCTCAGTGCCTCAATTCCTTAATGTGAATGAGTTAATTAGGTGACTTTCAAGGGAATGGATGTTTGAAGGCCTTTGACAATAAAGAAATAACATGCCAGGCATGGTGGCTCATGTCTGTAATCCTAGCACTTTGGGAGGCTGAGACAGGTGAATCACTTGAGGTCAGGAGTTTGAGACCAGCCTGGCCAACATGGCAAAACCCCATCTCTACTAAAAATACAAAAAGTAGCTGGGTGTGGTGGAACATGCTTGTAATCCCAGCTACTCGGGAGGCTGAGGCAGGAGAATCGCTTGAACTTGGGAGGCAGAGGTTCCAGTGAGCCAAGATCATGCCACTACACTCCAGCCTGAGCAACAGAGTGAGACTCCATCTCAAAACAAAACAAAAGAAAGAAAGAACCAAAGGAGAATGTGGAAGCACTACTAATGACTCTCCTCTTTCCCATTTTCTTGAGGTCACCATGCATGGGACAACAAAGGACCCGATAACTCCACAGCATATCAGATCTTGGTTTTCCATCTTGTCTTGCACACCCAAACAATTCTGTCTTCATTATGATGAGTTATAAAATAAATGCAAACACTCAGAATATCAGCCATCACTATTCTGCCCAGGCAAAACTCCCTATCCATGTTTGTCTCATTCCAGGCTTCCCAGAGAAATAGAACTGTGCATGATGCTGGTGATTTCAGGTCCTCTGGGTTAATACCAGAAGGGTCATGATATGGTGGGCTGTGTCCCCACCTAAATCTCATATTGAATTGTAGCTCCCATAATCCCTGTACGTCATAAGAGGGACCCAGTGGGAGGTAATTGAATCATGGGGACAGGTTTTCCTGTGCTGTTTTCATGATAGTGACTAAGTCTCATGAGATCTGATGGTTTTATAAAGGGCAGTTCCCCTGCACATGCTCTTACCTGCAGCCATGTAAGATGTGCCTTTGCTCCTCCTTCACTTTCTGCCATGATTGTGAGGCCTCCCCAGCCATGTGGAACTATAACTCAACTAAACCTCTTTTTCTTTATAAATTACCCAGTCTCAGGTATTTCTTCATAGCAGTATGGAAATGGACTAATACAGGCCACTTCCCAGATCTGTAATTTCTGGTCTCTTAGAAAGGACTGGGGGAATGGGGCTGGTACTATGAATAGAAGAAGAAAAAAAGAGGCTGAGGGGCATCTTTCTCAGCAGGTGGAGTCATCCCTTGCTCCCTGCTTCCTCCACGTGGGGGACCCAGTCAGAGAAGCCCCATGTTTGGCTCCCAGATCTGCTGCACCTGTGCAAGCTGGCATTGGTTTTCTATTTGAAATAACAGTATCACAGCCTGTGGTCATTACTCTCTGGAGTAATTACCCTTCCACTACAAAGCTATAAAGTTCCACGCAGAGGAGGAGGAAGCAGGAAAGCCACACAGCCAGCCAGCTATAACCACTTAGAAACACTTTTATCCTTATGAAGTCAAGAGGCTCCAGCTGATAGAGCAAAGTGATGTCTCAATCTTTTCTCAAAGAGCACACTGGGACCAGGCTTTTACATATCACCCTTTTGTGGCCCATGTACTTGGATTCACATATTCCTCAGTATGTTCATGCCACTCAGCTGCTTCCCCAAATGTTTTCTCAGCTCAGACCTTCCAGAGCTGAAGACAGCATCTCACATTTGAAAATCCCAAAGTCTTGCCTAAATTTAACAAACTAGAATGATGGCTCAGACCATGCAGGGCAAATAAAGACAAAAAATATGTAATAGGTAGGCAGTGATATTCTTGGCTGGGCGAGGTGGCTCATGCCTGTATCCCAGCATGTTGGGAGGCAGAGTGGGTGGACTGCTTGAGCTCAGGAGTTTGAGACCAGCCTGGGCAACATAGTGAAACCCATTATCTATACAAAATACAAAAATTAGCTGGGTATGGTGGGGTGAACCTGTAAACCCAGCTACTCAGGAGGCTGAGGTGGGAGGATCACTTGATCCCCAGAGGTTGCAGTGAGTTATGATTGCACCACTGCACTCCAGCCTGGGCAACACTGCGAGACTTTGTCTCAAAAATAACATAAAATAATAAAACCCTAATTAGACCAATGTATATCTGGCTAGTCAAAGCACGTTGCCTCAAGATTACTTGTTATTAAATACTTGTAGGCAAAATCACTAATTTAACAAATATTAATTGAGGTCTAATTTCCTTCAAGGTCCTTTTCTAGGTGCTGAGGATACAGTGGGAATGAAATGAACAGTTTCTCTCCCCTAAATGGCTTTGCATTTTAGTGCAAAAGATATAAAATAAACAATGACCATCTCTGTCTGTTTGTCCCTCTCTCTTTCTGTCTAAATCTATGTATCATGTATGTATGTATGTATGTATGTATGTATGTATCTATCTATCTATCTATCTATCTATCTATCATCTCACACAGTTAGTAGGAATCATTAGTATAAAGTGGAGAAATTCTAAATTTGGGTTGTCCAGTATGGTAGCCACTGGTCATATGGGGCTATTTAAATACACATTTAAATTTATTAAAATAAAAATTTTAAAAATTCAGTTCCTTAGTCTCATTAGCCATTTCAGTTGTTTAATAGCCATATGTGGTTAGTGCTTACTATACTGGATAGTGCAGCTATAAAACAATTCTATCATCACAGAAAGTTCTGAACGGCACTGCCCCAGCTTAGCTGTCTGCATGGCTAATTTCATTCTCCTTTAATATTAAGCCATGCTGATTATATTAGTCAGGGATCTTCAGAGAAATAGATCCAATAGTGTGTGTGTGTGTGTGTGTGTGTGTGTGTGTGTGTGTGTGTGTGTGTAAGATTTATTATAAAAGTATTGGCTCAGGTAATTATACAGGCTGAAAAAATCCCAAGATCCCAGGATGAGTCCAGTCTGGAAACCCAGGAGAACCAGTGTTGTAGTTCTAGTTGGATTCTGAAAGCCTGAGAACCATGAAACTCAATGGTGTGGTTCCAGTCTGAAGGCCAGCAGGGTTGAAGGCCATGAAGAGCCAATTTTTCAGTTTGAAAGCCGAAAAAAGCTGATGTCCCAGTATGACGGCTGTCAGGCAGGAAGGATTTTGTCTTACTTGGAGGATGGGCAGTCTTTTTGTTCATTTCAGGGCTTCAACAGATTGGATGAGGCCCACCCACATTAGGGAGAGCAATCTGCTTTACTCTACTGCCCATCCCTGCCCCAAATCACACAAATACCTAGAATAAAGTCTGATCAAATCTCTGAGCACCGGATGACCCAGTCAAGTTGACACATAAAATTCACTATCACCCCAACCTTAGTTACTTAACTTAGTTAATACTTAGTTAATATTAACACTAGTGATTGTGACATTTGGAAGCAGCATAAGTACACACCCCATCAGTCTAGCTACTAAAATTTCACCTGTGATTTCATTTCCTCTCCAAAATGGTAAATTCTGAAGTCAGAGGGAAGGAGCAGCTTACACTTCAACTTGTATCAAATGAAATTTTAGAGCATTTTCTTGGGCCAATATTGAGTTTGGATTTGTGGTGATATGACATGAGTTCAAATCCCAGCCTTGACACTTGCTAGCTGTACCACATTGAGCACATGATTTAAGATCCCTGAATCTTACTTTTCTCACCTGTAAAACAGGATGACAACATCTCCCTCACTGTTGCTGTAAAATATAAATGAAAAAAATGTGAAAGAGTGTTTGAAAGATGTGAGTCATGCCAAGGCCTCTACAATGTGACTTCAAAATGAGAGATCATTTCATTGTGTGCCTCCAGAGGGCACAAGATGCACTTTCTTCATTTTGATTTCCTCCAGTGCACCTGCTACATGATAGACATTGAAGACACATTGAATGACGAAACATATGCATGAATTTGGGGCCCAACTAATTATGAGCTTTTAAAAAGTAGATAACATATTTTGTCTTCCTATGCTTAACATAATGCCATATTCACATATTAAGCTTCTCTGGGAAACACAATCTATACTCTCACACAACACTTCTGATATCAGATATCAAGCAATTCTCTAACTCTCCAAACACCAACTGAATATCCTACAATTTAACTCAATTCTTACACTATCTACCTGGAGTTAGGTTCAGATCCCACAAGTTAAGGGCTTAATCCTACAAGACTGCCCACTTCAGATGCCAATCACGAGTCTGGGCCTCCAGTGCTTCTGACAGAGCAGCTATAAATCACACGTTCCCATGACCCTCTCCTTAGTTTTGATGACTTGTTAGAATGGCTCACGGAACTCGGGGAAACACATCACTTATGTTTCCTGCTTTATTATAAAGAAAACAAAAGAGCCAGATGGAAGAGGTGCATAGGGCAGGGTATTGAGGCGGGTGGAGTGGAGCTTCCACGCCTTATCTGAGTGTGCCACCCTCCCAGAACCTCCACCTATTCAGAAACCCAGAAGCTCATCAAATCAAATCTTGTTGTTCAAGAGTTTTGTTTTTTTTTTTATAGAGTTTAATCTCCAGGCCTCCTTACCCCTTCCCAGAGGTAGGTGGGTGGGGCTGAAAGTTCCAACCCTTTAACTCTTAGTCTTTCTGGTATCCAGCCCCCATCTTGAAGCTATCTAGAGACCCCAACCTAAGTACCTCCATTAACATAAATTCGAGTGTGATCAAAAGGGGCTCCTTATGGATAACAAGACACTCTTATCACTCAGGAAATTCCAGGGGTTTTAGGATCTCTGTGACAGGAGCCTGGGATAAAGATGAACTATATTTTATATTATACTACAGTTTCCAAAAATGTTTTATAATATATTATCAAAGTTTGAAATTCAAAAAAAGAGTTTGTTCATAAGCAGCTTAACTCTAGGAGATTGACTACTTTATACAAATATAAAACCATTAGATGCTCAATTTTATGTCATTCCTCTTAGTGTGTCAGAGATTAAAATTACATTTAATAGCTTTTTGTTATTTTCACACCATCCAGCCACATTTTCAGTTCAATAATTCACCCACTACTGCAGTCATTACATCTCACTTGGGAGGAGAGAATAATTCTGTTTCACTCAAAAAGGGCACATTGGTCTATTTTGTCTCCTCCAATATCACCTATAAAATAGTTTCTGATTTTCTATTTTTCAGCTTAATGTGACCTTTCTCTGTAATGAATAAAAATATATTCATCAACTGATCTCGGTGAATTTTCTTTCTGATAACAAATGCCATGACTCTATGAAGAGACTTCCTCATTATCTTAATAAAAGGAAAAGGGCTGAGTCACAGTGGTGTATGATTCATTGACTTAGCAGGCCAGTGAGTCAGTTGGGCCCTGACTAGAGATTGTAAGTATGACAAAGGGGGCAGGCAGATTTCTGCTTCATGAGTTGCCACTATGGAACAGGGGAGCAGGTCAATGAATAGGACCAGGGAATGGAAGCTCTGTTGCTTACAGAGATACTTGGACCTCTGCAGAGCAGCCAATGAAATCAAGAGGGCTTTCACCAGGATAGCCAAAAGGCTAAGAAGCAGGCGAGGGAAGTTTTGCAGAAACAGCAGAAGCATGAATCTGTCTGATGCGGGCTTGTTTGTGAAATCTGGAAATAAAAGCAGCACAATTTCTATTTTATTGGTACAATAGAATACTTATTAACACGTTTTCAACAAAGTGTTTATAAAAATGAAAATACCTGTTTTTAAGAGATGGTAAGGCAAGAAATACAATTGGGTTCAAGAAAACTAGAGGGATGGAAAATATTAGTAAGCACTTACTATGTGGTGTACTGCATATATCATTCTATTTAATCTTCAACACTCATGAGAATTATGATGAAGCTTATGTGTTGGGCAGGAAGTGATAAAATGACATTGCCCTTTTTAACGATAGTGCTCAGTAAAGTGTCCTATAACTGTAGAAACATGGGACCCATTGCCAAGCAGAAAAGAGTTGTTATCTTACTTACACAGTTAGCCAGAGTGCAAATGAGCACAGCTTTCTTGGAGCACAATTCAATAATATTCAAATTTGCCTTTGGTGTCTGCAAAATGTGGATGAGCACAAAAATATCACAAGGATATCTTTTATGACGCTATTAATAACAGAAAAAATAGAAATGACTTGATTCTATAATAAGAGGAAATTAAATAAAGTAAAAGCAGTGCAATAAATATAATAAAATGCTATTAAATCATTTAAAATGGTTATGTAGAAAAATAATGACATGGTGAAATAATGTTCACAATACATTGTTGGAAAAAAGTAACAAAATATGTGTGTAACATAACACAGCATAATAGGTAGAATCTCCTCATCATCTACGTAATTCTAAAGCCCATGGCTTTTAAAAATACATCAAATAGAATGTTTTCAGAGTCTCACTCTGTCGCCTAGGTTGAATTGCAGTGGCATGATCTCAGCTCACTGCAACCTCCACCTCCCAAGTTCAAGTGATTCTCGTGCCTCAGCCTCCCAAGTAGCTGAGACTATAGGGTGCATGCCACCACACCCAGCTACTTTTTGAATTTTTAGCAGAGACAGGGTTTCCCCATGTTGGCCAGGCTGATCTCAAACTCCTGACCTCAAGTGATCCCCCCACCTCAGCCCCTCAAATTGCTGGGATTGATTACAGGTGTGAGCCACAGCACCTGGCATCAAATAGAATTTCCATTACAATTTCTTGTCTCATCTCCAGTATCACCTTCTTCATGGAGATTTTGTAGACTCCTTTTGCTGCTTGAGATTTCTCTCTCCCTGCTCCGTACCCCAGAGCACTTTGGTTAAGGAGTTTGGATATTTTACGAGCTTGCTTAGTTCAAGACCACATTCTTTGTTGACATGCTGAAGTACAGTTTCTTTAATGGTGGCTGCTTGGGGGAGGGGAAAAATAATTAGCTTCCTAATTTTATGAGCTTTTTGTTTCTCTAAGACCCTTACATTCAAACTTGTGCTTCTGTCTTTTCATTTACCATGAAGATTCCAAAAGACATCTTCCCTGTTGGTTGCCTCCTTATTCCCCAGAAGCAGTGCACTCTCAGATCATTTCCTTTCAATTTCCTTATAACCACCCCAACCCCATCCATAGCCTGTGTTGTGGTTCACCAGGTTTTAGATGCTCTCATTTTGCTCCACGGAGGGTGAGGCCATTTCCCTCTGGTGTGCTTTATTTTGTTTTTCATCACAGCTAGGCTCCTGCTGTCCTCTTCTTTCCCACGCAGTCTCTGCCCGATGCTCCATTTGGGTGTGAGTTCTGAAGCTGGCTCCGACTTTGCTGTTTTGAATATTTATTCCCCTACTTACATATGAGCTGATGATGTTAGTCATCTCTGTCTCCTAATTATGCTATAGCATGGTTGAGGGTGGTTTCCCTTGCTTTCTTTAATGGTCTGTACATTTTCTGGAGGATGTAGGAATTGATTCTAATTTAGACAGCTGCCATTATCCTCCAAAAACCTGTAAGCTCTATTCATGTAATTTTTGAGGGCATCAACATCTTTCAGAGAAGCCCAAGTGTTAATCAGATATAAAATAGAACTACTGTAGCATAAAGTTGGGAGCATAGTATGTTAGGGGCCTCAAAACCTTGCCTGCTCAGTTTTTTCCCCTATTCTTGGGATGGCCCTTGAAGGGGATCAATAGAAGGTCTCCAGGGAGCATTATACAGATCCTTGGACTTGACATTCTCTATGATCCTTCCAAGTCCTGATATTCTATAATTAAATAAATCATGGGCATTCCATTAATGCTTAATTAACAAGAAGATTCAGTCAACTGGAACAGTATTATGTGCAATCTTGTCCATTGATAATTCTTGGATTTTCCTCATTTTCTTTGTACTCTAGATTTTTTTGTAAGCAATCTTTTGAGACACAAGAAGTGGGGTGTAGAGAGGAATTCATTACTGTGTATTGTGTACCCCTATTAGTGGGCTAAACTAAAATCCCTAATTGGCATGAGCAATTTTCATTCTGCTAGATAAAATTCTTTTCCTGAAACAGCTTTATAATGCTTCCTGTTCATAATCTTTGCTTACTGAAGGCTCTGTGTCTAGATCTGCTAAAAATGACTCTACAGCACTCCCTCTTGCTCCTTACTACAGTAATTGGCTTCCATAAGCTTCTGTCTACATTAGCAAATTTTAAATGCCCTTCTGAATATCTGGTCTAGTGCTCTTTACACAAAAATAAGAAAACTTTTCTAATCATGATGCTTCTTAGCATAAATATAATGCTTTCACCTTTTTCCATAAACCCTTTCAAATCCATTTTCTCATCAGACCCATTTTTATTGAGCTAAGCTGGGTAGACATTCTTAAAAAAGTATTTTAGTTTTCACAGTATAAAACTAAGGCCAACAGCAGTGAAGTCACTTGTTGAAGATCTATCTGAGAAAACTAGACTTATAATTTGTTTCTTCATTCTCAGACAAATACACATTGTCCATTAGATTTCTCAAAATCTGTAATTAAAGCAGATTAAGTTAATCTTCAATTCATTTTAACTCAATGATAATGGCACTGTGCTCATAAATATTAGGAATTATAGTTGCTTAATTATGGGAGGGGGCCTTTGCATCAAGCTCATGTCTGTCTTAGTGGTTACTGACACTTTCGAGTCACTGACCACAAGTTGTACAGTCTGTCATTCCTGACACATTTGGTGGGCTCATGAGGTAATTCATAAAACCATAGGATATAGGGAACAAGAAGGGAGAAGAATTAATTTAAAGATCTGGGGAACCGCATGTTTCCTCCAAGGCATTTAGAAAACAAACCTGACCCTCTGGTCTCCTGTAAAGGACAAAGGAAAATGACAGTACTCAAGTGACGAGTGGGTGATCATGTTATTGTGACTCTGCTGGGGACAAAACCTGATTATAAGTCTAAGAACTATATTTTTGTCTATATGCCAGAACATGGTATCAGGAAAGGGCAACCTGCTCCTCTACATACCCTAGAAACCATGGAAAGGCCAATCAAAGTCTTTCACCCAGAGAAGCTGTGGCAGAACACACTATTGACAATAAAGGTCAATCTACACTCATGGGAACACACTGGACTGAGCAAGTGGTGGGGTGCTGAAGAAGGGGAGCCAAGTGGGAACTGACAACCCATCATCTTCTTTGAGCCTCACACACCTTTTAGATGGGTGTAATTATACCAGCCTTGTTGATAAGGAAACTGAGACTAAAAGAGGATAATAAATTATGCACCCTAAGAAGTCAAGTAGGTGTTGGAGCCCAGAAGGAACCTAAGTTTGTCTGAATCCACAGCCATGACTTAACCAACATGTTAAACTGCCCTGGGATCCACCATTGGATTCAAAAGGCAGATGCTTCACTATTTGAACAGATGCTTTACCTGTTTCAACCTCACATGCTTCATCTGAAAGCAGAGATAATAGTATCTACTTTACGCAATGGCATGAAGATGGAGACTCTGGGACTAAGATGGCAGCAGAGGCCCGGCATGGCTGGGGAGCTGTGACTGTTGCCGTGGGGCTGCGCAGGTGATTCTATCATTTGTTGAAGAATCAATCTATACACCATTAAGAAACAGCCTCTGGGCCGGGCATGGTGGCTCACGCCTGTAATCCCAGCACTTTGGGAGGCCGAGGTGGGTGGATCACGAGGTCAGGAGTTCAAGACCAGCTTGGCCAAGATGGTGAAACCCCATCTCTACTAAAAATACGAAAATTAGCCAGGCGTGGTGGCAGTTGCCTGTAATCCCCGCTACTCGGGAGGCTGAGGCAGAGAATTGCTTGAACCCGGGAGGCAGAGGTTGCAGTGAGCCGAGATCGTGCCACTGCACTCCAGCCTAGGCAACAGAGTGAGACTCTGTCTCAAAAAAAAGAGAAACAGCCTCTGCATCAATTTGTAGAAAGACTACTCTTCCCACTACCTGCAGCCTTTTGTAACCCAGTGAGATACATGTTTATTCAAACACAAGATATCTCAAATCCTAACAGTTTAAAGTTTATACCATGAAAACCAGTTTTTGAGACAAGGCCCATGGATTTTCCCACCCCAGCTGCAGCATTTTGCTCCCCTTTGGCTAGGCAGTTATTTAGGATTGAAGGAGTAAAAAGTGTTTTCTTTGGGCCAGATTTCATCACTGCCACAAAGGAAAATGAAAAATTAGACTGGAATTTACTGAAACCAGATATTTACGCAACAACCACGGACTTCTTTGCATCTGGTTTACCCCTAGTTACTGAGGAAACATCTTCAAGGAGAAGCAGGATGTGAAGATGATGAAGTTGTGGCATTGATTAAGGAAGTGTTAGATACTAGAATGTGGCCAACTGTGCAAGAAGATGGAGGAGACGTAATCTACAAAGGTTTTGAAGATGGTATCGTATGACTGAAACTCCAGGGTTCTTGTACCAGCTGCCCTAGTTCAATCATTACTCTGAAAAATGGAATTCAGAACATGCTGCAGTTTATATTCCAGAGGTAGAAGGTGTAGAACAGGGTATGGATGATGAATCAGATGAAAAGGAAGCAAACTCACCTTAAAATAATCTGGATATTCTTTGGGTACAATAGTCGGACTTATCGATAATATATACCAAGCTGTTATTATTAATATGCTGAAGAACTTGAAGATTAATAAAATATGCCATTTCTTCAGAGTCCAAAAAAAAGATCGAATGAAGAACTTATGGAAATGTCTGGCACACTATAGCCAATCATTTTCCACTGACTGATTTTATTTGACCATCTGGTTTTTATATCATTAATTCAAAAAGCATGTATTGAGTCAATAATATCAGCTGTAACTTATTTGTTGATCACTGTCCATGTTCTAGGCACAGTGCTTGATACTATTTATTATTTTATGTAATCCTTACAATAACCCTACAATGTAGGCATTCTTTATTATCTTCATTTTACGTTGAGGGAGCAGGTTCAGAAAGATTAAAAGAGTAAGAGGGTCAAGTCTCTGAAAATTCATTTTCCAAAATAATTTCACTAAAAGAGCAACTTGCTGAATATTTAAGAATTTTATTTTTACATTCAATTTTGCATCAGCATCATCCCCGCTCTTGCCTTGGCTTTTACATTTTCCTGTCTATACATTTTATATAAGAAAAGATGACATTTCTCTTATGCACAAAATCCAGTGTTTCATGGTATTCTATGCTTATGACTGCCCTGGCACTTGCACAGCCCCTTGCAGGAAGATCATGCAGTAAGCTGTCTTATTCTAGTTTATTTGCCCAAAAGTTTAGAGTCAATTGTTATTTAGTTAAAATATCATTGAGTGATCAGTAGATAATTGGATGAGCTAATTAAAAGCTATTCATTTATCACAAATTGAGCTTCAGCAAATTGACCCAGGGCCGAGGTGGTGGCCAGCTTTCTGCCATTGTTATTGTTGCTAGTGATCCTTTACCATGTGGCAGGTGACTGACATCAAGTACCCTGAATGATGCGAGTGCTCAGTATGTTTGGAATTTAAAACAAAACTTATTCTTCCTGATCTTGGGGCTCTGTGTAGTGGGAGCAGAATGATCTCTGTGAAAGCTATATCTGGCAACTATATATTTATACACCCAACCTCATGTTTATAAAAAGGCCAATAATGCATGTTGTTTATTTTCATGCATGTTGTTTATTTTTAGCTTTGACTAGTCTCTGGCAAAACCCACCTCTTGTAATAGAAAGAAAAGGGCTGGCTTTGTTTTCCCTATCCCATGCACTTGTCTAAGCTATAAATATCAGAATCATTAAGCTCCTCTTTTTCCTCTCACTCCCCCTATATTTATGCACATCAATTTGTGCTTCTTAAATATCTCATGACAGTTGTCTTTGATACAACCTTTCACCATTACCCAAGAGAAGCCACCATCATCTGTTATCTAATCACTAAAACAATCTTCCAAAAGCTCTCCAACCTCCATCTCTTCCTTATCCAATCCATTCTCCACACAACAAGCAGAATAATCAATCTGAAATGCAAATGCCATATGGTGTCACTCTGCAGCTCAGACCCACCATAGGCTCCTTGTCACCTTAAGAATAAAGTCCAAATGAAAATATATGGCAGCCAAACACTTCACAGCTAGGACCCAGCTTTTTCTGCACCTGTACTCTCTCCTCCTACCAGCATGAATCAGGGCAGCTCTCCAAATGAAACAACCTCTTCTCAGCTCTAGAACTTTGCATATGCTTTCCCTCTGCTTGGAATGTTTTTCTCTTTTCTCTGTCCAACTGCTTTTTATTTATCTTCTTCCAAATCACTGAGGTGCAGTTTTAATGTATTCACATAGCTCTTCTATCAGAGAACTCATCACGCTAGACAGCAATTGATGGTTCCTTTTGTGCCTTCACCATAGGACTCTTGACTCATTAGGGGCAAGCACACAGGAAGGCCAAATAAATAGATGTTTAAGGAATGAATGAAATTTAAATATGAGGTAATTTGAATTGCACTCCTGCCCCCAACTGATGACAACTAGAAAACCTGAAAAAAAGAAAAAAATCTTGAAGGCACAGAAGAACTAGCAAGATATTGAAGAATGACTAGACCAAGAGCCAGCGGGCAGTGGAGGTCTAGACATATGAGCTCAGCTCATTTTAGGAGGTCACCATAACCTTGATACCAAAGTCTGGTATGGGTACTACAAGAAAGAAAATTTACAGGTATGGCGGGCGCCTGTAGTCCCACCTACTGGGGAGGCTGAGGCAGGAGAATGGCGTGAACCCGGGAAGCGGAGCTTGCAGTAAGCCGAGATTGCGCCACTGCAGTCCGCAGTCCGGCCTGGGCGACAGAGCGAGACTCCATCTCAAAAAAAAAAAAAAAAAAAAAAAAAGAAAATTTACAGGTAAATTTCACTCTTTAATAAAGATGGAAATAGCCTGCATATTAGCAAATTCAGCAATATTTTAAAGTGGTAATACACATTGAACAAATGGTTTTGTTCTAGAAATACAGGGTTAATTTAACATTTGAAAATCAAACAGTGAAATCCTCCACATTAACAGAATAAAGCGAAAAAAAAAAACCATACATTCAACATTGTTTTGGAAGTCCTAATTAATGGCTGTAGAACAAAGAAAAGTTAAGAAGATTAAATATGATTAAATAAAATTAGTATTATTCACAAGTAATATAATTTATGTAAAAATGTCTAACACTCTGCCGGGCACGGTGGTGCGTGCCTGTAATCCCAGCACTTTGGGAGGCCGAGGTGGGTGGATCACGAGGTCAAGAGATTGAGACCATCCTGGCCAACATGGTGAAAACCCGTCTCTATTAAAAATACAAAAATTATCTGGGCAGGGGGACATGCATGTGTCTCTGTAGTCCCAGCTACTCGGGAGGCTGAGGCAGGAGAATCGCTTGAACCTGGGAGGTGGAGGTTGCGGTGAGCTGAGATCGCACCACTGCACTCCAGCCTGGTGACAGAGTGAGACTCCAACTTAAAAAAAAAAAAAAAAGTCTAACACTCTAAGAATCTAAAATTTCTGTTAGTTTCCTCTTGCTGTGTAACAGATTATCACAAATCTACATTTGTGCTTAAACGACCTACATTTTTTATCTCACAATTTCCTTTGGTCAGGAGTCCAGTTACAGCTCAGCTGGGTCCCCTGCTCCAGATCTTGAAAGGCTGCAGTAAAGGTAAAATCTGGGGCTGGGCGCAGTGGCTCACATCTGTTATCCCAGCACTTTGGGAGGCCAAGGTGAGTGGATCACAAGGTCAGGAGTTTGAGACCAGCCTGGCCAATATAGTGAAACCCTGTCTCTACTAAAAAATGTAAAAACAAGCCGGGCGTGGTGGTGCGTGCCTGTAGTCCCAGCTACTCAGGAGCCTGAGGCAGGAGAATCGCTTGAACCTGGGAGGTGGAGGTTGCAGTGAGCCAAGATCACGCCATTGCACTCCGGCCTGGGTGACAGAGTGAGACTCTGTCTCAAAAAAAAGAAAAAAAGGAAAAAAAAAAAGGTGTCAGGTGGGCTGTGGTCTCATCTGAGGGCTTCTTCCATGCTCATGCACCGTAATTCATTTCCTTGCAATTGTATAAGTAAACAGCAGATTGCTTATTTTTTGAGGCAAACAGGAGAATCTCTCTGAACTAAGGGAAGGCCACAATCCATCTAGTGAAGGGCTCCTTTGATCCTGGCCCACTAAGGATAAGCTTCCTTTAGATTAACTTAAAGTCAGTTAATCAGAGACTTGATGCACATATGCAAAATCCTTTCACAATAACAGAAAGATTAGCATTTGATTGAGGAACTGGGGACTATAGTTCAAACTAGGAGGGTGACAAAGGAAAAAGCCATCATAGTTTGACAACTTTATTAAATAAACATTAATAAGCAAAAATCAACTGTTTATCTGTGTCACAGCAACCATTCATAATGACACAAAAATATGAAATGGCTAGTAGCAATCTAATAAACAATGGGCAAGAAGTCAATGTTGAAAACAATACATTATTATTGAGATAAAGAATAGCTAAATAAATGAAAGAATAAACCATGTTTATGGATGAGGAGATTCAGTAATATAAAATTATCAGTTTTCTTAAAACTTGTCTATAAATGCAATGCAGTTCTAATAAAACCCCCACATTTTGTGAGAAATGACAAAGCAGTTCTAAAATTTATGTGGAAGTATAAAGAACCAAAAATAGACAAGAGTTTTGAAAAAGTAAGCAAGTTAGAAAAATTTGTCCAACAAAATATCAACATTTAGTATAAACTAATAAATGGGTTATTTACACAAGGCAAACTCACATACATAAAGACCCTTGCTTTATAACAAATGGATCACTGCAGAATAGTGGAGGAAATGTTAATCTTTTCAAAACATTGTGCTGGACAATATAAAATTAGCCTTCTACATCATACTATACCTAAAAATTAACTCCAGGAGAATTGTAGATCTAATTGTGAAACATGAATCAATAAACTTTTAGAAGGTAAGAGAACATAGCTTTATGATTTCAGAAAAGAGATTAAAAACTTCATAAATAAAATATTGAAAGAACTAATAATAGGTAGAAGATAAATTACACTACAGTCAAACTGAAAACTTCTGTTCACCAAAAGATACCATTAAATAAGCAAAAAACAACTGTTTTTCTGTAATGATATAAAAATACAAAATATACTTCATAATGACATAAACATATAAAATACATAGGAATAAATCTAACAAAAGATGGGAAAAAGGCCTAAGTACAATCCAATACATTATTATTGATATGAATTAAAGAAGAGCTTAAGATAATTTAAAAGACATAAATTGCAGAAGAAATAATTTAAAAAGAAATTATCTCTAAAAAAATCAAATAAGAAATTACAGAAGATAAATAGAATAAGAATATAAAGAAGACAAAGGTACAGAAGTCAAGTCACAGAGTGAAAGGAGATTTTTGTAATACATAGCACTCATATCCAGCTCATATCATAACCTGCTCATATCCAGCATATTAAAAAAAAACCTCTCACAAATGAATAAGAAAAAGATAACCCAAAGAACAATGGGCAAGAGACCTGAACAGATTCTATCTCTCTATCATCTCTATCTCTATCTCTTTCTCGATCTCTATCTTTATCTCTCTCTATCTAGCTACATCTATATCTGTATGTGAACAAGTGCCCAAGAAAAAAAGAAAAAGTGTTTACCCTCATCAGTACTTAGGAAAATATTTGTTAAAACTAATGAACATGAGCCAGAATGGCCAAAAGTAAAGAGACTGACAATAGCCAATGTTGATGAGGATATGGAGCAACAGGAATTCTCATTCACTTTGTAATGTTTAAAATTATCTATAAAATTTAAAGATACACATAACTTAAGCTCAGTGATTCCAATCCTGAGTATAAACTTCTATAAATATGCCACGTGAATCAACAGACATAACACCAATGTTGATAATGGCACTATTCTTAGTAGACAAAAGCTGGAAAAAAACCCAAATGTCCATCAACAGTAAAATAGATAAGTAATTCATGGTATATTCATTTACTTAAATACAGTAGAAAAATAGCATTGGACAAACAACAGTTATGGGTAACATGATGATTCTTGTAAACATTATATTGAACCAAAGAAGCTGGAGACAAGAAGATACTTACATTCTAAAGTTTTTCCCACACCAGGAGATAGACAAAATTAAGAGAAACAAGAATAAATTGCCTCAAAAATCAGTGTAGTAATTGCCTTTGGGAAGGAGGTAGAACAGAGATTGGAATGGAGCACTAAGGAAGCTTCTGGTCTGTTGGTAATGTTGTTTGTTGGCCTTCATGATGATTACATAGGTATTTACTACATGATAGAACATTGTTCTGTATATCTTGCTATATATCATAATATTAAACATTAAGCACACCAGAATTCAAGTGAATTCATGAATAAAAACCCAAAGTTCTTTCTAGTCCCTAGAAGGTTTCTCTAACCTTTCCCTAATCCCACACTTCTGGGGTGGAAAGTGAGGAAAGGTATTCAGATAAGAGGTCCTATCCTTCTCTCTTTGGGGCTTTCCCTACCACATACTTACTTTGCTGTGTCCTCCCATTCCCTGCCTCCCCACCTGTCTCAGAGAGTTGAAGAGCTGCCATGCTGGTCTGCCCAGGGGCTGCTGACCACAGAGGAAAAGTCCTTTCAGGTTGTGAGGGCACTGAAGGGTGACCCTTTCTTTCCATCACTCCTAGCAGGGCATTATTCAATGGGCAGGTGTTTCTTTTTTTTTTTTTTTTTTTTTTTATTGATCGTTCTTGGGTGTTTCTCACAGAGGGGGATTTGGCAGGGTCATAGGACAATAGTGGAGGGAAGGTCAGCAGATAAACAAGTGAACAAAGGTCTCTGGTTTTCCTAGGCAGAGGACCCTGCGGCCTTCCGCAGTGTTTGTGTCCCTGGGTACTTGAGATTAGGGAGTGGTGATGACTCTTAACGAGCATGCTGCCTTCAAGCATCTGTTTAACAAAGCACATCTTGCACCGCCCTTAATCCATTTAACCCTGAGTGGACACAGCACATGTTTCAGAGAGCACCGGGTTGGGGGTAAGGTCATATATCAACAGCATCCCAAGGCAGAAGAATTTTTCTTAGTACAGAACAAAACGGAGTCTCCTATGTCTACTTCTTTCTACACAGACACAGCAACAATCTGATTTCTGTATCTTTTCCCCACATTTCCCCCTTCTCTATTCGACAAAACCGCCATCGTCATCATGACCTGTTCTCAATGAGCTGTTGGGTACACCTCCCAGACGGGGTGGCGGCCGGGCAGAGACGCTCCTCACTTCCCAGACGGGGTCGCGGCCAGGAAGAGGCGCTCCTCACTTCCCAGACTGGGCGGCCGGGCAGAGGGGCTCCTCACATCCCAGACGATGGGCGGCCAGGCAGAGACGCTCCTCACTTCCCAGACGGGGTGGTGGCTGGGCAGAGGCTGCAATCCCAGCACTTTGGGAGGCCAAGGCAGGTGTCTGGGGGGTGGAGGTTGTAGCTAGCCGAGATCACGCCACTGCACTCCAGCCTGGGCAACATTGAGCACTGAGTGAACGAGACTCCATCTGCAATCCCGGCACCTCGGGAGGCCAAGGCTGGCAGATCACTCGCGGTTAGGAGCTGGAGACCAGCCCGGCCAACAGGGTGAAACCCCGTCTCCACCAAAAAAATACGAAAACCAGTCAGGCGTGGCGGCGCGCACCTGCAATCGCAGGCACTCGGCAGGCTGAGGCAGGAGAATCAGGCAGGGAGGTTGCAGTGAGCTGAGATGGCAGCAGCACAGTCCAGCTTCGGCTCGGCATCAGAGGGAGACCGTGGAAAGAGAGAGGGAGAGGGAGAGGGAGAGGGAGAGCGAGAGCGAGAGCAATGGGCAGGTGTTTCTAGGAAACACGAGGAACAAAGCATCAGTCCAGACCACTGGAGTCAGTCTTCATGAAATGTCATTGCTGGGCCATGTTGCCACTGTCTACATGTCTGGGCTCTGGCAGGGCTACAAGCACTGCAGGTAGGATTCAGCATCTGGCTTCCCAGGCATTGTCTTGATAAGAGCTGGCAGCCACCACCTGCCCTCCCAGCCAGGATAAGTATGGGAGAAGCAACACATGTATGAAGGGCAAAGACAAGTGAACCAGATCCCTGGAATTTTATCCATTTCCCTTTCTCTAGCATAAAAAAAAAGAACCTACAACTCTCGCAAGGGCCTGACTGACTCAATTCCAGCCTGTCCCTGACTTGCATGATTCTGATTTGCAGACATTGGCCAAGAACAGACAGGTAATCTGCAGAGATCCCATAGCTTTCTTGGGTTGATTTTTCCCCAGACTGATGCATGAAAAGCTGGTGCAGTGTACTGCATTTGAAAAGAGCTTGAAAGAGGCAGAGTGAGTGTTTTGCTCTGTCAACAGAGCCTGGAGGATTTTGCTGGTAAAGACAAGGAAAAATCAATATGGCTATTTAAAAATGTAATGGTGGCTGCTAAGCAGTATCAGAAAGGGCATTCCAAGGAGGACTTTCAAGGCTTTAGGAAAGGAGAAGGAAGAAATTTAGTGGAGTTTTAAAGCTTTATATTTCTGTTCTTATTCCACTTCCAAATAGCCTACTTCCAAGACATTTCTGCTGTCTAATCTTGCCTGACAATGTTAATAGCTGCTCTTTCTTGAGTACCTAACATATGCTTGGAGCTTTGCACACACAGTCAGTGGAAATATGAACCCTACTTAAAGATTTTGCTACCAATATTACTAGATTATCTCATCTTTTTTTTTTTTTTTTTGCCAGGCTGGTCTCGAACTCCTAGTCTTAAGTGATCTGCCCACTCCACCTCCCAAAGTGCTGGGATTATAGGTGTGATCTTGTATGCTTGGAAAAGATTTCTAGAAATGAGGTTTTTGGGTTAAATAATGCTAGGATAGCCAGAAGAGAGGAGCTAACGCAGTGGCAGAGTTGTCTTGGCATTCCCGCATGCAACCGAAGACGTCAATGGACAGAGGCCCATGGAGGTACGGGGTGGGGTCATCGTGAAGGGGCTGATTTTCACTGGTTTGGGGAGATGTGTTTAATGCCACAGCCTAACCTCAAAATAAATATTTCTTATTATAAGAGAGGGTTGTGGGGAACACAAGTAGGGACGTGGGTTTTCCATATAGGATCTTTGGGCCATAATGGGCAGAATTGTTACAAGGAGGCAATTATCTAGACCCTAAGTTGTGGCCAATATATTAGTGTCATGAGGGGTTTTATCTTGCTCCACAAAGATAAGGAAATCCAGCATCTGTAAGAGTTTTCATCTGTAGTGTTTATTCCAAAGCTAAGACTCCTCCATTTTCCATGAGAACTGGAGCTCTAGGAAGCCTAATCTGAGTTTGTTCTCCACAAAAGCCAGAATAGAACATCTTGACACCCAAATTTTGTGTATATGTGTGTGTGGGGGCGTGTGTGGAGGGAGGGTTTAAAGGGAGTGGAGGCAGGAGGCTAGACTAGAGGAGCAATTACCTAAAATCATAGTCCTTCTTAAAGGACTTAGAGCTGCAGGTGGCAGGAACAGAACATAGACTAGTAACACCTTGCAGGTTGAAACCTTGAAAATTTAAACCAATCTGTTCAATAGCCTGGCTTCCCATTCGGGGAGGGTTTCTCTGCCCTGCTTTGCCCACTTGCCACACCAACCCCCTGGGAAAAGCTTTTTTCTTATGACTTTAAAGTCCCCTCACCATATGAGACTAACATTATAGAAGAAACCCATCTAGGGAGGTGAGAGGAGATCATATCTCTGAGGGTAGGTGGGGAGGTGCCTTAGAAATACCTGCATTAGAACACCTTTTTAAAATTATTATTATTTTTTAGATAGAGTCTCACTCTGTTGCTCAGGCTGGAGTGCAGTGGCGTGATCTCAGCTCACTGCAATCTCTGCCTCCTGGTTCAAGCGATTCTTGTGCCTCAGCCTCCCGAGTAGCTGGGATTACAGGTGTGTGCCACCATGCCCAGCTAATTTCTGTGTTTTTAGTAGAGAAAGGGTTTCATCATGTTGGCCAGGCTGGTCTGGAACTCCTAGTCTTAAGTGATCTGCCCATTTCTGCCTCCCAAAGTGCTGGGATTACAGGCATGAGCCACCTCACCACATTTTAATAAAACTTCTCGATTCACACCCTTCCCCGAGTTCCGGCCAGGAGGATTCTTGCCCCTTTCAAATTATTAGAAAGTTCAACTAGAGAATTCCTTCTCCCTGTGGAGTTTTACCCCCTGCTCCTCTGGCCACCCTCCCAATGGATCCCTGTGGTGCCAGGCAGGAATGGGCTGCCTGGGGAACCAGCAAGCTCCCAGGGCCTTTCTGCTGCTTCCTCTGTGCCTGTATTTCACTCAGCTCTCTAACTTGACTCAGCTTCAGGTAAAAGTCAGAAACTTCTCCCACAAACAGATCTTCAGCTTCTCCAGTGGGGGTGTGTGTTTGGGAGAGGAGGGTCTCCCTTTCTCACTTCTGCATTTGGGCACTCACAGTATTTGGGGTGTTTCCCAGGTCCTGCAGGAGCAGTCCACTTTTTTGAGAGGTCCTGTAGGTCCTCTTGGGATTGCTGGTTTGTTCTTGCAGTAGATCTGGAGCTAAAATTCACAATGCAAGCCTCTGCATGTTGCTCTGTCCAGAACTGCAATCTAGTCCTGCCTTCTGTCTGCCATGATCCCCCAGTCTCTCGAAAACGCATTTAATACAACAAACCTAATAAACATCATAGCTTAGCCTAGCCTACCTTAAACATGCTCAGAACCCTACAACTGGGCAAAATCACCTAACACAAAGCTTATTTTATAGCAAAGTGTTGAATTTCTAATGTAATTTATTGAATACTATACTGAAAGTAAAAAACAGAGTGGTTGTATGGTACCTGAAGTATGTTTTCTACTGAATGAATGTCACTTACACAACATTGTAAAGTTCAAAAATCATTAAGTCAAACCATTGCAAGTTGGGGACCACTTGTTGTAAGTTGTGTTGAATAGCATAGCCTCAGACTAGGCCTTTTAAATTTATTTTGGGAAATGATCCTAGTGAACAGGAGTAGGCTGATTGAAAAAATGAAACCTCTCCCTCTCCCTCTCCCTCTCCCTCTCCCTCTCCCTCTCCCTCTCCCTCCTCCCGCTTTCCACGGTCTCCCCCTCTCCCTCGTCTCCGTCTCCCGCTTTCCACGGTCTCCCTCTGTTGCCGAGGCTGGAGTGTACTGCCGCGATCTCGGCTCACTGCAACCTCCCTGCCTGATTCTCCTGCCTCAGCCTGCCGAGTGCCTCGGATTGCAGGCGCGCGCCGCCATGCCTGACTGGTTTTTGTATTTTTTGGTGGAGATGGGGTTTTGCCATGTTGGCTGGGCTGGTCTCCAGCTCCTGACCTTGAGTGATCTGCCCGCCTCGGCCTCCCGAGGTGCCGGGATTGCAGACGGAGTCTCGCTCACTCAGTGCTCAATGTTGCCCAGGCTGGAGTGCAGTGGCCCGAACCTCCACCTCCCAGCCGCCTGCCTTGGCCTCCCAAAGTGCTGAGATTGCAGCCTCTGCCCAGCTGCCACCCCGTCTAGGAAGTGAGGAGCGTCTCTGCCTGGCCGCCCATCGTCTGGGATGTGAGGAGCCCCTCTGCCCGGCCTTCATCTCCTCTAGGAAGTGAGGAGCATCTCTTCCCGGCCACCCATCGTCTGGGATGTGGGGAGCACCTCTGCCTGGCCGCCCCGTCTGAGAAGTGAGGAGCCCCTCCACCCAGCAGCAGCTGCCCCGTCTGGGAAGTGAGGAGCGTCCCCGCCCTGCCGCCCCATCTGGGAGGTGGGGAGCGCCCCCGCCCGGCAGCCGCCCCGTCTGGGAGGTGGGGGGCGCCCCCGTCCGGCAGCTGCCCCGTCTGGGAGGTGGGGGGTGCCCCCGCCCAGCAGCCGCCCCGTCTGGGAGGTGGGGGGCCCCTCTGCCCGGCTGCCACGTCTGGGAAGTGAGGAGCCCCTCTGCCTGGCTGCCACCCTGTCTGGGAGGTGTACCCAACAGCTCATTGAGAACGGGCCATGATGATGATGGCGGTTTTGTCAAATAGAAAAGGGGGAAATGTGGGGAAAAGAAAGAGATCAGATTGTTACTATGTCTGTGTAGAAGGTAGACATAGGAGACTCCATTTTGTTCTGTACTGAGAAAAATTCTGCCTTGGGATGCTGTTAATCTATAACCTTATCCCCAACCCCGTGCTCTCTGAAACATGTGCTGTGTCAACTCAGGGTTAAATGGATTAAGGGCGGTGCAAGATGTGCCTTGTTAAACAGATGCTTGAAGGCAGCATGCTGGTTAAGAGTCATCACCACTCCCTAATCTCAAGTACCCAGGGACACAGACACTGCGGAAGGCCGCAGGGTCCTCTGCCTAGGAAAACCAGAGACCTTTGTTCACATGTTTATCTGCTGACCTTCTCTCCACTATTGTCCTATGACCCTGCCAAATCCCCCTCTCCGAGAAACACCCAAGAATGATCAATAAATACTAAAAAAATTAAAAAAAAAATGAACCAAGGAAGAATGGAAAGCAAATTCAAATGTACCTTATTAAGCTAATTGATACTATGAACAACTGGGGTTCTGCTCTGCTGATGATATTCTGAGAGAAGTAGACATTACCTCAGAATAGACCCCATAAGAAATGGAAGAGGAAAATAGTTATCTGCTGGCTTCCATCCCCCACTGGTTAAAAGTTGGTCCAGGGGAATTTAACTTTCTTGTACTTCTAGGTATGTGTTGGTGTCAGAATGGATAAGTAGTCTCATCTAAAATAAAAGAATGTTTCATTTTGGAAATTGATAAGTGTATTCCAAAAAGTGTATATCAAAATTCAAAAGAACATGAATATCTCAAAGAAGAACAAAGTTAGAGGAATCCCCACCTATCAATTTTTATTAAAACACTACACTAATAAAGTAATATGGTATTTCTACAAAGATAGGCAAATAGATCAGTGGAACAAAGTAACAAGTCCAGGAACAGGTCTACTGTTTTAGTTGGTTTGAGTTGTTATGATAGAATACCATAGCCTGGGTAGTTTATAAATAACAGAAATTTATTTCTCACAGTTCTGGAGGCTGGGAAGTCTAAAACCAAGGTGCTGACAGATTCATTGTCTTGTGAGGGTCCACTTCCTCATAAATGGCCATCTTTTTGCTGTAACCTCACATAGTGGAATGGCTGAGACATCTCTCTGGAGTCTCTTTGATAACTGCACTAATCTCATTTATGAGGGCCTGTTTGCCAGACCTAGATGTCTCTACTATTAGGATCACTAGAACCTGTTAGTTACCCCCCATTAAAGAATGTTGCATACTAGAATATAATTGCTTATTTGTTTGTCTTCCTATTAAACTGTGAGTTCCTGGAGTCTTCTATTGTATCCCAGTCCTGAGTATACTGTCTGGCACATAGTCAAAATTTAGTAAATATACTCTGAACTGGATTGAATGGTAAAATAATATAGAATGTGGGCCTGAGTGATTTATTCTGTTTGTTTTACTCTCTTTTTTTTCTCTAGAAAACATAAGATGAGGGAAGTACTTTATTTGCTCATTTTATACCTAAGATGAGGTGTGCCTTCATATCACCTGGTCCAAATTCCCACTACCCTCTACATGAAACAATTCTTTCCTGATAAATCTAGCCTAGCAATCCATTTATGAATATCAACATCTAGGGAGGTCAACACTCGCTCTTACCTTGAAAATATGTATGTTCAATTTTCTTAGCAAATAGAAGTAAAAGTGAAACTAACTGACATAATATTTTTTATTGATAAAATTAACAAAGATTCAGGTGGGCAAAAAATTTGCTGAATCTACTATTTACATGCAAAGAAAAACATGGACACCCTACCTCACACTGTAAAGAAACACTCAAAATGGATCAAAGACCTAAACATAAGTGCTAAAACTTTGAAACTCTTGGAAGAAACAGCACAGGCAACAGAAAAAACAACAGATAAATTAGACATCATCAAAATTTAAAACTTGTGCTTCAAAGGACACCATCAAGAAAGTGAAAAGACAACCTAAAGAATAAGAGAAATTTTGTAAATCACGTATCAGATGTGGGACTTATATCTAGAATGTGTAATAAACCCTTGCAAATCAATAATAAAAAGACAAATTACCCAATTAAAATTGGGCAACACACTTGAATACACAGTTCTCCAAAGAAGATATACAAATGCCTAATAAGCACATGAAAATATGCTTAACAGTTAAAATAATACAGGGAAGAGATCTTACTGTGTGGACATCTCAGTGAGTATGATGTGAATGGCATACTCACTGCTAAAGGAGACTTGTGGCTGTCAGACAACCGTTTACTTAAATATCAGGCTCTATTACTTGAAGGGCCAGTGCTGCGAATGCACACTTGTACAACTCTTAATCCAGACACATTTCTTCCAGACAATGAAGAAAAGATAGAACATAACTGTCAACAAGTAATTGCTCAAACCTATGCCGCTCAAGGGGATCTTTTAGAGGTTCCCTTGACTGATCCCGATCTCAACTTGTATACTGATGGAAGTTCCTTTGTAGAAAAAGGACTTCGAAAAGCAGGGTATGCAGTGGTCAGTGATAATGGAATACTTGAAAGTAATTCCCTCACTCCAGGAACTAGTGCTCAGCTGGCAGAAATAATAGCCCTCACTCGGGCACTACAATTAGGAAAAGGAAAAAAGGTAAATATATATATACAGACTCTAAGTATGCTTACCTAGTCCTCCATGCCCATGCGGCAATATGGAGAGAAAGGGAATTCCTAACTTCCGAGGGAACACCTATCAAACATCAGGAAGCCATTAGGAGATTACTATTGGCTGTACAGAAACCTAAAGAGGTGGCAGTCTTACACGGCCTGGGTCACCAGAAAGAAAAGGAAAGGGAAATAAAAAGGAACCACCAAGCGGATATTGAAGCCAAAAGAGCTGCAAGGCAGGACCCTCCATTAGAAATGCTTATAGAAGGACATCTACTATGGGGTAATCTCCTCCAGGAAACCAAGCCCCAGTACTCAGAAGAAGAAATAGAATGAGGAAACTCATGAAGACATAGTTCCTTCCCCTCAGGATGGCTAGCCACCAAAGAAGGAAAAATACTTTTGCCTGCAGCTAGCCAATGGAAATTACTTAAAATCCTTCACCAAACCTTTCACTTAGGCATTGATAGCACCCATCAGATGGCCAAATTATTATTTACTGGACCAGGCCTTTTCAAAACTATCAAGCAGATAGTCAGGGCCTGTAAAGTGTGCCAAAGAAGTAATCCCCTGCACTGCAGGCCATACATTTCAATCCCTGTATCTTTAATCTCCTTATTAAGTTTGTTTCTTCCAGAATCGAAGCTGTAAAACTACAAATCATTCTTCAAATGGAGCCCCAGATGCAGTCCATGACTAAGATCTACTGCAGACCCCTGGACTGGCCTGCTAGCCCATGCTTTGATGTTAATGACATCGAAGGCACCCCTCCCGAGGAAATCTCAACTGCACAACACCTACTACACCCCAATTCAGCAGGAAGCAGTTAGAGTGGTCATTGGCCAACCTCCCCAACAGCACTTGGGTTTTCCTGTTGAGAGGGGGGATTGAGAGACAGGACTAGCTGGATTTCCTAGGCTGACTAAGAATCCCTAAGCCTAGCTGGGAAGGTGACCACATCCACCTTTAAACATGGGGCTTGCAACTTAGCTCACACCCGACCAGAGAGCTCACTAAAATGCTAATTAGGCAAAAACAGGAGGTAAAGAAATAGCCAATCATCTATTGCCTGAGAGCACAGTGGGTGGGACAAGGATCGGGATATAAACCCAGGCATTTGAACTGGCAATGGCACCCCCCTTTGGGTCCTCTCCCTTTGTATGGGAGCTCTGTTTTCACTCTATTTCACTCTATTAAATCTTGCAACTCCAAAAAAAAAAAAAGAAAGAAAATATGCTTAAAATTATTAGCTCAAAGGGAAATACAAATCAAAGCCACAAAGAGACATTACCTCACACCTACTCAGATAATTATAACAAAAAAGTCAGATAATAACAAGATATTGACAAGAATATGGAGAAATTGAAACATTCATACATTGCTGGTGGGAATGTAAAATGGTGCAGCCACTTTGGAAAACAGTCCGATAGTTACTCAAATGGTTAAACATACAGTTAAAATGTGATCCAGAAATTTTACTCTTAGTTATATATCCAAGGGAAGTAAGAACATGTCTACACAAACACTTGTACACAAATATTCATGGCTGTATTATTCATAATAACAAGCAGAAGCATCCAAATGTCCATCAACTAATGAATGGATAAATAAAATGTGATATCCATACAATGGTATATTATTCAACAATAAAAAGAAATGAAACACTAATGCAGGCTAAAATATGGATGAATGTTGAAAACATTATGCTAAGTGAAAAAAGCCAGTCACAAAGAACCATGATCACATTTATGCAAAATCTCCAGAAAAGGCAAATCAATAGAGACAGAAAACAGATTAGTGGTTGCCTAAGTCTGAGGAGTGTGGAAGCGGGATGTTGACAGCTAAGAAATATGAATTTTTTTTTTGGAGGGAGAATAATGAAAATGTCCTAAAATCGAATGTGCTAATGGATCCTATTTTATCAATTAGGAGTTACTGAACTGTACACCTTAAATGAGCGAATTACATGGTATGTGAATTATCTGAAAGAGCTGTTAAGAAAATTTTTAAGATGTAATATTGAAGCCAGTGCTCTAGTCTTCTTGTATATTTTCAATGAAAATAAAATTTGATACAACTAACTTAGTTTCATCAAACTGTTGTATGTCTTTTGGTCCATTTATGAAGAAAGATGTATATCACTTTACTGTTAATAGTTAATATCATAAATAAATTTTCAAAAATTTGAAAATATTAGAATTATAGCTGTACTTGCCAAACTCATAAGGCACTATATAAAAAGGCAGTCAACATCATTAGTTATTAGGGAAATGCAAATTAAAACCATAATGAATACCAGTGCATATTTATTAGAATGATTAAAATGGGGAAAATGACACTACCAAGTACTGATGAAGAAGCAGAGCAACTGGAACTCTCATACTTTGCAGGTGGGAATGCAAAATGATACACAATCACTTTGGAAACAGATTTGCAATTTCTTATAAACATATGCTTGTGGCCGGGCATGGTGGCTCACACCTGTAATCCCAGCACTTTGGGAGGCTGAGGTGGCAGATGACCTGAGGTCAGGAGTTTGAGACCATCCAGGCCAACATGATGAAACCCCATCTCTACTAAAAATACAAAAATTAGCCAGACGTGGTGGCACACACCTGTAATCCCAGCTACTCAGCAGGCTGAGGCAAGAGAATCGCTTGAACCTGGGAAGCGGAGGTTGCATTAAGCCAAGATTGTGCCACTGCACTCTAGCCTGGGCAACAGAACGAGACTCTGTCTCAAAAAACAAAAACAAAAACATATGCTTGCCATATGATGTGGGAGATATGAAAACTTATATTCACACAGAAACCTGTACATGAATGTTTATAGTAGCTTTATTCATAAGCTCCCCAAAGGAAACAACCTAAATGTCCTTCAGCTGGGGAATGGATAAACAAACTGTGGTACAGCCACACGATGGAATACTATTCAAAAATAAAAAGAGGAGAACATGAATACATGCAGCAACAGGGGTGAATCTTAAATTCCTTCAGTTAAGTAAAGGCAGCTAGACTCAAAAAGCTATATACTGTTTGATGCCCTCAACATGCCATTCTGGAATAGGCAAAACTACAGAGATAAAATACAGATTAATGGTTTCCAGAAGTTGGCATAGGGGAAAACTTGACTATAAAAGGGCACAAGGTAATTTTTTTGGTGATAGATTATGTATTGATTGTGGTGATGGTTGCATTTGCCATGCATTTGTCATATATGTACTTGTCAAAACTCAGAATTTTGACAATAGGGTGACTTTTTCTGTATGTAAATCTTACCTTAATAAAAAGTTTTAAAAATAAGTTTTGAAAAACTGCTCAATATGCTAAATTAATATAAAGTACCCTTATTTTAAAGTGTGTTTACCAAAGCTGTAAAAGCATGGAGACATATTTATAACATGTGAAAAAAACAAGTGATTATGTTATATATTTATAACTGTAGTAGAAATACAAATACTGTGTTTAAAAATCTTCACATATTAGCTCAAAAAGATAGAAAAAAGTTAGCCAAAATGTCAAGAGTAATCCTTTATGATTGGGGGTGAGGACAGGGATGATTTTTTTTGCTTTTCATTTTCTATTTTTAAATTATATTAATAAGTATACTTTGTTTTTCACAAGAAAAATGACATATTACATTTAATAAAAGGACTATATGGGAGTCAGAATAATTCTTTTCAAATATAAAAATTTTCTCAAAGTGTATTGGTCTAAGTAAGACATTCATTTCGTAAATAAGTCATTAGGTTTTGTGGCTTTAGTTTGCTTTTCTGCAAAATGAGAGAAATCTGTTTAGTATTTTTGCTACTCACCCTGAAGCAAAATAAATAAGTTCTCACACTGAAAACAAAATAAATAAATAGCAGCTAATTCAGAGTAGGTGGAAAAGGTGTGTTTGTAAAAACAAGAGTGTTTATTTTCATGTGTGGACTTTAATTCATATTCTCAATCAACTATTTTCTACAGCCTCACCTTTCCCTTCTTAATGAGAACAGTATAGTTCTCCTATTACTAGACAACATTTTTATGTGAGCCACACTCTCACTCACCATATCTATGACAACATGCCCAATAAAGAATCTCCACTAGCCCAAGTCTGTTTCCATAGCACTAGCCAACAGAAAACTATGCGGCAATCAGCCCTAGAAAGTAACCTCTTATTTGTTCTCACAGAGATCTATGAAGAATAATATATTTTAACTTTTCCTTGTCTAGTATCACCATGGCCCAGATTCAGTCTCAGTGCCTGTGCGGTTAAAGGATGGTTTGAACTGAGCAAGAAACAAGGATAACCTAAACTTTTCTGAAGGATAATTTTCTTTGAGTCAATACGTGTTCTGTGATCCAATGAGAGATAGAAAGCCCAAAACTTCTGACACCAACAAACTGTCAGAAGGCAGCAGGGCAGAGGGAGAGCATTTGGAGATATACCTAATGTTAAATGATGAGTTACTGGATTCAGCACACCAACATGGCACATGTATACATATGTAACTAACCTGCACGTTGTGCACATGTACCCTAAAACTTAAAGTATAATAAAAAAAAAAAAAAGAAGGCAGCAGGGCTATGAAATCAGATAAATCTGAGGTTGAATCCCACTTCTATCCAGAATTGGTGCTAACAAAAAGTTTAATTTCTTTGAGTCCCAATATCTTCATATGTAGCAAGGGAAATAATAAGACCTACCTTTGAAAATTATGGGGATTAACTGGGGTAAATGCAAAGTGCCTCTTATGTAATAGGCACTTAATGAAATGTTACTCTTTTCCACAGAGTTTCAGAAGTTGTTTTGCGAAAAACCATAAGGCAGCCTAGCCAACTCTTCTAGAGAGAACAACAGGGTTGTGAGTGTGTATGTGTGTGCCTGTAAGCATGACTGTATTAGGAGTAGTAATCAGAAAGAATCATGTGGGATGCTGTGGATATGTAATTAGAGGTGAAACGGAAGTCTATAAGATCTGGAAAAGAGGTTTCTAGACTCCAAGAGTAAAAGTTGTAAAAAAGAAAAACAGCCAACCCATTTTTAATGGGTCACTTGAACCTAATTATCGGGTCATAGTATATTCCACTTGAAATATATTTTCAAATTAATTGTGTCAAATTTTCTCATTTTTAAAGCAAAAAACAAAACAACACTAACGCTCAGAGAAGGGAAGGGAATTTCCCAAGGTCACACAACACATGGAAAGAAGTGGGACTAGAACATTCCCAGTCTCCTGTTTCTGAGAAAGTAGGGCCCTCTTTGCCCTTGGAGATACTGCTGATTCTTCTTTATGGAATGCCTATGTAAATAAATCCTGCGCTAGGTGCCAGGCAAAGCAAGGCATTGACCCAATCCTCAGTGCATTACGAGGACAAGAAGATAGAGAGGGTGCCATAGAGATGGCACAACCATGATGCGTACCCATTAGGAGCATGGAATGAAGCACGCGCACAAACACACACACATTTACACATGAACATTTACATTACACAGGGTTGTAGCCTGTTGTTATCTGTCATGGAGGGCTCTATGGGAAAGAGGTGTTTGGTCAGCTCAGCAAGGAGAATGTATGTTTAGAAGATCACTGAAGAGGATGAGTGGTGATGCTGGATGGAAAAAAGAAACGGATATGTGAGGAGTTGCAAGGGTCTGGAAGGTTTTTATCTGCCCATGTGTCCTCAAGAAAGTCATTTGATTGATTCTCAGAATAGGGGAGTTACAAGAGAAAAAAAAGTCGCTTGACAACCCCTTCTTCACTTTCATTTCTGATTATGTTGTCTGATCCCAAATCCTCACCAGCATGGGACTATAGTTGAGGTCATGGGAATTTTAATGGATAAATGATTTAGAGCTGCCAGTTGTATATCCAAGACTCCAATCCCTTTTCTAGATTATTCCCTCTCCTAAGACACTTCTGAATCTTCTTAAGAAAGATATCTGGGTGACTCACATAGAACTTGAAACCAGTGTCTCTGCTGTACTGGATGTTAGGTGCCACAATCGTGAAAGAATGGGACTGATAGGGAGAACTTCACATTACCCTGAGATCCTGGACTTTGAGCTGTCTTCGTGGTCATGATGGGACTTTGGTGGTTTCTCTTGAGTAAGAGGTTGAAAGGTGTTCTCTACTTGGGAAGAAAAATCAATGGGGATTTGATAGAGGGCCAGACTGTAGTGGTGACAACTAAGTATTCACCACAGTCTCTTTCCTTTTTCTCCAAAGCACACAGTGAGACAACATTTCCCAGACTCGCTTGCAATTCGGCATGGTCACATGACTAGTTCTGGCCAACCAAAGGTAAGCAGAAATTATACATGTCTTAGCTGAATGGGGAGGGGTCTGAGGATCTGCATGAGGGTAGAACTGCATCATGGAAAGAGCATAGACCATGAATCGCTGAATTACTGAGTTATATGAACAAGAAATAATCTACTGTGTTATGCTTCTGAGATTTGGAAGTTACCTGTTACGGGATTTAGCCTACCCTATCTATCATTATTTCGTCAATCTTAAGATGTACATATTTCCATATTTTAATACTCCATTTTAGACTTGACTTAGATAAAATACTGCAATACAGGAATGTTAAGACAGACATATCAACACACTCACATTCACACAGCTAGTGTGATACTGACACTCCAAGTCTCCTCAACACTAGACCAAATTTCTAAGTTCCATGAGGTACTGATAAGAGAGACAAAGTTACCTAACCACAGAAGCTCCTACATTTGACTAACTTACCTACAGCTCATTGTCCTGGTGTGAGACCATGGTATGTTATCTCAGTATTTTGGATGCTAGCTCTCTGGATTCTGTGACTTAGGAGGAGATTAAAGATTGAACTCCAGCTAAGTTTGGGGGTGATGAAGAGAAGAGCTGATAAACCTGGTATGCCACTGGCAGTCCTATTGTGTCTAAGAAAGAGGAAGATTCTGCTTTGCAGAGCAGCTCAATTTAAAGTCTTGTTAAAGTATTAAAAAAGGTTCCTCTGCTTGCAGTGTTAGTATGTGTCCCCATCAAACAGACTTTGGATATTAGATCTGCCATCTGCACCATGGTATCTGTTGCTAGGGTTACAATGCTCTCCTTGAACAGAAAATCAAATAGCTGCCTGAAACCTGCAGGTAAAGGTCACAGTTGGCACAACATGCATCCTTTTGCGTATATAAAGGAAAAGTATGGCTGTAGGGGAAGGAGGTTCTTTAGATTCTCCCTTTGAGGCCAACCTGGTAAAGATGATCTGGGTAGAAACTTCAGATATCAGCTGTATGTAAGAGGGCATCTTGATAATGCACAGAAAATTCATAAATGGGGATTGGAAATAAATGTTTAAAAACTAAATGCAAGATATCATTTTTTTGAAGGGGATGGTCTCACATGAGTCACCCCACATTGTCCACTCTCAGCTAACCCCTTACCTTCCCAACTTTTAGAATGAATAATGTCCATATGTCTAAAGAATAGGAAATCTTTCAAAAGTAATGAATACAGCATTGGAAGAAATACATTTCTCAAATTATATGGACAGTTTAAATAATAGTTTGATCTTTTCGGGGCTCAGATAGGCTTGGGGGATGCAGAGTTGAGAGGAGGAAGATATCCTCTGGCCAGGTTAACTTAGTTCTGTAGCCCAAGCTTGAAGATACAGAGCACTCTTGCCAAGAAGCTAGAGAAGTAACAGAGTTTGTCAAAACTCTTAGAGAACGGGGAAGAGAGCTACCAATTGCCTTGTGAGTATTGCTTTTTATACTTATAATTTTTACAAGTGTTGATGGTTGTAATGATATTGCTGCTACTACTGCTTCTAATACTACTAGTATTTGTGGCCATTAGTTCTTTTTAAATAATTTCCAATGAATTATCATAAAAGCAGTATAAACAAGAGGTAAAAGTATAACTGTACAAAAGTGTGTAAAATGAAGTTTCCTTCCTCTTACCTTGGATACCCAAGAACCACTCCCCAGAAGTAACTAATCTAAAGTGTTACTTCAGAAATATTCTATGCCTATATGAAGATATATAAATATAGTTAACAGATGCAGGATTTAATATACATACTGTTCTGAAACATGTTTTTATCACTTAACACTGTGTCTTGAACATATTTCCTTATTAGCACCTATAGTGCTATATATATGTGAGATACAGATTTGGCAACATGGTACAGTGGAAAGAGCATGGGCTAAAATTAAGACTATGTGAAGGGATTTGACTAAAAGATGATAATAACTTCACTCTTTATAATAGCAGAATTGTTTTAACAACTCAAATGTCCATTAAAAGCAAATGCCATTATGGTATGTGTCATAGAAAAATATATAGCATGGCCGCGGTGGCTCACACCTGTAATCCCAGCACTTTGGGAGGCCAAGGCGGGTGGATCTTGAGGTCAGGAAATCGAGACCATCCTGGCCAACATGGTGAAACCACATCTCTACTAAAAATACAAAAATTAGCTGGGCGTGGTGGCGGGTGCCTGAAATCCCAGCTGCTCCGGAGGCTGAGGGAAGAGAATCGCTTGAACCAGGGAGCTGGAGGTTGCAGTGAACGGATATCGTGCCACTGCACTCCAACCTGGGCGACAGAGCAAGACTCCATCTCAAAAAAAAATAATAAGAAAGAAAGAAAAAGAAAAATATGTAGCAAAACTGTGTTTTATTTACATTAAATTATACTTAGGTGACTATTAGGTTTCACCTTTTATATGTATTATAATTATTGTTACTACGCTGTTATATTAGAACTTATTGTTGCTATCTTAATTTATACATGTTATTGATAAGTTTTCAATATTTTATATGTATTTATATTATCCTGACAGGGAGATATGTGCTTTCTCTAGCAAAGACAGGTTATTACTTATTCACAGCTGTAACCACCTCAATTTCATTTTTTCCCAGATTCTTCCCCTCAGGGTGATGTGGTAAGAGTTAGATGTCATTCTCTACATACTGGGATCTGTATATAAGTAAAGAACCCACAAAATATAAATCTTGGGTTTATATAGGAGAGAGACAGCTTTTCCCTCTTCTCTCTGAGAAGGAATTGATCTCAAATGTAAATAAAGGAAAGCATCCTCCAAAGTTGGGAGGAAAAGAAAATGTATCCAAAGAGTTTTTACTATTTGGAAGGTAAGTAAATGTTTTCAGGGGGAAGATAAGACAAGTATCTCTGAATTACAACCCCTGTGATATCTTCATGCTCCTGAGTTTCATTGCCTTTCTGAAATATAACACATACCTCCCAGGTTGTAAATCTCCACTTAATGATCATTTAAACTCCAAGGTTTTAACCCAGGTCTTAGTAAAAATTTCCCAGAAAGCCCTGACCATGCATAAAGATAAACATAATCACTTCTTGAAAAAATTTACTACACTTTATTTCAGTGTAATTTTAAATTTCCCCTCATTTACATTGGCTAGATATTACTTTCTTCTGGGAAGTAGGTATATAATTTTTAATTATTCTTAAGGTTTACTATAATTTATTAAGACCCATATTCATGGTTTTTTTCTACCAGTTTTTGAGGATTATCAATACCAAATCTCCCATCTGAACCAGATGAAACCTCAGCCTTCTCACTTTCTTCTTGTCTATTCTTTGATCTGCCATGTTGACATCACCTGTAGTTTTAACTCAAAATTTTTTGTGTATCCATTTGACATAGTATGTTAATATATTCTTTACTCGTCTTAGCCTGGGTTTCTGGAAAGCACAGTCTGAGGCAGACGTTTGTGTTCTCTTTCTTCAGTACACCAGGGGGCAGTAGTGAACGTAAAGCATAGTGAGGCAAGAAAAGAGAGATGATACAATAAAGCATCACCGAATTGGCCGTTGCTTGGCACTAAACATGACAAATTATTCATCCTCATGTGCCTTTATTGTGATAATCCATATAAAAGCTATTTTAGGATAGTGTATCTGGAGAATGAAGGAAAAATTATTTATGCACTGGCTCCTATCTCCCACCGGTCCAAGATTTGTCTCAGTGGCCATAAATTTTCTGCACTTTTGAATTGGCATGTGTTGGTACTGAGCATGGCCTGTGATGTTTCATGCTTTAGTGTCAACACGAAAGTTTTGGGGCAGGAAGCAGCAAGTGATAGTGTGGGCATAAGCTAGGACTTTGTGGCTTGACTTTTGCCTGCAAGAAGTTTTAAAAGTCCACCTAAAGTTGATGTCTACAGAGGCAACAGGAACTGGAACAAGTGGCTAATTCCCCTGAAGACAGATGAGGCCAAGGGATTCTGAAGTGGTACATAGGAAGCATCTGATATAGTTTATCCTTCTCAGATATTTGGTAATCTCCCATTATATCTGGCCACCCTTAAATACAAGAGGAAAAAGGTGTCCACACTGCCTTCCTTTGAGGGGAAGTAGAAGTCCAAACTTCAGAGAGTCCCCTTGAGATTGAAGCGAGTCGGAATCTCTGGAAAGATTTAAGGCAAGAGGGTTAGTGAAACAAGTTATCACTTCTGTTGTGGCAAGTGGTCCAGACGTCATGATTTATATTATTCATCACTCCCCTCCTCTACCACTCAGTTTAGACTTTCCTAGCAGACAGCATTTGGAGTGATCTCAGTTGCTTGTCTGATGGGGTTATTTCAACTTTTATCTCAGAAGAGTCTCAACCCTTAGCTGTTTTTCTATTGTCAGATCATGGTTGTGACACTTAGACTGTGCTTTTTCACAACTGTCCATTTGCTACTATCACCAGATAATAATGGAAACATCAAGAGATGTCCCAGTATTCCAGTTATCTATTGTTGTGTAACATACTATCCCAAAACTTAATGGTTTAAAACAACATTACCTTTATTTTGGCACATTTATCTGTGGATCAAAAATTTTGTCAGAGTTAAGCTCAGAAATTCTTCTTTTCTATGTGATATCAACTAAAGTCACTTGGTGGTCTTCAGCTGGTGGCTGAGCTTGTTTTGAGGGTCTAAGACAGCCTCACTCAAGAATGGTGACTTGCTGGGGACATCTGAAATGCTCAGCTCCATTGGGCCATTCTTTTTCTCCATGTTGTTTCAGGGCCTCTTTATATGATCTCTAGCAGGGTAGTAGGGCTTCTTAGATGGAGGCTCAGGCTCTAAGAACCAGTGTTCCAAGAAGCCAACTCAGAAGCTACAAGGCTTTTTATGACCTACTCTTGAAAGTCATGCAGTGTTACTTCCATTGCACTCTATATGTTACACAGTGCTGGTCCATGTTTAACATGGAAAGAGACTACACAAGGTTGTGAATATTGCAGGAAAAGGCTCAAGGGGAGAGCATATTTGGACATGAGCTACCATACCCAGTGAATGCCCTAGGTTCCAGACATTCTATTGTGTATGCTTCTATTGTGTATTAGCTCCTTATGGTAATGAGAATTGATGAACCCTGTCAGCACAGAAACTTCGTTCTTTGTCTTCGGCTTCCAGTTTGGTGAAATTCTTACTATGTCTGTCCTTGTGAGAAAGCACTCTCCCTCTCGGAGCCAGGACATTTTACCAGGAAAGTCTAAGGTTGTGGGAATGGGAAGCATACATTTCATGACTGGGTAATAATTAGAAGGACTAATTCTACTTCCATTCATTGGTTCCCAGATCCATATTTTCGGGCTATTAGGAAGACAGTATCATATATTTATTGATTCAGTGCATATAACATATCCCAGAAGACATGGCTCTAACCTCCTAAGTTGTATCTTTAAAGTGGCACCTTAGTTAAACCTTTTTTTATTTTAAATGCAATCTGCTTCTCTGGATGGTGGTAAGAGCAGTGAACTCTCTTATCACATGCTCATGGTCTCTCTTTCAGTCAAATGGATGTCTTGATCACAGGTAATGTAGTGTGAGATACTAAGCCAGATCAAGCCTTCCATAAGTCTTAGACAGATAGTGGTGCTGATGAAGACTTTGGACACAAGGTGGCAAACCCATATCGAGTGAGGATGAATCACTATTTTCCCAGAAGATGCCTTAATCACATTCAAGTTTATACGCAAATTGTTAGAGCATTTTTTGGAGAATGCTAATTTCTCCCCAGAAGGAAATTTTTAACTATATTATACAAAGTAGTTTTGTCTTAGACCAGATTTGAGACAATTTTTAAAATTCATCCTTATTTTTTCTAATTGATTCTTTTCTGTAACAGCTTATTTGAGCTTCTTGTTTCAAAAACTCTTTCTTATCACTCTGAGGATATGCATTAAACATACTTTAAATTTTATTCCACAGGGCCTTCAATTTGGCCTCCTTTAGTATAGTTCATTCAGCGTGTTTTTCTTTAGGAGTGCTTATATTTCTTTGACATTGGGTTATTTTGCCTTATGAATTAACATGGCTGATAATATGACTCAGGAGGAAGATAGTAAGCCTAAATATTAATTTGAGCAACTCTATCTGAGTTAAGAAATGGGTCAGGAGGGAGGAGCATCTCAAGATGAAGAGGAGAAGAATATGTGTTGCAATCTGAGTTTGACTCACCCTTACTAGCATCTTTCCCAAGTTTCTCAGGCGACCATTACCGTTGAATTACCACTGCCCAGAGCTTTCACCTTCTCCTTGTAAGAGACACAAGCACTGCACCAGGGAGGGAGACATTTTGAATTATGAAGGAGGAGAATGCGTAGAGGCTTGCCATCTGCCAGCCACCATTGTTACTGGCTCCCTCACTCAACCAGGTTCAGCACTAGGGTGATCTTTGTCATATGCAAGTGAGATCATTAGCTCTCTAACTTGAAATTATACCACAGCTTGACGTTATATTACACTAAAACCCAAAGTCATTCTCATGGCCCACAAGGTCCTGCATGACTCCTGCCCATCTCCCCTCCCTTATCTGTTCTCCCTCCAGGAATCTAATCTCCAGGAAATCCCACTGGTCAAACCCAACTAAGGTAATCCACAGACGTCAGCCTCTTGGGAAAGAGAGCAAAATGTAGAGAGTGATTCAGAAGGGGAATGAAAGAGATCCAGCATGATAATTACACAAAGTTAAGAAAGACTTATGGGGCTAGTTATGACTTGAATTGGCAATACAGCCTTTCTTTGAGGAGCTGCTTTGCATTGCCTCAAAGAATCATAATCACCTAGTGCAAGGAGAGTACATATGTGGAGAGGCTTTCAGGGATGCTGACATTCTCCCCAGAAGAAACTCGTTCCTCTGATTCTTTATGCTATTGGAGATCAGATAATGCCTAAATAAAGGGAGGGGGAGGTTTCCCTTCCTTCCAGGACAGATACCTTGGAAAATCTTAAGTCAATTAGTCTGTTTCATTCAAGGCAAACATTTTAGTCTATAAATGAAGTTTGGTCATAACATCCCTAAAACCTTAATCAAACAAGCTCTTGATCATTAAGATCCATGGTTTTTAAATATGGCATTATAAATTGAACAGTTTCCAAGGAATCCATGCATGCTCCTTTTTTTTTTTTAAAGAATAGAATGTGAACTTTTTCCACCTAAGATGTGTAAATGATTGTGTTATATGCAGAAGGCAGCCAGCTGTGTCTTTCCCTGTTCCTCTTCCTTTTCCCTGGAAAAGGAAGCATCTCAGTAGCACCTGAGATAACAGATGGAAAATAGTAATAGAATATCTGATATCGCCCAAATTCACTGCAAGGACATAGACCTCAATCCTAAGACTTTACTCCAAGTTCATGCAGAGACTAGAATTCTGAATCTCTGAATACTCAGTCTAGACCTCTGTTAGGCACCCCCTCTGCCTCCTATATGGTCTTTGACATGACCACAAGCATGGCATCATTAAGCAGATGTAAAGCACCTTAGATCTGGGAAACACATCACATAGAGTGGTGAGTTAGAATAGGCAATAGAACATGTTTGGAGAGGACGTGTGGTGTATGTCAAAATAAAAGGGGAGATATGGGGCAAATATTAAACCCAGAATGTTTGCTGTTGACTTTTTTCTCAAATATGCCAAATGTTTATGTTTACAGATGAAAAGTCTTAATGCACCATTTTATTAACTCATTAATTAAGAGAAAAGACTTCCAAAAACTCCTAGATGTTAAGGATGCATTATTCTCTAAGCATGCAGGTCATAGATGACAGGTACTCCATCAGCTCAAAGTATTTTTGAAGCAGTGGCAGCTAGTGAAAACTGACATGGTTACTGGTCATGCAAAGTTATTTTGATGGTTGCCACTGGAAGCACCTGCTAGACAAGAAATCATTGATCTATCTGTTAAAATAATCTAATAAAGAAGTGGCTGAATGGACTTAGTTATATCTCCATCAAGACCTTATTAAAGCTGTCCTGTGAATAAGGCCAACCAGTCTTTGAGATTCGAGGAATAAACCAAGTGTGCACACAATTACCTTTTGGGACATTCTCTCCTTGTTTCTCCAGGTCTCTGAATTTCCAAGTTTGGGCTCCATGCATACTCCTTCTGATGTGTATGCATTTTAGTTTCTGAGCAAGCTCTAAATATTTTCTGACATTTATTATCAAAAGTAAGTATCAAGAGAGGACAAGAAAGCAGAGGTTGGATTCCAGACACTTGATTGGTCCCAATTCTGCCTTAGTAGTTGGGAGAGCATAGGGCATCATTAACTGAAAGGTGGTCACTAACTCTTTCAAATCTAAACCATCTGCATCTGTCAACCAGTATCTGATTATACTTATCTCTTCTTGCTTCTCTTATAAAAACTTAATTTAAATTCCTGAGTCTGTCATCTTCCCACTCAGAGCCTATTTATCCTCTGTATTTTCAGATAAATTTAACAAGCCTGGCTCTGTGACTTCCTGGCCCACTCAGAAGCACATTAGAAATAGAGGATGTGGGCCAGGCATGGTGGTTCATGCCTGTAATCTCAGCATTTTGGAAGACCAAGGCAGGAGGATCATTGAGGCCAGGAGTTTGAGACCAGTCTGGGCAACATAGAAAGACATGGTCTCTACAGAAAAAAACAAACAACAAAACTAACTGGGCATAGTGGCATGCAACTGTAGTCCTAGCTACTTGGGAGGCTGAGGTGGGAGGCTGGTTTGAGTGCAAGAGTTCAAGGTTTCATGAGCTATGATTGTGCCATTGCACTCCAGCCTGAGCAACACAGCAAGACCCTATCTCCAAAAAAAGGAAAGAAAGAAGAAAGAAAGAAAGAAAGAAAGAAAAGAAAGAAAGAAAGAAAAGAAAGAAAAGAAAAAGAAAGAGAGAGAAAGAAAGAAAGGAAGGAAGGAAGCGGTGGAATGATGGTAGTAGACAAGAAAACAGGGAAGAGGGGAGGGACAGACTTTTTTTTTTTTTCCAGTTTGCTAAGGCCACTGTAACAAAGTACCACAAACTGAGTGGCCTAAACAACAGAAATTATCATCTTACAGTTCTGGACCTTACATGTCTGATATCGAGGTTGGCCATGCTCACCTTGAGAATAAGAGAATAAGAAAGGATCCATGCCCCACTGTCTCTTAGCTTTTGGTAGTTCCTTAGCTTGTGGCAGCATAACATAAGACTTCACATGGCATTCTCTCTGTGTGCATACCTGGGTCCACATTTTCCTGGTCATACTGAATTAGGGACCCGCCCTACTTTAATATAATCACATCTTAGCTATTTGTCATCTGCAATGACAAATAAGGTCATATTCTGAGACACTGGGAATTAGGACTTCAACATATGAATTCTGGGGGGACATAATTCCACCCATAACAGACTTCAATAACCTCTGATGATGGAGTCACATTACAGAAAAATCCATAATAAACCTCAGGCAAGAAAATGCTATGTGAGAGGAAAGATGAACTTGCTGGGCTCCAAATCCCGATTTAGGTCTGTATTATTTAGATCTATATTCTTTCTAACCATGTAGCTTGAGGCTCATTGCTTAATGGCTCTGAGCCATTTTCTAAAAAAAAAAAAAAAAAAAAAAAAAAAAAAAACTCTGAAAAAGGGGATAATGAAGACTTTTCTTGACTCATGATGGATGGAATCAAAATATTTGTAAAATCTCCCTAAAATTTTTAATTTTGTTCATGTAACATATAGCATATGTTCATAGCCTACTTAGAATTGGTATTAAAATAATTTATGTGAAACATAAAAACCTTACAATATAGTTTTAGTTATTTCCCATAATTTTTACACTGTATTTGTTAACCGTATTACATTTTCATACATTATAAATTGGCAAAGTGATGTTATAATTTTCGTTTTAAAGACATATGTATTTTAAATAACTTGAGGAAAAATGGCTGTTATCTACCCAAATATTTACTATTAAAAAAATTTATGTTTATTTTAATAGCTTTTGAGGTACAGGTGGTTTTTTGGTATTATAACATGGGTAAGTTCTTTAGTGGTGATTTCTGAGATTTAATGCACCTGCCACTGGAGCAGTGTACACTGTACTCAATATGTAGTCTTTTATCCCTCACCCTCTCCTAACGTTTCCCCCACACAAGTCCCCAAAGTCCAAGTACCATTCTTAGGCCTTTGCATCATCATAGTTTAGCTCCAACTTATACGTGAGAACATACAATATTTAGTTTTCCATTCCTGAGTTACTTCACTTAGAATAATGGCCTCTAGCTCCAGCCAAGTTGCTGCAAAAGACATTATTTCATTCCTTTTCATGGCTGAGTAGTATTCCATGGTGTATACATACCACATTTTCTTTATCCACTTGTTGGTTGATGGGCACTTAGATTGGTTCCATATCTTTACAATTACAAATTGTGCTGCTATAAACATGCATGTGTATGTATCTTTTTCATAAAATAACTTCTTTTCCTTTGGGTGGCTACTCAGTAGTGGGATTGCTGGATTGAATGGTAGATCTACTTTTAGTTTTTAAGGAATCTCCATACTGTTTTCCACAGTGGTTGTACTAATTTACATTCTTACCAGCAATGTAAAAGTATTCCCTTTTCACCACATTCATGCCAGCATGTATTGTTTTTTTTTTACTTTTTAATTATGACCATTCTTGCAGGAGTAAGGTGATATCTCATTGTGGTTTTAATTTGCATTGCATTGTGGTTTTAATTTATTTTTCCGATAATTAGTGATGTTGAGCATTTTTTCTTTTTTTCTTTTTTAATTTAATTTAATTTAATTTTATTATTATTATACTTTAAGTTTTAGGGTACATGTGCACAATGTGCAGGTTAGTTACATATGTACACGTGTGCCATGCTGGTGTGCTGCACCCATTAACTTGTCATTTAGCATTAGGTATATCTCCTAAAGCTATCCCTCCCCCCTCCCCCCACCCCACAACAGTCCCCAGAGTGTGATGTTCCCCTTCCTGTGTCCATGTGTTCTCATTGTTCAATTCCCACCTATGACTGAGAATATGCGGTGTTTGGTTTTTTGTTCTTGTGATAGTTTACTGAGAATGATGATTTCCAATTTCATCCATGTCCCTAAAAAGGACATGAGCTCATCATTTTTTATGGCTGCATAGTATTCCATGGTGTATATGTTCCACATTTTCTTAATCTAGTCTATCATTGTTGGACATTTGGGTTGGTTCCAAGTCTTTGCTATTGTGAATAGTGCCGCAATAAACATACGTGTGCATGTGTTTTTATAGCAGCATGATTTATAGTCCTTTGGGTATATACCCAGTAATGGGATGGCTGGGTCAAATGGTATTTCTAGTTCTAGATCCCTGAGGAATTGCCACACTGACTTCCACAATGGTTGAACTAGTTTACAGTCCCACCAACAGTGTAAAAGTGTTCCTATTTCTCCACATCCTCTCCAGCACCTGTTGTTTCCTGACTTTTTAATGGTTGCCATTCTAACTGGTGTGAGATGGTATCTTATTGTGGTTTTGATTTGCATTTCTCTGATGACCAGTGATGGTGAGCATTTTTTCATGTGTTTTTTGGCTGCATAAATGTCTTCTTTTGAGAAGTGTCTGTTCATGTCCTTTGCCCACTTTTTGATGGGGTTGTTTGTTTGTTTCTTGTAAATTTGTTTGAGTTCACTGTAGATTCTGGATATTAGCCCTTTGTCAGATGAGTAGGTTGCGAAAATTTTCTCCCATTTTGTAGGTTGCTTGTTCACTCTGATGGTAGTTTCTTTTGCTGTGCAGAAGCTCTTTAGTTTAATTAGATCCCATTTGTCAATTTTGGCTTTTGTTGCCATTGCTTTTGGTGTTTTAGACATGAAGTCCTTGCCCATGCCTATGTCCTGAATGGTAATGCCTAGGTTTTCTTCTAGGGTTTTTATGGTTTTAGGTCTAACGTTTAAGTCTTTAATCCATCTGGAATTAATTTTTGTATAAGGTGTAAGGAAGGGATCCAGTTTCAGCTTTCTACATATGGCTAGCCAGTTTTCCCAGCACCATTTATTAAATAGGGAGTCCTTTCCCCATTGCTTGTTTTTGTCAGGTTTGTCAAAGATCAGATAGTTGTAGATATGCGGCATTATTTCTGAGGCCTCTGTTCTGTTCCATTGGTCTGTATATCTGTTTTGGTACCAGTACCATGCTGTTTTGGTTACTGTAGCCTTGTAGTATAGTTTGAAGTCAGGTAGTGTGATGCCTCCAGCTTTGTTCTTTTGGCTTAGGATTGACTTGGCAATGCAGGCTCTTTTTTGGTTCCATATGAACTTTAAAGTAGATTTTTCCAATTCTGTGAAGAAAGTCATTGGTAGCTTGATGGGGATGGCATTGACTCTGTAAATTACCTTGGGCAGTATGGCCATTTTTATGATATTGATTCTTCCTGCCCATGAGCATGGAATGTTCTTCCATTTGTTTGTATCCTCTTTAATTTCATTGAGCAGTGGTTTGTAGTTCTCCTTGAAGAGGTCCTTCACGTCCCTTGTAAGTTGGATTCCTAGGTATTTTATTCTCTTTGAAGCAATTGTGAATGGGAGTTCACTCATGATTTGGCTCTCTGTTTGTCTGTTATTGGTGTAGAAGAATGCTTGTGATTGTTGTACATTGATTTTGTATCCTGACACTTTGCTGAAGTTGCTTATCAGCTTAAGGAGATTTTGGGCTGAGACAATGGGGTTTTCTAGATATACAATCATGTCGTCTGCAAACAGGGACAATTTGACTTCCTCTTTTCCTAATTGAATACCCTTTATTTCCTTCTACTGCCTAATGGCCCTGGCCAGAACTTCCAACACTATGTTGAATAGGAGTGGTGAGAGAGGGCATCTCTGTCTTGTGCCAGTTTTCAAAGGGAATGCTTCCAGTTTTTGCCCATTCAGTATGATATTGGCTGTGGGTCTGTCATAGATAACTCTTATTATTTTGAGATACATCCCATCAATACCTAATTTATTGAGAGTTTTTAGCATGAAGTGTTGAGCATTTTTTCATATGTTTGTTGGCCATTTGTGTATCTTTTGAGAATTGTCTATTCATGTCCTTTGCCAACTTTTTGATGGGATTATTTCTTTGTTTCTTGCTGATTTGTTTGAGTTCCTTGTAGACACTAGATATTAGTCCTTTGTCTGATGCATAGTTTGTGAATATTTTCTCCCACTGTGGGTTGTCTGTTTACTCTGCTGATTATTTCTTTTGCTGTGCAAAAGCTTTTTAGTTTAATTAGGTCCCATTTATTTATTTTTATTTTTGTTGCACTTGCTTTTGGGGTTGTAGTAATGAATTTACAATTTTTTAATGCTCTTCCTATGTCCTGAAAATCTAAATTTTCTTCTGGTATCATTTTTCTTCATTCTGAAGAACTTCCTTTAGCATTACCATTTCCTTTTTTAATTTTTCTTTTCTTTCTTTCTTTTTTTTTTTTTTTTTGACGGAGTCTCACTCTGTTGCCCAGGCTGGAGTGCAGTGGCATGATCTCAGCTCACTGCCTTCTGGTTCAAGCAATTCTCCTATCTCAGCTTCCTGAGTAGCTGGGACTACAGATGCACACCATGATGCCTGGCTAATTTTTGTATTTTTAGTAGAGATGGGGTTTCACCATGCTGGCCAAGCTGGCCTCGAACTCCTGACTACAGGTGATTCACCTGCCTCAGTTTCCCAAAGTCCTGGGATTACAGGCATGAGCCACCACGCTCAGTTCCTTTAGTATTTTTTGTAGAGAACATCTGTTAGTGGCAAATTTTCTTAATTTATTTTTATTTGAAAATATCTTTGTTTTGCTAGAATTCTTGAAGTATATTTTTCTAAATATAAAATTCTGGTATAACAATTTTTATCCCCATTCAGCACTTTAAAGATGTTTTCCACTGTCTTCTGGCCTCTATGGTTTCATAAGAGATGTATGCAATATTTCAAATCATTCTCTTATATATAATGTGTCATTTTTCCTTGATTTCTCTCAAGATTTTTCCTTTATCTCTAATTTTCAGCAGTTTGACTATGACATGCCTGTGCATGGTTTTCTTCTTATCTTATTTGGAGTTTGCTGAATTCCTGAATCTTATTTTATTTTATTTATTTTTGGCATGAGACTGGAGTTTTATTATTGCTCAAAGCAGTCTCCTTGAGCATCTGTGGATCAGAGTTTTTTTTTTTAATTTTAACTTTTATTTTAAGTTTAGGGGTATATGTGCAGGGTGTGCAGGTTTTTACATAGGTAAACGTGCGCCATGGTGGTTTGCTGCACAGATCATCCCATCACCTAGGCATTAAGCCCAGCATCCATTAGCTATTCTTCTTGATGCTCTCCTTCCTCCTCCCCACCGCACCCTCTGACAGGGCCCAGTGTGTGTTTTTCCCCATGATGTGTCCACGTTTTCCTATAATTCAGCTCCCACTTATAGGTGAGAACATGCTGTATTTGATTTTCTGTTCCTGTGTTCGTTTGCTGAGGATAGTGGCTTCCAGCTCCATCCGTGTCCCTGCAAAGGACATGATCTCTTTCCTTTTTATGTCTGCATATATGTATATGTACCACATTTTCTTTCTTTCTTTTTTTTTTTTTTGATGGTGTCTCGCTCATTCGCCAGGCTGGAGTGCAGTGGCACGATCTTGGCTCACTGCAACCTCTGTCTCCTGGGTTCAAGCGATTCTCCTGCCTCAGTCTCCCGAGTAGCTGGGACTACAGATACCCACCACCATGCCCAGCTAATTTTTTTGTATTTTTAGTAGAGACGGGGTTTCACCATGTTGGCCAGGCTGGTCTGGATCTCTTGACCTTGTTATCTGCCCACCTTGGCCTCCCAAAGTGCTGGGATTACAGGCATGAGCCACTGCGCCCGGCCCCACATTTTCTTTATCGAGTCTATCACTGATGGGTATTTAGGTTGATTCCATGTCTTTGCTATTGTGAGTAGTGCTGCAGTGAACATATGTGTGCATGTATTTTATAATAGAATGATTTATATTCCTTTGGGTATATATCCAGTAGTGGGATTGCTGGGTCAAGTTGAATTTCTGCCTCTAGGTCTTTGAGGAATTGCCACACTGTCTTCCACAATGGTTGAACTAATTTACACTCCCACCAACAGTGTAAAAGTGTTCCTTTTTCTCCACAACCTTGCCAGCATCTGTTGTTTTTTGACTTTTTAGTAACAGCCATTCTGACTGGTGTGAGATGGTGTCTCATTGTGGCTTTGATTTGCATTTCCCTGATAATTAGTAATGTTGAGCATTTTTTCCTATTTTTTTTTTGGCCATTTATATATCTTCTTTTGGAAATTGTCTATTCATATTTTTAGCCCACTGTTTTTTTTTTTTTGCTTGCTGCTTTCTTTGAGTTCCTTGTATTCTGGATATTAATCCTTTGTCAGATGCATAGTTTGCAAATATTTTCTCCCATTCTGTGGGTTGTCTGTTTACTTTGCTAATTGTTCCTTTTGCTGTGCAGAAGCTTTTTAGTTTAATTAAGTCCCATCTATTTATCTTTGTTTTTGTTGCATTTGCTTTTGGGTTCTTGGTCATGAACTTTTTGCCTAAGCAAAACTCTAGAAGAGTTTTTCCAATGTTATCTTCTAGAATGGTTATGATTTCAGGTTTTAGATTTAAGCCTTTGATCCATCTTGAACTGATGTTTGTATAAGGTGAGAGATGAGGATCTAGTTTTTTTCCTCTACATGTGGCTTGCCAGTTATCCCAGAACCATTTGTTGAATATGGTGTCCTTTCCGCCACTTTATGTTTTTGTTTGCTTTGTCAAAGATCAGTTGGCCGTAAGCATTTGGCTTTATTTCTGGGTTCTCTATTCTGTTCCATTGGTCTATGTGCCTATTTTTATATGAGTACCATGCTGTTTTGGTGACTGTAGTCTTGTAGTATAGTTTGAAGTCAGGTAATATGATGCCTCTGCATTCCTGAATCTTTAAATGTATGTCTTTCATCAAATTTGGGAACTTTACCACCATTATGGGAGAGTTAGTGTGTTAGGAGGCTACTCCATCATACCTGAAGTAGAACTACAGTTATTCCCCAGTATCAGTGGGGGATTTTTTCCAGGATCCCTTTTGGATACCAAAACTTGTGGATGCTCGAGTCTCTGATATAAAACATTTGCATATAACTCATGCACATCCTCCTGTATACTTTAAACCATCTCTAAATTACTTAAAGTATCTAATATGTAAATGCTATGTAAATAGTTGTTATACTGTACTTTTAAAATTTGTGTATTTCGGTTGTATTTTTATTGCTTTTTAAAAAAATATTTTGATACATGGTTGGTTGAATCCACAGATGCAGAGCCTGTAGATATGGAGGGCCAACTGCACTTCCAAACCATTTTGGTTCAGAAGTGAAAGACTCGCAGAGCTCTCTGGAAAAGTCATCCCATATGGCATGTGGAATCTAGCGTCCCTGGGAGCTGAGCACAGATGTACCACGGTGTCTCAATTCAGACTCTGTGTAACTCTGCTCTGAAGGGGTGATCACAGGTACTTTTGTCAGCAAATATTAAAGGTATACTACAGGACTAAAAGTTTGCCTTATAGAGGAGGTCCTAGATAAACCTGTGGACATTCAGAAGTGCCAAGGAATATAAAATCATGTGAGGACATTTGCCTGAGAGCTTTTGTTTATCAGTTACAGCCAGCCTGGTGTTGCCCCCTTCTCTGCTTAGGGTACATAGTAGCTATGTTAGCTTGCAGGCATCCTGGACATGTGTCAGTGGGTGGTTCTGATTGTGGGCCATCTCTTTTTTTTTTTTTAGAAGCCTTGACTAGCACAGGTACAGCCTCAACATTCAGTGTCTGACTCATCTCAACCATGAACTACTGAACAGAGGCTTGGATTCACTCTTACATTCCTCTGCTGCTGCTTCTCTCTCTTCTTTCTTCTGAGTTAATAAGTTGAACCCAGTTGATTCTGTGAGAAGTTAAGAAGGCATGACTTTTGGACACAAAGGTACTCTATCTGAGTAAATTATGATGGCTTTCCAAGTCAAAAGAACACTCATGCCCAAACAGATGATGAAATAAATATTTCAAAATGAAGACACTCATGCTCCCCGTGAGTTTTCCATGCTGATTGGAAAATCCAAAAAGTCTAGCAGGTTTCTGGTATTAAACTTAACCACTTGTCATAGAGTCACAACTTGTCCTCTGCAAATTGTGTGATCCAGACTCTTTAGTTATGATTCATCAAGCATGAGTTTTAGTTAACAGATTAAATGCTATCCTGCCTTCAGAAAATTAGGACAGTCAACCAAGATTTTACTTAGAGTTGTATGGATTTTAATGCTGAAAACAGAACAATATTTTCGTTCATTGTCAAAATGTCTAACAGGTCTAGGAAAGACTTTTTGTTAAAAAACACTGTAGTTAGCAAAGTCAGAATCTGAGGGCATTTGTGTCTATAACTAGACATATGTCATCAGATTAGAGACTCATGATACCAGGAACTCTAATAAATTTTTTTTTTGTGAGACAAAGATTCTGCTCTCAGAATTATTGGTTCTTGTAATAGTGCTTTAGTAATTTAGACCAGCGTCTCACTAAGAACAAGAAAAACAGAATGAAGCATCATTGAAAAGTTTATCTGAGGCAACAGATAACTAACAAGAAAGGGAAGAACTTTAGGTCAAGCATCTAGGAGGAGAACAGAATGCAAAGAGGTGAACCCTGCATTTGGGGCCACTTTTCTGTGGGGTTAGCACCATGGGAGGATAAACTGTAATTATTTTTTCAACTGATCTGAGGGCAATGAGTAAAAGCTGCTCACCCAGCAGCTTTCTCACACATTCCTCTTCTGGTTCCTTTAGGGGAACTTCTTATCCATTCCATGTAAGACTAGCGGAGATTTTAAATCACTAATGTCAATGGGGTAGGCATAAGACCCAAGCTGGGGGCAATAAAATGTGCCAAACAGGAGAACAGTGTTAAATAATAAGATTGAAAACTGAAATTGGAAAAAGTCCAACCCTTACAGGTGGTTAGGAGAAGGGTACTAGGAAAGGAGTCAGCCAAAGAAAGTACGACCAGTAAGATTAGAAGTGGATGATGTCATGGGAACCAGGAGAAGAGAGTATTTTATGAAAAACAGAGAGGCCAACTACACCAGATGCTACTGAGAGGTCAAGATGACAACTGAAATGTATCTATTATATATGGCAATGTGGAGGTTTTTTGGTGATTTTTGGCAAGAGAAATTTCAGGAAAGTGGTAGAGGAGAAGCCAGATTGAAGTGAGGAGAGAAGCCAAGTGGTGAGGAATTGGAAATGCTATATAGACCATTATTTTGTGGTTGGTCTTTTAAAGGAGTAGAAAATGTGGCCCTATCTAGCAGTCCCTGAAGAGTGAAAGGTGTGTTTGTTTCATTTTTATTAAGGTGAAAAATATTTAGGCATATTTGTATGATGTTCCTGAAGCCTAATTTTGACTATAATTGAAACCAACTTTGTTCCTAGTTTTAAGTTCCTCTCTATGCTGCCCTCTACCACCAACTTCTTGAGATCAGATGTTGACATCACATAAGTTTGCAGGTCCTGCATTTGGCCACATGTTTGGCAGCTTTAGAATTGTCATGAGATGAACCTTGGGTCATTTAGTCCAATCACAGCATGCTGTGCCAAAGGTCATGCAGCTAGTTAATGACAGGCTCTCCTCCTCAAAGACTAGAATGCCAGACATGGAACTTCGTTTTACTGCTTAATCCAGTGACTTGCAAGGCTCACATTTACTCCCAGAGCTGTCATAATTGTATGCAGAGAGAAACCACCAAGAAGCCTCCTTTCACTAGTCTCCTGAGTGTGTACATATGAGTCTGTTCCATAGACCATAACCATCTTTGGAATATTGATTACACTGAATCTCTGGGATGAAAATCTGAGGCAAAATGTCTGATGCACACTATGATCCTTTAAGTTGGTCAGTCGGTTGGAATCCTCAGCGAGCATTTCTTTCTTTTTTTTTTATTTTGAGACGGAGTCTCTCTCTGTTGCTAGGCTGGAGTGCAGTGGCGTGATCTCGGCTCACTGCAAACTCTGCCTCCCAGGTTCAAGCGATTCTCGTGCCTCAGCCTCCCAAGTAACTGGTATTATGGGCACCCGCCACCACGCCCAGCTAATTTTTGTATTTTTAGTAGAGACGGGGTTTCACCATGTTGGCCAGGATGGTTTCAATCTCCTGACCTCGTGATCTGCCCCTCGGATAGCATTTCTGTTTGGAGGAAGGAGGAAGCTCAACATTCAACATTCAATACTCTTATTTCTTAATTAGACAATTGGCCCAAATGAGGCTCTTTCAGCTCTAAGCACCAACTCAGAATCTAGTTGTGGGCTAAGCAACCAGTATATAATGCTTCTTTAAGCGCCCTTCTTTAGCTGGCATGTGCCAAACAAACAAACTTCCAAAGATCAAGGATAAAGAAAAGGTCCTAAAAGCAGCAAGATAAAAGAAAAGAATAACATACAATGAAGCTCCAATACACCTGACAGCAGGCCTTTCATTGGAAACCTTACAGACCAGGAGAGAGCGACATGACATATTTAAAGTGCTGAAAGAAAAAAAAACAAAAAACAACTTTTACTCTAGAATAGTATATCCAATGAAAATATCCTTCAAACGTGAAGGAGAAATAAAGACCTTCCCAGACAAACAAAAGTTGAAGGATTTCATGAACACCAGACTTGTCCTACAACAAATGCTAAGAAGAGCACCTCAATCAGAAAGAAAAGAACGTTAATGAGCAATAAGAAATCATCCGTAACAGTGAATTTTGTACACAGAAAAACACAGAATATTGTAACACTGTAACTGTGATGTGTAAACTACTTTTATCCTAAGTAGAAAAACTAAATGATGAACCAATAAAAAATAATAACTACAACAACTTTTCAAGACATAGTACAACAAGATACAAATAGAAACAACAAACAGTTAAAAAGTTAGGCAAGAAAGTTAAGGTATAGAGTTTTTATTAGTTTCCTTTTTGCTTGTTTGTGTATTTATATAAATAATGTTAAGTTATTAGGTTTAAATAATGGATTACAAAATAGTATTGGCAAGCCTTATGGTAACCTTAAACCAAAAATCATACAAAGGGTACACAAAAAATAAAAATCAAGAAAATCATATCACCAAAGAAAATGACCATCACTAGAAGAAGGCAGGAAGAAAAGAAAGAAGAAAGAGAAGACCACAAAACAACCAAAAAGCAAATAACAAAATAGCAGGAGTAAGTCTTTACTTATCAATAATATCATTGAGTGTAATTGGACTGAACTCTCCAATAAAAAGACATTGGCCGAATGGATGAAACAAGACCAACTGATCTGTTGCCTATAAGATGAACACTTTACCTACAAAGACACACATAGACTGAAAATAAAGGGATAGAAAGAGATATTTCATGCCAATGGAAACCACAAAAGAGCAGGAGTAGCTATACTTATATCAGACAAAATAAATTTTAAGACAAAAACTATAAGAACAGACTAAGAAGGTCACTATATAATGATAAAGGGGTCAATTCAGCAAGAGGATAGAACAATTTAAAATATACATGCACACAACACTGGAGTACCAAGAAATATAAAGTAAATATTATTAGAGCTAAAGAGAAAGATATGCCCAAATACAATAATATCAGGAGACTTCAACACCTCACTTTCAGCATTGGACAGATCTTCCAGATGGAAAATCAACAAAGAAATATTGGATTTAATCAGCACTATAGACCAAATGGTACTAATAGATATTTACAGAACATTTCACCCAATGGCTGCAGAGTACACATTCTTTTCCTCAGCACATGGATCATTTTCAAGAGGGATCATATGTTAGGTCAAAAACTAGTCTTAAAACATTCAAAAAAACGAAATATTGTCAAGCATTTTCTTTGATCAAATGGAATAGAAATAGAAATTAATAAAAAGAGGAATTTTGGAAATTATACAATTAGCTGGAAATTATACAATATGCTCCTGAATGACCAGTGGGTCAATGAAGAAATTAAGAAGGAAATTTAAAAATTTCTTGGAACATATGATAATGGAAACACAACATACCAAAACCTATGGGATATAGCAGAAGTATTACTAAGAGGGAAATTTTTAGCTGTAAGTGCCTACATCATAAAGAGGGAAAATTTCAAATAAACAAGCTAACAATTCATCTGAAAGAACTAGTAAAGCAAGAGTGAAACAAACCCAAAATTAGTAGAAGGAAAGAAATAATAAAGATCAGAGCAGAAATAAATGAAATTGAAATAAAGAAAATATAAAAAAATCAATAAAACAAAAGTTGATTTTTTGAAAAGTTAATCAGAATTGACAAACCTTTAGCCAGACTAACCAAAAAAAGAGACAGAAGATCCAAATAAATAAAACCAGAAATGGAAAAGAAGAAATTACAAATAATACTGTAGAAATTCAAAGGATCATTAGTAGCTACAATGAGCAACTATATGACATTAAATTAAAAAATCTAGAAGAAATGGACAAATTCCTAGACTAGACACATACAACTTACCAAGATTGAACCAGGAAGAAATAAAAAACCTGAACAGATGAATAACAACAACCTCAAAGCCATAATAAAAAGTCTCCCAGTTAAGAAAAGCCTGGAACCCAGTGGCTTTACTGCTGAATTCTACCAAACATTTAAAGAACTAAAACCAATCCTACTCAAACTACTCTGAAAAATAGAGGAGGAAGGAATATTTCCAAACTCATTCTATAAGGCCAGTATTACCTATCAGTATTACCCTGATACCAAAACCAGAAAAAGACACAACATAAAAAGAAAACTAGAGGCCCAAATCCCTGATGGACATTGATGCAAAAATCCTCAATAAAACACTAGCAAACTGATTCAACAATACATTAGAAAGATTATTAATCATGACCAAGTGGGGTTTATCCCTGGGATGAAAAGATGGTTCAACATGTGCAAATCAGTGTGATATATCATATCAATGGAATGAAGAACAAAAACCATATGATCATTTCAAATAATGCTGAAAAAGCATTCAATAAAATTCAACATCATTTCATGATAAAAACCTTCAAAAAACTGGGGATATGAGGAACATACCTCAACATATAAAAGCCATGTACAGCAGACCCACAGCTAGTATCAAACTGAATGTGGAAAACTGAAAAGCCTTTCCTCTAAGATATGGAACATGACAAGGATGCCCACTTTCACCACTGTTATTTAACATAGTACTGGAAGTCCTACCTAGAGCAATTAGACAAGAGAAAGATATAAAGGGCATCCAAATTGAAATGGAAGAAGTCAGTTATCTTTATTTGCTGATGATATGATCTTATATTTGGAAAAAACTAAAGACTCCATAAGAAAACTATTAGAACTTTAAAACAAATTCAGTAAAGTTGCAGTATACAAAATCAGCATACAAGAATCAGTAGCATTTGTATATGCCAACAGTGAACAATCTGAAAAAGAAAACAAAAAAGTAATCCTGTTTACAATAGCCACAAATAAAATTAAATATCTAGGAATCAACCAAAGCAGTAAAAGAGCTCTATGATGAAAACTATAAAACAATTGAAGAGCACACCAAAAAATGAAAACAAATTTCATGTTCATGGATTAGAAGAATCAGCATTGTTAAAGTGTCTATGTTATCCAAATCAATCTGCAGATTCATTGCAATCCCTATTAAATACCAATGTCATTCTTCACAGAAATAGAAAAAACAAAAACAATCCTAAAATTTATATGGATTCACAAAAGACCCAGAATAGCCAAAGCTATCCTAAGCAAAAAGAACAAAACTGGAGGAATCACATTACCTGACTTCAAGTTATACTAAAGAGCTATAATAACCAAAACAGCATAATACTGGCATAAAAAAAGGACAGATAGACCAGTTGAAGAGAATGGAGAACCCAGAAACAAATCTACAAACCTACAGTGAACTCATTGTTGACAAATGTGCCAAGAATATACGCTTGGGAAAAGACAGTCTCTTCAATAAATGGTGCTGGGGAAACTGGATATCCATATGCAGAGGAATGAAATTAGAATCCTATCTCTCATCATATACAAAAATCAAATTGAAATAGATCAAAGACTTAAATCTAAGACCTCAAACTATGAAACTATTACCAAAAACATTAGGGAAAATCTCCAGGACATTGGTTCGGGCACACATTTTTTGAGCACCTCACAAGCACAGGCAACAAAAATAAAAATGGAGAAATGGGAACACACAAGATTAAAAAGCTTCTGCACAAAGGATAAAATCAACAAAGTGAAGAGACAACTCACAGAATGGGAGAAAATATTTGCAAACTATCCACCCGACAAGGGATTAATGACCAGAATATATAAGGTGCTTAAACAACTGTACAGCAAAAATTCCAATAACCTAATAAAAAATGGGCAAAAGATTTCAATAGACATTTCTCAGAAGAAGACATACAAATGGAAAACAGGCACATGAAAAGGTGCTCAACATCATTGATCATCAGAAATGCAAATCAAAACTACAATGAGATATCATTTTACCCCAGTTAAAATGGCCTACATCCAAAAGACAGATAATAATAAAGGCTGGTGAGGATATGTAGCAAAGGGAATCGTTGTACACTGTTGGTGAGGATGCAAATTAGTGTAACCACTATGGAGAACAGACTGGAGTTTCCTCAACAAACTAAAAATAGAGCTACCATATGATCCAACAATCCCACTGCTGGTATATACTAAAAAGAAAGGAAATTCGTATATCAAAGAGATAGCGGCACTTCCATGTTTATTGCAGCACTGTTCACAATAGCTCAGATTTGGAAGTAACCTAAGTATCTATCAACCAATAAATGGATAAAGAAAATGTGGTACATATACAAAATGGAGTACTATTCAGCCATAAAAATGAATGAGATTTTGTCATTTGCAACGACTCGGATGGAACTGGAGATCATTATGTTAAGTGAAATAAGGGAGACACAGAAAGACAAACATCCCATGGTCTCACTTATTTGTGGGATCTAAAATAGAAACAATTGAACTTATAGACATGGAGAGTAGAAGGATGATTACCAGAGGCTGGGAAGTGCAATGGGAATCTGCAGGAGGTGGGATGGTTAATGGGTACAAAAAAGAGTTAGAAACAATAAAGAAGACCTAGTACTTGATAGCACAACAGGGTGGCTATAGTCAGTAATAACTTGATTATACATTTAAAAATAATGAAAAGATTATTGTTGGATTGTATGTAACACAAAGAATAAATGGTTGAGGGATGGATACCCCATTCTTTATGATGTGATTATTTCATATTGCATGCCTATATTAAAACATCTCATGTACCCCATAAATATATACACCTACTAGGTACCCACAAATATTAAAAATTTAAAAAACATAATAAAATAACAAAATTACTATATGCTTATTTTCATGGTAAAATTATACTTCTAGTCATACAAAATGGGTATAAATGTATTATATAAAGATTTATATCTATATAAATATAGACATACGTATTGATTATACAAAATACCTCAATATGTCTATATCTCTATACAGCTAATTAAACACATAAACCAATATTATAAAGCTGATCTAAAACTAATGTAAGACCTGCAATAAATATTAATTGATAATTCAATAATTTTACTTGATTTCTTAGCATTTAGAAGCCATTTGGGACAGATATAATTTGGATACTTATAAACTGTCTTGAGAAGTATTAGTCATAAAGGTTTGAATTGACATATTGTTTTTTGTTGAAATTTTTCCATTTAATAAGCAGAAATATTCTCTACCTTCTTTAATATTGTTGCTTCCCTCAAGGACTGCAGAGGTGTCCAATTCCTGTTTATTGTCCTTATTGTTTTGTTGTTGTTGATAGTAATGATAATGATGATGACGGCATTAAAAGTAACTTGTTTTTTTTCCTGTCAAAAAATAAAGAAAATCATAAGAAAACTTTCTAAAACGTGAGAAAGATATAAATATCAAGGTACAGGAACATCAGAGAATGCCTAACAGCCTTGACCTAAATAAAATGACCTCAATGCATATAATAATCAAGTTCTCAAAGGTCAAGGACAAAAAGAGGATACTAAAAGCAGGAAAAGAAAAGAAGTAAATAATACTTAGAGGGCCTCTAATTCATCTGGCAACAAACTTCTCAATGGAAACAGTACAGGCCAGGAAGGAGTGAGATGACATTTTCAAAGTGCTGAAAGAAAAAGAAAACTCGCCATCCAAGAATATTGTTATCTGGCAACATTGTCCTTCAAATGTGAAGCAGAGATAAATTCTTTCCAAGACAAACAAAAGCTGAGAGAATTCACCTCCACCAGACCCATTTTACAAAATTTCCAAAAAGAGTTATTCAGTCTGAAAGAAAAAAGCCCAGTAATATGCAAAACAAAACCATCTGAAAGTATAAAACCCACTGGTAAAATTAAGTACATGAACAAACACAGAATATTCTAATACCATATTGTGATTTGTAACCACTTGTAACTCCAGTATGATGCCAAAAAGACAAATCTATCCAAAACAATAATAGCTACAGCAACTTAAGAGGTAGGTAGTATAAAAATATGTACATTGAGACACCATAAAGCCAAAATGTGGGGGAATGGAGTTAAAGTGTGAAGGTTTCTTTCCTCATGTGTTTCTTTGTTTATTTATATTCTGTTTTTGTAATCTAAAATAAGTTGTCATCTTTTAAAAATAACTTGTTGTACCTATAAGTTTTTTTCCTGTAAGCCTCATGATGACTACAGTGCAAAAACCTATAATAGATGCACTAAAAATAAAAACCAACAAATTAAAACATACTATCAGAGAAAACCATTTAACCACAAAGAGAAAGAAAGGAGTTATAAAACAACCAGAAAACAAGCAACAAAATGGCAGTAGTAACTCCTTGAACTCCAGACCTCAGGTGATCCACCCGCCTCAGCCTCCCAAAGTGCTGGGATTACAGGTGCGAGCCACCAGACCCAGCCTAGTAAGTCCTTACTTACCAATAATGTGAAATGTAAATAGATTCAATTCTTCAATTAAAAGACAGAGGGATGAATGGATAAAGAAACAAGACCCATTCTATGCTATCTACAAGAAACCCACTTCATCTATAAAAACACACAAAGACTGAAAGTGAAGGAATGGAAAAAGGTATTCCACACCACAGAAAACCATAAAAAAGCAGGAATAGCTATACTTATATCAGATAAAACAGACTATAAATCAAAGATTGTAAAAAGAGACACAGAAGGTCACTGTATAATGATAAGGGAATCAATTCAGCAAGAGGATATAACAATTACTTTTTATATTTATGCACCCAATACCAGAGCTCCCAAGCATATAAAGCAAAAATTAATAGACCTAAACTGAGAGGTAGACTACAATACAATAAAAGTAGAAGACTTCAATATTCCACTCTCAGTAATAGACAGATCATTCACAATGAAACAACAGAGTTGAATTATACACTAGATCAAATGACATTTACAGAACTTTTCATCGAATTGATGCAGATTACACATTCCGTTCATCAGCACATGAAACATTTTCCAGAATAGACCACATCACAGGCCACAAAACAATTTTGAACACATTTTAAAAAATGGAAATCATATCAAGTAACTTTTCTGACCACAATGGAATAAAATAAAAATCAATAACAAAAGGAACCTAGGAAATTACACAAACACATGGAAATTAAACAATATGCCCCTGAATAACCAATGGGTCAATAAAGAAATTAAGAAATATATTTAATAATTTCTGGAAGCAAATGAAAATGGAAATACAACATATCTAAATCTATGGGATTCAGCAAGAGCAGCAGTAAGAGGGAAGTTTATAGCAATAAATGCCTACACCAAAAAAGTAGAAAGACTTGAAATAAACAACGTAATAATTCACCTCAAGGACCTAGAAAAATAAAGACAAACCAAACCCAAAATTAGTAGAAAAAAAGAAATAATAAAGTTCACAGCAAAAATAAATGAAATGGAGACTACAAAAAATACAGAAGTTCAGTAAAACAAAAATTTGGGGTTTTTTTTGAAGATAAAATTGACAAGGTTTTATCTAGACTAACTGAAAAAAAGAGGGAAGACTCGAATAAAACCAGAAACAAAAACGAGATATAACAACTGAGAACACAGAAACACAATGAATCATTCGAGACTATTATGAGAAACTATACTTCTACAAATTGGAAATCCTAGAAGAAATAAAGTCCTGGACACATACAACTTACCAAGATTGAACCATGAAGAAATAGAAAACCTCAAAAAACCAATAGCAAGCAACAAGATCAAAGCAATAATAAAAAGTCTCTCATCAAAGCAAAGCCCGAGACCTGATGGCTTCACTGCTAAATTCTACCAAACATTTAAAGACCTAATACCAATTCTACTCAAACTGTTCAGAAAAACTTGAAGAGAAGGGAATACTTCCCAGTTCATTCTGCCAGACCAGCATTATGCTGATACCAAAACCAGATAAAGACACAACAAAAAGAAAAGTGCAAGCCAACATCCTTGATGAACATAGATGCAAAAATTCCCAACAAATAAACCAGATGCACCAACACATTTAAAAGATCATTCATCATGATCAAGTGGGATTCATTTTAAAGGTGCAAGGATGGTTCAACATATGCAAATCAATGAATATGATACATCCCATTACCAGAAGCAGGAACAAAAACCATATGATTATGTCAATAGATGCTGGAAAAAATTTGATAAAATCCAATATCTCTTTATGATAAAAAATTTCAACAAAGTGGGTATAGAAGGAACATGCCTCAAAATAATATAGCCCATGTATGACAAACCCATAGCAAGCATTGCCCTGAAAAGAGTGAAAGCCTTTCCTCTAAGATCTGGAGCAAGATAAGAATGACTATTTTCACCATTTTTATTCAACATAATGCTGGAAGTCCTGGCCAGAGCAATTTGGCAAAAGAAAGAAACAAAGGGCATGCAAATTACAAAGGAGGAAGTCAAATTAGCCTTGTCTGCAGAAGACATAATCTTATACTCATAAAAACCTAAAGATTCCACTAAAAAACTGTTATAACCAATAAACAAATTCAGTAAAGTTGTAGAATACAAAATCAACATATAAAAATCTGAAGCATTTAGATATACTAAGAGCAAATAATCTGGAAAAGAAATCAAGAAGGCAATCTCATTTACAATAGCTACAAATATTAGAAAATACCTTGGAATCAATTTAGTCAAACAAATGAAATATCTATGCATGGAAAACCATAAAACATCAATATAAGAAATTGAAGATGTCCTAAAAAAGTGAAAGATTTTCCATGGTCATGGATTAAAAAAAATTGTTAAAATGGCAATATAACTCAAAGCACTTTATGGATTCAATGCAATTCCTATCAAAATACCAATGACACTCTCTAGACAATTAGAAAAAAAAGTACTAAAATTTATATGGAACCCTAAGACCACAAATAGCCAAAGTAGTCCTGAGCAAAAAGAACAAATCTGAAGGCATCATACTATCTGCCTTCAAAATATTAATAGATTATAAAACTAGAGTAACCAAATCAGCATGATAATTGCATAAAAACAGACATACAGACAAATGGAACAGAATAAAGAACCTAGATATAAATCCAAGCATTTACAGCCAACTCATTTATCACAAAAGTGCCAAGAACATAACAATGAGGAAAGAACAATCTCTTCAATAAGTGGTGCTGGGAAAACTGGATAACTATATGAAGAACAATGAAATTAGACCCCATTACTCAATATACATAAAATCATCTCAAAATGCTTTAAAGACTTGAATCTAATACCTCAAACTATGAAGCTACTAGAAGAAAAAATTGCAGAAAATCTCCAGGACATCAGTCTGGGCACACATTTCTTGAGCAATACTCCACAAGTACAGGTGACCAAAGCACAAACTGACAAATGGGATTACATCAAACTAAAAACCTTCTATAGAGCAGAAAAAAATATTCCACCAAGTGAACAGACAACCCACAGAATGAGAAAAAATATTTGGAAACTATCCATCTGAAAGTGGAGTAATACCCAGAATGTATAAAAAACTCAAATAACTCAACAGCAAACATAAATAACCTGACTTTAAAATGAGCAAAAAAGCTGAATAGATATTTCTCAAAAGAAGTCATACAAATGACCAATAGGTAAATGAAAAAGTGCTCACTGTCACTAATCATCAAAGAAATGCAAATCAAAACCACAGGAGACATCATCTCACCCCAGTTAAAATGTCTTTTACCAAAAATGTAGGCAATAACTATGCTGGTGAGGATATAGAGAAAGGGGAGCCCTCCTACACTGCTGGTGAGAATGTAAATTAGTACAGCCACTATGGAAAATTGTGGGGGAGTTATTTAAAAAACTAAAAATATTACTACCATATGATCCAGCAATTCCACTGCTGGGTATATAAAAGAAAGGAAATCAATATATCAGTGTTCCCTTTTGCTGTTAATTTACCAGGTAATCATAATATAAAAAATGTAAGTGTATAAATGCTATAGTATCTATATAAAATTATTTGTAGATTTTTAAAATTAATCTTGTGTGTCACTTTAAATAATATGGGAACTAAGTGTTTCTCAAACATTTTTATATAGTCAAAGGTGAGGCCTGAAGTCTTTTTTTTTTTGAGATGCAGTCTCACTCTGTTGCCCACGCTGGAGTGCAGTGTCGCAATCTCAGCTCACTGCAACCTCCATCTCCCGGGTTCAAGTGATTCTCCTGCCTCAGCCTCCCAAGTAGCTGGGATTACAGGCGAGTGACACCACGCCTGGCTAATTTTTGTATTTTTAGTAGAGACGGGGTTTTGCCATGTTGGCCAGGCTGGTCTCAAACTCCTGATCTCAGGTGATCAGCTGCCTCAGCCTCCCCAAGTGCTGGGATTACAGGCATGAGCCACCACTCCCAGCCCTGAAGCCCTTATAAGTAGCTCTTTAACAAATTTTCCCTCCACAAATTTGTCTTGGTAGAATTTTAGGAATTATAATATTATGAGCAAATTCAACACTCTTGAGAAAAATTTAATGACTAATGCTAATAGTTAGGACTGTTTATGAAAAAACTAACAGAAACTCAACTACAACAGGCTTTAAAAATGGAATTGTATAGTTCATGGAGGAAGTGAACAACTAAAACTCAGTATGACAAGCAAAATATTTGAAACTACAGGGATGCTGTCTTCATCTCTCAAATCTGCTTGTATCTGTTCTTGTTATCCTTTTCACTGTAGGCCAACTTCTTTCACTTCATGTTGAATATGGATGCCAACACTATAATTTTCACATCTTGAGATGTCAGGCACCAGAGAGAAACTAAAGAAACTTATTGGCTTCAAGTTTTATATTCTTAGAAAAAGGACTCAGTGATATCTAGGTTGATCCAGGTGTCTGCACGAATTAACTATGCTCATCAGAATGAATGTATTTTGATCAATCCAGTTTGAGTTATAAACTCATCCATGTACTAATCAAATATGACCAGAGAGTGTAGCACAATGAAAAATAAGAGTTCCCAGAAATTCATACAAATGAGGGGTTCCCAGACAAGAGTTGCTGTCACTGTCATGTATCAATTTCTTCTAGATTTCCAACTTTATTACTACAGTAATGTCCTGTCATTAACAATCTATTTGTTATTTTATGATTGGTATTGTTTCTAATGCTGTATATTTAGTTGGGCTTTCTTCACAACAGTAGATAAAACAGATCAGTTATGGTCTGGCAGTGCATCTTGGCAGCCAAGAGGACAGACACTGGGGCAAAAAGAACTGGGTTAAAACACAGCCCCACCGCTTGCTATGTGACCTTGCTTAAGTTTTGTGAGCTGGGGTGAGTAATTCAAACCTGCTCTGCTTGTTTCTTCATCTGCAAAATGGGAATAATAAAAGTACTGACATTGTAAAACTGTTGTGGAGTACTTAGAAGAGTGTCGGTTTGTGATGTTAACTATTTAATTGCATAAAAACAATGCAATTAAAACATTAAAGGTAATGGCAAAGACTGCAATTACTTTTGCACCAGCCTAATATTTTTTTTCTTTCTTTATAAACTGTAATAGAATTTAGTCCAAGGCAGGACCTTTTCAAGCCTGCAAGAGCCACAATATTACTGGGCTTATGCAGTCCCCTAGTGCAGATATAGCTGCAGTAACCAAAAACTTAGATCACAACACCCAGGTTCCTTTGAATACCCACAAATCCTTCCCAAGAAAGACAGGTACAAACAAGCTCAGATTGCAAAGACGACAATAAATGCCTAACTCTTCAATACCCAGACACTGAAGAACATCTACTAGCATCAACACCATTCAGAAAAATATGCCCTCTCCAAATGAACTAAATAGGACATCAGGGACCAATCCTGGAGAGACAGGAGTATGTAGCTTTATGCACAGAGAATTCAAAATAGCTGTTTTGAGGAAACTCAAAGAAATTCAAGATAACACACACAGAAGGAACTTAGAATTCTATTAAATAAATTAATAGAAAGTTGAAATAATTAAAAAGAATCAAGAAAGGAAACCAAGATAATTAAAAAGAATCAAGCAGAAATTCTGGAGTTGAAAAATGCAATTGACATACTGAAGAATGCATCAGTCTCTTACTAGCAAATTCATGAAGCAGAAGAATTAGTGAGCTTGAAGACAGGCTACTTGAAAACACACAATCAGAGAAGATAAAAGAAAAAAGAATAAAACAGGCCTACAAGATCCAGAAAATTGCCTCAAAGGGGGAAATCTATGAGTTATTGGCCTTAAAATGGAAAAAAAGAGAGTGATAGGAGTAGAAAGTTTATTCAACAAGATAAGAACAGAGAACTTCCCAAACCTAGAGAAAGATATCAGTATTCAAGTACAAGAAGGGTACAGAACACCAGGCTGACTTAACCCAAATAGAACTATCTCAAGATATTTAATGATGGAACTTCCAAAGGTCAAAGATAAAAAAAGGATTCTAAAAGCAGCAAGAGAAAAGAAACAAATAGCATGCAATGGAGTTCCAATACATGCAGCAGCAGACTTCTCAGTGGAAACCTTATAGGTCAAGAGAGTAGCATGACATATTTAAAGTGCTGAAGGAAAAAAAAAATACTGGACGGTGAGAGGAACACACAGGCAGAAGAAGACAAGCAGCTAGACATCAAGAGGATGTCGAGGGGAGCAGGCTGGCAGAAGAGCACAATGACAGACACGAGCATGCGGGCAGGCCATCAACCAGCACATGAGATGGAGTTTGGCCAGGACAGTCAGCCCAACTCCAGGGAAAAACCATCTCCCTTCTGGCTCCCCCATCGGCTGAGAGCTACTTCCACTCAATAAAACTTTGCACTCATTCTCCAAACCCATGTGTGATCTGATTCTTCCGGTACACCAAGGCAAGAACCCGGGATACAGAAAGCCCTCTGTCCTTGCCACAAGGTAGAGGTTTAATTGAGCTGGTTAACACAAGCCGCCTATACATGGCAAACTAAAAGAGCACCCTGTAACACACACCCCCTGGGGCTTCAGGGGTAAACATTCACCCCTAGACACTGCCATGGGGTTGGAGCCACACAGCCTGCCCATCTATAGCCTTCCCTAGAGGTCTGAGCAAGCCACACCCCATTGCATGTCCTTCAAGGGGGACAAGGGAACTTTTCCCATTTCTCAAACACATGGAAATTAAACAATAAGCTCCTGAGTGACCAGTAGGTCAATGAAGAAATTAAGAAGGAAATTGAAAAATTTCTTAAAGCAAATGATAATGGAAACACAACATACCAAACCTATGGGATATAGCAAAAGCAGTACTCAAAGGAAAGTGTATAGCTATAAGTACTCACATTAAAAAAGTAGAAAGACTTCAAATAAACAACCTAATAATGCATCTTAAAAAACTAGAAAAGCAAGAACAATACAAACTCAAAATTAGTGGAAGAAAATACATAATAAAGAACAGAGCAGAAATAAAATTGAAATGAAGCAGACAATAATATAAATAAATAAAATAAAAAATTAAGTGTTTTGAAAAGATAGACAAAATTGACAAACCTTCAGCAAGACTGAGAACAAAAGGGAGAAAATCCAAATAAATAAAGTCAGAAATGAAAAGGGAGACTTTACAACTGATACTGCAGAAATTCAAAGGATCACTAGAGGCATTGAACAACTATATGCCAATAAATTGGGAAGTTTGGAAGAAATAGGTAAATTCCTAGACACATACAACATACCAAGATTGAGCCATGAAGAAACCCAAAACCTGAACACACCAATAACAAGTAATGACATAAAAACTGTAATAAAAAGTCTCCTAGTAAAGAAAAGTCTAGGATCTGATGGCTTCACTGTTGAATTCTACCAAACATTTAAAGAAGAACTAATACCAATCCTACTCAAACTATTCAGAAAAATAGAGGAGGAAAGAATACTTCCAAACTCATTCTACAAGGCCAGTATTACCTTGATATCAAAAGGAGACAAAGACACATCAAAAAAAGAAAACAACAGGCCAATATCCCTGATAAACATTGATGCAAAAATCCTCAACAAAATACTAGCAAACTGAATTCAAAAGATCATTCATTATGACCAAGTAGGGTTTATCCCTGGGATGCAAGGATGGTTCAACATGTGCAAATCAATCTATGTCATACATCATATCAATGGAATGAAGGACAAAAACATATGATCATTTCAATTCATGCTGAAAAAGCATCTAATAAAATTCAACATACCTTTATGATAAAAATCCTCAAAAACATGGGTATAGAAGAAACATACCTCAACCCTATAAAATCTGGAGAACAAGGATGCCCACTTTTACCACTGTTATGCAATAGGATAGTGGAAGTCCTAGTTAAAGGAAACAGACAAGAGACAGAAGTAAAGGGCATCCAAGTTGGAAAAGAAATAAATCAAATTATCCTTGTTTGCAGATGATATGACTTTATATTTGAAAAAATCTGAAGACTCTCCCAAAAATCTATCAGAACTTATAAACAGAGTCAGTAAAGGTTACAAAATCAACATACAAAAATCAGTAGCATTTCTATATGCCAAGAGTGAACACTCTGAAAAAAATCCAGAAAATAATTCAATTTACATTAGCTAGAAATATAATTTAATAATTAGCAATTAACTAACCCAAAGAAGTGAAAGATCTCTACAATAAAAACTCTAAAATCTTGATGAAGAAAATCAAAGAGGACACACAAAAAAGGAAAGATCTTTTATGTTCATGAATTGAAAGAATCAATATTGTTAAAATGTCCATACTACTCAAAGCAATCTGCAGGTTCAATTCAATCCCTATCAAAATACCAGTGACATTCTACATAGTAATAGAAAAAACAATCCTAAAATTTATACAGAACCATAAAGGATCCAGAACAGCCAAAGCTAAGCAAAAAGAACAAAACTGGAGGAATCACATTACACCTGACTTCAGATTATACTACAAAACTATTGTAACCAAAAAAAGCATAGCACTGGCATAAAAACAGACACATAGACCAATGGAACAGAATACAGAACCCAGAAACAAATCCACACACCTACAGCGAACTCATTTTTGCCAAAGGTGACAAGAACATACATTGAAGGAAGGCAGTCTCTTTAATAAATGGTGCTGAGAAAACTGGACGTTTGTATTCAAGAGTGAAATTAGACCCCCTGTCTCACCATATACAAAAATAAAATCAAAGTGGATTAAAGACTTAAATCTAAGGCCTCAAACTATGAAACTACTACAAGAAAATATTGGGGAAACTCTCTAGGACAATGGACTAGGCAAAGATTTCTTGAGTAATATCCCACAAGCAAAGCGAACCAAAGCAAAAATAGACAAATGAGATCACATAAAGTTAAAAAGCTTCTGCACAGCAACAGAAACAATCAACAAAGTGAAGAGACAATGCATAGAATGGAAGAAAATATTTGCAAACTATCCATCTGACAAGCAATTAATAACCAGAATATATAAGGTGCTTAAACAACTCAATAGGAAAAAAAAAAAAAATCTAGTAATCTGATTTTTAAAAGGACAAAATATCTGAATACATACAAATGGCAAACAGGTATATGAAAGGGTGTTCAACATCATTATCATCAGAAAAATGCAAATAAAAACTACAATGAGATATTATCTCACTCCAGTTTTAAAAATGGCTCTTATCCAAAAGACAGGCAATGGGGAGGATGTGGAGAAAAGGGGGCCCTCGTACACAGTTGGTGAGAATGTAAATTAGTACAACAACATGGAGAACAGTTTGGAGGTTCCTCAAAAAATTAAAAATAGAACTTCCATATGATCTAGCAATCCTACTGCTAGGTATATACCTCAAAGAAAGGAAATCAGTATATTGAAGAGATATCTGCATTCTCATGTTTATTGCAGCACTGTTCACAATGGCCAATATTTGGAAGCAGCTGAAGTGTCCATCAGCAGATGAGTAGATAAGTAAGAAGGGTTGGGACATGGAGAATGAATTAAGAAGGCCTAATTCAAGGCCGGGCGCAGTGGCTCACACCTGTAATCCCAGCACTTTGGGAGGCCAAGGTGGGCAGATCATGAGGTCAGGAGATCGAGACCATCCTGGCTAACATGGTGAAACCCCATCTCTACTAAAAATACAAAAAATTAGCCAGGCGTAGTGGCGGGAGCCTGTAGTCCCAGCTACTTGGGAGGCTGAGGCAGGAGAATGGTGTGAACCTGGGAGGCGGAGCCTGCAGTGAGCCGAGATAGCTTCACTGCACTGCAGCCTGGACGACAGTGCAAGACTCCATCTCAAAAAAAAAAAAAAGAAAAGAAAAGAAAATAGGGTACATACACACAGTGGAGCACTATACAGCCATAAAAAGAATGAGATCCTGTCATTTGCAACAACATGGATCAAACTGGAGGTCATTATGTTACGTGAAATAGGCCAGGCATAGAAAAACTTTAGATGTTCTCACTTATTTGTGGGAGCTAAAAACTAAAACAATTGAACTCATGGAGGTAGAGAGTAGAATTATGGTTACCAGAGGCTGAGATCCATAGTTGGGGGTGGAGGATAGTGGGAATGGTTAATGAGTATGAAATTATAATGAGATAAAATGAACAAAATCTAGCATTTGATAGCACAACCGGGTGAATACAGTCAATAATAATTTATTGTGCATTTAAAAATAACGAAAAGATTATAATTTGATTATTTATAACACAAAGACAGGGTACATGCTTGAGTTGATGGATACCTCATTACCCTGATGTGATTATTATGCATCATATGCCTATATCAAAATATCTCATGTACCTGATACATATAAACACCTACTATGTTCCAACAAAAAATAAAAATAAAAACAAAAATAAAAATTAAAACATTTTAAAAGGCAGCTTCACAAATGAGCCAGTTAGTAGCACTTTAAAATTGTGTAAATAATATGTTGAAGAAAAGAGAATTTCACAAAAAACTGGAATGCATAAACAAGATTCAAATATAAATTCTAGAATTAAAAATTACTGAAATTGTCCTATGACCCACAAATGCTACTCCTAAATATATAGTAAGCAGAAATATCCCAAATCTTCATTGAAATATGTATACAAATATTTATAGACACATTAGGTCATAATATCACCCAACTTTGTCTTGTTCAAGTTTGCTTTGGTTATTCAAAGGTTTTAGTTTGTGTATTAATATAAATTTTAGGATTTTTTTCATTTTCTGTAGGGAATGCCATTGATGGAAAAACATTAAATCTGTAGATTACTTTGGTTAGCATAAATATTATAGCAATTTTAATCCTTCCTATCTACAAACCCGAGATGTCTTTCCATTTATTTCTTTAATGTCCTTCATCAATGATTTGCAATTTTCTGTGTACAAGCCTTTCACTTTGTTGGTTAAGTTTACCATTAAGTATTTTATTAATTTTGTTGCTATTATAAATGGGATTTTTTTCTTAATTTTCTTTTGAATAGTTCTTGTTAGCATATAGAAATACCACTGATTTTTGTATATTAATTTTGTGTCCTGCACCTTACTAAATTTGTTCATTAGTTCTAATAATTTTTGGTGTTGTTGTTGAATCTTTAGGGTTTTCTATATATGTGATCATGTCATCTGCAAACAGAGATAACTTTACTTTTTCCTCTCTGATTTGAATGCCCTTTAGTTCTTTTTCTTGTCTAATTGCTCTGGCTAGAATTTGTTTGATAGAAGTAGTGAGAGTGGGCATCCTTGCCCTGTACCATATTTTAGTGGAATAGGCTCAAGTTTCCTGATTCTGATGTTAGCTGTGAACTTCTCACATATGGTCTTTATTGTGATGAGGTAAGTTTCTTCGTTCCCTGTACTGAGAGTTTTTATCATGACTAGATGTTAAATTTTGTCAAATGCTTTTTCTGCATCTATTAAGATAATCGTGTGGTGTTCTCTTTTATTCTGTTAATGTGGTTTGTCATATTTATTGATGTGTGTATATTAAATCAGCTTTGAATCTCAAAGCTAAAACCCACTTGGTCATGGTGAATAACCCTTTTGTTTTTGTTAGTTTGTTTTGAGACGGAGTCTTGCTCTATCGCCCAGGCTGGAGTGCAGTGGTGTGATCTCAGCTCACTGCAATCTCCGCCTCCCGGGTTCACACCATTCTCCTGCCTCAGCCTCCCGAGTAGCTGGGACTACAGGCGCCCGCCACAACACCTGGCTAATTTTTTTTTTTTTTGTAGAGACGGGGTTTCACCGTGTTAGCCAGGATGGTCTTGATCTCCTGACCTCGTGATCCGCCCGCTTCAGCCTCCCAAAGTGCTGGGATTACAGGCGTGAGCCATCGTGCCCAGCCGTGAATAACTCTTTTAATGTGCTGTTAAATTTGGTTTGCTATTATTTTGTTGAGGGCTTTTGCATTTGTCTTCATTAGGGATATTAGCCTGTAGTTTTGTTCTCTTATGGTATCTTTGTCTAGCTTTGTTATAAGGGCAATGTGGCCTCATAAAATGAGTTTGAAGTATTCTATCCTTTTTATTTTTTGGAAGAGTTTAAGAGGGATTAGAATTAATTTTTTTAAGTGTTTTGTAGAATTCACCTGTGAAACTATCTGGTCATGGGCTGCTGTTTTTTGGTTTTTGTTTGGAGCATTTTGATTACTGAGTCAATCTTATTTGTTATTGGTCAGTTCAGGCTTTCTATTTCTTCTTGATTCAGTCTTGATACGTTGTATGTTTCTAGAAATTTTTTTTTTAGGTTATACAATTTGTTGGCATATGACTGTTAATAATAGTTCCTTATGATTCTTTTAATTTCTGAAGCATCCATTGTAATGTGTCCTCTTGCATTTCTGACTTATTTATTTTAGTTTTCTCTCTTTTCTTAGGCTAGCTAAGAGTTTGTTGATTTTGTTTATCTGTGTTTAAAACTTAGTTGTGTTTATTTTTTCTATTGTTTTTCTAGTCTGTATTTCAATTTATTTCTGCTCTAATCGTTATTTCCTTCCTTCTGTTAGCTGTGGGCTTATTCTTCTTTTTCTAATTCCTTGAGGTATAAATTTAGTTTGTTTATTTGAGGTCTTTCTCTTTTTAAATGTAGGTGTTTATTGTGATCAACCTTCCTCTAAGTGCTGTCTTTGCTTTACCATAAGTTTTGGTATACTGTGTCTTTATTTTTGTTTGCCTGGAGATATTTTTAAACTCCTTTTTTGACTTCCTGTTTACTAAATGGTTGTTTATGAGTGTGTTGTTCAGTTTAGTTTCCACATATTTGTGAATTTTCCCATTTTCTTACTGCTATTGATTTTTAGTTTTATTTCACTGCGGTCAGAAAAAATACTTGGTTTGACTGTGGTCTTATTAAATGTATTAGTACTGGTTTTGTGAACTCACATGTGATCTATCCTGGAGAATGTTCTGTGTGCACTTGAGAATGTGCATTCTCTTGCTGTTGAGAGGAAAGTTCTGTATGTGTCTGTAAAATTGACTTGGTCTATTGCGTTGTTCAAATATACTGTTTCTTTGGTGATTTCCTGTCTGGATGTTCTATCCATTATTTCAAATGGAGTAACAAAGTCTCCTACTGTTATTTTGTGGCTGTCAGTTTCTCCCTAATTTAGCTCTGCCAATATTTGCTTTATATATTTAGGTGCCCTGATGTTGAGTGCATATATATTTACAATCTTTCTGTTGAAATGGCCCTTTTATGAATATATAATGAACTTTGTCTTTGGAGACAGGTTTTGACTTAAAGTCTATTTTGTCTGAGAGTCCAGAGTCTCCTATTTTGCCATCTTGCTGATGTCACCTGCCTCAGGAGTGGTTTCTTTCTTTCTTTCTTTTTTTTTTTTTTTTGAGATGGAGTTTCGCTCTTATGGCCCAGGCTGGAGTGCAATGGTGTGATCTGGGCTCACTGCAACCTCTGCCTCCCAGGTTCAAGCGATTCTTCTGCCTCAGCCTCCTGAGTAACTGGGATTATAGGCATGTACCGCCACGCCCGGCTAATTTTGTATTTTTAGTAGAAACGGGGTTTCACTATGTTGGTCGGGCTGGTCTCGAACTCCTGACCTCAGGTGATCCACCTGCCTCGGCCTCCCAAAATGCTGAGATTACAGGTGTAAGCCACCTCGCCTGGCCAGGAGTGGTTTCTTAAAGCATCTTTTTGAGTAATTTGACATTTAAGGAGCCTTGATAGAAAGTTCCAGGATAAAGGCTAAGTGTTCTCAAGGAGAATGACACATAGCCCATTCAGACCCCATCCCTCGGTGGGTGGGGATTTAACTGGATAGGCCGCTGGCTTGGCAAGGCAGCTTTTGTCAACCAAGGGCAATCTGGAGAGCTCACATGTGTGAACCTCATATGTGTGCAATCTTTCAGAAACAGGGAATGGCTGTCCCAGATGGTAAAGAGAATTTGGGGGGGCATTAACAAGGTCTGCTATACCTTCCCTCTATTGAAAGCTGCTAAGAGAGTGGGACATAAATTTCTGGGAGAGACATAAGAAGCCATGTATTTCATGTTACTACAAAGTTAATAAAACAGGACATTCAGGACCCCTACCCTTGAGTGCTCTAAAGATAGATATGTGTTTGGAGAATTTTCCTTGAACATACCCAATCCCTCCTTCTTGGATTTCCCATGAAAAGAGTTGTTCCCCTTTTCTACAAAATTGGGGCTATCATAAATTCCTTATTCTTGCCTCCCAAAGAATTAACCCAGAGGAAGTTAAACTTCTTATATAAGCATAGTCAGAGGACTGTTCTTACTGAGGACCTCTGGAGCCCCCACAAAAAAGCTGACTATCCTCCCACACCCATCTCACAACCTTTTTAGCCACAGTAACATAGACTATCTAGGTAGCTTGCTATAAATTGTAACTAGAGCTGAACTTCCTGATGAGTCATGTATCAACTCTCTCTCCCTCTTTCTTTTAGTTTAATTTTATTTGAATACAAGTAATGTGCTTAGACAGATTTAAAGGTCAGTATCCCCAGAGAGTAGTCTTCCACTCTCCTTTCTGAGATGCGTATGTCTGACCATCAGTATTTCAGTATCAGATAGTGAATGAGGCCCACAAAGTTTCATCATCCAGAATGGAGGCCAATTTTCTCTGCACAACATCTCACCTCAGCTATGCAAGGCTTTCCAGAAAGTAATTCTCCTTTTCTCTTGCCAGGACACCACTGATTTCCCTGCAGTAGGGGAGCTGATGGATAGATTCTACCAGCTATTAAACTATCACTGTATCTTTTTTTTTCACATTCACCCAACAGAGACCTTCACTTCTTTAGAAGTAATTCGTGTTTCTAATTCATGTGTCTTCTTTGGGTTCTGGGGTCACAGTTCACACATGTTTCTTGTTGCCTTTACCATCTCCAGCACCAGGTTTATGCTTTACCTGGTTAGCTAAGTCAGTTATCAGGTAACCGTTTCACTTTTGGCCTTTTGAAATTTATGGAAATTTGTAAAATCTCCAGATTTTTGTTGTTGTTGTTGTTTTGTTTTGTTTTCTTTTTTGAGATGGAGTCTCGCTGTCACTCAGGCTGGAGTGTGGTGGCGCAATCTTGGCTCACTGCAACCTCTGCTTCCCAGATTCAAGAGATCCTCCCACCTCAGCCTTCGAGTAGCTGGGATTACAGATGCCCACCACCACGCTCGGCTAATTTTTGTATTTTTAGTGGAGATGGTGTTTCACCATGTTGGCCAGGCTGGTCTTGAACTCCTGGCCTCAAGTGATCCACTCATCTTGGCCTCCCAGAGTGCTGGAATTACAGGCAGGAGCCACCGTGCCCGGCCTGTTTTTTTGTTTTTGAATCGGAGTCTCGCTCTATCGCCCAGGCTGGAGTAGAGTGACGGGATCTCAGCTCACTGCAACCTCCGCCTCCCAGGTTCAAGCGATTCTCCTGCCTCAGTCTCCTGAGCAGCTGGGATTACAGGCGCAGGCCACCATACCCAGCTAATTTTTGTATTTTTAGTAGAGACGGGGTTTCACCATATTGGCCAGGCTGATCTCAAACTCCTGAGCTCAAGTGATCCACCCACCTCGGCCTCCCAAAGTGCTGGGATTACAGGCGTGAGCCACCACGCCGGCCTAATCTCCAGTTTTGACTAATCTCCTATTCTTCTTTTTATAAGTTGGTGGTCTTCCTATTTTTTAACTCTCACCTTTATGAGGTTTGTGAGGGGTAGATATATACATTTGGATTCAGCCTGCTGTATTTTTGGTTCAGCCTTTTCAGAAGTTTGTCTACTAATTGACCTTTCTCTGTAGACCCCTTACTCACTTCCATAATAACTATCAAGACAGCCTGAGGTGGATTGCAGAAAAGATATGACTTTTAAAAGTTTTACTTCTAAACAAAAACCCAGGGAGAATGGGGCCAGGGGGGGAGGCAAAATCTGAAATGGGAAAATGTCAACTAATTTCCACCATACTCTTGCTCTATCCAAACAAGTTGCATTTTTTCCTGGTGCGCTAGAAAGATTGCTGAGGCTGACAGTGCCACTTCTCCAAATGCTAGGAACCAAACTTTAAATTGGCTCTTCCAAAATCTATTAAATGGGGTCTTCTAGACTTTCTGATTTGCAAAGATAGGCTATAAAAGATTGCTTCTGTTAATTTGTGTTGTGAGCATTGTTGACCTCATCCTTAAGTTCACAGGGAGCTTATTCAGTCATATAGATAATCTGTCCCTTCTTGGTGGTCATCAAAAAACACACAAGTTCTGAAAAAGAGCATCTTTTTTACTGTACTTGCCCGGGTTCAGGGTCCAGATTACAATATTTTTTGAAAATATGGTCCTATTTCCAACTTGGTTTCTTTCTTATTCTGAAGTGTGATCCCATATATGGCCATTAGGGGGTGCAAGAATTGTAATACACATAAGGCCCTCCTAAAGAATGCCACTCAGATCTTTTCTGCTTAACGGGCAAAGTGGACCTTTTTCTTTTCAGAAAAATTTCGGAAAAAATGTTCAAACAACCCTACCTTTAAAAATTTTGTACAGATCACCAAACACAAAGGATAAAAAATGGAAAAACGACTTAATGGCTAGACTACTGGTCCATGTTTCAAAATGAAACCCATTGATTCATACATTCAACAAATATTTATTAAGCACCTACACACCAGGCACTGAGCCAGATGTCAGAGATTCAGCAACAAGCGCCCAATCATGCATGACTTCCAGGCTCCCAATCACATTCTCATATTTCCTACCTATGAGAATTCTGAATTTACTCAGACTTTCTGCAAATGACACCAGGATATTTATACTTTAGGGGAATTGTTGACTAAAGATTAGTAGAGAATCCTTTTATCTTAACTGGGTTAACAAGATTAACTAACAGATTTCTTTAAGAAGGTCATAAGGACAAGGTTTAGAAAGTTAGAGATATCCATCAGAAGAGGTTTTAGACCAAATTCAACACCTTTCTACGCAAGATACCATTGGGTAAAACTTTAATGTTACCCTTCATTGTTTATTGGTTCTGGGCTGGTGATGTATCCATCCTTTAGTTGTTTCAAAGGGCAATCATATATGGGGGTCACCCTCCACTCCAATATTAGGAGGGAAAAATAAAAAGTTTATCCACCATGAAGCGCCATTGGTACAAACCTGTCAGTGCTTCTTCCCCAAAGTAACCTACATCCCTCTTATGTCCAAGATGATGGATAATGATAACATCAAATTGCAGCTTCTCTTTCTTCACTTAAGGCTTTTTCTACTCTCTAAAGAAATATTTCAAATTAGCAGCAAAAAGTTATGTGCAAGAATATCACATTCATTCATTCATTCATTCACTGTCTTCCTTTGTGGTAATATAAAATAATCTCAAGGAAGTTGAGCAACCTAGGTATTTCTTTACCTTCCTTTCCTTTTGACAGTTTACCATCCCATATTTTACCAGATCAAGAATGTGTTAGCATGTGGCAAATGGTCAGGAAGTCCTTTGGGCTTAATAAGAAAAGACTATACAGGATATAAGATATATGCTCATCTTTGTATTGGCTTTGGTGTGAAATATGGTCACCAACAATTCTTGAGCAGTATTTCTCATTAATCCAACCACTGGGAAGAAGTGGATTTATTTCTCAGCCACAATGCAAAAATAACTGTAAATAAATAAATAGATGGATAGATAAATAGGTTAGAGGACCCACTTGAATTAGATGCTACTTCTGGGACAAGCAAATATGACTAGAGGGTGGAGTCATGAGAGGATATTGGATGGGAACTGCATGGCAGAGGGGGAGGAACAGTTCTCAGAAACAGGGGCATGTTTCCAAAAGAATGGCCATGCTGTGAAGACAAAGCAATAGGTGTACACTGTGGATGCTGTCCTTTTTTACTTTCAAATTAATTCCAGCTTTTAAATATGGAGTTAATTTAGAAATGGTTGATAAGGAAAAGAACTTTGACTTTTTCTGATTCAATAAAAGCAGGTAAAAACTTTCAAGAATGGATACTGTTTAAAACTGTACTAAGAAATTTTTGGAATCATCCCAGATAGAGTGCAATAAAAAGTAAAATATCATCAAATATCACAGATCCCAAGAAGCTTCAAAAATGAATCTTTCATCTAACATAAATTAAACTTAGCGCAATTCCTGGCGAAAGCCACTCTTTCCCTGACCCTATAAAATATCTAATTTCCAACTTTTCCACTTTGATATCTAAGGGCTAGCAGCAACAGAATAGGAGCTTATTTTTAATTGCTTCATGTATAGAAAGAAGGGTGATCTCTAGAGAAACATAGTTTGAAAGTGTCTGAATTTAGCACCTTTAAATTATCAGTGGCAAACAGCAGAATCTGCATCTGGCAGGGGAAAGATTTTCAAGTACGAAATTGAATTTAGTTCCTGCAGACTGCAAAAGCCCTAAATATAAAACTTTGGGAGAGGCATAAAAGTAGTTGTGTCTAATTTGCTTAAAGGAATCGGTTTTTGCTTTGATTGTATAAGAAGATCCATCCTTTAATTAACAATGTGAGGAGGAATTTTAAAATATTTTGATTTCACATTCAAAGTTAAATTAAAATAGTTTAATTCATATTTTTAAAGATTAGAGATAGATTTTACTTGTTAAAGATTGTTGCATAATACCTACTTAGAAAATTTTTTTTACTGAGGCTTGGCATACATCTCAAGCATAGGGCTCAGTGAATTTTCACACATGTGTATATCTGTGTGACCACCACCTAGATCAAGATATAGAACATCTCCAGCATTACAGAAGGCCTTAGTATACTCCTATATGGTCAATTCCTACTCCTACACAGGACCCCAGAAATAACTACTTTTCCAACTTTTATGACCATTTGGATTTTATCAAAATATAATAATTTAACATATTTTTAAAATGTCTGGCTTTTTGGGGTGCTCAGTATTATTTCTCTTATATTCATCTCTGTTGTTTCATGCAGCAGTGATTTATTTGTTCTCATTGCTCTATATTATTTCATTCAGGCCATTTCAGGGTTTGCATGGTACCACACTGTATGAATATAAAACATTTTAATTATCCAACTACTATCTTTTGATAGATGTATGCATTTATTTCTCTTAGATATTCCCCTAGTCATAGAATTGATGAACTATTGGATAGGCAAATGTTTTGGTTTACCACATAATGCCAGCCAATTATCCAACATGATTGTACAAATCACACTGAAGGAAGAAATAAGAGTTCTCATTGTTTCACATTCCTAACAGCTATTGGTCATAATCAAGCTCTCCAGTTTTAGTCACCATGATGATTTTAGTGCTATTTACAGTGGTTTTACTTTTCATTTCCTTAAATACTACTGATATTATACTTCTTTTCATATGCTTGATATTGTTGGGTAGAGGTAGAAAAATAAAATCTCTCTACTAAGACTAAAAACACAGCTCTCTCCTTTACCTGGGCTTGATGTTAACTTTTAAAAAGTAAATAATATAAGAAATCAATGTATAAATTTCCAGTAATACTCATGGGGCTCTTGGAAGAAGAGAAGACAAAATAACCTGGAAGAATATGTCCTCAACCTACACTGTATAGAATTCCCATAGGTAAAATTCTGTTAATGATTACTTCACAACCCAAAATTATAAGACATGAGGAAATTCAGTTGGTTCTTTGTATCCTCGGGTTCAACCAACTGCAGATCAAAAATATTTGAAAAAAATAAATATAAAAATAACAATACAACTCTAAAAATAATAAAAAATGTAAAAGTACACTATAACAACCATTTACATAGCATTTATATTGTATTGGGTACTATAAGTAACCTAAAGATAATTTAAAGTATATAGAAGGATGTGCATAGGTTAAATGCAAATGCTACATCATTTTATGTAATGAATTCAAGCATCTGAAGATTTTCATACCCACAAGGAGTCATGGAGCCAATCCTTTGAATACCAAGGGACAACTGTAATCCACAGTGATGGAAGAACTACATATATGATATAATAATATGATAGAGAATATACATTAGAGATGTTTAAACTAACTTTTGAAAACTTTCTGATTCTGGTCATGATAGAATAATGGGTATTAAAATTACTATCCTTTTTATATATAAAGAGACATTTAATGTTCTGAACCACAGATAGTATGGATCTGTGATCCCTGAAAGGAAACATAAAACACATGAAGTAAACTGTGCATTCATTCTGGTACCCAAGGCATCTGTGGGCACTTCCAAAATGTTAACGTAGGGAAGGGAGCCCAAGGAGAGAGCAGTTATTTCCTTGAAAAAAAAAAAAAAAAGGAAACACACGCATAAATGAAATTCAGAGCTACTGAGGCAAATGGAATTTTTGGAGCACAGAAGCAAGGAGAGAGAATTGTACAGAGAAGGAACCCCAGAAATCTGCACTGGGGCCCTCTTAAGTCTTTGGCCAAATAATAAACTGTTCATGGCAGCATGAGACTCCACAAGGCCTCACAGAGAAGAGCTATTGAGCTATAAAATGAACAGAGATTCGATTCATCTTTGAGATAAATAGATTATGGAGGTGACACAGGAATGGGTGATTCTTAGAGTTCTGATCAGCCAGAGTGACATGATCTCACTGAGCACCTGAAAATTCAGTTGAGATTCCAAAAAGGCCATAACTTAAAAGTGCAGATTCTCTATCACCATCCAAATAAAGACTAAAACCAAGACTTGATATAATAAAGCAAAGTCACCGCTAAAGTAATTGTCAGTTAAAACAATACTCAACATGTTTTAAGGGGAGTCAACATAATGTAAACTCTCAACGATATTAACAGCCACAATGTCCAGAACACAATAGAAATTTTTAAGACATGCAAAAAGGCAGGAAAATGTGAACTCTAATCAGGAGGGAGAAAAAGTCAATAGAAGCACACCCCAGGAAAATATACATGCTTCAATTAGCTGACAAAGACTTTTAAAAGTTTATATAAACAAATTTAGGGACATAAAGAAAAAGGCAGACAATGAGTAAACATATGGAACATCTCAACAAAAAAGATAAAAATATTTTTTAAGAAAACAAAATGGAAATACAAGAACTGAAAACTACAATATTTGAAATTTAAAATTCACTGGATGAGCTTAACAATAGAGTGGGAACTGGGTAAAAATCAGTGAACTTGAAAACAGAAAAATAGATACTATGCAAATGGAAGAAGAGAAAGAAAAAAATACTGAAAAAGCAAACATATCTTCAGTAACTTGAGGGAAAACATCAAATGGTTTGATATAGGAGTACTTGGAGTCCTAGAAGGAGAGGAGAGAGATTAGGCCCACAAAATATTTGAAGAAATGACTAAAAGTTTTCTAAATTTGGTTTAAAAAATTAATCCAGAAGTCCAAGAAGCTCAACAAACCCAAGCAGAATACACACAAGGAAAATCACACCTAGAAGCATCATATTAAGCTTGATGAAAACCAAGGTAAACAGAAAGTTTTGAAAGAAGTGTTACCGAAATGCCAGGGGTTTGGTCCAGGTACTTTTGCTTGCCACATAGAAAGCTGATTACTGGAACAGTGAGTATCGCCAGAAAAGAAGGCTTTATTCAAGTGTTGCAGCCAAGGAGAATGGCAGATCAGTCTCAAATCCGTCTCACGTGACTAAAATTAGGTGCTTATATAGCAAGGAAGAAATGTAACCATGTGTGGGAAAACAGAAATTAGGGAGGGGTAAGGAAAAGGAGTTGGTCAACAGAAAGCAGGTGGTTGGTTAGGCAATCATAGTGGGTGAGAGGTCTGGTGTCTCATTGTCCAGATGCAGTGATCTGGTAAGTTTCAGTACTTTGATACTATCTGGAAGAACTGATGGTTGGTTTTCTGAGAGAGGACCTCAGATAAGACAAATGTAACTTTCTCAAGTTTTAAGAATGGGAGGGTCAATTTCTATGTTTATGCAAAAGAAGCCATAAACATCAGTTCCGTGGGACAATTGGGCCATTTTCAGAAGCAAAGGAAAAGAACGCATATTATACGTAGGCAGTAATGATAATGAGAGGTGACAGCGTGCTGGCAGTCCTCAGAGCCCTCGCTTGCTCTCGGCACCTCCCCTGCCTGGGCTCCCACTTTGGTGGCATTTGAGGAGCCCTTCAGTCCCCCACTGCACTGTGGGAGCCCCTTTCTGGGCTGGCCAAGGCCGGAGCCCACTCCCTCAGCTTGCAGGGAGGTGTGGAGGGAGAGACAGGAGAGGGAACCGGGGCTGTGTGCGGCACTTGCGGGCCAGCTGGAGTTCTGGGTGGGCGTGGGCTTGGTGGGCCCCGCACTCGGAGCAGCCAGCCAGCCCTGCTGGCCCCGGGCAATGGGGGACTTAGCACCCCGGCCAGTGGCTGCGGAGGGTATACTGGGTCCCCCAGCAGTGCCGGCCCACCGGCTCTGCGCTCGATTTCTGCTGGGCCTTGGCTGCCTTCCCACGGGGCAGGGCTCGGGACCTGCAGCCTGCCATGCCTGAGCCTCCCACCCCCTCCGTGGGCTCCTGTGCGGCCCGAGCCTCCCCAACGAGCGCCACCCCCTGCTCCACGGCGCCCAGTCCCATCGACCACCCAAGGGCTGAGGAATGCGAGTGCAGGGCGCAGGACTGGCAGGCAGCTCCACCTGCAGCCCCGGTGCGGGATCCACTAGGTGAAGCCAGCTGGGTTCCTGAGTCTGGTGGGGACATGGAGAGTCTTTATATCTAGCTCAGGGATTGTAAATACACCAATCAGCACCCTGTGTTTAGCTCAAGGTTTGTGAGTGCACCAATCGACACTCCGTATCTAGCTGCTCTGGTGAGGATGTGGAGAACCTTTATGTCTAGCTCAAGGATTGTAAATACACCAATCGGCACTCTGTATCTAGCTCAAGGTTTGTAAACACACCAGTCAGCACCCTGTGTTTAGCTCAAGGTTTGTGAGTGCACCAATCGACACTCTGTATCTAGCTGCTCTGGTGGGGCCTTGGAGAACCTGTGTGTGGAAACTCTGTATCTAACTAATCTGATGGGGACGTGGAGAACTTTGGATCTAGCTCAGGGATTGTAAACGCACCAATCAGCGTCCTGACTAAACAGGCCACTCGGCTCTACCAATCAGCAGGATGTGGGTGGGGCCAGATAAGAGAATAAAAGCAGGCTGCCCAAGCCAGCATTGGCAACCTGCTCGGGTCACCTTGCACACTGTGGAAGCTTTGTTCTTTTGCTCTTTGCAATAAATGTTGCTACTGCTCACTCTTTGGGTCCACGCTGCTTTTATGAGCTGTAACACTCACCTTGAAGATCTGCAGCTTCACTCCTGAGCCCAGCAAGACCACGAGCCCACCAAGAGGAATGAACAACTCCAGACACGCTACCTTAAGAGCTGTAACACTCGCCGCGAAGGTCTGCAGCTTCACTCCTGAGCCAGCGAGACCATGAACCCACCGGAAGGAAGAAACTCCGAACACATCTGAACATCAGAAGGGACAGACTCCAGACGCGCCACGTTAAGAGCTGTAACACTCACCGCGAAGGTCCGCGGCTTCATTCTTGAAGTCAGTGAGACCAAGAACCCACCAATTCTGGACACAATAAGAACAACATTTTTTCTCAAGCACAATGCTAGCCAGAAGCCAATGTAACAACATAATTAAGATGCCCCAAGAATAAAACAGTTAATCTAGAACTATACATCTAGCATATTTTTTAAATGAAGGTGAAATATAGGCTTCTCAGAAAAACAAAAGCTGAGGGAATTCATTGCCCACAGACCTGCCCTAAAGGAAGGTCTTTAGGGCAGTCTGTGTGCCCTTCAGCCTGAAGGGCAACAATGAAATAATACGAGATGGAAACTTAGATTTGCATAAAGGAGCAAAGACTGCCAGAAATGATAAATACATGGTTAAACAGAAAAGCTTTTCTCATTCATAACAGAACAAGAATAATAACAGTGTGGTGTGGGATATATAGCTTATATAAAAATAAAGTGGGTAACAAAAATAACACAAAGACCTGGAAGACGGTAAATGAAAACATTTTGTTGTAAGATTCTTCTATCAGATGTAAAGAATTATAATATTAAAGCAAGGTGTACTATGAGTAGTTACAGATATGCAAGCACAGCCATAAGAAAGGCAAAGTCTCTATAGTAATATTGAAGTACACTTCAGGAAGAGAGGGACTTTCAGTTCATAAAAATGCATAACAATTCTAAATCATACATTATACAAAACCTGAGAGAACTAAAAAAACTAGATGAATTCATAATTATAATAGAAGATTATATTCTATCTAGTTATTGTTAGAATAATTAAAATTAAAAAGAAATATATGGAAGATTTACAACACTAGAAAATAATTTAAGAAATTTAGAGAAACTTAGAGAAAACTTCACCTAATAACTGATCTCACGGTCTTTTCAAGTGCACAAGAACCATTCTCCTAGATGTACCGTAAGCTTGGCCAAGAGAAAAGTCTCAATAAATGTAAAAGGATTGAACTCATATAAAATATGTTCTCTGACTGCAATGGAATTAAAAATCAATAATAAAATTATATTTGGAAAATCTGTAAGTATTTGGAAATTAAACACATTTCTCCATGACTCACTGGTCAAAGAAAAAATCTAAAAGAAAACTGCAAAAGAGTTGGAACTAATGACAATTAAAACCTAATTATGAGCTACAGTAGTCCTTAAATAAAAATTGATAGCCTGAAATGCTTATATTAGAGAAAAAGAGTGGCATAAAATCACTGTTATAGAGTTTCACCTTTAAGGTAGAGGATAAGAGTAATTAAATTAAAAAAACAGCAGAAAGAAATAATGCAGAAACCATTGAAATAGAAAACACTTCAACAACAGAGAAAAATCAAAGAAACAAAAAGTAGGCCATTTGGAAAGGTCAATAAAATCAATAAATCCCTACCTACATGGAACAGTAGCTAGATTGGGGTTGGAAGAGGAGGGAGAGAGAGGAAGAGAAAGAGAACACACATTACCACTGTCAAGAATACACGAGGGCATATTCCTACAGAACATACAGACATGAAAAAGTTAATAAGGAAATACTATGAATTACTTTTGGCAGCTTAGATGGAAGGGACAAATTTCTTCAAAGACACAATTACCAGTAGTGACCCTAGGCTAAAGAAACTGAATTCAAAATCAAGAAGAGGCTGGGCATGATGGCTCATGCCTGTAATCCCAGCACTTTGGGAAGCCAAGGAGGGAGGATTGCTTGAGTTCAGGAGTTTGAGACCAACCTGGGCAACATAGGAGACCTTATCTCTACAAAAAAATTTTTTAAAGAATTAGTTGGGTGTGGTGGTGAACACCTGTAGTCCCAGCTACTTGGGAGGCTGAGGTGGGAGGATCACTTGGGCCTGGGAGGTCAAGGCTATAGTGAGTCATGATTTTGCCACTGTACTCCAGCCTGGGCAACAGAGTGAGACCCTGTCTCATAAAACAAAAAAAGAAGGAGAAGGAGAAGGAGTAGGAAGAAGAAAAAGCAAAATTGAGGAGAAATTTCTCACAAAGAAATCTCCAGGCCCAGATGTCTTCACCAGTGACTTCTTTCAAACATTTAAGGAAGAAATAATACCAATATTACATAAACTACTTCAGAAGAATGAGAGAACACTTCCCAACTCATTTTTCTGAGGCCAGCATTATCCTGAAAACAACACCAAAGATGTCTTAGGAAAAGAAAAGTAAAATTCTAGAGTGTGGAGCTGACTGAGCTAAGGGAGTGTGATGGCTTTTTGATGTGTCAACATTTTGAGGCAGTCATTCCACAGTTAGTCAAACAAACACTAATCCAAGTGCCGCAGCAAAGGAATTTTAAAGAGGTGTTAAAGTTCCTAATTGGTTGTCTTTAAATCTGTAATCTGCCACCTTGATTTAATCAGCTGGATGTCCTTAAAAGCAGGTTTAAGACTTCTGAGAGAAAGGGTCAGAGAGAGAAGATATTCTGCCTGTGGGCAACAGCTCCCGCCTCCTCATGATCTTCCCTTGCTGACTGTCACTCAACTCCTTCAGTGCAAGTCAGACTTGTTTAGCCAGCTCCCACAAAGATGTAAGACAATTATTCGAAATCTCCACCTCTCTCCATTTATTCAGTCATTCACTTTCTGCTTCTCAAGTTGAACCCTGACTGATATACAAAGGATAGCATTTAGAAGTTGTCAGAAAAGTGCACAGAACCAAATTATGCTGGGCCCTACACTCTGCATTAACAAGAAGAGATTTTTCAAGTGCAATTGGATATGAACGGTCATATTATCCGAGGGCTTATCTAAGCAGTTGCTTAAGAAATACTAACTTCTGCGCACTAAACTAAAAAAATAAAATGGCATTACAGTGTTGGTGGGTTTAAAGAGAAACTGGAACCATTGTAGCTCTGGGAAATATATCCCAGGGAAATAATTGAAATGGAGGAAAATACATATCTGCATTAATTTTCTGCCACTGTGTAACAAATTACTACAAACTTAGCAGCTTCAAATATAACACACATTTATAACAACCATTTAGTAGATCAGAAGTCTGGTATGATGTGACTGGGTTCTCTGCCCAGGAAATTACAAGGCTGAAATTAAGATGTCACCAGGTTAAGTTATTGTCTGATGGATACTGGGGGGCAATCTGCCTCCAGGTTCACATGATGGTGGCAGAATTCAGTTCCTTGTGGTTGCAGGACTGAAGACTTGTTTTCTTGCTGGCTATCAGCTGGGAGCCACTCTCAGCTCCTAGAGGCCACCCACATTCCTTACCGTGTGATCCTTTCCATCTTCAACAGAGAATCTCCCTCACACTGAATCTCTGTCATGCTTTGAATCTTTCTGATTTCTGGGACCCAGATTCAAAGGGCTCATGTGATTAAGTCAGATTCATCCATATTATCTTCTTTAAGACAATAGTGCCATGTAACATAACCTAATCATGGATGTGAAATCCATTCTGTTCACAGTACTGGGAGTTAAAAAGGGTATAAACACCAGAGACTGGGAAAGTCTTGAGGGCCATCTTAAAATTCTACCCACCATAATACTATCTATCTATCTATCTATCTATCTATCTATCTATCTATCTATTTATTCTAATCTAGATAGGTGTATAGATGGCTAGGCACACAGAGTGCTTATTCCTGCACTATATGCATTTGAATATGTAACTACTGAACAAAAAACCAAATTCCGATCTAGGCCAGATAGCCGTTAGTATGTTAGATAATGGGATATCGTCATTATGTTAAAACACGTTTCTCTATGTTTCTGTGATGTCCTCACCCACTTGCCACCTCTAATGGCAATGTAGGTGGGAAAACGCAATATGGAATGGTGCATATGCGGTGATAATAGGAATTACAAAATCAAAAAAGTATTAGAAGTCTATAAGGATCAGAATGAGAATGGGGAAGGCAGAGAGTTTTTTTTTTTGTTGTTATTGTCATAGTCATTGTAAGGTGCGGGGAGAACAAAGAATGAGCCAATGTGTTAAGATAAACAAATGGGTTTCTATTGCCTTTACCCTTTTGGGGTTTCTGCCCACACTAGACAAAATTTTCAAAATATTTGGACAGAAGTAGAATGAATTTGGCAAACATATGGTGCCAGTTGAATCCAGACTCCCTGATCATTTTAAGGCTGTGCAAAGCTGGCTTGCAGGGGCAGGGTGGCTGGGGGAGATGAATTAAATAACGAGGATGGAGGAAGGAGCTCCAGCTGCCTCTTAAGGAGTTGAGTGACTCACTTCTAAAAGGTTCCTCCTGCAAGTACTCCTCATCTGAGTCACTAATTAGGAGACAGCTGGAGTAACTATAAAGTCCTTCCTTTCTCTCTGGAGCCTGCTGTCCAAACCCCTTTCCCCTCTGGTTGCCAGGCCCAAGTCCTTGTTGCTGACTGATCTCTCCAGGCTCTGGACAACTTGCCTTCACACTTGAGGTGGCACACTTCATTTTGCTTGCTTTACCAACCAGACGTCTCCTGGCAGGCCTGGTGTGGAGAGGATGAGTGGGGATTGAGGCCTGCCGTTTGTCTTCACACTTCAGAGGGCTGAGTAAATGAGTTTTTCTTCCCAACAGTAAAAGCACTGACACAAAGGGACCACGTTTATTTAAGCTTATTAATTCGCACATCCATCTTCTTGGTGGATTCATGTCCTAAATTTGGCCAGAAATCACAGAATAGACTAAACTTTTTAGGAAGCCCAAAAATTGCTTTCAAATGGTACAAGCTAGGTCAGAAACCAAGGATTCATGGTGTATAGTCCCTATAGCAACCTCTCAGTTCCTGCCCCCACCATTTCCTAAATCATCCTTTAATGTTCTTTTTTTCCATTTCATAAGAATGCTTTCAAGCTTTAAAAAAATCTCTCCCTTGGCTGGGTGCAGTGGCTCATGCTTGTAACCCCTGTACTTAGGGAGGGTGAGGCAGGTGGATCACAAGGTCAGGAGTTCGAGACCAGCTTGGCTAATAAGGTGAAACCCCGTCTCTACTAAAAATACAAAAATTAGCTGGGTGTGGTGGCACACCTCTGTAATCTCAGCTACTCGGGAGGCTGACGCAGAATTGCTTGAACCTGGGAGGTGGAGGTTGCAGTGAGCCAAGATCGTGCCACTGCACTCCAGCCTGGGGCGACAGAGTGAGACTCTGTCTTAAAATATATATATATATATAAAATATATAATATATTATATAAAATAAATATATAAAATATATAATATATTATATAAAATAAATATATATAATATATAATATATTATATAAAATAAATATATAAAATATATAATATATTATATAAAATAAATATATATAATATATAATATATTATATAAAATAAATATATATGATATATAATATATAAAATAAATATATATGATATATAATATATTATATAAAATAAATATATATGATATATGATATATTATATAAAATAAATATATATGATATATTATATAAAATAAATATATATGATATATTATATAAAATAAATATATATGATATATTATATAAAATAAATATATAATATATATAAACATATATTATATATAATATATATAAACATATATTATATATAATATATAATATATATTATATATTATATATTATATATAATATATATTATATATTATATATTATATATTATATATATTATATATTATATATAATATATATTATATATTATATAATATTTATATAATATTTAAATATATTTAAATATATTATATATTATATATTCATATATAATATATATATTATATATAATAATATATATATTATATTAAATTATATAATGTATATTATATATATTATGTATTATATAATATATAATATATATTAAATATATATAAATATATATTATATATAATATATTATATTTATATATAAATATATTATATATAATATATTATATTATATATAAGTATATAATATATTCTATTATATATAAGTATATAATATATTCTATTATATATAAGTATATAATATATTCTATTATATATAAGTATATAATATATTCTATTATATATAAGTATATAATATATTCTATTATATATAAGTATATAATATATTCTATTATATATAAGTATATAATATATTCTATTATATATAAGTATATAATATATTCTATTATATATAAGTATATAATATATTCTATTATATATAAGTATATAATATAATATATATTTATATATAAATATATAAATAAATATAAATATATATAAATATATGTATATATAAAATCTCTCTCTTTTCTAACATGTCAGTGAGGGCTCAGAAGAGCAAAATAAATTTTCCCATTTGACTTCTAAAATCCTTGGGACAAATGTGGGTGGGGTGAGGATATCAGGATGCAGTTGAAAAGCAGAGGTTTTGTTTTATTTTGTTTTGTTTGGGTATTTTTGCCACTCCAGGGTCCTGTCACTAAATTTTAATCATTGCAGCCCTGCTCCTGTTCACAAATGCAGGTAGTAAATTTAGGTCTACCACAACTGAGTTGTTTTATTCAAAAGCTTCCTGAAATCTTCACTAATCTTCACAGTAAATGTATGAGGTAAATGTAATTTCTCCAAACCTCAGATGCCACAGGTTGGTGACTTTTTCAGATGAGAAGCAAGTCAGTAGAAAGACCAGGATATAATTAGTGAAAACAATTCCATGAAATCCGAAGACCTATGACAAAAGAAGACAAATATTTGCTAGAAAAGAAGAAAGGAAAACATGCAAAGAATGTTGAAAATGCAAAATTGCAAAGGCTTCTTTCCATTTGTCCAAAATAAAAAGAAAAAAAAAGAATATGTCTTTATTACAGCCAATTTGGAAAAAGTTTGGCAGTTTCTTTAAATGTTAAACATACCTTTACCATACAACCCCAACAATCCTGGGTATTTACCCCAGAGAAACAAAAGCATATGTCCATACACTCGTATATGAATGTTTTCAGCAGTTTTGTTGGTTAGGGCCACAAACTGGAAACAGTCTAAGTGTCCACCAATAGATGAATTGATAAGCAATGTGCAGTACAAACATACAATTGAATGATGCTCAGCAATAAAAAAAGATGAACTATTGATACAAACAACCATTTAGACAAATTAAAAAATAATTAATGCTGAATAAGAGAAGACAGACAAAAAGTATAAACTGTATATCATGTATATAAAATACAAACTAACCTATCCTGAAAGAAAGCAGGTCAAATGCTGCTGCGGTTTGAGGTATGGACTACCGAGGGGTGTGAGGAAACTTTGGGGATGGTATTCTTGATTGTGATGATTGTTTCATGAATGTCATCAAATTGTGCATCTTAAATGTATACACTTTGCAGTCAGTTATATCTCAAAAAAGCTATAAAAATACGCAGCAATGATTCTTTCCTTGTATGTAGTATGAAAAACAAGAATATGCCTGTGTGCCCAAGACCTGTGAGATAATTTAAAAGTTTGTAATAAAAATGACATAGTGCTCTTTTCATTTGAATGTTTCACACTGGTTATAAAGGCCAGGAGATAGGAAAAATAATTTCTATTGTTCATTCTCTTGAAATACATAATTACCTTATTGGATGTTATTGAACTTGAGATAAGTTTTATGGCTTTATTTGCAATGATTTCCCACTGATGATGTGTTATACAGTAGGGTGTACCTTTCTATTCCTACTACAGGTATTCCCGATTTAGTCCATGGGACAGGATCTGTCAATACCCCTACCACTCAGGAAGAGTTGGGGAAAAACTTCTGTCCTTCCCTCTTCCATGGCACAAGTAACTTATCTGATGGATGATATTAAAAAAAGTGGTTCTCTCTCTAGCTGACCTGCATGGAACAGGCCATTTTCTTCCCTTCATTCCTCCTTCTAGGTGATAAGTACACCTGAGTTGGGTCCCTTGTTCATCTGGCTTGATAGGGCTTGAGGCACTCTCAGATCTCTCATCCATGTGACTGGAGGAGTCTCATCTGTAGACAGAAATCTCCTTGTTGTATGAAGCCAAGTCTATATTCGAGGTGTGGTGGAAAGAGGTCATTGAAAGCTGAGTTTGGCCTCAGGTCCGAGTCACATTCTACAACCCAGCTAACAATAAAGTAGGTACTATGATTCAACTCCAACCTGTAAATTGGTTTAGAATCCATAGAGGAGGAAGATGTAATTAAATAGATGATGAATCATTGTAAGTAGTGCTGATATCGCAGTAATATTCCACATGGAATGGAATGATAGGTGTGTTGCCATGTTCCCAACTGGAGGAAAAATCTTTCTACAAATATCATAAAAAGTAAAGAAAACACAAGGTGAAATTTCTGCCACATTACTAAGTTAAGCAGAGTTTCTTCCCCTTGTCTGGCATCTTGATATTACAATTATGAGAAGTATTACATCTTTAAATCAATAGATTCGAGAAAAAGATTAATCACACCTTTAAGCTAAGAATGTTGATTGATGGATGCAATACAATTTTGATATGTGGAGGTAATTTTTTTTTTTTTTTGAGACGGAGTCTTGCTCTGTCACCAGGCTGGAGGGCAGTGGCATGATCTCAGCTCACTGCAAGCTCCACCTCCCAGGTTCACACCATTCTCCTGCCTCAGCCTCCCAAGTAGCTGGGACTACAGGTGCCCGCCACTATGCCCATCTAATTTTTTGTGTTTTAGTAGAGATGGGGTTTCACCATGTTAGCCAGGATGGTCTCGATCCCTGACCTCGTGATCCGCCCGCCTCGGCCTCCCAAAGTGCTGGGATTATAGGCGTAAGCCACTGTGCCTGGCCGATGTGGAGGTAATTTTTGTCTTTCAGTTGATAAACTAAGAATGATTTAGAAGAAGAAGTAGAAGATTTAGGGAAGTATAATTACATAACATTTAAATGATTAAACCACTTTTAGATTATTTTTTCTGAATTCTTTATGATTCCAGTCCTGAAGTCTAAAAGCAAAAGGGACATATTTAAAACCACTCAGAGATCCTTTTCACTTTACCACACATGTCTCCATCAATTTATAAACTTGTGGTTGAGGAAGGGTTGGAGAATACTTCCACATGTGGAGCTGAGAACAGAGGTGTTCTCTCTAATGTGAACACATGCACTGTATTCCCTCTGGGCTCAGATCTAAGGGCATGCCCTTGACATCTCCAGCTCCCGCTCAGTGTCTCAGAACTGCAGTCCAGGGAAAATCAGAGTCCCCTGGGTACCACTCGGGAGACTTGCATTTACTATTTTTAATGTAACCCTCTAATAGTAGTGATAGTAACAACTACTTTATGTAGTGCTTATCATGTGCCAGGCATAGCCTAAGTGCTTTACATGCATTATTTTATTTAAATCTCACGTCATGTTAATGGAAAATCTGGAACAAATCTTCATTCACTAGAGATCTCCATTCCACACGATTTCACTTCTAAAGTCTTGTGATCACTTTCTATAACTTTCCAGAAAATAATTTGTATATTGATTTTCTTTTTTAAAAACATGGCTTTTAAGGATGGTCCAAACTGTGGGCCATGTGTTCAAGGCAAATGAACATGAGAGAGAGAACACACACACACACACTGATTAAAATGATACCCAAATAAATTACCCTTAGTAGCAAATAAGAACTGTCATGATGGGCACTCAGAGTGCAGAAAAGATAGGTAGATGGCCTCATAGAGTGATATAGGCACTCTCTTACCATTATTTCTTCATGTCATCCTATACTAAGTTGAGGCACTAAGAGACTAAAGTATGCTACCCAGTGGGGCAACTTTGAGAACCATTACCACCATGTACTTTCTGTAGTGTTCTTGTCTTTGTCACTGAGCCTAGAATTTCCACAAGAGGTCCCCCCTCTCCCACTAACCTCACTGAGTCTCCATCACTCTTTCTTTTCCTCCTCCTTCCTTCCATTCTCCTCATCTCCCTCTAACCATCTTTATTTTTAAGCTAGTTGCTCCAATGCCTCTGTTAGTTTTAAAAAATAGGGAGTTAAGGAGGGCTCTCCAGTTGCAGGGGGGAAAAGCTCCAAATTCTTGGGTTGGACAGGAGGTGGCATCAAAATGGTTTAGAATGCAATAGTCTTTGCTTCATTTACTTTCAGCTCATGCTGAACTAGCCGTCTAGTAAAGCTGTCTGCTGTACTACAGAAAAAAGCCCTGAAAGTTGATGGGACTGTCTGAAAAACAACAGAATAACAGACACTCCATGAATAAAATGAGGGTAAATAAAGTGACTTATCCAAGCTAGAGATAGCTGGAGCCAAAGAAGAGTTGAACCACACAGTTTTTGTTTTCATGGAAACATTTATTGCTGCAAAATGAGAGGCTGGAGAAGATCTCTGATACATCAATCATCAGCATGAGGCCACCATAGTAACTAATGAGGCTAGAATTCACATGTCCAATCCCAGAGATCTGGTGGGAGGGTCAAGACCTGCTCAGGAGAGCCAAACATGGGTGCAAAAGCCAGTATTGTATTTGCTTCTAAAATGCTTTTTGAGCAGCTAAGACTTTAAGTTCAGCAAGGTCTCATGATATTTATGGTAGAACAATGATAATGTGACTAGAATCAAAGAAGCCCACCATGCAGGCACATATTCTGGCATCTTTCTATCTTTATCAACACTACTTACTGTTATGCATATTTGAAGAAGGGTAGGGTACCTTTTGTGAGACTCTGCGCAAAACTGCGGAGGAGACACCTCACACCCTGCTGTCTCTTCCCATGATCTCTCCTATCCTTCAGTACCTCATCTTTTATTCTCTTTAGCATGAATGAATTACAGAGGAGGCTCACTTCTGTGACGGCTATGATTCAAGATTTGGTATTTGCAATGGAGAAGCAGTTACAATGGAGGAATATATTGGCTTCCAGTCATTCTGTTTCAAAACATTGACCATTTTCTTCTGCTAGCTACTAAGGATTCTTGAGTTGTGAAATATGAGCAAGAATTACCTCTCCTCCCTCTGACTCAGGATAAGAACCTGAAAACCTGCATTTCTCATAAATTCCTGTAGCTAACTTTTATGCAAATTAAAGTTTGATAACCACTCTGGTACAGAGGCTGTTATGGATGGAAGCTTATGTAGGAGAATCTATTGAGAAGGATAAGGGAATGCTATTGGTTTGTGTGGGCCAAGATGGTTTGGCAGGCTGGGAGCCCTTTTAAGAATTGAGAAAGTTAATGAGGCAACTCTTGGTGGCTCCTCCAGTACATTCCTGCCCCAGCACTTTCCTGCTCCTTTTCCCTTCCCCAGCCTTAGTTCTGGACCGCCATATACTGGGCTGACTGCAGTGCATGTCTGTTGCTGTCCTGATGTTACCCTCTTTCCCCCGGACACAGAGATGCTGAAGTGAGCTGGTTCATAGCCCTTTGAGAGGAGCATCGATGATACGTTTGCATTAACATCTGTCCATTTGTCTCCAGATACAGTCTGGGTGGCCTCATTTAAGTAGATGCTGCACACTTGTGGCCTCCTAATTATGTTCTGCACCTGTGTGTAGTCTTTGCAGCTGCTCTGGAGACTCCGGGGTCCCCACCAGGCCCTCACAGGTTCCCAGCCCATCTGTCAGCCTCTCCATCCATTTGCTGACATGTGACTCAGCTGCAGACAGAGCACAGGGGTCAGGCCTCCAGCTGCCTTTACCTGCTCCATCATTATAGCCAGAAACGGGGAATGAGTCTTGGGGAATGTGCTTCTGCCTGGCTTTGCTGAGGCTCATGGAGGCCACCCACCTGGGAATCTTGAGACCTTTTCCTTGGGAAGAAGAGAGGGGACAGCAAAGAGAGCTGGTGAGCTCCTTATAACTGAGTAATAAATGAAAGCCCTGGGGTATGGCTCCTCGGGCCAGAGACAATGAGAGCTCAGACCAGACTTGGTAGTTTTGGCAAAGGAGACATTAACATTTGTTTCAAGGCTGTTTCTTGTCTTTACTTTGTATCACCTCCTTTAAGCTGAAGTGGGGAATGGTTTTCATCTTGAGACAGTCCCTTGGAGCACATCCTGCACTGGCTGGCATCCTACTGGGCGCGTTTCTTTTCCTGGAAGTAATAACTGTGTGATAACCCTTTAGAGATCAGGGGGACATGCTATTTGAGTATGATCATTTCCAAGACCTTAGACCCAAAGAGATGTGTCTCTGAACCCTAATAATAGGATTCATGAAAGACTGATAGATGTAGAGAGAAGGGAAGGGGGATAGTAACCCAGGGGACTTAATCTCTGGGTAAGCAGTGAAATAAAAAGTGTTAGGAAATCCTCCATTATCAATAGAGTGGGGTTGTATTATCAACCCCTCTCATCAAAGTGTGCTTATCTGTCTTGAGTTGAGCTTCCTAGAACAGAGCTTGAGAAAGATTCAAGGCCATGGGATTGATTTAGGGAGTGCTCTTCAGGAAGAAACCTATAAATGAGGTGGGAAACAGGAGAGGTATATTAGTCTGTTTGTATTACTATAAAGGAATACCTGAGGCAGGGTAATTTATAGAGAAAAGAGGTTTAATTGGCTCACAGTTCTGTGGGTATACAGGGGGTGTAGTGCCAACATCTGCTTCTGGTGAGGCCTCAGGAAGTTTCCAATCATGGCAGAAGGTGAAGGGAGAGCAGGTGCATCACATAGTGAGAACAGTAGCAAGAGAGTGAGGATGGGAGGTCCCAGACTTTTAAACAACCAGATCTCACATGAACTGAGTGAGGACTCACTCATCACCAAGGGAATGGTACTAAACCATTCATAAGGGATCCACCCCCATGATCCAATCACCTCCCACCTCCAATATTGAGAATCACATTTCCACAAGAGATTTGGAAGGGACACACATCCAAACCATGTGAACAAGGAAGGGAAAAGAGCTGAGGAAGGCTAAGTGCTCAGCCTGATCCTTGGAAAGGAATACCCTTGTATTCCCCAGGCTTGACTTCACTCTGCCCGACCCATGCTTCAACCCTCACCTTCCTTCAGCTTGCCAGCTGTACCGAGTGCTGAATGTGGACAGTATCCCTGTCTTCAAGAGCTCTCAGTGGTCATCTATGCATGCAGGCAAGCATCTATGCTAGGGCACATGGCGCCATCACTGGGCCACTTCTATACCTTGCACTGGGAAGTGAGTTAGTTCTTGTCAGTTAGTCTCCACTCTACAGCACACCAGTTTATGAAAACATTTCAAACCTAGTTTTCTAAAGGTTCTGAAATGACATCTCCCCAAATTTTTCTTCTGGATGACAATGGTGGGTTGTTATTTTCCATAAATGGAGATGCCAACTTTGTTTTCCTTTCAAAAATCCACTTATATTTGCAGGACAGTTTTGTTCAATTTGATCTTTCTAAAAATAATTAATGTATTGAGGTTTTGGAATTCTAACTAAAGGTTAACTTCACCTCAGTTAAGATGATAAAATCAATGTAGATATGCTATGATTGATAATATGAGAATAGAGTTTATTTTATCTTAAAATTAAAGTTGAAACCTTTAATTAATGTCATCTATTTGTTTAGTGTGTATATTTAAGCATGCATATAAAGGTATATTATAACTAATGAACAAAGAAAGCATATGAATGATGAAAAAGATTACTGGTAGCCTAAAATCCATGTTTGGAGTATTCGGTTAGCTCTTAAAAAGGAGTCAGAAGAAGTTCTCTACATTTTGTGTAATCTGCCCAGAGCACAGAGAGGTTCCTTATCTTCCAAAAAACCTTTCACTTGAAAACCAGATAACTTTGTGTTGATTTTTGTCATGCTCTTGAATTATTTTATAAGGAAACGACAAAAGTTTCTTGCTTCTAAAAGGGTTAAAGCTCCCCAGTCACCTGCTATGTTCATTTAAACTATTTTATTGCCACTCTGGTTAATAAGGGAGCCAAGCTACAAGCATTTTTCGTTCTCAGGCTTCTATGCTTCATTCATAATCAAGGGGCCAATCTCCTCTGACAACTCTTCTTTTTTTTTTTTTTTTCTATTAGCAGGATGGATGGAAAGGCTCTAGAGATTTGCTAAGGCTTCTCAGCTGCTATAATGTGTTCTTACTTTCAGGATAATTGACCTGATCTGTATAAAATAGTTATATATTTTCTTATTCATTAAAGGAAAATGCCATACTTCATTTTGTCTATCTTTTTTGTTACTATAATAAATTTGTCATCAACAGGTGGTTTTCTGTTCTCACCTTACTTTGTCCGATTGCCTACTATAAGGTATAAGCCAGAAATTGGGTCTTAACAAAGAAGGACAGCTTCAGAGCTTTGGCAAAAAGGACTGCACTGCATATGGTAATTATTGATACTGCAAGGAATATGCTCACAGCTGCAGGTTTCACAGAGAAGCTAACCTTGCCACTTTAAGCAGAGAGACCTGTCAGACTGTACTAGGGGGCATCAGTCAGGACTCTTGCAACCCAGTAGATGACTTAATAAAAGTAGACAGCTGATCCAAGGTCTAACAAAACAAGAATTGGTTATGTAGACAGAATGAAAGGGATGAGAGAAATATTATTGTTGGCATTAATGAGTATTTGTTGGCATTGTCTTTAATGTTCTACTTATTTTTTATTTTATTTTATTGTTTTTGAGACGGAGTGTTGCTCTGTCACCCAGGCTGGAGTGCAGTGGTGCGATCTCTGCTCACTGCAAGCTCCGCCTCCCAGGTTCACACCATTCTCCTGCCTCAGCCTCCCGAGTGGCTGGGACTATAGGCGCCCGCCACCATGCCCGGCTAATTTTTTGTATTTTTAGTAGAGACAGGGTTTCACCATGTTAGCCAGGATGGTCTCGATCTCCTGACCTCGTGATCCGCCCGCCTCAGCCTCCCAAAGTGCTGGGATTACAGGCGTGAGCCACCGCGCCCGGCCTAATGTTTTATTTTTGAAGGGCATATGAGGAAGCCCTTTTTCTATATTTTGAGAGTATCTTTAACTCTTGATTTATTTAGCTGGCTATAGTTGTGCAAACTGCAATGAAACACTTTTCCAACGGTGCCTTATTTAAATTGTACCCTCAGAATTCATGAAAGACATTCTGTGAAGAATCTTAATCTAGGTACCTAGTCAATGAATCACCATGGGAATGTAGTAGGATAATGGCAATAGTAACTCGGATGCAGGTGAATGTTTTTGCAATGGATTATGCTTAGTTATAATAACTGCCCCATTTTCTTCTCACAGATTATTGCTTAATTCTCACATTACATTTGTGTAAGAATTAAAGCAATAATCTGAGAAAATTTTCATTTTTTATTTTAATTGACAAATAATTATATTTATGGAGTACAATGTGGTGCTTTGATATGTGTATGCATTGTAGAATGATGAAATCAGGCTAATTAGCATATCCATCATCTCATATATTTATCATTTCTTTGTGGTGAGAATATTGGAAATTCTCTCTTTTAGCTGTTTTGAAATATATATTATTATTGTTATTTTATAATTTTTTATTATACTTTAAGTTCTAGGGTACATGTGCACAACATGCAGGTTTGTTACATATGCATATATGTGCCATGTTGGTGTGCTGCACCCATTAACTCGTCATTTACATTAGGTATGTCTCCTAATGCTATCCCTCCCCTCACCCCCACCCCACAACAGGCCCCGGTGTGTGATGTTCCCCTTCCTGTGTCCAAGTGTTCTCATTGTTCAATTCCCACCTATGAGTGAGAACATGTGGTGTTTGTTTTTTTGTCCTTGAGATAGTTTGCTGAGAATGATGGTTTCCAGCTTCATCCATGTCCCTACAAAGGACATAAACTCATCATTTTTTATGGCTGCATAGTATTCCATGATGTGTATGTGCCACATTTTCTTAATCTAGTCTATCATTGTTGGACATTTGGGTTGGTTCCAAGTCTTCGCTATTGTGAATAGTGCCGCAATAAACATACATGTGCTCATCATCATTGGCCATCAGGGAAATGCAAGTCCAAACCACAATGAGATATCATCTCACACCAGTTAGAATGGTGATCATTAAAAAGTCAGGAAACAACAGGTGCTGGAGAGGATGTGGAGAAATAGGAACACTTTTACACTGTTGGTGGGACTGTAAACTAGTTCAACCATTGTGGAAGACAGTGTGGCGATTCCTCAGGGATCTAGAACTGGAAATACCATTTGACCCAGCCATCCCATTACTGGGTATATACCCAAAAGATTATAAGTCATGCTGCTATAATATATTATTATTAACTATAGTCACCCTACTATGTAATAGATCACCTGAACTTATTCCTGCTATCTAACTAAAACTTTGTACATTTTGCCAACATCTTCCCTTTCCCCTTTCCCACAACCAGCCTCTGGTGACCACCATTCTACTCTCCACTTCATGAGTTTGACTTTTTTAGATTCCACATATGAGTGAGATGGAAGCTAACGTAGGAGGACCTATTGAGAAGGATGACGGGATAGAGTGTTCATTTGTGTGGGCCAAGATGGTTTGGCAGGCTGGGAGGTCTGCCAAATACTGGAAGACAGTATTCATGTCTGTGCCTGGCTTAATTCACTTAGCATAATATTCTTTAGGTTCATCTATGTTGTCACAAATGACAGAATTTCTTAAGGTTAAGTAGCATTCCATTCTGTATATATACCACATTTTCTTAATCCTTTCATCTATTGATGAATACTTAGGTTGTTTCCATATCTTAGCTATTGTGAATAATGCTGCAATGAGCATGGGAGTGCAGATATCTCTTCAACATACCTATTTTCTTTCCTTTGGATATAAACCTAGTGGTGGGATTGCTGAATTATATGGTAATTCTATTTTTAGTTTTTAAAGGAACCTCCAAACTGTTTTCCAAAATGGCTGTACTAATTTACAATACCGCCAACAGTGTACAAATGTTCCCTTTGCCCCACATCCTCGCCAACAATTATCTTTACTTTTTTTGATAATAAATCTAACAGCTGCAAGGTAATATCTCATTGTGGCTTTCATTTGCATTCTTCTGATAATTAGAGATGTTGAGCATTTAAACATATATCTGTTGGCCAATTTTATGTGTTCTTTTGAGAGATATCTATTCAGGTATTTTGTTTATTTTAGGGTTTTTTTTGTTGTTGTTATTTAGTAGTATGAGTTCCTTGTATATGTTGGATATTAGCCCCTTATCTAATGCATGATTTGCAAATATTTTTTCAGAATTTGTGGGTTGTCTCTTGACTATATTGTTTCTTTCACTGAGCAGAAGCTTTTCAGTTTGATGAAATCCTACTTGTCTATTGTTTCTTTTCATTGCCTGTGCTTTGGGGGTTATATTTAATAAATCACTGTCCAGACCAATGTAATGGAGTTTTTCCCCTATGTTTTCTTCTAGTAGTTTTACAGTTTTAGGTCTTACATGTAAGTCTTTATTTTGAGTTGATTCTTGTATGAGAATGAGATAAGAGTTTATTTTCATTCTTTTCAATAGATGCAGAAAAATCATTTGACAAAATTCAACATCCTTTAAAATACTAACTATCAACTAATTAAGTATAGAAAGAATGTTCTTCAACACAATTAAGGCCATATATGACAAGCACACAGTTAACACCATACTCAGTAGTGAAAAGTTGAAAGCTTTTACTCTAATATCAGGAACAAGACAAGATGCCCCATGTATACATATGTAACTAACCTGCACATTGTGCACATGTACCCTAAAACTTAAAGCATAATAATAATAAAATAAAATAAATTAAAAATAAATGGTTAAGATGGTAAACACTGACTACAATTTTAGCTCAATTAAAAATAAAAATATTTTTAAAAGAGAAAAAAATGAACTAGGGAAATTAAAAAAAAAAAAAAAAAAAGACAAGATGCCCACTCTCACCACTTCTGTTCAACACAGTACTGGAAGTCTCAGCCAGAGCAGTTAGGCAAGAGAAAGAAGTAGAAAGTATGTAAATAAGAAAAGAAAAAGTGAAATTTATAGTAAGAAGAAGAAGGAAATATATCTTCCATAAGTATGCATAACTGCTGGGCCTATCTCAGTCACTTGTTGCTTTTAGATCACAAAGCGCACAATATACACAACTGTACTTGGTAGTCCTTGTTGAAAAAGTGACATTTTGGTAAATATCTGAAGGTAGTGAAGTAGCAAGCCTTGCAGACATTTTGGAGAAGAGTACTCCAGGCAGAGGAAACAGCATGAACAAAGACCTCAAGCAGTAATATGCATGATGTGGTTGAAGATCAGCCAGAAGGCCAGAAATATGAAAGAGGCATGAGTGAGTAGGAGAGTAAATGGAGATGAGATCAGGAAGTTATAGGGGGACCTGACCATTTGGCTCCATAGGCCTTGTGGGGTCCTTGGCTTTTGCAAGTGAGATGAAAGCCTTCACAGGGTTTTCAGCAGAGGTGTGACATGACATTAAAAGGCTCACTCAGGCTATTGTGTAAAGGAGTAAATATGGAAGCAGAGAAGCCATTGTAAAAACCGACGGCAATCTAGGAGTTGTAGGCAATGGGATACAACAATAAGTAAAACCAAGGTCAGAACTTCATGTTGCTTACGCTTTAGTTTGGGGAGATGGATAATAAAACAAACCATCAAACTGATATGCAGCGTGTCAGGTGGTCACAAATTGTATGAAGGTAAGTGGGTAAAGAGTGATGGCAAGATGTCTGCCTTTAGCTGAAATGTAATGTGGCAGTTATCAATATTCCTACTAAAGGCTACTAAAACCACCAGAACCAAAGATTTTAAAAAATATTTTTGAAGGCTACTGAGTGCAATCAAAATTGGAAGCAAAGAAGGAATCACAGAGAGATATATTCTGCAGCTGCTTTTTCCTTTGCTCATTGAACGAAGTATCAAACAAGAGGTTCCATTAAAACATAAATTGGATACATTATTCCTTTGGCAGCACCTTCTCATAAATTCATCTCCAACCTATTAGAAAGCCAATGTCTTTTCGATGCCCTACAGTGCTACAATTGGGCCCCCTTGTTAAATCTCTGATCATTTCCTATTATGATTCTCCTTTGCTCATTCTGCTTCAGCCACTCTGAATTTTTTGCTGCTTCTCAAACATGACAAGCACATGTCTGACTTGGGGCCTTTGCACTTGCAGTGCTCTCCACCTGGAATGCCCTTCTTCTAGCTATTAATAGTATAATGGCTGCTTCCCTGTCCTTCTTTACTTGGTGCTGTCTTTTCAATGACTCTTTCTCCGACACACTATTTAAAATTATAATACCACTCCTAGAATACCTTATCCCCCTTCTCTGCTTCATTTTTTTCTCTACAGCATTAATCACCATAGTCTTTACTCTGTACTTATTTGTTTTGATTATTTTCTATTTAATTTCCCCAGAAGCTAAGCTATATTGGGAATTTCTTTTACATTTTACTCACACTGCCTAAAACTGAGACTGACCCATTGCAGGCCCTTGAGAAATACTTGAGTAAATGAATGAGTAAATGACTTACATAGCTCCAACCAAACTTCGGACTTTGTCCGAACCAAACTTTGGACTCTGGTCCAAACTTCGACCAGATAGAATTGAATTTTTTTCATATTGAAGGGAATGACAGAAGATGTGATGAAACTTTTTTTTTAAAAGAAGTATAGTACTTTAGGGAATGAGTGGAGAGGAGTCTGGAAAACCCCATCAATATTTTCTTAAAGTTTAAAGTTAAAGGCTGAAAATATGGGTGAGCTATAGAAGTCAGCAAGGCCTTTGCCAGCCATAGATCAAGCGGTCAGCAGAAAAAGTATGTGGTCAGGCTATTTTTCTAACCTGATTTCCAAATAGCGGCTTGATCTTGCTTCAATATTAGGAGAAGCCTCCTACTGTGGAGTGAAATAGTCTAGTCGGAAAAAATGAACAACCTACCAGGAACCATTTGCATAGCTGTAGACAAATTTAAAAAGTAAGAAAAAATATAAAATGTTATTCAGTCTCACCTAATAGTCCATGAGCCTTTTGCATTTTTTTTGTTGTTCATCCTTTTTCCCCTGTGACCTATTTATTTAAAAGTGGACCATCTTCAATCTTCAGATTACAACCCCTTTTTGAACATGATATTTCACCAACATATACTAAGAATTTAACAAACTTTAGTTGAATAAGTAAATGAAGTTAAATGCACAGTACACAGAATATATGCTTATACCCAATGGCGATATGCAAAATATTTGGCAACAGATATGTCCTAGACATAAGCTATCCAGAAAGAATGACTCCCGTGAATGACCTGTGTACCCATACCGGTGTATACTGTTTGAAAATCATCAGCACATTTATCTCTGCATTCTCTAACCCATGCCCTCTTCAACTTAGATTTAAACATCACTGTATGAGACACTGTACCAACCTGTGACAATGTCCTTCGCCCTTTGATTTTCAGCCTTATAAATTTCCTAATGCATTCATTCACTTAGAGAAAGATAATTGATTCACTTTGTAAGTCTTTCTTGGTTATGGCTACTTAATGTTTTGCTGACCTTTTCAGTGAAGATTTTTCATCACTAGATATTAATGTTTTAGGTTCAGACAAAATGTACCCAGGTTCTAGGCCAATAAACCAATAATAATTTGTATGCCCACTCAGTTTGAGCTTTTCATTATCTTGGCAAAAGTAATTTCTCAGAAGAAAATCATTTACTAATAAATTCTTTTTTTATTATTAAAAAGAGCTCTTATAAGTACAAGTGTTTCTTCATTGATAGAAAATTTCCTCTTCTTCAAAATTAAATTTAAAACTTTAATTAGGATACTCAAGGCAATAAAGTAAAATTCTAATCCCTTTATGTAGCCAATGAAATGGAACTGAAAGAGGGAGGCATAGTGGATTTTTAAAAAATGATCTACCCAATCTTTTAGAAAATTTTATTATCTTCCAAAAAAAGTTAGCTGAAATAATATTTATTCTTCATAGGAGGCAGCATTTTCCAATAAAGTTTTTATTATTCACTCAGTCAATATTAAAATAATACAATCAGCTAAAAGAAATTTTGCATCTGTGAAATTTGCGTCTGATCTGGTAATGAACATATATCATCCCTTTGTAGACCATGACATATAATTACTTCTGTGCCATTTGATTTAATGTATATCTTTCTTTAGCATTCATTATGGAAGCAGAAAGAATTCTCTAATTTTATTGAATGAAAATATGGCAGCAATGAGCAAATTATATTTCAACCATATGGTCCTACAATTTCCAGCATTTGTTCTGCAATATTCTAACACATACCATCCATATCTACAATCTTCTTCACCACCTATATAATGTTGTTTTACCCCAGTTGTTATGAAAAAAATGTTAAAGTTGTTTTACCCCACTTGGTATAAAAATGTTAAAGTTATGAAAATGTTAAAGTTTCCATTTAGGAATTGTCCTCTCAACCCCCTCAGTTATATATTAAATATCTCGTGCATTGTAAATAATATATTGAACTATTCTACACATCTCTTCTTGTGCCAAGTTGCCAGCTCTCTCCTTTTCAAAGACAAGTAAGATTTAAAAAAATTAATATGTTGCTATAAAAAGTTACAGTTAACAGGGAAACCATTATCTTGATAATTAGAAATAAGAGCAGTCTTTGAAAAATGACTTGTGATAGACAAGAAAATACAACTTAAAACACTGGCATGTTTATAAAACAAGAAGGGAAAGCTAATGTCATGAAAGGGAAATGATCATGTCATTTTTCACCTAGCATTCACTAAATAAATATATGCCAACTCGATAGCTGAAGAAGAAATTTCTGAACTAAAAGTAACACCTGGTTGTGCATATCAACACCTAAACACATCCTGGGTAAATTTTATATTTAACAACGAAAGGTAAATAGGTAGTATGTGGATATACAGGGAGATAGATAGATAGACAGATGATAGATAGTTGATAGACTGACAGATGGGTAGATTGTCTGGTTGGTTCTCCTTTCTAAAATTCTATGTAATAATACCCTTTTCCTACTTGACAAAAAAAAGTCTCACCTCATCCTCATCTGGAAAATCAATACAGTACATTATTACCCTTGTGATATGGTTTGGATCTGTGTCCCTGCCCAAATCTTGTGTCAAATTATGTGGGGCCTAGTTAGAGGTGATTGGATCATGGGGACAGTTTCTCATGAAGGTTTTAGCACCATCCTCTTGGTGTTATTCTCATGATAGTGAGTTCTCATGAGATCCGGTTGTTTAAAAGTGTGTGGCACCTCCTCCCCCCTCCCCCGCCCATCTCTCTCTCTCTCGCTCTCTCCTCCTCCAGCCATGTGACATGCTGGCTTCTCCTTCACCTTCCACCATAATTGTAGGTTTCCAGAGGCCTCCCCAGAAGCTGAACAGGTGCCAGCATCATGCTTCCTTTACAGCCTGCAGAACTGTGAGCCAATTAAACCTCTTTTCTTTATTAATTACCCAGTCTCAGGTATTTATATATAGCAATGTGAGAATGGACTAGTACAACTTGATAAAAAATCTGTAGAATAATTCAGAATGATAGTATCAGGATTAAGAAAGTGAATGACCTAAAAGCCTTAATAGAAAATACTTGTGCAGATCAGGGAGGTAGCATTTGTTGCTTTAAATAAAAAGATTGATAGGCCATGGAGTATTAAAAAAGTTGTTTGATGCTGGTAAATGTGTGATTTTGGGCTTAAAATACAAAAGTCTAAATAATTGAGTGGTATTACTATAGAAAATACTTCCTTTTCCTACGTACTTACACCTTAATTTGCATTTCCTAAAATTTTATATAATTGTATTCTTTTTAGTTGGATTTCTTGCACTCACTGTAATGCCATTAAAATTCAACCATGTTATTGTATCTTTCAATAGGTCATTGCTTTTTATTAATGAATGGTATTCAATGATATGGCTATATCATAGTTTGTTGATTGATTTGTCTGTCAGTATGCATTCGGGTTGATTTTGGCTATTGCAAGTAAAGTTGCTATGAACATGTGCATGCAAGTCTTTGTATGAACATATGTTTTCTTTTCTCTTGCATAAACATCTAAGAGTGGAATGGTAGATCATATAGTAGGTACATGTTTAACATTTTAAAAACTGCCAAACTATTTTCCAAAGTTGATGCTTCCTTTACTTTCTTAACAGAACTGTGTGAGAGTTGTAATTCTGCCACATCCTCACCAATACTCTGTATGGTTGGTCATAAGTTTTAGCCATTCTAACAGGATGATGGTGGTTTTAATGAAGTTTTAATATTTAGTTCCATAATACCTAAGGGTGTTGAGCATTTTTGTATGAATTTATTTGCCATCTCTGTACTTTATTTGGTGAAGTGTTTATTCAAGTATTTTTGTCCTTGGATTGTCTATTTATTATTGAATTTTGTGAGCTCTTGATACATTCTGGATATAAGTCCTTCATTAGATATATGGTATGTAGATATTTTCTCCAAGTCTGTGGCTTTTTTCCCATTCTCATAATAGAATCTTCTGAAGAATAGATATTTTTAAATTTGAAGTTCAATTTATTATTATTATTTTTTATACTTTAAGTTCTGGGATACATGTGCAGAACGTGCAAGTTTTTTACATAGGTATGCATGTGCCATTGGTGGTTTGCTGCACCCATCAACTGGTCATCTACATTAGGTATTTTTCCTAATGCTATCCTTCCCCTTGCCCCCCACCCCACAACAGGCCCCAATGTGTGATATTCCCCTCCCTGTACCCATAGGTTCTCATTGTTCAACTCCCACTTATGAGTGAGAACATGCAGTGATTGGTTTTCTGTTCCTGTGTTAGTTTGCTGAGAACGATGGTTTCCAGCTTCATCCATGTCCCTACAAAGGACGTGAACTCATCTTTTTATGGCTACATAGTATTCCATGGTGTATATGTGCCACATTTTCTTTATCCAGTCTATCACTGATAGGCATTTGGGTTGGTTTCAAGTCTTTGCTATTGTGAATAGTGCTGCAATAAACATACGTGTGCACGTGTCTAAATAGTAGGATGATTTCTAATCCTTTGGGTATAAACCCAGTAACGGGATTGTTGGGTCAAATGGTGTTTCCAGTTCTAGATCCTTGAGGAACCACCACAATGGTTGAACTAATTTACACTCCCACCAACAGTGTAAAAGCATTCCTATTTCTCCACATCCTCTCCAGCATCTGTCGTTTCCTGACTTTTTAATGATCGCCATTCTAACTGGTGTGAGAAAGTATCTCATTGTGGTTTTGATTTGCATTTCTCTAATGATCACTGATGATGAGCTTTTCTTCATATGTTTGTTGGCCACATAAATGTCTTCTTTTGAAGTGCCTGTTCATATCCTTTGCCCACATTTGGATGGGTTTTTTTTTTCTTGTAAATTTGTTTAAGTTTTGTGTAGATTCTGGATATTAGCCCTTTGTTAGATGGATGGATTGCAAAAATTTTCTCCCATTCTGTAGGTTGCCTGTTCACTCTGATGATAGCAGAAGCTCTTTAGTTGATTTAGATCCTGTTTGTCAATTTTGGCTTTTATTGTAATTGCTTTTGGTGTTTTAGTCATGAAGTCTTTGCCCATGCCTATGTCCTGAGTGGTATTGCCTAGGTTTTCTTCTAGGGTTTTTATGGTTTTAGGTCTTCCATTTAAATCTTTAATCCATCTTGAGTTAATTTTTGGAAAATGTGTAAGGAAGGGGTCCAGTTTCAGTTTTCTGCATGTGGCTAGCCAGTTTTCCCAACACCATTTATTAAACAGGGAATCTTTTCCCCATTGCTTGTTTTTGTCAGGTTTGTTGAAGGTCAGATGACTGTAGATGTGTGGTGTTATTTCTGAGGCCTCTGTTCTGTTCCATTGGTGTATATATCTGTTTTGGTACCAGGACCATGTTGTTTTGGTTACTGTAGCCTTGTAGTATAGTTTGAAGTCAGGTAGTGTGATGCCTCCAGCTTTGTTCTTTTTATTTAGGATTGTCTTGGCTATACGGGCTCTTTTTGGTTTCATGTGAAATTTAAAGTCATTTCTTCTAATTCTGTGAAGAAAGTCAATGGTAGCTTTACGGGAATAGTATTGAATCTATAAATTACTTTGGGGAGTATGACCATTTTCACAACATTGATTCTTCCTATCCATGAGCATGGAATGCTTTTCCAGTGGGTTGTGCCCTCTCTTATTTCCTTGAGCAGTGGTTTGTAGTTCTACTTGAAAAGGTCCTTCACATCCCTTGTAAGTTGTATTCCTAGGTATTTTATTCTCTTTGTAGCAATTGTGAATGGAAGTTCACTCATGATTTGGCTCTCTGTTTATCTGTTATTGGTGTATAGGAATGCTTGTGATTTTTGTACATTGATTTTGTATCCCGAGACTTTGCTGAAGTTGCTTATCAGCTTAAGGAGTTTTTGTCCTGAGACAATGGGGTTTCCTAAATACACAATCATGTCATCTGCAAACAGAGATAATTTGACTTCCTCTTTTCCTATTTGAATATGCTTTATTTCTTTCTCTTGCTTGATTGCTCTGGCCAGAACTTCCAATACTATGTTGAGTGGGAGTGGTGAGAGAGGACATCCTTGTCTTGTGCCAGTTTTCAAAGGGAATGCTTCCAGCTTAATGCCCATTCAGTATGATATTTGCTGTGGGTTTGTCATAAATAGCTCTTATTATTTTGAGATATATTCCATCAATACATAGTTTATTGAGTGTTTTTAGCATGAAGGGGTGTTGAATTTTATCGAAGGCTCTTCTGCATCTATTGAGATAATCATGTGGTTTTTGTCACTGGTTCTGTTTATGTGATGAATTATGTTTATTGACTGGCATATTTTGAACCAGCCTTGCATCCCAGTGATGAAGCCAACTTGATCATGGTTGATAAGCTTTATAATGCGCTGCCGGATTTGGTTTGCCAGTACTTTACTGAGGACTTTTGCATTGATGTTCTTCAGGGATATTGGCCTGAAATTTTCTTTTTTTGTTGTGTCTCTGCCAGATTTTGATATCAGGATGATGCTGGCCTCATAAAATGAGCTGGGTAGGAGTCCCTCTTCTTCTATTGTTTGGAATATTTCAGAAGGAATGGTACCAGCTCCTCTTTGTACCTCTGGTAGAATTCGGCTGTGAATTCATCTCGTCCTGGGTTTTTTTTTTTGTTGTTGTTGATATGCTATTAATTACTGCCTCAATTTTAGAACTTGTTATTGGTGTATTCAGGGATTTGACTTCTTCCTGGTTTAGTCTTGGGAGGGTGTATGCATCCAGGAATATATCCATTTCTTCTAGATTTTCTAGTTTATTTGTGTAGCGGTGTTTATAGTATTCTCTGATGGTAGTTTGTACTTCTGTGGGATCAGTGGTGATCTCCCCTTTATCATTTTTTATGGTGTCTATTTGTTTCTTCTCTCTTCTTTAATAGTCTGGCTAGCAGTCTATCGATTTTGTTAATCTTTTGAAAAAACCAGCTCCTGGATCAATTGATTTTTTGAAGGGTTTTTCATGTCTACATCTCCTTCAGTTCACCTCTGACCTCAGTTATTTTTGTCTTCTGCTAGCTTTTGAATTTGTTTGGTCTTGCTTCTCTAGTTCTTTTCATTGTAACGTTAGGGTGTCGATTTTCATCTTTCCCGCTTTCTCCTGTCGGCATTTAGTGCTATAAATTTCCCTCTAAACACTGCTTTAGCTGTGTCCCAGAGATTCTGTACGTTGTGTCTTTGTTCTCATTGGTTGTAAAGAACTTTTTATTTCTGCCTCAGTTTCGTTATTTACCCAGTAGTCATTCAGGAGCAGGTTGTGCAGTTTCCATATAGTTGTGTGGTTTTGAGTGAGTTTCTTAATCCTAAGTCCTAATTTGATTGCACTGTGGTCTGAGAGACTGTTTGCTTTGATTTCCATTCCTTTGCATTTGCTGAGGAGTGTTTTACTTCCAATTATGTGGTCAGTTTTAGAATAAGTGCGATTTGGTGCTGAGAAGTATGTATATTTTGTTGATTTGGGGTGAAAAGTTCTGTAGATGTCAATTAGGTCTGCTTGGTCCAGAGCTGAGTTAAAGTCCCGACTATCTTTGTTAATTTTCTGTCTCATTGATCTGTCTAATATTGACAGTGGGGTGTTAAAGTCTCCCACTAATATTGTGTGAGAGTCTAAGTCTTTTTGTAGGTCTCTAAGAACTTGCTTTATGAATCTGGGTGATCCTGTATTGGGTGCACATATATTTAGGATAGTTAGCTCTTCTTATTGTATTGATCCCTTTACCATTATGTAATGCCTTTCTTTTTTCTTTTTTGATCTTTGTTGGTTTAAAGTCTGTTTTATCAGAGACTAGGATTGCAACCCCTGCTTTTTGTTTGTTTGTTTGTTTTCTTTCCATTTGCTTGGAAAATCTTTCTCCATCCTTTATTTTGAGCCTATGTGTGTCTTTGCACATGAGATGGGTCTCCTGAATACAGCACACCGATTGGTCTTGACTCTGTATCTTATTTGACAGTCTGTGTCTTTTAATTGGGGCATTTAGCCCATTTACATTTAAAGTTAATATTGTTAATGTGTGAATTTGATCCTGTCTTCATGATGCTAGCTGGTTATTTTGCCCGTTAGTTGATGCAGTTTTTTCATAGTGTCGATGGTCTTTACATTTTGATATGCTTTTGCAGTGGCTAGTACTGGTTTTTCCTTTCCATATTTAGTGCTTCCTTCAGGAGCTCTTGTAAGGCAGGCCAGGTGGTGACAAAAATCCCTCAGCATTTGCTTTTCTGTAAAGGATTTTATTTCTCCTTCACCTGTGAAGCTTAGTTTGGCTGGATATGAAATTTGGGTTGAAAATTCTTTTTTTAAGAATGTTGAATATTGGCCCCACTCTCTTGTGGCTTGTAGGGTTTCTGCAGAGAGATCTGCTGTTAGTCTGATGGGCTTCCCTTTGTGGGTAACCTGACCTTTCTCTCTGGCTGCCCTTAACATTTTTTTCTTCATTTCAACCTTGGTGACGTGTCTTGGGGTTGCTCTTCTCAAGGAGTATCTTTGTGTTGTTCTCTGTATTTCCTGGATTTGAATGTTGGCCTGTCTTGCTATGTTGGGGAAGTTCTCCTGGATAATATCCTCAAGTGTGTTTTCCAACTTGGTTCCATTCTCCCCATCACTTTCAGGTACACCAATCAAATGTAAGTTTGGTCTTTTCACATAATCCTATATTTCTTGGAGGCTTTGTTCATTCCTTTTCATTCCTTTTTTCTCTAATCTTCTTTTCATGCTTTATTTCATTAAGTTGCTCTTCGATCTCTGATATCCTTTCTTCTGCTTGATCAATTCGGCTATTTATAGTTGTGTATGCTTCACGAGGTTCTCGTGCTGTGTTTTTCAGCTCCACCAGGTCATTTGTGTTCTTCGTTAAACTGGTTATTCTAGTTAGCAATTTGTCTAATCTTTTTCAAGGTTCTTAGCTTCCTTGTATTGGGTTAGAACACGCTCCTTTAGCTCAGAGGAGTTTGTTATTACCCACCTTCTGAAGCCTACTTCTGTCAATTCATCAACTCATTCTCCATCCAATTTTGTTCCCTTGCTGGCATGGAATTGTGATCCTTTAGAGGAGAAGAGGCATTCTGGTTTTTGGAATTTTGAGGCTTTGCACATGTTTTTCTTCATCTTCGTGGATTTATCTACCTTTTGTCTTTGATGTTGGTGACCTTCAGATGGGGTTTTATTTACTATAAGCAGCAAAATTAAAACAGGCCACACCTTCAACACTTGGCTTGGAAATATTTTCTGCTCAATACCCAATTTATTGCTTTCCAATTTTGCTAAGTTTTCTGCCATTATTATAACAAAGATTGCCTTTCCTTTTCTTATCCCAGTAATAATTAGCAGTCCAGGTCAAAGTATTTCTCAGAACAGAAAGACCCTAACATCAGGCCAATATTTAGATGGCTAAAAATGAGCTAGTGGCTACTTAAGTGTTCTAAGGAATAAGGCTAGAAAGATTGGGACAATGATCTTTTCACATCAAGCTCCATGAGCCCTCTGTCATGAATGGGGGATGGGAGAAGTAGGAAGGAGATATCCATTTCAGCAATAACATTTATGTTGTTGTCATCAGTGCATTACAGAGATCTTCATCTTAGAAGAAATCAATGAGAGAGGGCTGGGGAGTAACCCAAGGGCCTTCAAACATCTTTTGATATTGTAATGAGATGAGTGAATCTCAGTTTGTAACAAATAAAAATCTTTCTGCTGAAAATTTGAACAGTGCTCTTCAGACTTCCTTTTCTGTTATGAGACAGCAGAGGGTATTGATTAGTCCCAAACATTTTTCTTCATAAAATTCTTTTCTTTGTATTTTCCCCCTACAGCCTCCTGACCTCATTATCAGCCTCCCAAATTACTGGGATTACAGGTGTGAGCCACTGGGCATGGCCCATTTGTTTTCCTTTACTTGGCTTCTTCTCCCCCACTAGATTATGAACTCCATTCAGATGTCAGCCTAAAAGGAAGAGGCTGAGGCACAAAATGTAATTTAAAGAGTTTACTTGGCTGGGTGTGGTGACTCATGCCTGTAATCCCAGTACTTTGAGAGGCTGAGGCAGGTGCCCTGAGGTCAGGTGTTTGAGATCAGCCTGGCCATCATGGTGAAACCCTGTCTCTGCTAAAAATACAAAATTAGCCAGGTGCAGAGGCACGTGCCTGTAATCCTAGCTACTTGGGAGGCTGAGGCAGGAGAATCACTTGAACCTGGGAGGTGGAGGTTGCAGTGAGCCGAGATTGCACCATTGCACTCCAGCCTGAGCAACAAGAGCAAAACTCCATCTCAAAAAAAAAAAAAAAAAGAGTTTACTTGAGTCAAAGTGAGAACAGCTTCCCAGAAGACTCAAACCCAAGTAACCTTGGATATGAGCTCCCTTTGGTTTTTGTTACAAGCAGGCTTTTAATGGCAAAAAAAAGGGGGGGGGTCAAGGAGTGGGCTAAAATAAAGTGATTTGTCAGGAATTCTCAGTGGTTTAAATAAATAACACTGATTAGTGATTGGCTATACATCGTTTTACAGGGTGTAGGCTATGTATCAGGTACAGCATTATTAGGTTAATTTCTAGGCATTTGTGGCAATAGCAAGCAGATTCAATAGATGAATGCATAGCTCAAAGGGAGGAGTAGGACATGATTGCTGCCTCATTTGAATGCCTGTCTAAGTCTGATAATTTTAAAGGCTTTCCATTCCTCAGATAAAAGTATTTTTCTTTCTTCACAGGCAAGTATAAAGCAATGTCTGCTTTATACACCATTGAGTCTCCAGTGCATAAACAATAACTACTATATTGAGAGTACTTAATAAATATTTACTGAGTAAATATTGAATTGACTATCACTATCTTTTATTATTCTAAGATGTGATCCAAAATGAATGCCTCAGTTTTAAGCCTCCTCAAAATGTGACTCTATTTATCTTTTAACAGCATAGCATACCTATTAAAATGCTTACTAGAATGCTAATAAAGTTATTGCAGGCTAAAAGGATAAGGCCTAGGTTTTGAATGCCAAGACGGATTGGAGTGTTAGAGACTCCAGCAGCTATACCACCTGTCCCATCCAGCATTACCACCATGGGTCGTGACCACATATGATCAGATAGCGAAGGGTAAAAATAGCTTTCCAACAACTTCCAATAAATTCTTTTACCTTTTTGTACTTTCCCCACATATTTTCTCATAAAATGCTTGTGTAGTGAGAAGCAGTTAATAATTTGATTTTTTTTTTAGTGTTCTCTTACTGTATGCTTGGCTCAGTTGTAACAATTAGCTTAAGAAATCCAAGAAATTTGTGATACTTTCTACTCAGCTATGAAATATAGGATTATATATTTGTGTCTATTAGTTATCTTCTAATTGTTTGTCATTTGAAATAGCATCTCAAATTTGGGGTAGTAGAGTTGAAATTTCCAGTCTGCCATTGCACTGGTGGCTCAGCCTTACATCGGCAGCTTCCATTTTTTAGTTGCTAGATAACTACTATGTCTAGCTACACTGTGACAATGACAAGAAAATTAATAATGTTGACCATTTTGCTCTTAGCCTAATGGTTTGTTGAATTAATTGGTTGCCAGGAGCAGTAAATACTACTTTGATGTCCTAAGATACCTACATATGTCTATTTGACAGCAATATCTAATAGACTCAGAATCCAATAATTAAATGGGATCTATTTAAGATCAGCCCAAACTACAGTGACAGCATTATAACTTTAATGTGAAGACACATGATTTAATAAATAATTTGTGTATTGGGGAATGGTTCAGAATTTGAAATTAGAATGACTCCAGGAAATCTCAGAATCAGACTACTCCAGCTAAAATGTATGGAAGAGTTTTTTTCTCTTCTTCTAAGAAACCAGTGGCATGATGAATATTTCTGGATTCCAAGGCATCCCCCTGACCAATAAAGGGCAAAGGCAGATAAATAGATTAAGTCACTCTCCAGCCTTCTTGAGAAATGGGAAGAGGTTGTTGGCATTGGACCACAAGTGGAAGAAAACCAATATGAAGTTTGCGTGACATCAGGAACCATATTTGGGAAAATCAGCAACCATGGCTAAGAGTGAAATAGACATAAGGAGAAAAGATACTAGCAAAAAGACATCTTTCACAGGGAGGATCAAAGTGAATGGTATAGTGGAATTCCATGCCCACGAGCAGGTCAGGGACTGAATGAGGTCTCATGTGGTGAAGCGAGTGTGTTTTACAAGCTTATGCCACCTAGAAGTTTCCAGTGGCTATTTTCAAACTCCATGCCTAATGTTCAATATATGTATAATGTAATATTTCTGTTAGCAAACTGAACTGGGGTCCACTTGCCTGACACAGTAAGGCAAACATCCATACTGAGGTTTGCAGCAGGAGAAAGATGGATGTTTATTTGCAAGGTATCAAGTAAGGAGAATCAGGCGGCTCAGCTTTAAGACCCAACTTCTCCAATGGCTTACAGATAAGGGTTTTTAAAGGCAGGGAGGCAGGGATTACAGGCAAAGTCAGAAATCAATACATGGAGATTATACATTGGTTTGACCTAAAATGGCAGGACATCTTGAAGCAGGGCACATAGGTCATGGGAGGATTCAAAGATTTTCTGCTTCGTAATTGGTTACGGAGGTGAAGCTTTGTCTAAAAATTAGGGGTCAGCAGAAAGGAATGTTAGCTCTGGCCCATGGGTATGACTTCCTCCATGAAGAAATTTAGAACAAAAAATGGTCAGAGTTCAGTCCTCAGTTGCCCCTTATCTGAGGTCTGTGTGCCAGTGGATCCATTTGGTGGGGATCTGGGTTTCTGAAAACAACTCAGCAGTATATGTTGAAATGTTTTCTTTTGTTTCTATAGGGAATCTACCATCTTGTGAATCTAAACTCCTCAGCTATTGTTTTAAACTATTATTACCTTTTTCTTATTAAGTTGCTCATTTATTTCTCAGGGATCGCTGGGTGCCTGGAATTTTCCTTGAAGGAACTAAAGATTTTCCTTTCTTCTATGATTGGAGGGCCCAGAGGTCCCTGCGGGGGGGAGGTCCCTGCTCCATCTCATTCTCTGTTATTTAAATTGTGCTTGTCAAATGTTTTAAATAATTTTTGAAATATTGGAAAAGGAGATTGTGGTACCTGGCAATGTTTAATAAAAATCAGCAGTGTTTTCTTTATCCTCTTATTTCCTAGAGTAACATTCAGTTTATCCACTTTTTAATGTAGCACAATTCTGCCCATACCCAGGTCCCTGGGTCATCCCTCTTTCCATGGAGAAGATCCTGTTGCCTAACCATTGAGTTATATTTCTTCCAACAAGTGACATTTAGGAATATTGAGAGTTATTTTTTGTGTTCATTCTTGGGATAAAGAATACCATATATTAGGCTAGTAATATAAATGTTTGGGTTGCCTATTCTAGATACCCTTCATGGAGCCATTGGGTTCATTCCAATGCGATGTGAGTATTGGCTGCTAATGGCTCCCAGATGTTCCTGTCCACTGAGAAGAATTTCTTTTGGCCAAGGCAACTTCACTCTGGAAATGGCTGAAAGTTACGTCTTCTCCTCAGAAGTAGCTCATGGCCAATGACTAATATACGATCTAAGTACTGAGTTGTTAAAAGAGGAGAAGGCTGAGAAGGAGGATACAGAAAATAGCAAAATGGCTGTTTCTTCCCCAGGGGCCATCCTTTATAGCTTAGCCAAATGGCCCACCTTTGATCATTCTTCTCCCCAAAGGAATGAAGTGTAACATTTACATCAATGTCCACCTCCACAATGGGTAGAAGGCAAGGCAATGGGCTGAGCAGGAGACATAGAATCTAAAAGCTGAAAAACCCTGGAAAGGGTAAGAAAAGTAATTTCTTGGGGGGAGGGGGGACAACTGGCAGCAAGAATTATGGAGACTGCATTGGAGCACACAATGCTCCTTGGGAAGTCCAAGGTTAGAGATTCAATACTTAAAAATGCATCTGGAACCATTGCAGAAGCAGAACTAAAATTAGCTGCAATTGATAATAAGAATTCTTACATAAAAATAACAATAGTAAAAATTAACAATAGCTACTGTTGATTGAGCACCTGCCAAATGTGAGGTTCAGTGCCAGATTATTTACATTTATTCATCATTATCCCTGCAACAAATATGGAAGGCTGGACTGAGCCAATGCCCATCTCTTTTCACAAGGCCAGCTTGCCTCCTATTCCATGACAAACACCTGCAGGAAAGAATAGAGTGGAATGGGCAGAACAAAAGAGAAATGGAACCTAGAGTATCATTTCCTCCTCCTTAGTGCACATGCCTGGCATGTGCAGCCAATAATTAGTCACTCAATAAATATTTGAAAAGGAAATGAACAACTAGAAGTTTAGATAACAAACTTTAATGGTTAATTTTGGATGGTGGGGCCGGGAGCTACATTTTCCTTGGTGTTTTCCCCAAGCTTTCTGCATTAAATTTATACTTATGTAAATTGTAAAACTCTGAGCATATATAACTATATGCCAACATTGAAATATTTTGAAAATTATGATCACTTTAATTCCTAAATGAAGAGGTTTTGTTTGTTTGTTTCTTGTATACATAAGGCTTTCCTGTATATCACTTAGGCCTTAACTTTTTTGTACACACAGATTCTGGGTTGCAGAAATGCCTCCTAAAACATCTACTTTTGGCACCAACTACAGCAGGGTGCCATTGTGAAAACCACTCTGAATCCCAAATTGAGGGCTGCTGCAGCCTTTTCCAGGGGAAGAGGACTGCTGTTTAGGGCACCTCGTCTCCTGATCTCCTGATCTTTTGAAAAGGGGCTTCTATTTTTGTTTATGGACATGCAGATGTCTTTAAAAGAGAAAGAGTCCTAAACATCTCTTTTAAATCACTGACCCATGTTTCTTAATAGCCAGCAATGAACAAGGGAATTCCCAGCAAATGTGATGGTAGTCACATCCAAAAATTAGAAAGCTAAGGCATCTACTTAGATTAAAATATGCCTGGGTGTCGGCCCTGTTTTCTGTGGTAGTAATATATTTTCTGTCCTCATGACTCAGCCTGTAATAGCCAGTAATGAAGTAAATAATTCCCAGCAAATGTGACAGCAGTCAGATTGAAAAATTAGTAAGCTAAGACATCTACTTTGTTTATAATATACCTGAGTGTCATGGCTCAGTTTCCTGGAATCACCCCCAGAAATTCTACCCTTACGTTGGATAAATGAAAATGCTCTGGAATGTCACTTTTTGTTCCCCAGCAAACCACTCTCTGACAAGCAATTGGTCCTCTGCCAGGTGACCTTGACCCAAAAGCTGAACCATGCTTCCACTGTTCATAGATGAAGAAACTGAGGCTCAGAGAACTTCTGCCAGGGAGCACAGCTCGTTGAGAGCAAGTCTGAAATAAGTGACCAGGTTTCCTGATTGTCTTCTCCTATTTCTGTGGTAGCCATGGAAGAGGAGTTGGTCCTGGCTCTTCTGGAAACTTCTGAGTCCAGAAGTCACTCTACACTCTTCTCTCATTGGACCCTCTTCATCCACACACCAACACCTTCCTCCTTGAAGCATTCAACCTGTGGCCCACCTTTCCTGGTAGCTGCCCTCCCTCCCCAGTCCTCAGCTGATGTCTCTCCTGCCTGCTCATAGGAGTTGGAGGTACTCCCTCCTGTACCTCCTTTGGTACCCCACAGAGCTCCAGGGCCAGCCCAGCCCTTTGGAGACCACTTTTCTCTGATCCTCCATCCTGCAGGTAGTGTCTTTGTTTGAGCCTCCTCCTCTCAGGGTGAATGCTTTTTTCAGCTGTAGTTTAATGAATCTCAAACCAGGCTCTGGATGAGTTGCTTCAGTCAGGAGCTTAGAAACAACACATCTCCTAACACTTGCTGCTTGCCATGTTCTCAGCCATTCCCTTTTGACAAGATAACATTTTAGTTTACATTTTTTTGCCATCATTATAGTTTTGGGATCCTGCCCCTTTAGGCATCTCTTTTTTTTGGGGGGATGGAGTCTGGCTCTGTTGCCCAGGCTGGAGTGCAATGGCGTGATCTCAGCTCACTACAACCTCTGCCTCCTGGGTTCAAGGGATTCTCCTGCCTCAGCCTCCCAAGTAGTTGGGAATACAGAAGCCAGCCACCACACCTGGCTAATTTTTGTATTTTTAGTAGAGACAGGGTTTCACCACGTTGGTCGGGCTGGTCTCGATCTCCTGACCTCAGGTGATCCGCCTGCCTCGGCCTCCCAAAGTGCTGGGATTACAGGCATGAGCCACTGTCTTGGCCCCCTTAGGCCTCTTTTGATATCCTATCTCTATGATATGCCAGCCCCCTTTTCCTGTAAGCTTGGGCCCCTCACTTGCTGGGCCTCCTGGAGAAGGGATTCCTGCCTCTGACCTGACCCTGCCACTTTCTGGTCTGTATTAGGTTGAACCACATTATTCATATTTCTTTTTACCTATAGTAACATCAATTTCATTTGGTTTTACCTAATATAGGGAAGTCCTACATGAATACCAAGACATCAGGCATTGTAGAATTGTAATGTTGAAATTTGAAAGAAAGGTTGATATATTCCAGATAGTATACTTTTAGTTTTAGAGGGCTTGACTTTTCTAGCCACATACATACCATGTATAGTCATACATCCTCATGTATATATGAGTGTGTGTGTGTAAACATGTTTGTCTTTATACTTGTTTTATTTTATTTTCACTGACTACCCTTTAAAATGGAAACAACTCTAAAGATGAAGCCAAGGCCCTAGGTCCTGTACTCTCAGCAGACACAGAGGGCTCTCATTCACAACTGTGCCCTCCATGGGTAGATTCCAGCAAGGACCACAGTCTTCTGTGTCCTGAAGTGGGCCCAGCAACGTCATTCTGCAATAGGCCTGGTTTCCTGCCAAGGTCGTAGTCAAGCTCCAGAATACAGGAGCCACCACTTCTGTCTGCTTAGGAGGAAGGTGTGGTTCAGTCACCACAGGACGTCTCAAAAGTGGGGCTGGAGCAATTTGCAATTAGACATTCTCATTTGCATTTTTCTTACTAACAGCTATTTACAGAAGGACTTTAGATATGCGGGTTGATGATTCTGGGAACAGGGGCTGCTTCTATCTACAGACCTGCAGGCAGAAGAGATTTCAGCAGAGCTATCATTTTAATACTTAAGGGAAAACACTCAAAAAGCAGACATTTCATCTCTGTTTTTTGTGATAGTAATGTATTTCCTGTCCTCATGACTCTTTACTGCAGCAGATATTGGATTTCTCTACATGTTATCTGGGTGATTTTAGATGAAGCATTCAACCTTTCTAAGTCTCAGTTTTCTCATCTATAAAATTAAATATGTTCCTCATAAGATGGTTGTGCAGACTATGTGAGATAATGTTTACATTCTAGTGGATTGGGCAGGCAGCATACAAATGATTTTACTAGTAAGTGTTTTGTTGTCATTGTGACAAATGATGTAAAGAAAAAATTCCGGGTACTATGAGAGTGACTAATGGGGACCTGATTTGTTCTGGGGTACTAGAGGAAGCTCTACATCTTAGAAGAGATGCATTAAAGCATGATCCTGTGACTAGCTTGGGCAACATTGTAAGACTCTGTCTCTATAAAAAATGAAAACAATTTTTTAAAAAAAGAAAAAAAAAAGGAAGGATGTCATTATATCCTGTTCAGAAAAAAACAAGGGCCTTGAAATCATTGCAAAAGTTTAGAATCTTCCTTTTCCTTTTGGTAAAGGAAGTAGATAAAAACCTATGGTTATTAATAGATGCTTCTTATTCTCTGTTAGTGTTTCTAAATGCACTTGATGAAACAAAATAAAAGAATTGAGTAAATTAGTGGAAGGCTTCTACTTCTAGTGCAGGATTCTTAACAATGGTGCTATTGACATTTTGGGCCAGATTATGTCTTTGTTCTGAGGGACTTTCCTATGCAACGTAGAATGTTTAGCAGCATCCCTGGCCTCTACCCTCTCCCAATCATGACAATAAAAAATATCTCCAGACATTGCCAAATATCCCCTTATGGGCAAAATCCCCCCAGTTGAGAATCCCTGCTCTAGTAAATTCATCATTGACGCACATAGCTCCTGGGGTACAGAAATCAGTAATAAGTACCCCCTCTGTGTTTGAAGACAGGAGAGAATGTTTAAAAACAAACAAGCAAAAACTAAAACAAAGTCAGCTGAATTTTGGTCAAAGTCTGGGGTAGGTCATTTGGCATGATAAATTCTACCTGATATCTGACTGTGCTGAGTCATTCTATTGTCAACTTCACTGAGCTGGAACTAGGTTGCCCAGAATCGCTGTCCCTGAGTGGCTCCAGATAGGGCTGATCAAAAGAGAAATCGGAACAAAATTTTGGAGACAGAAATAGAGCAACGGCCATTATTCCCCAAGGGACTTTGGGATCTGATAGAGAGATGGGCAGATGCAGAGGTATGCAGCCAGCTCTGGCTTGTCCTCATTCTCCTTCTCTCCTTGTCCAGTTCTTCCCAACAGCTGGTCCTGCTGACCAGCTGCAAGCCCAGCTCACCAACTTGACTGTGGAAGCACAGAGGTGGTAGACTCACAGAGGCAACAACTTTCTCTCCATGATAGTTCTACTTTAGTAACTGGACATGCTTATCAAGTTTCCCTGCAAGCTCTGACTTGTCTACTGAATAGTGCCTTAGGAGGTCTGGTTAGGACTTATTCTCTGACCCCATGGCTCTTTTTCTTTACTTCTTTCAGAATTTTATTTTCCCAGCAACCCCTATAATTGGGTAATATGCAATTTTTATAATAAATTCCATCCTTTATTCTAACACATTCATTGTCACAGAGTGACTGAACTTTGGTAACATCACTCTGTGTCTTCTTAGCTTCCCCAGAACCAGAATTTCAGAAGCCACTGCTATCTAAGATAATTTTTTTTTTCATAGCCATCCCAAGGGAAGACACTTGGGACATGAATCATCACTCAGAACTGAGGCTGAGAGGCAGGGCAAACAGTCAACTTCCTTCCTAATTCAATAGGTGCTAATCCATTTATCTCTACTATAAGGGCATGCCTGCTTCAAGAGCTCAATTTGTTTTGCCTGCACTAGAGGACTGTGGACAAGAAGAAAATGAACACTTTCTAAGGCTGAAAAAGTAAAGCTTTCCCATGAGTAGCCCCAGGCTTAGGACTTAAGCTACGGTGGTAAGTTCAGCAGAGCAGGACCCACCAAGCCCCAAGTGAAGGTGGGTAATCACATGGCAACCTTGGGTTTCCCTGTGTCTTAGATCAGATTCTCCAGAAACAAACCCAGAGAACTTGAATAGAAGCAAGTTTTCCACTTAAGAGATGTTGGAAGACACACTGAGATAGAAGTGGGGAAGTGAGGCAGGACAGGGCAGGCAGGCAATGAAGCGTTTGTTATTAAGTAAGTGACTGCTGTGGGTAACTGGAGCTCAATCCCACTGGGGCACTCTCAGACTAGTGTAGAAGGCACTGCATTATCCCACCTGGGGTCAATCCTTCCTTGGGAAGGAAGGATGCTATATGAATTCTTGCCATATGCTTCTAACCTGCTCCACACACAGGCAGAAGACCTCAGCTTCCAGAGATGCAGATGCTGGCAGCTGAAGGTTGACTAGCCTGCATTAAAATGGTGAGGCCCTAGGGAATATTTAGAGAGGCACTAACAGCATCTGGTACTCTCTGCAACTCCAGGTTTTGTGCATATGGCTCAATGCTCAAACAGAAACCAGATCTTAGAAAAAGAAAAGCCTGGAAAAAATTTAAAAAATCTGTGCCCTGTGTTTTGTCCCTAGTCTCTCAGAAAGTGGTTGATGAGTCTTTGAATCTTAAATCCCGCAGACTAGAATATTTCCCATTCATATTCTTCTGGGTAATTTAGAGCAATGTGAGGTATATTGTATTTATTTGCTCAGTTTGTTTATTTCCTATTCTTCCTGGCTTTGCATCGCCTTCATGCTTGATGGTCATTCCTAATTCCCCTTCTCTTGATCAAACATGTACCATTGGACCAGAGAGGGAAGAGGTTGGAGGTTGTTACCGGAGACTTCACAAGGTGAAATTTGATTGGCTGTGCCCTTTGGGTATGAATTTTAGCCTATTAGGCAAACTGATACCACAAGTACAAATTTGTATTTGGACATAAGTGAACATCTTAGAAAAATGGCCCTCCAGTTGCAGGTGCATTCTGTTCTTCATCTTTTTCCTGGATCCCTAAAAATGTCCCTCCAGTTGCAGGTGCATTCTGTTCTTCATCTTTTTCCTGGATCCCTAAAGATGTCCCTATGCCAGGGAGCAAGGCTGGGCACCAAAGAAAGTTCAAGACCCTAGGTCCTCCTTCATGAAAGTCTTCCCCAGAGCCAGGCTTCAGGACTCAGAGTTGGAGTACCAAGTCCCCTGAGCCCTGCCCTGGCCCATCTCATCTCCCTAACATGAAAGGCCCTACACAGCAAAAGGCACTGACTGCCAGAGAGGAATGTACAATGATATTCTTATCATCTCTCCATTCCTTCTACCAAATAGCCAAGTCACATTGTGGGGAAGGGAATTAGAGGGTCATTTGTCATAGATACCAAGGAAGACAAGGGTTGGAGGTAGGGGAAAAGAAAAAGAGGAGAAAAAGTGAGAAAAAAATGGAGGGATGGGTTTGAGTGCTTTTGGCTGCCCAGGCCTGTGAATCGGTTTTATCTTAATTTAGAGAAGACATCCCTGAAGCCTAGAGAAGTTAGGTGACTTCCCTAAGAGGTTAATATTTCCTAAGGTGACTTATCTTGTCAGTGGCAAAGCTCAAATTCAAATTCAGGTCTTACTTATTCCGAAACCAATACTTTTGTTCTACTTTGCAACTCAAATTTAATACTCAGCAGGCATCTGGGTGGGGTGCAGCTTCCTATAGAGGTGAGGAGAACCCAATAAATGCAGCTAAACAAGGGACACTGATCACCTATTCGTCAACATAATTAATGATAAGTAAATAATAAATTACACTTGGGAAATTACTATATACACACTATGCATGCCACTTAATCTTCAGAATAACAGTTCTCAATCCTGGTAGCACATTAGAATTACTTGAGGAGCTTTTAAACATAAGCTTGGCCTGTTATGTTTAACAGTTCTCCAGCTTGCCCCACCCTGGATCAATTATATTAGAGCAGAGTTGGAATACAACAATATCAAGATATTTTAAAATCTCCCCAGTTGATTGTAATGAACAGCCAGGATTAAGAACAATTGCTTAGAACAATTTAGCTTGCATAGAATGCCCTGGAGTGTTTCTGGGCTTGGATTTCTGGGCTTCACTTTCAGAATTTATGATTCTGTAGATCCGGAGTGGGGACCACAATTTTGCATTTCTAACAAGTCCTCAAGGGTATTAGTCCATTTTCACACTGTTACAAAGAACTACCTGAGACTGGGTAATTTATAAACAAAAAAGGTTTAATTGACTCACAGTTATGTATGGCTAGGGAAGCCCCAGGAAACTTGCAATCATGACAGAAGGCAAAGGAGAAGCAAGCACCTTCTTCACAAGGTGGCAGAAGAGAGAGAGAGAGAGAGAAAGAGAACTGCCAGTTTTAAGCCATCAGATCTAGTGAGAACTTCCTCACTATCATGAGAACAACATGAGGGAAACAGCTTGCGTGGTCCAATCCCCTCCCACCAGGTCTCTCCCTTGATCCATGGGGATTACAATTCGAGATGAGATTTATGTGGGGACACAGAGCCAAACCATATCACCAAGTAACACTGATGCTGCTTGTCTCAGGGACCTCAGTTTGTGAACCATTGATTTAAAACAACTTTAAGGATGGTGTTATATAGTGATTACCATTTTATATATAAGGCTTTGTGATGACCAAGCCAGAACTTGCACTCAGGTCTATGATCCATGCTTTTTAAGCCTTGCTCTATTTGCTTCATCTTGTACACAAGTTGATCAGGCCTGACTTTGTTTGCCAAATACTTCACTGAAAAGCAACTACAGCAGGTTTCCAGCACTGTGTGAAAGTCTGCCTGGTGGGCTACATTAAGTCAGTTCCAAATTCTTGCCTAGTGGCAAGATGAAAGGTGCACTAGAGATTACAAAGCTAATTTAGCTTCATTAATCAAGATAACATTAATTGCTCCAATCTTCTTAAAGAAGGTCTGCTGATGCATACTAAAATATTTCATCCAAGACAACTCAAAGAACCTTCCTCCAGGGCCTGTGCTCTGAGAGGAAAAGCTCTTCTGGAATGGACTCAGCTGTTTGTATTGCCTGCCTATGTAACTAGGATGGTCCTTAGAAAGCACAATTCTTGTTCCAGAAGATCCCTGGGGGAGACCTCAGGTGGTGCAATGAAGGGGGCTTTGGCCTATGTGGAATTCAGGGATGGCCTTTCATGTTGATTTAAGTCTTGTGTAAAAGTCAGAAGTTAAAGCCGAAGGGCATTGTAAATATATATAACTTTTGTCAATTAAAAAATAAATTAAATTTTTTGAAAAAGAATGAAAGCCAAAGGATACCATAAGCAAATCAATTACAAATTGTTTTCTACAGCATTTTTTTATTGCCATGGAGATGAATTTTGAGAGCTCAAGCACCCAAGTGATTGTACTTTCAACTTTAATCAAATTTTCATTTGACTTCCTCCAAGATTCTTGGAGGAGGCTGACCTGTTTATGCACTCCTCCTCCCATATCCTCTCTTCATGTGGCTCTCTCCTTATAATAGTGGTTGTATTAGTTCATTTTCATGCTGCTGATAAAGATATACCTGAGACTGGGAAGAAAAAGGTTTAATTGGACTTGCAGTTCCACATGGCTGGGGAGGTCTCAGAATCATGGCGAGAGGTGAAAGGAACTTCTTACATGGTGGCGGCAAGAGAAAAATGAGAGAGAGGCAAAAGCAGAACCCCCCTGATAAACCCATCAGATCTCGTGAGACTTATTCACTATCACTTGAATAGCACAAAAAAGACCAGCCCCATGATTCAATTACCTCCCCCTGGGTCCCTCCCGCAACATGGGGGAATTCTGGGAGATACAATTCAAGTTGCGATTTGGGTGAGGACACAGCCAAACCATATCAGTGGTCATTTCATTTAGAAGAGGGTTATGGAGCTGGGATATCCTAGGTTAAGATTATTTCCCTGTTCTGCTTTCTCCCTTTCATCTTCTCTGGCTCTATGATCTTTTTTTCAGGCCCAAACACACCAACAAGCTAAGAGTAAACATAGGAGACTGGATTACGTAGATTCTCAAAAAGCAGAGCCCAGGTGGGTTGTCATGCAAGTGATTAAGGGAGAGATTAATTTCTGTGAGAGTGAGGAAAGCAGGCAGGACAAGGAAAGAAGCTGGGCAGACATGTGAGTTCAGCTGAAGTCTAACCTCACCTTAATCCCATGGTGGGGAATCTGAAGCATGAAGTACATCGCAGAGTTGTTCCTTCCTAAGGCAAGGGGGCCAGCCTTTTGTACCCTGTATCAGTTACTGATTGGCTGTAGGCCATTGACAGGAAGGGCATAATATCCCAAGCATTTCCAGAAGTGGTGTCCTATAGGTCATTGACAGGAAGTGTGTAATATCCCAGGCATTTTCAGAAGTGGTGTCCAGTAAGCCAAGGTGGCAAGTCTCCGGATAGAGGGGCAACTGTCCAACACTCCCAGTAGCTGGGTGATGCCTGCCAGATAAAGGGGACCAACAGCATCTACTACAGGAACTTTGCAGAAGCAAGGAGACTCTTCCCCCATGTAAGTGTAACAAGGGCAACTGGGAGGTAGCTGATGTTTTCCTTCTGTGGCCTTTCTTCAGGGCTGCTCAGGGCCCTTGGTTGGCTTTTCCTCTTCTCTGTACACATGTCTCTTCTGAAGCCTTTAGGTATGTGAACAACATTTTTTATTTTAAGTGTCTGCCTCCACATCAAGACCAAAAGCTCCTTAAGAACTGGGACCCTGGGCCAGGCATGGTGGCTCACGCTTGTAATCCCAGCACTTTGGGAGGCCGAGGTGGGCAGATCACCTGAGGTCGGGAGTTCGAGATCAGCCTGACCAACATGGAGAAACCCTGTCTCTACTAAAAATACAAAATTAGCTGGACATGGTGGCACATGCCTGTAATTCCAGCTACTCGGGAGGCTGAGGCAGCAGAATCGCTTGAACCGGGGAGGCAGAGGTTGTGGTAAGCCGAGATCACGCCATTGCATTCCAGCCTGGGCAACAAGAGTGAAACTCCGTCTCAAAAAAATAAAAGAGCTGACCCACTCATCTCTGCATCCCAAGACCTAGGGCAGCACCGGGCACATGTAGGAGCCCTCTAGTTTGTTATTTGTAAGACCCAAAGCTTTCCTATGCCCTCCTTTTCCTTAACGTTTTGCAGTCTAGTCCCATCTAGGCCACTTTCAATAAAAAAGACAACAATCAAGACCTTTACATTATGATTTCTGATGCTTGGTAAGTGTCTTAATGTAATTGCAACTGTGCAGAAATGAAATAAAGACATATAGTTCTCTCCAAATAGATGAAAACACACAGGAAGCTTAGTCATTCTTGAACTCTTTTTGGTCCAAAGAAAGACCCACTTAATGGCTCTTTAAAGCAAGAGGCAAAAACGTGCACTGAAATAAGAGAGGGACTTGGACCATTATTCAAGGTACTAACTGGCACATTCAGAAATAGCATTTTGCATAGTGGAGTTAACAAGCTCCGTAAGGAATAAACTAAATAAATAAATAAACTAAATAAATAAGCTAACAAGGAATAAAAAACAGAATAGCTTTGGGATAGAAGTTCATTTCACAAAGCTGGTAATCTGTAAGTAGATATCACTATAGCATTATTATGATATGCAGAAATTAAAGTATATTCCAAAGTATCTTCCAAAACAGCATCATCCAGTTAAACTAAAACTCTTTCCTTCCTATTTGTAACCATGTAAAGTTATCATCACAACACAGTACGAGCAAGAAAATAGCTTGCACGAAAATGAAGCAAATATTTCAAAGGAAGCATGAATTAGATCAAGATGGTCAAGATGGGAGATTAAATACATGGTTTTGCCTAAAATTTTTAAAAAATTACACAAAGTAGCAAAATAAATTTGTTTGAGTGAAAATAGCTCCATCTATACAGTGTTTAAAAAAGGATTATGTGAGTATTGGAGGGGAATTCTCCCAGCTGCTTAGCCACTGTGACCATCTCTTCTAATATACATGACTGGTGAAAGTTGGGTGATTTGCCTAATTCTAGCACCATTTTCATTGTCTAGCGGGCCTTCCTCCAAAGACAAAAATTCCTCTTTGTTCCTGCCCTGAACAGGTACCATGGCATCCTCAATAGCTAGTGCACTGGACTACAAAGAAAACTCTCCCTAGGTGGTGAGTAGAGGAAGAGAGCTGCAGTTGAGGGAAATTTATAAACGGAATTTCTAAGGGATATAATTGGGGTAGGGAGCACTCAACAAGCCATGGAAGGATAATTCCTTTTTTAAAAAAGTTATTATTATTAGAGCTCCTGAGGCTTTGACCCAAGGATTGGCCCTTGAAAGAAAGCATGTGTTTCCTTTTCTTCCTTCAACATGACCACTCTTCTCCATCCAGTCCCTGATGTGGGCAGCATAACTAAGTCATTATTCTAAATTCTGACCCACAGCTTTAAATCTAGTGAAAAAGCTCCTTGATCCTGGTAATCTGTCTAGTTTGGGGCATGGATTGGAAGGTGGTACATTACTGGGAATATGTGAAAGGTTGAATCAGAGACTACATACTAGATGTCATTGGACACTTGGAACAGAACCCCGCCTAACTTTTTAATGAAATGTGGTCCACCTGACTGCTTCTGCCTCCAGCTTTTTATGACTGAGTCATTTGAATGCTTTCCTACCTGATGTCTTCCAAGAGAGGTCTTCCTTCCATACACTTAAGGGTACATGAACTGTGTTCATCTACATGTTTTTGGAAAAATCTAAACCATCTGGTAAACACATCTAGGTTTCTTTAGTTAATTTTTTTTTTTGATGGAGTTTTGCTCTGTCACCCAGGCTGGAGAGCAGTGGCATGATTTTGGCTCACTGCAACCTCTGTCTCCTAGGTTCAAGCGATTCTCCTGCCTCAGCCTCCCTAGTAGCTGGGATTAAAGGTGCCCACCACCACACCCAGCTGACTTTTGTATTTGTAGTAGAGACGGAGTTTCACCATGTTGGCCAGGCTGGTCTCAAACTCCTGACCTCAGGTAATCTGCCTGCCTCGGCCTCCCAAAGTGTTGGGATTACAGGTGTGAGCCACCGCACTTGGCCCCTAGTTAATTTTTAATTATTTTCTCAACTTTTGGTTTTTAAAGAATCAAATGATAATTTATATATAATAAAATGCACAAATACAAGTGTACAGTTTGATTAGTTTTCACGTGTTTACATCCCCATTGACCCAGCAAGTTCCCTTATGCCCCCTGACCCCCCATTAGAGGCAACTACTGTTCTGATTTCTGTTACCATAGACAAGTTTGATCTCTTCTTGAACACTATATAAATGGCTACTCTTTTGTGTCTGGCTTTTAAAAATTCAGCATAATTTCTCTGAGATTTGCCCTTGTTTCTGCATGTATCAGCACATTCCTTTTTATTGCTGAGTGGTATTCCATTGCATGAACATTCTTGTCCTTTTGAGCACAATTGTTTCGATTTTTCTTCAGTAAATATCTAGGTTTGGAACTGTTGGATAATGGAGAACATGTAGTAAAATCACTTCTTGTTCTGCAGGAAAGATGAGTGTCAATTATAGTAATTTAATAGGTACAGATATTGAAAATCATATGTTACAGAAACCTTAACCCCTTCTCAGAATCAAATTTAACTGTGATCTGTTCAACAGGAATATTAGCTATGTAAAGAGGCCAAACAACCACTTTGGGACAGCCAAGCAGAAGTGTCTAAAAAACTGATGACATATTGGTCTCCATTTCAGTAGCAGAGCAGGTATGACAGATGTGTGACCTGTGCAGTCACACTGGGCCTATGCTCGGAAGGCCCCCCATGCTTGGCTTAACATTCCACTGTCACCACTTTGAAATTTGTAATAACTTTTGAACAAGGAACCACACATTTTTATTTTGCACTGAATACCAACATATTCTGCATCTGGTCCTGCCCAGTAAACTGACCAGTGCCGGGGATGTAAATCTATGAGTAACCAGTATATATGTGGTTTTAGGAGCCAATGGAGTCAGTGAGTTTACATACAAAGAGGGTGCGGAGTGAGAAGAGAAGAATCTAGGGGCATTCTTGGAGGAAAGAAACCACCATTTAAAGGATGAGTCAAAGGACCACATAAAGGAGACGGGTAGTAATACACAGAGATATCAATGGAGAAAGAAGCCATGTACACAGCATCAAGGCAGGTACAGGCACATGCAGAAAGGAGAACAAGCTGCAGACACCAGAGAAAGTTACCAGCAGCACATTACTCTTTCTGAATTCTCTGGACCTGTCTATGTGTCAAAAGACAAAATTACAACAAATTTGGAGATCTTAATTGGCTTTTGTTTGTGATTCTAGAATCAGGCAACATCTCATTCTATAAAATAGAATGAATGTTAGAGGAGCTGAACAGAGAAGGTTGGTTTTGTAGACAGAAAAGGGCTAAGGAAGGCGGAAGCAGAAAACAAAAAGCAGGCTGGTCACTTCAAAGTGACTTTTCCTTGTAACGGGTAAAGCAGAGCGGGCTTCCCTATCATGCCAGATAAAACTGGCCTGTTTGGGGATTTGGCTTTCTCTCTTTCTCTTCCTCAGAATGTCAGATAAACAACTTAGTTTTGGCTTGGTGGCATTGAACTTCAGCAGCAGTAATTCTATTTTGATTTAGTCTGTTGGGCCTGGGGCAGGAGCTCAGTCCAAACTAATGGGCGCCTAGAAATTGTGTTTAACAATGTGGAGACTTCTATCAAAAACATATAAGGCACTTTTCTCTGATTTTCCTCCCTCTCCTCCCCTTTCCCAGGACCCATATGCCCCTTCTACCCTCCTGTCTTTCCTTTAGAGAGCTCAACTGTGAAGTAGTCACACAAAGTTCTGGCATTTGTGGTTATTCCTCTAAACTCCATTTTGAATAGCGGCAGCACGTCTTGATGGTCCAACCCAGAGGGGATGCAGGGGTGGGGAGGGCTGAGAGGTGACAGCTTTAGGTTCTTTAGATTCTTGAGAGTGATATCTACAAGGTGAACAAATCTTTCTCTGTTTATCTTGGCCTCTTCTGATGTCACACTTTAAGCATTATTATGGTAACATTTCCTTTTTTTAATGTAAAGTTTTATTTTTTCTAAATTTTGTTAGAAATGCTATGTTTCCCAGGCTGGTCTCAAACTCCTGGCCTCAGCCATCCTCTCATCTCAGCCTCCCAAGTCGCTATTATGGTAATCATGTTTCTATCTCCTTAAGATACACCTTTTCTCCAGACCAGCAAGATAGTGGGAGGAGAAAAAGGATAAAGGAAAAGGAAATCCCAATTTATCATATAAATCAAAGGAAGAGTGAGCATTAAAAGAAGGTGCTGGCAACCTGTGAGTCAATAGTAATATAAGGTCTAGAAAAGTATCCATCAGACTCTTCAATGTCACCGTCAAGACTGACTGCTTTCCAGTTATCATGGAATAGATTGAATAAGACCAAGACTGGCCAGATTGTTTTTGTAAATTTACTGAAAGGCACAATGCAGATGCTGAGGCTAGCAGGACTTCAGGGCAGGGTTCCAAAGAAGAGAAACCCTGGAGAGGTGGGCCAGCATTCTGCAGTTGCTCTTGCCTTGGGTCATTTGCCATTTCTAGGTCAGGAACATGATCCTGGGACTCTGAGTAGCTACCTTGGCAGACAGTTACTGTTATCAGCAGAGAAGCCAAAACATTTTGGGGAAGTCTTGCAGAGCTAAAGAGACAAAAATTAGAGACATAGAGGGTTCAGTTTGTCACAGAATAAGAGGCTGTGGAAGGAGATAAGATAAAAACAGTGAATATTCAGTACGTTTTCAAGAAACTTGGCTGTCAAGGAGAGAGCAGAGACTGGTAGTAGCTTGAAGGGCATTCAGGAAAAAAATAAAGATGTAAAAGTGAGAGCCCTAGGGACTCAGACTAACTGATTTCAAGACTCACTATAAAGCCATGGTACTCAAGACAGTGTAGTATTGGTGAGAGAACATTAGAATAGACAAGAGTCCAGAAATAGACATGTGAACATATTCTACTGATTTTTGCAAAGATTCAAAAATAACTCAATGGAGAAAGGGCAATCATTTCAACAAATAATGCTGGAGCAATTGAACATCCATATGCAAAAAAGTAAACCTGATCCATATCTTGCACAACATAGAAAACTTAACTTGAAAGGCCTGGATATAAAACCTAAAACAAACTTAACAAAATCCAGAATGTTTTGTCATTTTGTGTGAGGCAAAGATTTCTTAGGATATAAAAATCACAAACCTTATGGTTTTATGAAAAAATTAATAAATTGGACTTGATCAAAATTTTAAAAGATTTGAAGACACTTCACCCAGAGGATAAATAATGACAAATTAGCTCATGAAAATGGGTTCAAAATTATTAATCATTATGAAATAAAAAAATAAAACTACAAAGAGATACCACTACATCTCCTTTAGAGGAGACTAAAATAAAAAATGCTGACATACTAAAAACTACTGAATCCTATACTTTAAAAGAGTACCTTTTATGGTATGTGAATTACATCTTAATAAAACTGTTACTTTAAAAAACCAATAGCATCAAGTGTTGGCATGGATACAGAGCAACAAGAATCCTCATACATTGCTGGTGCAAGTACTAAATGTCACAACTACTTCAGAAAACAGTTTGGCAGTTTCTTAAAAAAGTAAACATAGACTTAGCATATAACCCAGTAATCCCACTCCTAGGTATTAATCCAAGATAAATAAAAGCACATGTTCCCACATAAAAACTGCATGCTAATGTTTATGGTGGCTTGTTGTGATAGGCACACAACAAATGGCTCTCCAAAGATGTTCATGCCCTAATCCCCAGAATCTGTGAATACAATACATTATATTGCAAAAGGGACTTCGCAGATGTGATGAAAGTTACAGACCTTGAGATAAGTGATTATCCTGAATTATTCCTCTGGGCCCAATCTAATCACATGAGTTCTTAAAAGTAGAGAACTTTATCTGGCTAGGATAGAGTGATGAGACTAAAGAAGATGGAGGAAGCATGAGAGGGAATTGACCAGCTATTGCTGGTTTTGAAGATCAAGAAGAAGACCATGAGCTGGGAATAGCCTTCACCAATCAGCTAGCAAAGATATAAGGATCTCAGAGCCACAGCCACAGGGAATTCTGCCAACCTAATGAGCAGAAAGGGATTCTCCCCTGGAGCCTGCAGAAAGGGACACTGCCTTCTGATACCCTGATTTTAGTGCAGCAAGACTACCAGACCTCTGAATCACAGAACTGTAAAATAATATGTTTGTATTGTTTTAAGCCACTAAGTTTGTTCTTTAACTAAGTTGTAGAAACTGATACATAGTTTTATTCATAAATACTCCAAAGTAAAAATTGGTCAAATATTCATCAATATTCATTTCCACACTCATATAGTGGAATACTACTCATATAATAAAAAAGAACAAATTGTTGATACATAAAACAACATGGATGAACTTTAAATGCATGCTGCTAGTGAAAGAAGCCAGACTCAAAAGGCTGCATACTATATGACTCCATTTCAGTGACATTCTAGAAAAGGTGTACTATGGGAATAGAGATCAGATCAGTGGTTACCAGGGCTGGGGGTCAGGGGTTGAATGCAAAGGGGCATGAGGGAACTTTTTGGTGTGAAGGAACTGTTCTATATCATGAGTTTGGTGGTGGTTTCATGATGGCATGCATTGTTAGAACTCCTCAAGGTGTACACTTAAAAGGGTGGTGATTTTTGTTGAATAAATTATATTTAAATAAATCTGGATTTTTTGAAAAAGTGAGGGACTTAAATGATTTTTATGTCAAAAGGGAAGATGCAGGAGACATGGGAAGATTGATGATCCAGGTAAGGTTCTTTGACACTAAGGACCTTAAAGAGACAAACAAAGGGATAAACACATCTCCCTTTTCCCTTTCTGAAATTCTATCCTTTTTTTTTTTTCTTAAACAAACATTTTCTGGAAAATTGCTATTACCAAGTCATGATGGTGGGTATTGGAGATTCAGAGAGGAAAAAGAAATGAAACTAAATAAATGACAATATAACATATTCTCCCTGAGATGGAGGAGGAATCCTTTTAGGGGCCTCCCAGACTCCCTCAGGTATGGAAATAAATGAAAATATTGAGTTTCTTCGACAGAAATTCCAGGCACCCAGGTAGCCCTGAGAAGTAAATGAGCAACCTGATAAATAAGAAGGTAATAGTAGCTTAAAACACTAGCTAAGGAAGTTAGAGCCATAAGATGTTTGGTTCCCTATAGAAGCCAAAGATAACATTTTACCATATGTTTCTGAGTTGTTTTTCAGAAACCCAGACACCCTCCATATGGATCCACTGTTCTGAAGACCTCAGATAAGGGGGAACTGAAGACTGAATTCTGACCACTTTGTCCTTTGTTCTGAAGTTCTTCCTGAGGGTCCTGGAAAAAGACATGCCCATGGGCTAGACCTTAACATTCCTTTCTGCCAACCCTAAGTTTTTAGACAAAGCTTCACCTCCTTAACCAATTGCAAATCAGAGAGTCTTTGAACCAGATTCTGCTCCTCCCAAATCTCATGTCTTTCTCACATTTCAAAACACAATTATGCCTTCCCAATAGTCCACCAAAGTCTTAATTCATTCCAGCATTAACTTAAAAGTCCAAGTCCAAAGTCTCATCTGAGATGAGGCAAATCTCTCCTGCCTCTGAGTCTGTAAAATAAAAAAAAATGAGTTAGTTACTTCCAAAATCTAATGGGGGTACAGGCATTAGGTAAATGTTCCCATTCCAAAAGGGAGAAATTGGCCAAAACAAAGGGGCTAAAGGCCCCCATGCAAGTCTGAAACCTGGCAAGGCAATCATTAAATTTGAAAGCTCCAAAATAATCTCCTTTGACTTCATGTCTCATATCCAGGACACTGATGCAAGGGATAGGCTTTCAAGGCCTTGGGCAGCTCCACCCCTGTGGCTCTTCAGGGCTCAGCTCCCATGGCTGCTCTCAAGGGCTGGTGTTGAGTGTCTGTGGATTTTCCAGGTACACACAAGCTGTCAGTGGATCTACTATTCTGGGGTCTGGAGGATGGTGGCCCTCTTCTCACAGCTCCACTACACAGTGCCCCAGTGGGGACTCTGTGTAGGGGCTCCAACTGCACATTTCCCCTCTGCACTGTCCTAGCAGAAGTTTTCCATGAGGACTCTGCCCCTAAAGCTGAATTCTGTCTGGACATCCAGGCATTTTCATACATCCTCTGAAATCTAGGCAGAGGCTCCCGAGCCTCAACTCTTGCCCTCTGTACACACACAGGCTTAACACCACATGGAAGCCTTGGTATTCCAGCTTGCACCCTCTGGAGCAGTGGCCTGAGATGTATCTGGGGCCCTTTTAGCCATGGCTGGAGCTGGAGTGGCTAGGATGCAGTGCTCCATGTTCTGAGACTGCACAGAGCAGCAGGGCCCTGGGCCTGGCCCATGAAACCATTTTTTGCTCCTAGGCCTCCAGGCCAGTGATGGGAGGGGCTGCCACGAAGGTCTCTGAAATGCCTTGGAGGTGTTTTCCCCACTGTCTTGGCTATTAACATTCAGCTCCCTTTTATGTATGCACATTTATGCAGCTGGCTTGAATTCCTCCCCAGAAAATGGGTTTTTGTTTTCTACCACATGGGCAGGCTGCAAATTTGTCAAGCTTCTATGCTCTGCTTCCCTTTTTAAAATATAAGTTCCAGTTTCAGGTATTCTTTTTGTTCATGCATATGAGCATACACTGTTATAAGCAGCCAGGCCACATCTTGAATGCTTTGTTGCTTAGAAATGTCTTTCACCTCCAGCCTGGGTGACAGAGCAAGACTCCATCTCAAAAAAAAAAAAAAAAAGAAAAAAGAAATGTCTTCCACTAGATAGCCTAAATCATCTCTCTCAAGTTCAAAGTTCCACAGATTTCTAGAGCAGGAGCCAAGTGCTGCCAGTCTCTTTGCTAAAGCATAGCAAGAGTGACCCTTACTCCAGTTCTCAATAAATTCCTCATCTCCACTTGGCACCACCTCAGGCTAGACTTCATTGTTCATATCACTATCAGCATTTTGGTCATGACAGTTTAACAAATCTCTAGGAAGTTCCAAACTTTCCCACATCTTCCTGTCTTCTTTTGAGCTCTCCAAACTGTTCCAACCTCTGCCCATTACTTAGTTCTAAAGTCACTTCCACATTTTCAGGTATCTTTACAGCAATGCCCCACATCTCTGGTACCAGTTTTCTATATTAGTTCATCCTCACACTACTATAAAGACATACCTGAGACTGGGCTGGGCATGGTGGCTCATGCCTGTAATCCCAGCACTTTGGGAGGGTAAGACGGGCGGATCACAAGGTCAGGAGATTGAGACCATCCTGGCTAACACGGTGAAACCCTGTCTCTACTAAAAATACAAAAAATTAGCCAGGCGTGGTGGTGGACACCTGTAGTCCCAGCTACTCAGGGGGCTGGGGCAGGAGAATGGCATGAACCTGGGAGGCGGAGTTTGCAGTGAGCTGAGATCGTGCCACTGTACTCCAGCCTGGGCGACGGAGTGAGACTCTGTCTCAAAAAAAAAAAAGACATACCTGAGACTGTATAATTTATAAAGAAGAGAGGTTTAATTGACTCACAGTTCTGCATGACTGGGGAGGTCTCAGGAAACTTACAATCATGGTGGAAGGCAAAGGGGAAGCAAGGCACATCTTCACATGGCCAGAGCAGGAGGAAGAGAGAGAGAAAAGGGGGAGGTGCTACACAATTTCAAACAACCAGATCTCATGAGAACTCTGTCATGAGAACAGCAAGGAGAAAGTTGGCTCCCATGATTCAATCACCTCCCACCAGGCCCCTCTTCCAACACTGGGAATTGCAATTCAACATGAAATTTGGGTGGGGACCCAGAGCCAAACCATATCAGAAGGTCTTAAGTCATCATCTACGGCAGGTGCTTGTGTTGGCCAGCCTATATTGCCCAAATACTCACCACCTCAGTGTATGCCCATAAGATTTGTAACTGGCAGCACCTGTCTTTGCTGAGAGCTTTTTCTGGTCTCCAGAATCCACTTTGTCGGCCTACAGGAGGTGAGCCAGAAGCACTGGGGCTTTAATACCCCCAGGAGCAGCCGTCAATCCATGATTGACAAGAACTGGTACAGAAACATCCTATAACCCCTTTGTTTTCAAGTAGAGTAAATCTTAGGCCTGAGTTCTACACTGGCTCCCAGTGTTCCTGGTGGGATTAAGCTTCAGGTACCCATAGTGGTAACTTGCTTGATGGTACATCCTTGCCTGTCTGCTTTCCCTTCCCTGTCTCACCTCCCCACTACCCTACGGGTGTTTTCTTCACCTCCCAATTAAACCACTTGCTCTTCAAGTTCTGTGTCAGGGTTTGCTTCTGCAAAAAGCCAAATGAAAACTCTCCCATATACAAATCCAAAGCAGATTATTGTCCTTCAAATTATTGTTTGTTTCCTTTAGAGCACTTATCTCAATATAAGATTATTGTATGTGTTTGTTTATTGTCTATCTCCCAAACAAGGTTAAACTCCATGAGTTTAGCCCGCATCTATATTCCTCCAGGCAATGTCCTCAGAACAACTGGCAAACCTTTGCACAAAGCAGGAACTCAATAAATGATTGTCAATTAGGTGAATAAATGAGTGAATTCTAAGGAAATTGATTCAAAACTAACATATGTACAGCCTATTTACTGAATTGTGTTTCAAGGAATACACACACACACACAAGTGTGTACAAGCTTATCTGATATGCAAGAATATCCTCCAGTCAAAACTGGAAGCTGAGGCTGACTGATTCTAGAGCATGTGCTCTAAACACCATAGTGACATTTTTTTCATTTGAAAAACAAAGTTATTTCCGTATGTTATTCCTACCACAGAGGTTTGTTGGAAGCATTGCATTACTGTGTATGTGACATGGCTTTTAAAAGCATAAAACAATCCCACCTCTGGCAGATACTGTTCACATCCATGCATGTGAGAATGGAAGTACATGACCCATGTCCTTGTCAAAGGTCAAGGGCATCCCCAAGGACATGACACCTGCAACCACAATCAGCTTTCTTACATAGATCCCTATTTATATTAGTAAAATACAGTGTTGCCCCATGTGTACATTTCTGTAGATAGAGCTAAAATATATTTTTTTCCTAACTGCTAGAACAAAGATTTTCTTAAATGAGGAAACCATATAATATCTTCAGTTGCTGTGATTTAGTCAGTGAGATGATTTTAGGATGCCAGTGAGGTGATTTTGAAAGTCATACTGTTTAAAGACAAATTTGGGTACTGTGAAAGCAAATATGGAGCAAGCTGCGATATGAAGTCACAAGCATGGATGGATGAAACTTGCAGAGGTGTCAAGAGAAAAAGCCCATCTCAGACCACTGGCTGGCTGGCTTCCAGCTTGGCTCTCTAGGTTCTTCTTTCCTTTCAGGATTCCAAATAACAAACGCCCCCCCTCCTTGCTTCATTTAGGGCAATTTTCACTCTGTTTCTTAACACCTGCCAACATCCATACCCACAGGACTTACTCCCTTTAAGTGGCTTTTTTTTTTTGAGATGGAGTCTCGCTCTGTCACCCAGGCTGGAGTGCAGTGGCACAATCTCGGCTCACTGCAAGCTCTGCCTCCCAGGTTCACGCCATTCTCCTGCCTCAGCCTCCCAAGTAGCTGGGACTACAGGCGCCCGCCACCATGCCCAGCTAATTTTTTGGTATTTTTAGTAGAGATGGGGTTTCACCGTGTTAGCCAGAATGGTCTCGATCTCCTGACCTCGTGATCCGCCCACCTCGGCCTCCCAAAGTGCTGGGATTACAGGCGTGAGCCACTGCGCCCGGCTAAGTGGCTCTCTTAAGTTGGGTTTGTCAAGAGCAGAGTCTGAGACAGGGATGCATGTACACAGTATTTACTAAGAATGTGCTCATGGGAAATTTGAGAGGAAAAGAGACAATGAAGATAAAGTGGGGGAAGGAGCTGAGCAGGAATATGATCACAGCTGGAGCTGAGCTTCAACCTGCTCCCATGGGGCTTGGGATATAAATTGTACCGTAATGTTGGCCCCACTTTGAGACAAGAAGCCAGCCAATTTGAACTGCTGTGTCAGTCCGTCATTGCCTTTGACTGCCTTGGGGGCAGAGGGTTGTAAGCTCCTGGCAAGGCCCTCTGGCTAAGGACATCATTTGGAGAAAGGACAGTTGTGTGCCATTAGCAGCCCATACTCATAGGACCTGGGAAATGGAGGACCAGCTGAGTAATGGGATCTGAGAAAGTACCACAAAGAGCCACAACAGTGGGTTATGAAGTCATTTTGTAAGACAGAGGCATTGGAGGTGACTGCGATCTTGGCACTTCCAATGTGCTCATTTGGAATTACACACCTGCACCTCCCCCGCCCCCCCACACACACCTTTTACATGCCTGTTGATGACTGGATTTAAAGCAATGATTATTTTACTTCTCTCTCTAGGGAGAATCCTCAGCCATCTTTCCCCTACACCAACTTCCATAATCATGCATTTTTCATTCATATCAAAGACAAACAAAAACTTAGGTCTTAACACATCCCATCATAGCTAATGTCAGGTGAGTGCTTTCTATATGCCAGCCACTGATCTAAGATCTCTATATGTGTTACCCTACTTAGCTCTTACACAAATGGGGGAGGTGTTACTAGTATCAATGTAAACTGCTCTGGAGCATAGAAAAAAGAAATTATACTTTCAAACTCTTTTTTTGATGCCAATATTACTCATATAACAAAGCCTGACAAGGAAGGAAGGAAGGAAGACAGGCAAGCTTTAAACCAATCTTGTTTATAAATAGCGACAGGCAAGAACAATGTAAGAACACTTATTATCACTATAATTACATAAAAATATATTTAATATAGCTAATACCCCATATAATGAAATGAGATAAAGAACAACAGGTATAAATATTGGACTACTAGAAAGACATAGACAAAAATATTAGTATGTGTGGATGATACAATATTCTCATCCATGAACCTATCTAATAATATACAATATTATACCCAAGAATCTAAGCGGTCCATTGTATTTTAAAACTCAGTGACCATATTTTTTCCTCCAAGGCATTTTTCTCTGATGTAGAATATCACTGAGTGTATAAAGATGCATCTTAGAAAAAGTCAAATTCGTAAGAATTTGTTCTGATACCTCAGATTGGTCTGCTTTCTTTTAATTGCTAACCCTTTTTTACATGTGGTTTTTCTCAGTTTGTTTATTCACCAAAAGGACCCATCTAGGTGTGTCCAATATTGACAGTTGAGAAAATTCTGCCATGACTCAGGTGGGACCATGTTGTCACATTTAGTTCCAGAGATAAACTTTATATTTACAGTGGCTTAATATTGTTGTATTGGGGTCTTTGGGGGCTAAACAGTGAAGAAAGGAAGGCATCAGCTCAAAAGCTGAATGAAAGAAAAATTGATCAGTATTCTGAAAGGTGGCTACTCAAACTCAAGTTGACTGGGTTATTCTTCCCTTTTCAAACTATTTCCGTGATGATAGGTATTTTAGGTGAATTTGTATATTAGTAAAATATAGTGTTGCCACATGTGTACCTCTCTGTAGATAGAACCAAAAAATAATTTTTTGAACTGCTAGAATATTTTTTTAAAAAGGAAGAAATCATACAATGATTACTTGCTATGATTTTGGTGGTAAAGTCAACTCTCTAATACATTAAATTGTAAAGATTTTAAAGGCAATATGCATCTTAGCTGAGAATCCTAAAGTAGGAATACACAGAAGGAGTGTGGGATGGTAAGGAAGCAAATAATCTTGCAAAGTATTTTCAACTCTCAAAAAATAAACTTGAAGCAGTAAGCTGTGCCACAACAGGAAATATTAGAGCTACACCAAATGCTCATTAAACATATCATCAACTGCTCTGAACAAAGCTGGGATTTACTTTCTGGGAAGCAGTGATATTTCCAGAAAATAAAAATGTAAATATCATTTTTACCTATTAACTCTAATTTGAGAATTACAAATTAATTACAAAAAATAGAAAAGATCAGAAGAAAAAGTATCAGAGTGCAAGTCCATTTTCCTAGTTCTACCACTTGGCTTTGTGAGCCAAGAAAAGTTACTTAACTTTCTGAGCCTAGGCTTTGAAATGGAAGCACTAATAACAATAATGTAGTGATAGACTATTGTTAAGGTGAATAAAAGAAAGGAGTAGATATAGTACAGCACCTTTTTGCAAGAGAAATAATGAAAGAAGACATTGTACGTGTACCTGCTCATTTTTGAAAAAGTACAGACAAGAAGGACAAACCAAAAACTAACAAAATTGGTTACCTCAAGGATATGAATGGGAATGGGGTAGAAGGGTTGGGGAGCATGAGGCAATACTTCTCTGATTAGTTGGTTTGCTGTAATTTCATCTTTGGAGTCATGTTTGTGTTTTATAGAAATAAAAAATAAAATTAAAATATTTACAAGGATGAGAGAGGAAACCCTATAATGAATGCAAACAAAAAGAAATATATCTAACTGTATTCCAAATGAATAGCATCACTAAACTGAAGGTGAAAATAAGAAGAACTCACCCAAGTAACTTTTTAAACACAGTATTTTGACTATATGCCTTCAGAGTAAGCTAAAAAAGAACCGTAAAGAAATACTGAACTATAGTTAGCAAAGTTTGTTTTTTTCCCCATAGTGGTACGTGTTAGCAATTCTAAAACTACTTTTTATGCATTGTAATTTTGAGATAAGTAAATATATTGAGAATGAGGAAGCTAAAATGAAATCTGTGGTGCTGGATTGAAATTGAAAGTTTCTTTTTATTATTGGCACAAACTCATGATATATAACATAGAGACAGACAGACAAATAGAAATGTGTGTACATTTACATGTACATACATATATTTTCTAGCTCTGTCTACTGAGAGTCTAGAAGCCATGACAAAGTATTAATAGTAGCAGTGAGCACACCAACTGCCCAGATCTTGGTTTCTAAATACCATTCTCTAATAAAAGAAACCAATGGTCCTTGGAAAATGGTTTGTTGCACAACAGGAGCTGGGAGAATACAAGATGACCCCTGAACATGTTGTGTCAGAAAGTGAAAGGATGCTCAAAATCTGATAGAGACATGATAAACAGACATGAGAGCTAACTTAAAGGAGCATGATGGGCTAATTATGGTACAATTTGAGTACTAAATAAAATAATGACAATAATCAATTAGAACATGCTGAATTAAAAGATACAGTGATACCCCAAAATAGAAACATAAGAGAAAAAAAAGCCTCACGTTTTATAGAAAAACACTAGCTAATAGATTTAGAAAGAATAATAATAGTAGGGAAAATCATTTTACAACTCCAATGTAATAATTGATTTAGGCAAGAATTATCAGTGGATGCTAACACCATTAGGTAAAAACTTTTGGGGAAACAACATATTCACATGGTCTCCAATTATCTCCTTTTTTTCCTGTAAGTGACTTCTCAATTGCAAAAGAGTAAGTTACCTCTTTAATGAGGGATGTCGAAAAATTACTTTCACTTAAGAAAGTTACCTATAGTAACTAAGAGCAAATAGCATAAAGAGAAAGAATAAGATATACAGGTCAACTCTCTAATGTTCAAGATTATTACACATACCATTGCCTTTGCAATAACACAAGAAATAGAGTTATAAGATGTAAATATTTTTCTGAATAGGTTAAGCTATCTGTGGATGTCATTGTGCCTAGATATTCAAGAGAATCGAAGACAGAAGATAAAAGGTTGATAAATTTGAAAACACTAAAATTCCAATTTCTTGAATAAGTTGGATTATAACTCAAAGAATAAAACAAATATTTATAAAGCTATGCCAACACAAATAAACAATTGAATGAATAAATAAATAGAGGAGAAGGGATAAAATGTCTTTACAAAAAAAAAAAAATCAAATAAATGTAGATTTTTCTCCCCGATCCAGGAAGTGAAGCTCAATTTCCTTCTTCTTAAGTGTGGGCTACATTTAATGACTTGCTTCTGACATATAGAGAATGAAAAGGGGGAAAACAGTGACTTTAAGCAGAGAAATCTGGCAGACATTACCTTAACCAAGTGATCGAGGTTAACATCACCAGTTATCACATCGTATCTGAGGGTACATAATATCAACATGACTATAAGTCATCATGTGATGAGGAGACATCTTCACCTCTGTCATGATCTTCCCCCAAATCCGTAACATCAGTCTAATCATGAGAAAATATCAGACAAACCCAAATTGAGGAACATTCCACAAAACACCTGACAAGTACTGTTCAAAAGTGTCAAGGTCATGAAAACAAGGAAACACTAAAAATTGTCAGATTATAGGAGAAAAATGAAACATGATGACCATATGTAACATGGTATGCTAGATGAAATCTTGGAACAGAGAAAGTACATTAGTATGAAAACTGAAGAAATTCAAATAAAATCTGTAAATTAGTTAATAGTATCATAAGAAATGTTAATTTCTTACTTTTGACAAATGTTTAATGATTGTATAATATGTTAACATTAGGAGAAGCTAGGTTAAGAGTACACAGGAAGTCTCTTGCTATCTTTGCAATTTTTCTCTAAATCTAAAATTATTTGAAGATAAAAGTTTTTTTTAACAAGCTTGATAATGATAAAAATTACTTGGATAAAATGTTGTACTAGAAAACCCCACCACAAATATAATACAGTGACAGAATTGAAATATTTACAATATGCATTGTAATAAAGTCATCACATAATGTAATATCTAAAGTTATAACATTACATAATATTAACAATTATATGTATGTAATCAAAATATATAAAGAGCTTCCACAAATCAATTAGAGAAAAGTAAACAATCTAGTATACTGGACAAAGTTTATAAACTTGGAAACAAACACAGAGAGAAGTATCCATGACCAATATTTCTATGAGAAGGTTTTGAAAAATCAGAAAAATGCAAATCAAAACAAAAAGATAACATCAGACTAGCAAATAATTGAAGGAATGCTAATAATGGAGATCTGGGGACATGGGAACTGAAATAGCCAGTGGATGTAAATTAGTGCAACATTTTTAGAAGGTAATTGAAATATATATCAGGATATTAACTTGGAATATTCTATATTCAACAATTGAACAATTAGGAATACAGTCTAGAGGAATGCTCTCACTCTTGAATAGATGTACAGAAAGCTAATTAAAAGTTTGGTTCAGAAAATTGCAAACAATCTAAATGTCCATAAAAGGGAAAATATTATTCTGGAAATTGAAAACAATCTAAATGTCTATAAAAAGGAAAATTTAAAATAAGAACATGAGTATACGGAATACTACGCAACTCTTAAAAGTAGAGAAGAGATGGTAGATTAGAAATATAGATAGATAGATACATACATACATATATAAAAGAGTTTCTGTTATCTTCTCTTTAACATAATTACTGTCCCTGTAATTTCAGAAATAAGCAAGGACAGTAAGTCAGACAAATACTTATTTTCTGACAATTTATTTGACCAAGATTTATATATCTTAGTACAGAAAACCTGTTTATTTTACATATATTTTTTGAAACAGGGTCTTGCCCTGTGGCCCAGTCTAGAGTGCAGTGGCATAATAATAGCTTACTGCAGCCTCAACCTCTCAGGCTCAAGTGATCTCCCCATCTCAGCCTCCTGAGCAGCTGGGACTACAGGCATGTGCCACCATGCCCCCTAATTTTTGTATTTTTTGTAGAGATGGAGTTTCACCATGTTGCCAGGTATCAAACTTCTCAGCTCAAGCTCTCCATCCGCCCACCTCGAAAATCTACTCTTTATAAGTATCTGATCTGGTCCATGTTAACTCCAAGAAGAGTAGTGTCTTCTTGTCTTTGAGAATCTTTTTTTTTTTTTTTTCAAGACAGGGTCTCACTCCATCACCCAGGCCAGGCTGGAGTGTAGTGGCACAATCGTATGCAGCCTTGACCTGGATTTCTGGGCTCAAGTGATCCTCCTGCCTCGGCCTCCTGAATAGCTAGGACTAGAGCTGCATGCCACCATGCCCAGCTAATTTTTAAATTTTTTGTACAGAGGCTGTCTATATTGTCTAGGCTGGTCTTGAACTCCTAGCCTCAAGCAATTCTCCTGCCTTGACCTCCCAAAGCGCTGGGATTACAGGCGTGAGCCATCGCACTTAGCCATCTTTAACAACCTTCAAATAGAAAAAATATATATCATTATTATTTTGACCTTGGATGAAATCAAGATACTCTGCATTCTGAGTAAATAGTGCTGAAAGAAAGCTAATGTTTCTGTGTGCTTGAAGTTGTGTCGGTGCATACTCATTGTTTTGCTTGTGTGTGTCTCTGTGTGTGCACCTAACGGTTTTTTTGTGTGTGATAATGTGTGACTGTGTGCATGTTTTAAAAATGGTCTGGTACGCATCAGTCCAAGAATTGTACAAATCCCCTGCTTCCTTCTCTTATTGGTTCCCTGTCTCCATTCATGACAGTTGTATTGGCATATGAATATATTCGTTCTGGTCAAATGATTCTGGATGAATGGCAACATTAATTTTTTTTAGCAGATATGTGTCAAACTCTATTGGTGTAAAGGAGGAAGGATGTTTTCACACCATATCTACAGCCACTATCCAGGCCAGTCTCACTTTAAAATATTCTGTTCTCCCTACAAATCAGAAAAACAATCTTTGCCATATCATGTATCTCAGAAATGCAAAGAACATGGCCATTAAAACCATACCAGAAAATACTGTTTGGCAATAAAATGGACCCAAATTCTGATATTTGCTGCCACATGAATCAACCCCAAAAACATTACATTCAATAAAAGCAGCTAAATGTAAAAGACCACATAGTCTGTGACTCCATTTACATGAAATGTCCAGAAATGAAAAACCTATACAGAAGGAAAATAGATTAATGGTTGCTTGAGGATGGGGTTTGGGAACTGAAATTATTTGCAAAATGGCAGGATATGCATTTTGGGATGATAATATTCTCAGAGTGAATTGTGGTGATGTTTGAACAACTCTGTAAAAATCACTAAACACTTGAAATTGGTGTATATTATGGTATATCAATTATTTCTCAATAAAGCTATTAAAAATATCGCAACAATCTTGTCAAGACAGAACTGTAAATCTCTGCAACACTTACACTGCTGGGGCCTATGTGATACTCATTGCCTCACTATGGCTACAGAAAACCCAGGATCAAGGGTCCAATGTTGACAATAAGAAATCCTGATGGCAAAAGAATTTAGGTGCCTTCCAGCTACTGTGGCTGAGATACTCCCATTACAGCATCAAACGACTAGAACAACTTGGAAGGCACCTTGCCTAAAATATCTACCATCTGGTTGCTGGCCCCTCTCAAAACTCACCTGCCAACAATCTACTGTTAGACAGCATGATCTCTTCATGATTCTCTGCTATACACCTAGGATGTCTTCATCTAGAGTTTTGTAACCTTTAGGTCATCAGCAAAATCCAGTGATATAACAGTCACATAATGAATAAAAGAAAAGCCACCCAGTAAGAGGTGGTCATTCCTTCCCCCACACACCTGTTAGCGCACCAGAAATGACTACACAGGGAGATAAGCCATTATAGAGTTTTATCCCAAATGTTGGAGGTTCAGAAGTTTCTCTCACTTGGTTAAGCTTAGGATAAGGAAGACTCTCTAGAAGAAAGGACAATGAGAGTCTTGAAGGGAATCTTCATGTGCTGAGGCTGTAAGAAATCTTCAGGTAGCTGGTGCATGAGATATAAGTTGAGAGCCAAGAAAGAGTCCAGGAAGGGATAATGAGAAGGGTGTTTGAGTTCTTCTGTGTCCAGAATTGGTGGGTTCTTGGTCTCACTTCAGGAATGAAGCCGGGGACCCTCGCCGTGAGTGTTACAGTTCTTAAAGTTAGTGTGTCCACAGTTTGTTCCTTCTGATGTTCCGACGTGTTCGGAGTTTCTTCCTTCTGGTGGGTTTGTGGTCTTGCTGGCTTCAAGAGTGAAGCTGCAGACCTTCGCGGTGGCTGTTACAACTCATAAAGGCAGTGCAAACCCAAAGAACTAGCACCAGCAAGATTTATTACAAAGATCAAAAAAACAAAACTTCCACACTGCAGAACCGTACCAGAGCAAAGTGTTCTGCTGACTTGGGCAGTCTGCTTCTATTCCCTTATCTGACCCCACCCACATCCTGCTGATTGGTCTATTTTATGGAGAGCTGATTGGTCCGCTTTACAGAGAGCTGATTGGTCCGTTTTGACAGGGTGCTGATTGGTGCATTTACAATCCTTTAACTAGACATAAAAGTTCTCCAAGTCCCCACTAGATGAGCTAGACACAGAGCACTGATTGGTGCATTTACAAACCTTGAGCTAGACACACAGTGCTGATTGGTGCATTTACAATCCTTTAGACATAAAAGTTCTCCCAAGTCCCCACCAGATTAGCTAGATACAGAGTGCTGATTGGTGCATCCACGAACCCCGAGCTAGACACAGAGTGCTGATTGGTGCATATACAATCCTCCGGCTAGACATAAAAGTTCTCCAAGTCCCCACCGGACTCAGGAGCCGAGCGGGCTTCTGCTAGTGGATCCCGCAACGTCTCACAACGTTGTTGTTCAGGCTGGTCTCAAACTCCTGAACTCAAACAATCCTCTCACCATGATGTCTCAAGTAGCTAAGATTACAGACATGCACCACCATGCTCAGCAAATTTGACTGTTACCTTTCTCTCCTCTGATTTCTCAGAAGGTCAGATAAACAACTTGATTTCTTTTTTTGTGTTTTTTTTGTTTTTGTTTTTTGAGACGGAGTCTCGCTCTGTTGCCCAGGCTGGAGTGCAGTGGCGCGATTTCAGCTCACTGCAACCTCCACCTCCTGGGTTCAAGCGATTCTCCTACCTCAGCCTCCCGAGTAGCTGGGACTACAAGTGCCCACCACCACTCCCGGCTAATTTCTTTTTGTATTTTTAGGAGAGGCGGGGTTTCACCGTGTTAGCCAGGATGGTCTCGATCTCCTGACCTCGTGATCCACCCGCCTCGGCCTCCCAAAGTGCTGGGATTACAGGCGTGAGCCACGGTGCCTGGCCAAACAACTTGATTTCACTTGGTGGTGTGGAACTTCAGCATGAGTAATTCCATGTTGGTCTGGTGTGTTGGCCTCATTGCAGGAGCTCAGTCCAAACCAATGACCTCCTATAAAATTTTTTAACAGGACAAATGCTGGCTTGGTGCATGGCTTGGAGCAGTGGTGCACCTTGCATTGTCATCCACGCCCATGGAAACTGCGAAGATGGAGTTCTAATAGAACACAGGTAGTTATTGGCTCAACAGAGCACTTACACTCCTTACAGAGATGATTTTGTTACGTACCAGGCATGAAACCTGAGGGTGACTGTGGGTGATGGAGAAGTGGAAGTGAGAGGTGACAACGTGCTGGCAGCCCTCGCTCACTCTCAGCGCCTTCTCTGCCTCGGCGTCCGGTCTGGCCATGCTTGAGGAGCCCTTCAGCCCTCCACTGCGCTGTGGGGGCCCCTCTCTGGGCTGGCCGAGGCCGGAGCCGGCTCCCTCTGCTTGCAGGGAGGTGTGGAGGGAGAGGCCGCAGGCGGGAACTGGGGCTGCGCACAGCGATGGCAGGCCAGCATGTGTTCCGAGTGGGAGTGGGCTCAGTGGCACTCGGAGCAGCTGGCCAGCGTGGCTGGGCCCTGGCAGTGAGGGGCTTAGCACCCGGGCCAGCAGCTGCGGAGGGGGCGCCGGGTACCCCAGCACTGCCGGCCTGCCTGCCCCACGCTCGAATTCTCGCAGCGCCTCAGCCGCCTCCCCGCCGGGCAGGGCTAGGGACCTGCAGCCCGCCTTGCCTGAGTCCACCCGCGGTGGGCTCCCAGCGGCCAAGCCTCCCTGACGAGAGCCGCCCCTGCTCCGCAGCACCAGGTCCCATTGACCACCCAAGGACTGAGGAGTGCAGGCGCTCGGCACAGGACTTGGCAGGCAGCTCCATCCGCTATCTCAAGGGAAAAAAAATTAAATAGCCAAATCCCCAAACAAGTTAATTTTAGCTAGGATTAAGGAGGTCCTCTCTGCTTTAATCTTTACAAGGAAAGCAACTGAAAAGAACAATCCACATTCTGTTCTCTGTTTCTGCTTTCCCCAGCCCTTATTCTTTCTATAAAGCCAACCTCCTCTGCTTAGCTCTATGGAACACTCATTCTATTTTAAAGAATGAGGTGTTGTCCGATTATAAATCACAAAAGCTAATTAAGATGTTTAACTAAATTTGATATAATTTTTTTTTTGTCTTTTGACAGCCCTTCCTCTGACGTGCACAGGATATGAAAATGTCTGATAGTGTTGTGGCTGCAGTGAGACCTGGGAGTGGCAGTTTCTTTCACTGCAGTTGTCTGTCCAAAGCGAAGTGAACTAGCAAGTCTCTTACAAAAGGGCAAGCTCTGAACTGCGCACAGTGTGAGCACAGACACAGTGGGGCTAATCTACAGGGGCAGTGTTAGCAGCAATGGGTTGTCCAAGATTTCTGAGAGGATTAGCACCTAGAAAATAATCTTATTTTGCTTTGTGGTGTCAGACAAAGGAACTGAATGAGAAAATTATTGAAGGGCATATTGTAGCTGATATGCAGATCCAAGGCTGACTTTCTTCCTCTCCCTTGAATCCACTTATCACAAAAATATGGAATGAGCAGAACTTATGGGCATAACCATAAACCAATTTTCCTTTGTTTCCTACTGTCTCTTTAAAGTTTTCTCAGTGGGAGAAATCTTCTGTGTCCTTGGATGAAGACTTACTCAGTAAATTACTTTATGATCACTGATAGGTAATAAAAGATCCTATGGTCATTTAAAAATAAACCATAGAATTTTAATTCAGAAATTATTATCCTAGTTCCATATAATAATCTAGACTCCAAACTTGATTTAAAGGTAAATTTTCTCTACCTTCCTAAGTTAGAGCTTCCTGCAGTCTTTCCCTTCTATCTCTCCTCCTGCCTACTAACCTGTTTTCTGACCTGTTACATTTTATTTGCCCTGATAAATTGGGTGAACAGGGTGATTACTAAGCAGCTGCTTCAACTTGTCAGAGGACAGTTGACCAGCCTGGGTCTCACCCTTTGTATTCCCTGTCATACCTCAATCCACTTTGTTTCTCCCATTGTAGATGGTACTTATGCTATTGGAGTCCCCCTGACGTTCTCTCTCTTGACTTGAGATGAAGGGAATACACCTTATACATTGCACCTCTACTTCCATCCCACTAGCAGCTTTCTACAAATAAGTCTTGTCTAAATAAGTTTCCTCTGATGCCCCACAACCCAATTCTTTTTTATTCTCAAGGTCAATGAGGGGTATAGTGAAACCTGACACATAACTGGTTTTTGGTTATTTTCTTGGAAAATTTTTCATTTTTGTTTAACACCTCACTTGAGTACCTGGCTAATCAAAATGTGGGCCCGGGATGGGCAGCATTGGCATCACCTGGGAGCTTGTTAGAAAAGCTCAGGCCCCAGCCCAGACCTACAAAATCAAAATCTGCATTTTAGGGAGCTCTCCAGGTGATTCGCATGCACATTACATTTTGAGAAGCCCTGCTTTTGAAGTCCTTTCAACTGTTTCTTGGTGTCTCAATCTTCCTATTTACTTTCCTGTTACACATTTAGAGTCCAATGTCCTAATGTAGCTTTGTGGGTTCTATTTTCAGAAAGGAGGAGTGCCAGTGTCTGTCCTTTGCAATTGCAGATCTCAAACTATTTATAAACCTATTAATAACTTAAATGTCTTTTTACTGAATTCAAATGTTCTATTGTCACATCAAGTTCAGTATATCCTACGTCAAATCCAGCATTTTCCCCCAAATCCGACACCTATTCTAACTCCTTTTACCCATTCTTTGATATCTAATAATGGACAGTCTTCTCCAAGACTATTTCCTTGACCACTGAAGCACAGGGTGATCACTCAACTCTTGTACCGTGCCAGCCTTTAGCACTTATGACAGCCTCTTTTTTATTTATGTTTATACTGGCTTGAACTAACATTTAATTTTTCATTCATTCAGCATTTCTTGGGCACTTTCTATGTTCCAACCAATGTTTAAACAGCTGTTAAAGAACAAAACAAATTAGTCTTCTGTCCTCTTGAAAGTTACATTTTCAGGGGGAGAAAGATACAAAAAATAGATAAATATGTAATTTCATACCACAATGACGGCTTTCAAATTGATAATGTCAGGCTCAACCTCTCCTTTTAATTGTAATTCATGTAACCAGTGTCTGCTCAATATCTTTACTTAAATATCTAGTATGCACCTCAAACTTACTGTATCCAAAACCGAATTCTTGATTTTCACTTCAACACCCTCTTTTCCTAATGCTCTCCATCTCAATGTACAACATCACCATCTCCACAAAAATCCTCTTTCTTTCATACCCCACTTTTAATCCATCAGAAAATCCCTATAATTCTACTTTCAAAACATACCCAAATTATTGCTACTTCTCTCCACTTCCTCTGCAACAGCTCTGTGGAGGTCTCCAATGTCTCCTCTGGACTGCTATACCAGCCACCTGACAGCCATCCTGCCTCCCTCATCCCTCTACTACAGTACGTACTCTACCAGTACTCTGAGCCATCTTTCACAGAGTTAGTTTGAGCATTCCCTAGCTCAAAACTCTCCCATTGCTTCCTGTTGCACTGAGAATTAAATCTAAAGACTTCACAGAGTCCCTCAAGGCCCTACAGACTCTTGGTCCCCATGCTGCCCCTCTGACTCACCTCCTCCCTACCACTCTTGCCTTCCTTTCTCATCCCCGTCACTTTGGCCCACTTGATGTTCTTTGAACACACACATCTGGCTATCTCCCCAAGTCTTTGCAATTGCTTAAACCACTCTTCCCAGATACCCAGAAGACTTGCTTTCTCATTTTCTTAAATTATCTCTGTATTCAAATATCACCCCCTCAAGAGGTCTATCCTGACTTTCTCTCTCACCTTCTCCTTTTCTTTATGATATTTAGCCATAATTCGCCCCCCATACACATGCATTTGTTTATTCATCTGTTGGTTTATTGTCTGTCTCCTCACTAAAATGTAATTACTCCAAAATGTAATTTCCACAATAGCAATAAATTTATCTTTTTATTTTAACTACTGCCTGCCCAGCACCCAGAACAGTCGTTGAAAAGAGCAGACATTCAATAAATATTTGCTGAGTAAATGAACATTAACTAAATTACCTAAGTTTGCAAATTATTACTTTAATTATAGACCAAATTGATTGCTCTTATAATAATGTCACTGTCACTAACTCACTTTTTAATATGCTTCCTCAAATAGAATTACGGCTGGGAACTTAATATCACAAGGGTATCAGAGCAGAGCGGTGTCATGCATGTGAATATCTTCCATCATTTGTGTGGCAACAGAAGTCAAGTTTGACAGCAGTTTCTCTAAAACACAATTTCTAGTTTCACTATGTAGATATGTTTTTCCGGAGGTACTGGTGACAAGGCAGGGACCACGTCCTCAAGAAGCTGTCCTAGGACCTCCGAGAAAGAGCTGGGAAGCTGCTGCTTCCTACATTCACTGAGGAATGCATACCGCTGGCTCCTCTCCTGCAGCTGGGTCATTATACAGAAATCTGGAGCAGGGGCTTTGGCTCAGATCACATCCCTCAATGTTTGATGGTAATGTCCTCTCTATCTGGCACTAGTTGTTAATCATGACTGCACTTCGGACTCACATGGAAGCTTTTAAGAAATAGCAGTGTCCAGCCACATCCCCAGGGACTCTAATTTAATTGCTCTGAATGAGCCTAGGCCTTTCTGTTTCTTAAAAAGCTCTCCTGGTTATTTTAATATGCAGTCAGGGAGCAAACCACTGGTCTATAAGCAGGGTAGAGCACACATTCTGGGCAGTCTAATACTAGGCACTTGGGAATGAGACCTGGGCACTGGGGCTGGTCTCAGCCTTTGAAGAACACACAGCCCTATGGAGGGCTTCACAGCTGTGTGCTCATGTCCAAATTATAACACTTTGGGGTTTACAGCTCTAGAGATGGGAAAAATTTAGGGAGATTTAAGAAAAAAATGTATGAAAAGATTTGAAGAGTTTAAAATATAAAATATATGAGGCAAAAGTCAAAAGTTAGATTTATTTAACCTGAAGATGTAGAGTTAAGTAATTTTCTGACCGTTTATAAGTGTATGCACATCTCCCACATTAAGAAAAACCTGGCACACAAAAATCCAAATGTGTGTAATAGAGACACAAAAGACAATATTTACACCTGCACTACACAAACACAAATACATACACATATAGAGTAATTACAGGCAGAGATTTGTGTTGTGTTTGCCATAGGCTGGATGCTGCTCTGATCTCTGGGTAAAGCTCATTTAACCCTTATAACAACCCTACAAAATAGATACGAGTATTATTCTGATTTTAGAGTAAGGAATCGGAGGCTCTCAATGGTTAAGTAACTTGCTTTTGTTACTGTTTGGGTCTGGGATTTAAACTTAAGCAGACTGGCTGCAGAGTTCCTGTGCTCTTAACTATCATTTGGTACTGTATGTATGTATATACACATGTGTATTTGTCAGAGTTCTCCAGAGAAATGGGCTAATATATACTAAGATATTTATTGTAAGAAATTGGCCCACGAGATTGTGAAGGCTGACAAGTCCCAAGATCTGTAGGTTGAATCAGCAAGCTGGAGACCCAGAAGAGTCAATGGTTTAGCTCCAGTCCAAGTCCAAAGGCCTGAGAACCAAGAGACCAGATGGTACACTGGACCAGCAGGCTTAAGGCCCAGGAAGAGCTGATATTTCAGTCAAAGTCCTAAGGCAGGAAAAAAAGCTGATGTCCTAGTGTGAAGGCTATCAGGCAGGAAAAATTCTCTTACTCAGGGGAGGATCAGCCCTTTTGTTTTATTTGGGCCTGCAACTGATTGGATGAGGCCCACCCACATTAGGGAGAGCACTCTGGTTTACTCAGTCTACCAATTCAAATGTTAATTTTACCCAAAAATACCCTCAAAGAAACAACCAGAACAATGTTTGGCCAAATGTCTGGGCATCGTGTGGCCCAGTCAAGTTGACACATAAAATTAATCATAGTATATATTGTATATATATGTAAGAATATATGTGCACACACAGACACACATATATATGTGCAGATAATGTTTTAAAAAACATACATATTTTGCTTTACAAAAAGATGCACGTTTTCTTTAAACAATAAGCATACTTATTAAAATGCTAACTCATAATATTGGAGCTCACAAATAAGTAAGCAAGAATTTTAAAGAGAAAAATATTTGTTATCATGTGATAACCTATTACAAATCCTTTGCAGTGAAAATGTTTTTGAGACAGATTAATGGGAAGGCACAAGTAGTTCAATGGAAAGTCTTGTACATTTGTTCTGGGTTATTTTAGCATGTGATGAATAAATACAGTGAAAAATGTGTTCTTGTGGGATTTTCCTGCTGGACAAAAAACAAAAGTAAAAGGTTTGTTTTTAAATATTAAGGACCTAAAATTCAATGACTCAGTGTTTCATTGTTCTGTAATTGGTTAATTGGCAGTAGGAGAAGAGTACAGGGGTGGATGGGCATATTCCTGCCTGCACAAGAACAAGACCATTAAAAAGCTGAGTAAGTTTTGATTTGTTTTGCTTTGCCTGTTGCTTTTCTAATGAATTAGTCCCGGTGTTTAAAGGATTGCCTAGTAAAGTCATTGAAACATCATTTTTTTCAAATATTATCTAAAATTTCCTTGGAACTAAGGTTTTATGCAATGATCTATTAAATAATGAATACGCACATGGTAATAGAAAATTAAAATATCCCTTTAATTCCTACTGATTCACTTAAGAGAAAATTCAGAAACCTTCTCATATAGAATTGCAATTCCTTATTATGTTATATATTTATAAGTTGATAATGAAAAGGCAACTTTAATCAAAAGTTAATTTAAAAACTCACAACATAATCATTTGGTTTATTCAATTAAATAGTACTGAATTTCAAGAGTGTGTAGTAATAATGAACAAATATAAATTGAGGAAAAGAAGTGAAAGTCTCAGAAGCTTTAGAGTGATGAATAAGAAGGCTGATACTGGTTACATTGGCCTTTGTTTTCTATTGTACTAAAGTTGCAGTTAATGAAATATTTGAGTAGCAAAGATAAGAGACAAAGATGCTTCACAAAATACTGGTAATAAAACTCTTCTTCTAAAAAGACAGCTACCCAATATGCTTGATACTTATCGAGGACCTATATTTTTTAAAAAACAGAAGCCCAGCAGAGTCATCGTTTCTCTAGGCTCACATTCTCCTTTGTCTAGTAGGATGTGTGTTATGAATATAAATGAACTTTTGAGACTTAGTTATAAAGATCTCTGGCACATCACTAAGCATTTTAGTCCTCTCTGTTAGCTGGTTTCCTGTGGGCTGTGTCTGTTATCTTTCCTCTCATGCCGCATCCAGTCTCTACTGTGATTAGGCTCTTGAGGACAGGGGATATTTCTTCCTGAAGTTTGTACCTGCCTATCCTGGCCAAGGTTTCTGCTCTAAATTCTTTCCTATTTCCTTACCTTGGTGAGATGGGCTATAAGTCTAGGACTCCTACTTTTATCTTTCTTGACAAATACCTAGAGCAGGTGCAGCTCTAGCTGCTCATCTCACACTCCTTCTGGCGTAGAAGATCTGCCTGGATCTTCTTATCAGAGGCAACTTTCTAAAGATTTTATCAGCCAAGAAGAGAAAGTTTGGCAAGCCATTACAAGAAGGGAACTAGAAACTTCTTCAAGGTACAGAACTTGTCTTCTTTATTTTTACACTTCCAGAGCCACAAAGTGCCTGGAAATCAGGTGTTCAATGAATATTGGTTGCACTGAATATGGATTCCTCTTCTCTTCCCCCTCCCAACTTCGTCCTCAGGATCAGTGGACTCATTGTGGGTTTCTTATGAAATTACCATAAAAATAGTTTACATATAATGTCTAACATGTGATTTCAGATTAACAAAACTCCCAAAATTTAGATGCCCTGACTCAAAAAAAATTTTTGTTTAGAAGTAACATATGGTATGTAGTTTGGGATATAAGGTGTGATCAGAAATAAATAAGTTTTCAGACTATATATTAGTCAAAAACTGGCAATTACCAAAATGGCCTTCAATAGTTGAGTGAATAAATTGCAGTATGGTCATGCGATGGAGTACCATACAGCAACAAGAATGATCAGTCTATGACTACACACAAAAATAATGAATGAATCTCACAAATGAAATGTTAAGAGAATAAAGCCATGTGCAAGAGAGTATATTGTATGAGTTCATTTGTACAAAATATAAAAACAGGCTAAATTGATCTATGCTATTAGAAATCATAACAGTGGTTACCCTACAGGCAGTGGTCCTCAACTGGGGATGACTTTTTTTCCAGGAAATATTGGGCCTATCTCTTTATCTGGAGAGAGATTTTTGTTGTACCATTGATAGGACTGCTACTGGTAGCCAGTGGGTAGAGGCCAGGAATGCTGCTAAACATCCAACAATGCACAGGACAGCCCTCCACAGCAAATAATTGTCCAACCCAAAATGTCAGTGGTGCTGGGCTGAGAAACCCTACCCTAGAGGAATAATGGTAGAAAGTGGGCACAAAGAAGATTCTAGGAGCTGGTAATATTCTGTTTTTTGATCTGTGTGCTTATTACATGTGTATTCAATTATAAAATTTATCAAGCTGTACACATATGATATGTATACATTTTATCTTATATTATCCTTCAACAATAAGTTTTACAAGTTTTTAAAAGCTACCTATGCTTTAGAAAACCTTTATTTAATAAAAATATGCCCTAGGACTCAATCAAGGGGTATATTAAGTAGCTATCAGCTTACATTGACCAAAGCCATCCAGACTTAGCGGAAAACAGAAAAGAAAAACATATTATGGAAAACTCTAAAGGTTTAATGATAAAACACAAAATAAACCTTTCACTCATCAAATATTATACAGAATATCAGGATTTGGGGTATATACTTATCACTTTAAAATGGCAACAACTTCAAAAAAAAGCATCAAGTGCTAATAAAAAAATGCATGAATGTTTTATTTACCAGAAAATCCTTGTTGACATGTAGAAAGGAATCTGGCCAAGTAACTTAGAATCAGAATTTGTTATGTCAGCATCTGCAGAAACTAGAAACATGAGAGCTACTTTAAAAATGCCTTAGTGCCATCCACAGCCTCCTGCTGCAACTTTTCTGTTCAGCCTGCACTTCTGCAGCATCTTTTGCTCTGTGATGAATTCCTGTGCTCTGTAAAATGTGCAAGGTTTTTTCATAGCATGAATTTCCATTGACAGCATATTTTGAATGGGGAAGTCTCTTGTGGCTATCCTGTCCCAGTCTCACACTTGTTTGTTGGGTACATTGAGGGCACATAACTTGTTTTTTTAGTTCATAGGTCTCTAATCGTGGGAAACCTCGTATGGCAGAATGCAGGTCCAAAAGTCCTGGACTCTGATCCAGATAAACGGAAGTCTCAGGAAGAAGTAAGTGTATTTTGCATGTAGGAGGGACATGAATAATTGTAGCCAGAAAATGGACTATGGTAGATTATTTATTAAAAAATGACCAAAATTATTTCCTTTCCTATATCTAGACCTCCATGCAATGTGACTTTGCAGCTCCTCCCATATGGAGATGGGGTCTATTTCCCTACCCCTTTAAATCAGGGCTGGCTTTGTGACCTGTTTCAACTAACAGAATGTGGAGAAACTGACACCATGACAGTTCTGAGCCTGGGCCTCAAGAGGCCTTGCACGCTTCCACTCACTTTTTTGGAACCATGCTTCTGCTGTGTGAATAAGCCTGGACTTGTCTGCTGGATAAGAAGAGATTCCATGGAAGTCAGACAAGCCATCCTAGACCAGCCAGGCCCAGCTAATCTAGGGGGCTGCCCACAGATGTATGAAGTGAGTCCAGACAAGATCAGGAAAACCATTCACGTGTGCTATGCTCATATTGGCATCCTGCAAAATCATGAACTAAATGATTTGCAGAGATTTCTTACACATCATTTACCTTTGTTCTCAGGCAAGATTACTGTAAGCAGATTCAGCTTTTATTCTATTTGTGGCAAATAGAACAAAAATTTTACCAGTAGCTACTCTTTCTCAGTGGTTCAATGAATATTCCTGAACTAAATCGTAAACCTAATTTCTCAGGTTACCTCTTGAGAGTAGTCACTTTACTGTGACTGAAGCAGTCACTCTAACCTGGGTGTTAGATGCTGTGATGGCTGCACCTGGGTCCTTCCCAGGAGCTGGGGTGATGGGGTGTGTTATGAGAAAGTGATGATTCCCAACAGGTGAAAAAATAATGACTGCCCCACACAGTATGCTCTGCATCTCACTGCCTCTCATGTGAGAATTCAGCTCGTGTGATGTTTTTAATTGGTTGGTTGTCCATTGCTCTGTAGATGCTGTCATCACCATAGATACCAGGGCCAGTCATCCGTTGATTGTTCTATTTGCATGATTTGAAATATGAAAGATCATTAGGAAAAAAGTCTATTTAAGATAAATTTGGCATTTTTGATACTTTAGTGTTGAGATTTCTAGATAACTTTTTTCTTACAATATTTTATCCTTGATGCATACCAGATCTTCTTTCTCCTGAAATGAAGGAAGGATGTTAATATGGTCTGGATCTGTGACCCCACCCACATCTCACCTTGAATTGTAATCTGAATTTCAATCCCCACATGTTGTAGGAGGGACCTCATGGGAGGGGATTAGATCATTGGGGCAGTCCCCCCATGCTGTTCTCATGATAGTGAGTGAGGTCTCATGAAATCTGATGGTTTTATAAGGGGCATCCCCCTTCGCTTGGCACTCATTCTTTCTCCTGCTGCCCTGTGATGAGGTATCTTCTGCCATAATTGTAAGTTCCCTGAGGCCTCCCCAGCCATGAGGAACTGTGAGTCAATTAAACCTCTTTTCTTTATAAGTTACCCAGTCACAGGTATTTCTTCATAGCAGTGTGAGAAGGAACTAATACAGATGTGCTGGTCAATTTTATGCTGTTACATAATATGGAACAATACACGTTATAGTAAATACTTCCATTTTGTGGAAAGTAGAAGGGCATCAAGCACAAAAATGAAGAAAGATCTTGTTAAATGCTTGAATAATAAATACAGAGAAAATTGGCAATGTTCAAAGAATACTATTTCCTTTAATATTATTCAATAAACTCTGTCTCCTAGCCTTTTGATTTCCTCAGGCTGACTTGTCTGACTTGTGGATGTGCTTGACTTGAATTCACTTATCCTCAAAAATAATGAAGACTAAGTTGTAGGCATTGTGTATGAGTGGGCAATCCAGTGAAAAGAGCTAGTGAGTAACTTTCCAGCAGGTGAAGATTGTGTATATACCTTCTGTAAAAATGCTGGTTTTATGATTGGTGATTAATTGAATAATCTCTGTGAGCAAACACTCAGGAATCAAAAAATGGATTATGATACATCCACATACAGATACAGGAATAATCTGCAGCTGATAAAATAATATTTCTAAGGAATATCAATTGAAATGGGAAAGCATACATACTATTTTGCTAGGTAGAAAGTATTTCTACAGATATATCATGTCATTATTTTCCTAATGTGTATGTGTGTGTGTATACACACATATATCACAAAATATTACCAGTTGAGTCCCCAAAGGCAGACAATTTTGAGTGCATTTTTCTCTCTCTTGCTTCCTTTTATTTTCCAGGCTCCCAGCATTAGAATATGTTGCTTCTGAAATTATAATAATAAAATATAAACATGCAAAATGTATTAAGAGGGTTTTGTACCACCACAGAGAAAGTAATGCTAACAAAATATTTTGCTACCAGAAAAAAATTTCCCTAAATCCTCATGATGTATTTTTCTTGTATAAATTTTGGTATCCACTTTTCAGTCTGATGGGGATATTCTTTTGAGGGCTGTCAGATCTAAGCTAAAGTAAATAATTACTGACATCTATAGAGTACACCCTATATGCTGGGCCCTGTTCTAAGTATTTCTTATGCTTTAACTCATGTAATGCTCACAATACCCTATGGGGTGGTAACTACTGGTTTTATCTATTTTACAGATAAAGAAATTGGGACACAGAGAATGTAAATGGAGATGCAGTGGAATCAGACTCCAGAGTTCCCACTCAAAAACTTTTCTCTCTCTCCTATCTTGTGAGGAAGGACATTTTAGGTATTACTTCATCTAGAAAGGAATGGCTCTTCAGCGAGGCAAGCAGAACTGGGAATGCAGAGCCCAGGTAGGCAGGAGAAGGCTTTGACCTTCTTCTCTTTGTCTATTCATGGAGAAATTCACCTTGGGCTTTTGGGACAGTATCTAACGTATAGAAGCAAGAATGGAGAGACTCCAGCAAGCTCTTTGCCTTATGAGGTCCCTTTCATAAGGGGTGGAATACAATTTAAATGAGCTAATTGATATTTCAGGGTATGATTGCCTATAAAATATGGGTTGTGCACTAAAATGAAGAGGACTTTGCTTTCGTAAGATTAAGAATCACTGAGTTAGATAAAGTTAGACAAGTCTGTTGCAGGACTTCTCAGAGCCTTCATTACGCTTACACACATTTTAGTCTCTATGGAGTGAATACGGTACATACTGTTTCTCAACTTCTTTCAACCACAAAACACCTTTCTCATGGAGTATCTTCTAATAGCTCCCCAAGTTATTGTTCTGTGGAACAAAGTTTGGAAACATTAGTCTCAAATAATAATACTCTCTATATTATTTCCATTCCCCCCAGCCTTCAGTGATTATTTTTAACATCCAAGCCTTACTTCAGGTGTCCTCTGAAGACATAAGAAAATGATTTGTATCTTTGTTTGGACATATTTATTAGAGGAAGGGTTGCTAAATTTGGCTTGTTACAAAGCAAAACCTAATCCATGAAGTGTTTTTGGTATGGTAAGGACTTGGAGACTCTTCTGATGACCTAAGGCCACTTTAGCTATTAATAATTTGGCAGAACCTCTGAGTCTTAGCCAAATTCCACATCCTGGCCCAGAGAAACCACTTCACATCCCCTATGGAAACATTGCCTAGTCCCTCCCAACAGTGGTCCCTGTAGGCTTGCTGGCTCTCAATTCTCAGTCCCTTCCACATTCTTTCACAGAGACTATAGGGGACTTATGGATTCCTTCTATGCTGTGTAAAAGAAAAGGGAGTATCAGGGTACCATCACCTATTCTTTCTCACTGTATATATGCCACAATTTTATTCTTACTTGGTGGCAGTTTCTCCATGTTGCCACAGGGAAACTAAGTAAGGCTACCTCCTTCCAAAGTTCCAAGTAGGATGTGGAATTAAATGAAGACCACCTAAATGAGAATGAGAAGAGGCTACTCAGAGCTTGTGATAGCTAGGGAGTCAGCCACTAGCATTTGCATTTGGCAAACATGACAAGACAGGTAGGGGGGTAGGAAAGCTTTATGGCGGAAAAAAGGGAAGACTTCAGATGTACCCTGATTGGCATGGGGAAACTGTAGGTAGGCTAACTAGAAGTGGGACATCCCATGAGATTGGTTTGGGAATCATATTTGGCTTTCCATAATTAGCTCTTAGTTGAAAACAGGGGCAAAAAGTAGAGAAGTTGGCAGTCATTAATCAGGTGCAAGTTGTTCCAGGCAGATTGCTGCAGAAGTTGTGGTTTGGCTACCTGGGTAGTTCCTGTAGAGTTTGTGGGTCAGAGTTCTGTCGTCATATATGGTCTGGCCATTGTCCATTTGTAAATTCAGTGTCTTGATTTCCCTCCTGGTTATTCTTTCATTTGTAAGAACCTGAAAAATTCAGAAAAGGCTAGAGATTCAGATTTTCACTGCTCAGAGACTGTTCAGTTGTCTCCATGGTCAACTGTATTGCAAGATTTTGTGGGCATCTTGTTGTATCATCATGGCAATCATCTTGATGAGACAGCAGCTACAGAATAGCATTTTAGAATCTGGACAAACTACAACAGACTAGTATCCTGTTCACTGTGACAAAAACAAGAACAATTAGGAGTCCCTATAAGATACTTTGAAACCAGAAATCCAAATTGCCCAAACTAGACCAAGTAAGCAAATCCCAAGTCTAAATTCAGGGTCTTCCAGTTACCATATCATAGGGGGATAAATGTGTCCCTTGGGAAGTAGGCCGTATGGCCATAAACTTCTATAGTTTTATTTTTTTGTGTGTTTACATGATGGAATTATGGTTCAATCTGTTTTTATTGAGAAATGTTTTAGGTATGGCATTTAGGAGACTTTGCTCTGGTTTTAGGGCCTTTTTTGACTCACACATTTATTGTGGAAAGAGGGATTCTGTAGATCCCTTTCTTGGTCAATTCAATTAGCTATTGTCATTCAGGATTTAGTATTTAGCTGAGGGTTTGACCAACAAATGTACAAACTGATATAGTTCAGCTGTTCCACTCTGACACATATGCACCCAAAGGAAGTCTGAATCCTTCTGTGAATAATCCTTGTCCTTGTCTGTGCTTAAGGAAATCCTGAAACATAGCTCTTAGTTCAGCTTGTATCTGAGGTTTAACTTATGCAATTGCTTACACACCTGGCTCAGGGATGGGATGGATCTTTAGAAGCAAATTGCATTTTGGGGTCTTGAAAGGGGGAAGAAGAAGGGAGAGTTGAAATAAGGGTAAAAGGAGAGAGATCAGAAAGATAAGAAGGAAAAGGGAGAGCTAGATACAGGGAGGCAACTGGAGGACAAGGAGGGAGAAGATTTACCAGGGAAATGAGTCTATTGATAGTTTTTTCATTGCTTACATTTGTAATGTTGTTTATTACTTTTGGCCAAAGAATGCTTTAGTAAAACAATTTTCAAATCAGAATTTCATTTAGAAGTCTCTACATACCAATCAAAAAGTGTTGCCCATGGAGCCTGATAAATACTATTCTCTTTCTTTTCTAAGGCATTTCTCAAATAAACAATTTTGTTCAAGTCAAATGTCCCTTATAGTGGCCATTCAAGGCCCAAATTATCATTGGTGAAGTTATACCACTTAGAGAAAGAAATAAAAGAATTATACAGCAGGAGTTTCTTCTGAAGGAAGAAAGGATTTAGACTTAAATGACTCACAAGAGCAGGCAACAGTCAGTTGAAAGCAATGCTTATGTACTTTGCATCTGAGACTCCCACCTGTTGCTTGGCTGCCTCTGAACGCAGACCTGATGGTCAGCACCTATACACAGGCAGAAAATCAAAGAGAACATGCACCAAGGAGAACATTCTCTCTGGATCAAAGCTAGGCTCTCAGAACAACAACAACAAAAATGATGGAAGGAGAACCTCATCCAGTTTTATTGGTGACTTGGCAAAATACTTTGTCCACATGGGGACTGGTTTGGTGAGAACTACAAACTCATTGGTCTGTGAAACCGGCTCTAACAATAGGCTTGTAGGGTCTATGCCAGTGTTCTACCTTGTGATTTGCCTTTATATGACAGACAACACTTTTAGACAACCCTACATAAAACAGAAGCACCAAAGAGAGTAAAAAGGGATAAAAAAAGAACTCCATCCTCTGTGTTGTTGAATTCCTCAGCTATTTATTCTCAGTTTGGTGCCTGGATTTTATTATTAGTTCCCATTTGTTTGGCATCCTTGGTGGAATCAGGCCATTCTTTTTCATCACTGTGTTTTGAAAGTTCCCAGCTCAATTGTTGTTCCAGTATCAGAGTGTCTAGCAGCCCTGTCCTAACGGGAAATGAAGGGGAGCTGGACGTTTACAGTGGGCTTTTCACAGGATGCCCTAATGCCTAGTTATCCAACCTGTGACCAGAGGTCCCTCACATGGGGAACTTGTTTATACTGGCAAACGCCCTTGTGGCTCCTATCTGACCCAGTTTATGCCCGCCTGACCATCGCTCTGGCATTGGGAACCCAATCTTGTGATCTCTTTGGCATTCCGGGAAAACCCTAACTAGGACAGCCCCTAGTTCTTCAGATGGAAGGTAACAAATTCAATACACTGCCACAACAGGAAACAAGTTCAAAGGTTTTTTTTTTACTTACAGATCCTGGGCGGGGTGGGTGCAATGAGTTGGGAGGGTAGTCCTCTCTCTGTACCTGGGGTCACACGAGGCAGGTATGAAGAGTCACGCAGAGAGAGAGAGAGAGAGAGAGAGAGAGAGAGAAATATGTAACAACTATTAGCATGTATAAGGGAATAGGGTGTGTGGGTTACTTTGAGTTTACAGTTAAATGCCTGAAAGTTCTCTTTAAAGGAAGCTGCAGGAAAGTAGAAGCCCAGTCTGCTAGGTGGTAGAGATGCCTCTACGGTCTTATCTCTGGCCATTGGCTTGAGCCATTTTGCTGTGGCATAGAACTGGAAACTGTTTTGGGTGAGTGAGCCCTGCTTCTGACATGAGAAAGTAAAACTTATATGCAAAGTGGATGATGAGGAAAATAAAATTATGAGAATTAACCATACCCTAGGTCATAGATGAAAGAGAAATCTTCAGATTTCTCTGGAGGTTGCTGGCATGGGAAGCTGGCGGTGGGCATCCTAAGTGATTGATCAGTGTAGCATATTTGGCATTCCCTGGTCCTGAATTGGAAGAGGGGGACAAAAAATAGGGAAGCTGGCAGTCATTGACCATTCCGGGCTTAGTGCTCCAGGGGTTGTGGGTCAGAATTCTTGTCATAGGTGGTCTGACCATTATCATTTGTATATTCAGTCTCTCAGGGTCTCAATGCTACTAGCCCACTCTGTTTTCAGTGGTTGCTTCAAATGCTACGTTGTTTCCATTTTCTCACTACCCTTCCACATTTCCTGTTTAAATCCTCTGGGATACAAGAGAGCGTCAGTGGATCCTTGGAAGAAGCAAATAATGTCTTTTTCTCCTCACATTCCTTCCAAATTATTCTATTGCTCTCCTGAATGAAAGAATACTTCTCTCTTTTCTTCCTGTATAATAGAAGCTTCCTCCACATTATATCCCTTTCTTCCTGACTCTTGGATTACTATGTTCCAGATCCACTTTTTTTTTTTTCTCCTACTGTCATAATCCTGTTGGCTCTCTCTTAATGGTGGCGGTGGTAGTGGTAAAGGAGGGGTTACCAAGAGGAGAAATATCACTAATGAGCTGGAATATCATTGCAACCAGCATAGAAATTCTTTACCTCTCAAAGAAATTTTAAAATACATACAAATTCAGGTCATCTGATTAAACAAAATGTGAATATTCAGTGTGCATGAAAGCCTCTGAATGTGTTTGAATTGTAAATGTTTGTGGATGAGCATTTTCTCTGGTGTCTTCATTTCTTCAGTAAGTATTTATTGGGCACTTCCTGTGTTCTAGCTTCTGTCCAGAGCACTTGGAGATATCAGTGAGCAACATAAAGACCCCTGCCCTCATGCAGCTTACATTCTAGTGAGGAAGACACACAACAAATTGTAAGCAGAGTAAGAAAGTTTAGTGTGTTAAAGGGTGATAAGTGCAATGGAATAAGGAAAATGCAGAGCTAGGGGTGGAGGATCAGGAGTGGAGGGGTAGCGGGCAGGTTCATCTGACTTTTTCTTTGGTGATGCCTGACTTTGCCTCTTTAATAGCAAACTTACTGCTAATACCCAGTGAATAAGATCATGACAATTAAAGTCTCCCACAGGATTCGAGGATTGTTATGAAAAAGAGGCACACTCACACGCAGGGCCCTGGTTGAATTTCTGGGCATTCCTGCTAATTTTATTAATCCTCAGCACAGCTGTAGGTGAGTCAGCTGCCACGGATCTCAACCAGTTCAGGATTCAGAGAAGCATTGTAATCTTATTTGGTTATAGAGGTTATTAACCAAGCCTAGGCTTTGTTGTAAGAACCTGATTAATAGTAAGAAAAATTGTAAGAGGAGAGAGTCACACATCAAGATTATGTAAGTCAGTAATCATGTTTCCTTCTGTAAAATAATATTTTTATTATCAGAATCTCTCAGCAGCATCAGGGACCCTTATTGGATACCCTAGTCAGTGAATGACAAGATTCGATTATATTTCTGCATTGTCGTTCCAAGATAGAATCAACTTTACTAAAGAAAGCAGCAAAGATTTTAAAAAGCCAATATTTAGTAGGGAAGGAATAGTTGTATAATAAAATATTAATTGTTCTAAAAAGACTCAGAGAAAAATGCCATACTTACCAGAAACAGTATTTTCCCTCCACATTTCTATTTTTATTTCTATTTAGTCCAAAATGATCTGCTTTATCAACTCAAGATAGACATATGATCATATTTTTATTTTTAAAATTAATTACTGCTGAAGAGAAGAACATTCAGAGTTTACCTTTTGAAGCTTAGTCCAGTGGCGTGCATCCTGTTTTTTCACACAGCAAGCAGAATGCATTGAACTATGTTTCCTATTTATCTGCTGCTTCATGGTGGGGCTGTTGAAGACTGGCCTTGTGTGGTTTGGATAGCCCTTGCTGGTCTGGACCACAGTGGATCCCTGTGTTGAGGGCCAAGGTCACAGCTCTGTTTGATCACATTCCCATGCTTAAGCACTGTTCCTGGGAGACTTGCAGCCACACTCTCGGGTTCTGGGCTCCCTCTCTTTCTTCCCACTCCAATTGCAAACACCTCAGTCCTCATGTGGAGCCTATTCACAAGCTTAGCTTCCTCATTTCTCAAAGTAACTTTATTTTAGTGATCTCCTTGCCCTTCTCTGCACTGGACCTTTATTTGGTCAGGGTCACTCTGTCCAGTTGTGTAGCTGTTTGCTGCATACAGGTGTCTGGCTGGGAGGACAAATGGAGGCTGAAATTCAGCTCATCCTCCACTTGCCAAGTGCATGCCCCTGAGTTGAGCCCACCACCTTCTAATATATCCAGCCAGAGGGTAAAATGGCCCTCATTCATAGAGAAGTGCTAGTAGGAACACTAAGTGGAGTCATTCTGCTCCTCACCAACTGGTTTTCATAACTTTAAATTTCAGGTAGCAAGGTTGGGGCATCTACCCACTCTTCATATAAATTGAACCATCTCCTCTTTACGGACCAGCTTTCAAATCTGGTAGAGATGGCCTCCATCTGATTAAAAAGGTTTTGTTTCACGAGAATTCCTCTTGCCTTTTTTACCCCAAGACTCAAGAGCCAAATACAGTGAGTGCGTACTCACCTTGCTTTTTATATAACTAATGTTCCCTTAAGGTATCTGCCCAGATCCCCTTCATCAGGCAGGCACCCCCAACCCCAGGTGCTATGAGTGTTGGTTGCTAATGATGCTCAGTTGCCCCTTTCTTTGGAGAGTTATCTTCTCGGGGAGCAGGAGCTACTTCATTCAGGAGGATCTCATCCTGATCACCCCAAATGTAGACAATGCTACTAGCCTGCTCTGGTATAAGAATGCTAAGGGCTGGTCCCACTTGCTTCAAGATGCAATTAGTTCTATGGTGAAATTCATACTCCAGAGAAATAACTCCATGGTATCAATCCAGAGGCTAGTTTCCAGTGAGACCACATTCTTGCTCACTCAGATCCTTCCCCTGCCTCATCCTGCTCCCATCATTCCCGTTCTCCCGAGAGCATCTACTCAATAAATCCTGTGCTGGTGAATCCCTGTCTCAGGCTCTGCTTCTCAGCACCTGACCTAGAATAACAAGTAAAGAAGTCTCCTCATAGCTCTTGGAGAAAAATCTGATTTGTTTGGGGATAGCTTTCTTTCCCTGTTCCTCCTGAGAACACCATTTTCTTTCTTTTTTTATTTAACTTTTATTTTAGGTTCAGGGGTACGTGTGCAAGTTTGTTACATAGCTAAATTGCATATCATGTGGGTTTGGTGTATAGATTGTTTCATCACCCAGGTAATCAGCATACTACTTGATAGGTAGTCTTTTGATCCTCAGTGTCCTCCCACCCTCCCCACCCTCCCCACCCTCAAGTATGCCAGGTGTCTGTTGTTCCCTTATTTATGCCCATGTGTGCTCATTGTTTAGCTCCCACTTATAAGTGAGAACATGTGGTATTTGGTTTTCTGTTCCTGCATTAGTTCATTCAAGATGATGGCCTCCAGCTCCATCTATGTTGCTGCAAATAACATGATCTCATTCTGTTTCATGGCTGTGTAGTGTTCCATGGTGCATATGTACCACATTTTCTTTATCCTTTCTACTGTTGATGGGCATTTAGGTTGATTCCATGACTTTGCTATAGTGACTAGTGCTGCAATGAACATATGTGTGCATGTGTCTTTATGGTAGAATGATTTATATTTGTTTGGGTATATACCCAATAGCAGGATTGCTGAGTCAAATGGTATTTCTGTTTTAAGTTCTTTGAGAAATTGCCACACTGCTTTCCACAGTGGCTGAACTAATTTACATTCCCGCCAGCAGTGTATAAACATTCCCCTTTCTCTGAAACCTCATCGGCATCTGTTGTTTTTTGACTTTATAATAATAGGCATTCTCACTGGTATGAGATGATATCTCACTGCAGTTTTGATTTGTATTTCTCTAATGATTAGTGAGATTGAGCATTCTTTTTTTTTTTTTTTTTTTTTTTTTTTTGTGATGGAGTCTTACTCTGTCGCCCAGGCTGGAGTGCAGTGGTGTGATATCGGCTCACTGCAACCTCCACCTCCAAGGTTCCAGCAATTCCCTTGTCTCAGCCTCCCAAGTAGCTGGGATTACAGGCACTTACCACCATGCCTGGCTACTTTTTGTACTTTTAGTAGAGATGGGGTTTCGTCATGTTGGCCAGGTTGGTCTTAAACTTTTGACCTCAAGTGATCCGCCTGCCTCGGCCTCCCAAAGTGCTGGGATTACAGGCATGAGCCACCATGCCCTGCCTGAGCCTTTATATGTTTGTTGGCCATGTGTGTGTCTTTTTATGAAAAGTATCTCTTCATGTACTTTGCCCACTTTTAAATAGGGTTATTTCCTTTCTGTTTGTTAATTTTCTTTAGTTCCCTATAGATTCTGGATATTAAACCTTAGTCAGTTGTGCAGTTTGCAAATATTTTCTCCATTCTGTAGGTTGTCTGTTTACTCTGTTTATAGAAACACTATTTTCTTAAGAAAAGAAAGAATGCCATGCCCTGCTAAGTGTTTTGTTTTGTTCCACATAGATATATATGTAGATATAGGCATATATAAGTAACAAAGCAAAATACTTTGTTTTGTAAGGGAACAAGTAGTTTTTATACATATAAGTACTTTTTTCCTCACAAATACAAGCCTATAGTATATCCTATTTTATAATTCATCCCTCAACTCCCACCTTGAACCTGGCCAACTTACTTTAGACTATGGTCAACTTTCCGCATATTAGTACATACAGATTCACCTTTCTAGTAACTGTATGGAATTCCTTATTTTAACCTGTTGCCAATTCAGACTTGAAAGTGTTTGCATTTTTCAGTATTATAATTTATGCAGAAAAGGTCATGTGCAAACATTTTTGTACCTCGTGCTAGTATTTTGGTAGCACAGAGTTCTAGAAATACAATGTATGGCTCAAACAGTTTGTATGTCTTAAACTAAGTAGAACTCCAAAAATCTCCCACCAATAGAATTTGAGAATACTTATTTCCCCATATTTTTACCAATGTAAATATTTTCAATCTTCTTTCCTTTTAAAATTATAATTAACAAAATGTGTTTTAATTTTCACTTTGTGCATTATTGGCAAGGTTGAGCATCTTTTCTAAGTTTGTGGATTACCTGTGCTTTACCTCTGTGTGTGGACTAGTCACACCCTTTGCTCATTTTTTACTGGCTGTTTTGTCAAGCTGATATATCTTAAGCTGTTCCAATTCTCAGGGTATATATGACATCCCTCCCTGGCTTCCAGTGCTGCTCCTCATTTACTCTTACTTTTATCCTTTTATTATGTGACAAGGATTTAGGGAGGAAAGTGTAGTTGGCACTGCTGGTGCCGTTCCAGATGCCCTTTCCTGGGGTTGTGCCCCTTTCCCAGCTGGTCTAAGTGTTGGCACCTAATGGCTCATGACTGCCTCTTTCAGATAATTGCTTTCAGCTAAACAGAAGCCACCTTGCATGGGAGAATGTGCTCCAACCAGGGGCAGCAGGTAGATCATGACTGATTTACTGGGATTACAAAGGCCAGCCCCTTGCCTCAAAGGGGGATAACTGTGTGGCATAATTCATCCTTTGAAGCTCCCCATGGGCTCAGGCTGAAGCTGATCCCTTTTCAGACCACTTCCCCTTTTTTTATGCTTCTCTCCCTTCATTTTTCCTTTAAGCACCTACTCAATAATTCACATGTCCCCAGATTCCTGTCTCAGACTCTGTTCCTGAAGAACCTAACCTAAAACAGGCAGTGATATAAATGCATGAGCTCAGAGAAACATCTAATATAAACATCAGGAACCATTTCTTTTTGTGTGGACAATACAAAGTGGTGTACTTGTATGACAAAATTGAATGTTTTAGTCAGTGCTGACTTAATTATCTAGCCTCATTAAAAAACAGAAATAGATTTGTGTGTAAAAAAGCCATGACAGGATGTCATGTTGAGGTTATATAAGGCCCAAATCTGCCTAATATTTGCAGGATGGTAGAGAAAGAACCATTTGATATTCAGAGATCTTATCTAGGCTTTATATGGTAGTCAGAAAGGCAACCTGCCCAGGAGGACATCAGAAGCCACAGACCTGCTGTGTACTCTGCACTCTGGAACTTTTCTGTACCTTGAGGACAAAAATTTTTACAGATCTCATATCTAGTCTTTACTATATTATAGTTGTCACAATATTCCTGGATATTTTTGTGCATGACATGCTTTCTGCATGTGTAGTTGATATGAGGCCAGGGTGAGAATTATCTTCTTTCACAAATATTAGTTGAAAACCTTGCTCACTATAAAGAAGTTTCAAACTATAGACTTGAATACAGTATTATAAGATGTACAATATACCATATTATTATGGCGCTGGATGTACCTCTTCCAATTTCAAGTGGAGAAATGTATTCATTTTTAATTCACCTTTAAAAACGTTTTTAAATTATGAAATACTTAAAGATTCACAGGAAGTTACACGAAAATGTACAGGAAGGTCCCATGCAAACTTTCACCAAGCCTCCTCTAATGTTAACATCTTGCATAACCATAATATAATATCAAAACAAAGCAATTAACATTGGTAAAAGCCACAGAGCTTATTCAGATTTCAACAGTTACATATGCACCCACTAGTATGTGCGTGTATATAGTTCTACACAATTTTATCACATATGTGGCTTCATGTAACTACCACCACAATCAAGAGATGGAACTGTACTGTTACTGAGAGGTGAAGCTGGCTTGGCTTCTGGGTCTGGTGGGGACTTGGATAACTTTTCTGTCTAGCTAAAGGATTGTAAATGCACCAATCAGCGCTCTGTGTCTAGCTGAAGGTTTGTAAACAGACCAATCAGCACTTTGTAAAATGGACCAATCAGCACTCTGTAAAATGGACCAATCAGCATTCTGTAAAATGGACCAATCAGCAGGATGTGGGCGGGGCCAAATAAGGGAATAAAAGCTGGCTACCCCACAGCCAGCAGCAGCAACCGGCTGGGTGTGAGGGTTTGTTCTTTCACTCTTCACAGTAAATCTTGCTGCTGCTCACTCTTTGGGTCTGCACTACATTTATGAACTGTAACACTCCCTGTGAAGGTTTGCAGCTTCACTTCTGAAGTCAAGCGATACCATGAACCCACCAGAAGGAAGAAACTCTGGACACATCTGAAGGAATAAACTCCGGACACACCTTCTTTAAGAGCTGTAACACTCACTGCGAGGGTCGGCGGCTTCATTCTTGAAGTCAGTGAGACCAAGAACCCACCGGAAGGAACCAATTCTGGACACATTACCACAGGACCTCTCGGTCTAGTCTTTTATAGGCATACCTGCTTCTTGTTCCACCCACCCCCATACCCAATACCTGGTAACCACTAGTCTGCTTTCCATCTCCATAATGTCATTATTTCAAGAATGTTATATAAATGGAACGAGATAGCATATAGGCTTCTTAGTTTGCCTGTTGAAAATACAGCACGATGCCCTTAAGATCCATCCAAGTTGTTGTATTATCAATAGTTTGTCTTATATGTGAGTAGTATTCCACAGTATGGAGATTCCTCAGTTTAACTATTTACTTTTGTGTAGTTTCTAGTTTTTCCATTATGAATAAAGCTGCTATGAACATTCTTGTGCAAACTTCTGCATGAATAGAAGTTTTCATTTCTCTAGGATAGATGTCCAAGGGTTCAATTGCTGGATTGTATGGTTAGTCTGATCTTAGTTTTAAAAGAAATGGTGAAACTATATGCTGGAGTGGTTGCATCATTTTACCTTCCCACCAGCAATGTATAAATGACACAATTTCTCTGCCTCCTTGCCAGCATTTGGTGTTGTCACTGTTTTTTTTTTTACACATTTTGGTAGGTGGGTGTGTATTGATATCTCATTATAACTCTGATTTGGATTTACTTAATGGCTAATGATAGTGAACATCTTTTCATGTGCTTATTTCCCAGCAATATTTGGTGAAATATCTCTTCATTTTTTTCCTATATTTTCTAATTGGATTGATTGGGTGGAGTATCTCTTCATTTTTCTCCCATTTTCTAATTGGTTTGTTTCCTGTTGAATGTTAAGACTTCCTATGTGGAATGCTTGTACACTGTTGGGAGTGTAAATTAGTTCAACTATTGTGAAAGATGGTGCAGCAATTCCTGAAAGAATTAAAACCAGAAATACCATTCAACCCAGCAATTCCATTACTGGGTGCATACCCCAAGGGATATAAATTGTTCTATCATAAAGACACATGCACTCATATGTTCATTGCAACACTATTCACAATAGCCAAAACATGGAATCAACCTAAATGTCCATCAGTGATGGACTGGATAAAGAAAATGTGGTACATATATACCGTGGAATACTATGCAGCCATGAAAAAGAGATTATGTCTTTTGCAGGAACATGGATGGAGCTGGAGGTCATTATCCTTAGCAAATCGATGTAGGAACAGAAAACCAAGTACTGCATGTTCTCATAAGTGGAAGCTAAATGATGGGGAGACATGGACAAAGAGAGGGGGACCACATACACTGGGGCCTACTGGAGGGTAGAGAGGGGAGGAAGAAAAGGATCAGGAAAAATAACTAATGGGTACTAGGTTTAATAGCTGGGTGATGAAGTAATCTGTATAACAAACCCCCATCACACAAGTTTATCTATATAACAAACGTGTACCCCTGAGCTTAAAAGTTAAAAAAGAGTTCCATGTGTATTGGAAATACAAGTCCTTTGTCAGTTACATGATATGAAAATATTTTCTTCCAGAATGTCATTTGTCTTTTTGTCTTCTTAATAGGGTCTTTCACAAAACAAACATTTTAAATTATGATGGGGTCCAACTTATAAATTTTTCTTTTCACTTACTTTTTAGTCAACAAATAATTATTGAATATCAACAATTTATTAAGATATTGTTCCAGGCACCCTGTAGAGATCACGGATGTGACATAGCTTTAACTTCGGGCACTTAGAGTCTAGCAGGGGAGATTGGAGATCTATGCAAATAACTAATAATACATAGCAAGTGCTAAGTGACATGGAAGAGGTCGAGATACATTTTTGGCTGATAAGGAAGCAGTGAGTGAAAGTTTTATTTCACCACTTATGCGCCAGAAATGTCACAAAATAGCATAGAATCTTCATTTATAAACTCATTTTCCAGGTTGAAAATGATAGTTTTTAAATAAGTAACATATAATAAATCTCATGTACAAAATGATTCCACATACATTGTATCAATAACAATCTTACAGGGTGGTGGAGAGGATTACAACATATTTTATATGTGAAAAAATCTTGGATTCAGCCAAGTTAAGCAACTTGCCCAAGGTCATGCAGCCAGGAAGTGGTGAGTTCAGACTGGCACCTCAGTCTTGTGATTAATGCTCTTTTAATTCTACCCAGAATCCTCCTGAGACATGTCCTTTTCTTGCTAGTATAAACTCATCAGTCTTCTGGCTAAGAAATGAATTGTCTGATTCGCATTTTAAAAGAAGACGTGGTACGGTTCCTTGTGCACACAAATGTCAAAGAGCTCTTATTGATAAAGGAGGAATCCATTAATGCTCTTACGGTGGTCAAGATCATGCAGAAAATGGAAAAACAAGCGCTGCCTGTGAGTCATGAAGTGATGCTATGGTTGGATTCAATGACATTTTGCTGGAGACTGCTCAGGATGGGGGAATTGAGAACATGGTATTTTAGGTCATCTGTGCCAGACACACTGTTATCCAAAATCATCTTCAGATGCCAAACCTTTCACAGAGAACATTAAAAAGCAGTCAGTATTAGCGCTGGTGAAGAAAGGTGGGCCTGTTTCTAACCCAAAGGACTACCTACCAATAGGAAACTGGGGCTCATTTTCATTCCTCTGTCTCTGGGCTTCCATCTGTACTTCCTGCCTTATTTGTGACCTTGCTCGAATCACTTAACTATTCTGTATTTATTTGTCTTTCTTTTAAAGTGTTTATAACTTAGGTAAGATGTTAGGACTTTGATTCTGAGAGTCTGTAAAGAAGTGGATTGACTAAGTCAGCTTTGCAAACATCTGCATAATGCCAAATAAACTTTGAACCCAGCACCCAATCATGTCATGATGCAGCCCCTATGGGGCCCATGTTGAAAGTACCCTTTGACATTCTATATTCAAACATTTATCCTGTTGGCCTGGCATCCAGTTGAAAAAGCTGAAATCTTCACTGGATCTGGACAGAAATGAATTCCAGTGTTTACATGTGGCTTACTATGTACCAGTCGGGAGGCACATGTAGGAAAATAGGTGAGTTGTGGTAAACTTTTCAGCTGATTTACTCCAACCACTGTGTCCGTCTTACTGTCTTTGCTACTCACAAACATAACACTCCAGTCTTTACACTTCTCAAGGGCCGGACTTAATGATTGGAGCAAGACAAATAAGTTTTCCTGGGCAACTTAATGTGCACTGTGGAAGGGAAGACTTGCCTCATTCTTAGGTGCTGGCCACTGAGTAGAAGGTAATTCTGGAGCTGTCAGATGCCACTACATTAAGTAAGTCAGCTTAATAATAAAACCTAAGGGGGAAAGCAGAGAGGAGTAGTGGAGAAAGAGGGAAAGAGAGAGCAAACAAACTAGAGAGAGGCTGAGACTGTAGTTCTATTTCTGCTGACATCACCTGAACCCCTGAATCCAAAAGTGCCTGACGTTAGACCTACATCTGGACTTTGCATTTAAGTGAGCCTATGTATTTCTTTTCACTTCTAAGCCTCTTAGAGTTGGGTTTCTGCCACTTGTAACTAAGAGTTCTTGAGACCTCTTAAATAAGTTATAATAAATCCTGTTCAGTAGAATATCATATAGCTGGAAGAAAAGAAGGAAGGAAGGAGGGAGGGAAGGAGGGAGGAAGGGAGGAAGAAAGGAAGAAGAGACGGAGGGAGGGAGAGAGGGAAGGGAGGGAGGAAGGAAGAAGGGGAAACTCCTTATAATGATAGCGAATGATTACATGATACATTGTTTAGGGGAAAGGCCAATCGACTTGTTATTATAATTTGCACTTATTGATTACAACAATTCAGAACAATGAACACCATTTAACATAAGTTTATTTTGTCTGTCCAGATGGATTATCAACTCCTGAACATTCTTATCCTATTTTTTCTCCCCTCCATAGCAATCAACAGGCTCACAGTACTGTTTTTTATTGGACTCTGCTCCCTGAGGTAAAATCATGTTGAAAACCTAGTTTCAAACAAATGTTTTTATGAAATGTTTCACTGGCAGGACTTGGTTTCACAATCAAGAATCTATTGGTCTGACAAAAATAAACCAAAAAATGGGCAAAGGATATGAACATAGAGTTTAAAAGGAAATACAAGTGTCTCATAAACATATGCAAAATGTTCTACCTCACTTTTAATAAGATAATAGCAAGTCAAGCTATCGAGACCATTTTATATAATTGGCAAAGATCTGCAAGTTGGATAATGTACTGTGTAAAGGGATATGTCAGTGTATCAGAAAAGTATCAGTCAGGTACAACTAGAAAAACAGAAACCACTTGGAATATTTGAAATGGGGGGAAGTTAAAACATAGAGTTGGTTACCCGGAGGATGTGAGAGGCTGAAAGACTCCCAGGAAACAGTGAGACCACTGGAGATTAGCAACAGTAGGACATCCTGTTACCTCCAGGCCAAAGGGACAAGAGGGGGAGATGTTGCCAGAACCCAGGGAGCTGAGCCCATACTGAGCCTGTCCTACTGGACTTGGGACCACCCAGGAGGAGTAGCTGCTGCCCTAGACACCCTTCTGTTCCCACCACTCAAGCTGAAAGGGAAGAATGGGAAACACCCTGGCTTCTCCCTTTCTCCCTCCTATTCTCCTACTGCTGAGTCCCATCGGCCAATTGATAGGGGAGTCTGGGAAATGAAGCCCCCCATGAAGCAGAGTCGGAAGGACTAGGAATGGATATGAGAGCTAACAGGCTCAGAACCATCAGAGGGGTGGGTGTGTGAAATATGCACTCACATACCTTGTGTGAGATCATGAGTTTATATCTCTATGAAGGGCATTTGACATTATCCAAATTACAAATGCACATCACCGTTGACCCCATGATCCAGTTGTACAGATTTATTCTTCATATGTACCCCCACACGTACACAGTTACATAGGAACAAAGTTATTCATGCATAATTGTTATTAACAGTGATAGATTGGAGACCATTTAAATGCCCATAATTGGGGGCCCTTACATAAATTTTGGCATATCTTATTCAATGGAATATCATACAGCTGTAAAATAACAAGAAAAAGTTTTTGGTAATGATATGGAATGACTCCACGATAATATCTTGTTAAGGGAAAAGATCAAAATGTAAAACAATGTGCATAGTTTGTACAACAAAAATAAAAATAAGAGCATTAGACAAATATGTTTGTGTATATGTCAATTTCCTTGAGGGAGGTACACACTGGTTGCCCCCAGGAAGAGGAATTGAGAGACAAGGGTGGGAGGGAGTCTTGTTAACTGTGTTCCATTTGTAGTTTTAGAATTTTGTGCCACATGAATGCTAATCAAGCACAGCTAAATAAAATTTAAATTTAATGTAAACAAAAGAGAAACAAACTAACTTCCTTCCACTTTACCAGTTTGTAGACATTAAAATCCCTTTAAAGGAGGGAATCGAATCTTTAAAGAAATTAACTCCTTTACCTTCCGAGTTCCTTTCTTTAAGGTTTTGTCTTGTTTTGTTTTGTTTTCTGCTGTGGACTGATCAGCAAACAAGCCATTTATTTCTACTGCGCACATTTACACGGAGAGAACAGCCTCAACCCACCGGCTTGAGAGGATTTCCAGGGATTCAGAAATCGCCAGTGTAACTCCATAAATGCTTTATTTTCATGGAGCGACTTCCACCCTGCAGCTAAAATTGACAAAGTGTTTTCACAGCCGAGTTGTTGGGGCTGAGGCAGTGGGTCTCAGGAAGATCCCTGGCTTAATGGATGCAAACGCACAATGAAGTCCCGGCCTGGAGTGGAACCTTTCAACTCCCAGTCATTCTTCCAGGACCGGGAACTCCTGGCACGAGCCCGAAAGCGTTCCTCACTTGCAGCAGTCTTTGGGAGTCTTTCTGACAGCGCGGGCTCACTAACCCGGCGGTTCCGCAGCTGTGTTTGGGAGACTTGGGGGCGCATTAGCCTGGACAGCTCCCTGATCGGTAACCCCTTTGATGTGTGTTGAATGAATGAGCGTCGTTAGCGTAGTAGTAAATTTATGGGAGAATTAAAGCAATCCAGATAGGGGTCACTACGGAGACTTTAATTACCCAGGGACTGTGAAGTGGGGAAGAGCTGTCTGTGGAGGAGCGCCACACCATGTCTTAGATTCAGGCAGGCCCCGGATTCTGGTGACCCATTACTCTACGGTCACTGAGGGTCCGGGCCCCCAGGACTCAGAGGCAGGAGACAGGAAAAGCCTGACTTAGAATCGGGGAAGGACCTGGAGTCGCACATGGGGGCTCCCGAACCGCGGCCCCAATACTGCACTGCGCCGCAGGGAAGAGCCCCGGGAGGGGCGCGGGTCCCCGCCCCGGGCGCGCGCAGCCCTGCCCCGCCTCCTCCCGGTGCGCCCCGCCCCTCCCGGCGCGTGCCGCCCGCGCGCCCGAGGTGCTCTGGAGGAACCGGCCCGGCGGGCACCCCCTGCCCCGGCGCAGGCGCGATCGCGGGCCGCCCCTCCCGCCGGGCGCCCTGCACGCGCCCCCGCCCCGCCTCCGCAGGCTCCCCCGCTCCGGGCGCCTCTGATTGGCTCTCGGCCGGGCCAGCAGGTGTCGGCGGTGGCTGCGGCCAGGCTGGCCCTGGCTGCCTGCGGCGCGGGCGCCTCCCTCGCAGCCGCTGCTGCCGACGCCGCTGCGCTCCCGCCTCCTGTCGGTTCCCGGGTTCCCGCTGCGGCTGCGGTTCTGGCAGCCGAGCCCCCGCGGTGCTGCAGCCCAGCTTTAGCGCGCAGACCGACCCGCGCCCCTTCTTCGCCGCCGGCAGCCTCTAATCCACGCGGCGCGTTGCGGCAGGTGCCCTGGGCGTACTGAGGCGCGGTGGCCTGAGCCCGGCCGCCATCGATGACCCCGGTCGCGGACTTGCTTCAGGCTGGCCACCCCCCGTGAGTACCGTCCGCCTCCCTCTTCTCCCCTCTGGCAGCTTTGCGCCACTCTCCCCTCAACGTTGCCGCAACTTCGGGGGTGGGTGTGTGAAGGTGTGGAGGTGTCTCTCACGCTCCCCCGCACCCTGTGCGCGTCCGGAGCCAGGAACCCTAGGCGCGGCCAGTCAGCCTCTGCGGAGGGGCGAGGGGCGCGGGTACTTGAACTTGCTCAGGGATCATCGCGGAGCCAGAATCGCCTCTTTCTCTCGCTGCTGGGGTGGGAGCTCGCCTCTGCGTTTCCCTCGCGTTTTCCGATCCCGGATGGCCACGTAGTGCTTGGGCTGCGGTTCACCGCGTACCTACTGTGCTGCGGGCGCACCGGCGGGACGCCTCAAACCATCCGTTAAGCGCCCCGCAAGCAGCCCAGCGCGACGGACCTGACTCAAACTCTTAATTCTGTAAAACGGGGGTAATCAGGGACTCTCTCAAGGTCACAGCTGGTGCTCAGAGTTAGAACACAGGTGGATTGCGTCTGGCCCTCGCCCGCGGGCTGCCTGGGGAGGGGAGAGCTGTTGGCGGGGCGGTCACTTCAGCTTCATCCCGGGTTCCTCCTCATACTCCCTTTCCGCCACAGCCGCCAGACTTGAAGAGGTAGGGAGCCAATCCCAGGGGGCTCTACATAGATTTGGAGGTAACGGCGGAGGATCTTCCTGATGGACGCGTGGAGCGGAAAGATTCAGTGGTGGGAACCCCAAGACCTGCGGCTTTTTGGAGCACTTGCTCCCCTTCTTGTTCCTTAATTTACTGACGTCTTGGCAGGGTAGGGGAATTTGTTCTTATATCCGTCCTGCTCCTCTTTTCTTTTGCCAAATAAGCACCGTCCCCAAGGATAAGTACGTATCCCAAAACTCTTAAATGCACACACTGGTTTGGGCCTAGGGACTTCCTAAGAGAAGCGAGTACGCTGTGGGCTTGGTTCGCTAACGTTGGCTCCTATCCGCTCCTAGAAAATGCCTTGAGTCTGGCTTCATTTCCATGCTCTCCATCTCCCCGACCATGATCTCGATTTGTTGATTTTCTTGACACTTACTCAGGGGAGGAAGACTGAGACTGGGGGCTGGCCAGTCTTGGGGTATGCAAATGATGTCGGGTGTGATTCTTTTACTCCAGGTCCTTTGAGGTGGCTCCAGTGGGGCCGCCTGTGGTGTTGTGGGCGCTTCTCAGAGCTCTGGGCTGGGGAGAGCGTCACCTAGCCTCTCTTGCCATTATCACCTTGTCCCTTCAACTCAGCCTCCCCCACCCCAACTCTGAAACTCAGCCATGAGATCAATACTTAGTTTTGTGATGACTGACCAGCATCTTTGAACCTGAACTTTTTCATTTATAAAATGAAATAATCCCCGCCGCCTTTCAATCTTCCCAAGGAACTTGGAGTTCATAGGATATGATAAATGTGAAAATGCACTGGGGTTTTATTAAAAAGTCGAAGGAAGATGGTTCAAGGCATCTGGGTCTACGGTGGAAATGGAGGTAATTTAAAAAATTTTACAGCAATATCTGGGACCCTATTTGCAGATTTCAAAATCTTTTTAGAGAAATTTAGTTTCCCAAGACTTTGAAGATACTGCTTTCCATCTTCCTGCTCACGTTCCTTTGCCTGGCCATGGGCAGCTGCGTCTCTCCTAATTACCCACCACTACCTCCATCTGCGAGCTGTCTCTGTGGGCCAGAAGCTGTGTCTGTGGGACTGTTTCTGGAGAGTGGGGGGAGGCTGTGTGTGTGTGTGTTGTCTCTGAGGAGTCAAAGTGTGTCTCTGTAGAGATGGTGTGTATCTCTTGGTGGCGCAGTGTTCTGTGTGGTCTGGGTTTCGTTTGTCTGCGTGTATGGTGGTAGAAGGGAGAGTTATCCGGCTGCAGAATTTGTTCACTTTTGAGAAAGTGAAGTGTTAGCCATACTCAGCTCAGTCATTTAAACTAGCGGTAGCATAGATTATGTTCTATCTCCTTCCTCCCTGCCCAGAGGGATTCCCGATGGCTGAAAAATATCCCGTAGAAAACAAGGCTTCCCCCTGATTTTGCCTTCGAATTATTATTGTGTATGCACAGACTCTTGCCGGAAAGCCAAGTTAAAGGGAGATGACTGATCAGACCTTGGTGAATTTAACAGTCTGTTGAAGTATAATTCCAGAAAATAATGCAGTTCTGAAGGATACACTCAGTGGATTGTCACAACTGAGCACACCTGTGTAACCAGTGCCCTGATTAAGACCCAGAATATTTCCAATCTTCCCATTACCCCTACCTACAGGCACTATCCTCCAAGGGTAGCCATCATCCTGCTTAGTTTTATCAGGTTAGTTTTATTTTTATTACTATTGTTATTTATTTTATCATTTTAGTTCCCAAGCTAAAATGAGACTTCTTGATGATTTTCTACCTCCTTTTTAATAAATGCAATCCAAGAGTAGTTATACTTAAGCCAGTACAGAAAAATAGAAGGAATAATTTAGCCTTACAATCTGGGTGAAGAATGACTTGGTTGTCCCACCACACCTTGATCATTAGTTATTTGGTGGTGTAACAAACCTGATCCCAGATGTAACAGTGCTGACATTGGTCAATGGCGGCTGGTTTGTTCCCATAAGAGCTTTTTCATAGGGTGAATTAAAGTAATGCAAACATGAAATTATGTGATATTAAAATATGAATGAAGAAAAAATGAATAGATTCTCATTTGATATATAAAAAGGAAGTATTTTGAATTCCTCAAAGATAAAAAGTTGACAGAGAATCAGAATTTGAAAGCTGACTGATTTATGAACTGTTGGTGTTGTTGCCACATGGTGGCGCCAGGTTGGCTGGAGAACTGAAATACCTACCATCTTTTCCCAAGCTCTCAGAAAGGAATCCCAGGAATAAAATCCAACAATCCAACAACTCAGTATCTCCGAACATGATTTCCAACTACTATTTTCCATATCTAGCAAGTAGATCCCTTGTATGGTCCCTGCTACTAAATCCATGGGTAGAACTCTATCCCAGCTCTTTATGAAGATGGCCGTGGGATGGGGGCAGGTGCTTGTTGGAGGGAGCTGGAGGTGGGACACTGTTGCCTTTCCCTCAGCAAGATGGAGTTAAGGTGGTGTGTCCTTGTGATTTTAAAGAGGGTTAACTGAGAAGCAAGCTTTGGTCGCCTCATCCTACCCCAGAATCTCTTCAGAGGTTTGAAGGAATGAGTTCTCATTCCGAAGGCTGGTATCTCTTTTCACAGAGCCCTGTCGATGCTGAACCTGGAAGAATACATAGCCCTGGCTGTAGCCACGCTACTGTTGCTGGAAGACATGTCCCAAAATCCCACAGAGCATGCCCAAGTGACCCGGGAGATGTGGGGATGTTGTATCCAGATATGGAGAAGGCTAAGTGGACCCAGCTGGTGCCCTTCTCCCATCCATCACCTTTTGTTTTTATTGTCAGCACGACTGAGATGCTGTTTAGAAGATTGTATTCATTTGGTGGCTTCCATGCCCATAATCACCAAGAGTGTTGAGTGTTTGTCATGTGTTGGGCACGATAATTATATTTATTCTTCACAATAGGAGGAGGATGGCTTTCCAATTTTAAGATAAAAGAACTGCACCTTGAAAGTTACACACTCTAAGTTTACACACTATGCAAGCCGGAGTGAAGGTTAAGAGCCAAGTGCCTGAGACAACATCCCTAGCTGAGTTGTACTCTTCTGCAGTGGCCGGAGGTGGAGGGGAGTCTTATATATAATTCTTTTGTCTTCACTGGCACCTACTCTAGCACTTTACATGTAGCCACTTAAGTGTAAGTATGGAATTGCTGAAAATAGAAAATTCTGTCATAAGCAAGAAGGACAGTGAAAGATGAGAACTTGGGGTCAAGTCCATTCAACCTGCAATGCTGGGACTCAGCGTGCCTACTAGAGTGTGTAGTTTTATTATGTGTTTAAAACAACATGTTATGGACACCTGTCTTATCTATTTTTGTGATTTTTTTCACCTAACTTTTTTTACATGTGTTGATAACATATATTGATCATTGTAAATCTAGTTGACTCATTTTAGCTTAGCATTCCTTTGATATGCCACAGTTTATATATTGATAGATAAAAGATTTTTCTACCTCTTGGTATTATTAAATATATTACAAGGAATATCCTTGACAAGATCTTGTAGAAATGTACAAGAGTGTGTCTTGGGCATATATCCTCAGAAGGGGAACAACTGAGTAGTAGGATATGTATGCTTAAATCAACATTCATCTGTTATTTTAGCTCTCCTAGGTTTGGCAGGTTGCCCTCCTACTGCATTGTGTTGGAGTTCCTTGTATTCCCATATCTTTGGCTGTGACTGGTATTAATCAGATGTTTTGATTTTGGCTAATCTGAGAAGCTTGGAATGTATTTTACTGCTCTTTTACTTTGCATTTCCCTTAGAGATTATCTTTTTAATATATAGTTTTAATATAGTTTTTCAATTTTTTGTGTATTTCCATTGGTTTTTTTACTGGCAAAATTTTGTTTTTCATAGTTGGGTCTTTGAACTCCTCTGAAATTTGTATACCTGTGTTGTTGAGGCAGGAGTATAATTGTTTTCCATATTGAAAACCATTTACCACAGTATCATTTAATGAATAGTTTACTATTTTCTCACTTATTTTGTTGCCATCTCTGACATATGCTAATTTCCGTTATATCCTTGGATCTGTCTCTTGACTCTCTGTTCTACTCATGTTTTTGTGATTCCTGAGCTAATACCATTTCATTTAATTATTAAAGCTTTATAATAAATCTTCTCTTCTTACCCTTTTTCCTTAAAACTGTCTTGGCTATTCTTGATGCTTTAGGCTTCAACATGAATTTTAGGATCTATCCCTTCCTATGAAAATTCCTGTTATAATTTACATTGAATCTAAAGGTTAATTAGAGGAGACTTTTACCTTTTCACTATTGATATGTTCCTTTCATGGACATGGCCTATCTCTATACATTATTTTGTAGGTCATTCTACAAGGCTTTATAATATTCTCCATAAAGTTCTGAAACTTGTATTAGGCACCTTATAGGTTTTCATTATCATTTTTCAGTTGAGGTATAAGTCACATACTATACAATTCACTCATTGAAAGTTTACAATTTAGTGTTTTTAGTAAATTTGCAGGGTATGCAGCCATCAACACAATCTAATTTTAGAATATTTTTGAACCCTGCAAAATAAACCCTGTACCCATTAGCAGTCATTTCTCAGTTCTTATCCCTCCACGCACCCTGCCACACACCCAGCCCTAGGCAACCTTACCAATCTACTAAGTCTATACATTTGCCCATTCTGGATATTTCATATAAATGGAATCATACAATAATACAGTATGTGGCATTTTGTGTCTGGCTTCTTTCACTTAGTGTAATGTTTTCAAGGTTATCTAAGTTGTTGAATGTATCATTGCTTCATTCCTTTTTATTGGTGTATTTCATCATATATATGTGTGTGTGTGTGTATGTATGTATATATATATACACATACATATCACATCTTAGTATCCCTTCATTAGTCCTTAGAAGTTTTATTGCTCTTGTGAATGGGATCATCTCTCCTCTAGCTACATTTTTAAAATTGGTTATTGCCAGTATATAGTAAGGGGGCTGTTTTTTTGTATTCTAATTTTCTATTTGGCATCTTTGTTGGTTTGTAGATTCTCTGGATATTCTGTAGAAAGCCATAGGTACTACAAGTAATGGTGGTTTTGTTTCTTCTGTTTTAAAACTGTTTATATATTTTTTCCTTGGAATATTACACTGCCTAGGGCCTCTGGCATAATGTAGAGGAATAGTGGTGATAGTGGACCTCCCAGTCTGGTATGACTTTGATAATGTTTTAAATATTCACCAAGAGTATGGTGGTTACTTTAGGTTTGTGGCAGATTTGCTTTAACGTGTTAAGAAATTGTATACTTTTGGTATTCTAATAGCGTTTTTTTTTTTTTCAATTATGCTTATGTTAAATTTTTATCATATTCTTTTTTATATCCTCTTTAACAAAGTTGAATTATTAGCTATAATATCAATTCATTTTGTTTTCCTTCCAAAGTTTGTATTATGAAAACGTTATATTTCCAAATGTAAAATTATATTTTAATATTGAATTTGCCTTTTCTTTTTTTCTTTTTTTTTTTGTTTTGTTTTGAGACAGAGTCTTGCTCAGTCACCCAGGCTGGAGTGCAGTGGTGCAATCTCGGCTCACTGCAAGCTCCGCCTCCTGGGTTCACACCATTCTCCTGCCTCAGCCTCCTGAGTAGCTGGGACTACAGGCGCCGGCCACCACGCCCAGCTAAATTTTTTGTATTTTTAGTAGAGACGGGGTTTCACCATTTTAGCCAGGATGGTCTCGATCTCCTGACCTCATGATCCACCCGCCTCGGCCTCCCAAAGTGCTGGGATTACAGGCGTGAGCCACCGCACCAGCCTGAATTTGCCTTTTCAAATCATACTGACAACCTATCCTGAGAGTAAACTCCCCTTGTAGGTATTTTTCTTTCTTCTCTTACTTGAGGATCAGTGTCTTGAAGAAAGATCAGACTGACTGAAGAGTTTACAAAGGCTAATAAATATGAAGCACTCTGAACAGTGCCTGGCACTTAAGTCTTAGTTATTATCATAATTATACAATGTAGTTAGTAATAAATTATCAAAGAGCGTTGATTTGGAGTCCTGAGGAGGAGGCTTCACTAGGGGGAGGCCGGCCCAAATGGAGTGGCTAATGGAGAATGTGGTATTTGACTTGGCAATTGAAATTAAATTAAACTAAGTGTGTTAATATAAAACATAATAATTATAGAAATATAGGCAAACAGAAGAAAGTAAAAATCACCTATATTCCCACCACTTAGTTGCTTTTGAAATTTTTATATATTTTTTTCCAGAGGTCATTTGATATTGTATACATAAATCCAAACCTTATAAAATATTCATTTTCTGAATCTCACTAGTTATTAAGCCTCTGTAATGATAACAGCCTTCACATCATCACATGAAAACATTCATTAATGAATTGCCCACTTATATGTAGGTCCCCATTGTGATGTCTTAAGATAGCACTAACGAGTGTCTGCCTACTAAGCATCATTTCCTTTATGGGCCAGTTGCTCCTCAGTTATATAGGATTTTACTGGACATGATAGTGCAAATTCATTGTAGAATAGAATTGCAAATCTTGCAAAAGATGGAGAACTTCGTGAAACTGATGAAACTAGGTTGACAATCTGCAGAAAACACTTGCTGATTGTTGAACACATTGATTGCTGACAGCCCTAAACCTGGTAAGGATCGAAAAAGAGACAGTATCTGCATGCTCCAGAAGAGAATGAGTTGAATGACAAAATAAGGAGAGGTCCTTTTGATGCCCATCCTCAAATAATTTTGCTCAAAAGTGATACTGTTTCTGAGCTTGTCAGAAACGTCAAATGCTCATTGAAGGATGTTTTGTGCTCTTAAGTTTGCTGGGGAATTTATTCCCCAAATATGAAAACATGATTTATTTTAAGGTAGCATTTTCCAGAAGAAATATGCTAGGAATACATGTAATTTAAAATCTTCTCATGGGCACATTAAAAACATTTTTTAAAATGGTGGAACTAATTTTAATAATATATTTAATTCAGTATATCAAATATACTTTTGTATATATTTCAAGATAAAATCAATATAAAATTATCAATGGAATGTGTGACATTCCTTTTTCTATACTAAGCCTTTGGAATCTAGAATGTATTTTATACCCACAACACATTTCAACTGGACTAGTCACATTTCAAGTGCTCAGTAGCCGCATGTATTGTATAGTGTGGTTCTAAGAACTAGTGTAAAGTTGTATATCAAAATTTGCTAAAAGATTAAATAAAATGTATCCTCTTGTTTTTTTCCCTTAAAATGTAATACTAATCAAAACTTTTTATTTCCCATTATTTACTGTGATATTTTAAGTGGATTCACTTTAACTGACTTTTCTCTGGTAACAAGTATCCTTGAATAATATGGACCATATGAATATTATTTTTTAAAAATAAAATGATACTTTAAAAAACTTAACAACACATCAGCAACTTTAATGCCAGTATTTATTCTTCTGTCATTACTTTCATCCTTCAAATAATCTGTTTAATCTATGTACTGTAATTTGTTCAATGAAACCATTCTTTTAAGACATTAGGCACTTTAGACTTTTATTAACTTCAACTTTGTAGACATTTTTTATTTTCTTGAGATGAAGTACTTTGTCAAAGTTAGTTTACTTTAAGCTTTTGATATATATTTTCAAATAACCCTCCAGAAAAGTTTATAAATTTATCTTGCCATCGGTAGTATATGAGTATGCCAAATTCCCATGCCTTGCCTTTGATAAGTATGATTATTCAATAACAGTGCTAGTTTCTTGGGCAAAAAGAAGAAACCCAGAACCTTGCTTTTTATTTCACCTTTCTCAACTGGTGAGGCAGAATGTATCTGCATATTTATTGGCTCTTCATGGCCAACTTCACTATAGAGTTATCCATGGAGGTTGTTTTTTATTTCCTGTGCATTCTGTAACTTGCATTTATTATTTGGTGTTTTTGAAAGAATAGTTAAGTTGTTTTACCCAGATCATGTTCATATTTTTAACTACTAAATACCTTTCCATCATATGAAATAACATATTTTATTAATAAGTTTTTCTATGATAGACTTTTGATTGTTTCTTTAATTTTGGGGGGGTATTACATAGATGCATTCAGTAAACATCCTTGAAATTTATTTATGCACATGTACAAGAAACTCTTGAAGATATATGCCTAGAAGTGAAATTGCAGGGTCTTATTTTATGTAAACTTTGAATTTGACCATTTGATGCCAAATTACTCCCCAAAGTGACAATACTAATTTAAATTTCTATAGCAATGTAGATGGATTGTATCTGTCACATTAAGGAGATAATACTACAGAAGGAAGAACAAAGATGTTAAAGGAGAAAATACATAGGTATATATTTTTGTGTATATATAAATACCCTAAAGTTCAATTAGAAAGCTCAGAGGTTTTTGACCTTTTCATTTTGAATATTGCATCATATAAGTGATTGTACATAAATATATCATAAACCTCATATAAATATTTACCAGTGGGGCGCGGTGGCTGATGCCTGTAATTCCAACACTTTGGGAGGCCGAGGTGTGTGGATCACCTGAGGTCAGGAGTTTGAGACCAGCCTGACCAACATGGTGAAACCTCGTTTCTACTAAATACAAAAAATTAGCTGAGCATGGTGGTGCATGCCTGTAGTCCCAGCTACTTAGGAGCCTGAGGCAGGAGAATTGCTTGAACTCAGGAAGCAGAGGTTGCAGTGAGCCGAGATTGAGCCATTGCACTCCAGCCTGGGCAACAAGAGCAAAACTCCATCTTAAAAAAAAAAAATTACCTAGCTGGGGAAAACTGGTAAGAGTTTAAATGGTCAGCTATTTAGTAGTGCCTTTAATGAGGACAGACTACAAGAGGAAGTAAACACCTGTTCGGGAGAACCAGGAAAGCACATCTGTCCAGCTCTGCCCCTGTCTCACCCATCCTAGGGTGTAGATTCTACCATTGGACAATTATTCCTTTTTGTCTTCTATTCTGTTAAAATTTAGAAGACTTTCGTTGGGGTAACTGCAAAGTAACACTGTGATATTAACACCCTAATGTGAATGAATATATGTGATCAATTGCTAGTGAGAGGCAGACCAGAACAGCGTGACACCACCAGAGGGTTAGTGAGGAAATGGCAGTGAGGTGGACATGGTTGGGGGATGGGCTGGATGATTTACTGAAAGAAACCTCTCCCACTTCCAACTTACCCTGAGGATGAATTCTGCATTTCTGCAGGGAAAGTAAAAAGAACTTTATGAAACTGTGTGCCTAAAAGCTTTCAGAAAACTGTTTTTGGTTTTTTATTCAATCATTATCTTCCCTAGATAATTATGAGTTAAATTTTCTGTGTATATTTATATAACATCATCTGGGGCAAGAAAAAACACTGTAAGGAATTCCATTTTGTGGCTGTGATTTACAATGTGATACCACTGATGAGACAGATGTGTGATCTGCAGCCGGGATACACAAATCCATGCTGTGGGCTGACAGTTTAATCTTACTGAGCTGACACTGGGGAAGAAAATGCAAAACGTGTGTGCCCCAGGAAGGATGAGTGCCTGGAAAACAGGTGCCCATGACCTCGGGATCTAATGTGGCTATTTGCCAAAAGCCTCAAATAATCTTCTGACACTGAATCCTGGTGGCTCAGATAACAGTGTCCTGTGATATGGTTCCCTCTTTTTGGTGTGAAATGTAACTATCTCAAAGTGTGTTGGGTCATTTTCTAGTCTGTCAAGCCCAGATGACAGGATTCTGGTGAAATCTTTGGGGAAAAGAAAAATACCCAAGCCTCTTTACATGATGGTTTTGTTTGTTTGTTTCCTGAAGAGATCCCAGTATGTGTAAGCAGTGCTTCCAGTTCCTAAAACCTTTCTGACTTCCCCTTGAAAACCTCTGTCTCCAGCATCATTTCATTTTCCCTATGTAGCTCCAGCCTCAGAAAATATGGCAGGTGCTGCTTTTGTGTTTGTCTTACATGAATACAGTTTTGTTGCTTTGCTTCTTCTGAAAAGCAATTTATTAATCATTAGAGATTTTGATTTACTAGAATGATACGTAAATAGTATTATGTTTGAGATGAGTATCTTTCTTTTACAGCTAATTATAAGAAAAATCAGAAATGTTGTTTTCATTGTTTTAATCCTTGTTCAAAGTCTTTCAGAAACCCACCAATCAATTTTTCAGCTCTGTGGTCCAGAGGATGTCAGGTGCCTCTCCTAGAACTGCAGATCTTGCAGTCTGGCACTGGAATGTTGCTGAGATCCCCTAAAGGCTCCTTCATGCTCCCAGGTCTGAATCCTTCCTTTTGCAGGTTCCAAGTACCTGATGCATGTTCTTCCCACTCCCCCTGCCACCATCCACTTTCTGCTTGGGTTGCTTTTCCCTCAGGCTGCTGCTGATGGTGGATGGGGATGCAATGCTGACATTTTCCCCTTCTCTTTTATAAATGATCTGAAAGCAGCAAAGAGAATGAAAAACAAAAGACCAAACATTTTTCACAAATCTGAAAGATAGTTAAAATTGCTTCCCCAAAAGGTGGAAACATTGCTAGAAAAAGTGGGATCATGGGATGCATGGGAGGTACCTGGAAGGAGGCAGAAGGATGTGCTCTGCATGTTCAGTCAAGAGCACCTGAAGGTGAGATTTCCTACTGGAGTGCAACACCCAAGTCCCTTGTACATAGTGGGATAAGGAAGCCTGCAGAGGCAGCAAACACTTCCTGCTGTCCTCCACTGCCCACCCCCGACCCCTGTACCACCCCGCCCCGACTTAGTGCCTTCTTTGCCTTTTGGCCAATCTCACCAGAGTTTTTACTGGTTCTTTTCAGACTTTCCAAAGAACCAACTTTTGACTTTGTCTTCTCTATCCTATCATTGTTTCTATTTATTAATCTCTGTTCTCATCTTTATTATTTCTTTCCTATTTCTTTGGGTTTTTTTTCTCTAATCTCTTAAATTTACATGATTAATTCATTAACTTACAGCTTAGCTTCTTTCCTATATATGCATTTAGGACTATAAATTTTTCTCTAAGTATTGCTTCAGCAGTGTTTTTATTTCACAAGTTTCGATATATAATGTTTTTGTTATTGTTCACATGTGAATTTTTAAATTTTTCATTATAATTTCTTCTTTGACTTATGACTTATATGTTTTTTCCTAGAACTTTTTAATATTTTTTTTTCTATTTTAATTCATGGTGACCAGAGAATATGGTCTACATGATTCCAGTTATTTGAAATTTGTTGATGCTTGTTTTGTGGCCTGGTACATAGTTATTGTTCACAAATGTTCCATAACTTCTTGAAAAGAAAGTTATTGGTTGCAGAGATTCATATCTGTTTATTAGCTGAACTTAGTTAATTATGTTATTCAAATATTCCATTTTTTAACTGATTTTTTGCAGTTTGGTTAATCAGTTATTGAAGGAGAAGTATATGAAAGCCAATTTATTAATTTCATCTTGTGCTTTCCTTTTGTTTTGTATATTTTGAAGGTGCCTTTTAGTTTAAGTGTATACCATTATGAGAAACCCTCTTAGTCTCTAGTAATACCTCTTGTTTTTAAGTCTGTGTTTAAGAGAGCTATACTATATTATATTTTTAAGTTGACATATAATAATTATACATATTTATGGTATGTAGTGATGTTTCAATATATACGGTATACAGTGATCAGATCAGGGTAATTTGCATGTCCATCATTTCAAACATTTATCATTTCTTTGTGTTAGATACATTCAATGTCATACTTCTAGCTATTTGGAACTCTATAACAAGCTTGTCTGTGCCCCATGGGCTGCATGTGGCCCAGAATGGCTTTGAATGTGGCCCAACACAAATTCGTCAAATTCGTAAACTTTCTTAAAACATTATGAGATTTTTTTTTGCGATTTTTTTTTTCTCATCAGCTCTCATTAGTGTTAGTGTATTTTATGTGTGGCCCAAGACAATTCTTCTTCCAATATGGCCCAAGGAAGCCAAAAGATTGGATACCTCTGCTCTATAGCATATTATTATTGACTATAGTCATCCTGTAATGCTGTAGAACACTAGAATTTGTTACTCTCATCTAGCTGTAATTTTGTATCATTTAACAATTCTCTCCCTTTCTCTACCCTTCCCAGCCTCTAGTATCCTCTGTTCTACTTTCATTTGTATGAGGTCATCTTGTTTTAGCTTCCACAAAGGAGTGAGAACATGCAGTGGTTAACTTTCTGTTCCTGGCTTATTTCACCTAATGTGATGTCCTCCAGTTCCATTCATGTTTCCACAAATGACAGGATTTGATTCTTTTTTTTTTTTTATGGCTGAATAGTATTTCCTGGTGTATATATACACCTCATTTTCTTTACCCATTAACCTGATGTTGGACACTTGGCTCTTGTGAATAGTGCTGCAATAAACATGGGAGTGCAGATGGCTTTGCTTTTCTTTTCTTCCTTTTTTTTTTTTTTTTTTTGAGATAGAGTCTGACTCTATCACCCAGGCTGGAGTGCAGTGGCGCAATCTTGGCTCACTGCAACCTCCGCCTCCTGGGTTCAAGTGTTTCTCCTGCCTCAGCCTCCCCAGTAGCTGGGATTACAGGTGCCTGCCACCACGCCCAGCAAATTTTTGTATTCTTAGTCGAGATGGGGTTTTGTCATGTTCCCCAGACTGGTCTTCTGACTTCAAGTGATCTGCCCGCCTCGGCCTCCCAAAGTGCTGGGATTACAGGCGTGAGCCACCGTGCCTGGTCAGATGTCTTTTCAATACACTGATTTCTTCTCTTTTGAATAAATGCCCAGTAGCCCAGTAGTGAGATTGCTGGATGATACAGTAGTTCTACTTGTAGCTTTTTGAGGAACCTCCATACTGTTCTCCATAGTGGCTGTCCTATTTTACACTCCCACCAACAGTATGTAAGTGTTTTCTTTCCTCCACATCCTTGCCAGCATTTGTTATTTTTTGTCTTTTTGATAATAGCCATCCTAACTGGGGTAAGATGAAGACTCATAGTGGTTTTGATTTGCATTTTCCTGATAATTAGTGATGTTGAGCATTATAAATATATTTGTGGAACATTTACATATCTTCTTTTGAGAAATGTCTACTTAGAGCATTTGCCTTCTTTTTAATGGGATTTTTTTTTCTGTTGAGATGTTTGACTTCATTTTATATTCTGGATATTAATTTCCTGTAAGATGAATAGTTTGCAAATATTTTTTTCTCATTCTGTAGGTTGTCTTATCACTCTATTTATTATGTATTGTTTCCTTTGCTTTGGAGAAGCTTTTTAGTTTGATATAATCCCTTTGCTTATTTTTGCTTTTGTTTCCCATGCTTTTGAAGTCTTATCCATAAAATCTTTTTCCAGATCAATGTCCTAAAGTATTTCCCCTATGTTTTTATCTAGTAATTTTGTAGTTTTGTCTCTTACATTTAGATCTTTAATCCATTTTGAATTGATTTTTGTTTAAGGCGAGAAGTGGAGGTATAGTTTCATTCCTCTGCATATGGACATCGTTTTCTCAGCACCATAATTTAAGAGATTATCCTTTCCTCGGTGAATGCTCTTGGTGCCTTTGTCAAAAATCATCTGGTTGTAGATATGTGGATTAATTTCTGGGTTCCTTATTCTATTCCACTTGTCTATGTGTTTGTTTTTATGGCAATATTATGCTGTTTTGGTTATTACAGCTTTGCAGTATATTTTTAAGTCTGGTAGTGTGATGTCTCCAGCATTGTTCTCTTTGCTCTGGATTGCTTTGGCTGTTTGGGGTCTTTTGTGGTTCCATACATAGTTTTGGATTTTGTTTTCTATTTTTGTGAAGAATGTCATTAGTATTTTGATAGGGATTATTTCATTGAATCTGTAGGTTGCTTTGGATAGTATGACCATTTTAATTATATTCATTATTTTGAACCTTGAACATGGCATATTTTTCCATTTGTATTCTCTTCAATTTCTTTTTATCAGTGTTTTATATAGTTTATTTTGTAGAGGTTTTTCACCTCCTTGGTTATATTTATTTCTAGGAACCAGGTATTTTGTTTTATTTTTTGTAGCCATTGTAAATGGGATTGCCTTCTGGATTTCTTTTTCAGATAGTTGATTGTTTGTGCATATTAATCCTACTAATCCGACTGATCGTTTTTTTTTTTCTTTTTCTTTTTAACAGACAGTTTCTCACTCTGTTTCCCAGGATAGAGTGCAGTGGCATGATCATAGCTCACTGCAGCCTTAAACTCCTGGGCTTAAGTGGTCTTCTTGCCTCAGCCTCCCAAGTAATTGTGACTATAGGCATATGCCACCACATCTGGCTAATTTTTTAAAATTTTATATAGAGACAAGGTCCAACTATGTGGCCCAGGCTAGTCTCAAACTCCTGGCCTCAAGTGATCCTTCCACCTTGTATTTCCATAGTGCTGGGATCACAGGCATTGAGCCACTGTGCCCAGCCAGTGCTATTGATTCTTGCTTGTTGATGTTGTATACTACAACTTTATTGAATTTGTTTATCAGTTCTAAGAGCTTTTTGGTAGAGTATTTTGATTTTTTGCTATATAAGATTATGTCATCTGCAGAGACAACTTGACTTTTTCTTTTCTATTTGGATGCCCTTTCTTTCTTTCTCTTGCCTATTTGCTCTTACTAGTACTTCCAGTACTATGTTGAATAAAAGTGGTGATAGTGGACATCCTCGTCTTGCACTAGTTCTTGGAGAAAAAGCTTTTGGCTTTTTCCCATTCAGTATGATGTTAGCTGTGGGCTAGTCATATATGGCTTTATTTTGTTGATGCACTTTCCTTCTATACCTAATTTATTGAGAGTTTTTATCATGAAGGGATGTTGGATTTCATTAAATTTTTTCATTGCATCTATTCAGATAATCATATATTATAGTTTTTGCCCTTCATTCTGTTGATGTGTTGCATTTATTGATTTGCAGGTGTTGAACCATCGCTGTATCCTTGAGATAAATCCCACTTCATCATGGTGTATTATCTTTTTGACATGTTGTGGGTTTTTTGTTTGTTAAGGATTTTTACATCTATATTTATTAGGGATATTGGCTTGTATTTTTCATTGTTATTTTTCTGATCTGGTTTTGCTATCAGGGCTATGCTGGCCTGGCAAAATGAGTTAGAAAGAACTCCTTATGCTTCAATTCCTTTGAATAGTTTGAGAATAGTTGGTGTTAACTATTCTTTAACAGTTTGGTAGAATTTAGTGGTGAAATCATCTGATCCTGAGATTTTCTTTTTTGGGAGGCTTTTTACTACTGATTCAATCTTGTTACTTTTTTAATTGGTCTGTTCAGGTTGTCTATTTCTTCTTGATGCAATCTTGGTAGGTTATATGTGTTTAGGAATTTGTCCATCTCTTCTAAGGTTTTAAATTTATGGGTATATAGTTGTTTATAATAGTCTCTCATGAGCCTTTGCATTTTGGTGATATCCATTGTGACATCTTTTTTGTTTCTGATTTTATTTATTTAGGCCTTCTCTCTTTTTTTCTTAGTCTAGCTAATAGTTTGTCAATTTTGTTTATATTTTTTTAAAAAAACAATTTTTTGTTATCTATTGTATTTTTTTAGTCTCAATTTTGCTTATTTCTGCTCTTTATTATTTTTTCTTTCTACTAATTTTGAATTTGGTATGTTTTTGCTCTTCTATTTTCTTGAGATACATCGTTAGGTTATTTATTTGAAATCTTTCTACTTTTTTGATGTGGGCATTTATTGCTATGAACTTGAGTCTTTATACTGCATTTGCTGTGTCATAGGTTTTGATACGTTGTGTTTCTGTTCTCATTTGTTTAAAATAATTTTTAAATTTCCTGCTTAATTTCTTCTTTTACCCATTGATCAGGAACGTGTTGTTTAATTTCTGTATATTTGTATAGTTTTGAATATTCTTATTATTAATTTCCAGTTTTATTCCATTGTGGTCAGATAATGTATTTAATATGATGTTTTAAAAAATTTTTTGAGACTTGTTTTGTGTCCTAACATATGGTCAGCCCTTGAGAATGTTATATGCGCTGATGAAAAGAACATGCAGCTGTTGGGTGAATAAATATTTATTAGACCCATTTGGTCTGGGGTGCAGTTTAAATCCAATGTTTCTTTGTTCATATTCTGTCTAAATGATCTGTCTAATGCTGAGAGTGGGGAGCTGACATCCTCAATGATTATTGTATTGAGGTTTATTTCTCCCTTTTGATCTAATAATATTTTCTTTATATATTTAGATGCTCCAGTATTGGTTGCATATATATTTACAATTATATTATCTTGCTGAATTGATTGGTCTCTTTATTATTATATAATGTTCTTTGTCTCTTTCTATTGTTTTTGGTTAAAGTCTGTTTTACTGATATTATATCAGGCAATATATAGAAGTATAGCTACTCCTGCTCACTTTTGGTTTCCATTCCCAAAAGGGAATATCTTTTTTCACCCCTTTACTTTCAGTCTATGGGTGTCTTTCCAGGTAAGGTGAGTTTCTTGTATACAGCATATAGTAGGGTTTTGCATTTTAATTTTTAATTTTTTGTTTGTTTGTTTTTAGAGACAAGATCTTGCTTTGCTGCCCAGGCTGGAGTGCGGTGGCATGACCATAGCTCACTCCAGCCTCAAACTCCTGAACTCAAATGATCCTCCCACCTCAACCTCCTCACTAGCTAAGAGTGTTCGCATGTGCCACCATGCCCAGCTTTTTAAAAATTTCTTTGTAGAGATGGGGCCTTACTGTGTTCACTAGGCGGGTCTCAAACTCTTAGGCTCAAGCGATCCTCCCATCTTGGCCTCCCCAAATACTCAGTTTATAGGCGTGAGCCACCGCATCAAGCCAGGTCTTATTTTTTTAATCCATTCAGCCAATCTGTATCTTTTAATTGAGGAATTTAATCTGTTTACATTCAAATTATTATTAATAGGTGAGAACTTACTCCTGTCAGTGTATTGGTTGTTTTCTTGATTGTTTTGTATATCTTTTATTCTTTACTTCCTCTGTTATTACTTTTGTTGCTGCTTGATTTTCTATAGCAATGAGGATTGGTTCCTTTTTTTTCTTCTTTGTGCATTGCCTTTACCAGTGAGTTTTGTAATTTCACATTTGGTGAATGTGATGATAATTTCACACTTGGTGAATTTCACATGCTGGTAGTTACTGTCTTTTCACTTCCCCATGGAAGATGCCCTTGAGCATCTTGTCTAGTGGTGATCAATTCCCTGTTTTTGCTTGTCTATGAAAGATTTTATTTATCCTTCAATTCTGAAGGATAGCTTTGCCGAATATAATATTCTTGATTGGCAGTTTTTTTTTCTTTCAGTACTTTGGATATATCATTCCATTCTCTCCTGTCCTGTAAAATTTCTGTTGAGAAGTCTACTCTTAGTCTCATGGGATTCCCTTATATGTGACTTGATGCTTTTCTCCTGCTGTTTTTAGAATTCGTTGTCTTAGACTTTTGACAGTTTGACTGTAACTCGCCTTGGAAAGGACCTGTTTGAGTGGAATCTATTTGGGGTCCTTTGAGCTTCTAGGTGTCGATGTCTATCTGTCTTCTAGGAACTTATGGAGTTTTCAGCTATTATTTTATTAAGTATATTTTCTACATGTTTCTTCTTCTCTTCTCCTTCTGGAATGCCCATAATGTGACTATTTATTTGCTTAGTGGTGTTCCATAAATTCTGTAGGCCTTCTCCATCCTTTTAAATTCTTTTCTCTCTCATTTTTTTGTCTGCCTGACTTATTTTAAAAAACTTATCTTTAAGTTCAGAAATTATTTCTTTTGTCCTGTGTTGTCTGTTGTTGAGGCTCCCTATTTATTAGTCTGTTGTATTGTCTTGTATATTACTGAGTTTTCTTAAGATTATGATTTTGAATTATTTCTGGCAATTTATATATATATATAATATCTTTTATTTTTCCATAAGTTATTGGGGTACAGGTGGTATTTGGTTACATGAGTAAGTTTTTAGTGGAGATTTGTGAGAGGCTGGTGGACCCATCACCTGAGCAGTATACACTGCACCATATTTGTTGTCTTTTATCTCTCGCTCCCCTCCAACTCTTCCTCCCAAGTCCCCAAAGCCTATTGTATCATTCTTATGCCTTTGCATCCTCATAGCTTAGCTCCCACATATCAATGAGAACATACAATGTTTGGTTACCAACTCCTGAGTTATTTCACTTAGAATAATAGTCTCTAATCTCATCCAGGCCATTGCAAATGCTGTTAATTCATTCCTTTTTATGGCTGAGTAGTATTCCATCATATATATATCAGAGTTTCTTTATCCACTCATTGATTGATGGGCATTTGGGTTGGTTCCACGATTCTGCTATTGTGAATTGTGCTGCTATGAACATGTGTATGCAAGTATCTTTTTCAAATAAAGACTTCTTTTTCTCTGGGTCGATACCCAGTAGTGGGATTGCTGGATCAAATGGTAGTTCTACTTTTAGTTCTTTAAGGAATCTCCACACTGTTTTCCATAGCAGCTATACTAGTTTACATTCCCACCAGCAGTGTAGAAGTGTTCTGTGATCGCCACATCCATGTCAACATCCACTGTTTTTTGATTCTTTGATTATGGCCATTCTTACAGGAGTAAGGTGGCATTGCATTGTGGTTTTGATTTGCATTTCCCTGATCGTCAGTATGATTGAGATCTTTTACTGTAGAATTATTGTGTTTCTTTAGATGTGTCATGTTTTCTTGCATTTTTATGTTTGATGTGTCCTTAGGTTGATGCCTACACATCTAGTGGAACAGTTGCCTCTTCCAATTCTATGGAGAATGTTTCACAGGGAAAGACTTATTTGTATTGATAGGTCTTGGGGTTTTGGTTGGGTGGTATGCATTCACTTTGGATTTAGCTGGACATAGTAATGTAGTTCCTGTTCTGTTTTTTCACTTGTAGTCCACACTAAAGATGTTTGTGAGTTTCTCAGTGTCCTAGGCTGTGAGAGGTTGTGGTGATTCTGGTGAGGCTGCTGGAAGTGGGCTTGCTGGGGTGTTTCTAAGGAGAGCTTGCATGCACATCGTGTGTTGGCTAACTTGAGTCCTGGCTCAATGGGGTTGGGGCCATGGGGCTGTTATTCTGGCCAGGGACACTGTACTTTTTTTTATACATAATACCATTGCACACCTAATAGATTATAGCATAGTGTAAGCACAACTTATATGCACTGAGAAACCTAAAAAAAATTGCATGAGTTGCTGTATTGTAATATTTGCTTTATTTTAGGGGCCTGGCACCAAACTCACAATTTCTCTGAGGTATGCCAAGTTGTGAATGCAACTGTACGTAGGCTCTTTCTAACATCCTGGCCTCTCAGTTCTTTACCTTTTCTGCTCAAATTATCTCTCCTCCACCTGGCCCTGCCACTCACTTCCACAGTTGTAACCTAGACTTTGTCATTCCTAGTAACTACCAGCTTCACAATCTGTTTCCTGCTTATGTTCTCTGACAACCAATCTTCAATTTCTAACCCTCTCTCTCTGACTTCAACTCTAAAAGTTCCTCAGTGTCTCTTTCAGTCTCTAACCCCAGTTGCTTGAGATTCTCTTATTTTGCCTTTTCCAGCTACTCTTTTGTGGTCTACCCTATAGAAAAACCTTCATACACCCTCACTTCACTTATCTCTTTAGGGCAATATTCTATTCACTTGGATGAACCATAGCACTGGTCAAATCCTGATCTTTACCTACTCCATACCTGCGTTTAGGATGCTGAATGTGGCTGGAGAAGAACTTACAGTTAACTGGCCTCACGTGACCATGAACCTCAGGTGGATCCTTGTTGCTGCCTGATAGTTCCCTAGTCCTTGTACTCTCTTATTCTCTTCATTGATGTCTCACATTTTTCTCCTGTCTCCTCAAATATCTATACCTCGTCACCATTCTCACTCTTACACATTGTCCCGGTTTCCTCTCTCACTGAGAAAACCAAAGCCATTGTGAGGAACTTTCACAGGCCTGCACCACTGTCTGCTCACCTGCCATATCTGCTGCCCTTTGTTCTGTGACCAATATGAAATGTCGCTCCACTCCCTAGCCCTGGAGCCCACCTTCTTCAAATATTCAAGCATATCACCCTAGTAATTTTCTTCTCCTCTGAATTTCACTTTCCTTCTCTCTACCACATGTTTCTCATGGGCTTACAAATATGTTATTTTTCTTTTCTTGGAAAAACTCCCTCTTTAGCTTACTTCCACTCCGAGCTATGGCTCCCATTTCTTTGCTTTCCTGTATAAAAAAGAAAAAAAACTGCTAAAAAAGAGTTGTCTAGACTCGCTGTATGCAAATAATCTTCTCCCATTCTCTCTTAAACCCATCCCTGCAGATTGCCAGCCCAGTTTCATCAACTTCACCGGAAACTTTCAAGATTATGAATGACCACCATGTTATGGAATACAATGTCAATTCTTAGTACTCATGATACTTAAAATTTTAGCAGCCTTCGAAGCAACCAATCTGTTAATCCTACTTGATGCACTTTCTTCACCAGGTCTCAAGGATATACTCTTGCTTTACCTTTACCTTCTAAATCTCTGGAAGTTCTTTCTCATATTCTGCTTGACCTCTTAGTGTTGGACTGCCCCAGGACTCAGGCTTTAATCTTCTTTACCTGTTTATTTATCTTACCTCCTATAGACTCATCTTGTTTCATGGTTTTAATTACCATTTATGCCAGTGATCTTCAAGCATATCTATTTAGGCTGGACCTCTCTCCTGAACTCCTTGAATGACCTACTTGACATCTCCCCCTGGATGTGCAATAAATATCTCCAAATCAACCTTCTAAAAGCTGAACTCCTGCTCTTCCCTCCAAAACTGTTCCGTTAGCATTTTTTGCATCTCTTAGTTGCCTAGGTCCCAACCAATATAATCATTATTTTCCTGTGAATACAATACATTTATTTGTGGCTTAAAACTTTTTCTTAATATAAAATTATTAATCCCATATTTTACCTTCTTTTTAATACTTATTTTTGAAATCTGGTGCATATTTTTCAATCATGGCACATGTCAATTTAGATATAAATTTTTATAAGAATTACTTGATTTATATCTATATTTCATAAAATACACAGTTGAAAAAATAAATCAGTATACCTATGTCATTCTACATATATTTACACATTTCTAATAGCTGAATTGAATATCACTTGAAATTCTAATTAATTAAAATTAAATTCAATTAAAAATTCAGTTTAGTTGCATTAGCTATGTTTTACACACTCAATAGCCACCTATGGCTGGTGGCTCTCGTATTGGACAGTGCTGGTAGAACCATCTTGTGGGATGGTTTATAAGTTTCTGGGTTTCTCATGTATGTAAAGAAAAGATAACCTAAAATTAAATATTCACAACCAAGTTAAAGGAAGAAGTTAGAGTTGTTTGCATTGCACCTGGCACTCTGTTGGTCAGAAGGAAGTTGAGAATTTTAATGTGGGAAATGTTGGAATGTAGAAAATAAGCACATCTGCGAGGAATCTCTTTCTGCTGCTTCTGCACTCTTCTTCCTCTCACCCTGTGTGCATTCTCTGCATCATGAGAACATGGCTTTATTTATGTTCTGGAAATGGTTTTAGTGTTTCCTTTCTGAATAGGGAGGAATCTTGGGTTACAACACAGAATATGTTTGTAACAACCTGGCACAAATTTTCTTCAAGTTATTCTTCTCCAAATTTGTTAAAGAACTTCTCAAATAATTATCTTTTCAGTGGAAATGGATGTCTTACATTGCTTCCTTTCTTCCTATTAGAAATGTGAGAAATTCACTTAATTGCCAGAGAGAGGCACAGAGACTGAGAGCTTGTATTTTTTACTCTTTTAGATTCATTAAACTGAAGTAGGTCTCAAAAAAGCTTTTTGGACTTGAGATGACATGCATTCAATACTTAATATTTACCATCAGATAAATTTGATAAGGAGGACAAATTTTAAGAAAACACTAGCAATCTCTAGCATGGGGAGTTCGGAGCACGTAACACTCATTTCTTAAGTAGGAAAAAATGAAAACCTAATTAGCATCAAAAGCAAGTTTTGTTTTTTAAAGACTTTATACAGTTGTTTAGGGTTCAATCTGGAAGGAAAGAAATAATTTTAGTGTAAAGCAGTGCCCCCAATGAACACACACAAGTAAGATGATTGAGCAGTAGGAATGTTGTCCTCTATGCCAATTTTTCCCCATTCAGGTGGCTTCACTGTTTATATATTGCATTTCAGGCAGGTGCCTGAATATATATCTTTAGGAATATGTATCTTTATGTTCTTAGCCTTAGACCCAGTCATCTTATTTCTGGGAAACTACCCTAAGGGAAGAAATTCATTAATGTGGAAAGCCGTTTATGCACAAAAATGTTTATCATAGTCCTCTGTGAAATAGCACCAAATTGGAATCAACCCAGATACACAACACTAGGAAACAGGTTAGTAAACAGATCCACTTGATAAAAGATAATACAGCTATTAGGAGTGATGCTTAAAGGTAATCAGACTGACATGGAAAATATGCTTGAGATAAAGTGTTTAGTGAAAAAAGAAGCATGCTTCTGTGTATAATAGGATGATAACAACAACAGGAACACCTACCAAGAGAGAGAAGTGAGACATAAATGAACCAATATGTTAGCAGTGGTTGTATTTGTTTGATGGTGTCAGGGTGATTTTCTTTTATAGCATGTAATATCTTTCGCGTTTTATAAATGGGAATTTTTTTGGGTTGGGGGGTTAATGAAAATCTTCTAATAATCAAAAGGAAAAAAATCACAAAAGAATGAGAGGGGTAGAGAGCTATTATAGGCTCTTTCTGGTGCCTACTACCCAGGAGGTGGTTCTCCTTTGACAACTGTTTTGTAGAATTGAGACTCCAAAAGAAAGAGATGACAAAGAGATGGGATAGGAAAGGTGCCCTGGCTGGGCTAGATGGAGGTAAACTCGTTAGGGGTTGTCACTCACTGCTGTCTATAGAAATTGAGAATCAGTGCTGTGTTCCTGACTTTCAGGTTCTCCTTTGCCTGGCATAGCGTTGGGTACAAGTAGGCACTTAAACAGTGTTTATTGAATTTAGAAAAAATGGGCAGAGACTGCACAGATTCCACTGGTCACATTATTTATCTTATGCTTTTAGGGTGTTACCTTCAGAATTTGAAAAACTAGGGCCAGGCACGGTGGCTCACGCCTGTAATCCCAGCACTTTTGGAGGCTGAGGCGGGTGGATCACCTGAGGTCAAGAGTTCAAGACCAGCCTGGCCAACATGGTGAAACCCCATCTCTACTAAAAATACAAAAAATTCGCAATTAGCTGGGCATGGTGGCAGGTGCTTATAATCCCAGCTACCTAGGATGCTGAGGCAGGAAAATCGCTTGAACCCAGGAGGCAAAGGTTACAGTGAGCCAAGATTGCACCATTGCATTCCAGCCTGGGCAACAAGAGCGAAACTCTGTCTTGAAAAGAAAAACTAAGTGAAGAAAATTTGTTGTTCTTTTCTATCCAGTTTGAAGTAAATACCCATGGGCATGACTGCTCAGTACAAAACAACCTTCCCAGCCTTTGGTAGTCCCTCTCAAATTGCTGGGCCACTTTATTTAAGATGAAGCTGCAGCTATTCAGCTATTTTGGTTAGGTTATGCTTAAGAGTTCTGTAACCTTGTCTGTAGAATTTGCTTTTATTTTGAACTTTTAAAAATATTGTAATTTTTTAGTTTTCAAAAATAGGCTATTTGTATATTTATTAGGACTATTCTCTGACCAATCAAGTAAAGTGTCATTTATAACAGAGTAGTTAGATATTTTGCTTTAACTCATGAAGAAAGGAATAAATTTAACAAACAAAACACTTTGTCGATGTAACTATAAATAATGTTTCTAATATTGGAAGCTACTTTTCATTCATGTGGTTCTTAGAAAATACCTTAAAATAAAAAAAGAAAGAATCTATTGGTAAAGTTTAACTAAATTTTGTGTTTCATTTTGTAGTTCATAGCAGTTGCCATTTGTTTATTTTACTAAAATGATGCTGTGGCATTTCCAATTTAAGTCTCAGAATATTTTCATATGACATAAATTATGCTGTAATATAAGTAATATTCCTTTACCATTACCACAAAATAATCTAATTATAGCAATTATTTATTGGTAGCTGTGAAAATTTTATCACAAAATGGTAATTGCTGTTAAAGTTTAATGGCTCATTATATAAATATAATTTATATTATACATTCCAAGATAAATGTACTATACAATCACATTTCTACCCAAATATTTGAAAGATAAGGAAACAATATATCACAATAAGGAAAACTGAAAATGAAAGGTCACTAAACAATACAATGAGAAAATATCATTTTAATCATTGAATGCTAGGAGTAAAAAGGACAGGAGACAACTAGTCTCCACAGAATTTAGTATGTACAGACAATTCGTAGAGGGGACAGTGGGTGAATTTATTCTCTACTTCCATGTCAATAAGAATGGATGAATTCCTTAAAAACCACTGAGACAGAAAAAGACATTGAGAATGAATTAAATAAAATATGCTTTTTATTGATCTACTCATGTGTCCATGTAATTTGAATATGAAACAGCAGAACCCTGTTGTGAAGCTTATCCATCTTAAGACAGAAGGAAGCACAGATAGAAAGTCCTGGAAACTTCTTACACAAGAATTCTGCCAAATAGTGAAAATAATTTCTAACTCCTGTTTATTATTTTTCTTAAGGACTAAAATCTTTGTTTTAAAAACTGTATTCTGCAAACTCTTTGAGAATTGCTGGGGGCGGGGGGTGTGGTGAGGGTGGGGAACCAGCTGAATAAAAGAATAGAGACAGAGATTGGCAGATTTTTATCCCTCAATCTTGGCAAAATAGAAATAAAGTGAAACATACCACAAATATTTTATTAACTATTTAAAATTAAAATCTGTTTTGAATAAATATATATAATTTTTGATGCTACAGAAAATGTTATTTGAAGATGAGAAAATAACATGCTGCTTGTGAAGGCACACTATAAGTAAGTTTTTTTTATTATACTTTAAGTTCTGGGATATATGTGCAGAACGTGCAGGTTTGTTACATAGGTATACATGTGCCATGGTGGTTTGCTGTACCTATCAACCTGTTATCTACATTAGGTATTTCTCCTAATGCTATCCCTCCCCTTGCCCTCCATTCCCCAATAGGCCCCAGTGTGTGATATTCCCCTCCCTGTGCCCATATGTTCTCATTTTTCAACTCCCACTTATGAGTGAGAACATGGAGTGATTGATTTTCTGTTCCTGTGTTAGTTTGCTGAGAATGATGGTTTCCAGCTTCATCCATGTCCCTGCAAAGGACATGAACTCATTCTTTTTTATGGCTGCATAGTATTCCATGATGTATATGTGCCACATTTTCTTTATTCAGTCTAACATTGATGGGCATTTGGGTTGGTTCCAAGTTTTTGCTATTGTGAATAGTGCTGCAGTAAACATATGTGTGGATGTATCTTTATAGTGTAATGATTTATAATCCTTTGGTTATATACCCAGTAATGACATGGCTGGGTCAAATTGTATTTCTGGTTCTAGATCCTTGAGGAATTGCCATACTGTCTTCCACAATGGTTGGACTAATTTACACTCTCACCAACAGTGTAAAAGTGTTCCTCTTTCTCCACATCCTCTCCAGCATCTTTGTTTCCTGACTTTTTAATGATTGACAATCTAACTGGCATGAGATGGTATCTCATGGTAGTTTTTATTTGCATTTCTCTAATGAACAGTGATGATGACCTTTTTTGCATATGTTTTTTGGCCACATAAATGTCTTCTTTTGAGAAGTGTCTGTTCATATCCTTTGCCCACTTTTGGATGGGGTTGTTTGTTATTTCTTGTAAATTTGTTTAAGTTCCTTGTAGATTTTTGATATTAGCCCTTGGTCAGATGGATAGATTGCAAAAATTTTCTCCCATTCTGTAGTGAGGCAGTGCTCCTTTTGCGAGGGCATTAGCTGCGGGGAGTCTGTCCCTTGCAGACCCCTGACCCGGCGACAGATGATTAAAGTACACTGGCACACAGATATTCTGCTTTGCCAGTCCAGCTGAGGGTCTGAGGCCACTCACAGACTCCGAGGAGAGTCATGTAAAGAATGGCAGCCGCCACCCTGAGCAGCTCCGCACTCCAAGCATTTATTTAGTATAGAATTAACAACAGAAACTTTGAGTAAACACACTTGTGGATAATTAACATGGTTAAGAGAGTAGTTCTAGGAATGATTAAAGCTCAGGTACCGGTGCTCTAGAGTAAATACTATTGGGGGCAATTTTCCTGGTTGACCTCCCCGCCAGAGGGCCATCTGGCTCAAAAGTTAGTTAATGGAGGTAGGGTAAAGAGATTTAACTGGGGAAGACTCTGTTGTCCCTAGCATTTACCCTATGACCTAATGCTGTAAGGTAAGACCCAGTCGCTTTCAGCCTGTTCAATTATTACAGCTATGTAACCTTTCGGCCTTCCAAAAAGGTTTGTGACTATTCCCCATAACTTTCTCTAATATTTCCCTTTAATATTTCTGCCACCAACCTGAGTGAATCCCAACGCTGTAGGTTGCCTGTTCACTCTGATGATAGTTTCTTTTGCTGTCCAGAAGCTCTTTAGTTTAATTAGATCCCATTTGTCAATTTTGGCTTTTGTTGCCATTACTTTTGGCGTTTTAGTCATGAAGTCTTTGCCCTTGCCTATGTCCCGAATGGTACTGCTTAAGTTTTCTTCTACAGTTTTTATGGTTTTAGGTCTTATGTTTAAGTCTTTAATCCATCTTGAGTTAATTTTTGTATAAGGTGTAAGGAAGGGGTCCAGTTTCAGTTTTCTATATATGGCTCGTCAGTTTTCCTAACACCATTTATTAAATAGGGAATCCTTTCCCCATTGCTTGTTTTTATCAGGTTTGTCACAGATCAGATGGCTGTAGATGTGTGGTATTATTTCTGAGGCCTCTGTTCTGTTCCATTGGTCTATATATCTGTTTTGGTACCAGTACCATGCTGTTTTGGTTACTGTAGCCTTGTAGTATAGTTTGAAGTCAGATAGCATGATGCCTCCAGCTGTGTTCTTTTTGCTTAGGATTGTCTTGGCTATACAGGCTCTTTTTTGGTTCCATACAAAATTTAAAGTAGTTTTTTCTAATTTTATGAAGAAAGCCAATGGTAGCTTGATGGGAATGGCATTGAATGTATAAACTACTTTGGGCAGAATGGCCATTTTTGTGATATTGATTCTTCTTATCCATGAGCATGGAATGTTTTTCCATTTGTTCGTGTCCTCTCTTATTTCCTTGAACAGTGGTTTGTAGTTCTCCTTGAAGAGGTCCTTCGCATCCCTTGTAAGTTGTATTCCTAGGTATTTTATTCTCTTTGTAGCAGTTGTGAATGGGAGTTCACTCATGATTTGGCTCTCTGTCTACTATTGGTGTATAGGAACACTTGTGATTTTTGCACATTGATTTTGTATTCTGAGACTTTGCTGAAGTTGCCAGCTTAAGGAGTTTTTGGCCTGAGACAGTGGGGTTTTCTAAATATACAATCATGTCATCTGCAAACAGAGACAATTTGACTTCCTTTCTTCCTATTTGAATACCCTTTATTTCTTTCTCTTGTCTGATTGCCCTGGCCGGAACTTCCAATACTATGTTGAATAGGAGTGTTGAGAGAGGGCATCCTTGTCTTGTGCCGGTTTTCAAAGGGAATGCTTCCAGCTTTTGCCCATTTAGTATGATATTAGCTGTGGGTTTGTCATAAATAGCTCTTATTACTTTGAGATATGTTCCATTAATGCCTAGTTTATTGGATGTTTTTAACATGAAGGAGTGTTGAATTTTATTGAAGGCCTTTTCTGTATCTATTGAGATAATCATGTGGTTCTTGTCATTGGTTTTGTTTATGTGATGGATTACGTTTATTGATTTGCATATGTTGAACCAGCCTTGCATCCCAGGGATGAAGCTGACTTGATCTTGGTGGATAAGCCTTTTAATGTGCTGCTGGATTCGGTTTGCTAGTATCTTATTGAGGATTTTCGCATTGATGTTCTTCAGGGTTATTGGCCTGAAATTTTCTTTTTTTGTTGTGTCTCTGCCAGGTTTTCGTATCAGGATGATTCTGGTCTCATAAAATCAGTTAGGGAGGAGTCCCTCTTTTTCTATTGTTTGGAATAGTTTCAGAAGGAATGGTACCAGCTCCTCTTTATATCTCTGGTAGAATTTGGCTGTGAATCTGTCTGGTTCTGGGCTTTTTTCGGTTGGTAGGCTATTAATTACTGCCTCAATTTCAGAACTTGTTATTGGTCTATTCAGGGATTTGACTTCTTCCTGGTTTAGTCTTGGAAGGGTGTATGTGTCCAGGAATTTATCCATTTTTTTTCTAGATTTTCTAGTTTATGTGCATAGAGATGTGTATAGTATTCTCTGATGGTCAGTGGTGATATTCCCTTTATTATTTTTTATTGTGTCTATTTGATTCTTCTCTCTTTTCTTCTTGATTAGTCTGGCTAGTGGTCTATTTTGTTAATCTTCAAAAAGCCAGCTCCTGGATTCATTGATTTTTTGGAGGGTTTTTTTGTGTCTCTGTCTCCTTCAGTTCTACTCTTATTTTAGTTATTTATTGTCTTCTGCTAGCTTTTGAATTTGTTTGCTCTTGCTTTTCTAGTTTTTTTTTTTTCTTAAGACGGAGTCTCACTCTTGTGGTCCAGGATGGAGTGCAGTGGCATGATCTTGGCTCACTGCAACCTCCGCCTCCCAGGTTCAAGTGATTCTCCTGCCTCAGCCTCCTGAGTAGCTGGGATTACAGGGGCCCGCCACCATGCCTGGCTAATTTTTGTACTTTTAGTAGAGATGGGGTTTCACCAAGTTGGCCAGACTGGTCTCAAACTCCTGACCTCACGTGATCTGCCCACCTTGGCCTCGCAAAATGTTGTGATTACAAGCATGGGCCACCGCGCCTGCCCTCTAGTTCTTTTAATTGTGATGTTAGGATGTCAATTTTAGCTCTTTCCTGCTTTCTTCTGTGGGCATTTCGTGCTATAAATTAAACAGTGGTTTAGCTGTGTCCCAGAGTTTCCGGTACATTGTGTCTTTGTTCTCATTGGTTGCAAAGAATTTATTTATTTACCCAGTAGTCATTCAGGAGCAGGTTGTTCAGTTTCCATGTAGTTGTGTGTTTTTCATGTGTATTTTGAGTGAGTTTCTTAATCCAGAGTTCTATTTTGTTTGCACTGTGGTCTGAGAGACTATTATGGTTTCCGTTCCTTTACATTTGCTGAGGAGTGTTTTACTTCCAATTATATGGTCAATTTTAGAATAAGTGCTATGTGGTACTGAGAAAAATATATATTCTGTTGATTTGGGGTGGAGAGTTCAGTAGATGTCTATTAGGGCCACTTGGTCCAGAGCTGAGTTCAAGTCCCAAATATCCTTGTTAATTTTCTGTCTCATTGATCTGTCTAATATTGACAGTGGGGTGTTAAAGTCTCCCACTATTATTGTGTGGTAGTCTAAGTCTTTTTGTAGGTCTCTAAGAAGTTGCTTTATGAATCTGGGTGTTCCTGTATTGGGTGCATATATATTTAGGATAGTTAGCTCTTCTTGTCACAGTGATCCCTTTACATTATGTAATACCTTTCCTTGTCATTTTTGATCTTTATTGGTTTAAAGTCTGTTTTATCAGAGACTAGGATTGCAACCCCTGCCTTTTTTTTGCTTTCCATTTGCTTGCTAAATCTTTCTCCTTCCCTTTATTTTGAGCCTGTGTGTGTCTTTGCACATGAGATGGGTCTGCTGAATACAGCACACTGATGGGTCTTGACTCTATCCAGTTTGCCAGTCTGTGTTTTTTAATTGGGGCATTTAGCCCGTTTACATTTAAGGTTAGTATTGTTATGTGTGAATTTGACCTGTCATTATGATATTATGCTAGCTGGTTATTTTGCCCACTAGTTGATGTAGTTTTTTCATAGTGTTGATTTGATATGCTTTTGCAGTGGCTGGTACCAGTTTTTCCTTTCCATATTTAGTGCTTTCTTCAGGAGCTCTTGTAAGGCAGGCCTGATGGTGACAGAATCCCTCAGCATTTGCTTGTCTGTAAAGGATTTTATTTCTCCTCCACTTATGAAGCTTAGTTAGGCTGGTTATGAAATTCTGGGTTGAAAATTCTTTTCTTTAAGAATGTTGAATATTGGCCCCACTCTCTTGTGGCTTGTAGGGTTTCTGCAGAGAGATCTGCTGTTAGTCTGATGAGCTTCCCTTTGTGGGTAACCTGACCTTTCTCTCTGGCTGCCCTTAACTATTTTTCCTTCATTTCAACCTTGGAGAATCTGAAAATTATGTGTCTTGGGGTTGCTCTTCTCAAGGAGTATCTTTGTGGTGTTCTCTGTATTTCCTGAATTTGAATGTTGGCCTGTCTTGCTAGTTGGGGAAGTTCTCCTGGATAATATCCTCAAGTGTGTTTTCCAACTCGGTTCCATTTTCCCCGTCACTTTCAGGTACACCAATCAAATGTAGGTTTGGTTTTTTCACATAGTCCCATATTTCTTGGAGGCTTTTTTCCTTTTCATTCTTATTCTGTAATCTTGTCTTCATGGTTTATTTCATTAAGTTGATCTTCAATCGCTGATATCTTTTCTTCTGCTTGATCAATTTGGCTACAACGTATGCTTCACGAAGTTCTCGTGCTGTGTTTTTCAGCTCCATCAGGTCACTTATGTTCTTCTCTAAACTGGTTATTGTAGTTAGCAGTTCCTGTAACCTTTTATCAATCAAGGTTCTTAGCTTCCTTGCATTGGGTTAGAACATGCTCCTTTAGCTCGGAGGAGTTTGTTATTACCCACCTTCTGAAGCCTACTTCTGTCAATTCATCAAGTCATTCTCCATCCAGTTTTGTTCCCTTGCTGGCGAGGAGTTGTGATCTTTTGGAGGAGAAGAGGCATTCTGGTTTTTGGAATTTTCAGTCTTTTTGCGCTGGTTTTCCCTCATCTTTGTGGATTTATCTGCCTTTGGTCTTTTATATTGGTGACCTTCGGATGGGGTTTGTGCCATTGGGGTCCTTTTTGCTGATGTTGATGCTATTGCTTTCTGTTTGTTAATTTTCCTTCTAATAGGCAGGTCCCTCTTCTGCAGGTCTGCTGGAGTTTGCTGGAGGTCCACTCCAGACCCTATTTACCTGGATATCACCAGCAGAGGCTGCAGAACAGCAAAGATTGCTGCTTCTTCTTCCTCTGGAAGCTTCAACCTAGAGGGGCACCCCGCAGATGCCAGCTGGAGCTCTGCTGTATAAGGTGTCTGTCAACCCCTGCTGGGAGGTGTCTCCCAGTCAGGAGGCACGGGAGTCAGGGACCCACTTGAGGAGGCAGTCTGTCCCTTAGCAGAGCTTGAGCACTATGCTGGGAGATTCGCTGATCTCTTCAGAGCCGGCAGGCAGGAAAGTTTAAGTCTGCTGAAGCTGTGCCCACAGCCGCCCCTCCCCCCAGGTGCTCTGTCCCAGGGAGATGAGAGTTTTATGTATAAGCCCCTAACTGGGGCTGCTGCCTTTCTTTTAGAGATGCCCTGCCTGGACAGGAGGAATCTAGAGAGGCAGTCTGGCTACATGGGCTTTGCTATGCTGTGGTGGGTTCTGTACCCAGTTTGAACTTCCAGGTGGCTTCGTTTATACTGTAAGGGGAAAACCACCTACTCAACCCTCAGTAATGGCTGATGCCCCTCCCCTGACCAGGCTCCAGTGTCCCTGGTCGACTTCAGACTGCCGTGCTGGCAGCGAGAATTTCAAGCCAGTGGAGCTTAGCTTGCTAGGCTCTGTGGGGTTGGGATCTGCTGAGCTAGACCACTTGGCTCCCTGGCTTCAGCCCCCTTTCCAGGGGAGTGAACGGTTCTGTCTTGCTGCCGTTTCAGGTGCCACTGGGGTATGAAAGAAAACTCCTGCAGCTAGCACAGAGCCTGTTCAAAGGGCTGCCCAACTTTGTGGTTGAAACCCAGGGCCCTGGTGGTATAGGCACCCAAGGGAATCTCCTTGTCTGTGAATTGCAGAGACCATGGGAAAAGCCCAGTATCTGGGCTGGAATGCATGGTACCTCATGGCACAGTCCCTCAGGGCTTCCATTGGCTAGGAGAGGGAGTTCCCTGACCCCTTGCGCTTCCCAGGTGAGGTGATTACCCCCCCTGCTTCTGTCTGCCCTCAGTGGGCTGCACCCACTGTCTAACCAGTCCCAATGAGATGAACCATGTACCTCAGTTGGAAATGCAGAATTCACCTGCTTTCTGCATTGGTCTCTCTGGGAGCTGCAGACTGGAGCTGCTCCTATTTCGCTATCTTGCCAGCCTCCTCCAGTAATTCTTGTGTGTTGAATTCTGCAACGCACCTTTAATTATTTTTGAAGTTGCTAACGTTAATTAAAGTTTGTGTCTGAACCTCCTGCTGATGGAGGATGAATTACCAGAGTATAGCTGGGTTTGTGAAACCCGCAGTGGATCAGGCAATGTTAAAGATGATTAAACAATTTCCCTCCTTCCATGGAGGCTTCTTTTTCTTATTACCTAAAGCAGTTTCACACTCCTTTTTGTTATCTATCTAATAGGATATTATCTAGGGTCAAATTTCTTTATAGTGTTATTGCTTATATATGCTTGAATATAGTCACAGTTTGAAAGACTGAGCTGAGCATAATAATTTATTTTAAGCTTTTATATTTGAAACTATTTTCCTTTTGAAAATGTACACTCCAGTCTAGCTCAAACATTTATTTCAACTTTCACTATATTGAGGCTTCGAAAAAAGACAAGAAAGAAAAAGAAAAAAAGAAACTTATTTATTGCATTTGGGCCTTGGATTGCTGAAGAAACCACAGCACAAAAAAGGATCAGATTAGAGAGGTGCTTTGAAAATATCTTGTCCAGAAGGAGAAAACTGGTGGAACCAAAATTATCAGTTGGCCAGTCTACCATTTCATCAAGTGATATGTTACCTTGGTGAGACTAATGCATTCCATGGATATGAGTCCATGGCCAAATTGCTGTAAAATGAGTTCCCTGGTTAATGGGAGGAAACTGGCAGTTAAGTATTCTCAAGTGATGGATAACAGTGCAAACAGGAGCGTTACAGGCAGAGATGGCATATCCTAAGTGTCTATTCCAGGAAGAAATCACTGCCCCCTCTGTATCAGGAAGGGGTATAGTGTAATCACTCTGCCACCATGTGATTGACTTGATTCCTGCCCTCTACACCCAATAGTGCTAGCCTCTGCTATTGGAAAGATAGATCCTCAGCAGTGGAGATAGATTAGGTCAGGACAGGGGAAGTACATGAAGTTGGACTCATGCATAACCATGTTGTTGGCCTCATGGGGACAGGCTACCATGTCCATTTTGTATGAAGACTCATTGAACAAGCACTGGGGAAGAGGCTGAGAGACCTCCACAGATGTCATCTTGTCTACTTGATTATTGAGAGCTTCCTCTGCAGAGAGTGTTCGAGCTTCCACATAGGCATTCAAATAACATCGCATTATGCCCATTCTGAAAGGTTCACCCACATGCCTCTTCCCCAGATCTCCTTATCCTTGATCTTCCAATCCTGTTATTTCCCATTCACCATGGTGTTAGCTACTGCCCACAAATTGATGTAGGTCCATTTTTCTAGGCATCTCTCAGTCCAGACAATGTGGAAAGTCAACATACTGCTGGAAATTCTGCCTCCCAGAAGGAATTCCCTTTACTAATATCCTGCGGAGCTACCCTGAGTGGGACTGTCATGCTACAGCTGCCCAATTCTGGTTGGTGTCAATTATATCTCACAGAATCATTCATAAATCAGACGTGAGGTTTCCCCTGCTTATATTGGTTGATTATGAGGAATTTCCCATGAAGACACAGGTGTGAATTGAGGAAGATGAGACAGAGCAACAGGCATAGGTGGCATAGGCATCTGAATGCCTGGCCATGCAACTGATATCTTCTGGAACTGCTTGGGCCTGATTGCTTATATACCATTACCACTTGACAGTGGGAACCTACTATAAACACCTAGCATGAGAAGAAGCAGAAATCTAGGCCACATGGTCACTTTATGTCCATAGTCAGAGGTTCAATGCCAGGGCCTTGTAGCAAGCATGAGCTGTTTCTCAAAAGGAGAACAGTTATCTGTAGAAGGGGGTGTGGCTCTGTTCTAAAACCCTATGAGCATTTGTGGTACTTCTACAATTTCCCAAAGGTCCAGCGTAGCATCTCTATTTATTATAGACACTTTACAAATCATTGGATCCGTTGGGTTATGCATACGGGACAGAGCAGCTTATGCCTCAGGGACAGAGCAGCTTACTCTGCCACCTGGACTTGCTACTCAGCCTTTTCTTGCTTCAGGCCCCACTCAAAACTGGTTGCCTTACAGTTTACTTAGTAAATGAATGAGAGCAGGATACTCATATGTGCTGTATGTCATCTCCAAAATCCAAAAGAGCTCATTAAGCATCAAGCCTCTTTTTTGACTGAAAGGCTCAATGATGATTATAACAACAACGGCAATAAAAGCAACAGCCCTAGACTGCCTGGGACAATCCATTAGAGAAATAGTAGACTCTACTCTGGTGGTTGTGACTGAAGATGCAGCTGGAGAGGTAGAGTGCTACCTCTGTCTCATTGCAAGGCCTGGATGGGGTGCTGCTGGGCTGATTTGGACATTTACTTTGGGCACAGATGTATGCCCTTGGGATGGTTGGTGTGAAGTTCAGTGGCAGCTGGTTTGGAATTTGGCTTTTTACCACATATTTAAAAAATACCCCTCATTTGGGAATTTACTATTTATATACATTTTATTTTCTCATTTTTTAAATTATCTATATTTCTGTCTGCTTTTCAATTATTGAAAGCTATAGTTGGGGTACTTTTCTATTTAGGTATAGAATGTATCCCTCAGTTTCAAAGTCATATACTGAGCATTAGGCACTTTTTGGGCACTTTGCGTATCTTATTTAGTACGAATAGTTGACATTGTTTTAGTAACATCACTGTGGCAGGACTTGAAATTTTGCAAGAGTTATTTTTAATAGTCTGCTTTCCAATAAATCAGTCAACAAATAAATGCCATCTATCTACTAGTAATTGACTGGAGGTGGGGGCTCAAGGGACTCCTGGATGATAAGGGAATTGTCACCCACTTTTTTTCTAAGCACAGATACTGATCCAGGCAGGCCTTTTCCAGTCAGCGCAAGAGCAGTTGCCCTGCAGCACTAGGTCCATTACAAAGAACTTTCCCCTACCAAAAAAAAAAAAAAAAAAAATTCATGCTTCCAGTAGTCACCTGAAACTGAATGAACAGGTAAAAACACTTAGATCAAATTTCAATTATTTATGTTCACTGCAAAATGAGATGACCTTCCTGCAGTCACAGAATGATTCTAGAACTTGCAGATCAAATATAAATTTTGTGCCTTCTAAATGAGTTACTAGAAATTAAAATATATGCACATTTTGGAAAACTTTGTTTTGAAGCATTTAAAATGACAACATGGATGGCGATTAGCATAGAAGTTGGAAGAGTTCCCACTGTTCAGCAGGAGTTAACAAAGGTGGTCCCCTGAACTCTCTCAACTCTTGGAAAAGCTTCATTCCTCTCTCCTATCCCAGTCATCAAAGCTTGCAGACACCATCTGCCTTGGTACCATCAGGGCCAATGTTATCATTCCTTTAATCTTAGTTCATTAATTTCCACAAGAATCCCAGGTCTCCTAGATCACCCTGCATTCCCTTGGACTCTGATCCCCACTCACCTATGTACACTCCTTCGTCTGACCCTGTCTCCCACCTTTCCTTTTCCCTATGAGGGCTGTGAAGGTTGATCATCAGCAGTATCCCCTGGATCATCTTCCCAGATGTGCATTTCATTTCCTTCCCTTTCTCTCTCCCAAGTAGATGCTGTTTCTATCCAACTACCACTGGGCCTGCAGGTGTTAGAAGTGCCTTCCTTGTTCCTCATTGTTGCTTTGAAGTTGTTCAGGCTGCCACCTCTATATAGCAAAACAAAAACTGTGTCATCAGATGCTATTATCTACTTTCCTCCCTTATTGCACTTCCCTGCTGATCCCTAAATCCTTTCCTCTAATTCTGTTAAGATTAATGTTAGGGTTCTTGAGAGAAACAGAATCAATACAATATGCATATTTATAGAAATAGATTTATTTTAAAGACTTGGATCCCATGATTATTGAGGTTGGTGAGTCCAGCATTTGCAGTGTGGGCCAGCAGCTTGAGACCCAGGAGAGCTGATGGTAAAGTTCCCATTGGAAGGCTAGCAGGTGGACACCCAGGAGAGCAAATTGTGCATATGAAATCTGAAGGCAGTCTGCTGGAGAATCCTCTCTTGCTCAGGGAGCTCATTCTTTTTGTTCTATCCAGACTTTGCACCAACTGAGTTAGGTTGATTCACATTAAGCAGGGCAATCTCTTTTACTCAAAGTTTAATGCCAAGCTCATCCAAAAACACCCTGCAAGTTGACACATGAAATTAATAATCACAGGTCCATCCTTTATCAACTTGGCAACCATATGCATCTCTTTAACCCATACTTAATCTCCAAATAAAGACAATAACAAGGTCATACTTCCACCTTTTATGATAAAGATATCCTGCATGCAACTGAAAACTCACTAACCCTTTCCCCAGAAGAGGATGCAAAGTCTTGGATGATGTTCACTCTTGTGTATCCCATAACTTTAAATACTGTGATGTAAAGTTAACTCTACTTAAATGCTATGCTATAAAGTCAGTACATGATAAGGAGGTAAGAAAGAGAAGAAAACAAAGGTATTTGTTTTCTTCTCTTCATGTTCATAACAAAATAAGGAAGAAATACTCATGATAGTTACACTTCTTGTTTCTGTAACTGGTTGTATAGTCATAGCTGGTACTCATAACTACCCTCTTCCACTAGCAAGCCCATATGCTCCTTGCTCTCAACAAGTACCTCAACAGGTCATAGTTCTTTACCTTCTTTTCTTGATGGCACTGCTTCTGGGTTAATTCTCAGTGATTTTGATACCCACAGAGATGATCCTTTTAAGGCCCAGGCCTCTTGGCTGCCTGGCCTCCTCTCTCCAGTGGCATTGTCCTCATCTACTGTATTTCTGGAAACTCATTCCTTCTTTTGTATGAATGCTTCCATATATGCCCTCCCTGAGCCTCTCTGGCTGGAGTTCATAGTAGCGTTTGCTGCCTTAGTAGTTTCCATGCAGGACCATGTTATCTGTTATCCCCCTCACCCCCCAAGGATTTCCCTGAATCCCAGTCTTTCTCTGAGTCTTTCTCTATGTTTATGAGTAAACCTGGGCATGATTAGGGCTGCAGCAATCACACAGCTCTCTGAAGAACTGCTCTGACTGATACTCATCGTAAGCACCTTCCTGCCCTCCAAAATTGTAATACCGTTGAAGGCTAGAGGGTACTGCAAAAGCTTCCTCCAACATGCTGGTGGGGTTAGGAGTGGAGAAGAACAAATGAGCAGCCTTCTAGTGTTATAGACGCCAGACTGTGAGTCCCAGCTGAGCCTCACAGATAAGTTTCTCTGCAGTGTTGGAGCCACACGGGTGTAGTGTTGTATCCTGCCTTCCTACTCAGCATCATTTAAATGTTTCCTCATGCTATTGCAAATGCTCATTATAGATATTCTTAATGGCTGCTTCATATGTCATTGAATGATTGTACTGTATTTGCATAAAATTGGAAAGGTACTTTTTATTTTTTTAAAATAAACCAGAATACAAGCCTAATACTTCAATCATTTATCAAAATACAGAGTTCTGTGTTCCCCTTTAATAAGTTACACTCATTTTTAAGAAAGAAAGTAGGATATTAAATAGTTTCCTTTTGCTTATTTTGACTCCTCTTTACTTTTTCTGCTATTTCAGTGGAGAGGCCTTGCCTTTCCCTTGTAAGGGAAGTTCTACTGATTATTGTTCATACATAGTCACATGACACTGCTAAGAATATCTGCATGACACATGTAAGAAAGGAGGCTAAGCTACTTAAGAGCTCTCATGAGCATGTACTTTCAGATGACAAATATTTAAGGGTGAAATAAAAGTGAAGTATATCAGAAATCCATGTCAGACATGTAAACATGTTATACACTTGAGATTCATCAGTATTTTGATTAATAGATACTTTTCCTTATTTTTGAAGGCAAATGCACAAAACTTGGAATTTTCAATTAAGATGACCTCTTCCCTAAACGTGTTGCTAAATTTTTATGCCACGAGAGAGGGAAACATTGTGAGTTTTAATAATTTATATCTCTGTGGTAAGGAGGAGTTGGAAAAAAAAGAGCAGACCTAGGAAAAATATGCCATAGCATGTTCAGACCTCTGTATCAAATGTGCACAGGAGTAACGTATTTTGAAAGAAGGGAATTAATTCATTTTAATGTATTCTTCCAGTTCTGTGAGTCTCTAGGAGAATTTTTTATTCTATGGAACACATTACTAGGATGTAGAGGGTACATCTGTCTATCCTATAGGATATAGATATAGGTAAACCACAGCATTGAAGTAGGAGCAGACAGAAAGGACAAAGGACCCAAAATGATGGGCTACAACTTGCCTTGTCCTCTTTCCAAACCACGCTGTCCACTGTAATCCTAAAGTGGGGTCCCATATTCCAGTACCAATGGATGACGGAATAAGGAAAGAAAAAAAATTTCCCAGGATGCTTTGGGTAGTCTGAAGTTGGATACAAATAGATAAAGCCACCTCTGTGCTTCTCATTTATTTCCGAGTCTAATACTGAAGCCATCAAAACAACTACATTTTTATGAAGTAGTTTTAACCATCCAATGGAAAAATTGTGCCAGGGTAATACTGGCAAGTTGTTTTCTCCGGTCCACGGGATGTGATGGATGACCTGGGGAGACAGAGGTCCAGCCTTCCCGGAGTGGAGATGGTGAGAGGTTCATCAGTAGCTACAGGCATGTCATGGTGATCACACTGGTAATTTGTAAGTTATAAATGTGAACTTGTAAGTTGTCTCTTAGTTGTGTAAATTTGTTAAAAGGAGGATTTTTGGGGACAGTAAATTGAAGATTTTGTGTTCTTGGCAGTTGCTAGTCCTCGGGTTTTCTACAACTCAGTGTCATCTAAGTCAGATGAGAGTTTCTTCTACAGTGTAGAGAGATGATGATTCTCCCATAAATAAAACTGAGCTCTGAGGCTCTAGGAGGAAAAAGAAAGCCTGACCCTTTTGACTTATAAGTGTGGGTAGGAGAGAATTAGTGACTGCCAAGAACAAAACATTGTCAGCTACCTGTTCCTAAAATGTCCTCCCTCTAACAAACTTAAATGACTAAGAGACAACTTTAAAAGTTCGGATTTATAACTTAGAGATTATCAGGATGGTCACCACGACATGCCTGTACTTCCTGAGAGGGAAGGCACAGAGGTCAAGAGTGTGTGTTCTGATGTTCCTCTTCCTAGAGTAGGGTGTCAGAGAGTATGAGTGTGTGTCTCACAGGGAGTCGAGTAGAGGACTAGTCTAGGGGGAAGCTGCAAACCTCTCCAGGAAGCTCTATTTGTAACCGCATGCTCTGTGACCCAAGAACAACTGTAGTTCATTGACTGGGAAGCTGTCTATCAGGTTTCTACCAAGCATTCTCTGGCTCCTGCCCTTCTGCCTCCCCTGTGGGTCAGCCCACATACCCTCAAGGCACTAGCCCATTCTCCCGGTAGCCATTACCACAGTGTCCACTGGTGCTTTCCAGCTGTCCTGAGCTTTATTCTAAAAGTGAAAATGTGAAGGAACAAAATTTATCCTGGGTCCTGGGATTAAGTTCCACCATTTGTGACTAGGAGAACCTTCTGAGGTTTACATATAAAAACCAAGGCTCTGCAGCTGTTATTTGCTTACACTGTAATTGTAGTGTTTACATATAAATTCTAAGTAAGTACCTGATAGTAATTTGCTCTCTTTGGAATGTAAATATTCTCCTTAAAAAAATCTACTATTAGTTGTCTTAATCCCTTTATTTTGAGAACAAATGGAACAGTAAATTTGAGCCTACTGTGTTTGATCACAAATTCAGAATTGGTGAGGTCTAAGTTAGTGAAGTTTTAATGCATATTTTTTTCATGATCTTGTGTTCTCTAGTATAATTATGTGGTCTAATTTCAAATGTAGCCAGCTGCCAGCTCTTATATTGACACACTTTTATTACAGACAGAAGAAACGTACCAGACTTTTACATAGTAGAGAGAGCAAAGAGGATCATTATCCAGTTGAAACTGAAAGGGAAATTCTCAGTGGGCTGAAGAGCTGTGTATTTTTATTGAGTGTTCATTAGTGGTCTGTGCAGGGGATCCATATTAAAATACCCGAAGAATGTGAAGCAGACAGAGAAAAAAACCCAAAAGGCAGGAGAGACTTACACTGTGTCCAGACAGTCAGGAAACAAAAGCAGGGGATTGCAGGCATCTCTCTAATATCAAGATGACAGGGGGATATTCTGGGCTCTGATACAAACACTGGCCTTTTTTGTTTGTTTTCTCTAAGACCAGTCATTGCAGATAAAGCCAGAAAAATGAATCAAGATTTATAAGCCAGGTTATTTAGTTGCCAATAATCTATGATGGATGTATGTATGTATGTGTGTGATTTCAGAGCCCAGACTCTGCAGTGATGACAGCAATGAAGTCTCTACCTCCTGGGAGCCAGTAGCACACCCACAGTGGTGACCACTAGATATTTCTCCAGACATTGTTAAATGTCTCCTGGGAGACACTATAGTTCCTGCTGAGAATCACTGGTTTAGTCCACAGTTCTCAATTAGGGAAGTCACAACTCCTGCTCCCTTGCCCCACTCCCACACTCCTGCTAATTCTAGCCACTTTTTTCCTCAGGGTGTGGGTATGGGTCTCCATCTAATGCCATTAGAAATGATTTTGCAGGAACTTCTGTCACCAAGTATGGCCAACAGAAGTCATGGAAGCTGTTCTTCCACCTTCACCATGTTCACTTCTGAAGAAGGTTCTACCAGGATCTAATAGAAAATACAATCAAAGTTTACAATACAGGGATAATTAGATCTCCCTCACCAGTTTTCAGCTTCTAGCCCTGTTCTCATTTGTCAGAAATAAAATCATAGTGTCACTTCTGATGGGAAGAGGATGTTTTGCCTAAGACAGCATGAGCTTGGAGCCTCCATGGGGCATCAGGAGAGGCAATGGTTCAAATAGAGGTCAAAATGCCTATAGGATCTGGTGCCTGGTAGTTTTGTGGTGATGGCATTTAGACTGTAGAAAGGAAGGTTCTCTGCACAGCTAGACTGGAGCTGGTCAGGCTTCTCCTGCATTGCAGTGATCCTTGGTAGAATATAGATCTATAGAGAGTGACTGAGGAGAGCCATTTGTGGGCTAGAGTGCCCCTGCAGCCAGAGGGGAGTTCTTTGTTCATTCTTTCATTTACTTAGCAATCAACAATTTAGCCCACATGTGCTATGAACCAAGCATTAGACAAAGGCATGAGAATTGAACATTTATGGAGATAGATTTTTGAAACAGGAAAAAATCAAAAGTAGGGAGCCTGGTCAGTGATCCCACCCAAACTTGGAGCATAGCCAGCAGCCCTTCCCAATTGTGGAGCCCAGTCTGCAGTTCTGCCCAACTATGGGGCACAGCACACAGCTTCACCTGACTTGGGAGACTAGTAACAACTTGATGGGCTGCAGAGCACACCTCTGGTCCCACCCAGGCAGGGAGTACAACCAGACCCTGCTCAATGACAGGCCTCAGCCTGTGGCCCTGCCTAATTTTGTTTTATTTTCAATATAAAATAAATTTGTGGAACAGGTGGTGCTTGGTTACATGGGTAGGCTCTTTAGTGGTAATTTTTGAGATTTTGGTGCAACTGTCACCTGAGCAGTGTACACTGTACTGAATGTGTAGTCTTTTATTTCATCACCCCACTCCCCCCTTCCCCCTGAGTCCCCAAAGTCCTTTATATCATTCTTATACCTTTGTGTCCTCATAGCCTAGCTCTCACAAGTGAGAACATATGATATTTGGTTTTCCATTTCTGAGTTACGTCACTTAGAATAATGGTCCCCAACTCCATCCAGGTTGCTGTGAATGCCACTATTTCTTCTCTCCTCTCCTCTCCTGTTCTCCTCTTCTCTTCTCTTCTGTTCTCCTCTTCTCTTCTCTTCTGTTCTCCTCTTCTCCTCTTCTCGAGATAGTCTCACTCTGTTGCCAGACTGGAGTGCAGTGGCAAGATCTTGGCTCACTGCAACCTCTGCCTTCTGGGTTCAAGCGATTCTCCTGCCTTAGCCACCATAGTAGCTGGGATTACAGGCATGCGCCACCACACCTGGCTAATTTTTTATATTTTTGATAGAGACGGGGTTTCATCATGTTGGTCAGGGTGATCTCGAACTCCTGACCTCAAGTGATCTGCCCACCTTGGCCTCCCAGAGTGCTGGGATTACAGGCGTGAGTCACTGCGCCTGGCCTATTTCATTCTTTTTTATGGTTGAGAAGTATTTCATAGCATATGTATACTACATTTTCTTTACTCACTCATTGGTTGATGAGCATTTAGGCTGGTTCCGTATTTTTGCAATTCCAAATTGTGCTGCTATAAACATGCATATCAAGTGTCTTTTTTAATATAATGACTTCTTTTCCTCTGGGTAAATACCCAGTAGTGGGATTGCCGGATCAAATGGTAGTTTTGCCTTCATTTCTTTAAGGAATCTCCATGCTGTTTCCCATAGTGGCTGTTCTAGTTTAAATTCCCACCAGCAGGGTAAAAGTGTTTCCTTTTCACCACATCCATGCCAGCATCTATTATTTTTTTTATTTTTTGATTATGACCATTCTTGCAGGAGTAAGGTGGTATCTCATTGTGGTTTTAATTTGCATTTCCCTGATCATTAGTGATGTTGAGCATTTTTTCATGTTTGTTGGCCATTTGTGTGTCTTCTTTTGAGAAATGGCTATTCATGTCCTTAGCCCACTTTTTGATGGGATTATTTGTTTTTTTCTTGATGACTTGTTTGAGTTCCTTGTGGATCCTGGATATTAGTTTTTTCAGATGTATGGCTTGCAAATATTTTCTCCCATTCTGTGGGTTCTCTGTTTATTCTGCTGATTATTTCTTTTGCTGTGCAGAAGCTTTCTAGTTTACTTAGGATCCGTCTATTTATTTTTGTTTTTGTTGCATTTGCTTTTGCGTTCTCGGTCATGATCTCTTTGCTTAAGCCAGTGTCTAGAAGAGTTTTTCCAATGTTATCTTCTATAGTTTTTATGGTTTCATGTCTTAGATTTAAGTCTGATCTATCTTGAGTTGATTTTTATATAAAGAGATAGATGAGGACCCAGTTTTACTCTTCTCCATGTGGCTTGCCAGTTATCCCAGCACCATTTGTTGAATAGGGTGTCCTTTCCTCACTTTGTTTTTGTTTGCTTTGTTGAAGATTAGTTGGCTGTAAGTATTTGGCTTTATTTTGGGGCTCTATATGATGTTCCATTGGTCTGTGTGCCTATTTTTTATACCAGTACCATGCTGTTTTGGTACTGGTATAAAATAGTATCAAAAGTGTTTAAAGTTAGGTAATGTGATCTAGCAAGGCCAGAAAAGTTTTCTTCAGTTGTTCCCTCAAAAAGTTTTCCAAACTTTTAGATTTCTTTTCTTCATTAGGAATACCAATTATTCTTAGGTTTGGTCTTTTAGCATAATCTCAACTTTTTTGGAGGCTTTGTTAATTTTTTTATTCTTTTTTCTTTGTGTTTGTCTGATTAGGTTAATTAAAAACCTTTGTCTTCAGGCTCTAAAGTTCTCTTTTCTTGTTCTAGTCTATTGTTGACATTTTTCAGTGCATTTTGTATTTTTCCAAGTCTTTCATTTCCAGAAGTTGTGATTGTTTTTTCTTTATGACATCTATTTCCCTGGAGCATTTTTCATCCATATCCTGTACTGTTTTTTAAAATTTTTTTAAGTTGGTTTTCCTCTTTCTCTGGTATCTCCTTGAATAGCTTAATAACCAACCTTCTGAATTCTTTTTCTGGCAATTCAGAGATTCCTTCTTGGTTTGGATCCATTGCTTGGGAGCTGGTGTGATCTTTTGGGGTGTTACAGAATCTTCTTTTGTCATATTACCAGAATTACTTTTCTGGTTCCTTCTCATTTGGGTAGACTATTTCAGTGGAGAGGTCTTAATCTCAAGCCCTGCTGTTCAGATTCCTTTGTTCCATAGGGTGATCTCTTGATGTGGTGCTTTCCCCCTTCTCCTAGGGGTGGGGTTTCCTGAGACCTTGACTGCAGTGATTGTTATTGCTCTTCTGGGTCTAGCCACCCAGAGGGGCAACCAGGCTCCAGGCTGGTGCTGGGGGAATGTTTGCAAGGAGGTGTGTGATGTGATTCATCTTTGGGTCTCCCAGCCATGGATACCAGCATCTGCTCTCACAGAGGTGTCAGGGAAGTGAAGTAGACTTCATGAGAGTCCTTGGTTATAGATATATGTACTATGCTGGCTTTCTTGAATGCTGGTTATGCTAGCAGTGAAGTTGTCACATGGACACATTCAAAATTTCTGGTTAGCCAAGACGTTGCAGTTAGGGAAATTAGGTATTGTCTTCTTCCTGGGGTCAGGTTTATTCTGTCATGATTTGCTGTAATGGCCTAAGTTGGTTATCCTCCAGCCAGGAGGTGGTGTTTTCAAGAGAGCATGAGCTCTAGTAGTAGTAGGGGAATCCAAGTTTGCCCTAAGATGGCCAGGGTAATTATATTGGTATCTCAGGTGATGGGCAATATTGTAAAGCTCCCAAAAGTTTCTATGTTTTGTGTTAGGCTACCAGAGCAGGTAGGGAAATACATCAGGCAGGGGCAGAGGAAGGAGAGTCTGGTTTCAGACTCTCCTTGGACGGGGCTTCCTGCGGCCACTATGGGGTGTGAGGGGGTGGTTCTCAGGCCAATGGGGTTATGTTCCAGAGGGGATCATGGCTGCTTCTGCTATCTCATATGGTTTGCCAGGGAGGTGGGGCAAGAGGCTGGTAGCTGGTAGCAGGAGGCTTCACCCAGCTCCTACACAGTTGGTGAGGCCGGTCTCACTCCCACAGTGCCCCACTCAGACCTTGTCCCGGGTTGTGAGCTGCCCCACTGAGAAAGCAAGCATGGCTTTTGGACCTTGCCTATCCCTGTCTTCTCACTCTGTTGGCAGCTCCTGCACTCCTGCACTTGTGTCTGCAGCAGCTCCCGCTTCTCCCCAAGACTCTGCTCAAGAAAATTTGTCCACTACCAATTTCAGTTGGGAGATTTTTCACCCTGCAACCCCTCCTCAATTCTGCTGGCTGCCTTCTTGAGGCCCCCTGTGAGATATAGTCAGAGATGGCTTCCTGGGGCTTGAGCTGGAGACTGGGAGTGTCTTCAAAGCATTTCCTGCTGCTACTTCTACTATTATATTTTGTGCAACTCCCTAAATTCATTTTACTTCTAGGTAAGGTTAAATCCTTCTTTCATGATTTGGATTTTCAGATTCCCCAGTGGGGATGTGTGTTTGGAGGCAGATTTCCCCCTCTTACACTTTGGGAACTCACAGTTTTTGGCCTGTTTCACAGAATTTGCAGTGGTGTGCCACTTCTTTCAAATGATTTGTGAATTCTTTCAGTTTTTCTGGTACATTCCTGTGGTGGTTCTTGGAGCAAACAATCACAGTGTGCGTCTCTACATGCTGCTCTGTTCATACATGTGGGAGCTGCACATTAGCCCTGCCTTCTATCCACCTTCTTCCCCGCTCCCTGCCTGATTTTAGAGCCCAGCCTGTAGCCTTGCCCAATTGTGGAACACAGCCAGAGTCCTAGTCCAGTTGCATAGCCCAGCCTGCAGCCCCATTTGAATGCACAGTAGAACCAGAAACACCACCCACTGGAAAAGCACAACCTGGGGTCTCACCTGGCCAGGGGCAATTATACAGCCCAGCCAAAAGCCCTGCCTGACCACGATCCCAACAAGCAGCCCCTTCCAGAGCCCAACCAGCGGAGCTACCCAGCCACAGATCACAATCAGCAGCCTTGGCCAGCTTCAGATCATGGGCAGCAGCCCTGCCCTATTAGATACTTTGTCAGCAAGCCTCACATGCCCACAGAAACAACTAGATGGTCCATCCATCTGATGGCCCCTGGACTAACTAGTGAAGGTCCTTCCCTGCCCAAGTGAACATGTAAAAGCCTTGAAGAGATAATTAACTCCCCGATATGCAGACATTGATGTAAGGATATGAGGTTCATAAAGAATCAAGGAAACGCGGCAAGCAGCAAAGGAAATGAACAAAGCACCAAAAAACACTAAAGAAATAAATATCAATGAGATGCGGTGGCTCATGCTTAATCTCAGCACTTTGGGAGGCCAATCTCAGCACTTTGGGAGGATTCTTTGAGCCCAGGAGTTTGAGACCAGCCTGGACAACATAAGACCTTATAGATTTTTTAAAGAAATTATCCAGGCATGGTGGTGTATGCCTATAGTCCCAGCTACTTGGGAGGCTGAAGTGGGAGTATTGCTTGGGCTTGCGAGGTCAAGGAGGCAGTGAGCCAAGACCATGCTACTGCACTCCAGCCTGAGTGACAGGGTGAGGCCCTGTCTCAGAAACAAAAGACAAGAAAAGATAACACAGGAGGGAGGGAGGGAGGAAGGAAGGAAGGAAGGAAGGAAAAATGAGTATCTATGAACCGATTGACAAAGAATTAAAAATAATCTCAAGGAAGTTTAGTGAATGACAAAAAAAGACAGCTAAAGGAAATTAAGAAAACAATACATGAACAAAATGAAAAGTTCAAAGAGAAATCATTTTTTAAAATTCTAGAGCTGAAGAATTCAGTGACTGAACAAATAATTCAATAGAGAGCTTCAACATAATTCTCAATCAAGCAGAGGAAAGAATCCCTGAACTCTAAGACAGGTCAATTGAATTATCCAGCCAGAGGAGCAAAAAGAAAAAGAATGAAAGAGTGAAGGAAGCCCACAGGAAGTTCTAATACTATAATGGTGGTGTATAAATCATTTTCAACTCTGATATAAGAGTTAAAAAACAAACATATTAAGCATAACCATAATTACAATAATTTGTTCCTGGATACAGAATATGACAAAAGGTATAAATTGTAACATCAATAACCTAAAATGTGAAGGAGCAAGAGCAAAATTATAGTTATTATATATGATCAAAATTAAATTGTTATAAGCTTAAAATAGGATATTATAGCTATAAGGTATTTTAAGTAAGCCTCATGGAAACCAAGAAGGAAAAACCTGTAGAAGATACACAGAAAATTAAGAGAAAGGTATGAAAGTATACCATGACAAAAAGTCATCAAATTGCAAAGGCATGCAGCAAAAGAGAAAGAGAGAAACAAAGGAACTACAAAGCAGCCAGAAAACAATGAACAAAATAGCAATAGTAAGTCCTTACCTATGAATAATTATTTTAAACATAAATGGATTTCATTCTCCAATCAAAAGACATAGAGTGAGTGAATGGGTTTTTAAAAGACAAGGTCTAGTGATTTGCTGCCTTCAGGAGACTCACTTTAGCTTTAGGGACACACATAGACTGAAAGTGAAAGGATGGAAAAATATATTCTGTGAAAATGATAACCAAAAGAAATCAGGAATGGCTATACTTATGTTAGACAAAATACACTTTCAATAAAGCAAAATGGCCCCAAGAGACAATGAACGTCAGTATATAATGATAAAGGGGCCAATTCATCAAAAAGATATTATAATTTAGGCACCCAACATTGGAGAACCTAACTATATAAAGAAAATAGTAACAGAGTTGAAAGGAAAAATAAATAGCAATGCAGTAACAGTAAAAGATTTTAATATCCCACTTTCAACAACAGATAGATCATCCAGACAGAAAATCAATAAAAAATTAGCAGATTTTAATAACACTATAGACCAAATGGAGTTAACAGACATATATAGAACTTTCCATCCAATAGAAGCAAAATAGACATTCTTTCCAAGGGCACACAAAACATTCTCCAGGATAGATTATATGTTAGGCCACAAAAAAAGTTGTAACAAATTCAAGAAGTTTGGAATCATTTCAAATGTATTTTCTGACCACAATGGTATGAAACTAAAAATTAATAACAGGAGGAAAATTGGAAAATTTACAAACACAAGAGAATTAAAACACTCCTGAACAACCAATGGGTCAAATAATAAATCAAAAGGGAAATTTTTAAATACCTTGAGAGAAACAAAAATGGAAACACCATAAACCAAAACTTAAGAGGAGGCAGTAAAAGCAGTTCTGAGAGGGAAGTTGTTAGCAATAAATGTCTACCTTAAGAAAAAGAAAGATTTCAAATAAACAGCCTTACTTTACACCTCAAGGAACTACAGAAAGAATAATAAGCTATGTTCAACATCAACAGAAAGAAAGGAAGCAATAAATATTAAAGCAGAAATATAGAAAATAAAGACTAGAAAAACAATAGAAAAGACCAATGAAACTGAGTTGGTTTTTTGAAAAAAAAAAAAAAATAGACAAACCCTTGGCTAGACTAACGAAAGATGGAGAGGACTTGAGTAAATAAAACTCTAAATGAAACAGGATACAACTGATACAGTGGAATTACAAAGGATCATAAGAAAGCACTGTAAACAATTATAAACCAACAAATTGGATACCCTAGAAGAACGAGTAAATTCTTAGGAACATACAACCGGCCATGACTGAATTATGAAAAATGACAAAATCTGAACAGACCAATAATGAATAAGGAGATTGATTTAGTAATCAAAAACCTGCCAACAAAGAAAAGCCCCAGACTAGATGACTTTAAAGGTGAATTCTGCCAAGCATTTAAAGAACTGTTGCCAGTCCTTCTCAAACTCTTCTGAAAAACTGAAGATGAGGGAGCACTTTCAAATTCATTTTATGAGGCTAACATTACATGGATACTAGAGCAAGATGGGGACATGACAAGAAAATCGCAGAAGAATAACTCTGATGAACATAGATGTAAAAATTCTTAACAAAATATTAGCCAACTTAACAGCAATTAGAAGTATCATACACTATGGTTAAGCATGTCAAGGGATCTTATCCCTGATATGCAAGGATGGTTCAACATATACAAATCAGTAAAGGTTATGCAAACACATTAACAGAATGAAGAATCATAAGATTATAAAATGCAGAAAAAGCATTTGACAAAATTCAACATCCTTCTGAGATTAGAAAACTCAACAAATTGTTTATAGAAGAAAATGTACCCCAAAATAATAGAAGCCATATATAACAAGCCCACAGCTAACATCATACTCAGCAGTGAAAAGCCGAAAGCTTTTTCTCTAAGCTCAGAAACAAGACAAGGGTGCCCACTCTCACTGCTTCTATTCAACATAGTACTAAAAGTTCTATATGTAGGCAAGAAAAGGAAATACAAGGCATACAAATGCAAAAAGAAGTATAATTATTTCTGTTTGCAGATGACATGATCTTATGTATAGAAAACTCTAAAGACTCCACACACACATACACAAAACTGTTAGAACTAATAAATAAATTCAACTATACACTGGAACTCATTCCTGGTCCTGAATGACTCCTGGGGAAGGTGTGAGTTGAGCAGGTGAGGAGCAACCTGCTCTTGCCACAGACCTCTGGAATCCTGGCAGCAGAAGACCCCAAAACCCCCATGAACACTTGAGCTTGCAGGGAGAGCTGCTTAGAGAGGTGGTAGGAGGATAACTCCAGCTTGTACAGAGCCCAGAGGGTTTGATATGGCAGCATCTCTAGTGGAGCATGATCATGAATGCCCATTGCCCAAGGCTTGTCTTGCTCCCTTAGGAGACTTTAGCCTTTGGGGAACTGTCAGACCTGAACAGATCAGGGTGATCTTGTTCATGAGATGGGGCTAGTTCAACCTGAGGACCTCCCTGTCTTCTGGCCTCTCACGGGGGCCCAGCCTGGCTGCACCTTCTTGTGGTACATCCTTAGATGCCCAGCTAGGGTGTCTCCCAGAAGCCCACACTGTAGCTCCTGTGCTAGAAGACCATGCCTGACCATTGAAGAGCTCCAGCAAAGTGGCCCTTTCTGAATTGCACTAGCCCACCTACTCCCTGCCCCAACTACAGCCTCCTCCATGCTGCATTGCTAGTATACACTTGCCCACGGCCACTCCCCACATCAATTCACTAGTGTATGCACACATGGGTTGACCTTGCCTTCCTTTCCCATTGGCATGTGTAGGCATGTATACCCCACTAGTGTGAACATGTGCACAGAAGGCACCAGCCCCATACCTGCCAGCACCCCATTCCTGCACTGATTCTGCCACTGGAGTGAACATGCACACAGATGCTAGCACCCCTGCTTCTGCCAATGCCCTGTCTCAGCCAACAAGCATGCGTTCTGCTGCACTGCTGCTGCTGGCACATGTGAATGAGCACAGGTCCCACTGCAACCCACTAGTGGAGCGCTTTGGCTGGCACCACCCATAAGGGTGTTGTGACCAGTGGTCCAGGAACATGTTGGCGTCTTCAGTGCAGCAGGTTCCTAACCTCAACAGGCTAGGGAGCAAAGCCATGGCTTGATGCTAGCCCCCCAGAGTTAGAGCATGCAGCTCACGAGTCCTCAGCTGACCCTTGGTCCCCTAAATCTTCCAGAAATGAAGCTAGTCAACCAGGCTTACCTTATACCATAATCAAACCCCCAAGGACATCAAAGAGGATAAAAGAAATAAAAACCCATCTAAAGGACAGCAAATTCAAAGATTAAAGGACCATCAGCCCACAAAGATGTGAAAGAACCAGCAAAAGAACTCTGGCAAATCAAAAAACCAGAGTGTTTTCTTACCTCGCAACAACCACACTAGTTCTGCAACAGTGGTTCTTAACCAGACTGAAATGGCTGAAATGACAGAAATAGAATTCAGAACATGGATAGAAATGAAGATATCAAGATTCAGGAGAAAGTTGAAACCCAATCCAAGGATGCTATTGAATTCAATAAAATGATACAGGAGATGAAATATGAAATGGCCATTTTAAGAAAAAACCAAACTGATCTGATAGAGCTGAAAAACCCACTTTAAGAATTTCAGAATACAATCAAAAGTATTAAGAGCAGAATCAACCAAGCTGAAGAAAGAATCTCAGAGCTCAAGGACTAGCTCTCTGAAATAATTCAGAGAAAAGTAAAGGAAAAAACAATAAAGAAAAATGAACAAAACCTTCAAGAAATATGGAATTATGTAAAGAGATCAAATCTACAACTCATTGATGTCCCTGAAAAAGAGAGAGAAAGCAAGCAACTTGGAAAACATATTTCAGGACATCATCCATGAAAAGTTCCTTAACCTTGCCAGAGAGGCCAACATTCAAATTAATGAAATGCAGAGAATCATTGTGAAATACCACACAAGAAGGCCATCCCCAAGACATGTAGTTATCAGATTCTCCAAGGTTGGAATGAAAGAAAAAATATTAAAGCCAGAGAGAGAGAAGGGGTGGGTCACCTACAAAGGGAACCCCATCAGGCTAACAGTGGACATTTCAGCAGAAACTCTTAAGCCAGAAGAGATTGGAAGCATATATTTAGCATTCTTAAAAGAAATTCCAAACAAGAATTTCATTTCCAGCTAAACTTAGCTTCATAAGCAAAGGAGAAATAAGATCCTTTTTAGACAAGAAAATGTTAAGAGAATTTATTACCATCAGCCCTGGATTATAAGAGGTCCTGAAGGGAGTGCTAAATATGGAAAGGAAAGACTGTTACCAGCCACTACGAAAACATGCTTAAATGCATAGACCAGTCACACTATAAGCAACCATACAAACAAGTGTGCATACTAACCAGCTAACAACAGGATGACATAATCAAATATGCAAAAAGCAGGGATTGCTATTCTAATTTCAGACAAAAAATACTATAAGCCACTAAAGACAAAAAAGTCAAAGAAGGCATTTTGTAATGATAAAGGGCTCCATTCAACAAGAAGACCTAACTATCCTAAATATATACACATCCAACACAGGAGCACCCAGATTCATAAAGCAAGTTCTTAGAGACCTACAAAGAGACTTAATCATACAATAGTACTGGGAGACTTCAACACCCCACTGACTGTGTTAGGTCATCAAGGCAGAAAACTAATAAAGATATTTGGGACTTGAACTTGACACTTGACCAAATGGACCTGATAGACTTCTACAGAACTCTCCACTCCAAAACAACAGAATATCCATCCATTCTTTTCACCTGCACATGGTATGTACTCTAAAATCAACCACACAATTGGGCATAAAACAATCTTCAGTGCCTTAAAAGAAAACAACCAAAATTATACCAATCATATTCTTGGACCACAGTGCAATAAAAAATAGAAGTCAATGCCAAGAATATTGCTCAAAACCATGCTAACTACATTAATTACATGAAAATTAACCCTCCCCTTGAATGAATGACTTTTGGGTAAATAATGAAATTAATGCAGAAATCAAGAAATTCTTTGAAACAAATGAGAAAAAAGTTACAACATACTACAATCATAGGGACACAGCTAAAGCTGTGTTAAGAGGGAAGTTTATGGCACTAAACACTCACATCAAAAAGCTAGAAGTATCTCAAATTAACAAGCTTACCATACCTAGAGAAACAAGAGAAACAAGAAAACCAACTCCAAAGCTAGTAGAAGACAAGACGTTAACAAAATGAGAGCTGAACTAAAGGAATTTGAGATATGAAAAACTATGCAAAAGATCAACAGATCCAGGAGTAGTTCTTTGAAAGAATTAATAAAACAGGCCACCACCTAGACTGATAAAGAAAAAAAGAGAGGATCCAAATAAACACAATAAGAAATGACAAAGGGGACATTACCACCAACACCACAGAAATACAAAAAACAAAAACAAAACCTCTCAGAGGCTACTATGAACACTTACTTCTATGTATACTATTTAGAAAATCTAGAAGAAATGGATAAATTTCTGCAAATGTACAACCTCCCAAGATTGAACCAGGAAGAAATTGAATCCCTGAACAGATCAATATGAGTTCTTAAATTGAATCAGTAATATAAAGCTTACCATCCAGAAAAAGCTCAGGACCAGATGGATTCACAGATGAATTCGACCTGATGTAAAACGAACAACTGGTACTATTCCAAAAAATTGAGGCAAGACCCCCTCCTTAACTCATTCTATAAGGCCAGTATCATCTTGACACCAAAACCCAGCAGGGACACAACAACAACAACAACAAACTGTAGGCCAACGTTCTTGATGATCATAGATGCAAAAACCCTCAAAAAAATACTAGCAAACCAAATCCAGCAGCACATCAAAAAGCTAATCCATGATTATCACATAGGCTGTATCTCTGGGACGCAAGGTTGTCTCAACATATACAAATTAATAAATGTGATTTATCACATAAACAGAACTAAAAACAAAAATCATATGATGATCTCAATATATGCAGAAAATGCTTTCAATAAAATTCAACATCCCTTCATGCTAAAAAATCTCAATAAACTAGGCATTGAGGGAACATACTTCAAAATAGTAAGAGCCATCTGTGACAAACACACAGCCAATATCATACTTAATGGGCAAAGCCTGGAAGCATTCCCCTTTGAAAACCAGTACAAAACAAGGATGCCCTTTCTCATCACTCCTATTCAACATACTGTTGGAAGTCCTAGTCAGAGAAATTGGACAAGAGGAAAAAAAATACATCAAATAGGAAGAGAGGAAGTCAAACTACCCCTGTTTGCAGACAATATGATTCTATACTTAGAAAACCCAATAGTCTCTGCCCAAAAGCTCCTTAATCTGATTAATAACTTTACAATAAAGTTTCAGGATACAAAAATAAGTGTACAAAAGTCACTAGCATTCCTATACACCAACAACATCCAAGCTGAGAGACAAATCAGTAATCCAGTTCCATTAACAATAGCCACAAAAAGAATAAAATACCTAGGACTACAGCTAACCAGGGAAGTGAAAGATCTCTACAATGAGAATTTAAAAACACTGCTAAAAGAAATCTGTCATGACACAAACAAATGAAAAACATTCCATGCTTATGGATAGGAAGAATCAAAACAGTTAAAGTGGCCATACTGCCCAAAGCAATTTACAGATTTAATGCTATTCCTATCAAACTACCAATGACATTCTTCACAGAATTAGAAAAAGCTATTTTAAAATTCATATGGAACAAACGAAAAAAAGCCTAAATAGCCAAGGCAATCCTAAGCAAAAAGAACAAACCCAGAGACATCATATTACCCAATTTCAAACTATACTCCAAAGATACAGTAACCAAAACAGTACAGTGCTGGTACAAAAACAGATACATAGACCAATGGAATAGAATAAAGGGCCCAGAAATAATGTCACACATTTACAACCATCTGATCTTTGACAAAATTAACAAAAGCAAGCCATGGAGAAAGAACTCCCTATTCAATAAATAGTGTTGGGATAACTGGCTAGCAATATGCAGAATATTGAAGGTGGACCCCTTCCTTACACTATATGCAAAAATCAGCTCAAGGTGGATTACAGACTTAAATGTAAAACTGAAAACTATAAAAACCTTAGACGATAACCTAGGAAATACCATTCCACATGTATAACCTGGCAAAGATTTTATGACAAAGATACTAAAAGCACTTGCAACAGAAACAAAAATTGACAAATGGGACCTAATTATACTAAAGAGCTTCTGCCCAACAGAAACTATTAACAGAGTAAACAGAGTAACAGAGTAAACAGAGTAAACAGACAACCCACAGAATGGAAAAAAAATTTTCAAACTATGCATCTGGTAATGGTCTAAAATCCAGCATCTATAAGGAACTTAAACAAATTAACAAGCAAAAAATAAACAATCCCATAAAAGGTAGGCGAAGGATATTAACAGACACTTTTCAAAACAAGGCATACCCATGGTCAACAAGCATATGAAAAAATGCTCTGCATGACTGATCATTAGAGAAATGCACATCAAAACTGCAATGAGATACCATCTCACACCAGTCAGAATGGCTATTAAAAATGTCAAAAAATAATAAATGCTGGTCAGGTTGCAGAGCAAGGGGAACACTTATACTCTGATGGTGGGAATGTAAATAAATTCATCTGTTTACTGGAAAGCAGTGTGGTGATTTATCAGAGAACTTAGAAATACCATTTGACTCAGCAATCCCATTATTGGGTATATACCCAATGGAATATAAATCACTCTACTATAAAGACACGTACAGGCATATGTTCATTGCGGTACTGTCCATAATAGCAAAGTCATGGACTCAACCTAAATGCCCATCAATGGTAGTAGACCAGATAAAGAAAATGTGGTAAATATACACCATGGAATACTATGCAGGCATAAAAAAGAATGAGATTACGTCCTTTGTAGCAACATCAGTGTAGTTAGAGGCCACTATCCTAAGCAAACTAACACATTAATAAAAAACCAAACACCACATGTTCCCACTTATCAGTGGGAGCTACACATTGAGTACATATGGACACAAAGATGGGAATAACAGACACTGGGGCCTACTTGAGGGTAGGGAGGGTGGAATTGAGGTTAAGGATTTAAAAAAAAAATCTAGCTATCAAGTACTGTGCTGATTACCTGGGTGGTGAAATAATCTATACACCAAACGCCCATGACACATAATTTACCTGTATAACAAACCTACATATATACCCCTGAACCTAAAATAAAAGTTAAAAAAATAAGTGAATTCAGCAAACCTGCAGGATACAAAGTTGACATACAAAAATCAGTTACATTTCTATATCATAACAAAACTACCTGAAAAAGAATACAAGGCCATTTACAATCACATCAAAAATAATAAAAAATTTTTTTTTGAGACGGAGTTTCGCTCTTGTTGCCGAGGCTGGGGTGTAATGGTGTGATCTCAGCTCACCGCAACCTCCACCTCCCGGGTTCAAGTGATTCTCCTGCCTCAGCCTCCTGAGTACAAAATCCTAGAAATAAATTTGCCCATGGTGGTAAAAGATCTGTACATTGAAAATTAAAAGACATGGATGAAAGAAACTGAAAACAAACACATAGAAAGACTTCCTATGTTCTTGGATTGGAAGAATTAATGTTGTAAAAATATGTATACTACCCAAAGCATTCTCTAGATCCAGTGCAACCCCTATCAAAATTCTAATGGCATTTTTATAGAAATAGAGAAAAACTTTTAAACATTTATATAGAGCCACAAAAACCTCCAAGTAGCCAAGGCAATTTTGAACAAAAAGAACAAAGTTAGAGGCATCATACTTCCTGATTTCAAACAATATTACAAAGCTGTAGTAATCCAACAGTATAGTACTGACATAAAAACCAGTTCATAGACCAGTGGAACAGAACTGAGAGCCCAGAGATAAACCCATGCATATATAGATAACTAATACCTAATAGTGAAACCAAGCATTCACAGTGGGCAAAGGATAGTTTCTTCAGTAAGTGGTGTTGAGAAAACTGGATATCCGCCTGCCAAAAAATAAAATAGGGCTCCTCTCTTACACTACTTGGAAAAATTAACTCAAGGTGGATTAAAGGTTTAAATGTAAGACTTGAAACCATAAAACTCCCAGGAGAAAACATTAGGAAAAAGCTCCTTTATGTTGGCTTTAGCAATGATTTTTTTCACAAAAGCACAAGCAACAAAAAAATAAACATGTTGTACTACATTAAACTAAAAAGCTTCTGCATAGCAAAAGAAACACTGAACAAAGTGAAAACACATTCTACAGAATAGGAGAAAATATTTGCAAACTACATACGTATCTAATAAGATTTTAATATCCAAAAATATAAGGAACTTATATAATGCAATAGCAAAAAGCTCACAAATCCCATTTAAAAAATAGGCAAATGATGAATAGACATACAAATGGCCTACAGGTATATGAAAAAGTGCTCAACATCACACATCACAGAAATGCAAAGAAAACCACGTTGAGATATCTTGTCACCCCTATTAGGATGGCCATTATCAAGAAACAAGAGATAACAAGTGTTTGTCAGGATGTGGAGAAAAGGGAATCCATGTGCACTGTTATTGGAAATGTAAATTGGTACGGCCATTATGGAAAACAGTTTGGCAGCTCCTTAAAAAATTAAACATAGGACTGCCATATGATCCAGTAATCCTACTACTGGGTATATATCCAAAAGAAACAACATCATTATTTCAAAGACATATCTGCACCTCCATGTTCATTGCAGCATTATTCACAATAGCCAGGACATGGAAGCAACCTAAGTATCCATCAGCAGATGAATGGATGAAGAAAAGGTGAGATTGATATCAAATACAATAATATAATAAAATATTCAGTCATAAAAATGAGGGGAATCCTTCTCTCTCACTGTCTTTTTGTATATTTGCATGTGTGTGCACACCCACATAGTAATGTGTAGTTCAGGGGAACACTCCAAGATAAGGAGGGACCCTAGAACCATGAAGTACCATATACTTTTGGGCCCTGCTCCCTAGTGGGCTGAGGTCCATCACAGAGGATGGTACCTAAGCATGGGAGGTAGAAAGCAATGGCTCTGTCCTGCTTCTCTGAGAACTGGGCCAAATCTACAGGCAAGAAATTTACAATTGTGGTAGTTCTTGTGCTAGGAGCCTTCTTGGATATTGTATGTTCTTTACAAGGTTGTATCCATTTGACTTTTTTGGGGGTATTGAGGTCCCTAAAAGATAAATTGTGAGGCCATCCTCAGAGGCAATTTGTGTGGATTTCACTGGGTTTTTCTTTTCTCCTGCAACACCAATTAAGTGCTTTTCTTGGCTCTGTTGGATAAGGGACTGAGTTCCTGAGATTCAGAGTTCTTTGTGTTCTGCTTGGGAGTTCTGCCCTGGGTACCTCTCCAAACCCTTGACATTTATTGAGCACCAATTATATGCTAGGTAATATGCTTTATCTGGGAGTTTAAAATGCCAAAATAGAGTATATTAACCATATCTTTTATTTCCTGTATTCTGATCCTTTGACATCTGGAGACTTGCTGACCCTAAAGGGTCTGCTCCTTCAAGAATTTGCCCGTTCCTAGAGATAGTAAACAACTGGTCCAGGGAGTATGCCTTTCAAGTGCAAACCAATGAATCCAAAGCTCACACCCCAAACACCTCCTTTACGGAGCTCTCACACTGAAGTGTAAGTCTTTTTGGATATAAAATTATGGGTTGATAGTCTTTTTCTTTCATTTTCTTTGAATATGTCAACTCACTACCTTCTGTCCTCCACAATTTCTCGTAAGAGGTCAGCTGTTAACTTTATTGAGGATCACTTGTATGTGATGTGTTACTTTTTTTCTTCTTGAAAAGACAGAATTGAAAATATTCTGTCTTTTCTTTGGTTTTTGACAGTTTGACTGTGATGTGCCTAGGCATGGATCTTTTTGAGTTTATCCTACCTGGAGTTCTTCAAGATTTCTGGATGTGCGATTAATACTTTTCATCAAATTTGAGAAATTCTCCACATTATTTATTCAGATTATCTTACATCCCTTTTTAAGATCACTTCTGTTTTTCTGAGTCTTCCATTAGAAATATTTCGGTGTGCTTGATGACCTTCCACAAGTTTCTGAGACTCTCTTCATTCTTTTCACATTCCTTTTTTTAATTGTTCAGACTAATCTGAATTGATTTATCTTCAAGTTACCTGATTATTTCTGCCAGTGCAGATATACTGTTGAGCCCTTCTAGTGATTTTTTTAAAATTAGTTGTTGCACTTTTCAACTCCAGAATTTTAATTTGTTTTTTTTCATAATTTCTATCTCTCTATTGATATTCTCTGGTGATACATCATTCTTATACTTTCACTTAAGTCTTGAGACATGGTTTCTTTTAGTTCTTTGATAGTATTTATAATAATTTATTTAAAGCCTTTGCGTACTTCTCTCAAGATAAGGGAGTAGAGAGCCTAGAGTTCAAACTCAACCTGGATTGAAGTCCCCTTCTTTGACTTCCATTGCCATTACATCTGGCAAGTAGTTTAATCAAGCTGAGAATCTGTTTTACCATCTGTAACATGGGACTATGATTCCATCTTTCATAGTTTTACATGACATTATCCATAGCACTTACTGCCGTCTCCGATAAACCAAGGTACTATCCCCTCCCCCAAACTCCTCATCTCCCTCAGAATACATGTATTCAGTATCTTCTTGGCATGGAGGGAAGCAAAGACTAACAATGTGTGGCTCCTCATCTCACAGAGATCTGCCATTAGCAAACAGTTGCATGCCAACGGCATGAGATATGTCAAGGTGGAGGGGTGGGAAGCAGGAAAGGGGGCACCTAACTTGGTCAGGGAAGTTTTTTAGTGTATAATGCATATCCTGGCTCTGGGGAGTTGCCTAGGTGAAATGCCAAGGAGAGAGGCCTGAAGCACACAGTATTTGGAGGGAACTGCAGGGGGGTTGCCATGACTGGAATGCAGTCACATCCAGGGCAAGGGCAAGGGCAGGGGCAGGGGCATAGCAGGGGTCATTCAGACAGGAAGGGCCTAATACTGCAAGCCAGGAAGTTTGGTCTTTTCTCATTCCTGGGAAATCTCTTTAGCTAATGACGGTACTTCTAGACATCCTTACCCTGCCCTGAAAGAGGGAAGAAGGAGAGACCTGACACAGACTGAATAATGTGCAGGTATGTGAGTGCCAGGAAGGACTGGATTAGGTTGTAGCAAGCACCATTGTTCCAATTTGTTCCATTCTTCCAATTTGTTCCATTCTTCCAAACTGACAGGTGTCATGGGAGAGAATTCTCAAATGATACAAATAGATTAATATTTTCGTTTAGCTAGAGCTAAGCCTGAGTTTACTTACTGATATTTTCTTCTGGCTATAGAACTGCCTTAAGGTTAATAAAGTCTTTTTTCTTTTTTTTTGGGTTTTACTTTTCTGTCTGTTTTAGGAAATATTTCTCTAAAAGGGCATTTTCACTTAGCATTCATGTTTTTTCCCATATCCTGTAAATGAAGGAAGTCAAAGGAAATCAAAATATAAACTTGGATGCAAAATCAGATTTAAATTTCTAGATTAAAAAATAACTGTTTTCACGCCCTTTCTCTGTAGTTAACTTGTGTTTTTCCAATGAAAACATTAAATACAACCAGGCATTATTTTGAGCTTAATTTCAGCAGATGTTTCATTATTCCTTGTGCAAAGGGAAATGTGATCACAGGGCTTTCTTTGGGTCTCAGCAGTTACTTACACCAACTTATACTATAGTTCATGACGTAGTGACTGATGAGTAGTTCAGTATGGAATGAATGATGTCATGTCTTCAGGTTTTCTGATCTTAATTCCTGCCAAAGAAAAGATGAAGTGTATATACTAGCTGAGGATATTATTCTGTCCAGTCCATTTTCCCATGTAGGTGGGCTGTCAGACCAACAGGAGATTTACTGTGATTCAATGACACACGCCTCTGGGACCTTTCATTTCTCTGTAGCTGCATCCTATGCTAGAAGGCAGTGAGGGTTATTCTAATTTGAGAAGCAGATACCTTTGGGAGAGGCAGATTGTATTTAGAAAACCCCCAAATAGGAACATTATAGAACACAGTGCTTGAATATGGCCCAATTAAGTTAGATCTTTTGGTTTAGCCAAGGGCTTCAAGTGTATAGAACTGTTTGCAATTTGGAATGCCAGTCACTTAAAATTTAAATAAATGTAGGCTTGTGATTTGAGTTCAACTTTGAAAACTGCATGGACTTTAGGGCTATCCTTTAAAAATAGTTTTTATTATGCATGGAGGAAAATCTTTAGTCAGCATGAGTTCTTCTTATAATCAATCTTTGAACAGCAGAGTGGGATGGCAAACAGGTTAGGAACATAAATTCAGGAGCCAAACGTCTTCAACTTGTAGCCGTTTACTTGCCCAGTGACAGTGGTCAACTTAATTTAACTGTCTTTCGACTCAATTTCTCTCAATTAAAGAAGAGAAAATATAGTAACTATAAAAGGGTTCTTGAGAGACTTTAGAGCAGAGCCTGCCAAAATAACACATTCCACAAAAAATGATAGCTACTATCATTATTATTAATGATTATCATCATCATTAACATCACTGAGACCTGTATAGTTGTCTAATGGAGATAGTGTTTTCAGAGGTTGTGATGATGTGTAGAAATTATGTCTGAATTATCTAGAATTATTTTTTAATTTTTAAAAACAATTTCAAGTGTTATTAGCATGAAGAGAATAATAATAAACAGTGCTTACTGAGTACCAAGCATTATATGTGTATGCTATAATATATATAAAATATATAGAAAAAACTGAACCCAGTACAGTTGTATATCTTGAAAAGGTGACTGCAGCTGTCACACACCATAGATGCTTGAAGCTATTATTTAAGATATTTTTGTATCTCTGCATAGTTGGGCCTGGAGTTTCATTTATGAAATAGAGACAACTGATGAATTTTTTCTAATCTTCCAGCTTTATTTTTAGAAATCATATTATTTTTCATTTGCTTTTTTCTCCTAATGTGAATAGCATAAATAGTGCTTCTGATTATAAAGTTAATGAATACTTACATAGAGAAATGTAAAGACTATTATTGTCTTAATAATTCCAACAGTCTCTATACGCTTTCGGTCTGATTTTTCTTTCTTTCTTTTTTTTAAAGATCATTGTCTCTTACTGTATTTATGTCAAATGGAAAAAATGTAAATATTTCTTTATTATTATTATTATTATACTTTAAGTTTTAGGGTACATGTGCACAATGTGCAGGTTAGTTACATATGTATACATGTGCCATGTTGGTATGCTGCACCCATTAACTCGTCATTTAGCATTAGTTATATCTCCTAATGCTATCCCTCCCCCCTCCCCCCATCCCACAACAGTCCCCAGAGTGTGATGTTCCCCTTCCTGTGTCCATGTGTTCTCATTGTTCAATTCCCACCTATGAATGAGAACATGCGGTGTTTGGTTTTTTGTCCTTGCGATAGTTTACTGAGAATGATGATTTCCAATTTCATCCATGTCCCTACAAAGGACATGAACTCATCATTTTTTATGGCTGCATAGTATTCCATGGTGTATATGTGCCACATTTTCTTAATCCAGTCTATCATTGTTGGACATTTGGCTTGGTTCCAAGTCTTTGCTATTGTGAATAGTGCTGCAATAAATATACGTCTGTATGTGTCTTTATAGCAGCATGATTTATAGTCCTTTGGGTATATACCCAGTAATGGGATGGCTGGGTCAAATGGCATTTCTAGTTCTAGATCCCTGAGGAATCGCCACACTGACTTCCACAATGGTTGAACTAGTTTACAGTCCCCCCAACAGTGTAAAAGTGTTCCTATTTCTCCATATCCTCTCCAGCACCTGTTGTTTCCTGACTTTTTAATGATTGCCATCCTAACTGGTGTGAGATGATATCTCATTGTGGTTTTGATTTGCATTTCTCTGATGGCCAGTGATGGTGAGCATTTTTTCATATGTTTTTTGGCTGCATAAATATCTTCTTTTGAGAAGTGTCTGTTCATGTCTTTTGCCCACTTTTTGATGGGGTTGTTTGTTTTTTTCTTGTACATTTGTTTGTGTTCATTGTAGATTCTGGATATTAGCCCTTTGTCAGATGAGTAGGTTGTGAAAATTTTCTCCCATTTTGTAGGTTGCCTGTTCACTCTGATGGTAGTTTCTTTTGCTGTGCAGAAGCTCCTTAGTTTAATGAGATCCCATTTGTCAATTTTGGCTTTTGTTGCCATTGCTTTTGGTGTTTTAGACATGAAGTCCTTGCCCATGCCTGTGTCCTGAATGGTAATGCCTAGGTTTTCTTCTAGGATTTTTATGGTTTTAGGTCTAACGTTTAAGTCTTTAATCCATCTTGAATTGATTTTGGTATAAGGTGTAAGGAAGGGATCCAGTTTCAGCTTTCTACATATGGCTAGCCAGTTTTCCCAGCACCATTTATTAAATAGGGAATCTTTTCCCCATTGCTTATTTTTCTCAGGTTTGTCAAAGATCAGATAGTTGTAGATATGTGGCGTTATTTCTGAGGGCTCTGTTCTGTTCCATTGATCTATATCTCTGTTTTGGTACCAGTACCATGCTGTTTTGGTTACTGTAGCCTTGTAGTATAGTTTGAAGTCAGGTAGTGTGATGCCTCCAGCTTTGTTCTTTTGGCTTAGGATTGACTTGGTGATGTGGGCCCTTTTTTGGTTCCATATGAACTTTAAAGTAGTTTTTTCTAATTCTGTGAAGAAAGGCATTGGTAGCTTGATGGGAATGGCATTGAATCTGTAAATTACCTTGGGCAGTATGGCCATTTTCATGATATTGATTCTTCCTACCCATGAGCATGGAATGTTCTTCCATTTGTTTGTATCCTCTTTTATTTCCTTGAGCAGTGGTTTGTAGTTCTCCTTGAAGAGGTCCTTCACATCCCTTGTAAGTTGGATTCCTAGGTATTTTATTCTCTTTGAAGCAATTGTGAATGGGAGTTCACTCATGATTTGGCTCTCTGTTTGTCTGTTGTTGGCGTATAAGAATGCTTGTGATTTTTGTACATTGATTTTGTATCCTGAAGACATTGCTGAAGTTGCTTATCAGCTTAAGGAGATTTTGGGCTGAGACAATGGGGTTTTCTAGATATACAATCATGTCATCTGCAAACAGGGACAATTTGACTTCCTCTTTTCCTAATTGAATACCCTTTATTTCCTTCTCCTGCCTAATTGCCTGGGCCAGAACTTCCAACACTATGTTGAATAGGAGTGGTGAGAGAGGGCATCCCTGTCTTCTGCCAGTTTTCAAAGGGAATGCTTCCAGTTTTTGCCCATTCAGTATGATATTGGCTGTGGGTTTGTCATAGATAACTCTTATTATTTTGAGATACGTCCCATCAATACCTAATTTATTGAGAGTTTTTAGTATGAAGGGTTGTTGAATTGTGTCAAAGGCCTTTTCTGCATCTTTTGAGATAATCATGCGGTTTTTGTCTTTGGTTCTGTTTATATGCTGGATTACATTTATTGATTTGCATATATTGAACCAGCCTTGCATCCCAGGGATGAAGCCCACTTTATCATGGTGGATAAGCTTTTTGATGTGCTGCTGGATTCGGTTTACCAGTATTTTATTGAGGATTTTTGCATCAATGTTCATTAAGGATATTGGTCTAAAATTCTCTTTTTTGGTTGTGTCTCTGCCCGGCTTTGGTATCAGGATGATGCTGGCCTCATAAAATGAGTAAGGGAAGATTCCCTCTTTTTCTATTGATTGGAATAGTTTCAGAAGGAATGGTACCAGTTCCTCCTTGCACCTCAGGTAGAATTCGGCTGTGAATCCATCTGGTCCTGGACTCTTTTTGGTTGGTAAGCTATTGATTATTGCCACAATTTCGGATACTGTTATTGGTCTATTCAGAGATTCAACTTCTTCCTGGTTTAGTCTTGGGAGGGTGTATGTGTCCAGGAATTTATCCATTTCTTCTAGATTTTCTAATTTATTTGTGTAAAGGTGTTTGTAGTATTCTCTGATGGTAGTTTGTATTTCTGTGGGATCAGTGGTGATAGGCCTTTATCATTTTTTATTGCATCTATTTGATTCTTCTCTCTTTTCTTCTTTCTTAGTCTTGCTAGTGGTCTATCAATTTTGTTGATCCTTTCAAAAAAGCAGCTCCTGGATTCCTTAATTTTTTGAAGGGTTTTTTGTGTCTCTATTTCCTTCAGTTCTGCTCTGATTTTAGTTATTTCTTGCCTTCTGCTAGCTTTTGAATGTGTTTGCTCTTGCTTTTCTAGTTCTTTTAATTGTGATGTTAGGGTGTCAATTTTGGATCTTTCCTGCTTTCTCTTGTGGGCATTTAGTGCTATAAATTTCCCTCTACATCCTGCTTTGAATGCGTCCCAGAGATTCTGGTATGTTGTGTCTTTGTTCTCGTTGGTTTCAAAGAACATCTTTATTTCTGCCTTCATTTTGTTATGTACCCAGTAGTCATTCAGGAGCAGGTTGTTCAGTTTCCATGTAGTTGAGCAGTTTTGAGTGAGTTTCTTAATCCTGAGTTCTAGTTTGATTGCACTGTGGTCTGAGAGACAGTTTGTTATAATTTCTGTTCTTTTACATTTGCTGAGGAGAGCTTTACTTCCAACTATGTGGTCAATTTTGGAATAGGTGTGGTGTGGTGCTGAAAAAAATGTATATTCTGTTGATTTGGGGTGGAGAGTTCTGTAGATGTCTATTAGGTGCACTTGGTGCAGAGCTGAGTTCAATTCCTGGGTATCCTTGTTGACTTTCTGTCTTGTTGATCTGTCTAATGTTGACAGTGGGGTGTTAATGTCTCCCATTATTATTGTGTGGGAGTCTAAGTCTCTTTGTAGGTCACTCAGGACTTGCTTTATGAATCTGGGTGCTCCTGTATTGGGTGCATATATATTTAGGATAGTTAGCTCTTCTTGTTGAATTGATCCCTTTACCATTACATAATGGCCTTTTTTGTCTCTTTTGATCTTTGTTGGTTTAAAGTCTGTTTTATCAGAGACTAGCATTGCAACCCCTGCCTTTTTTTGTTTTCCATTTGCTTGGTAGATCTTCTTCCATCGTTTTATTTTGAACCTATGTGTGTCTGTCCACGTGAGATGGGTTTCCTGAATACAGCACACTGTTGGGTCTTGACTCTTTATCCAATTTGCCAGTCTGTGTCTTTTAATTGGAGCATTTAGCCCATTTACATTTAAAGTTAATACTGTTATGTGTGAATTTGATCCTGTCATTATGATGTTAGCTGGTTATTTTGCTCATTCGTTCATGCAGTTTCTTCCTAGCCTCGATGGTCTTTACATTTTGGCATGATTTTGCAGTGGTTGGTACCGGTTGTTCCTTTCCATGTTTAGTGCTTCCTTCAGGAGCTCTTTTAGGGCAGGCCTGGTGGTGACAAAATCTCTCAGCATTTGCTTGTCTGTAAAGGATTTTATTTCTCCTTCATTTATGAAGCTTAGTTTGGCTGGATATGAAATTCTGGTTTGAAAATTCTTTTCTTTAAGAATGTTGAATATTGGCCCCCACTCTCTTCTGGCTTGTAGAGTTTCTGCCGAGAGATCTGCTGTTAGTCTGATGGGTTTCCCTTTGAGGGTAACCCGACTTTTCTCTCTGGCTGCCCTTAACATTTTTTCCTTCATTTCAACTTTGGTGAATCTGACAATTATGTGTCTTGGAGTTGCTCTTCTCGAGGAGTATCTTTGTGGTGTTCTCTGTATTTCCTGAATCTGAATGTTGGCCTGCCTTGCTAGATTGGGGAAGTTCTCCTGGATAATATCCTGCAGAGTGTTTTCCAACTTGGTTTGATTCTCCCCGTCGCTTTCAGGTACACCAATCAGACATAGATTTGGTCTTTTCACATAGTCCCATATTTCTTGGAGGCTTTGCTTGTTTCTTTTTATTCTTTTTTCTCTAAACTTCCCTTCTCGCTTCATTTCATTCATTTGATCTTCCATCACTGATACCCTTTCTTCCAGTTGATCGCATCAGCTCCAGAGGCTTCTGCATTCTTCACATAGTTCTCGAGCCTTGGTTTTCAGCTCCACCAGCTCCTTTAAGCACTTCTCTGTATTGGTTGTTCTAGTTATACATTCTTCTAAATTTTTTTCAAAGTTTTCAACTTGTTTGCCTTTGGTTTGAATGTCCTCCCGTAGCTCAGAGTAATTTGATCGTCTGAAGCCTTCTTCTCTCAGCTCGTCAAAGTCATTCTCCGTCCAGCTTTGTTCCATTGCTGGTGAGGAACTGCGTTCCTTTGGAGGAGGAGAGGCGCTCTGCTTTTTAGAGTTTCCAGTTTTTCTGCTCTGTTTTTTCCCCATCTTTGTGGTTTTATCTACTTTTGGTCTTTGATGATGGTGATGTGCAGATGGGTTTTTGGTGTGGATGTCCTTTCTGTTTGTTAGTTTTCCTTCTAACAGACAGGACCCTCAGCTGCAGGTCTGTTGGAGTTTGCTAGAGGTCCACTCCAGACCTTGTTTGCCTGGGTAACAGCAGCGGTGGCTGCAGAACAGCGGATTTTCATGTACCGTGAATGCTGCTGTCTGATCGTTCCTCTGGAAGTTTTGTCTCAGAGGAGTACCCGGCCATGTGAGGTGTCAGTCTGCCCCTACTGGGGGGTACCTCCCAGTTAGGCTGCTCGGGGGTCAGGGGTCAGGGACCCACTTGAGGAGGCAGTCTGCCCATTCTCAGATCTCCAGCTGCGTGCTGGGAGAACCACTGCTCTCTTCAAAGCTGTCAGACAGGGACATATAAGTCTGCAGAGGTTACTGCTGTCTTTTTGTTTGTCTGTGCCCTGCCCCCAGAGGTGGAGCCTACAGAGGCAGGCAGGCCTCCTTGAGCTGTGGTGGGCTCCACCCAGTTCGAGCTTCCCGGCTGCTTTGTTTACCTAAGCAAGCCTGGGCAATGGCAGGCGCCCCTCCCCCAGCCTCGCTGCCACCTTGCAGTTTGATCTCAGACTGCTGTGCTAGCAATCAGCGAGACTCCGTGGGCGTAGGACCCTCCGAGCCATATGCGGGATATAATCTCCTGGTGTGCCGTTTTTTAGGCCTGTCGGAGAAGCGCAGTATTAGGGTGGGAGTGACCCGATTTTCCAGGTGCTGTCTGTCACCCCTTTCTTTGACTAGGAAAGGGAACTCCCTGACCCTTTGTGCTTCCCGAGTGAGGCAATGCCTCGCCCTGCTTCAGCTCGAGCACAGTGCGCTGCACCCACTGCCCTGTGCCCACTGTCTGGCACTCACTAGTGAGATGAAGCCGGTACCTCAGATGGAAATGCAGAAATCACCCATCTTCTGCGTCACTCATGCTGGGAGCTGTAGACCAGAGCTGTTCCTATTCGGCCATCTTAGGTCTGATTTTTCAACAGTATGCGCCTGGTACTTTCAGAAGGTGTTGAATGAACATTTTTGAAAATACAAATGTATATATATACACAGAGGTGTATATATATATACATTTGTATGTATAGACATGTACATATATATCTTTTTTGCTTCTATTTACTCACCAGCAAATAATAGTTTCTAGCTCCTTATGTCTATGACAATGAATTGGATCAATATACATAAATTTGTATTTTTTGTAGCAAATTGACTTTGATGAAAAATACTACAACTTCTTTTAAAATATTGTTTGGGCTGGACACAGTGGCTCACACCTGTAATCCCAGCACTTTGGGAGGCTGAGGTAGGTGGATCATGAGGTGAAGAGATAGAGACCATTCTGGCCAACATGGTGAAACCTCGTCTCTACTAAAAATACAAAAAAAAAAAAAAAAATAGCTGGGCATGGTGGCGCACGCCTGTAGTCCCAGCTACTTGGGAGGCTGAGGCAGGAGAATCACTTGAACCTGGGAGGCGGAGGTTGCAGTGAGCCAAGATCGCACCACTGCACTCCAGCCTGGCAACAGAGCGAGACTCTGTCTCAAAAAAATAATAATTTTATATATATCTATATATCTATGTATATAGATATATATGTAGAGGGAGAGAGTTTGATATGTTTTTGTGTATTTTATTCTTTGAGTTCTTTAGTTTTAAATATGAAGAACATAAAGTCAGTTGTTATCCTTTCTTATTCTAACTTGAGAGTCATTTTGGGGAAATGTTTTTATTTCATTTATATAATAGCTCTTATAAATTACCTGTTGGTCTTATTTGTTTGTCTTATTTTTTTCTGCAAATCCCAACATCTGGGTTATCTCAGGGTCTGTTTCCTTTTTCTTTGACCTTGGGTGACTTTTTTTTTTCTATTTCCTCACATGTCTAGCAATTGTTGATGGTATATTGAACATTGTGGAGGATATAGTACAGAGACTCTGGTTTCTGTAGTTTTCTTTCTCCTAAAGTGTATTGAGTTTTCTTTTTTAAGGCAGTTAAATCATCTTCATTGTATAGAGCTTCATTTTACATTTTGTTAGAAAGGAGCTCTTTCAGATTTTGTCGTTAGACTTATGGTGAATATCTTAATCCTGGGACATAGTGTGTACTCATAAAATGTGGTTCTTCTCTGGTTTCATAGGAAAGCTTGAGATATTTATTAAGACCCTCTAACTTGTTGGCCTTCAACTCCACACTCTTCTTTCCTGTGAAGGGCAGCAGCTGAAATCTCTGCTCAGATTTTTCACGGTTCACTGGCCTCCTTGGCATCTCTCCCACACACACACACAGGTCTGGGATCAGACAAGGATTTGAAGGAAATTTGTAGGTAGATTTTTTAGCTCTTCTCTGGGACTCCTTTCTTTCTGGGTTCCCACTACCACCTCAATTTCCAGCCACCCTGGCAACACTGAACTTCATTCTCTGATACTTCATGACTTCTAGCCACACAAACTGGTGACTGTTTTCATTGAAGAAGCCTTATAAATATGGATCTTACCCAGTGCATATGGTTCCCCTTTTTATTATTATTATTTTTTTAATTTTATTATTATTATACTTTAAATTTTAGGGTACATGTGCACAACGTGCAGGTTTGTTACATATGTATACATGTGCCATGCTGCTGTGCTGCACCCATTAACTCGTCATTTATCATTAGGTATATTTCCTAATGCTATCCCTTCCCACTCCCCCCAGGGTCAAATTCCTCAAATATTTGTCATCTTTTGGCTTCTCTCTAGTGCCTTCAATTACTTATTTTATATTTTTCCATAGTTTATAATTGTTATCTGCAGAAGGGCTAATGTACGCAATCTAGTTTTCCATTGCTGGAAATCACTTGGAATAACTCAGTTTTAAAGCTGCATTTTAAACTTTGTTGATGTTGTATAAAAAATGATAAAAGCTGCATAATTTTCTAAGGAGTAGGCATTCTCAAATTTATTCAGCCATTTCTTCATTGAGAAAAATTCAACTTTGTTTTTATATTTCTTTCCAGTGAAAACAATGCTGATGCTAAGAGGCCTCCCTGGAACCAGACAGCTTGGTTCATTTCATATTACTATCTCCTACTTCATAAATGTGTTAGCTTCAACAAGTTACTTGGTCTTTTTTTGCTTCTATTTACTCATCTGCAAATAATAATTCTTTCTAGCTCCTTAGGTCTGTGACAATTAAATGGATCAATACACATAAATATTTAAGCAGTTCTTTACCCATAGAATGCAATAAATGGTAGCACATTTTGTTGTTATTATTTATCCCAGGTGTTCTGAAATTTTCTTTGATTGATATATTTTGATGTCATATTTCATTCATTGTGTTGGAGACTCAGTGGGTCCTTTTAATCTGGAAATTAGCATTTCTCAGTTTGAGGAATTTTTGCATAATTTTAAAAATAATTTATTCTTCTCAATCCTCTCTGTTGTCTCTTTCTATATCTCTTTTAACTTTCTTCTTTTTACTATTTTCTCTTTGTTTGTTTTGGGGAAGTTGCCTCAATTTTATCTTCCAAGCTTTCTATTGAATTATTTATTGTCATTATGTTTTCAACTTCCATAAGTTTATTCTTGTTCACTAACTATTTTTTTAATTTAGCATCCTGTTTCTTTTTCATGGATAAAATCAGTATCTTCTGACATACCTAGATATCATAGGATTGTTTTAGGTTTTCTTCAACTCTGAGCATTACACCCATTTCTTCTGTTATCCTGTTTGTTAGTTTTGTTCTTTGTCTTTCAAGTTGGAGTTTTCCTCAAATATCTGATAATCTTGGGCTGTTTACTCATATTTAAGAATAAGCAATAAAATGCTGATTGGAGGCACCTTAACAAGTGGGGAGATTGGGGTTCACCATAGAATAAAGCAAGCTGTTTCCTTGCTGCTCCCCAGTTGTGAAAATTACCAGTTAGTAATATCTCCAGGGCTTTCATTTAAACGTATCAGTTTTTTCCTCAAAGAAATGTTTTAGTCTGCTGCTCAGGTATAACCTAAATGCCACTATCTTGGGAAACAAGTACGGACAGTGAGTCAGAGGCCTCAATGTTCTTGATGTCGATTTTTAATGAATCTTCCTATTTTTAGTGTGACATTACACTGCTCAGCTATGCCTAGTGTCTTTAAATCCAGAGCCTCTCTAGCCCAGTCTCTCCTGAGAGGAAGTTACCTTTCTGCTTCACCCTTTATCTTCATTTTTGGAGGACCCTGGTGACTCCTGATATTTTAACCTTTTTAGCTCTTACCGAACAAATAGCCATTATCTTGTTGCATTTCTACTCTGTAAGCTTAGATTTCAGTTTTTTTCACTATACCAAGTCAGTTTTCCTTCCTACGTACTTCCATCTTTTAAAATTTTGTTGACATTCTTCTTCTTCTTGTCTTTTTTTCTCGTTTCTTCGTCCCTGAGCATTTTTTTAAATGACTTTTGAGGGTTTTTTTCCCATCTTTTTTCTAGAGTTTTGAGAGACAGCATAGGAAATGAATGTTTTAATCCAATACATTTTACTAGAAGTATTTTTGTTAAAATTAATCCTTAGCATTTTATAATATTTAATCTGATTTATGAATATTAAACCTGATATGTGAACATGCTCCCTTTTTTCTTGTTAGCTTTTTTTTAGTGAGCTGTAGTATAATGAGTGATGCACTGAAGTCATCCTTTGCAATTTGAAGACCCATGGGTTTATGATCATGAAAGGTGGAAGTGGTTGGTGTTTTGCATGTTAATTCTTTTCCCTGTGGCCTAGTTTCAGTTTAGATGCTCAGAGCAGATTTGATCCTCTCCAAAATATCCTTCCCTTTTGCATCTCATCAAAGGATATATTAGGCTTGTACGTTGGGCAACTTTGCATGTCCAGCTGGACACAAATCTTATCACCAGTCTTAAGATAGTTTGCAAAGGTGGGTATCAAAATAGAGATTTAGAACCCACAAATGACATTTAAAATTATTTTAAATATTATTTTAATTTGTCTATTTTTGTCAGAACACAATTATGCATCATTTCTGGCTGACTGATTAATATGACTTTGAATAATTTTAACTAGGCTCAGTTTTCCTCAGTGGCTAAGAGCATGGTCTTTGGAGGCAGTTAAGCTGGATGATCTTGGGCATGTTATTTACTTTCTCACAGCTTAAATTTTCTTCTTTGTAAAAGAACGTTAATAATAGTACCTGCTTCCTAATGTTATGAGGAATACATTAGTTAAATATGCAATGTGCTTAAAACAGTGTGTGACTTCTAATAAATATGGTATGTTTGCTATTACATACTTTGAATTAGGAATACAGGGTTGGACAATCCAAGGACCATAATCATATAACCCTCCCCACTGCACCTGCCCCCCCTCCGCATTAATATAGCAGAAGAGTATATCTGTTAATGGCAGATCAGACAATTGGGATATCCTTTCACTGAGGACATCTATAAAAGCTGAATAAAATATGAGAGAAAAATAAAAAATATGTCTCTTTAAAGCCATTGTAGAGATAAAAAGATACTGAAGAGTCATTGGGCCAGAGCCCATTATGGGGCACAATGATCCAAGAATGTGAGAACAGCATTTGAGGCCAGTTTTTTCCTCAACTGCACTTTGAGGAAACAGCACTTTTGACAGTTCCTTGGAGATAGGGAGATAGGAATTAGAGGCCTGGCAAGGGGAGAGATCCTATTGACAAACCCTCACTTTGGGTTGAAATCTCAAAAAGTCTTACCTGTTAAGTAAGAGTGAACTGGATGTGGAAGGCCTGTGCAGGAACTGCAGCTTAGCTTCAAATTGTCCCAATCCTGAAATTGCTAATGCATGCAAGCTTGCTGGTACCGTCAGCACCTGACGGAAACAAACATACATCCTCTCTAGAGGAAAATAACCGTGTACAAGTGTAGATGAGAAGAAATAAACATAAAGGAACAGAAGAAATGGAAAACATAACAGACCTACAGAGTCCCCAGATACTGAGTTATCAGACACAGATTTAAAAATAACTATATGTTACTACATTTAAGGAGATAAAGGAAAAGATTAGGAATTTAGGGAGAAAAACCAGGACCACTAAAAAATAATAAAGCAGAAAATGTATCATATAATAAAGCAGCACATCTACCCACTAAATCTAAAAGTTGAAATTATATAAAAAAAGAAAATTTAGAGTTGAAAAATGCAAAAAAAACTTAAATATGTGTTTAATGGCAGATTTAATATACATGAAGAGAAAATAAATAAAAAAAGAATTTCTTATCTAGGTCAGAAAAATATCCAGAATGATGTATGAGAAAACAAAAGGATATAAAACCAGAAGATAGACTATCTGACCTGAACAATACAGTAAGAAAGTCCAACTAATGTGTGTGATTGGAGCCACAGGAAGAAAAACAGATTCAAAAAGAGTTATTATTCGAAGACAAGGTACCTGAGAATTTTCCAAAGCTGATGAAAGTTTATGAAATCTACAGATTGAAGATGCTGTCTCTATAAACTCTCTACAAATCAGGACAAAAATATAACACAAAACAAATTCTAGTCACGTTATATTAAAACTGAAAATCAAAGCAGAATCCTTAAAAGCAACCAGAGAACAAAAGGCAGACAATGGATTGTAGCTGATATCTGACTAGAAACCAGTAGAATATCTGGAAGACCATGGAATACTATCCTAAAGTGCTAAAAGGAAACAGCATCTACTTAGAATTTCAGAACAAGCAAAACCACCCTTAAGAAATGAGAGGGAGAGATCACAATTCAGACAAGATGGCATGGACTTGTCCCTCCCTGCTCCTCCCTGCTGCTTAAAGTTATAAACCCAAGAAAGAAAACACAATTGTGATGGTTAATGTTTTGTGTTAAGTTGGCTGGGCCACAGTGCTCAGATATGTGGCTGAACATTATTTTGGATATTCTATGAGGGTGATTTTTGGAGAAGATTAACATTTAATGGTTGGACTTTGAGTAAAGCAGATTACCCTCCACAATGTGGATGGGCCCCCATCCAGTTAGTTGAAGGACTTAATATAAAACACTGACCTCACACAAGCAAGAAGTTCTGCCAGATGACTGCTTTTGAACTCAAACTGCAAGGTGTATGTATATAATAGAAACATATATTTTGTTTCTCCCATTTTATCCAAATGAAAACATACCATACCTACTTTTCTGCATCTTGCTTTTTGTACTTAACCCTTTAAATATGTAAGTTCTTGAAGAACTTTCCATATTCGCTCATAAATAATTTTTCTTCCTTTTTTTCCTTAACAGCCACATATTTTTCCATTGTATGGCTATACAGTCATTATTATTTTTTTTTTTTGCATGAATGTAAGTGCATTGTCTTTGTAGGGTAAATTCCTAGAGGTGGAACCACTAAAAATCAAAGAAAATGAATCTCAATCCATGTCTCTCTCTCCCTCCCTCCCCCCACCCCCCTTCTCCCTCCCTATCATAATGATATTGACAAATTGCCCTCTATAGAGGTGGTATAAATTTACATTCCTAATAGCAATGTATGAAAGTGCCTATTTCCTCATAGACTTACCAGCATGATATGATACAAGCTTTTCAATCTTTTCAAAGCCAATAGGTTAAATAACAAAAAGTCCTTCAGTCTGCACTTATCTTTTTATATATTTGATAGATTTATGAGCCATTTATAGTTCTTTTTGTGAACTCTATTTCCTTTGCTATTTTTCTCTTTGTCTATTTTTATATTGGGTTTTTGCTGTTTTTAAAAAAACTCCAGTTGTTGAAATTTTTATATTGGGGGAAATCATTCTTTTGTCTTTGATGTGAAAAGACAATTTTTGAATATTGGCCCCCACTCTCTTCTGGCTTGTAGAGTTTCTGCCGAGAGATCCGCTGTTAGTCTGATGGGCTTCCCTTTGAGGGTAACCCAACCTTTCTCTCTGGCTGCCCTTAACATTTTTTCCTTCATTTCAACTTTGGTGAATCTGACAATTATGTGTCTTGGAGTTGCTCTTCTCGCGGAGTATCTTTCTGGCGTTCTCTGTATTTCCTGAATCTGAATGTTGGCCTGCCTTGCTAGATTGGGGAAGTTCTCCTGGATAATATCCCGCAGAGTGTTTTCCAACTTGGTTCCATTCTCCCCGTCGCTTTCAGGTACACCAATCAGACATAGATTTGGTCTTTTCACATAGTCCCATATTTCTTGGAGGCTTTGCTTGTTTCTTTTTATTCTTTTTTCTCTAAACTTCCCTTCTCACTTCATTTGATTCATTTGATCTTCCATCACTGATACCCTATCTTCCAGTTGATCGCATTGGCTCCTGAGGCTTCTACATTCTTCACGTAGTTCTCAAGCCTTGGTTTTCAGCTCCATCAGCTCCTTTAAGCACTTCTCTGTGTTGGTTATTCTAGTTATACATTCTTCTAAATTTTTTTCAAAGTTTTCAACTTGTTTGCCTTTGGTTTGAATGTCCTCCCGTAGCTGGGAGTAATTTGATCATCTGAAGCCTTCTTCTCTCAGCTCATCAAAGTCATTCTCTGTCCAGCTTTGTTCCATTGCTGGTGAGGAACTGCGTTCCAATTTTCAACCCAGAATTTCATATCCAGCCAAACTAAGCTTCATAAGTGAAGGAGAAATAAAATACTTTACAGACAAGCAAATGCTGAGAGATTTTGTCACCACCAGGCCTGCCCTAAAAGAGCTCCTGAAGGAAGCACTAAACATGGAAAGGAACAACCGGTACCAGCCACTGCAAAATCATGCCAAAATATAAAGACCATCGAGACTAGGAAGAAACTGCATCAACTAACGAGCAAACTAACCAGCTAACATCATAATGACAGGATCAAATTCACACATAACAATATTAACTTTAAATGTAAATGGACTAAATGCTCCAATTAAAAGACACAGACTGGCAAATTGGATAAAGAGTCAAGACCCATCAGTGTGCTGTATTCAGGAAACCCATCTCACGTGCAGAGACACACATAGGCTCAAAATAAAAGGATGGAGGAAGATCTACCAAGCAAATGGAAAACAAAAAAAGGCAGGGGTTGCAATCCTAGTCTCTGATAAAACAGATTTTAAACCAACAAAGATCAAAAGAGACAAAAAAGGCCATTATGTAATGGTAAAGGGATCAATTCAACAAGAAGAGCTAACTATCCTAAATATATATGCACCCAATACAGGAGCATCCAGATTCATAAAGCAAGTCCTGAGTGACCTACAAAGAGACTTAGACTCCCACACATTAATAATGGGAGACTTTAACACCCCACTGTCAACATTAGACAGATCAACGAGACAGAAAGTCAACAAGGATACCCAGGAATTGAACTCAGCTTTGCACCAAGCGCACCTAATAGACATCTACAGAACTCTCCACCCCAAATCAACAGAATATACATTGTTTTCAGCACCACACCACACCTATTCCAAAATTGACCACATAGTTGGAAGTAAAGCTCTCCTCAGCAAATGTAAAAGAACAGAAATTATAACAAACTGTCTCTCAGACCACAGTGCAATCAAACTAGAACTCAGGATTAAGAATCTCACTCAAAACCACTCAACTACATGGAAACTGAACAACCTGCTCCTGAATGACTACTGGGTACATAACAAAATGAAGGCAGAAATAAAGATGTTCTTTGAAACCAACGAGAACAAAGACACAACATACCAGAATCTCTGGGACGCATTCAAAGCAGGGTGTAGAGGGAAATTTGTAGCACTAAATGCCCACAAGAGAAAGCAGGAAAGATCCAAAATTGACACCCTAACATCACAATTAAAAGAACTAGAAAAGCAAGAGCAAACACATTCAAAAGCTAGCAGAAGGCAAGAAATAACTAAAATCAGAGCAGAACTGAAGGAAATAGAGACACAAAAAACCATTCAAAAAATTAAGGAATCCAGGAGCTGGTTTTTTGAAAGGATCAACAAAATTGATAAACTGCTAGCAAGACTAATAAAGGCCTTTGACAAAATTCAACAATGCTTCATGCTAAAAACTCTCAATAAATTAGGTATTGATGGGACGTATTTCAAAATAATGAGAGCTATCTATGACAAACCCACAGCCAATATCATACTGAATGGGCAAAAACTGGAAGCATTCCCTTTGAAAACTGGCACAAGACAGGGATGCCCTCTCTCACCACTCCTATTCAACATAGTGTTGAAAGTTCTGGCCAGGGCAATCAGGCAGGAGAAGAAAATAAAGGGTATTCAATTAGGAAAACAGGAAGTCAAATTGTCCCTGTTTGCAGATGACATGATTGTATATCTAGAGAACCCCATTGTCTCAGCCGAAAATCTCCTTAAGCTGATAAACAACTTCAGCAAAGTGTCAGGATACAAAATCAATGTACAAAAATCACAAGCATTCTTCTACACCAACAACAGACAAACAGAGAGCCAAATCATGAGTGAACTCCCATTCACAATTGCTTCAAAGAGAATAAAATACCTAGGAATCCAACTTACAAGGGACGTGAAGGACCTCTTCAAGGAGAACTACAAACCACTGCTCAAGGAAATAAAAGAGGATACAAACAAATGGAAGAACATTCCATGCTCATGGGTAGGAAGAATCAATATCGTGAAAATGGCCATACTTCCCAAGGTAATTTACAGATTCAATGCCATCCCCATCAAGCTACCAATGCCTTTCTTCACAGAATTAGAAAAAACTACTTTAAAGTTCATATGGAACCAAAAAAGGGCCCACATCACCAAGTCAATCCTAAGCCAAAAGAACAAAGCTGGAGGCATCACACTACCTGATTTCAAACTATACTACAAGGCTACAGTAACCAAAACAGCATGGTACTGGTACCAAAACAGAGATATAGATCAATGGAACAGAACAGAGCCCTCAGAAATAACGCCACATATCTACAACTATCTGATCTTTGACAAACCTGAGAAAAACAAGCAATGGGGAAAGGATTCCCTATTTAATAAATGGTGCTGGGAAAACTGGCTAGCCATATGTAGAAAGCTGAAACTGGATCCCTTCCTTATACCTTATACCAAAATCAATTCAAGATGGATTAAAGACTTAAACGTTAGACCTAAAACCATAAAAACCCTAGAAGAAAACCTAGGCTTTACCATTCAGGACATACGCATGAGCAAGGACTTCATGTCTAAAACACCAAAAGCAATGGCAACAAAAGCCAAAATTGACAAATGGGATCTAATTAAACTAAAGAACTTCTGCACAGCAAAAGAAACTACCATCAGAGTGAACAGGCAACCTACAAAATGGGAGAAAATTTTCGCAACCTACTCATCTGACAAAGGGTAATATCCAGAATCTACAATGAACTCAAACAAATTTACAAGAAACAAACAAACAACCCCATCAAAAAGTGGGCGAAGGATATGAACAGACACTTCTCAAAAGAAGACATTTATGCAGCCAAAAAACACATGAAAAAATGCTCACCATCACTGGCCATCAGAGAAATGCAAATCAAAACCACAATGAGATACCATCTCACACCAGTTATAATGGCGATCATTAAAAAGTCAGGAAACAACAGGTGCTGGAGAGGATGTGGAGAAATAGGAACACTTTTACACTGTTGGTGGGACTGTAAACTAGTTCAACCATTGTGGAAGTCAGTGTGGCGATTCCTCAGGGATCTAGAACTAGAAATGCCATTTGACCCAGCCATCCCATTACTGGGTATATACCTAAAGGAGTATAAATAATGCTGCTATAAAGACACATGCACACGTATGTTTATTGTGGCATTATTCACAATAGCAAAGACTTGGAACCAACCCAAATGTCCAACAACGATAGACTGGATTAAGAAAATGTGGCACATATACACCATGGAATATTATGCAGCCATAAAAAATGATGAGTTCATGTCCTTTATAGGGACATGGATGAAATTGGAAATCATCATTCTCAGTAAACTATGGCAAGAACAAAAAACCAAAGACCACATATTCTCACTCATAGGTGGAAACTGAACAATGAGAACACATGGACACAGGAAGGGGAACATCACACTCTGGGGACCGTTGTGGGGTGGGGGTAGGGAGGAGGGATAGCATTGGGAGATATACCTAATGCTAGATGACGAGTTAGTGGGTGCAGTGCACCAGCATGGCACATGTATACATATGTAACTAACCTGCGCATTGTGCACATGTACCCTAAAACTTAAAGTATAATAATAATTAAAAAAAGACAATTTTTTCCTCATTTGACTTTGCTTATAATGTTGTTTATTATGCGGACATTTAAAATTTATGTTGAATTTATTCAGTGTTTTTAATGACTTCTGAATTTTGTGTCATATTGAGAAAGGCATTTCCTACTCTGAAATTATAAAAGAATCATCTCATGTTTTCTTTTATTACCTTTATGGTTTCATTTTTTAGTCTTTGACACTATAACCATGCCTTACAATCCACACCAGGATAATTCCAAAACTGAATCAATAACTTAAAGATTGTTTCTATAGTTGTAAAAAATCTAAAATTTTTTTTAAAAATCAGTTTTCCTTGAGACTCATTCTTCTCTACTCCTCCCAGATAATCTCAAATTTTTCTATTTTTGTTTATTTATTTCATCATTTGTTTCATCTCTCCATTTCCTTCTTGAAAGGGTTCTCTTCTACTTTTCCTCCATATCTAGAATATTCTTCCAACCTTTTAAACTCGTTTTTTTTCCCCCATTTTCCTTTGGCTCCTTTCCTCTTGTCTCTTCATCTGCTGTTGCCACTATGTTTCTTACTTTGTTTTAGTAATTTCTCACTTCTCGTGCATGCCTTTTGGCATAATTTTTGCAATGGTTATTATTTTTCCCCACAACTTCCCCAAATCCTACCATGTCATATTTTATCATTTTTTGATATTTCCCCATTTCTTCATTCATGGATGTCATTTATCATTAAGTTTTTCATTTTTTAAAAAATATTTGGTCACTCTTTCCAGTGTTCCAGTAAGTCTTATAATGAGAGATCTTCTCCTGTTGTTTTACTTTTGTGCTTATTTTTTAAAAACTTAATATTTTTGTATAGTTTCTGAGTTCTTATTTATTACTTATTATCAAAAGAGTTTAATTTTATCATGAATAGCTATCTATGGAAAGTTCATAGGGGTAGGGGCTGTGGTCCAGGTTAGCTGATTTTTTTTTTTTTTTTTAATATTTGGTCAGCAACTTTATTTCACCAAAGCCAGTGGAGAAAGGAGTATTTTTTGTTTTGATTTTTTATTTGAGGGCTGGGGAGTAGTGAAAAGGAAGACTGCTTATAGTAAATATGCCTTCTCTGTGTATGATTCCTTGTATAATTGTCGCTATTTCTTTTTGGGAAACAAACAAACTGGGTTTATTTGAGCCAGCTGATCAATGCTTCCTGTTTCAAACAAGTGTTGGCACCTCAGGTGGTGTCCCTTGCCTTGAAGAAGGGTAGTTTTGCTGGTGTTTGCTGATGTCTGCAGCTTCAGGAAGCTCTCTCTGCAGCCTTTTATCTCCTCTTCCTCCCACTCCACTTCTTCTGTTTTAGATAACTTTCCACGTATATTTGGTCTCTGTCATTTTTTATTGTCTCCTGGTTTAGCTGAAATGAAATTTACATTTTTGTTTCTTATTTTCCCAGTTGCTTTTTAAACAATTTTCAATATAAGGGAGAAATACTGACTTTCACCCTGCCAAGTTCAAACAAGAAATCAGCCTGTTTTTTTTTAAGCTGCCTAAAGGTAATGCATATTTATTTTTAAATGTCAGATAGTATGAAGAAAATTTTCATGATCTTCTCTTGCCTTATTCTAAACAGAAATATAGGCTTCATTGTATATATAAAGTTTGTGATATTCATATTGCTCAGATTTTTTTTTCTTTTAACTATGTATAATGAGCATCCCCTCTGTATTGGTGAAAGTTGATCTAATTCTTTATAATATCTGCATGATATTCCAGGGAATAGGTGTACCACATTTAATGTAATCATTCTCTATTGAAGACTTTCAGATTATTTCCAGGTATTTGCAACTATAAAATGTGGGGTAGTAAACATTGATTACACATTCCTTTACACTCATGTGCTTTGTTTTTCTAAGTTCACTTTTCCAAAATTAGTATTGCTGGATCAATGGTATTTAATTTAAATACATTACAGTCTACTTTTTGAAAAGTTGCATCAGTTCATCTCTCTACTGAATGAAGGAGCTAATTTCCCTACATCTTTGCTACCTTTGGAATGACCAATATTATTGCATTTTACTAATTCAGGGTGGAAATGTGTTATGCCATCAATAGGTTAACATGAAGAATAAAAATAATATATCTTTTTAATATCCTTTGTCAATTTTTAATTGCCATTTTTTGTTATTTTGTAGAGATTCTTTTAAATTTTAGGACTACTAACCATTTTTCTTATGTTACACATACCTTTTCTGTTTTTTTTCTTTTGACTTTATTTATAATGACTTTGACTTTGTTGACTTTATGATATCTTTAGTTATAGTACTTCAAATTTTTATATAGACAAATACATCTCTCTTTGTATTTATGGATTTTCCGTCTTCCTCTAGAAAGCTTCTTCTATCCTAAAGTTATAAAAAGTTAATAAAATAATTCTATTTTCATTATTTTTAAAAATTTATATCTTTAATCTGCTTTACATGTGAAGAGAGATCATTATCCTGGCTCTAGGAGTAATGACAATAGGGTGAGGGTTTAGAATGTAAAGTAACTGGGTACATTCTTACCTAGCCCAAGTGAAAACTGGTGAGAACCTGAAATCAGGCGAGGTTGTGGGATGGAGATGAGTAGGGATGGCATACTGAAACAATAGAGGTGGAATTTAAGAATTGAAGGCTGACTTCCTGTGTGTGATTGAGTGAAAGGAAGGAAAGTAAGGTCATCTTGGATATTGGATGGCAGCAGTTGCTACTCCCTAAGGCAGAGGCCTTAGGGGTTAAGCACATATGGGTTCAGTGTGGACTAAGTTGGGGACTGAGAAGATAATCTTACATAAGTGCATTGCTAGAAATTTAGATTTTCTATTAATCTATGTAAGTTATGTAAATTAAATTTAGCCTAACTCTTGCCTAGTGAGCAAACAGACTGTTTCAGAGTGTGAATTTTTTTCTATTAAGTTAAAGAAGTGCATTGTATCATGATCTGAAAGTTGAATAATCAAATGTGAAGAGTGATCATTTGACTAGCCTTAAAAGTAAGTTTTAAGTTGTAAAATTAATATAATGATATTATAGAGAACTTGGAAAATGTAAGAAAAGCCACTCATGAATGACTGCTCTTAAGCATCCACCACTTCATAATAACCTACTTCCTGCTTCGGTTTTTGGAATGGAGGGCATAGATAACTTTCTGTAGCACTTCCAATAAAATGCTTCTCACATAATGTCTCATGGGTGCTCAGATAAATAAATGTGGTCAGCACGCTGCTTTTCTTTTTGTCACCTGGCAAAACTTTAAAGGGACACATCCCCTTTGTGTTTTAAGAGGTTCTTGCAAGCCAAGTATGGTAAGAGTTTGTTTTGGTTCCTATCTCAGCTGATGTTATCAAACTTGACCAAGTGGGTTGTATGGCCTTATAAATAAAACCCAAAACTCTTTTATAGATGGTTTTATGTCTTCTAGATTTTTGTAAATTGTGCAGTTTACATAAGGCCTGAGGCTGAACTATATGTTTTTATTTTTTGGCCTTTTCAGATTGGAAGGATTTACCCACCTTTGCATTAATTACACTAAGATCTGCAATTATCCTGTGCTCATCCCCAGGTTTTTTGGAAGTTTTCCAAGTCTTTAAATATAATTTTCTTTCTGATTCTTGAAGCATAATAGGAACCTGAGTAATTGTTAGTTTGTTCACCAGTTGATGCTAATGGAGTAGCCATTAAGTATTATTTCAAGCCCTTTATATAAAATGGAAATTTTTAGTAGCTGGTATTGTACCACCTCTTGTTTTATGGTCTCTGCAGCTATAAATTAATGTGAAATCAATTATAATTCAATAGGGACCAGTTTTCAGGCTGTTTCCTATAACATGATAATAACATTTATTTTCATTAAGAAAGCAATCCATGTTCATTGTGAGAAAATTGGAACAATCAATAACTAAAAATTATAAGACATCCTATTGCCCAGAGATTAGCACTGTGAACATTTGGCATGATTAGTTAATTATTTTAAGTGGAAATCACACACACACACACACACACACACACACACACGCATGCACACATACATTGTTTAGAAAAACAAAAAATTGAGGCAATTTAATATAGTTTTTTAATCTATAATTTTTATTTATAAATATGCTTTGAACATTTTTATGTCAGTGCTGTATCCACTTCATAGCAGTATGGTATTCTATCTTAGAGCTATATAATAGCAAATTTAATCAATGTTTTATTATTAGATATTTTAGTAACTTGAACAATTTTGCTATTGTAAATAACACTAAAATGAATATCGTCATATATATCCTTGATAATTTTTGTTTATTCAAATAATGTTTATTTTAAAAGGAAGAGAAAATATGTGCAAAAGCAAATTTTTAAAAATTGCATCATACGAAATTTTATCACTCAAAGATAACTGTTGGTAATTTTTTTGTGATTTTCTTTCAGTATATTTCTATCTATTTATACAAGATTGTACTATTCATACTATATTATTTTACTTCTTATTGAGCCATGACATGCATGTAAATGCATAAATCATAAGTATATAGTGAAATTAATTTTCACAAATTGAACACATCAATGTAACCAGCACCCAGATAAAGAAATGTCACCACTTCCCAAGCCTGGCCCCATCTAGCCACTGCCTTCCAGAGGGTAACCACTACACTGCTTCTAACATTCTAAACTAGTTTTGCCTGATTTTGAACTTTATACAATTGGGATCATCCATCTGACTTACTTTGCTCAATACAATATACCTATACCGTTATATGTTATTGAAGTTTGTCTGTGTTTATTGCTGTGTAGTGTTCCCGTGGGTGAATATACCATAGTTTGTTTTTCTCTTGATGGACACTTGCATAGACGGTTCATTTGGATCTATTTTAATAGTGTTGCTGTATACTTTCTTGTATTATTGTATTATTTTGGTAAACTATATGCTGCATTTTTCCTCTGACTTTTTACCTTAATATGTCATAAACGCCTTTCTTTTAAATACATTTTATTGACATAAAATATTGTATTGTGTGATTGTACCACAACTTAACCTGTCCTGCTTTTGGACTTTCAGTTTATTTACAGTATTTTTCTGTAATAGACAACACTGAGATGAACATCCTGGTACATAAGTCTTTGCACATTTTTTCATTTTCTTGAAGAAGATTCTTACGCAGATTGAAATGGCTGGCTCAGTATTTAAGGATGTTTGATAATTACTGCCAGATTGCCATCTAAACATTTATACTTACTTATAGCCCCTCTACAAATGTATATAAGTACCTGTGTTCCCAGAATCTTATTAAATGAAAAATTGCAACTTAGTGTAATTAGCAGCATTTGGTTATTAATGATATGTGATATTTTATTAAACTGTGTTGGACATAGATGGTAAATTGCTTTTTCTCTTTAACTTTGTCATTTTATCTTTTAGACAGTTCTATATTTTTCTTGTATTTTATGAGGGTGCTTAATATATTAGGATAATTATCTTTCCTGGTTTTCCCTAGATTTTTGCTTGCATTTTTTTTTTCTTTTTTTTTTGAGGCGGAGTCTCACTCCGTCGCCCAGGCTGAAGTGCAGTGGCGCGATCTCGGCTTACTGCAACCTTCGCCTCCCGGGTTCGAGCGATTCTCCTGCCTAAGCATCCTGAGTAGCTGGGACTACAGGTGCCTGCCACCACGCTCGGCTAATTTTTGTATTTTTATTAGAGACGGGGTTTCACCATATTGGCCAGGCTGGTCTTGGACTCCTGACCTCAAGTGATCCACCCACCTCGGCCTCCCAAAGTTCTGGAATTACAAGTGTGAGCCACTGTGCCCGGCCAATTGTTGCTTGCCTTTTAATTTTATCCATATATATATTTTTTTTTCGCTATGTGAAACTTTTTTTGCGGTAAACATTTGGGTGTTACTTTTAGTTTATTTCTTAACTTCTACTGAATCTCAATTCCTTTATGAGAAGAACTAATATTGTAAAGATGGCAGTTCTTTCCCAAATCAATTGACAAATTAATCAATAAGAAAATTCATTTGGGTTTTTACTTCTACCTTAGTAAAATGATTTTAAAGTTCACCTGGGGACATAAATGGGCAATGTCAAAAAGTCAGACAGTTTTGAAAAATAAAAATGATGAGAGATGATTTGCAATACTAGGTTTTAAAGTATGTTCCTGACCTGAGATCAGGTACTAAGTCACCAGCTTAGAACAGGTCAGGCCAGAAAGTCCTGAGAAAAACTCGTGTGTGTGTGTGTGGTGTGTGTGTGTGTGTGTGTGCGCGTGCACGTACGCATATACATGCCTATGTATCTCATCCATGGATCATCCAAGTCAGATAGATTGGTCAATAAATGGTGTTAGGACAGTTGGCCAACCACAGCCAGCTCTGTGAGAATTCTAAGGAGCATGTGTCAGTGACTTAGAGAAACTAAAGTGATAAATGGAAACAAAAAACAAAATGGAAAATGTATTTCAGTAATAAAAGGATATTTGGTGCTATTCTCAGGCAGGAGAGAAATAGAACACCAAGACTAACATCTACTCACTGAATATCAAATATCAAATTGCCAGGACAGAGGCTCTGACATTTTGCATAAGTTGGGTGGCACGCCTGGTCCAGTCAGCTGTGCCCCAGTGGTGTGACCCTGTCTGCTCTGGGCCCACCCCTGTGCATCGGTCAGGGGTGAATTTCAGAGAAGGGGCCAGTTCATGGTAGGGTAACACCCTTGAAGGTGAAAGAATGAAGATCAGTGAGCCATACAGCCTAAGCACCACTTGCTGCAAAGAACAGTCACAGTGAAAGCACATCTCTCATTATTAGTGTTGTTGTTTTTGTCCTTTGCAGGCCAAGTTCATTTTATCCCCCATGCCTTAAATGTGAGAGTCTTAACATTTAGGTTTCTCTATAGTTGTAAGAAATTTCTTTTCAGTTCTAACCTAAACCCACCATGGTCAAAGTGCAAAGCCCCAGCAATAATTACCCTTTATCACTCTTAGGAATTTATAGTTTTATTTTTCTCTTTATATCAGGTGCATTATCACACAGACAAAAATGTACTGTGGGTTTGTGAAAATCCCATTTAAGCATTTGTCCTTGACCCTTCTAGGTACTTTAATAGAATATCACTTACGTACACATTGACCTTTTATAATGAATCTTCCATTATGTACTAAGTATTCTTGTAATTTCTCTGTTTTTGTTTTTTTTTTCATTTGCAAGGGTTGTATTAACCAGTACCTGTAGACACATCTGTGTCCTTCCTCATGTTAGTTATTTTAGCCAGGAATAACATAGACAATTCTGCCTTTGTTTTGGTCTCCTAGCTTTAAAGTTGCATCCATCATCAGCTTCTTCTGAAGCTCATCTAACTCTGTTGCTTCTTATGATAATTAAATTTGAAAAATAGCTAAATCAATTCAGTAATTATGTTGGAATAGCTACTGGAGTTTGTCATCATTGCTTTGACTTAGTGTAGAGTTTACCAGATAGTCATTTCTTTGGATGTGAAAAGGTAGATGTTATCAAAGAAAGAGGTTTCTGCAGACATATATGTTTGAGAAACACAGAGTTAAGCAAAGGCAAATTGATTCTGATAGACTTCCCAGAAGCTCCAAGAAGCTAATATGTCTTGTGTAAGCCCCATGAAGGCAATACAATTAGAAGCATTTCTCATATTTATTTCACCTTAGAGTCCCTTTCTCAAACTGCTTGTGGGAACAATAACCTGAGAAACACACTTTAGGGAAGTGGTGATATAATTAAATATTGACATACTAATTTTCTCATTAGTAAATTTAAAAACATATCCTCTCTGTTGTCATGTTGGTTGGCTATAAACCAGAGAAATCAAGGGGTAGGGGCACCGGTCTGGAAGTTAGGAGCACCTGAACTGGCTATGTGTCTTTGGGAAACTGCTTCTCTCTCCTGGGACTGATTGCATTTTCTCATCCTTAAATGAGATTGTCATACCTATGTGACCTCTTATTCATGGACACGAGCCTTCTCCAGCTCTAGGATGCTATTTCATTTGTCGCACAGGGACTCTGACTGTGTTTGTTGTAGAAAAAGGAAGAAGCTTTTACCAATTTAAAGAAAGTTTTCTCAGTCTCTGACTTGTCCATTTGGAGCTATTTTATTTATTTCTTTACAAAAACAAGTCCTGATCTTTTTTTTTTTTTTTTTTTAGGTTTGATATGATCAAAGCTGTCACTTCAGTCTTTCACTAACTGGGCTCCTTAGAATCTCATTTAGAATTCTCAGAAACCAAAAGCCAGTGAAATAAAGTCAAAGGAACAGAAATGTCACCTTCCAGGAAACTCCAAAATGCCATTAACACCTTTAATGAGGCTTTTTAAAGGAAGAATCAGTCTGCATTTTCAGTGGGCCCTCTAGTCTGTCTCTTTATGCTCATCAGGAAGCTAGAAGATGGCAGCCCATGAGCTTCTTCCCTTGCCTTTGCAGTCTGTGGGTAGGATGTTACTTCTAATTGACTTAACTGAAACCTAGTGCAAGTACATTAGGTTTCTTCCTGCCCTCAACCCTAACACCACTTGGGCAAAGTGGACTGACAATTTACTTTTGAGAAATAGCATTAATGGAGTGAAAAATAAAATTTTTTAAAAAAATAGTTGGAATTCCTGTTGTGATTTGTTGGTTAAATCTTGAGATTGGTTCGCATTATGCAGTCATAAGGTTTTAAATCATCTAGCAAAAGATTTCTGGGGATTGAGCTGTTCCTTTCTCTATGTTTACTACCATTATTTGGAAATGAAAAGGGCAGATAACCTTCTTTTAAATAGCAACCATGCTTGGGGTCTCCTATTCTTAATCATTACAGGCTAGAAAAAGGGGGCAGGGAACTCTGGACATCAGATTTTAAAACCTGAGGTTTTAAAACTAGAAAGCATTTACATGATATTAAGGCAGGGACTCTGAGTCAGACCAAGACACAGTCAAATCCCAGGTTGCCATTGTCTTAGACATAATATATATTGACCTGTTTTCTCATTTGTAAATGGTGGTGGTAGTGACTGTCAATAGGATTTTATGGGAATGTATAAATTTACATATACATTTATAAATGTAGTTTATATGTATGTATAAACTAGAGCATCTGGAACATAGTAGATATCCAGTCAAATAGTGATCTATTATAATCATTATTGTTATTTTTATTGTAAATAATAAGCATATTCCTTGAACAATGCTTTAAGTATTTGCTTTAGTTATGATTTTTATAGATTATATTATTTTTATTTAGTTTTAGGTTTATTTTATGCTTATGAAAGATACCTTAAGGACAATAGTATGCATGACTTCAACCTTTTAATAACAAGGTGAAGCAGCAGCAGCAATACTGTGTCTCTCTAATGAGATGGAATATTACTGATAGCTCTGAAGCCCCTATGTGATTATTCCCAATGAAATCCTCTCTCCTCTCCTTAGAAGTACCACATTCCACTTTGGTTTTACCACACTTATTCCTAGACAATAATTTTTTGACATTCTATGTTTTTGACCCTTATGATCTAAAAAAAAATAATACTTGTATGCATGCTGTACATGTATTCTGTACATGTGGTGTGCTTCTCTGTCTCAACATTATGTTAAGATTTATCCCTGTTGATGAATGTACCTATTGTATGTTCTTTGCCACTGTGGTAGAATATTCTATTGTATAAAACAAATATGCCCTATTTTTTAAATCATTCCTCCTATTTATGGATGTTTAGTGTTTTTCCAGTCTTATTTATTTATTTATTTATTTTTTGCTATTTTGAATGTGACTATTGTTACTATTCTTCTGTTAGGTTAACTATGTGAAATCGCCATTTTTATAGGTCAATGATCCAAACTAAAAATTTCATATGATACAACCCAATTGATGTCTGGTGTATATTTTTAAGATTATATCTGAAGCATATACCTAAGTGTGGCAGAAATGCTGATTTATAGGGTATATAAATTTTCAACTTTTAAAATGAAACATGATTGTATTACAAAGAGATTACACCAATTTATACCCCCAAATGAAAACTGTCATTGTCCCACTTCCCACCAACATTTGATATAAATTTTCATTTTGGTGGATGTAAAATATAGTTTTAATTTGCAGTTCTGTAATTACCATTGAAATTAAGCATTATTCCATATGCTTATTTGCCATTTCTATTTTTTGAGATGGAGTCTCGCTTTGTCACCCAGGCTGGAGTGCACTGGCGCGATCTCAGCTCACTGCAACCTCTGCCTCCCAGGTTCAAACGATTCTCCTGCCTCAGCCTCCCAAGTAGCTGGGACTACAGGCGACGCTCACCATGCCCAGCTAATTTTTGGATCTGTAGTAGAGACAGGGTTTCACCATGTTGGCCAGGCTGGTCTTGAAGTCCTGATGTCAGGTGATCTGCCCACTTCGGCCTCCCAAAGTGCCGGGATTACAGGCTTGAGCCACTGTGCCCAGCCAACAATTATTTTTAAAAATAGAGTTTCCCATAATTTTTAGGTATGTACTGCTTAGAGGTGTTTCCCTACAATATCATCTTTGCTGCTGCTGAGAAAATGGCAAAATAAGATTATTTATGTTTTTATCCTTTTGAAGAAGAGAACTTATTGATTTTTAGTTTGTATTTCATAGTCATATGGTTAAAACTTTAAGGGATATATTATACATAGGATTTTTTTAAAGTATTATAATTTTTTTTATAAATTAACATATTTTTATTTTTATAAAATAATTATTTTGTTTGTATTATTTTGCAGTTACATATAATACTTAACATTTAGAACTTCAAAGCACAAAAGTTTAGAACTTTTAGATATTGCCTTTTGGCATTTTGCAGAAATCCATACTAAGTCTTATGTATGGTTCACTTTGTTATAAAGAATTTTTTTTTCTTAATTTAAGAATTGGGATGATGAAACTGGCAAATGACCCATTATTTTCTCTTTTTCTCTGTGGCCTTGGTGAGGTCATTTGTAAATATTTGCTGAGTCTGAGTCAAGAGAAAGATACTACCTTACATAAACACTTACATATAAACACTATATTTAACTCTATTTTAATAACAAAATAGGTTGATTTTGTCCATGTAGAGATTTTATCTTGCTTGTATCATTTTGGTTTCCCAGGTCTTGTTTCATCATCTGTGTTGAGTAACCATGGGGAGGAAGCTGGACCTGTCTGGTTTGACTGATGATGAAACAGAGCATGTTCTTCAGGTGGTTCAAAGAGACTTCAATCTTCGCAAAAAAGAAGAAGAACGACTAAGGTGAGATGCCTGTTTTGCTCAGCAGCGTACAGCAAACCACATGTGGACAAGCGTAACAGGTTTCCTGAGGGTATTCCCTCCTGCTAGCCCTGAGTTTGGATATACACTTATGTTTGTCAGAATGTCCTGTCCTTTGTAGAAAGGTTTGCCAGTTTCAGAAATGTCAGTTCAGAAATGTGTTGCTCACGGTCCCAATCAGGGTTTTGTTGGGACTTCTGACCCTGTATGTCATTACTAGCTATAGAATGAGTGGAGCTTGTGGTGAACACGCTGCCTTGAGCTTCCTCTTGGCCTTAGTTTTTTGTTGGCAGGTCTTATTGAAGGATAACCAAAGTGTTAAGTGAACAGTTCTTGTGAGAATGAGTCTCATGCATGTACAATGTTCTGTTTAAACTCTCAGCTACTGTAGCACAGGAAAAGAGCTTTGAAGATCAGATACAAGGAAACTGACCACCAGGCTGGGATGGGATCACCTGGCTTAGCACCACTTCCCTCATTTTATAGAAGAGGAAACTGAAGCCTGAAGAGGTAGTCTCCTGACTCCTCTGCAGTTGATATTTCCCCATGAAAGGCTCTTGGAAATACTATGGCAGGTCAGTTCCAACTATGCCTAAGTTGGAAGAAGTCAGAGTGATAGAAATGAGGTCATGTGTTAGGCCTAATGTATTGAAACTGATGGTAGGTCAGTATTAGTCTCCCTCATCTATAAAACCTATTATTCCTTGGGATTCCATGGGTTTATTCACAGCACCATCTTCTTCCTTAGACACTAAGCAAAAACCTGTTTTGCTCACTTTGATTATCCAACAGCTAGAACAGTGCCCAGCACAGTTTTAAATCAATTAATTATTAATAGATTTCTTGTCTTTCATCAAACAAGTATATATTTAATATATACTATATGTGAGACCAAAAAATGGTGGAAATAAAGATTACACTAAGGTGCTTATAGCCTAGCAAGGGACATAACATTGCCAAGAAGTATAAAGTCTGAGGTACTCCGAGATAGAAGGAAAACAATCCCTTTTTGGTGGTAGGAAAGATTTACCAGTTTTAAGCTGAGTGAGAAAGGGCATGAGTAGAGCTTTGGCATAATCCTGAATTTCCATATTTACATATAGAATATAAAAGAGAACAGAGTCAAGGACGTCCCCAAGGTTTTTTGGCATAGGAAACTGAAGAATGAAGTTGTCATTCACTGAATATAAAGACAGAGGAGCAGGGTATTTTGTAGCCAGGTAAAGTTGAGAGCTCTGTCTCAGGCATCTTCAATTTGAGATGAATATTGGACATCCAAAGGAGATGCCAACTTGGCATTTATGTATTTGCAACTAGGAATCAAGTGGGAGGTCCAAGTTGGAAATTAAAATGTCATGGAAAAGGTCACCAGAACAATAGGAGAGTAGATGGAGCAGGGAAACTAGTACAGTTGCTTGGCAGCGCTAAGACCAACTTGAAGTTTGTGGTCACTATTTTACATTGAGACCAGTTTCTACATGGTAGTGTTTTCCCTGTATCTTTCAGCCTCTTTCCTCTACTGAACCATTGGAAAGAACCATGTCTTGATCAGTTTTGTGCCCCAATCTCTGGACACAGGGCCTGGCACACCGTGGGTGTGCCCTAAACCTCTGTGGAATGGATGGATACATGTAGATTGATTGTCAATCCATATGACTAACTTCATGTGTGGTTTGAAGAATCCACCTTAATATTTCCTTTAAATCATAAAGACCATCTGTGTGTCATGCTTCATCTCCTGGAAACTCACATATGGATAAGCCAAGACCTTGTTTAATGTCCTTTTCTGACTGTGGAGACTTGCCTTAGCTCCATTGCAGAGTCAGGTGCCAGTCCATGTGGAAGAGCAGCTTTAGGGCTTGGTTTGAGGAGGAAAATTTTAAAGAAAGAGCAGCTGTCACTGTAGTAGACCCAACAAAATGGGCACCGTCTATCTCATGAGGACAGGTAGTCTTAGTGGACAGCAGTCAGTAGCCTACTGCAATTCTGTGAAAATGCATGGTTATGGGAACCTGCTTATAATGGAGAAAATGATGCTTGAAATCACCAGTGGCCAAAGAGGAATGACTGCTTGCCATGGCAGCTCTTGTGGCACTGGAACTGGACATTTTTTCTCTGAAGACAGTTGTTACTATTGTCCTCTGCCCATGACCAGTGACATGCCTTGATAGCTACCTAGCAAACTGAGGTGACATTCTGAATGATTCCAGCAAAGAATATTACTGTCGAATAAAAAGATTATGACACTGCAAAACCACTGAAATTGCCAAACATTTGCCTCACCTTTTTATATTGCTTGAATTTTGGGTATGTGAAAGAATCTAGGAGGTAGTATTATTGAACTGAACTTTGAAAGTATTTTAGAATTATAGAAAGTATTTTCCTTTAATGAATGTATAACTCATAATAGAAGACTTTTTTAAATTTTACAATCTTGAATTAGTTTCCTTTTCCCCCGACCAGCTGTTCTTTATTTACCTAGTTTCTCTGGCTAGGTTTTGTGAGGTTAGGTCTTGAGTGTAGTAGAGCTTATCCAGTGTTTATAATGATCTGTTCTTCAGTTCAGACGTTAAGTGTAATAGTAAATAGGAGGTGGGAGTGTGAATTAAGTGTCCTCAGAACACATCATGGTAATGTAAAGAGGGATAATGGGGATGAAGAATTCATGGAAAGAGAACTAAAATGTATAAAGCAGTCAGCTTGAACTGGCACTGCCCTGGGTACTGCACAATTTATCTTATTGATTCCTCACTAAAGTCACTATAATGTTAGCACCAGCTTACATGGAGGCATCCAAGAACAGAGAGATTACAAAGCTTGCTCAGAATCACACAGTTAATTGGAGTAGGGCCAGTATTTTGTTTTCCAGATTCTCTCCATTACGTAGACTGGGTTAAACCATTTCAAAACTGTTTTACTCTCCCTCCCTCCTTAAAATAATTCCTTAGTATCATCTAATGTCCAGTAAATTTATCCAACTATCTTTTTTCTACAATGTGTTCAAATCAGAATCCAAACAAGGTCCACTCATTAGTCTGGTTGTTTTGAATCTTAAACCGCTTAATTTTGTCATTATTTCTGAGATAATTCAGAAGGCAAGCATGGTATTTGGTGTCTCTGATAATATTTTACTTTTTTAGTTTGTCATTTTATGGTTAGGCTGATTAGACTTGGAGCTTAGTTTTGTTGTAATTTTCTCCCCCTTTAATATGGTCCTTTGATAACAATTTAGATCTTTTCCAAATTCTGCTATTTAAATTTTTTAAAAATTCATAGCTAAGTGTTTTTCTTTGTTTGTTGTTTGTTTGTTTGTTTGTTTGGAGACAGAGTCTCACTCTGTTGCCCAGGTTGGAGTGCAGTGGCACGATGCAACCTCTGTCTCCCGGGTTCAAGAAATTCTCCTGCCTCGACCTCTTGAGTAGCTGGGATTACAGGTGCAAGCTCTCACACCTGGCCAATTTTTTGTATGTTAGTAGAGATGAGGTTTCACCATGTTGCCCAGGTGGGTCTCGAACTCCTGAGCTCAGGCAATCTGCCCACCTCGGCCTCCCAAAGTGCTGGGATTACAGCCATGAGCCACTGCGCCTGGTCGTGTTTTTTTTTATTTCCCAAAAGCATGTATTTAGAATGGATGTGATATTGTTACCCATATGGAAGGGGCAATGTGACTGTCCTGGCTCTGGCAGGTAAGTGGAGAAGGACACTGGGGAAAGCTTACAGCCCTCATTCTTTACAGGACTCCTACTATCCCCCACTGTCTGCTACAGCTCACAGTGAGCAGAGGCACATCGTGGTTGGTGTGTAGATATCAGCTGCTGTGTGTAGGTAGTCACAGGCCTCACTATGTAAAGTGATTCTGTCAACCCCATGTCAGTAAGATGAGACACTTTCTCAGCACTGGGGATGTGATGCATTGAATTTTTAATGTCATTAAAGCTATATGTTTATAGCAGGACTGTTGGGGGAAGATAGAGAATTGATAGGCCTGAGAATAGTAGACAGGCAATACCAGATACTGGAGGTGAGGACTTATTTACAAATTCAGTAGAGTAAGTGTTGATTCCATTTCTCCAAGACACACAACAGGATTAACACTATGGATGGAGGATGCTGGAAACAAAAGGCATGGTGACGCCTGCTCCTACCTCCAGGTGCTTTGGGTTTTATCTAGATTACTCAAGTAAATGTGTCAAAAAGTTCATATTGTACTTGGTTAATTTTATTTTCTGTGTTTCTTTTTTATCAGATGATTTCAGGCAAATAGTAAAATTATGCAAATGGTAAAGAAGACCTTATAATGAAAAGCCTAAGTCCTCTGCTCCATATTTAGTTCTTGGTCCTTTAGACCTCCTGGCATGACCTTCATAAATCTAAACATGTGCTTCTGTTGCTATATTTCAATATATCAGTATTAGACATTCTTTCAGTTTTCTGCTCTGAAATTGGGGACTTAGCTCACTTACTTATATTACCCTTGTCTTTTGTTTCTTGATGATTATATTATTATTTTTGGCTTGGTGTTCTACTAGTCATCTTTCAAACTTAAATAATAGATGGAAACCTCTGAGTCTTGTTCTGTCAATGTTTGCCATTCTTTTTCAGTTCTGACAGTGCAACATTCAAATAGTGTCCCTGTCTTTACCTCTTTACCTCCTTCTGCCCTGTGTCCCAGCTTTCCCTATAATAGCTTTACTCTCATACATACAAGGTTGGGGCATTCACCCGCTGTTCCAAAAACATATTTGAGTCTCCTGTTTTGTTCATAGGATGATTCTAACTGTTGTAGCCCTTATATAGTTACGATTGAAAATATTAACATTGTTTACCGCTACCTCTCCATCTTTTTCAGAGCTTTATTGAAGTTAGCAGGTATCTGATTGTTCTTTTCCTTTTCTCTTTACCATTATGAATTAATTGTTTTTATTTCTTTGCTATTATTGGAAAGTGGTCTTGAGAGGGAGCAGAGGCCATTAAGTGTTTGCTTTGTCTGTCATCTGGAATCTAAATTCCACAGTAACTTGCTTACTAGTCAAGGTCATGTGAGGATCCTGGGGAGCGTGCAGAGGTGGAAAGCACTCCCGGTGTGCAGCATATGTGCAGAGCATGCTTTGGGGTCAAACAGATATGGGTATGAGTCCTTCTATCATGATTATCATGATTATGTTGGGCTATTTGACCTCTGAGCCTCAGAGGTCAAAATGAATCCTCTGGGCTTCATTTTGACCCAAAGCCTGGGTCATTGCTGCACATTAACCATGTCCCATTTGTAGGAAAGTTGACATTTCTGGAAACTTCACCCTGACTTTTCCTTCATCTCTGTTGATAGAGCCTCTACGGGTGAGGCACCCCATGATATGGGCTGTGTTCTTTCTGTAACAGCTCTATCCCCAGGTTCTATGATTGCAGGCATTGGTCTTGCCTACTGAGAACATATCTTTTCATGAACTTTCAGGTTTCTACACTTAGCTTTGATTGCCCTCTCTGCTTCTAGTGTTCCTCCATTTAGGAGAGTATGGCTAAACATACTGAGTGCCTAAACAGAATTCAATGGAAATAATAAATTAGCATAACAACACAGTATCTTCAACTTTGTCTATAGCAGTTATGCTTTCCCAGTAATGAAATATATCATCTATGTCATATGACTTTTTCCATACCTTTATTCTCTCAGTTATGTAACTCTTGAGAAATTTTCAAATAGTAGAAAAAAATAACCGGGCACCTATGCCACATTTAAGTCCATGATGTTCAAAAGTCTTACCCAACTACCAGATTTCTACTAGTATTTGAGTGGGAGTGTGGGGCCCTCAGCTGGGATCAGTGTGGTATTTATAGCTGCACCAGGTACTGTTGGACAGCTTTTGGACAAGCATGTTTTTGATGACATTGTTCATGGCAGAAATAAAGTCTTGGAGAAGAGAAGAGGCACTGACTGGAAGAAGAAATGCAAAATACAGCTTCCTAGGCTATCAACAGACTAGCAGGCAGACCATCCAGGTTCAGTGTGATTAGGGGTGGGAGAGGTTAAGACTTGTTTCCCTCTGTTGGACCCCAGTGCTTCCTGTGTGACTCAGATAGAGGAGGCCTGGCATCAATTGGAGTGCATTGGTCTCCCCATGGTAACTCTTGAGTACCGAACTCCTGAGTACCCCATGGACTGTGTCTGCTTGGGTGTTGGGCATTTGGTTTAGTGTTCATCATCAAAGGCCATGTTCCCTCCTCTCCATCTGCCTTTCTGTGTATCTGGCAGACAAAATTTTAAGAACTTTTTCTTCACATCTACAGTGTAGCATATCATGATGTTTCATCAGTATAAATATATAGATAGATTAAATTATTAAAATAAGTAAATAGACTGTCACCTGTGTGGCAGAGATAAACAGTGCTCACCAAATATCTTATGTGCTCATGCATATTCCCAGTGCCTTCTGCAGTTAGATTGCAGCCATGTGATTAGGTCTGGATAATCGACAGTGAGAGGAAGGGCCTGTATTACTTCCAGGTCGGGGCACTTAAGAGCTGGTGTGACTCTACTACCTCTCCCCTCGCCTTCTGTGGTGTCCTTGGAGGCCTTGTGTGGAAACATGGCACCACATGATGGAGAGAGCCTGATCCCTTTGACACTGGATGGAAGAGAGTTTCTGATGATCAGCAGGAGACTTTGTGTGGGTTTATTGGGTTAAGTCATTGAGGCCTTGGGGTTTATTTCTCACAGCGACATAGCCTAGTATTACTCTAAGTAATAGAGTTTTTGAGAGCTAAAAGAGAGCCAAATATTTATTATGCCCCAACCTTTGACTTGTAGATGAAGAAACACGCTCAGAGGGTGCATAGGCAGTTAGTGGTAGAGTCTGGATGCGACCTGAGTTTCCTGATGCCAGGGCTCCGTGTCGTCTGCCATTGGGCCTCTCAGGTAGTAGAAGACACCTGCAGCAAGATATCCAGACCTAAACTGGAATCACAGTTTATGCACTATGATTTTATATCATCAGGAACATTTACAAAGTGGTTTTAAAAATGACTGTTAATTGTACAATCCTCTGGTGTTCAAACTGAGTCTTGGAGTCATTGATGAGATAGCCACAGGCTTTAAAATTTCTCATTTACTATGTGCTTGCCAAAAGCTAGTTAGCATTTGGATAACTTCCAAAGGTTGCTGGTGCTCTAATGGACTTGGTCTGTGGAGTAGCAGGGGTTAGACTGGATGCAATTATTTTCTGTAACTGCGACTGGCGCCTAGGCTGGGCCAGGGGAAGGAAGGGAGAGCAGAGGGCAGTGAGTGTGAGATAGCACTTCCTGCTGTGTCTTTCCCAGGCGCAGCTGCCACAGCCCAGCAGCTATGATGTGTCAGCTCCTCTTCTGGCCTGTGTTAAGGAAGGGGAAATAAACGCTTTTGAGACCTGTTTCTGTTGCCCATAATGGTACCATTACTCACTTGCAGATGTGGCCCACATCTTCCTTGCCACCTCCAGGGGTAATCTTCCACCCCCCCCATTGCTCAGGTCTAAGTGTTCTGAGAAAATAAATAAGAGCTGCCAGGGTTTGTTGGAGACCCACTATGAGGAAGCAAAGCCTTTCTCAAAATCTAGAAATAATTTGTGTTTCTAGTCAGTGACACAGAGACTCCTCTGAGGATTAATCACCATTTCTTAAAGTAGAAAGAACATGGTACTTTAATAAAATGAGTTAGTGATCTTTCTTCATTCAAGATTTATTTTCATTTTAAACAAAAATTTTATTATAAGAACTTAGTAGAAACTCAAAAAGTTTCTATTTCAAACAGTAACATTCCTTTGTTTTTACTGTCTTTTGTTCTGAACACTTAAATTAAGCTAATGAATTAGCAAATACTTCTGCTTATATCCTTCCCTGAAGCTGGAAGACAGATCACCTTGTCTTTAGAAGAAATATGCCTTATGGTTTGTGAAATAACTGTGTGTGCACAGAGTGCATTTGCCTGAGGTCTCCTCATGGCCTTTTGTAGCTCTTTGATATTCTGTACTAACACTTTGGCATTAACCTGCCCAGTTAATGAATCTGCTGTCTCAGTGGGGATGCTCCAAGGTAGTTCCTTCGATGGGATTGGTAGATCAGGTCACCTGGCAGTGCCCTGAAAAATCAGAGTTGAGAGCAGGTGCATTTAATGGTGCAGTGGGAGGCAGGACACAGCTCTGGTTGAGATCACTTTGTGATGGGGGAAGGCCTAGGAGGAGACAGAACTGGGAGACCTGGGGAGAGAGCCTGGAGACTCATGGAGGGCAGGTGCGCAGGCCGCAGAAAGGAGAGTGGAGAGGACTGATCTTAAAGCTAGAAGGTATCTCACAAGATTATTTTTAAAACTCTGTCTTAGTATTGGTATTTTTGTCAATAATGGAAGGCCAATATTAATCCAAAGCTGTTGGGTATTTATTAATTTGCTTCAAAATCATATTTTGAATGTCAGGACCCTTCTGGGCAAATATGAAAGGGGTGAAAGGGCAGTAGGGGACTCACAAATTTAGTAAGGTTATTAGCCCTTGAAGAAGAGTCCAAAAGATGAGCTAAATCCTATATGAATAATTAGGATGCTATAGACAATGAGAAATAAAGATATTAAGGCAGACTCATGGGAATACATCTGTCTTAGAGGAGGGGGCTAGGAAAAGGAAAAGACTTCCTGAAGGAGAGGTGTGTTTGATTTGACCCTTGAAGATGGACTGGATTTTTTAGTGGATTGACACATAGGTCTGAGCAGCAGGGAGCATCCTGGGTAAAGTAATATGGATAGAAAAGGGAACATGTTTTCACAACCCCAAATCAGGACCTGTGGTGGGGCAGGGGAGGAAGAGACTGTTTTGAAGATAATTCTACTTCACTGTTACTAATAGCATTGAATAGAGTGTGGGGTTCCAGGAATATCATCTCCCTTTATCCCAACAATCCTGGGAAAAGCACGTTCTTTTTTTTTGTTTGTTTGTTTTGTTTTGAGACAGAGTCTCACTCTGTCACCCAGGCTGGAGTGCAGTGGTAGATCTCAGCTCACTGCAACCTCTGCTTCCCGGGTTCAAGCGATTCTCCTGCCTTAGCCTCCTGAGTAACTGGGATTACAGGTGTGTGCCACCACACCCCGCTGATTTTTGTATTTTTAGGAGAGATGGGATTTCATCATGTTGGTCAGGCTGGTCTTGAACTCCTGATCTTGTGATCCACCCACCTCTGCCTCCCAAAGTGCTGGGATTACAGGCCTGAGCCACCATGCCCGGCCGCATATTCTTATCTATTTACAAAATGGGAGAACCGAGGCTCTAAAACGGTGTTAAATAATTTGCTCAAGTTGTACAGAGTAAGAAGTGAATTCAAACTCAGGCGGAGCAGCCCTAGAGTGAGACCAGTACCAAGGCAGTACACTGCCCTTGGTACTGAAAACAAGGACATTCAGGTGCCGTGGGATAGAATAGATGAAATTAGGACCATCTTGGAAAATCTGGCACCTGTGCTTGCTAAAACTTGGGATGTGTTCAGGGATGGGAAAGTGGTAGGGTTTAAGTCAGTATATGAGAAGTGTGTAGTTGGGACAATACAGTAGCCAACTAGCCACATGTGGCATTAAGCACTTTGAGTATGTCTTATCCAAATTGGGGTGTAGTCTAAGTGTGAAATAAATGCTAGATTTCAAAGATCAAGTATAAAAAATGTAAAATAGCTCAATAATTTTTATATTGATTACACATTGAAATGTTTCTAAAATTACATCTTAAATATATTTTTAAAGTTAATTTCACTTTTTTTTACTTTTTAAAATGTGGCTACTAGAAAGTTTTAAATTATATATATGGCTCACATTATATTTTTATTGGACAGTGCTGGTCTGAAATGCAAGATTAAGCAGTTTGGGATTTATTAAACCAAAAAGTAAGCTTTCTTTCCCAATTTTGTTTAGGATTATTCCTTTTTTATATGTGGTTTTTAGGTATCTGTAAGAGCCAGCTAAAGTTTTAGCTAATTAGTCAGATATTGGCCTTTGCTATCAAATATTGTTGTCTCTGTCACGTGAAGGTGGTCTCTGAGTCATGCCTCAGTGTTGGGTTTATTACACAGTTTAAAAAAAAGCATACTGTGTCCATGCCATATTCATGACAAAGAGTTTATGCATCTCAGGACAGAATGAACCCTTTCATGTTTCCCTGAAGTTAATGGTTGACCAAATACTTCATGACCTTTGAAATAACACATGGCTTTAGAATGGCCCACTATTCAAAATTTATATCACATCTTTGGCGCCGTAAAGTTATCAGACATTCACCTGTGGGGTCTGCCTTTAGAAATGGTCAGGAGAGTTTGATGTTACAAGTGTGCTTGTAATGTAGAAAAAGGAATCATGCTGATGCTCTTATTTGCTTTTTAACTTGTGGTCCTTCAAAGATGTACAGTTACTAATTTGGAGATTCAAATATGTTCTCCCCATAATCCCACTTTCTTTAATAACAGTTTTCTACTAGGTTGCTTTTATGGCTCCAAGTTCCTGATCTTATTTACTTTTCCACTGCAAATGCCAGAGACTCAGCTTCTGGGCCCTGATAAAGCTTTTGTGGCCTTAATTCTTGGCCTGACCTTCATTTCTTAGACCTCTGGCTGTGGAAAGCATTTCTTTGGCATTACATGTGCATAGAATTCAGGACTTGAAAGGGAGCAAGGAGGAAAGTTTCCACAGCAATTTGAAAAAGTAGCTTTTCTCACTTACAGTAATTCAGGAATGTACAAAATCCTTTAGCCAGAAATGGCCTGAAAACGCAGAGGAGGTAAGCACAATGAACAGCCTGGAAATCAGAGTTTCTTCCTCTCTCTGTGCTGTGCTGGTGGCATGACAACTTACTTGTTCTCACAGGCTCCTTCAGTGCCTGGGGGCAGTTTCCTGCCTCAGGGTTAAAGGGCTGCCTTCCCCTCCTTACTCAGCTTCTGAAGCCAACAGATCCACCTCCTGGTCCGTTTCTGAACCTGATACCTGCAGAAGGAAATTCATCAACAACCTCTCCCTGACTGTCAGGGTGACTTATAATGAGCTTCTTCTCCTTCTCCCAGATGGGGAGATTCCTGTCCTAGCCCAAAGACTTTTTTGGCTGGAAACCAGGTTGCCTTAAATTGCCAGGAGAGCCAGCCTCCCTGGCCTGGTCCCAGCCCTCTGTGCTCACCTTCCCCCTGCTGGTCTGACTTACAGGCTCCCATTTTGTGTCAGCTTCTCCTCTATCGGTGGGTGTGGGCCTAAGACTTAGGACCCCTTCCCTGGCTAATTCTTATACCTCAGGCTGGAAGAGACTAGCTCCTGCATACCCAGCTGGATCTGGCTCTCCAGATATGGTGATGTGCCCAGTAGGTTGGCAGGCTGTTTGGTTCTGACCACCTCTGGAATTAGTACTAGAATAATACGAAAACAGAAGACACCAAATAATTAAGTGATAAAAAGTTACAAAAACTGCTAAATGTAGTACCTAATCAATTATGGTCAAAGTCTTCCACTGATGTTGGAAAAATTATCTTAGCTGCTCCAATCAAAATTCAAATATATCCAACAAAATCTCTTCCAAATCTTAAGCAAAATCCTTTAAAACCAGAAACTTTAGAAGGAATAAGACGTATAGTTTTAGACTATATAAAAGAGGCTTGATTATTCCCTGTACAACCCCATATAACACTTCAGTCCTTCCTATAAGAAAACCAAATGGTAGAGGATGGAGGTTTGTGTGAGAACTTAGAGAAATTAATGATATTCCTCATCATCTGGTAGTGCCAAACCCCCATACGTTGTTGACTGTAATATCAACTAAAGGTAAATTCTTGGCTGGGCATAGTGGCTCATGCCTGTAATCCCAGCACTTTGAGAGGCTGAGGCAGGCAGATCACCTGAGGTCAAGAGTTCGAGACCAGCCTGGCCAATATGGCAAAACCCTGTCTCTACTAAAAATACAAAAATTAACTAGGTGTGGTGGCATGCACCTGTGATTCCAGCTACTCAGGAGGCCGAGACAGGAGAATCACTTGAACCCAGGAGGCGGAGGTTGCAGTAAGCTGAGATTGCACCACTGCACTCCAGCCTGGGTGACAGAGCAAGACTCCATCTTAAAAAAAATTATTTACTGTGATAAATTTATATAATACATTCTTCAATATTCCTGTAGATAAAGACAATTTCTCTTTTCCTTCACTTGGGAAGACAGAAAATACACATGGAGAGTCATGCCTCAGGGATACACTAAGAGCCCTACTTATTTTTCACAAATATTAAAAGGTCTCTCAGATGTTGACTTCTGTAAGAAATCTATTTTAATGCAATACATAGATGATTTGCTTCTCTGCTTAGAGGATAGGCAAACCTCTATAGAGGATGAGATTCACTTGTTATAACCATTAGCTCTAAAGGGACACAAGGCCTCAAAACAAAACACATTAGTTTTGTCACACAAAGATATTTGGGTAATTTAATATCAAAGGAAGGTCTTTTCATCCACCTAAACAGTATATTGGCCTTCCCTGACCCCCAAAACTATAAAACAACTAAAAAGATTTCTGGGGTGACAAGATACTATCAGAATTAAATTTCAAACTTCTGCCTAAAAACTCAGCTTTTATATACTCTTCTGAACAAGATAAACTAGAACCCCTGAAATGGACTAAGAAAAATCAGTTAACATTGAAAGAAGTTAAAAAAAGCTTTATAAATGCCCCAGCTTTGAGACACCCATGTTATGATATTCCATTTTCATTGTTTGTTCATGAAATCATACAATGCCTTAGGGCAGTCTAACACAAAAACGTGCAGACCAAAACAGACCAGAAGGATACAAGACTCTGTGACTAAAAAATGGCCACCTTGCACGAGGACAATAACTGCTACTGCTCTATTAGTAAGAACAACTGAAGAAATAGTGATGGGCTTTCCCATCACTGTTTTTGTTCCACATTCTATGGAAGCACTTGTGAATTCACACCACACTCAACATTGTTCTATCAGCAGATTAGCTTCTTATGAAATTTCTCTTCTTTCTATACCTCACATTACAATCTCTAGGTGCAGTCATCTATAACCTGCCACTCTTCTGCCTCTACATTCAGATGAGATGCTGCATGGTTGCATAATCTTAAGCAACCAGCTTTGCTCTTCTAGAACAGACATACAAGAGATTCCTCTTAGTAACACTGATGTTATGTGGATTACAGATAGATCCTACTTAAAATTAAATCTGGAACTTATCGCACAGGTTACAGTACAATATCTTTAACTGAAAAAATAAAACCAGAAGTCACCTTGGCTCAACAAATAAGACGGATAACATTAATTAGGGCCTGTTAACTGACCAAAAAACTCTGCTAATATGCATACAGACAGCAGAGATGCTTTCAGAATAGCTCAAAAATTTTAAGTGCTATAAAACAAAGATCTTCTGATCAATCCATTAAAAAAGATACCTTATTATACAATTGTTAAAAGCCATATTATTACCAAAATGTCTGGTCATTATTAAAATCCCAGTTCATTCCAAATCAGATACTCCAAAAAACAGACAAAACACTAGCCAATAATATAGTCAAAAAAAGCTGCTCTAAATACATCTAAACAATAAAATAAACAATCTATATTAACTTCAATCTATATTAACTTCTAATATCAGTGACCTAAAGAACATTAAATTTGACATGAAACTTTTTAAGTATAGAACTCCAAAATCCAAGCAAGCAAGCAAAAAACTAAACAGAAGGAGGAACATATCCTCCCAAAGATGAGGTATATGGGCCAATGCACCTATACTTCCTGCTACATTTCAGTCATCATTTGTAAACCTACATATATGACTTAACTCACTGGAGTCCTGATAAAATAGTTGAGAAAAATGGTATTTCTAAAACATTTCTCCAGCCATAGATCATAAGATATATAATGACTATCACATTTGCCCAAAATGTAATAAAAAAATTTATACAGTTCCCAAAGACATTTTCCCCTTCCTATAAAGGCCCCTTTGCAGCATGACACTTAGATTTTATTCAGCTACCACCATCACAAGAATGCAAATGTGTTCTAATGGTGATTTACATATTTTGTCATTGGATCATAACATTTCTACATGGAAGAACAAAGGCCTTAACAGTAAGTAAAATTATCTTTAAAAAATTATTCTAACTCGAGGAACTCCCCTGGAACTTCTTAGCAACAGAGTCACTTGCTTTACTAGACAGACAATTCAATCAGTACAATCAGTATATAAAATCTGGCTCGTCCTCCAACATATCCATTATACTTATTATCCCCAGTCATCTGGTTAGTAAAAAACACAAACTAAATAATAAAACTCAATTGACAAAATTAACTGAGGCTTTAAAAATTCCTTGGCCAAAAGCTCTTCCATTGATTTTGTATAACCTAAGATCAACCCCTTTTAATAGACATCAGTTGTCTCCATTTAAAATTATAACAGATAAACCTATAAAATTCACTCAAAAAATTATACATCTCTGATATTAAATGGAGACATATTCAACTATTACAATGGCAGCTAACTAAAAATTATATACTAATAAAAAATTATTTTCATGGTGAGCTTCTGGGAGACAAAAATTTAAAGACCATGAATTTCAACCAAGAGATTTTATTTACTAAAAGCAGTATCTTTTAAAAGACTCTCTCCAACCAAAGTAAAAGGGATCTTATCAGGTAATTCTTACTAGTAACCCTTGCACTGCAAAATTAGAAGACATAGACTCTTAAATTCATATATCTTATCTCCTAAATAGATGATTTCACCAGAAGGTAATCTTCATTATTAGATAGGTCAATGCCAGGCCAAAAAAAAAAAATGACATCTGAGACAGCCAACCTTCCCAAGACACTAGACCAGGCCCATATCTAAACAAATCGTTGATATTAATAATCGTTAATAGATGAAAAATATTTTCTTTTATAAGTTCCCATTAAATTTATTTCTTTTCACCCCTCCCCTAATTCTTATGTTTTAATGCTACTATTATCAACTGTTACCTATAACACAATCTCTTCTTACAGTGGGCACAAGACTATGCTAATAGCCAGAAAAAAGACACTTGCTAGTTATGTGGCCCCATGCCCTTTCTAGGGGTTCTGTCCTACCATGATAGACATCTCCTCTCCAAAGACTAAATAAAATATCAAAAATATATCTTTGTTTTTCAAGAACAGTCACCAGTACTTAGAACTGATATGTCTAAAGATAATATATATCACTCATCTATTAATGAAACCTTACAAAATAAGACATTAAAAATTTTTCAATAAAAACCCCAGTTCATTAGCTTTAACAGTGGCACTGCTCCAACTAAGAGGTAAGACAGTAACACTGTCTCAACTAAAAGATAAGACAGCTCAATTCAAGATGATACAACACAAATTATGGACAATTTTATCTGATTTGCTTGCTCCTCTGGTCAGCTTAGTCAGCTTATCCTTTTATATTGAGAACAAAAAAAAAAAAATCACACCAAAGATACCTGGCCAACTAACACTAAGAAAATAAAATAGATACCCCCCAAACAGTATATTCATGCCATTATATTACAAAGTACTGATTGACATGCCACTAAATAGACACAATGAACAAGCATTTATTGGCTAGCTCCAAAAAGAACACCTTGGCTGTGTGATACCAATCTATGGCCATAGTTACCATGTTCTTTGGGTTATATTTGGACATAAGCATACCAAAGCATACCATTTCAAACCCCACAAACCTTCCTCATTTGTAATCTTATTGGGTTTATTCTAAACTCAGCTGATTAAATCATTTAGCTTTCATCTTTATGCCACAACTAGATATTAAAAATGTCATTTAACATATAGAGGCCCTAACCAAATATAAAACCGGCCATAAATGATAGCCACATAGATATCTTATTATTAAACAATAAAGTAACTCCTATAAAAAAGGCTATATTACAGAACCATATGACTTTAGACATACAACAGCCCAAGGGAAAACATGCACTATCATAAATTTCAATACCCCAAATCAAATAACATCACTAAATTAATGGCTGATATAAAAACCCAAATAACTAACCATTTAAAGCCAAAACTCTCCCTGAGCAATTGACTAAGTAACTGGTTTAAGTCTTGGGAAACTTGGTGACAAAAGTTATTACTTATTCAAAAATTATAATCATATACTATATTTTATCCTGTTTTTGTCTTCACTTATACAACATTCATTTACAATAGAGTCAACATACATATGACTAAAAAGAATAACATAATGGTTAGTCAAAAAGATTACATTAATTAAAGATACAGCCACTTAGTCTGACTTATGTAACAAGTCACTTCCTTCACGTTACTTTAAATTCAGCCTGTACTCCATCAACTTTATAACTTATCCAATTATTCATTGCCAGGAACATGACATTCTGGAAATGAGCCTTCATAGCAAAGTGAAACTAAACACAAACATAAAAAGAGTCAAAACTACTGGGTTTATCTAGGATGCTTTCTTTGAAAGAAAATTTAAAAAAAATAAAAAAATAGGAAAATTAAAAAAAAAAAAGCTGTTGAAACTTCCAAAACACTTTAAGCCTTGAGAGAGATGTGACTGTGATCTGAGTCACATAACATGTAGTTGCAACTTCTGCTTCTTAGATTATGAATTAACTCTCTCATTGTTCTCATTCTGTAAATGACTAAGAGAGATCAGAGACTAGACCTCCTTCCCTTCAAATCACTGACCTTTATTATAGATTAGCTGCCTTCTTTATTGTCATATGCCTAACTCAGACCAGATGATGCCCAAGACCCCAAGTCTGTTACATCTGTAGCATAAAATGCTAAATATACCTTTCTCATGAAAAGATCTTCTTGACCAATCAGATCATTATAACTTAATGTTAAGCCTTATATTAAAAAGTATTAAGATTCTATTAAACTTTCCAAACTTTATCTATATAAATAACCTCCAAAACTTCTCCACTTTGGATTACTGACTTCCATTCTTTTTTTTTTTTTGGAGACGGAGTCTCGCTGCTCTGTCGCCCAGGCTGGAGTGCAGTGGCGCGATCTCGACTCACTGCAAGCTCAGCTTCCCAGGTTCACGCCATTCTCCTGCCTCAGCCTCCGGAGTAGCTGGGACTACAGGCGCCCGCCACCACGCCCAGCTAATTTTTTGTATTTTTAGTAGAGACGGGGTTTCACCGTGGTCTCGATCTCCTGACCTCGTGATCCACCCGCCTCGGCCTCCCAGAGTGCTGGGATTACAGGCATGAGCCACCGCGCCCGGCCCTGACTTCCATTCTTTAAAAATCTATATTCCCAAGGAGGCCAGCATCAAATTTGTGCTCAAATAAACTCTATATTTAATCATATTTTCTAACTCTGATTATTTAAAGTTAGCAATGGCAGACTGTTATAAATCAATGCCTTAGCCTCTGCCAGAGGACCCTCTTCCCTGAATGCTCATGTGTGGTCAACCCCTGAAGCTGTGAGAGTTACCCCTAGTCATCCATTTTGCAGTGCCTAACTTGTCTTTTATATCTTGAAGGGTGAGTATCCCGCAACCACCTGGGCCTCATTCCCCATCCTGCCTAATGAGGCCTGAGCTGTGCCATTGCTTCATTCTATGTGTAGGGGCTCAGGGAAAACTTCCCCTTCGCCCTCTGAAGGTTTGCTGAAAATCAGCTAACAAAGGACAGATTAATAGGGGAAATGGCATACAAATTTATTAATGTGCATGAAAGTCTTATGAAGATCTCAAGGAAAGATAAGATGGTTGATGCTTTTATATCATCTTGGGATTACAGAAAGAATGGGGACTCAGAGCATGACCAAAAAACAGGTTATGGTGGTAAGTGAGGTTGTGGTGTCAAGATAGGTTATAGGAGGGAGAGAAGAGGAGGGTGGTAGCAAAGGTAGTCTTGTTATGCAGACTAACTACAGCTGTAGCAGCCCTCAGGGAGACTAGATGGTAAATGTTTCTTTCAGACTTTTAAAGTGTCAGACTCTCAGTTAATCTTTCTTAGACTTGGACAAGGGAGGGCCTCAGAGAAAGCATGGCTACATCAATGCAGATTCTCTCTACAGATGCAAATCTCTCCCACAAAAGACAGCTTTTTAGCTATGCCTATATTTCCAGCCCTTCTGAAAAGCAATCTCTAAATGTATCAAAGACATGTATTTTTAGGTGAAATATTTTGGTTTTCTTCACGTGCGAGAAATGTACCTGGAGTAGGGGCTTCACCACTTCCCAGGCTGGTCTGAGTCCTGGTTTGAGGGACCTGGTTTTGATTGTTTTCAGAATTCCAGCTACGCCCTACCTGCTGCCTTATTTATCAGGCTGGAGACTACCTGGGTGCCCCTGCTAGATTTCCCTCTCCTGCTCTAAAGCCCAAGGCTCAGGCAAGGTCCTAGGTCAGACTGCAAGGTCCTAGCCACAGGCCAATGGCTTTGGCTTGTCTCCCTTCTTGTGCAGTATCTCTAAGTGCTGAGAGGAGGTGGTAGGTGCCAGCAATCTGCATTTCTCCAGGCCTGGGCTTTTGCCATGCAGCCTTGCCTTGCCCTGTCCATCTGCCACTCCCACTTCCCTTCCTGCCTTCTTTTTTGTCACCTCCTGGGTTGGCCCCTCTGGTACCAGTTTTATCCAATTGTGTGGGTCTGGAATCACATCTAAGCGCTTATGTTGCTGTAACAATATAAACAGATTCGTGTGATCCTGAAGTAGGCCTGTAATGGCCCACATTCTCTGCCATGTGTGCGGGTATGTGTGGTGTGTGTGTGTGTGTGTGTGTGTGTGTGTGTGTGAGAGAGAGAGAGAGAGAGAGAAATTCATTGATGACTGTATTTTTAATCCTCCTTCCTTGGTACACTATTTATTCATTTTACATGAACCTCAAAGCAGAGGCACAGAGCTGGTATTGAATGCCAGATCCTTGATCACACTATCTATCTTACTGAAAATGTAAGAGCTAAGGGGTTCATTGATGCTAGTTTGTTTTGTAGCTAGAGTATCCTTACCTGACTTGTGACCTTGGGCATGTACCTTCATCTTTTTGTGCCTTCACCTTTCTCACCATACAAGGAAGATGATGGGGCATCTGACTGGAGAGTTATGAGGATTAAATGTCTTCATCCTCATTTAAAATGAAAGCCCTATATTAATAAATGTTCCTTTGACTATGAAAAAAAAATAAAAAATAAAATGAAAGCTCTTTGGGCAACCTCTAGAACACAGTAAATGCTCATAAGAACCTGAGATAAGAACTCTTACTGGCTTAATTGTGACTGGTTGATCTAGTCCATGAATTCCATAATTATAGATACCTTTAAATTTTTATATCTGTTTAGTAAACTCAAATGTTTTTTATGGTTTGGCTTTTCCTAAGGTAAGGTATATTGTCCTATTATTATTAGATTATTCTCTACAAGCAGAAAGAAATGCTAGTGTTTGTTTTACAACTGATGTTTAATTGTTTAGACCTTAGATGTTTCTCTTTATTTTGTATATTCACTCACGTACTGACTTGTGGTTAGAGAAGATTCTTAGCTGCTGAGACATTTTGTTTTTCATTTGAATTAGAGTCTCAGATGTCTTTTATTTAGGGAGGTTTTTTCATACATTTTCTGTTTCCCTGCATACCTTCTGCAGGAACTATACAGTGGCTTCTGCTTTTTTTCTGATTAAAGAAACAAAGCATTTCTATATAGAGAATGGATCAGTGGGCAAATGAAGAGTGAATTTCTGAGAAAACAATAGTTTCTGCTTTGATAGCTTAAATACACAGGGGAAGCTTTTTCAGTATGAAGTGGAAGCTTTGCAGCTACTGAGAATGTTTGTTTTCTCCTGGAGAAACATTTCTGTCTTAAAGGTGGTTCCAAAGCAGTGCTCATCCTAGCACCATAGTGAGGGAGAGTCTCCCTCCTGGGCTGGTTCTTCGTGAGTCACAAGGGCCAGTCCTCCTATACCAGCCTCTTCACTTTTAAGGCATTCTGCTCTACTGTGTCATTAGAGGCTTCAGTATTGTTGATGTGCTCAAAAGATCACTGGACATAGAGATGATTCTGGTCCACTGTTGCCATTTTTGGGAATGACAAAGGATCCCTCTGGCAGTAAAACTCTACTTGAATTTTATGCCTCCCCTTTACCTGTGGGAAGCCTCTCACTAAAATTAACGTTATCAGACCTTAGTTTCCTCTATGAAGTAGAGAGAATATTCAAGAATAAATGATGGAATTTTGGGGCTAAAGTGGAATTTAGAAATCAGTCTTGAATTTAGGTAAAAATAACCTGCTCATTTTCTAAATGTAGATTCTTAGTCCCCAGGAATTAAGCATGTTGCAAAAATCAACCAGCAAGTGAGCACTGGTGAACTCTTCCTGTTTCCACAATTGTGACAGTAGGCCTTTTGCTAAGTTTTTGTCTTCCAGTGTACGTAGTAGACAGTTAAGTGACAGGAACTCTACTCCACTCCCCTAACTGTTTTCAAGGGAATATTTAAACTCACTGTGTTGCCTAAGTACAAACAATCATCATTTAAACCATTTGTTTTTTGAGGGAGGGGGTTGAATCTTGAAAACTGAGAGATGAATTTGCAGCCTGTGTTACAAAATTTGCACATATTCAGGTGGGAAGTTATACCCCAACTCCAGGTACATTGTAAAGATGTTGACAGCTGGCTGGGTGCAGTGGCTCACGCCTGTAATCTCAGCACTTTGGGTGGCTGAGGTGGGTGGATCACTTGAGGTCAGGAGCTCAAGACCAGCCTGGCCAACATGGTGAAACCCCGTCTCTACTAAAAATACAAAAATTAGCCGGGTGTGGTGGCACATGCCTGTAGTCCCAGCCTACTCAGGAGGCTGAGACAGGAGAATTGCTTGAACCTGGGAGGCAGAGGTTGCAGTAAGCCAAGATTGTGCCACTGCACTCCAGCCTGGGCTACAGAGCAAGACTCCGTCTCAAAAAAAAAAAAAAAAAAAAAAGTGTTGACGGCTGTCTGACTTCCCCTTCTGGGAAGATGGATTAGATGTACTTTTTTCCATTCTTCTCATTAAGTATAACTAAAAACCCTGGGGGCTCACCATATCTAAGACAAACATAATAAGAGGACTATGAACAGTGGACAGAAGAAGGCAGACTGGCTGTGTTCCCTGGGTACTGAGGAGTGGCATGGTGTTGAGTTCTCTTAGGTTTTTGTTTTGTTTTGTTTTGTTTTGTTTGCCTCATATATTTGAGTCTTGAAGGTGAAAAAGTTGGCAATACCAGTTGTCACAGAAATACCAATTGTCAGAGATGAAAATGTTCCCATCTCCAAAACCAGCAAAAGCCAAAGGACTAGGAAAAGGGCAGCCAAACAAGACAGACAATTTTTACATGATAACTGCTCTACTCCATCCAAACGACACAGAAAAAAATCTGTGGCCTCCACCCCTACCTAGAAAAAGCTAAGCAGGAAGCTGAGACTTTTATCCTTAATGGCCAGTAATGAGCCCTTCACCTCTCTTGTGGTGTAAGTGGGGCCACTTGGACAGCCAGACCAACAAGCACCTGGAAGAAACAAGGAAGCTCCCTCCCAGCCAGTGTGGTGTCAGAGGAGGCCTAGTGGAGAGTAAAAATATTCACCACTGCCCAGTAACAATGAGGCCACCTCCACTGTAGAGTAAGCAGAGATCTTGTGGGGAGCTGGAATTTCCACCCAGCAGCAACAAGGAGCTCCCTCCTCAGGTATCAACAGAGGTCAAATGAGGACCCTGGACTTCTGACTCTCTTTGGCAGCAGTAAATCCAGAGTGTTGTCAGAGAGAGCCGCTAAAACAGAGGTTTAAATAAGATTCAGAGTTTCAGAACATAATACAATAGTATACAAGTGTCAATACAAATTTGCTCATCATACCAAGAACCTGGAACATCTCAAACTGAATGAAAAAGACAATCAATATATGCCAAGACTGAGAGGGCAGAGGTGATGGAATTATCAGGCAAAGATTTTAAAGCAGCCATGATTAAAAAATATATTTCAATGAGCAATTTCAAACATACTAGAAACAAATAATAATAATAAACCCTTAACGAGGAAGTACAAAGTCTCCGCGAGGAAATAAAGGATATAAAGAAGAACCAAGTAGAAATTTTAGATGTGAAAAATGCAATAACTGAAGCTCAATAGCAGAACAGAAGAAAAAAATCAGTGAGCTGGCAGGTAGAACAATAGAAATTACCTAGTGTGAACAACAGAGAGAAAGTAGAGTGGACTGAAAGTGAATAGAGCCTCAGGAAGCTATGGGACTATAATACAGGATCTAAATTTATATTATTAGAGTTACAGAAGGAAAGGAGAAAGAGAGTTGAAAAAAGTACTTGAAGAAATAATGGCTGAAAACTCCCCAAATTTGACAATAGACACAAACAAACAAACAAAAACCTGAGTGAATACCAAACAGGATAAACCCAAAGAAATCCACACCAAGACACATCCTAACTATACTCTTGAAAACAGAGAAAAATGATACCATACCTGCACAGGGAAAACAATAAGAATGATAGCTTTCTCAACAGAAATCATACAGGCGAGAACAAAAAATAGCATGTATTTTTTAGGTGCTAAAAGGGAAAAACTGTCAACTCAGAATCCTATATTTTGTGAAAATATTCTTTAGGAATGAAGGAGAAATCAAGGCATTCTCATATGAAGGAAAACTAAGAATCTGTTACCAGGAGACCTTTGCTAAGGAAGTGATAACAGAAGAAATCCTAGAACATCAAGAAGGAAGAAAGAACATGGCAAGCAAAAATATTGATAAATACAATAGGCTTTCTTTATCCTTTTCTAAATATATTTTTAAAATTATGTTTCACAGTTGAAGCAAAAATTATAATACTGTTTGATGTTTTAAATGCATGTAGAATAAATAAGACAATTATATTGTGAATGGGGTAAAGGAACATAAAGGAAGGTAAGTTTACTATACTTCACTTGAACTGGTAAAATCATTATACCAGTAGAGCATGATGTATGTTATGGCTATAAAATGTCATACCTACCAACCACTAGAAAAAGCTATACAAAGAGATATATTCTAAAACACTCTACATAAATCACAAGGAAATTCTAAAAAATGTTCAAGTAATCTACAGGAAGGTAGGACAAGTAATCTACAGGAAGTAAACACAGAAATAAAAAATAGTAAAAAATTTCATATTTAAGCCCTAACACATCAATGACATTAAATGTAAATGGCCTAAATATACCAGTTGAAGATACAAATTAGCAAAGTGGATTTAAAAAACATATCCTAGTCATATGCTATTTACAAGAAATTCACCTCAAATATAACGATATAGATAGGTTGAAAGTAAAAGTATAGAACTATATATATGATATAAAAATTAATTTTAAAAATCAGGATTAGCTATATGAATATCTGATAAGCTAGATTTCAGAGCAAAGAAAATCACCATAATCAGAGAGGGGCATTGCATAATGATAAACAGGTCGATCAACGAAGAAGGCATAGTGATTCTAAATGTTTATGCAGCAAACAACAGAGCTTGAAAATATGTAAAATTTAAATTGGTAGAACTAACACTGAAAATAGACAAGCCAACAGTTAGAGATGGAGACTTCAACAACCTCTCCCAACAACCGATAGAACAAACAGGGAGATAATCAACAAGGATGTAGAAAAAATCAACACCACAGTCAAGCAACGAGATTTAATGGACATTTATAGAACACTTCCCCCAACAACAGCAGAACTCAAATGGCAACAGAATATATATTGAGACCATATTCTGGGCTATAAAACAAACCTTAACAAATTTAAAACTTGTGAAATAATAGAGCGTGTTCTCTACAATATAATCAAACTAGAAATCTACAGAAAAATAAACAGGAAAAATCTACAAACACACTGAAACTAAATAGCACACTTCTAAATAATCCATAGGTCAAGGAGGAAGTCTGAAAGGAAATAAAAATTCATTGAACTGAATTAAAATGAAAATACAATATTTCAAAATTTATGGGAAACTGCTAAAGTAGTACATAGAAGAAAATTTATAGTACTAAATGCATACTGGAAAAGAGGAATAGTCTCAGACCAATAATCTAAGTTCCCATCATAAGAACTCAGAAAAAGAGCAAAATAAACCCAAAGCAAGCAGAAGGAAGGAAATAATAAGGATCAGAACTGAGATCATTTAGGTTGTAAACAGAAAAACAATAAAAATAAATGAAACAAAGTCTGGTTCCTCAAAATGATTTAAAAAATAAATCTTCAGCAAGACTCACAAGGGAAAAAAAGGAGAAAACACAAATTGTCAGTATCACCGAGGACACAGACAATATCAATATAGACTTTGTCTACATCAAAAGAATAATAAAGCGAATATGATGAATATTTCTTTTTTCATTATTTCAACTTTTATTTTAGATTCAGAGGGTACATGTGCAGATTTGTTATGGGGGTATATTGTGTGATGCTGAGTTTGGGGTAGAAATGATCCCATCACCCAGGTAGTGAGCATAGTACTCAATAGGGAATTTTTCAGCCATTGTTCCCTCCTCCTTTTCTCCAGTACTCCCCAGTGTCTATTGTTCCCATCTTTATGTCCATGTATACCCAGTGCTTAGCTCCCACTTATAAGTGAGAACATGTGGTATTTGGTTTCCTGTTCCTGTGTTAATTCACTTAGGATGATGCCCTCTAGCTGTATCCATGTTGCTGCAAAAGACATAATATCATTCTTTTTAATGGCTGTGTAGTATTCAATGATGTATATGTACCACATTTTCTTGATTCAATCCACCATTGATGGGTGCCTAAGTTGATTCCATGTCCTTGCTATTGTGAATAGTGCTGCAATGAACATATGAGTGCATATGTCTTTTTTGCAGAACAATTCATTTTCCTTAGGGTATATACCCAGTAGTGGGATGGCTGGGTTGAATGGCAGTTCTGTTTTCAATTCTTTGAGAAACCTCCAAACTACTTTCCACAGTGACTGAACTAATTTACATTCTCACCAACAGTGTGTAAGTGTTATCTTTATTCCACAACCTCACCAACACCTGTTATTTTTTGTCTTTTTAATAAAATAGCCATGCTGACTGATGTGAGATGGTATCTCATAGTGGTTTTGATTTGTATTTCTCTGATGGTGAGTGACATTGAGGATTTTTTTATATGCTTGTTGGTTGCTTGTATGTCGTCTTTTGAAAAGTGTCTATTCATGTCCTTTGCCCAGCTTTTGATGGGGTTATTTGTTTTTTGCTTGTTGAATTGTTTAAGTTCCTTATAGATTCTGGATATTAGACCTTTGTCAGGTGCATAGTTTACAAATATTTTCTCCCATTCTGTGGGTCATTTGTTTACTCTGTTGATGGTTTCTTTTGTTGTACAAAAACTCTTTAGTTTAATTAGGTTCTACTTGTCAATTTTTGTTTTTGTTACAATTGCTTTTGAGGACTTAGTCATAAATTCCTTGCCAAGGTCGATGTCTAGAATGGTGTTTCCCAGGTTTTCTTCTAGGACTTTTATAGTTTAGGTCTTACATTTAAATATTTAATCCATCTCGAGTTAATTTTTATATATGGTTAAAAGTAGGGGTCCAGTTTCATTCTTCTGCTTATGGCTAGGCAGCTATTCCAGCAACATGTATTAAATAGGGAGTCCTGTCCTCATTGCTTCTTTTTGTCAACTTTATCAGAGATCAGATGGTTGTAGGTGTGAGGCTCTATGTCTGGATTTTCTATTCTGTTCTGTTGGTTTTATGTGTCTATTTTTGTACCACTACTGTGCTGTTTTGGTTATTGTAGCTTAATTGTATAGTTCGAAATTGGGTAATGTGATGTCTTTGTTCTTTTTGCTTAGGAATGCTTTGGCTATTTGGGCTCTTTTTGGTTCCATAATAATTTTAGAATACTTTTTTCTAATTCTGTTAAAGCTAATATTGGTAGTTTGATAGGAGTAGTGTTGAGTCTGTAGGTTGCTTTGAACAGTATGGCCATTTTAACAATGTTAATTCTTCCAATCTATGAACATGGAATGTTTTTTGATTTGTTTATGTCATCTGTAAATTCTTTCAGCAGGGTTGTGTAGTTCTCCTTGAGAGATCTTTCACCTCCTTGGTTGGAAATATTCCTAGGTGTGTGTTTGTGTGTGTCTATTGTAAATGGGATTGCTTTCTTGATTTGGATCCCAGCTTTAACATTATTGGTGCACAGAAATGTTACTGATTTTTGTGCGTTGATTTTGTATCCTGAAACTTTCCTGAACTTATTTATCAGGTCTAGGATCCTTTTGGCGGATATTTTAGGATTTTTTTAGGTATAGAATCATTGTCAGTGAAGAAATACAATTTGACTTTTTCTTTTCCTATGTGGATACCTTTTATTTGCTTCTCTTGCCTGATTGCTCTGGCTAGGGCTTCTAGTACCATGTTGAATAGGACTGATGAGAGAATGGGCATCCTTGCTTGTTCCTATTTTTAAGGGGAATGCGTCCAGCTTTTTTCTCTTCAGTTGATGTTGGACAAATTCCTGGAAATGTACAACCTCCCAAAATGGAATCAGGGAAGAAATTGAAACTCTGATCAGAGCAATATCAAGTTCCAAAATTGAATCAATCATAAAAAACCTACCAACCAAAAAAATCCCTGCACCAGATGGATTCACAGCCGAATTCTGCCAGACATACAGAGAAGAGCTGGTACCATACTGAAACTATTCCAAAAAACCAAGGAGAAGGAACTTCTCCCTAACTCATTCTGCAAAGTCAGCATCACCCTGATACCAAAACCTGGCAAAGACACAGCAAAAAAAGAAAACTACAGGCCAGTCTCCCTGATGCACATAGATGTGAAAATCCTCAACAGAATACTATTAAACCAGAAGCACATGAAATATTTAATTTACCACAATCAGGTAGGCTTTATTTGTGGAATGCACGGTTGATTCAACATACATAAATCAATAAATGTGATTCACCACATAAACAGAATTAAAAACAAAAACCATATGATCATCTCAATAGACGTAGAGAAAGCATTTGAAATCCAGCATCTCTTTATGAGAAACACCCTCAACAAACTAGGCATTGAAGACACATACCTAAAAATAATAAGAGCTATATACACATATAAATTTGACAACTTAGATGAACTTAGAGAATTTCAGTTTTTTGAAAGTATAAGTTACTATAACTCACTCAATATAAAATAGATTATTTCAGTAGCCTTATAACTATTAAAGAAATTGAAAAATTAGCCCCTGTCCCCAAAAATAAATCTCCAGATCCAGTGGCTTCACTGGAAAATTCTAACAAATGGGTAAAGAAGAATTAAAACCAATTTACATAATCTTGCAGAAAATATAGGAGGGACTACTTCTCAATTTATTCCATAAAACTAGTATTACCCTGATGCCAAAGAAACAAAGACAGTACAAAAAAAAAAGATAAAGGGAGAAAATTACAAATCAATATACCTCCTGCATATAGATGCAAAAATCTTGTACAAAATATTAACAAAATGTAGCAATATATAAAAAGAGTTATACACTATGAGCAAGTGAGGTTTATTTCAGAGATGCAAAGCTGGTTCAGTTTTAAAAAAACAATCAATGTAATTCATATTATTGAAAGAGTAATTAAGAAAAATTATGTGATCATATCAACCAATGCAGAAAAAGCATTTGACAAAATTCAACACACATTCCTGAAAAAAATTATCAAAAAAAAAAATAGGAATAGAGGTAACTTCCTCAACTTGACAAAAAGCATGTACAAAAAACCTACAGCTACCACTGTACTTATTGGTGGAGGACTGAATGCTTCCCCCTTAAAATCAGGAACATGTCAAGGATGTCTACTCTCTCCACTCTTAATCAGCTTGGTACTAGAAGTTCTAGATTATGCAATAGATGAGAAAAGGAAATAAAATGCATATAGTTTGGAAAGTGTGATGCATACTACTCTTATTTGCAGAAGTCATGATAGTCTACATGGAAAATCCCAAGGAATCACCAGAAAACTCCCAGAACTAAAAGCAAATTTAGTTTTAGATCCAAGATAAACCTACAAAAATTCATTGTGTGTGTGTTTGTGGTCTGTGTGTGTGTGTACACTAGAAACAAACATGGACACATATGGATACTGTGATAAATTGTATCAAATTAAAACATATGGACACATGGATACTGTGATAGATTGTATCAAATTAAAATATGATATTGTTTAGAGTCACTCAAAAACAAATGAAATATTTAGATGTCAATCTAGCAAAACAGATACCAGACTTATATGCTGAAATAAACTAAAGATCTAAATAAATGGAGAGACATACAGTGTTCATAGATTGGAAGACTCAACATATTAAAGATCTCAATTCTACCCAAATTGATATGTAAATATAATGCAATTCCTATCAAAATCCTAGCAAGAAATCTTAGATATCAACAAGATTATTCTAAAATTTATAGCGAGAAATAAAGGAATTAGATAGCTAAAACAATTTTGAAAAAGAATAAAGTGCGACCAATAGGTCTAGTATATTTCAAGACATTGTATAGCTACAGTAATCACAACTGTGGTATTGGCAGAGTGATGGATACATAAATCAATGGAACATAATAGAATGCAGAAATAGGCCCGTACAAATATTCCAAAATATATTTTTAATTGAACTATAATTTACATAGCACAAAAGTCACCCTTTTAAAGTGTAAAATTCAGTGGTTTTTAGTATATTCACAAGGTTGTTCAAATATTATCTCTGTCTAATTTTAGAAAAGTTTCATCGCTCCAAAAAGAAGCCCCATTCTCTCAACCTCTAGCAATCATTAATATACTTTTTTTTGCCCTATGGATTTGACTATTCTGGACACTTTATGTGTCCAGGTGGAATCATGCAATGTGTTGCCTTTTGTGTAGGGCTTTTTCAACTTGGCATGTTTTCGAGGTTCATCCATGTTAAGCGTGTATCAGTATTTCATCCACTTTTATGGATGAATAATATTTTCATTTTTTTGTTTACCCATTCATTAGTTGATGACCTGAGTTGTTTCCACTTTGTCTATTATAAATAATGCTATTATGAATATTCATTAACAAGCTTTTGTGCAGAAATATGTTTCACCTCTCTTGGGTATATACTGAAGAGTGGAATTGCTAGTTCATATGGTACTTCTGTTTAACCTTTTGAGAAATCGCCAAACTTTTCTAAAAAGGCTGTATCATTTTATATTCCCACCAGCAATGTATGAGGGTTCCAGTTTATTCACATACTCATCAATACTCATTATTTCCTGTCTTTTTGAGCACAGCCATCCTGGTGGGTATATCATTGTGGTTTTGATTTATATTTTCTTGATGGTTAATGATGTTGAGCGTCTTCCCACAGGCTTATTGGCCATTTGTGTATCTTTTTTAGAGAAATGTCTGTTCAGATCCTCTACTCATTTTTATTTGGGTTACTTGTCTTTTTATTACTAAGTTGTAAGCATTCTTTATGTATTATGAATACAGTTCACTTACTATATATATGATTTGTGAGTATTTTCTCCCATTCTCTGGATTGTGTTTTTACTTTATTAATAATATCCTTTGAAGCACAAAAATATTTAATTTTAATTTATCTATTTTTGTCTGGTTGCTTATGCTTATTTCTAAGAAACCATTGCCTATCCAAGGTTGTAAAGATTTACATCTATATTTTCCTCTAGGAATTTTATAAATTTATCTCTTAAATTGAGGTCTTTGGTCCATTTTGATTTAATTTTTGTATATGAAGTAAAATAGGATTCCAACTTCATTCTTTTGCATGTGGATGTCCAGTTGTCTCAGTACCATTTATTGAAAAGACTACTGTTCCTCATTTAATTGTCTTGGTATCCTTGTCTATAACCAATTCACTATAAATTTAATGGCTTATTTCTGGATTTCATTCCATTACATTGAGCTATGTTTATCCTAAGGCAGTACAAGAATGTTTTGGTTATTCTAACTTTGTAGTAAGTTTTGAAATTGTGATGTGGAGTCCTCTAGCTTAGTTTTTATTTTTTAAGATGATTTTGGCCATTCTTGCCTTTGTATTTCCATATGAATTTTAGGATAAGTTTATACATTTATGCAAAAATCGATAACAAAAGAACAAAAACAGCTGGAATTTTGATGGGGATTGTATCGAATCTGTAGATCAGTTTGGAGAGTACTGACATTTTATTATTGAATAATAAGTGATTTAATCCACAAACATGGGATATCTTTCCATTTATTTGCATCTTTAATTTATTTCAATGATGTTTGTAGTTTTCCATGTACAAATCTTGTAATTTTTTGTTAAATTTATACTCAGGTATTTTTTTTCTTTCAATAATATTGTAAATAGAATTTTTAAAGTTACCATTTTGGCTTGTTCATTGTTAGTATATATAAAGACAATTGTTTTTTATATTGATCTTTTACTTAAACCTTCCTGAATTTATTTATTAGTTCTGACAATTTTTTATGGACTCCTTAAGATTTTCAGTATACTAGATCATGTCATCTTTGCATAGAGATAATTTTACTTCTTTTCTTCTCTTAATTCCTTTTTTTCCTTCTTCTTACCTGTCCAGGATCTCCAGTACAATACTGAATAGAAGTGATGAGAGATCCTTGTATTGTTTTTTATCTTGGCAGGGGGGAAAGCATTCAGTCTTTATTCATGAACTATGATTTTAACTGTGATTTTTCATATATGCCTTCTATCAGGTTGAGAAAGTTCCTTTGTGGTCTTAGTTTGTGCTTTTATTTTGAAAGGGTGTTGGATTTTGTCAAATATTTTTTCTGCATCTATTGACATGACCATATGGTTTTTCTTCTTTAGTCCATTAATATAGCGTACAATTCAGATAGACTTTTAGATGTTATACCAATTTTGCATTCCTTGAATAAATCCTAATTGGTTATGGTATTTGATCATTTTTATATGTTGCTGTATTTGATTTTCTAATATTCTGTTGAGGATTTTTGCATCTATATTCGTAAGGAATATTGGTCTGTACTTTTCTTGTGATATCTTTATCTGGTTTTGGTATCAGGTTACTGCTGCCACATAGAATTAGTTGTAACTTATGTCCCTGAGTTGCATAGTCCTCTAATATTTACTAGGTTGTGTTCCATAGCCTTTATTCTGTTTATGGCCCCATGCTGGTCCTCATTAGCCCTCCACTGAAAGCCAGGCATTCCAGAAGAGTGTATCACAAGATAGGACTGTGGTTTCTAGCCCTGGAAGAACCATTCCAAAACTCTTGTCTTACCTGGTGATGGAAAGAGCAGTAGGATCCTGTATAAGGAGGCTTGCACTAATGTTTAAAGCGACATCATAGAAAAGAACAGGAGTTTGGAAGATGCCTCCAAAGTGGAAACTGCTCACTCTATCAGTCAGTCCTGCACCCACAAAATGAGTCTTTTTTTTTTGGAACGGAGTCTCACTCTGTTGCCCAGGCTGGAGTGCAGTGGTGCAATCTCAGCTCACTGCAAGCTCCTCCTCCCAGGTTCACGCCATTCTCCTGCCTCAGCCTCCCAAGTAGCTGGGACTACAGGTGTCCGCCACCATGCCCAGCTAAATTTTTCGGTTTTTTGGGGGTTTTTTTTGGTTTTTGTTTAGTAGAGTTGGGGTTTCACCATGTTAGCCAGGATGGTCTCGATCTCCTGACATCGTGATCTACCCGCCTTGGCCTCCCAACACAAGATGAGTCTTATCTCTCCCTTTCAATGTTCATTGACCTGGTCTGTGCTGGGCCAGAAGTGGTCAGAGAGATCCATCGTCAAGAATTTTGAGAGTTCATTGAGTCTTACCTGCACTCTTGTAGCCTAATAGCATTGAGGCTGCTTTCTACCTTTAGGGTATATGTCTTACACATTGGTAGTGCCTAGTGTCAGAGGCCAGGAGCCTCACTTCTCAGAGATGTGCTTAAACTTTCCTTGGAGCATTGGCACACCGTCTGAATTAGATATTTTAAAGTAATCATAATTTGCATTGAGTATTGTTAATTCTAATAATGAGTAGGCCAGAATTTAAATGAGGACAGAATACATAGCATTTCTAGGACTGCTCTAGAATAAGGGGTCCTCTGACAATCTAGATGAATTTAGATGCAGGAAAATGGGCAAAAGTCTCATGCATTATGATCTTTCTGATTTCTTATTTATTCACCCATCATTGCAAAGTTGGTAGCTAAGCATTAAGAACCTTTCGTGCAGGGTTTGACAAGATACATACTCATGGGCCAAATCTGGACTACCACCTGTTTTTGTAAATAAACTTTTATTGGAACACAGCCACTCCACTTGTTTATGTTTTATCTATGGCTGCTTCAGTGCTACAAAAGCAGAGTTGAGTAGTTATGATAGAGACTGGCCCAAAAAGCCAAAATATTTACTATCTGAAATTGTACAGAAAATGTTTGCCAACATCTGTTAGAATCACAAAATCACTCAAAATATTTCTTTGCTAAATCACATTTCAAAAGTTGCCCTGTAGGTTTATGCTTTCATACGTCCTTGTCACTGGAAAATCCCTCATCATATGGTTGTGTTCTGCATTTCACTGTCTAAAACTTTGAGGAGAAACTCTGAGAAGAAGCCACTCAATTCCAAATCTCATTCTGTAGCAAAAACTGTTAAGTAAAATTCCCATACATCTTTACTTTTATGAATTTTAAAACGACATCTCATAAACTTGACCTTCAAGAAATATATTCAAGGTTTCAGGCAATAAAATATCAAACTTTGCAAAATATTATTTAACTTGTTTTAAGATTAGGGAAAGGGATAAGATATACTATTTTGAGAACGACTGTGTACCAGGCATTGTGCTAGAGACTACATTCATTTATTGTTGTTCTCCTTTTATATCTTTTATATTTTTTATAGATAAAGAAACTGAGGTTCAAGATTGAACGACTTGCTCAAAGTTACACCACTAGGTCTGTCTGGTTCTCAAAAGTAGGCTTCTTTTATTACCTCAGTGGTTCTTAAAGGAAGGCTCCTAGAAAACAACATTAGCACTGCCTGGGAACTTGTTAGAAATGTAAATTCTCATGCTTTAGACCTGTTGAATCAGAAACTCTGGAGGTGGCATTCAGCAATGTGTGCTTGAGTGAGGCCTGCATAAATGTCTGAGAACACCTGGATTATACTATCCTATCATGCACTGGATAATGTTGTGGTATGACAGTACTTAGTTCCTTTGTCTTCTCTGGGGAATTTTGGATGCAGTTCAACCAACAAAACTTGATGCTGTGCCCATGTACTGATTCCTTCCTGTGCCTAAAAGTACAGGCTGTGGTATTTCAGTACATCAGCTTTGTCTGCAAGCCTGGAGCTAAGGAGGGCAGAAGAAGCAGATGTGATAGGCTTTGTTTTTCATGTCTACTCTCAGGACCTTTTTCTTTAGTGAGGACCCAAGATCACACTTGAGATATGGGCTTCAGAAAGCAAGATGAACAAATGCCATCCCCAGGTGGCAGAGACGAGTCTGGGACCCAGGCTGGGAGCTGGAGGAGAGCCCAAACCAGCATGCTATGCAAGCAGAATCATGGCAGAACAGGCAAGAGCAACCAGCTCAGGAAAGGAGAAGAACAAGGTCCAAAGGGAACAAATAAGGGTTACCTTCCTTCTTTAGTTTTGCATGCTTTAATATGCTGGGCTTCAGGATCTGATGAGAAGCTTTAAGATGTGCACAATCTGGCTTTGGAGTCCAGCTGGGGAAGAAACAGACAGCAGCAGTGACTGACTTATTCTTTCTAAAAGTTAATGTTTTTGTAGATGAGAAACGTTATCAGTATACAGCGAGGCATCCTGACAGGAATTGAGGGTGACAGGAAATGTTAGAATAATCTGTTGTTCAGGTGTGTTTGAAGGCTTTGTCTCTTAGACTGTGGACAGATATAATTTGAAGGCAGATGGGCAGTGGCTAGAACAGATGGAAAATACCTCCCCTCTAGTCCCACACTGTGTTTCCCTCTCGCTGATACTATGTCTTCCTCCCACGACCTGGTGACAGCTTGTTTCATTCTGTTGCCTTACATGTCAGTGACAGCTTCCCTGTCTTCACTGGAGTTGCTTTCTCAGGAATTAACTCATGTAAGAGTCCTGGGGCTGATCTGCCCCTGGCATTCAGCTTTCTCGCTGGAAACCACATACCTTGAGTTCAGGTGATGCTTTTTGTGCCTGGGTGTAAACACGGACTGCACTATTGGTTTAAGATTCTTTACATGTGCTTCTACAGGGTTCAGGGACGGGGCAGATAAAGATAGAGTGAAGGCTGTGGGACTGGAAAGTCTCAAGTGTGGGTGTGTTCAGGTGGGGAGGGTGACTGTCAGTTTTGAAGGTATGGAAACACTGGAGCACAAGGCAGGCAGGGGTTCTGTAAATATGACAGTTGGTGCTCAGGGAACAATAGAATTGAAGAGTCAAGTATATTCATGAACTGGGTGGGTTATCAAAATACAGATCACCAATTACAAGGTCAGGAACCCTATAGCTTCGAGGAGAAGTGGATTAGGAAGTCAGGGCCATTGTTCTGCAGGAAGCAACAGGAAAGCTAGAGGTCTGGCATTCCACTGAGGACCTTGGCTCATGTTTCCATATGGGAATTTCTTCTCATCATTACTTTGGAAATTTGCATACTTCCCCAAATCCTAAATCCCAAGAAAAATCAGTAGAAACATCATGAAAATAAGGAAAAGTATTATAATTCTTCTGTGAGCAATATGCTTTACAGTCAATGCAGAGATGTTACTGGTTTAAAGGAATTCACTGATGTCAAGGACAAGCAGGAACAGGAAATGCTGATGTATGGAGTTGAAGGTGAAGGTCAACATTTCTAGCAATCAGGACAGGAGCACTTGGGAGAGAAATGGCCACTATTGCCATGTTGTAAGTATGTGTTTCTAGCCTCCTTTGCTGCTAACATGAGTCATTTGTGCAAAAATCTACAAATATAGGCATGATATACTTTATACAAATCTTATGAATGACGTTTTGAAATATTAAAAAATTTCAGAAACAAAATAAGTCCTTAATTTGGCAATTTCAACACCTACATCTGTGTAATACTGTTAACCTTCCTAGGAGAGTCAAATATTATGTTATTCAAATTCTATTGAATAACGTTCATCCCCATTTTCCTGTTTGGATATTCATTATAGGCTGAAGTTCTTTATAAATACTACTAAACCAGTATTTCTTTTTGTTAAAGACATTTTTAGGTATCTGCAATAATGAGTGAAGAGTATACAGAGTGTTGGAAGTGTTTAAGAAATTTATGACTTTGGGATTTCCCAGGATTCTCAGGAATTCTAATTTCTTTCTGAATCCTCAAGATTAATATTTGTGGAGAATCTGGAAACACTAGCCTTGGCTCTAGTCCCTTCAACAGAGGAGTCAGAACCATTGTGGCTAGTGCAGCCTCCACAGGGGAGTGATGGGGGATTTATGGGGCTGGAGGAAACAGGAATGGGAGAAGGGACCACGAAGGCCAACTCCATGGCTCAGATGTGCACTCACAACTTGAGAGCCCCAGTATCTCCAAGCAGCAAACAAGACATGGTAGGGTGGACTTCCAGTTCTGGAATAATGATGCCTCTCTGAGAACATTCGCCTTGGCCTGTGCTGAGTTGCACAGCCACATGAGCTGCAGTGAGACTCAGGGAGACACTGTCACAGAAAGAATCAGAAGGCAGAGCATGCAAATACAGCATGCAGAAATATGCTTGCACCGTAATACACAAAGACTCCCCGACGTGGAGCTTGCAGTTCTGGGTTGCTTCAGCCTGGCAGATTCCTCCCAGGGCTCTAATTACTCTCTTGAGGACTTGTGACTTATATTTAACTTTAAAATGTATACGTGTGTATCTCTGTTGCACTGAAGCCAAGTTGTCATTCTCCAGGTCCCTAAATCTGTCCTCATCTGTCTTTGTGGTCTGGCTTAGTTTAGTGTTTTATGGAACTTGGTTTAACTTAGTCTTCACATTAGTTGTTATCCCCAATAACAGTTAATTATTTCCATTGAAACAAAGGTTCCATGAGGTAGGTCACTGATCCAAAGTCACCCAGCTTGGCAGTGACAGAGCAGGCGTCCATGCCCAGATCTGCCTACCCACCCCCATACACTTGGTCATCTTGCTCCAACCCAGGTTAAATCATTTAGTGCTTTCAGTCCAGGTCTCTTGCTGGAAGGGCCTTCAAGTGACTATGGATGGCCCATCCCCTGCCTTCCTATAGGCAGGATGTTATAATCTCCCTACTAGGGATGACCTGTCTGAGACATTAACATTGTGCATGTGCCTCACACAAGGTCAAATAGTAAAATGTGAAAGAGAAAGTAGAGTCATGAGGTTTTTTTCTGTCAAACCATGTTGTTCTTATTTTTGGCTTTTAACTTTCACCATGAAGAATGGATAGTTTAGCTGAAGGGATCAACAAATTTTGGACCAGGACATTCTGAAGAGCATCTCAGGCTGGGGAAAGCCTCTGGACATGGGTGCAGACACAGTCCTGCTGTTTACTCTGACCAGTTTCTGTGATGTGGCCACCTGGTCCTTGTATATTTGAGGCCTGTCATCCATCAGAGGAACTGGAATTTGCCCAATAACATACAATGTGGCCTTTGTTTGGGCTTGGCCTTCATTTATTGGCCCAAATAAGAAGGGAGCTTATGAAAGGGACTCAAAGAAGAGCTACAAAGTGACCAGAGGCCCAAAAGATATGATTTAATAAGAAAAATAGAAACACTAATGACAGGTTAACTGCTAAATTATGGCTACTGCTGACTTTAACTTTCATAACAATAGTGAATTTTGTTTAGTGACACTAAGAGCTTTTAGTATCCTTGAATTCTAACCAGGGAAGAATGAACACTCCACTGATATATACTATGTATGATAGGTATATGCTTTTGTGGAGGAAAAAGGACAATTTAGAACTATAGTGAATTAAATTATAGGTAGAATTATAAAGAGAGAGAAAGTAAAATTCAAATGAAAAGGAGGAGGAGAGAGAAGTAGGGATGAGAGTCCAGAGAAGCAGCTTTCAACCAGCTTTGGCTAAACTGTGGTCTCCTAGGAGAAAGCAGGAAGCTTGGCATCTCCCATGAAACTGAAACTGAACATGCCTGTGTAACCAGCACACAGATCAAGAAGTGTGAACTGTCTGAGTTTCATAAGCCACCCTGTGCTGCCTTTTAATCACTATTCACCAAGGATAATGCCAGCCTTGAATTCTAGTGACATAAATTAATTTGCCTATTTTTGAACTTTATATAAATGGTATCATTTATATTTATATAAATATATCCTCTTTCGAGTCTGGTTTCCTTTGTTCAGTCATGTTCAAAAGAGTCACCTGCATGTTGCATGTTGTACAGATTATTCTCTTTCCTCTATAGTATTCAATGTATTGATCTATTCTACTGTCTGTGGGCATTTGGGTAGTTTCTAGTTTGGGTCTCTTATAGATACTTCTGCTGTGAGCATTCTATATTCTTATGACCCTATGGCTGCATTTCTGCTATGTATATACCCAAAGATGGGATTGCTAGGTCATAGAGAATGCATGTATTAGGGCAGATATTGCCAAATAGTTTTCCTAAGCAGTTGTACCAGTTTACACTCCCACCAGTAACATATGAGGGTTCTGATTATTCCATATGCTCATGAAAATTTGGTATTATCTGTTTTAATTTTATCTTCCTACTTTTAAAAATATTTTAGAACTTTTTTGTAGAGACGAGGTCTCACTATGTTGCCCAGGCTGGTGTCAAATCCTAGCCTCAAGAGATCCTCCTGCCTCAAACTCCCAGAGTGCTGGAATTATAGGCATGCACCACCAAGCCCGGCCCTTCTATTTTCACTTTAGCCATTCTGATGGTGCTAATATAACAGATGAGAAAGCTAAGGCGTGGAGAGGTGCCTAACATTCTACATCTCACAAGTGGCAAAGCAGGAGTTTGAGCCCTCTTGGCCTGGCACCAGGGCAATGCTCTTCCCACCTTGTTATCCTCCCTTCCTCATAGAAGATGCTTCATTTCCTGAGTGATGACCCACACCGTCCAGCCCTGGCCAGTCCTCTGTCCACCAGAGTGATAGTGCAGTCAGCCTCTGTGGGTCCTTGTGTTGAGCCAACTTTAGAATGTCATTTCCGGACCTTGGAAAACCATAGGCTGCCCCCAAATCTCACTTTGGCTTCAAATTAAAACTTGCCAATCCCATTAATGAATTTCCTAATGAGCCACAAACTCAGCTCACTTTTGGTTTATCTCCTTGTCTTCTGTGGCCAACCTCTAAGGAATTTTGACATGAAACAGCTCAAGAAAGAGCAGCCAGTTCAAAGCAGAGCTTTCAGCAGGAAAACAGCCAGAGAGGGCAACACTCTAGAGTGATCTGGCTCTTTCTGTAGCTCTTGAAAAGGATACACATGAAGACTATGTAGCTACATGGAAAAAAAGTCCATGCAGTTAAAAAAATAAAGCAGGACATAAAATATCATGATCACTGAAATTACATCTAGTGAAACACACACGTGCTTATCTGCACGTGTGTGTAAGTTAGAAAGAAAAAACAAAGGCCTAACAGTGATTGTCTTAGGTTGATAGGATAGTGGGTGGGATTTGCAGAATTTTTGTATCTGCAGAATTTTTGCAAAGTGCCCATTAGTTTTGTAAAGAAAAAAACCTAAATGTATAACTTCTAAAGAGATAATTTTTTCTTTCATGTTTTTGCTACCTATATCTAGGAAAATAACTTAGAATTGTAATTATTTTGAAGCTCTGGAATTATTATGTTCAAAAATTACAGAACCAAAATGTAAAGATTTAATGGCAGGATAATCTGATGAAGTGAGTAACAGAAGCCAATGTTCCAGTGAGGAAATGATTCTGAATCAATAAAATAGAATCTGTTCCAGAAGTAGAATTTAGGAGAGTATAATTTCTGGGTGTGTGTAATATGTATACATCAATGAGTATGTATGTATGCATGCATGTGTATGTGTAGATATACACATGTTATTTATCTGTTTATCCTAATTCTTATTAGACACCTGTTTTTAAGATGAATGAGGTGCTAAAGAACTGCAAAGTAATATATGCTTAATGTTTGTATAATAGTAGATACTACTCAATAAAATATATGTTAAGGTACATATTTTTATATATGTGTGTGTTTTAACACACTTGAATCATACATACATAAATCTGCATGGAAATACACACAATGATATCATTAGCTATTTTTTTGTGCATGCATTTTGAATCATTTTCCTTTATACTCTATTGTATTTGGAGAATTTTTAATGATGAATATACGTTTGTGTTTAAATGAAAAATATCAGATGGTGCCAGGTAATGTCTGAAATTTTAGGGCCCCCTGTAAGGTGAGTAAAGATACTGGAAAGGAAAAGGAAGTGTTGTAGAAAGATAGTGCTATTTTCTATTTTCCAAAGGGACATTGGATTATATTATTCAAACCTCAATTCTTTTTGCTCTTAAGTAGCTAGTGTAGTGGAAGAATTTTGAATGTTGTACTAGATCTTTGGCTAATAATGAGAGTATGTTCTTAGCTCTGTTCTCTTTTCAATGGTATGTTTTATTTTCTGTAAAATTTATGGATTTAATAGCTTCTATTTCTTCACTTATCTTAATGGAGAAAAATTATTTTATTTTTTAATGGTACATGATTTCTTATTGCTCAAATATTTCACTGTACTTGGATGGATGGTGAGACATTATTCATTATTTGCACTTAATATTTATTAAAGCAAACAATAGACTAAAAATGCATATGAAAGCAAATAAGCATAATTTTGTTTATTGAAATTAATTTCTTTAAAAATGCTTTCTGGTTATAAATTTATGACAATATAGAAAACTAGGAAAAGGACATAGAAGTTTAAAGAAAATAAAAATTATATCTAATTTCACACCTTAGAAATAACCACTGTAAAACATTGGTAAGTTGTCTTCTTACATATTCAGCATTTTATTACCAGTTACTACTTTTAATGGATATTTATTGAGCCCCATGGTATGCATTGCTGTACTTTGGAAAAAAGTGAATGAAAAAGGTAAATAAAATCCTGCCCCACATCATTTACTGTCTGGCTGGGGTCACTATATGTGTATGTGAGGGAGTGTACAAGAGGAAGGGGAGACAATTGAAGGTAAAATAGAAGTACCTGGTGGGTAATTTAAAAAGAAAAGAGGCTTATTTGGCTCATGGTTCTTCAGGCTGTACAAGCATCTGCTCAGCTTCTGGTAACACCTCAGGAAGCTTTTACTCGTGAGTGAGTGAGAGAGGGAGATGTCAGGCTCTTTTAGGCACCAGCTCTTGTATGAACTAATAGAGTAAAAATTCACTCATTACTGTGGGGAGGGCACTAAGCCATTCATGAAAGAGCCACCTCCATGACCCTAACACCTCCTACTGGGCCCCACCTCCAACATTGGGAATCACATTTCAACATGAGATTTGGAGAGGACAAACATCCAAACTATATCGGGAGGAAATACAGTCTTTTAAAAATGTATGTGTGTGTGTGTGTGTGTGTATATATATACACACACACACTTTTTTTTACAGTAGACTGACTTTTTTAAGCAAATTGGCATTCTATATATTCTATACAGTTTTTCCTCACTTAACATTATATTAAACAGTATCCTGTATCATTAGATATGACAGCATTAGATTATATTATAAAGTCATGTCATAGCATACATTACATCACATCACATTATACCATATCATATAAATACATTTCAGTCTATTATTCCTTGATTGCTGGATATTCGGGTTATGATTTTTTATAACATAAATAATGCTACAGTGAACATCCTCATATATTATAAAATTTTATCTTCTCCAATTGGTTTTTCTTAAAATTTATTTCTAAAAGTAGAATTACTAGCTTACATGTGAAAAATAAAACTTTTCCAGGCTACTGAGACACACCACCAAGTTGGATTTTACAGTCATGTTGGTTACCCATTCAATGTTTGCTCACTGGAGAAACATATCATGTTTGATCCTTTTGAAACTTGCTTTGACAAAATGTCATGGACAACATCCAAGAACATGCCCTGTGTTGAGTTCTTTATGGCAAGTGCTGTTTGGCAAGGGCTCTTTAGTTACTGTAAATTAAGCAAATAGAGCTGAGTTTTATGTACACCATAACAATGTTAGCAACTCTGTGGGCTTAGTACCTCTCCGTGCGTTCAGAGTTGGAAATGTGTGTTCAGTGCAGGTCAGAATAACAGAACAGGGCCACGTCACTGCAGTTTCCTTTGATCCCATTGTATGTACGGCGTGGAAGGCAGAAAAGACCAATAACCATCTAAGAAGCAGTAAACTCTTGGGACTTTGTGCCAAAATAAAAATGTTGTATGAACCTTGCTGCAACCAGTATTTTATATATCTCCTAGGAAAGCATTGATCCTTTAGGTCTGACAGGTCTGGTTTTTGGATTTTATAGAAATAGGAATTAGCAAATTCTCCTTCTATTTTAGGTATGTTAATCAACAAAGACACCTAGGTTTTTTCCTTTTCTCAAACTTTATTTTTTATTGATACATAATAGATGTGTATATTTTGGGCGTACAGGTGATATTTTGAAACATTCATATAATGTGTAATGATCAAATCAGGGTAATTGGGATTTCTATCTCCTTAAACATTTATCTTTTATTTATGCTGGAAACATTCAAATTATTTTCTTCTCACTATTTTGAAATGTGTAATAGATTATTGTTAACTATAGTCACCCTATTGATCTATAGAAGACTAGATCTGTCTTTTTCTGTCTACCTGTATATTTGTACCCATTAATCAACCTCTCTTCATCTCTCCCTCTACTATCTCCTTCCCAGCTCTGGTAATTACCAATCTATTCTCTATCTTTATGAAATTCGCTTTTTAAACTCCCACATATGATATGAGTGAGTGCATGCAACATTTATTTTCCTGTGTGTGGCTTATTTCACTTAACATAATGACCTCCACTTTTAAAAAATTAAATGAGATAGTTGTTTTCTCTGGAGCGGCTTCCAGTTGTGGATGTGGTGGTGATAAAGTGATCACATGAGCACACTTTTAGTTCTGATGACCTTGACTCTTGTGTTCTCTAGACTCATCTGAGGCACCCATGACTGAGACTGGGTTCAAGAATGTGAAGTGATCTTAATGATCTACAAATTTTCTCTTTCTGATTTGGAAGAGCTGCATGCAGTGCATTAAACTTTTGAACCTAAGTGCTTTGATGGCTAACCATAACTTATGACAACACTCTCTTTTCTGTATTTTAAACCCTATTTACTATTATTTAGTTCTATTTAATATTATTAAAGTTTTATGATGACTCCATCCAATGAGGAAAAACAAATGGAAAACAACTTGCTGTTGTTCCATGTCCTTACTCTGATGCAGTGGTCCTGATTTTAGAGCAGGTTCTTAGGATTAAAGTGGAAGTGAACATCCCTGTGCTTTGGGAGAGGATTCTGAGCTGATGATAGCTGACCCAGGGTGGGCTTGGGATATCATGACTCCATATGCTGTGGTGCCTCTGCCCTGTGCTTGAGTTTTGATTGCTTTCCTGTCTGTTTTCCATAAGTTATCCAGTAGAAGAACACTGTCCTATGAGATCAGTACATCCCCCTCTTAATTAAATTTTCTGGTGCTTAGTCATCAAAAGCCCTATTTAATATTTAGGCACTGTGAAAAAGACCTGGAAGGGATTTCTTTTATTAGCAATAAGATACAGACCCTTGGAGCCCTATTAAATCAATTCTCGTTAGATGTGGATTCATAGGGCCAAGAGTTCACTAGCTTTCCGCTGCTATTATGTTGCAGTTTGTATTTAAGCGGACTTTGTAGAGACACTCAAACTTAATGGATTATGGACCCTGATCGATTCAATATGTCCTAAATTTGTGAAGCTTTATAGTGGTAGGGTGTGTTTTGCAGTAGTCATGTGGTCTGGGAAAGAGAGAGAAGCCAAGATAGTTTGGGGCATAAAACAGGGCCCATTTGACTCTTCACACTCTCATTCCACACAGGTCCACAAAACCAATCAAAAAAGAAAATCAGGATAGGAATTTGAAAGTACCATGTGGTAAACTTTGGAACTATTAAAAAATCATACTATTGTAGGCTCATACATTACTGAGTGGATGTTTAAACCATTATTCCTTCTATGGAAAGCAAAGTAGCTATAACTCAAAATTACAAGTGTTTGTAGCCTATAACCTTGCAATTTCATCCCCAGGAATTATCCTACAGATGTACTTCACAGATTTGAAATGGTATATATTTGAGGTTATAATTGTAACATTGTTTAAAATATACACCAATACAATATTAGGAAAACATACTATGGTATATCCAGATAATGGAATGCCATGTTGTTATTAAAAAAAGAATAAGGAAGTACTCTATACTGATACACAAATATCTCAAAGATATGGTAAGTGAAAATCAAGATTAAAGACAGTTTTGTCTGTTTTTGTAGGAAAAAAGAGGAAGAGCGGGAGAAAGGGAGAGAGGGGAGGAGAAAGAGATATTCTGTATATGCACAAAATACCTCTAGAAGCATATATGCAAAGCACAGAGCTTTGATATGGGGAAGGGAATTGGGTAGCTAGAGGACAGAATTTAAGAGGAAAACTTTTTATTGTAAAACTTTTAATACTTTTCTAAATTTTGAACTATGTCATTGTAAAATCTAGCCAAAACATTTGCAAATGGAAGCTAAGAAACACATGCTTGTGTGATATTGTTAGATGAATACTGTGAGTTCATCAAAAGTTTTTTTCTTAGACTTTAAAATAACACAACTGTATATACAATCGCAAGAAGTATTGTTTATGAGTTTCTACTTCTACTTCTAAGTAGGGTACCAAGAGAAATATTCATTTTTACATTTTCTGTCTATCACTATATGACTCTGAAACTATAAATATATATACATAGACTTCATTAAAATATTACTAGAATTTAATCCTTCTGCTTTTATGGGATAGTATGTTGATAAAATATTGATTTTTCTATTAGTTTCCTAAGATCTTGACTGGGAGATCTGGAAAGAAAGTCAGAGATGACTTGGTTGAGCCCTGTTTCACCCAAGAGGAAAGACAGCCAAGGGAAATTAAGCCACATGCTTAAGGTTCACAGATAGTCAGGTGTGCCCAGCGGGTTTTATGTTTTATTTGGTTACCTTAAGAATATATCTTTGGCTGGGCACAGCGGGTCATGCCTGTAATCCCAGCACTTTGGGAGGCTGAGGTGGGCAGATCACTTGAGCCCAGGAGTTCAAGACTAGCCTGGCCAACATGGTGAAATACCATCTCTACTACAAAAAAAAAAAAAAAAAAAAAAAAAAGCTGTGCATGATGGTGTATGCCTGTAATCCCATCAGGAGTCTAAGACAGGTGAATCACTTGAACCTGGGAGGCAGAGGTTGCAGTGAGCTAAGATCATACCACTGCACTCCAGCCTGGGTGACAGAGCAAGACTCCATCTCAAAAAAAAAAAAAAAGAAAAAAGAAAAAAAAAGAATGTATCTTTGACACAAGAGATCACAATTGAATTTAACTTCACCCCAAATGCCTCTTAATAATAGGAATGTTATCAAGCCAGAAGCAGTTGGGAAAGTGCCTTCCAGTCTGTAACCCAAAAGAATTCTCAGATCTTCAAGAACTTAAAGTTACTTATATTTAGTCAATTAAAAAGTTAATCAAAAGAGAGATCGCAGGTTAAAGGAAAATGACATTAAAATAAGTGGTAAGTAATGAAAGCTTTAAGATTTGTGTTAATTTTTAAAAATGTTAAATACTTGTTCTTATGATTGTACAACTTAATATGATGTCAAAAGTAGTTCTTAAAAGAAATTATAAAAAGTACTAATATTCTGAGTATAAAGGCTATGATTCTTTATTTGGTAGGGGAGAAGAGGAAAAGGGAAAATTCTGTAGGCATATCTTTAGCTACTGTTTTATTCTCTATGGTGATTGAGAAAATAGGATTAAGTGGTTTAAAAATATGCAGGTAATGGCCAAAAAAAAAGTTGAGACTACATATTACTTCTGAATAACCAAAAAAATAGAACAAAGATCTAAGAAAGCTTTGATCCCTAGAATGTCAAGGGAGTGGCAATAAAACACAAAATAAAATGACACAGAAAGATCAAATACTGCATATTGTCCCAGTAAATATGAATTTGTTCAGCTTCTTAAAAAATAAAAAGCCCTCAAATTTAATAGAAAAGCAAAGTCAACGTGATTACCAGAGACTCACCTACATAAAGTGACATAGAAAAGATAAAAATAAAGAAATGAACATTGTGGTGGGCAGAATGTTACAATGGGCCTGAGGTTCTACCCTATCCAACCCTCTAACCTGGTGTATGCATCTTACATAATTCTCCTGGGATTATGTAGTGTGATATGAAGCAGTAGACTTTAAGAAAGGAAAATTATCCAGATGGGCCTGACCTAATCAGACAAGCCCTTTAAGAACAGAGTTTTCTCTGACTGCTAGGAACGAAAGGTCAGAGAGAGAGAAGTGTGAGAGGTTATTAACTGGGGGTTCTCCAGTGCTGAGACGGAGGAGCCACATGTCCAGGACCTCAGAATAGTCCCCAGCCAACAGCTGGAAGACAGCAGAGACCTCAGTCCTACTACTGTAAGGAAATGTGCTCTGACAACAACCTGATGAAGCTTGGAAGCAGATCTTTCCCTAGTTGGGCCTCCCACATGAGGACACAGCTAAGCAACACCTTCCTTTCAGCCTTATGAGAGCCTGAGCAGACGATCCAGATAAAATGTGCCGAGCTTATGACCCATGGAAACTGAGGGATAGTCAATTCAGTGGCAAATTGGTGTTGTCACTGAGTTTGTGGTGATTTGTTACATCACAAGAGAAAACTAATACAAATATATCACCCACTAGAAGATTCTAAACAAGAAGGTTGGAGTGGTGCTATTAATGCCAAAAAAAGTTGGAATTCGCTAAAGGCGAAAAGCATTAAATGGGACAAAGTAGGATTTTAATTTAAAAAGGAATAACTTATAAGTATATAAAAGTAAACAATATTATATGGTTAAGATAGCCTTAGATTCAGCTTTTAATATAACAGTTTTAATACTAAGAGAAATAGGCAAATGCTTAGCTGGAGATAATAGAACATTTGCAACAGTGCAACAGGTCAAACAGACAAAAAGCAAGTAAAGTTGTGATATTTTAGGATGAGATTAAGCATAGCAATCATTAAACTAGGGATTTAAATGTTGGGAAATGAAAAGAGTAATAAAAGAAAACTTGGGGTAATAAAAGAAAGAAATTAAGAAAAGTACAAGCAGAAATTAACAATTTAAAGAAAAAGAGTAGAATTAGCAAATTAAAATTCAGCTGGCTTGTTTCCTGAAAAAAATGAATAAAATACAAAAAAGGAATACAAATGAATAAAGTATTAAAAAACCTCCCAATAAGACTGTTCAAAGAGAGAAAGAGAAATGAACAATTTTAGAACATTGAGGAGATATAAGCACTGGTACAAAGAAGATTAACATTTACAAGAGAAAGCTAGTCTAAATTCTTGGTACTCAAATTGTGGTCTACAGACTAGCAGCCATGGTTTCACCTGGGAGCTTGTTAGAAATACAGACTCACTGGGTGTGGTGGTGCACGCCTATAGTCCCAGCTACTCAGGAGGCTGAGGTGGGAGCATCACTTGAACCTGGTAATTTGAGGCTACACTGAGCTATGATTGCACCACTGCACTCCAGCCTGGCCTGGGCAACAGAGAGAGACCCTGTCTCAGAAATGAAAACGAAAATAAAAATAAACACTCTCAGACACTACCCTAGACGTACTGAATCAGAATCTGCATTTTAGCAAGATCGCCAGGTGATTCACGTTTACTTCAATTTCTCTAAATCAGTGATTGTCAACTTTGGCTCCACACAGTAATCACTTTCAGAGCTACAAGAAAATGCTCTCAAAGATTGTTATTTCACTGGCCTGGACAGCAAGACTTTTGAAGACTATCAAGATGACACTAATGTAAAGCCAGAGTTGACAATCACTGCTCTAAATTATTCTATGCAAATTTTAAAATCTCAATGTAATGGATGACTTTTCAAAAAATATAAATTTTCTGGGGAGAGGGGTAATTAAGTTAAAATGTGATACATCATCTGAATAAACCACCAGTCAGAACAACCTAAAAATGTGTCATATAGCCTCTCAAAAGACAATGGAGTCCTCTGGCTCCAGTGCACATTCTTTCTGGAAGGAACATACCCTCATCCTGGGACTCAAAAAATTTTTAAAGAGAAAGTTTTTATCATGAGCAGTTTATATTTTAAAATTACTAATCAAGGAAACAAATCAATGTAAGTAAAAGCCAGAGGCAGTAGAACCAGGACTGTAAAATATATAGCCACTAGAATCAACAGCTACAGAGTAATAAGAAAATACTTGCTGAGTTAAAGAAGTCAGGCAAATATGAAAATATGAATAAAGAACAAGCAAATTTAAAAACAAAGAACTCATTAAAGTAAGTAATAATTTAAATAAAACTTAACACACATATTACATAGCAGATTAAACATTGGTGAAGATTAAACACTGTAAGATGAATTTTTAAAAATCTAGAATTAAGAAGTAAGAAACAGATGATAATATGAAAGAGAGGTTAAGAGTCAAAGAGAGGATTGAGTGAGAGAGGCTAGCCAGAGTTCTAGAAGAAAAAAAAGAGAAAGAATAGATTAGAGCAATATTTGAAGAGATATTGGTTGAGAATTTCCAACAGTTGATGAAAGGCTCTGATCAAGATTTTCATGAAGCCCAGAAATTCCTAAGGAGGATAATAAAAATAAATCTACATATAGACTACTCTTAGTGAAGCTGTGGAACACCGAAGACAAACAGAAGATCTCAAAAGCAGCTAGAGAAAAAAGATTTGCTTCTAAGGAATAACAACCAGACAGATACTTGATTGTCAGCAACAGAGCAATAATACCTTACATGTGCTGACAGGTATTTTAGTGTAAAATTTGTAGGCTTTAGTGATGGATTGGGTATGAGATCATGAAGGAAGCATGTCAAGAATATCTGTCAAGTTCTGGAATACAAAAGATGCCTTCATTGAAATGCAAAAATACTGAAAGAGATCCAGGCTTGAGGGAGAAGCTTATGAATTTGCTTTTGGACAAGTTGAATTTGAGGTGCTTTTCAGACATCCAAAAGAAGAAGAGGTTCCTTTTCCATGCCATCATCTATCTCACAGTTTCTAGCTTGTCTAAAAGCATATTACAAGAAACTTGGTCAAATGTCTTGCTGAAATGGACTCAGTACTCTGTAACAATCCCTTGTCCTGTTAGAAATGAAGTTTAGTGTAAATTGATTTTGAGTTGTAACTCAGCCACTTACTGTGTAACTTTAAACATAATACACTCAATGTTGAATCACCTCAATTTTTTCATCTGTATCATGGTAATAAAATTATATATTAATCACTTATTGAGGTATCATGAGGACTAAAAAAAGTCTGAGAAACATTTGCTGCATAAAATGCCACACAAATCATTATCTGTCAGTGATTTCTAACTTCTCAGAATCTTTTTCCCTCCAAGTGCTCATTCATCACCTGTTTCATAAACTGTCTTTCCAAAATATTATTGGCATTGATTTTAAGCAGAATCCACCTCCTTTTCACTTTTGAAATGTGGAATGACATTGATCTGACTTTGAGCTCTTAAGGCCTATCTTCAGATGGTTTGCTATCATATTTGCAAGTTATTTCTGGGCCCTGGATATGATTTGGCTCAACTGGCAACTTGAAGTCAGTACAAAGCACCTGTGTGCTCTTTTGTTTTAATTTTATCTATCTCCTGTCTTGGGTTCCAGTTTCTTATTTTAACTGGAAAATAGTCTCTTCCTTAGAAAAGGTGGAAGATAAAAGATGTTGAAGAGGTCTGATTTTTCTACTAGCATCTGTTATCTAGCATTATACCATCTGCCCCAAGCAATTTTGTTGTTCCTTATTTATATTACCCTGGAACATAATTTCAGACAGCATTTAGTTTGAATGTCTTATATAATTATGACCTTTTCTATATATGTTCTTAATAGATCTCTGCCATTTAATTTTTATGTTCTTTTGTCTTTAGGGTATGTTTTTCAAAAATATGAATTCTTCCATCTTTAGTTTGTGCTTTTTACACATATAACCTCATTAGAGCACAGTACTTTGCACATGATAGGCATTCCATGTTTGTATGTTTATATGAATGAATGCAAAGATGAATGAAATAGAATTTTCCATGTAACCATATTTGTGGGTTCCTTTTCCCTTTTATCAAGGCCATTCACAATTACATTATCATTTGCTTTCCTTTATACATTCTATTCCTTTTGAAGTTGTATTCCATCATGAATTTGACCTTTTGATAATGCATACATTTTTTCATATGTTTTAGAAACATATGCTTTCCTGAAATCCTTTGCTGCATCTGATTATGCCCAGCTTTTCATTCCTTCAGTTTTATGAATTCTGAGATGATTGCTTTCTCTAAAGGTTTCTGTCACTTCAGTGTCAAAGTGACTTTTTTATTTTTGGTGTCTGACCTCAGCTGGGACAGCTAGGATGACTGGGTCTCTCTTTCCATTTGTTCTTTTATCCTGAGCTTCTTCACAGCGTGATGGCCTCCGGATTCCAAGAAGAACATGAGTAGAAGCTGCTGTTGAGGTCAAGGCTCAGGGTTAGGCTGATAGACTCCAGCTTGATAACGGATGCTACAAAGAGCTGGTGGCCACATTTAATCTATATTATATGCTATTTGTCATTCATTTTCACTTACTTTTTAAATAGTTGTTGATTGTACTGGGCTACATGATCTAGAAACCTAAAATAAGTGAGAGCAGTGGAATCATCAAAATCTTGGCATTCTTTTATTTTCTGTTATACCTTTTTGTATTCAGGTTTAGTGCTCTTTGCAGAAATCCTCCTTCTGGCAGTCATTTGTCACAGAGAAACTGGTTATTAGTGATAAACTCAGTTAATATATTTTGGAAACTCTGACTGAGAAACAGTGGCCATATGGGTCCCTTCTCTTCAGGAGACAGAACAACAAGAAGTTTTGTCACAGATAAGCTAATTACATCTGCCAGTGGTTTAGATAACTGGTCTAAATTTGTTTTACTCACTAATTTTCAAACTTTGATGTGATGTCAGTGTATTAAAATAAAACTCAAACCCCCCTGGCTTTAGCTCCATGGATGATCTAGAACAGGGATCCCTAATCCTGGCTGGACACTGAAACCACCTAGAGAGCTTTTAACAAACTACACTGTCCCAAGATTGTCATGTAGTTGGGTGGGTGAAGGGGAAGGAGATTGGTGGAATTCAGTTGGGAGTATTTTTTTCAAGCTTCCAAGTAAATCTAAAGTGCATTCAGAATAGAGAAGCGCTACTTTAAACAGGGGTTTGAACATTTTTTCTGTAAAGGGCCAGATAGTAAATACCATAGACATTGCAGATCATAAGCTCTCTGTTGGAAGTACTCAACTTTGTAGTACAAAAGCAGCCATAGGTCTTAGGTTAAACTAATGAGCATGGCTATCTTTCAATAAACTTTGTGAACATTAAATTTGAGTTTTATATATGTAATTTTCACATTATGAAATATTATTCTTTTGTTTTTTTTCCAACCATTAAAATATGTAAAAACCATTCCCAGCTAATGGACCATACAAAAACAGGTGAGGGGCCTGATTTGGCCCACAGGTCATAGTTTGCTGACCCCTATTCTAGAGGACTCTGACAAAAGTTCTCTACTTTGACTAAAATGCTTCTCTCATAGACAGGGAAGAGGTTTTCATCATCTTTATAAAACTGTCACTTTTCAGTTGCTATGATGTTTTTCTTTTTAAACGCGCTTTATGATGGTATAATGTACATGCCATAGATTTAACCTATTTTAACTGTACAATTTAATGATTTCTAGTAAATTTATAGAGTTATGCAATCATCACCACAATCAGATTTAGAATATTTTCACTATCCTCAAAAGTTCCCTTTGGACCATTTGCATTCAGCCTCTTCCCACCCTGGCCCCAAGTATCCACTACTCTACTTATTTTCTCTGTAGATTTGCCTTATCTGGAAATTTCATATGTATAGGATATAATACATCATCTTTTGCACATGGCTTCTTTCATTTAGCATACTATTTTTTAGTTTCTCCATGTTGTAGCATGCATGAGTCATTTATTCCCTTTCATTGCCACATAGTAGTCTATCACATGGGTATACCTCATTTTGCTTATCCATTCACTCAATGCATTGTTTTCACTCCCTAGCCATTATTTAATGATGCTGCTGTGAAGAATTCCTTTCCATCCCATTTGTTGAGAGTTTTTATCATGAAGGCATGTAGGATTTTGTGACATGCTTTTTCTGTATCTATTAAAATGATGATGTGGTTTTTGCCCTTTTTTCACTAATACGGTATATTACATTAATTGGATTTCAAATGTTACAAATCCCACTTAATCATGGTGTATAATTTGTATGTATTTCTGGATTTGTTTTGTAATATTTTTAGATATTTTGTGTCTATATTCCTGATGGTCTATAATTTTCTTTAATTGTGACATCTTTGTTTAGCTTTATATCAGGCTAATACCGCCTCATAGAATGAAATACGAAGTGTTTTTTCCTAAACTCTGTTTCCTCAATGAGGTTGTGAAGGATTGGTAGTAATGAATTTTCCCCCTCTTTATTTATCTACGAATGCCTTTGTTTTGCCCTCATTTTTGAAAGATAATTTTGCTGGAGAGTAAATTATTCGTTGACAGGAAAGTAGGAATAGCTAGGGACTTTGCAATTGCCACTGAGTATGTGTGCAGCCTCCCACATATGTACAGCCTCCCAGACCACCAGGGATATATATGTAGGAGCTTATCAGGGTTCACTACAGCTATCTCATTGCCCAAATCTCCTTGTTAAATTTCTGGCTTGTCTTCATGTTGGTTGTCCCAAATAGGATCACAGCTTCATTGTCTTCCCCCATTCTTTTGCCTCTGGAATTGCTGCTGTTTCTGACAATGCCCCGGGGCATGAGGTTTTACTGTTCTCTGTTCCAAATCAATCTGGTTTCTTTCTGCAGCAAAAACTGCAGGTTTTCATGGCTTGTCTCACCCTGGTAGAACTACCAGCTGGCAGGTGTTGGGGATGTGTTGGAGATAATAAGGTAATGGTAGCAGTCCCAAGCTAAAATTCCACAGACTTCCACTGAGGTTCAATAGTTTTACTTGAATAAATGCTTCTCAACTTGTTATGTGCCTTCGGTCTGTTTCCAGGGTCTTGAAATAGTTATTTTTGATAATTTTTTCTAGTTTTAAAAATCATTCACTTTTGGAGAGAACTGGCTGAGTTTTTTGATCTGTCATTTCAGATATCCTGCCTTACAGTGTTTTTAATTCATTGATTAATGCTTTCATTGTTAGGCAACTTATGGAAAACCAATTTTTCTTCCGTTGCTATTAACAAAATCTGTAACAGGTTTATCAGCTTAAGAAAATTTACTGCATCTTGGAGGGTGGTTCCAAGATGGCCAAATAGGAACAGCTCCAGTCTACAGCTCCCAGTGTGAGCGACACAGAAGACGGGTGATTTCTGCATTTCCAACTGAGGTACTGGGTTGATCTCACTGGGGCTTGTTGGACAGTGGGTGCAGCCCATGAAGCCAAAGCAGGGTGGGGCATCGCCTTACCCAGGAAGTGCAAGGGGTCAGGGAATTCCTTTTCCTAGCCAAGGGAAGCCGTGACAGATGGTACCTGGAAAATCAGGACACTCCCGCCCTAATACTGCACTTTTCCAAACGGCATACCAGGAGATTATATCCCATGCCTGACTCAGAGGGTCCCACGCCCATGGAGTCTCGCTTACTGCTAGCACAGCCGTCTGAGATTGAACTGCAAGGTGGCAGGGAGGCTGGGAGAGGGGCGTCCACCATTACTGAGGCTTGAGTAGGTAAACAAAGCAGCTGGGAAGACTGAACTGGGTGGAGCCCACCGCAGCTCAGGGAGTCCTATCTGCCTCTATAGACTCCACCTCTGGGGCAGGGCATAGCTAAACAAAAGGCAGCAGAAATTTCTGCAGACTTAAAATGTCCCTGTCTGACAGCTTTGAAGAGAGTAGTGGTTCTCCCAGCATGGAGTTTGAGATCTGAGAACGGATAGACTGCCTCCTCAAGTGGGTCCCTGACACCCAAGTAGCTTAACTGGGAGACACCTCCCAGTAGGGGCCAATTGACACCTCATACAGCCAGGTAGGTGCCCCTCCGAGATGAAGCTTCCAGAGGAAGGATCAGGCAGCAACATTTGCCATTCTGCAATATGTGCTGTTCTGTAGCCTCCGCTGGGGTGATACCCAGGCAAACATGGTCTGGAGTGGACCTCCAGCAAATTCCAATAGACCTGCAGCTGAGGGTCCTGACTGTTAGAAGGAAAACTAACAAACGGAAAGGACATCCACACCAAAACCCCATCTGTACGTCACCATCATCAAAGACCAAAGGTAGATACAACCACAAAGATGGGGAGAAACCAGAGCAGAAAAGCTGAAAATTCTAAAAATCAGAGCACCTCTTCTCCTCCAAAGGAATGCAGCCCCTTGCCAGCAACGGAGCAAAGCTGGACGGGGAATGCTTCTGACGAGTTGACAGAAGTAGGCCTCAGACAATCGGTAATAACAAACTTCTCCAAGCTGAAGGAGGATGTTCAAACCCATCGCAAAGAAGCTAAAAACCTTGAAAAAAGATTAGACAAATGGCTAACTAGAATACACAGCATGGAGAAAACCTTAAATGACCTGATGGAGCTGAAACCCATGGCACGAGAACTACGTGACAAATGCACAAGCTTCAGTAGCTGATTTGATCAAGTGGAAGAAAGGGTATCAGTGATTGAAGATCAAATTAATAAAGTGAAGCAAGAAGAGAAGTTTAGAAAAAAAAAGAGAGAAAAGAAACGAACAAAGCCTCCAAGAAATGTGGGACTATGTGAAAAGACCAAATCTACATCTGATTGGCGTACCTGAAAGTGACGGGGAGAATGAAACCAAGTTGGAAAACACTCTGCAGGATATTATACAGGAGAACTTCCCCAATCTAGCAAGACAGGCCAACATTCAAATTCAGGAAATACAGAGAATGCCACAAAGATACTCCTCGAGAAGAGCAACTCCATGACACCAATAATTGTCAGATTCACCAAACTTGAAATTAAGGAAAAAATGTTAGGGGCAGCCAGAGAGAAAGGTCAGGTTACCCACAAAGGGAAGCCCATCAGACTAACAATGGATCTCTCTGCAGAAACTCTACAAGCCAGAAGAGAGTGGGGGCCAATATTCAACATTCTTAAAGAAAAGAATTTTCAACCCAGAATTTCATATCCAGCCAAACTAAGCTTCATAAATGAAGGAGAAATAAAATCCTTTACAGACAAGCAAATGCTGAGAGATTCTGTCACCACCAGGCCTGCCATACAAGAGCTCCTGAAGGAAGCACTAAACATGGAAAAGAACAACCGGTACCAGCCACTGCAAAAACATGTCAAATTATAAAGACCATTGATGCTAGGAAGAAACTGCATCAACTAACAAGCAAAATAACCAGCTAACATCATAATGACAGGACCAAATTCACACATAACAATATTAACCTTAAATGTAAATGGGCTAAATGCTGCAATTAAAAGACACAGACTGGCAAATTGGATGAAGAGTCAAGACCCATCAGTGTGCTATATTCAGGAAACCCATCTCACATGCAGAGACACACATAGGCTCAAAATAAAGGGATGGAGGAAGATCTACCAAGAAAATGGAAAACAAAAAAAAGCAGGGGTTGCAATCATAGTTTCTGATAAAACAGATTTTAAATCAACAAAGATCAAAAGAGACAAACAAGGCCATTATATAATGGTAAAGAGATCAATTCCACAAGAAGAGCTAACTATCCTAAATATATATGCACCCAATACAGGAGCACCCAGATTCATAAAGGAAGTCCTCAGAAACCTACAAAGAGACTTAGACTCCCACACAATAATAATGGGAGACTTTAACACCCCACTGTCAACATTAGACAGATCAACGAGACAGAAACTTAACAAGGATATCCAGGAATTGAACTCAGCTCTGCACCAAGGAGACCTAATAGACATCTGCGGAACTCTCCACCCCAAATCAACAGAATATACATTCTTCTCAGAACCACATTGCACTTATTCCAAAATCGACCACATAGTTGGAAGTAAAGCACTCCTCAGCAAATGTAAAAGAACAGAAATGATAACAAACTGTGTCTCAGACCACAGTGCAATAAAACTAGAACTCAGGATTAAGAAACTCACTCAAAACAACCCAACTACATGGAAACTGAACAACCTGCTCCTGAATGACTAATGGGTACATAACAAAATGAAGGCAGAAATAAAGATGTTCTTTGAAACCAACAAGAACAAAGACACAACATATCAGAATCTCTGAGACACATTCACAGCAGTGTGTAGAGGGAAATTTATAGCACTAAATGCCCACAAGAGAAAGCAGGAAAGATCTAAAATGGACACCCCAACATCACAATTAAAAGAACTAGAGAAGCAAGAGCAAACACACTCAAAAGCTAGCAGAAGGCAAGAAATAACTAAGATCAGAGCAGAACTGAAGGAAATAGAGACACAAAAAACCCTTCAAAAAATCAATGAATCCAGGAGCTTGTATTTTGAAAAGATCAACAAAATTGATAGACCGCTAGCAAGACTAAGAAAGAAGAAAAGAGAGAAGAATCAAATAGATGGAATAAAAAATGATAAAGGGGATATCACCACCGATCCCACAGAAATACAAATTACCATCAGAGAATACTATAAACACCCCTACACAAATAAACTAGAAAATCTAGAAGAAATGGATAAATTCCTGGACACATACACCCTCCCAAGACTAAACCAGGAAGAAGTTGAATCCCTGAATAGACCAATAACAGGCTCTGTAATTCAGGCAATAATTAATAGCCTACCAACCAAAAAAAGTCCAGGACCAGATGGATTCACAGCCGAATTCTACCAGAGGTACAAAGAGAAGCTGGTACCATTCCTTCTGAAACTATTCCAATCAATAGAAAAAGAGGGAATCCTCCCTAACTCATTTTATGAGGCCAGCATCATCCTGATACCAAAGCCTGACAGGGACACACCAAAAAAGAGAATTTTAGACCAATATCCCTGATGAACATTGATGCAAAAATCCCCAATAAAATACTGGCAAACCGAATCCAGCAGCATATCAAAAAGCTTATCTACCATGATCAAGTGGGCTTCATCCCTGGGATGCAAGGCTGGCTCAACATATGCAAATCAATAAACGTAATCCATCATATAAACAGAACCAACGACAAAAACCACATGATTATCTCAATACATGCAGAAAAGGCCTTCGAAAAAATTCAACAGCCCTTCATGCTAAAAACTCTCAATAAACTCGGTATTGATGGGATGTATCTCAAAATAATAAGAGCTATTTATGACAAACCCACAGCCAATATCATACTGAAAGGGCAAAAACTGGAAGCATTCCCTTTGAAAACTGGCACAAGACAGGGATGCCCTCTCTCACCACTCCTATTCAACATAGTGTTGGAAGTTCTGGCCAGGGCAATCAGGCAGGAGAAAGAAATAAAGGGTATTCAATTAGAAAAGGAGGAAGTCAAATTGTCCCTGTTTGCAGATGACATGATTGTATATTTAGAAAACCCCATTGTCTCAGCCCAAAATCTCCGTAAGCTGATAAGCAACTTCAGCAAAGTCTCAGGATACAAAATCAATGTGCAACAATCACAAGCATTCCTATACACCAATAATAGACAAACACAGAGCCAAATCATGAGTGAACTCCCATTCACAATTACTTCAAAGAGAATAAAATACCTAGGAATCTAACTTACAAGGGATGTGAAGGACCTCTTCAAGGAGAACTACAAACCAGTGCTCCACGAAATAAAAGAGGATACAAACAAATGGAAGAACATTCCATGCTCATGGATAAGAAGAATCAATATCATGAAAATGGCCATACTGCCCAAGGTAATTTATAGATTCAATGCCATCCCTATCAAGCTACCAATGACTTTCTTCACAGAATTGGAAAAATTACTTTAAAGTTCATACGGAACCAAAAAAGAACCCGCATTGCCAAGTCAATCCTAAGCCAAAAGAACAAAGCTGGAGGCATCACGCTACCTGACTTCAAACTATACTACAAGGCTACAGTAACCAAAACAGCATGGTACTGGTACCAAAACAGAGATATAGACTGATGGAACAGAACAGAGCCCTCAGAAATAATGCCACAAAGCTACAACCAACTGATCTTTGACAAACCTGAGAAAAACAAGCAATGGGGAAAGGATTCCCTATTTAATAAATGGTGCTGGGAAAACTGGCTAGCCATATGCAGAAAGCTGAAACTGGATCCCTTCTTTATACCTTATACAAAAATTAACTCAAGATGGATTAAAGACTTAAATGTTAGACCTAAATCCATAAAAACCATAGAAGAAAACCTAGGCAATACCATTCAGGACATAGGCATGGGCAAGGACTTCATGTCTAAAACAACAAAATCAATGGCAACAAAAGCCAAAATTGACAAATGGGATCTAATTAAACTAAAGAGCTTCTGCACAGCAAAAGAAACTGCCATCAGAGTGAACAGGCAACCTACAGAATGGGAGAAAATTTTTACCATCTACCCATCTGACAAAGGGCTAATATCCAGAATCTACAAAGAACTTAAACAAATTTACAAGAGAAAATCAACCCCATCAAAAAGTGGGTGAAGTATATGAACAAGACACTTCTCAACAGAAGATATTTATGCAGCCAACAGACACATGAAAAAATGCTCATCATCACTGGCCATCAGAGAAATGCAAATCAAAACCGCAATGAGATACCATCTCACACCAGTTAGAATGGCAATCATTAAAAAGTCAGGAAACAACAGGTGCTGGAGAGGATGTGGAGAAATAGGAACACTTTTACACTGTTGGTGGGACTGTAAACTAGCTCAACCATTGTGGAAGACAGTGTGGCGATTCCTCAAGGACCTAGAACTAGAAATACCATTTGACCCAGACATCCCATTACTGGGTACATAAAGGATTATAAATCATGCTGCTATAAAGACACATGCACACGTATGTTTATTGTGGCACTATTCACAATAGCAAAGACTTGGAACCAACCCAAATGTCCATCAATGATAGACTGAATTAAGAAAATGTGGCACATATACACCATGGAATACTATGCAGCCATACAAAAGGATGAGTTCATGTCCTTTGTAGGGACATGGATGAAGCTGGAAACCATCATTCTCAGCAAACTATCGCAGGGACAGAAAACCAAACACCACATATTCTCACTCATAGGTGGGAATTGAACAATGAGAACACTTGGACACAGGGTGGGGAACGTCACACATCAGGGCCTGTCATGGGGTAGGGGGAGCAGGGAGGGATGGCATTAGGAGATATACCTAATGTAAATGACGAGTTAATGGGTGCAGCACACCAGCATGGCACATGTATACATATGTAACAAACCTGTACATTGTGCACATGTACCCTAGTACTTAAAGTATACTTTAAAAAAAAAAAAGCAAACTTACTGAATCTTAGTTTATAATTAAAAGCAACACTAAAACAAGTGGATTGTATAGAAGAATGAAAGTTTTAAGTATCAATTCAATATAATTAAATATTGTGTAACATATGTTGAATAACCGAAGCAGAGTTCAACAGATTTATATCCGGAATCGTTTTTCTTCTGAATGGCAGTGCTCCTGTCTAGCACCATGGTGTTCGTGATTCCTTATCAACTTAGTGCCCCCCATGTGAGCAGGCTGAACTGAGTACTTGTGATATGAGGTACAAAACAGGTAGGAAAAAAGACTTTGTTGTGTATAGCAAAGAAGGAACTGGCATCAGCTTCCTGAGCTCTCAGGCATCTCCCATTCCCAATCTTAAGGAAGGCCTTTCTCCTGGTTCTGGCATTATCCCTGGGAATGAGTGGGATCAGCAGTGGATGTGACAGTGACTTGTTCCTCCAGTCCCCATCACTGACTTAGGGAGCATCATAAGAGCCAGTGAGTTTGGCTCTTAGAAATACGTAAGCAGTGAAACCCACTAGTCCCATCTCTTGCACCTAGTTTAGTCTGTTTATAGTGTCAGTCCCTCTCCCCCCATTCTTTCCTGCACCTCCCCAAAGCCCATCATATCCAAAGTGGGAATCAATTCTCACTGGACATTTATCCCTGAGACTTTCTTGTAAAAAACACATGAGTCCTATTAACAAAACAATTGTTTAATTTTACTTAGGGAGGCAAAGTTTAATAATAGCATGCAGTAAACTTTTTGCTAATAATTGTTCTTTTTCCCTCTTTTCCCTAATCATGGGGGAAAATGTAGTTCATTAGCAAGTTGACCTGCTCTCTTGTTTTTATTCACCAAACAGAACTCTAAAGAATTGATTCAGCTTTGCAGAGGAACAATATTGTATTAAGACAGCACTATTTCTACAGTTAAACTAGCATGACTAGCTTATAAATCAAAGCAGCACTATTGGCGCCACATATATGTGTTGTGTATTTCTTTTGGCAAAGTTACAACTTTAAAGAATTGACATTTTGGATCACCATGTGGTAGTTTAGCCATAACAGGTTGCTAATGAGGGAATCAAGGCAGAGGCAGATGTTTCCTTAAATGTGAGCTTACATAAGCCACTTTAGTTGGTTCTGGTTTTAAACAATTGCATTTCTTGGGGACCAAGTTGTACACTGGATCTTCCTTCTGAAAATCGATACCTCCCCCTCATGAGTGTTGTGCTGTGCAGACAGGAACCTCATGGTGAGGAGAAGTGCAGCTTTGATTGTTGCTGCTCTTTTAATGTCATGCCGAATGGAATGGCACTTCGCAATCTCTCAACCACAGCAGTTTCCTCTTCTCATTCAAATCTAAGATACAAGCATTTCCCTAACTACTGTTTGAATCCAAAATGTTTATTTGGCAGACTGGTGCAAGTTGAATTCTGGAAGGAAATCTAGTTTTAAAAAATGTCTTAGAACATTATGTTCAGGGTTAAAGTCAAGGACCGTATTTCCCACACATGTTGTTTTTCAGGCAATTTTCCTTGAGTTTTTTGCAGAAGAAGCCAGAATGGTGTTTACAGGTGGAAGGGAAATGGTAGCAGCAGACCCAGAGAGCAAAGAGATCCACACGCATTTCCCTGATAATTATTTTATTCATTTATACTTCTGTCTTACTTCAGAAAGGATTTGAAGTGGCTTACTGATGTAACCACAGTTCTGCTAGAATAGATAAGGCCAAAGGAAATAAAAGTGGAGAAACAAGAAGAGATCAACTCATGTTACTCTAAACTGAATCACTTGCAGTTCCCACGATTTGCGAGTCCCATTTTCCTTTCATGTTCTGGGAGTTCAACCAGGAAAGGAACATGTTGAGTCTGGATTGTTGAGGCCGGAGAGTAAGGCACTGGGTTTGAAGGACAAAATCAACCACACTGGCCTTACTTCCTGACCTTGCTCTCTGGAAGACCCCAGATTTGGATTTTGAAATAACCCGTTACTAGTCGAGATATCTAATGTCAGAAGACCACAAAACTGCATCTTTTAGTCCTATTGCATTATTTCTACTCTTGAAATTAGCTCCCTCAACAAGATACATTTTCCTATTTTGTTTTGAGATATCTGCTTCTCATTATAGCATCAGCCAGCCACATGTCTTGCATTAGGACCTTTAAGTCAACAAGTAGGAGATTAAAGGGAATTAAATGCAAGCATTTCAGGTAGGCCCAGGGAATAAGGGCATTAGGTGGCAGGTTACCTGGATGGCGCAGCAGGGTTAAAATTATCCCTATATGATCCTGTTTCATGAACAAAAGATGAATGGACTCTCTTAAAAGACTTTATAAGGCCAGTTAAGAGCAGAATAGTATAGCATGGTAATCGACACTCTTGATGTCTAATTAATTCATCTGGATTCAAACTGAAGATTAGCCATTTTTTAGCTGTATGACCTTGAACAAGTGGCTTAACTTCTCAGAGCCTGTTTGCCCATCTATAGGATGGTTATAATAATACCACCTATCTCCAGATTGTTATGAAGGTCAAGTAAAATTATGCACATAAAAATTTAGGCATCACCTGACATGTGGTAATCCCTCAGTAAGTGTCAGTGGTTATTGTGTCTAAACCCCTGACCTGTTGTTATTGTAACTCTGCATCTTCATTGTTTAAGGAACTGAGTGACTATTAGGAGGAATTAAATTCCCTGTCAGTCTGCTGGGACATAATTTGGAGATGGATAAGGACCCCAAAGCACTAATGGCTACATGGTCTCTGGGCTAGTTTTTTTTTTTTTTCCACTTGTTCAATGAAGGGATGGGAATTGAGGACCTATAAAGTTCATTCTCATGTGAAAATTATCTCTGGGTGAAATGGTGCTTCTTTGTTTGTCCAGAGATACATGTTTCCTCTGAGAAGGGCCTAAATTGCATTGCAAAATGAAGAGATTCAAGGGCTGTAGTGCAGTTACTTCTTCACAAAGCATTAGCCCAGAGTGTCCTCCCACCCAGGGCTTTTCAATCCTTGAATGAGCATGTAAAGGCACCCCTAGGTCTTAGAGAATCAGGGCCTCATGTTTTAGAGCCCTAAGTTACTGAGTGTGGGCTGTGACTTAGAATCACTGTGTAGGAATGTGAAAGAAAATCTGCCAGCCCATTCTTGGCCAAGATGCTGGATTTGGAAGCCAAGATTCACTTGACTTGCAGACAGTTTCTGTGTTATAGAGCAGTAGAATTATAGATGATTGATTTTTTCAATTTAGTTTTATATTTTCAAGTTCTCATACATCGGTATTATGAGAGAACATACACATAAGACAAAGCAACAGTAAATAAAATTATGTGCAAATAATTCAGTAAGCTCATGTACGAGAAGGGGCTCATATCATCTAGATGTTATAGAAACGTAAACAGAAAAGGCACATACTTTGGATTACAAAGGGTCTGGATTTGGATCCGGTATCAGCACTTTCCGGGTGACCCAGTACCAGGGTATATGGTCTTGTTTTCTGTAAAATGGGCAATGCTTACCTGATTTGGCAGCTGTGCAGATTAAATGAGATGATGTGAGTGAACAGCCGGCAAAGTCAGTTGCTGTTTCTTCTCCCTGTTGGGGGAATATTTGATGGTGTGAGAAATGAGCTATGAACAACTCATCAAGACTGATATTTAAGTGAGGATAACTCACTTTATTGTCAGTTAAGCCTATCTAATCTCTTTTTTCTCATCCATCCATCCATCATCTCATTTATTCATGCATACATGCATGCATTCATTCACTTACTACTTCATCCCTGTTATATTGCATGTCCTACAGTGTGCAAGATGCTATTGATGCAGAGATGAATGAAATAGGTGACTTTGTTTGGAACTTGTGAATTCATATGCAAATGCAGGGATGACCCCCTGCTTCTTAAGCACTATCTTGTGTGTTGCTATTTAAACATAATACTATGATCACAGTAAAAACATAAAGCTTAGTACTTGAGTTAAAGATGCCAGAAAGTTGATATTCTACATGTCCAAAGTTGAAAATTTATGTATATCTGAACATGTGTATATTTATATTTCTAATAATCATATATCTGTCTTAAAAGTAAAAGCAATATTTTTCATGTGATTTCTCTCATTTGCTCATTGTTTACAGCTTATTTTACTAGTATAGTGACATATTCATATTATATGTTAGAAATCTACATTTGCAAAGATCAGCTAAGTTTACGTTTCAGATTGAGAATAGCCCGGAAGGATTGTGTCTAGCCAATTACATTTTTATTCTTAATTTTAAAACTCAGTATTAAAATAGTTCACTGTCTTCTATTTTCTGTATACTATCTGGGGCAGTATGTGGTGCTGAGTGACTTAATATTTTAGATTTCTTTTTCAGCTGTACATTTAAATTCCTTTCTTATTTTAGTGCCTGACAGTTCACCCAAGAATGTCACCTGATGCATTTAAAATGGGAAAATATTTATTTTCATCTTCTTTATCTTTCTTTTCTTTAATTTTTAGCCCTTAATTACCATTATGAGCGACTTGGATTCTATTTTGTTTCAATTCAGAAAAAAAACTTTGCTTTCTACTACTTCCAAAGTATTTTAAGCACTATGAAGAGTTTTAAATGGTATACATGATAATATAGCAGGTAAGAAGTTGCTGGCATGAGTTTCAAACCAAGAGACAGTAAGATGTTGTGCAATGGACCACTGATAAAGAGGTGGCAGCATAGGGCTCCTCACAATTGTGTTTGTTATTAGAGCCTGAACGTGAGAAGAAATCACTTCTCTGCTCTCTAAGAGCCTTCTCTATTAGTTATTAGGTTACTATAGATAAATTCTTAACACCTATCCAAGGTCTTTATTCTTCCCTTTCAAAATTGGGTAAAGGTTGATTTTTGTCCATGGCAAAGTCTTGTTTCGATGTTAAACTCATTGCAGAATCACTCTGAGGCCTGGCTGCAGTGCTGTTTATAAAATCCTTGCTTCAGGGTCAGGCTGCAAGTAAAACATTATTTAGAAGAGCTTTTGGCCTTTCACAAAATTGTCATGAACCTTTGAAGAAGAACTTGGAATTATATACTGCTTTGAAGCATACTGCAGTAGAATTTCATAGTCATTTTTATGGGCCATGACAATTTTTGAAGATGCTTAAAACTTTTCTTATAATCTTCATTTAATATGTGTATTCATCTGATCATTATAACTGCTTGGAGAATCAATGGAAGTATAAATATATTGGGTCATTTTGATACAGACATTTTCTAGTTTTGAAAGGAAACTAGAAATCCACTGGAAGACCCCAGATTTGGATTTTGAAATAACCCGTTACCTGGATGGTGCAGCAGAGTTAAAATTATCCCTATACAGGCATTAAGTAATAGTTTGATAAAGTATTTAATGTACAAGTATAGAGCAGTAATAATTCTTTATAATTTTTTCTCCATGTCTTTCCATAAATTTTCACAAATGCATACAGTGCATTTGTGAACATGTTACATATTAAACTGATTAGTATTGCGACCCAATTGGATTTTACCTTCTTTATGTACATATCTGTAGATCCCCAAAGCCTCCAAGTGTACTGATTTGGATGATTTTATATACATTCCTTAAGACCATTTTCTGGTAGCCATGTAACTCTGAATTGCATTAAAAGAAAAAATAAAGCATTTTATAGAACTAAGTGTGATTTTTCTCAATTTAAACTCTACATTCTCCCTATTTGGAGCTACTTAATGATTTGCTGTGTCATTTCCACACCTGAGTCAGTACAGCTTTATTTTTTTACTTAATTATAGCAATTAAGAATATATTTAAAATCTCAACTCTTTGATCTTCCTAGTAGATATTTTTATTGGTCAGGGTCAGTTAGAGAACCTGTAGGAGATATATATTAGGAGATTTATTGCAAGGAATTGGCTTATGTAATTTTGGGGACTGACTAGGCTTGACCATAATCCATGAGTCAGGTCATCAGAAAGGGCAGGCTGGAACCCTCAGGCATGAACTTCCACTGACTTAATCAGGCTTGTTGGGATTATCTAGGATAAGTCCTCTTACTTAAAATCAACTGATTATGGGTTTTAATCACACCCACAAAATACCTTCACAGCTACACCTAGATTAACAAATACCTGGGGAGTGTAGCCTAGCCAGGTTCACACATAAAATTGACAATCACAAAATTTAAATGAAAAATATTTCAAATTTAGCAAAATAATATACATTTCTGCATAATTGTATATGTTTGATATCAGTTGAAACTAGTTGTTCCTTTTGTGGTTGCAATGAAATACACATTGTGAAAGTGAATGTTTAAGTCCTTATAATCTTGGGCCAGGAAAGGCCATTAGCAAAATGATGTGGGTGGCTGCCCCTGAGCTTCTGTCCCTGTAGCTAAGGCAGACAGGTGGCTACTCCAAGATCTCGAGGTAAGTACACCCCAGCCTGTTCTGTCTTCTCTCTTGCCTCTCAGAACTAGGCTTTCTGAAGGGCTCTGTCCAATAAGTACAGAGGGATTTCCTTGGCTGTTTAGAGTGTATCTATTGCCAAATCATTATCAAAAACAGGCAGGCCTAAGCCCAGAAGCTTTGGAAGGCAAGGGAGGGCACCCTGAGTTTTACCAAGAACACTGAAGATATTAAAGGAGAGGTTCTCCAATGGTTACCAGAAAACAGGTTACAGATAATACGCATTTGAAAATTCTGAATGACCACTATATTTTCTTGCTTCTGCTCCAACTTCAAGAATAATAGTTTCTTAAAGGCACAGATTATATATCCTCAGAGCATGTCTTAGTGAATAGCATAGATATTAGTGTTCCAGCAGGAAATAGTACACCCAAATTAGGATAAGGTGTGGAGGGGTAAACCAAAAGTTTTGTTTAAAAAGGTGTGAGCCAGCTCTAGAGAAACCTGAAATGATAGTGTAGTACCCTGTAGCCATTATTATCCTCAGTTGGGGGCAGGGGGTGGGTAGGGAACGGAGAGATTACTGAAAGCATAAAGAGAATGCCGAGGACGGAGAGTTGCCCTCATAGGTGCCGTGGCCTTTGCCGAAGCAATGTAATTAGTCCTCTGGAGACGGAACCAAGGGGGAAGAAATACGGTACCCTGATTGTGAAAATCCACCTCACTCTCTCCCTCTAGTCACCTGCCAGGGTTTCCAAATGGCTGAACCCACCACATATCAGAGGGCCAAGGGCCCACCAATGTGATCCCTTGAAATTAGCCACCTGAGGGCACAATGGAGAGTGGACCCAGAAGGGCACACAGGAGATAGAATGCCCTTCACTCACATTATACAGCAGCTCCAAGCATGTGAACCTGAACAAGCTATGTCATTTCTCTGAGCCTCAGTTTTCTCACCTTAAAATAATGTAACCATAGTTATCTGGCAGGGTTATTTAGGGGCAGACAGTATATGTAAATGTAAATTACTCTTTTTTTAAACTTTTATTTTAGGTTTGGCGTATATGTGAAAGTTTGTCATGGGAGTTTGTTGTAGAGATTATATCATCATGCAGGTATTAAGCCCAGTACCCAATAGTTATCTTTCTGCTCTTCTCCCTCTTCTCATCCTCCCTGCTCAAGTAGATCCCAGTGTCTGTTGTTTCCTTCTTTGTATTCATAAGTTCTTATCACTTAGCACCCATTCATAAGTCAGAACATGTGGTATTTGGTTTTCTGTTCTTGGATTAGTTTGCTAAAGATAATGGCCTCCAGCTCCATCCATGCAAAAGAAAAGATCTTATTCATTTTTAGGGCTGTATATTATTTCATGGTACATATGTACCATATTTTCTTTATCCAGCCTGTCCTTGATGGGCATTTAGGTTGATTGAAGTCTTTGCTATTGTGAGTAATGCTGCAATAAATATTTGCATGTATGTCTTTATGGTAGATGATTTATATTCCTCTGAGTATATACCCAGTAATGAGATTGCTGGGTTGAATGGTAGTTCTGCTTTTAGCTCTTTGAGGTATTAACATACTGCTTTCCACAATGGTTGAGCTAATTTACACTCCCACTAACAGTGTATAAGTGTTCCCATTTCCCTGCAACCTTGCCAGCATCTGTTATTTTTTGACTTTTTAATAATAACCATTCTGATAGGCATGAGATGGTATCTCACTGCGGTTTTTATTTGCATTTCTCTAATGATCAGTGATAGTGAGCTTTTTATCATATGCTTGTTGGCCACACGTTATGTCTTCTTTTGAAAGGTGTCTTTTCATGTCCTCTGCCCACTTTTTAATGGGGTTGTTTTTCTCTTGTAAATTTGTTTAAGTTTTTTATATATTCTGGATATTAGACGTCTGTCAGATGCATAGTTTGTAAATTTTTTCCCATTCTGTAGGTTGTCTACTCTGCTGATAGTTGCTTTTGCTGTGCAGAAGCTCTTAAGTTTAATTAGATCACACTTGATTTTTGCTTCTGCTGCAATTTCTTTTGGTGTCTTTGCCGTGAAATCTTTGCCCATTCCTATGTCCAGGATGGTATTGCCTAGGTTGTCTTTCAGGGTTTTTATAGTTTTGGGTTTCACATTTAACTTGTTTTTTTTTTTGAGATATAGTGGCACAATCTCGGCTCACTGCAACCTCCACCTCCTGGGCATGCCTCAGCCTCCCAAGTAGCTGGGACTACAGGCACGTGCCACCATACCAGACTAATTTTTAAGAGATGGGGTTTCGCTGTGTTGGCCAGGCTGGTCTCAAACTCCTGACCTCAAGTGATCCGCCTGCCTTGGCCTCCCAAAGTGCTGGGAATATAGGTGTGAGCCACCACGTCTGGCCACATTTAAGTCTTTAACCTATCTTGAGTTGATTTTTGTATATGGCATAAGGAGGGGGTCCAGCTTCAATCTTCTGCATGTGGCTAGCCAGTTATCTCAGCACCATTTATTGAATAGAGAGTCTTTTCCCCATTGCTTATTTTTGTCAGTTTTCTTGAAGATCAGATGGTCATAGGTGTACAGACTTATTTCTGGGCTCCCTGTTGTTTCATTGTTCTATATACCTGTTTTTGTACCAGTACCATGCTGTTTTGGTTACCAAAGCCTTGTAGTATAGTTTGAAGTCAAGTAACATGATACCTCCAGCTTTGTTCATTTTGCTTAGGATTGCCCTGGCTATTCAGGCTCTTTTTTTGGTTCCATATGAATTTTAAAATAGTTGTTTTCTAGTTCTACAAAGAATGTCATTGGTAGTTTGATAGGAATAGCATTGAATCTGTAAATTGCTTTGGGCAGTATGACCATATCAATGATATTGATTTTTCCTATCCATGAGCATGGAATGTTTTTCCATTTGTTTCCATCTTCTCTGACTTCTTTGAGAAGTGTTTTATAATTCTCATTGTAGAGATCTTTCACCTCCCTGGTTAGCTATGTTCCTAGGTATTTTATTCTTTGTGTGGCAATTGTGAATGGGCTTGCCTTTTTGATTTGGTGCTCAGTTTGGCTATTGTTGGTGTATAGAAATGCTAGTGATTTTTGTACATCGATTTTGTATCCCGCAACTTTGCTGAAGTTGTTTATTGGCTGGAGGAGTTTTGGGGCCGAGACTGGGATTTTCTAGACATAGAATCATGTTGTCTGCAAACATATAGTTTGACCTCCTCTTTTCCTATTTGGATCCCCTTTATTTCTTTCTATTGCTTGATTGCCCTGACTAGGACTTCCAATACTGTTTTGAATATGAGTGCTGAGAGAGGGCATCCTTGTCATGTGCTAGTTTTCAAGGGAAATGTTTCCAGCTTTTGCCCATTCAGTATAATGTTGGCTGTGGGTTTGTCATAGATGGTTCTTACTGTTTTGAGGTATGTTCCTTCAATAAGTAGTTTATTGAGAGTTTTTAATATGAAGGGGTATTGAATTTTATTGAAAGCTTTTTCTGGGTCTATTGAGATAATCATGTGGTTTTTGTCCTTAGTTCTGTTTATGTGATGAATCACATGTAATGATGTGCATATGTTGAATCAACCTTGCATCTTGGGGATGAAGCCTACTTGATCATCGTGGATTAGCTTTTTGTTACGCTGCTGGATTCTGTTTGCAGGTATTTTGTTGAGGATTTTTGCATCAATATTCAACAAAGATATTGGCCTGAAGTTTTCCTTTTTTGTTGTGTCTCTGTCAGGCCTTGGTATGAAGATGATGCTGGCCTAATAGAATGAGTTTGGGAAGAGTCCCTCCTCAATTTTTTGGGATGGTTTCTGTAGGAATGGTACCAACTCTTCTTTGTACATCTGGTAGGATTTGGCTGAGAATCTATCAGGTCCCAGGCTTTTTTTGGTTGGTAGGCTGTTTATTACTGATCCAATTTTGGAGCTTGTTGTTAAGTCTGTTCAGGGAATCAGTTTCTTCCTGGCTCAGTCTTGGGAGAGTGTGTCCAGTAATTCATCTGTCTCTTCTAGGTTTTCTAGTTTGTGTGTTCGTTACTCTTAACAATAGATGGAGCTTCACACAGTGGCAATTGTTGTAGCCAATGAGGTTTATCTGAAGCACAATTATTGCTGATTGAAAACTTTTCCCAGTACCCTGCTGTGATGACTTTAAATATAGTTGGCATTGGCAGTTTTTGATAGTCTCCAAAGAGACTAAATTAAAAAAAATACAATAGATAGCATTCAATATAATAACTGCTACTGTTATTATAATTGTCACAACTGCTGTTACCTCAACTAATTCATAAAATAGATATGAAGTTCATTTCATAACAGGGAAATAGATAAGAGATTGAAGAAGCATTTTGAACTGTGTTAGAATAACTGTAGCATCTTACATATGTGTATGTGTGTGTGTGTTAACCTAAACTCTGATAATAAGACAAAGCCCCCCATCTCCTTTCGATGCTCTTAGTGATCATACATTTCTACTTTTCCCCACTTATTTGCCAGACATAAAAACAAAATTAGTAAACTACCCCAGTTTGAATTCCATTTCCCTCCAACCTACCTCATGGTGGAGAATTTAATGACAGAAAATGGCCAAAATATTTGAGATCAGTGGGGAGAAATTGTGACTAATGCACATTGTTTGACTTCATAATTACTACAATGTGATTCCATAAAAATTGTATTAGGTGGATAATAACATTGTGAGTAGTAATTGTGTCTACATGTGTAATTTCTTTTCTCTACAGTATTTAGGATTATAAGGGAGGATTTATAGATATGTAGGGAAAAAAGTAATTTTTTGCTTAACCCTCATATGTTCTTAGTTGAAACAGACACTTGTAACAACAGCAACAACAACAAAAAAGCAGATTAACGAGGGAAAAACAGAAGTTTTGTTAACATGTATATTTCATACATACGTGGGAGATACCTAGAGAAGGAGTAACTATCAAAGAGGTGACTCTGAATTGCACTTTATATAACATCTTCAAAAAGAACAGTAAATTTTTAGAGAAGTGACAAAACAAAGTACTTTGAGTCTCCAGCGGCAGCAACTTGTGGGAAGGCAAATAAAGGCTAGTTAGTAAAGCTTGTTAATGTAGATTCCTCTGGTGCCATCTCCAGGTCCATAAGGGTCTAAAGTTGTTTTCATTGGTTACCCTTTGTTCTTCTTGGTAGAAAAGGGAGATGAGATATATTATGTTTTTGTAAATTTATGTCCTGATTTTAGGCAAATAGAGGGAGGGCAGAGAGCTCTCAGGTATCTGCTTCTTTCTTGCCTTCAGCTCAACAATGCTCCTGTCAAAAAGGTGTATTGGGGGTGGCATATTATGACCTCTCACAGTTACAATAGTATAGATAATAGATAGTGTATATATTGATAGTCTAGATTACTGTGCTTTACTTATAAGTACAATTTAGATCATAAATCAAATAGAAAACCAGATGGAAGCATTTTAAAAATTCATCTTGGAGAAGGTTCAAAAGGTATCTGTTGTCCTTGCACAAAAGAAATCTGTACCTTCAAGGTCCTGGGAACACTAGCAATAGCACACTGATTTGGCATAAGCTGACCATGTGCTAATTGGGAACAGGACTCCTTAGAGATCACCAAGAAATCACCTCATTATTCAGCCTTGGTCACATAATTAAATTTGAGTCTAATGCTCTAATCTTTAGATGATTTTGAATTAAATTCTTATTTATTCCTTATGACAAGCACTCCGTTCTGTCTTCGTGGATGAGACTCCCAGCTGGGAATAAAACCAGGTTGGAGGTTTTGTTACAGTTTATCATATTATACCTATGAATGATTCATGTGCCATCTGTTGACCATAAATCCAGTTAAGGAATTCTAATATATGTACTATTTCTACTTCCTAGAATAAAGCAAAATTGGCATTTACAACATTCCTGAGCAATAAAATGCCAGTAAAATTATAATTGACGCTTATGGTTCTTTGCTATTCCTAAGCATTAATCACCTTAAAACACAGTATGTGGTATCTGTATTTCCATGACTATTAGCTACAAAATGTTGGCAACATGTTAAACTTCAATTACTTTTTATAATATCTTATATTCACATGAGCAATATTTAATGACTCACAAAGACATTCTGGAATAAATACAGATATTCACCCTGGAATTTTCTCTTTCAGTGGGAATAATTATTAACAACACTGGTTTCTTCTCTGAGGTAGTAATTTTTGGTAGTTTAGTTCTTATTCAGAGTGCACTGACAATGTGATTATTATTAGTACCTCTGTCTTTCCCAGCATGCAATTATTTGCATATTAATTTAACTTTGTTTTTGGGTGAAAATAGCACCATATAAGCAGAGGGATATGATTTTAAAGTATCAGTGACATGAAATAATTTTAACGTGGAACTAAACTTTGTTATGATTCTAAATTTACTTTTAAAAATAATAAACATTGCTTTTTAAGACTACAGATTATGCTGCACAAAATAAGGAAATAAATGTAGTCTAAAAAGTATCAAACCCCAATCCTATTTCTGTTATTTCGACATTTTGTATTTGAATATTCACTCTCAGTATTTTTTGACATAGGGACATGTTCTGATTATGCTTCGGCAGATTAAAACGGTAACACATGGGAAGCTCACACAGATGGACTGGGAAATAGAAACAGGTGTTGCACTCACCTGCCATTTGTTTTTTTTCCCCCTTTCAATTTTTTTCTTCTAAAATGAGAGAATGGGTCCTTCTTTCCATAGTGGCAGTGAAGCTAGGGTACATTGACGGGCTTCTTCTTTGGACCAAAAAATAGTCCATGCCCTGCAAGTCTTGATTTTATCTCTCGGTGCAGCTGATGAGTAATGTGACTCTTTATCATACTGTCTTTGTGTTTTGGAAGTAGAAATAATAAAATGCATGTGTAGTAAGACTAATTTGCTAAATAAATAGAGAATGTATATATGTGTGTTCATATTGATTTTTAAAAGATCTGGAGGGAATATTCATATATATTAGAAATAATTGGGCTAAATGCCCCAATTAAAAGACACAGACTGGCAAATTGGATAAAGAGTCAAGACCCATCAGGGTGCTGTATTCAGGAAACCTATCTCATGTGCAGAGACACACATAGTTTCAAAATAAAGGGATGGAGGAAGATCTACCAAGCAAATGGAAAACAAAAAAAGACAGGGGCTGTAATCCTAGTCTCTGATAAAACAGACTTTAAACCAACAAAGATCAAAAGAGACAAAGAAGGCCATTACATAATGGTAAAGGGATCAATTCAACAAAAAGAGCTAACTATCCTAAATATATATGCACCCAATACAGGAGCACCCAGATTCATAAAGCAAGTCCTTAGAGACCTACAAAGAGACTTAGACTCCCACACAATAATAATGGGAGACTTTAACACCCCACTGTCAACATTAGACAGATCAACGAGACAGAAAGTTAACAAAGATATCCAGGAACTGAACTCAGCTCTGCACCAAGCGGACCTAGTAGACATCTACAGAACTCTCCACCCCAAAACAACAGAATATACGTTCTTCTCAGCACCACACCACACTTATTCCAAAATTGGCCACATAGTTGGAAGTAAAGCTCTCCTCAGCAAATGTAAAAGAAGAGAAATTATAACAAACTATCTCAGACCGCAGTGCAATCAAACTAGAACTCAGGATTAAGAAACTCATTCAAAACCGCCCAACTACATGGAAACTGAACAACCTGCTCCTGAATAACTACTGGGTACATAACGAAATGAAGGCAGAAATAAAGATGTTCTTTGAAACCAATAAGAACAAAGACGCAACGTACCAGAATCTCTGGGACGCATTCAAAGCAGTGTGTAGAGGGAAATTTATAGCACTAAATGCCCACAAGAGAAAGCAGGAAAGATCTAAAATGGACACCCTAACATCACAATTAAAAGAACTAGAGAAGCAAGAGCAAACACATTCAAAGCTAGCAGAAGGCAAGAAATAACTAAGATCAGAGCAGAACTGAAGGAAATAGAGACACAAAAAACCCTATAAAAAAATCAATGAATCCAGGAGCTTGTATTTTGAAAAGATCAACAAAATTGATAGACTGCTAGCAAGACTAATAAAGAAGATAAAAGAGAAGAATCAAATAGACGCAATAAAAAATGATAAAGGGGATATCACCACCGATCCCATAGAAATACAAACTACCATCAGAGAATACTATAAACACCTCTATGCAAATAAACTAGAAAATCTAGAAGAAATGGATAAATTCCTGGACACATACACCCTCCTAAGACTAAACCAGGAGGAAGTCGAATCTCTGAATAGACCAATAACAGGCTCTGAAATTCAGGCAATAATTAATAGCTTACCAACCAAAAAAAGTCCAGGACCAGATGGATTCACAGCCAAATTCTACCAGAGGTACAAGGAGGAGCTAGTACCATTCCTTCTGAAACTATTCCAATCAATAGAAAAAGAGGGAATCCTCCCTAACTCATTTTATGAGGCCAGCATCATCCCGGTACCAAAGCCTGGCAGAGACACACCAAAAAAAGAATTTTAGACCAATATCCCTGATGAACATCGATGCTAAAATCCTCAATAAAATACTGGCAAACCAAATCCAGCAGCACATCAAGAAACTTTTCCACCATGATCAAGTGGGCTTCATCCCTGGGATGCAAGGCTGGTTCAACATATGCAAATCAATAAACATAATCCAGCATATAAACAGAACCAATGATAAAAACCATATGATAATCTCAATAGATGCAGAAAAGGCCTTCGAAAAAATTCAACAACCCTTCATGCTAAAAACTCTCAATAAATTAGGTATGGATGGGACGTATCTCAATAAGAGCTATCTATGACAAACCCACAGTCAATATCATACTGAATGGGCAAAAACTAGAAGCATTCCCTTAGAAAACTGGCACAAGACAGGGATGCCCTCTCCCACCATTCCAATTCAACATAGTGTTGGAAGTTCTGGCCAGGGCAATCAGGCAGGAGAAGGAAATAAAGGGTATTCAATTAGGAAAAAGAGGAAGTCAAATTGTCCCTGTTTGCAGATGACATGATTGTATGTCTAGAAAACCCCATCGTCTCAGCCCAAAATCTCCTTAAGCTGATAGGCAACTTCAGCAAAGTCTTCAGGATACCAAATCAGTGTGCAAAAATCACAAGCATTCTTATACACCAATAACAGACAAACAGAGAGCCAAATCATGAGTGAACTCCCATTCACAATTGCTTCAAAGAGAATAAAATACCTAGGAATCCGATTTACAAGGGACGTGAAGGACCTCTTCAAGGAGAACTACAAACCACTGCTCAAGGAAATAAAAGAGGATACAAACAAATGGAAGAACATTCCATGCTCATGGGTAGGAAGAATCAATATCGTGAAAATGGCCATACTGCCCAAGGTAATTTACAGATTCAATGCCATCCCCATCAAGCTACCAATGACTTTCTTCACAGAATTGGAAGAAAACTACTTTAAAGTTCATATGGAACCAAAAAAGAGCCCGCATTGCCAAGTCAATCCTAAGCCAAAAGAACAAAGCTGGAGGCATCACGCTACCTGACTTCAAACTATACTACAAGGCTACAGTAACCAAAACAGCATGGTACTGGTACCAAAACAAAGATATAGACTAATGGAACAGAACAGAGCCCTCAGAAATAATGCCACAAAGCTACAACCATCTGATCTTTGACAAACCTGAGAAAAACAAGCAATGGGGAAAGGATTCCCTATTTAATAAATGGTGCTGGGAAAACTGGCTAGCCATATGTAGAAAGCTGAAACTGGATCCCTTCCTTACATCTTATACAAAAATTAATTCCAGATGGATTAAAGACTTAAATGTTAGACCTCAAACCATGAAAACCCTAGAAGAAAACCTAGACAATACCATTCAGGACATAGGCATGGGCAAGGACTTCATGTCTAAAACACCAAAAGCAATGGCAACAAAAGCCAAAATTGACAAATGGGTTCTAATTAAACTAAAGAGCTTCTGCACAGCAAAAGAAACTACCATCAGAGTGAACTGGCAACCTACAGAATGGGAGAAAACTTTTGCAACCTACTCATCTGACAAAGGGCTAATATTCAGAATCTACAATGAACTCAAACAAATTTAAAAGAAAAAAAAACCCCATCAACAAGTGGGTGAAGGATATGAACAGACACTTCTCAAAAGAAGACATTTATGCAGCCAAAAGACACATGAGAAAATGCTCATCATCACTGGCCATCAGAGAAATGCAAATCAAAACCACAATGAGAGACCATCTCACACCAGTTAGAATGGCGATCATTAAAGAGTCAGGAAACAACAGGTGCTGGAGAGGATATGGAGAAATAGGAACACTTTTACACTGTTGGTGGGACTCTAACCTAGTTCAACCATTGTGGAAGTCAGTGTGGCGATTCCTCAGGGATCTAGAACTAGAAATACCATTTGACCCAGCCATCCCGTTACTGGGTATATACCCAAAGGATTATAAATCATGCTTCTATAAAGACACATGCACACATATGTTTATTGCAGCACTATTCACAATAGCAAAGACTTGGAACCAACCCAAATGTCCAACAATGATAGAGTGGATTTAGAAAATATGGCACATATACACCATGGAATACTATGCAGCCATAAAAAAGGATGAGTTCCTTGTCCTTTGTAGGGACATGGATGAAGCTGGAAACCATCATTCTTAGCAAACTATCACAAGGACAAAAAACCAAACACCGCATGTTCTCACTCATAGGTAGAAATTGAACAATGAGAACACATGGACACAGGAAGGGGAACATCACACACCAGGGCCCGTTGTGGGAGGAGGGGAGTGGGGAGGGATAACATTAGGAGATATACCTAATGTTAAATGACGAGTTAATGGGTGCAGGACACCAACATGGACATGTATACATATGTAACTAACCTGCACGTTGTGCACATGTACCCTAAAACTGAAAGTATTAAAAAAAAATTATTCTGTGTGTTTTTTTCTCTTTTTTACTTTATATTCTAAATTTCCTTTAATTATAAAAGGTTTATTTTAAAAAAAAACGGTGATAATAAGTAAGCAAAACTGCCCACTTCCCTCCTCACGTTATCCACTAAGGAATGCCTCCAAAGAAAACACTATAGACGTGAGAGAGGAAGTGTGCATTAAGGGGGAGTCCATGCTGAGGACTAGAAGGAAATGAGGGGGGCAAGTCTTCAGGCCAGGCTCAGGCTTAGTCAGCACACTCAGAGCAGATCTCTTGGGAGAAAATGGGGTGGATTCACCTGAATCAGCTTCCAGAAACTGACAAGAAATTCACATGCCCCCCAGTTGACGATGGAATTGTTACCGCCTTTGGACAAGGATGCTTTTGTTGATATGACCAGTGTATTCTCTGATGCATTCCCAACCTGATGTTTGTTCAGTTCCTGCAGAGCCAGGCAAAACTCACTCCGACTGCCTTTGGCATCCACCTCCACAGGATGGATGTACTGTCTCTATTAAAAGTGCTTGGCATGGTAACTTTGGGTTAAAGACAATTAGGTGGAAACTAGTCTTGTGAAATGGAGATCTCCATAAAACTTGAGAGGGTAGAACAAACAAGGAGCAAATATAGAGAGTCAAATCCATAAACCTTGAGGCCATTTAATTTCTAGATCAACATTTATTCTTCTATCCTATGTACCTTCTGCCCTCCTCCTTTGTAATTTCTTCAGACCCAACCTTCCAGGCCCCTCATGTAAAAATATTTCTCTGCTTTTCCTGAGATGGTCAGTGCTGGTCACCACCTTGCAATATAAGGGTCAGCTTTCCCCCGCTTTGGGTTTGTACAAGAAATCATTCATTTATCAATGTCTGTGGAGCCCCTATTATATATGTCTGAGGTCCTGGTTAGGGTAAATGTCATCACATATCCATACAAATAACATCCATTTATCAACAAAAAAAAAGACTTTCCAACCCTCATCTCAACAGGACACCTGATATACGAATTTACTGTGTAGTTAGAACTGCCATCTTTAGCCCTTCTAATGTGGTTCTAGACCCAGACGTGGTATCATGTTGCTACTGATGAGGGCTAGTCTTAACTGATGCCCTTGAATTGAGACTGGGGTGACATATAATGCATTCATAGAAATTAGCAATGGCTATCCTAGTCCTCAAGAGAAATTTAGATAAGCTGTATTTTGTGCATTGATATGTATCAGACTCCTGTGACACTGGAAGTTTTATTTTGCCTGGATAAGGTTACTGAACAAGTAGCATCTCAGTTTGAGACACTAAGATTGCCAGTGGGTGACGAGCACTGTGGACATGAGCCATCTGTGCTGTGGAGTGTGGCTAGTGTCTCCCATAGCAGTCTCTCTTGTCTGCCTGTCATTAGGTGACCTTGAGGCTGTGCAAAGTGAGTTATGCAGCCTCTCCCTGATTAAATGCATCCTGTCTCTCTCACATTGTAAAAATAATTGTGGACTTTATGTTCCACCCAGGATTATAATTCCTCAATGCCATATGTTTGTGTTGACATAAACAGTCTTCCCCGAAATTTGGCACAAGCCTGACCATGTGCTGATTGGGAACAAGACTTCTTAGAGATCGCCAAGAAATCAATTCATTCTTCAGCCTTGGTCACATAACTAAATTTGAGTTTAGTGCCCTAATATTTAGATGGGTACCTCTGTGATCTTGTTAAAGACATTTGTTTGCACGGAAAGTGCTACACACTTTATCTATGTGTTTTACTGGACTTTGTTTTTTTTTTTTTTAAATGTCACCAGAATATATCACTTAGATCTCCAGTCTCCTTTATGTTCTAAGCTGTAGCATTTTTTCACTTTCAACATGATATTTGATGCAAGATTTTCTTATTACCTCCACTTTTGAAAAATGATATAACGTAAGAGGAAATTGCATAGGAGGTGGAGAAGCCCATCTGTAGAAATGCTGATAGCTTCATTGTACATTAGTGTTGACTCGTGAATGAAAAGGAAAAACTCAGCTCTGGAATGCCTAAGTCCTAAAGTTTTTCATACAGTAGAGCTCTGTGAAGCACCAACCCAGTTTTGTTTGTTTGTTTTTTGTTTTGTTTGTCTGTTTTTTGAGATGGAGTCTTGCTGTTGCTTAGGCTGGCTTTGAACTCCTGGACTCAAGCAATCATCCTGCCTCAGCCTCCTGAATAGCTGGGATATATAGACATGTGCCACTATGCTTAGCTTTCAAACTATATTTTTAATGAGTTTGTCCCTCTTAGGATATTCATTGTTTGGTAATTAAAACTAAGCAGCTGGCCAGGCACGGTGGCTCATGCCTGTAATCCCAGCACTTTGGAAGGCCAAGGCGGGCGGATCACCTGAGGTCAGGAGTTTGAGACCAGCCTGACCAACATGGAGAAACCCCGTCTCTACTAAAAGTACAAAATGAGCTGGGCATGGTGGTGCATGCCTGTAATCCCAGCTACTTGGGAGAATGAGGCAGGAGAATCGCTTGCACCTGGGAGGAGGAAGTTGCAGTGAGCCAAGATCGCACCATTGCACTCCAGCCTGGGCAACAAGAGTGAAACTACATCTCAAAAACCAAAACAAAACAAAAAAAAAAAAACAAAAAAAAACTAAGCAGCTGACTTGGCAGTTGTGGTCAAAGGAACCACCTTTTGTCATGCATTCACTGGGAGATGCAGGCAACATTTGATTTCATGGCATTTAATAGGTGATTTTAAAATGGCAATTGATTATATTTTCAAATAAACACAGCCATCACATAAATACTTTGTCACCTTTACACAGCACCAACATGATGCTTTTGTAATGAAAAATAAAGCCAGTAGGGAAAAGACTTTTACAAGATCTGTTTAAATCATTCAGTGAATACTAGTCCCTATGGTTGATACTGAAGAAGCAAAGGTGAGCACAGGAGCTCACATGCCAATGGGGAGGCAGAAATTAGTCAAAGAATCACAGAAATCAGTGTCAAATTAACAGCTGTAACACAGGTTATGAAGGCAAAAGATCATAATGCTGCCTAGGTTGGGTTCTCCAAAAGCAAAGCCTGAGACAGGAGTTCGGGTACATATGACTTATTGTAAGAATGCTCTCGGGAAGAGGAGTGTCCGAATCTGAGGCAGGGGAAGGGTGTGGTCTCAGATGAATGGAGCTTCCGCCTGACCCCATGGGAGCTCTGGAGCATTAATTGTACAACAGACTTGTTCCACCTTAAGGCAGGTGGCTGGCCTTTCATAGTTGTTCCCCCATGCAAATCAGGCATTAACCAGAGTTAACCCAGGATGGGCATGGCCCTTGGGTAGAGGAACTCCCATAAGGCCAAAGGCAGTTTTCCAGAGAAGGGAGACAGCAACAGAGAAAATGAATGCAAGTTTAAGGAGCTCTGGGTGTGGCACCATCAGCATCCACTACAGATGCTAAGAGAACATATAATACAATGCTCTGCTTTCTTCAAAATCCTCCAGTGGTCTCCTGTATCACTCAGAGTCAGACCCAAATGCCTGAAAATGTCTGCAAAGATCAGGGGGATCTGGTGCCTGCTCTGACCTCATATCATAGATGCCTTTGAATCAAAATGCTCATTGCTCTATATGATATTCACTGTTGCTTTAGTTACCTTGTCCTGGCTGGATTTTCAGTTACCTTTTCTATTTAAACAGCAATGCATATTTTGGACATATTTCACATTTGATCAGTGTATGTTGAGGTACCTACTTTTATTTTCTTACATTTTTATTCAAAATATCTATAAGTGCCTAGAGTAGTGAAAAATCATAAAGACAGAAAGTAGGATGGTAGTTGCCAGGGGCTGGGAGGAAGCAGGAATTGGGGAGTTATTATTTAATGGGTATAGAGTTTAGTTTTACAAGACGAAGAGAATTATGGAGATGGAGATGGTGGTGATGGTTGCGTAACAATATGAATGTCCTTCATGCCTCAGAACTATACATTTAAAAACAGTTAAGGTGGTAAATTTTATGTTGTATATATTTTACCACGATTAAAATAACATAAGTGTCATGGAATTTTGTATTAGGTTAAAGTTTGAGATGTGGCATATGACTTTTCTGGCTCCAGAGAAACCTCTTGCCTTTACCAAACATAATCAGAATCAGTGTCTGCATTTGAAATTGGCCCAGAGTTAAAGATAAATGAAAAGAGATTCTTTGAGGCCAATCTGGTTTTTTAATTTTACACAAAAACATTGCCAAATATAGTGGACTTCCTTATCTGGGTTGTATTCTTCCCTGTTACATCTGCCTTTCTTTCTGCATTTAGGTCTGTCTCTTAGATCTCTGCTGTCTGGGCTCTTTTTACAATTTTTTAAAATACTAGTACTTCTTTTGTTATTTGATATCTATTAATTATATTCCTCCTTGCATTCTTCACCTTTTTGAGTTCTATTTTAGCATTTTGGTTTCCATTATACAGCAAATATGGGGAGGTCATCAAAATCTGGCTCTGTCAAAATAATAGCTGCCTTCTGCATTGCCTGGTACTGTGGAAGACCATTACTCCCTTTTCATGTTGTTGGGGTCTTGCTGCAGAGACTCTCAGCTGTGATTCTTCCTTTGAGATGTTTTGAGTCATTTTCATTGTCAGCCTGGCTGCTGGATTGGAAACACTGCCAAGTTCCTGAAGAGACAATTTTATCTGACAAATTTCTTCCAATTGCAGGAACATATGTTACGTATAAGACATACAGCTAAGAGCCAATTTAACATTGGAGGTTAGCACATATCAGCAGATGTTTGTGGAGGGCCCACTATATGTCAGTCTCTGGGGAGGCCTCAGGCACATAGGAGGAACTCAGGAAATATCAATAGGTTAAATAAAAGTGAACTGATTGGATTGGAGAACACACACACACACAAAAAAACAAACATAGTTTTAAAGAACTCAAAGTCCTAAAAGAGGAAGTGGACCTGCAAACACATGACTATAGTAAACTGTAATATGCCTCAATTTCCTCAACTATAAATTAAGGACAAACCTATCTTATTACATTTCCAAGATCATTCAATGAAACAATACATCTAAAGTGCTGAACAGAATGGCAGACAGAGCAAAGTTAGAGTCCTACTTATTATCAAGATACACCAAATGGGAAGAAAGTAATCTGCTCTGTAGAGAGTAGTAGGTGGGTAAGTTTATCCAAGTCAACTTAATATAATTGGTGACAGAGTTGAACAGGGCTTTGTGGATGTAGCCATCCTTTCACAGTCTGTGTCAGCAAAAGCCTCTGTATGTATTGGCAGCACCATATACATGTATGTACGATGAGAAATTGGACCGCTATTTATAGGTTTGATCTTCTGATGTTGCTTGACATTTTCGTTAATGGAAAATGTCAGTTTTCCAGTTTTCTTGCCAAAGGAAATTACCAAATGAACCACTTACAAGCTACTGTTAAACATTATTTATAAATGCTCGATGACCTTGATTGTGATAAATAACAATAATTGCTAATCATTATGTTTCAGAAGCCTGAGGCCTGCCAAGCCTCTTGGGAACTACACAAAATATTTTCATAACAAATCTAGTAATTTCAGCATCATAAAATATCTAGTAGGAAAAGCTAACCGGTAAATATTATTATTCCTTAAAAACATTTTCTAGGGGAAGAAATGCCTTTTAAAAATCTCTCTCTGGTCAATTTGTTGTTGTTATTGCTTAAATCATCATCCTAATTACCATGCCTCATTTCTGCTGAAAACAGAATTTTGAAAACACTTTCTGATTTCTAAGGCAAGACTATATCGTGGTACATTGTCAAAAAATTTCTCCAGGATTATTTACCCAGTAATGTCAAACTCATAGATAAGAGGATATGTCAACCGCATTTTCCATAAATTTCAGTTGTGTAGAATATTACTTTTGACCTATCATAGAAAGAAAAGAATTTATTGTGATAGTAGGTGGGTATTAAGTGTTTAACCAAAGATTATAATTATTTAAAATCTAAAACAATCATAGAAACTTCTTCGGAAATCTTTTTGAAATTTACTTTTGATGAGGCTTAATCCATAACCAAATACTGTGGCCAAATATAAACTTGAAATACAGGTTTCTGATATTTGAAAATGTCGGCCTGGATTACATTTCGGCCTTTCTGTGGCCCGGTTCCTTTATCCCTGCCAGTGCCTGTGCAGTACATGGAGCACTGAGTAAAACCATCAAGTCAGGAAAAGGGGAAATACCACTGCAGCAGAGGAAAGCAAATCTAAAACAACACAAAAGGTAATAGTTGTTTACTTGGTCAAGCTGTCTTCTTTGCGTATCAGGTATACATTCATATTATTTGCTGTATACCATAATTTATAACCCTAAAACTTGAATAATATGAGTTACTGGTTAGAAGCACTCTTTATAACAAATTAGGTTTTGATTTTTATGCTCGACAATTTTGACCCTGATAATATTGGTTACTAAATCCTCTCTTGGCACACTACATCACCATGATGCTTGATCTATTCTATTTACTTATTTATTCAACAAATAGCCTGCCACTGGATCCCAGGGGAGGGCTGGGGGTACAGCGGTAAGCCACACAGACAAAGCCTCTGCCCTTGTGAAATTGACATTCCAGTGGAGGAGACAGTTGACAAATGAACAAATGAAGAGATATACAAAGTCACTCATTATAGATTACAAGGGCCAGGAAGGGAATAAATAGAGCTCTAAGAAAAATAATAGTAGGGACGCATTCTTTATAAAATACTTGAGAACATTCACCTTCATGTTACTTGATTCCTCAATATAAACACCACATGATAAATTTAATCTAAAATTAGGTGTCAGGAAATAATACCCCCTGTTATTATTAACTAGTGAGCTTCCTTTTTTCTTTTGGAAACTGAAAATTAAATAATTTACCATATTTTCCTTTTTTGCTCTGGCTGCCAGAAAGCTTGGAAAAAACTTTGGTGCCCAGTGAAAGCATTAAATTATCTCTTCTTTTAGTATATTGGTGCAGCAGATGACTGAAACATCAGCCTGGCCTCTGCTTCCCAATCTGGGGACTGGGTTTATAAAATGGTGAGTGGTTGTGGGGCAGGCCAGGCCAACTTAGACAGACTAGGGAAAAGACTTTTCAGTCCAGGACAGAGAGGTTGTAAGGAAAGTTTATTTTATTTTATTTTATTTTATTTTATTTTATTTTATTTATTGTTATACTTTAAGTTTTAGGGTACATGTGCACATTGTGCAGGTTAGTTACATATGTATACATGTGCCATGCTGGTGCGCTGCACCCACTAACTCGTCATCTAGCATTAGGTATATCTCCCAATGCTGTCCCTCCGCCCTCCCCCCATCCCACAACAGTCCCCAGAGTGTGATGTTCCCCTTCCTGTGTCCATGTGTTCTCATTGTTCAATTCCCACCTATGAGTGAGAATATGCAGTGTTTGGTTTTTTGTTCTTGCGATAGTTTACTGACAATGATGATTTCCAATTTCATCCATGTCCCTACAAAGGACATAAACGCATCATTTTTTATGGCTGCATAGTATTCCATGGTGTATATGTCCCACATTTTCTTAATCCAGTCTATCATTGTTGGACATTTGGGTTGGTTCCAAGTCTTTGCTGTTGTGAATAATGCCTCAATAAACATATGTGTGCATGTGTCTTTATAGCAGCATGATTTATAGTCCTTTGGGTATATACCCAGTAATGGGATTGCTGGGTCAAATGGTATTTCCAGTTCTAGATCCCTGAGGAATCGCCACACTGACTTCCACAATGGTTGAACTAGTTTACAGTCCCACCAACAGTGTGAAAGTGTTCCTATTTCTCCACATCCTCTCCAGCACCTGTTGTTTCCTGACTTTTTAATGATTGCCATTCTAACTGGTGTGAGATGGTATCTCATTGTGGTTTTGATTTGCATTTCTCTGATGGCCAGTGATGATGAGCATTTTTTCATGTGTTTTTTGGCTGCATAAATGTCTTCTTTTGAGAAGTGTCTGTTCATGTCCTTCACCCACTTTTTGATGGGGTTTTGTTTTTTTCTTGTAAATTTGTTTGAGTTCATTGTAGATTCTGGGAAAATCAATGTACAAAAATCACAAGCATTCTTATACACCAACAACAGACAAACAGAGAGCCAAATCATGAGTGAACTCCCATTCACAATTGCTTCAAAGAGAATAAAATACCTAGGAATCCAACTTACAAGGGACGTGAAGGACCTCTTCAAGGAGAACTACAAACCACTGCTCAAGGAAATAAAAGAGGATACAAACAAATGGAAGAACATTCCATGCTCATGGGTAGGAAGAATCAATATCGTGAAAATGGCCATACTGCCCAAGGTAATTTACAGATTCAATGCCATCCCCATCAAGCTACCAATGCCTTTCTTCACAGAATTGGAAAAAACTACTTTAAAGTTCATATGGAACCAAAAAAGAGCCCGCATCGCCAAGTCAATCCTAAGCCAAAAGAACAAAGCTGGAGGCATCACGCTACCTGACTTCAAACTATACTACAAGGCTACAGTAACCAAAACAGCATGGTACTGGTACCAAAACAGAGATATAGATCAATGGAACAGAACAGAGCCCTCAGAAATAACGCTGCATATCTACAACTATCTGATCTTTGACAAACCTGAGAAAAACAAGCAATGGGGAAAGGATTCCCTATTTAATAAATGGTGCTGGAAAAACTGGCTAGCCATATGTAGAAAGCTGAAACTGGATCCCTTCCTTACACCTTATACCAAAATCAATTCAAGATGGATTAAAGACTTAAATGTTAGACCTAAAACCATAAAAACCCTAGAAGAAAACCTAGGCATTACCATTCAGGACATAGGCATGGGCAAGGGTTTCATGTCTAAAACACCAAAAGCAATGGCAACAAAAGCCAAAATTGACAAATGGGATCTAATTAAACTAAAGAGCTTCTGCACAGCAAAAGAAACTACCATCAGAGTGAACAGGCCACCTACAAAATGGGAGAAAATTTTCGCAACCGACTCATCTGACGTAAGGAAAGTTTTTAAACAGAAGTTTCTCAGTGTGATGTTCAATATTACTCACACCTCTATTTCTGCACAAATTGATATTACTATTACTTGCTAGTGTTAGGTGGGAATTGGGCTTGAATTTTTGGTGGATATCCAAGCATTAAGGGTGACCTGAAACTCGTCATTAGAGTCAGAGCACATGTCCCCAAAGGGCCAGCCTCATTCTGGTTACACTTGGTCCCTGCTACTTTGATCTCTTTTTCTCATTTCTTCTTTTCCCAGTTTATTGATTTTGTTGTATTTTTACATTTATATATGAGAACATTATCAAACATTTCTCTCTGTCTCTCTCTTTCTCTCTCTCTTCCTCCCCACTCCCTCTCTGTCTCTTTCTCTCCCTCTCTCTCTCCCTCTCTCTCTCTCTCTGTCTCTTTCTCTCAACTTCCCTAAGAGCATAAGGTGTGAAAGGCAAACAGACCTGGGTTTAAAGTCTTGCTCTGACACCTACTAGCAGTATCCTTGGAAGGATATTCCACAGTGGATGCTGCAGCGGTACCATGCCCATTTCCCTTTGCCAGTCCAGTGCACCCATATCCCATGGCTCTGAGTGTTGATCCCTGATGGCTCGGAGCTGCTCTTATCTCTGGAGAACTTTCCTTGATAGAGAATATAACCCCCGTGGGTAGGGGGTGGAGTGGATTCCTGCAGACATGACTTGCTAATGCAGGAGAACAAAGGCATATCTTCTTTTCTCAAGGTGGGACCAACTCTGCAGGACAAAGCATGTTCCAGAGCTCCCAGGGGGTCAGACCAAAGCAGACTGCAGCTGAGGCCATATCTCTGCTTGTCCCCTTCTTCTCTTGTATCCTGCTTCCTTTGCTCCCCTTCTTTTGAGGCTACTCTTACAATAAATCATGTTAACAAGATTCCCTGTTTCATATTCTGCTCTTTATTATTATTATTTTTTAAGTTCCGGGGTACAGGTGCAGAACATGTAGCTTTGTTACATAGGTATATGTGTGCCATGGTGGTTTGCTGCACCTATCAACCCATCATCTAGGTTTTAAGCCCTGCATGCATTCGTTATTTGTCCTAATGCTCTCCCTCCCTTTGCCCTCTACCCCACGACTGGCCCCAGTATGTGTCATTTCTCCCCCTGTGTCCATGTGTTCTCATTATTCAGTTCCCACTTGTGAGCGAGATCATGTGGTGTTTGGTTTTCTCTTCCTGTGTTAGTTTGCTGAGGATGATGGCTTTCAGCTTCATCCATGTCCCTGCAAACGACGTGATGTCATTCCTTTTTATGGCTTCATAGTATTCCATGGTGTATATGTACCACACTTTCTTTATCCAGTTTATCATTGATGGGCATTTGGGTTGGCTCTATGTCTTTGCTATAGTAAATAGTGCTGCAATAAACATGTTTGCCTGTGTCTTTATAATAGAATGATTTGTATTCCTTTGGTTATATACCCAGTAATGAGATTGCTGGGTCAAATGGTATGTCTGGTTCTAGATCCTTGAGGAATTGCCACACTATCTTTGGCAATGGTTGAACTAATTTACATTCCCACCAACGGTGTAAAAGCATTCCTATTTATCCACAGCCTTGCCAGCATCTATTGTTTCTTGACTTGTTAATAATTGCCATTCTGACTGGCATGGTTTTGATTTGCATTTCTTTGATGATCAGTGATGTTGGACTTTATTTCTCCTTTGCTTATGAAGCTTAGTTTTTCTGGATATGAAATTATGGGTTGAAAATTTTTTTCTTTAAGAATGTTCAATCATGCTGCTATAAAGACACATGCACACGTATGTTTATTGTGGCACTATTCACAATAGCAAAGACTTGGAACCAAGCCAAATGTCCAACAATGATAGACTGGATTAAGAAAATGTGGCACATATACACCATGGAATACTATGTGGCCATAAAAGATGATGAGTTCATGTCCTTTTTAGGGACATGGATGAAATTGGAAATCATCATTCTCAGTAAACTATTGCAAGAACAAAAAACCAAACACCGCATATTCTGACTCATAGGTGGGAATTGAACAATGAGAACACATGGACACAGGAAGGGGAACATCACACTCTGGGGACTGTTGTGGGGTGGGGGAAGGGGGAAAGGATAGCATTAGGAGATATACCTAATGCTAAATGACGAGTTAATGGGTGCAGCACACCAGCATGGCACATGTATACATATGTAACTAACCTGCACATTGTGCACATGTACCCTAAAACTTAAAGTATAATGATAAAAAAAAAAAGATTGTTGAATATTGGCCCCCACTCTCTTCTGGCTTGTGGTGTTTCTGTTGAGAGGTCTGCTGATAGTTTGATGGGCTTCCCTTTGTAGGTGACCTGGTCTTTCTCTCTGGCTACGCTTACCACTTTTTCCTTCATTTTGACCTTGGAGAATCTGATGATTATTTGGGGTTGGTCTTCTCATGGAATATCTTAGTGGTGTTCTCTGTATTTCCTGAATTTGAATGTTGCCCTGTCTTGCTAGGTTGGGGAAGTTCTCCTGGATAATATTCTCAAGTGTGTTTTCCAGCTCGGTTCCATTCTCTCTGTCTCTTTCAGGTACTCCAATCAATTGTAGGTTTGGTCTTTTTGCATAGTCCCATATTTCTCGGAGGTTTTGCTCATTCCTTTTCATTTCTTTTTTCTCTAATCTTGTCTGCATGCCTTATTTCAGCAAGATGGTCTTCAAATGCTGATATCCTTTCTTCTGCTTGGTTGATTTGGCTATTGATACTTGTGTATGCGTCATGAAGTTCTTGTGCTGTGTTTTTCAGCTCTATCAGGTCATTTATGTTCCTGTCTAAACTGGTTATTCTATTTAGCAGCTCCTGTAGCCCTCTATCAAGGGTTTTGGCTTCTTTGCATTGGGTTAGAACATGCTCGGTTAGCTCAGCGGAGTTTGTTATTACCCCCCTTCTGAAGCCTATTTCTGTCAATTTGTCCATCTCATCTTCCATCCAGTTCTGCATCCTTGCTGGAGAGGCATTGTGATCATTTGGAGGAGAAGAGGCACTCTGGCCTTTTAGATTTTCAGCGTTTTTTTCGTTGATTCTTTCTCATCTTCATGAGTTTGTCTAATATTGATCTTTGTGGCTGCTGACCTTTGGGTGGGGATTTTGTGGGGACTTTTTATTGTTGATGCTATTGTTGTTGTTGCATTGTTGTTGCTTTCTGTTTGTTTTTCTTGCAGTTATCAGGTCCCTCTTCTGTAGGGCTGCTGTGGTTTGCTGGGGGTTCGCTTCAGGCCCTATTCATCTGGTTCATTCCCATGCCTGGAGATGTCACACAAGGAGCCTGGAAAACAGCAAAGATGGGTGCCTGCTCCTTCCTCTGGGATCTCTGACCTAACTGATGCCAGTAGGAACGCTCTTGTATAGCATGTCTGACAACCCCTGTTGGAAGATCTCACCTAGTTAGGTGGCAAGGGGAGCAGAACGCATTTAACAAAGCACTTTGTCCCTTGGTGGATTGGGCGTGCTTCACTGGGGGGAAACCCACACATCTGGGCTGCCTGAATTCTTCAGAACTAGCAGGAGGAAAGAATAAGTCTACTGGTCTGCAGAGACTGCAGCCACCCCTCCCGCTAGGGCTCAGGCCCAGGGAGATCAGAGTTCTGTCCTTGAGTCCCTGGCTGAAGTTGTTGGAGTTCCTGTAGGGAGGCCCTGCCTTGATGGGTCAAGGTCAGGCCTGAAGAGGCACTCTGTCCGCAATCTGCCACAGCCATTGTGTTGGACTGTGGGGGATACCTCTTGGGACCAAGCTGTCCAGCCTCCCCAGCTCCAGCAGGGGAAAAGCCTGGCCTGGAGCTATAGAGATGGCTGCTGCCCTTCACCTGCCCTTAGAGCTTAGTTTGTTAGGCAGCTATCAGTCCCAGTGTTGGCTGTCACCCGTCCCCCAAGGAGTCCAAACGGCTTAGACAGCAGGCAACTGCAGCTGTGGTGCTGATCACCCTCCCCCAGGAGCTCAGCAGCCTTAAGCAGATTCTAGCTTAGTGCCTGTTGAGAATCTGTATGGCTTCATTGTTGGGACCCTAGACCCCAGTGGAATGGACTCATGAGTTGGATCTTCCAAACCATGGGTTGCACAGTTCCATGGAAAAAGGACATTTTCCAGGCTGGGTAGTATGCTCATTCACTGACTCCCTTGGCTGGGGGGAGTGGACTCCTCTGCCCTGTGTAGCCACCACACCACACTACTCTTCCTTCTTCTCTGTGGATCACAGCAGCCACCTAGTCATTTCCGATGTTGGAATCTGGATACCTCAGTTGCTGGTGCAGGATTCGCATGCTGTTATGGTTCTTTTCAAGGGGAGCCTCTGATTGCCACTGCTTCTAGTCAGCCATCTTGACCCCACCCCTGTTCTGCTCTTTGAGTCTGTGTTTTCTTATCTGAACAATAAAGATAGCTCACTGCTCATAGAATTATTTTGAGGCTTGAGTGAAATAATGTCTATTAGGTATCTGGAAAAGTTTAAAAATCAGACATTCAAGGGCTGATACTAATTGTTGTTACATTAGGCCACAGCCCATGACTAAAGAAGTGTTGAAAAACTGAAATCCTATTGAAAGCTTTTCACAGTGTCTTGTTATTCATTCTGATTGTTCTGGTCATCGTGGCCCAAGAGAGGATACATTCCCTTTGCCAAGTAAACATTTTTCAGTTTCTAAGTGCAGGGCTGCCCTCTAGTGGACTCTGAATGCATGTTCATTGAGGATAATAGGTAGTTTTTGCAGGCACATGGCAAACTGTATGAAAACATGTCCTTTGCAGGAACATGGATGAAGCTGGAAACCATCATTCTCAGCAAACTGTCACAAGATCAGAAAACCAAACACTGCATGTTCTCACTCATAAGTGGGAGTTGAACGAAGAACACATGGACACAGGAAGGGGAACATCACACACTGGGGCCTGTCGGGGAGTGTGGGGCTACGGGAGGGATAACATTAGGAGAAATACCTAATGTAAGTGACAGGTTGATGGGTGCAACAAACCACCAGGGCACATGTATACCTATGTAACAAAACTGCACATTCTGTATGTGTAACCCAGAACTTAAAGTATAATAAAATAAATAAATAAAATACTTGTTTAGTCAAAAAAGGAAAATTGGTCTAAGTGTCTGCCTCGATAAGCTTCTAGTGTCCTCCAGAGACAAAACACTGCAACCTGTTGTCATCAGAGCATCTGTTCCTATTCCCTTGAGGCTTGAGGCTTAAAACCAGATGGAAATGTAGAGAGATCTCTACTCCAACTTCTCATTTCCAGAGAAAAATTCAGAATTCATAGAGGTAAAATGAGAACTGAATTCTAATCCTGCCTTGGCTGTGACTTCCAACTCAGAAGTGTTTTTGTGTGATGTGCTGATGTCCATTTGGACATAGATTCTTTCTCTAGGAATAGTTGCCATTTACTTAATTACAATCATTTCTAATTATTTTACTACCTTCCTACGACTTTTCCCTTTGCTCATTTTGCTGTAGCCACCCTGTCCTCTTATTGTTTATCTTAACGCAACAGGCAAGCTTCTCTCTCCATAACCTTTGCACAGGTGTTCCCTCTTCCTGCTATACTCTTTCCTGTACCACCTTCAAGTATTTGCTCAAATGTCACCTTCTCACTCTGACCACCCTATTCAATATTTCAGTTCCCCAACATAGCAGCACTCCAGGTGTCCCCTTATCCTGCTCTATAGCTTCTTTTTTCTGTAGCCCTTATCACTTTCTACTGTGCTGTATAACTTTATTCATTATGTAGTGTAATGAATTCAAGTGCCCCTGGAGCAAGGATCTTTGTCTCATTTCTTCACTGATATAGCCTGTGTTCCTAGAATAGTGCATAGTGCACACTAAGGGCTCTATAAGTATATATTAGATTAAATAACCTTCCAAAATAAGCTTGTCACTCAGTGGAAAAACCACTTCCTCCAGTGTAGAAGTGCAACTCTCTGAAGGTTGAGGAGAGATTGAACAAATTTTCTCTGCTCCATGAAAGACCAGACCACTGCTGCCTTAACATTGCGTGCCACCAAGTATTGACATCACAATTAACCCAAGAAATTGGTCACAAGTAGGAGTTTGTCATTAGAACTCCTAATCTGCTATCCCCTACAGTGCCTCCAGGACCCATTTATCAAGCCTCTCATCTCCATAAAGCCAAGTTTCTTTCATCCCCGGACTCTTTCCCCATGCAATGTAGTTTAGCTTCTATTCTTCTGACTCTGCTTCCACCACCTTGAGCCCCCAAACTCTGCCCTCTGGAGCTCACTGTCATCATTAGCAGGTGCTTCCTGTCTCCAGCTCTTCTCTGAAAATGACCATCATTGTTTTGCTCCAAAGTCTGCCTCTCCCCCAAGGGCACAGCTACCTTGCAGCTTTTTCAAATAGTGGCTCTTTATTCTCTTTCCAATTTAACTCTGGACTTATTCCAGACCAGAACTCCAGGTCCTTTAAAGTGCTTGCCATCTGAATGTACTACCGACCATGATCCTTGTTCTAGCCATCTTTCAGCCTTGTAGCCAGTCCCTCTCATTCACAGAACACTTTATTACCTAGACCACTGATGTGGTTTTGCCCACTAGTCCTGTGAATTTCCACTTTGGTGACACAGCATCCCTTCAGTGACCTATCCAACATCCTAGTCTCTCAACTTTCTGCCTCCTACAAATCTTCTTGTTTATGGTCCTTTTCTAGTCTTTGTCATCCTTAATAATGCCCAGCCTCCAAATTCTTGACCTTAGGCACTCTAGTCTCTGACCTCCACTTCTCATCTTCTTGTGGCTCCATTCCAATAATCCTTCATCCCTGTAATCTAGAAACTTTCACTTTTTCATTGTCAGGGACCCCTTCTTGTTCTGTCTTCTTTCTTACTTATCTTGGACTCTGTGGTCCATCAGGATATTTGTTTCTTTGTGTCTCAGACCATTTTGTGCTGATATAACAGAATACCACAGACTGGATAATTTATAATGAACAGATATTTATTGGCTCATGATTCTGGAGTATGGCCAGTCCAAGATTGAGGGGTCAGCATCTGGTAAGGGCATTCTTGCTGTGTCATCCCATGACAGAAAGGCAAAAGAAAGGCAAGAAAGAGAGGCAAAAGGGAGCTGAACCTGTCCTTTTATAAGGAACCCACTCCCACAATAATGAGCCTGCTCCTGAGATAACAGCATTAATCTATCCTCGTGGCCTAATCACCTCTTAGAGGTCTCACTCTTAATACAGTTACAATGATGATTGAGTTTCCAGCACATACTTTTTGGGGAATATATCAAACCATAGCAATTTGCATTCATCTTTAGTCTTTTTGTCCTTTCTGCTCCTTCAGCCATACTCACCTGACAAACCCCACCCCTGGTTAACCTCTGGCCACCCTCAGTGCCTCCCTTGCACCTAAGCATCTGAGTATGTATGGAGGAAAAAGTACCACCATGTTGGGTGATTCTACTTTAAATTTTTGACTACAAGAGTCAGTGGGCCCTGAACCCTGCCTGGCAATCCTAAACCATGCCTTCTCTCTCCTCAATCATCATCCTTGTCACCTCCTCACTCTCAGATAATTATACCTTTTCTTAATTCACTGAGAAAAGCATTCGGAGACAAACTGCTTTATCTTTGCCCTACTGAACCTACTTCTCTGTCTTCCCCCTTCGAAGCAGATAACTAGATGTTACAATGGATAGTGATGACCACTCTGTGAGTAAATGCAGTAATTCTCTGTGTTTCAGGGTCTGAGAGGGAGGGATAAGACTTTAACTGTGACCTATTCCTTCTTAACCTTCAAAGACTGTCAACCTTCTCATTACTCTCTTTACCATGATTTCAGTTAAACAATAACATCACTTTCAATCATGTTTCCACTGCTTTTCATTTGCCTGCTAAATGGATGATAATGTAAAGTATGAACACGTCTTTTCAAACAAAATGGGGTCCCAGAGGCACAGAACTTATAAATGTAAAAAGAACTTTTAGAGGTGGAGCCAAGATGGCCAAATAGGAACAGCCCCAGTCTACAGCTTCCAGCGTGAGCGATGCAGAAGACAGGTGATTTCTGCATTTCCAACTGAGGTACTGGGTTCATCTCACTGGGGAGTGTCGGACAGTGGGTGCAGGACAGTGGGTGCAGCACACGGAGCATGAGCCGAAGCAGGGCGAGGCATCGCCTCATCCGGGAAGTGCAAGGGGTCAGGGAATTCACTTTCCTAGTCAAAGAAAGGGGTGACAGATGGCACCTGGAAAATCAGGTCACTCCCACCCTAATACTGCGCTTTTCCTATGGTCTTAGCAAATGGCACACCTGGAGATTATATCCCGTGCCTGGCTCGGAGGGTCCTATGCCCACGGAGCCTCGCTCATTGCTAGCACAGCAGTCTGAGATCAAACTGCAAGGCAGCAGCAAGGCTGGGGGAGGGGCGCCTGCCATTGCTGAGGCTTGAGTAGGTAAACAAAGTGGCCGGGAAGCTGGAACTGGGTGGAGCCCACCACAGCTCAAGGAGGCCTGCCTGCCTCTGTAGACTCCACCTCTGGGGGCAGGGCATAGCCAAACAAAAGGCACCAGAAACCTCTGCAGACTTAAATGTCCCTGTCCGACAGCTTTGAAGAGAATAATGGTTCTCCCAGCATGCAGCTGGAGATCTGAGAATGGACAGACTGCCTCTTCAAGTGGGTCCCTGACCCCCGAGTAGCCTAACTGGGAGGCACCCCCCAGTAGGGGCAGACTGACACCTCACACGACTGGGTACTCCTCTCACACAAAACTTCCAGAGGAACAATTAGGCAGCAACATTTGCTGTTCACCAATATCTGCTGTTCTGCAGCCTCTGCTGCTGATACCCAGGCAAACAGGGTCTGGAGTGGACCTCCAGCAAACTCCAACAGACCTGCAGCTGAGGGTCCTGACTGTTAGAAGGAAAACTAAAAAACAGAAAGGACATCCACACCAAAACCCCATCTGTAAGTCACCATCATCAAAGACCAAAGGTAGATAAAACCACAAAGATGGGGGAAAAAAACAGCAGAAAAACTGGAAACTCTAAATATCAGAGTGCCTCTCCTCCTCCAAAGGAACGGAGCTCCTCACCAACAACGGAACAAAGCTGTAGGAGAATGACTTTGACAAGTTGAGAGAAGAAGGCTTCAGATGATCAAAGTACTCCGAGCTAAAGGAGGAAGTTCAAACCCATGGCAAAGACGTTAAAAACCTTGAAAAAAAATTAGATGAATGGCTAACTAGAATAACAAATGCAGAGAAGTCCTTAAAGGACCTGATGGAGCTGAAAACCATGGCACGATAACTACATGATGAATGCAGAAGCCTCAGTAGCCGATTCGATCAACTGGAAGAAAGGGTATCAGTGATGGAAGATCAAATGAATGAAATGAAGCAAGAAGAGAACTTTAGAGAAAAAAGAATAAAAGAAACAAACAGAGCCTCCAAGAAATATGGGACTATGTGAAAAGACCAAATCTACGTCTGATTGGTGTACTTGAAAGTGACGGGGAGAATGGAACCAAGTTGGAAAACACTCTGCAGGATATTATACAGAAGAACTTCCCCAATCTAGCAAGGCAGGCCAACATTCAAATTCAGGAAATACAATGAATGACGCAAAGATACTCCTCGAGAAGAGCAACTCCAAGACACATAATTGTCAGATTCACCAAAGTTGAAATGAAGGAAAAAATGTTAAGGGCAGCCAGAGAGAAAGGTCGGGTTACCCACAAAGGGAAGCCCATCAGACTAACAGCTGATCTCTTCGCAGAAACTCTACAAGCCAGAAGAGAGTGGGGGCCAATATTCAACATTCTTAAAAGAATTTTCAACCCAGAATTTCCTATCCAGCCAAACTAAGCTTCATAAGTGAAGGAGAAATAAAATCCTTTACAGACAAGCAAATGCTGAGAGATTCTGTCACCACCAGGCCTGCCATACAAGAGCTCCTGAAGGAAGCACTAAACATGGAAAAGAACAACCGGTACCAGCCACTGCAAAAACATGCCAAATTGTAAAGACCATCGAGGCTAGGAAGGAACTGCATCAACTAAGGAGCAAAATAACCAGCTAACATCATAATGACAGGATCAAATTGACACCTAACAATGTTAACCTTAAATGTAAATGGACTAAATCCTCCAATTAAAAGACACAGACTGGCAAATTGGATAAAGAGTCAAGACCCATCTGTGTGCTGTATTCAGGAAACCCATCTCACATGCAGAGACACACATAGGCTCAAAATAAAGGGATGGAGGAAGATCTACCAAGCAAATGGAAAACAAAAAAAGGCAGGGGTTGCAATCCTAGTCTCTGATAAAACAGACTTTAAACCAACAAAGATCAAAGGAGACAAAGAAGGCCATTACAAAATGGTAAAGAGATCAATTCAACAAAAAGAGCTAAGTGTCCTAAATATATATGCACCCAATACAGGAGCACCCAGATTCATAAAGCAAGTCCTTAGAGACCTACAAAGAGACTTAGACTCCCACACAATAATAATGGGAGACTTTAACACCCCACTGTCAACATTAGACAGATCAACGAGACAGAAACTTAACAAGGATATCCAGGAACTGAACTCAGCTCTGCACCAAGTGGACCTAATAGACATCTACAGAACTCTCCACCTCAAATCAATAGAATATACATTCTTTACAGCACCACACCACACCTATTCCAAAATTGACCACAGGGTTGGAAGTAAAGCACTCCTCAGCAAATGTAAAAGAACAGAAATAATAACAAACTATCTCTCAGACCACAGTGCAATCAAACTAGGACTCAGGATTAAGAAACTCACTCAAAACTGCTCAACTACATGGAAACTGAACAACCTGCTCCTGAATGACTACTGGGTACGTAACAAAATGAAGGCAGAAATAAAGATGTTCTTTGAAACCAACAAGAACAAAGACACAACATACCAGAATCTCTGGGACACATTCAAAGCAGTGTGTAGAGGGAAATTTATAGCACTAAATGCCCACAAGAGAAAGCAGGAAAGATCTAAAATGGACACCCTAACATCACAATTAAAAGAACTAGAAAGGCAAGAGCAAACACATTCAAAACCTAGCAGAAGGCAAGAAATAACTAAGATCAGAGCAGAACTGAAGGAAATAGAGACACAAAAAACCCTTCAAAAAATCAATGAATCTAGGAGCTGGTTTTTTGAGAAGATCAACAAAATTGATAGACCCCTAGCAAGACTAATAAAGAAGAAAAGAGAGAAGAATCAAAAAGATGGAATAAAAAATGATAAAAGGGATATCACCACCGATCCCACAGAAATACAAACTACCATCAGAGAATACTATAAACACCTCTATGCAAATAAACTAGAAAATCTAGAAGAAATGGATAAATTCCTCGACACATACACCCTCCCAAGACTAAACCAGGAAGAAGTTGAATCTCTGAATAAACCAATAACAGGCTCTGTAATTCAGGCAATAATTAATAGCTTACCAACCAAAAAAAGTCCAGGACCAGACGGATTCACAGCCGAATTCTACCAGAGGTACAAGGAGGAGCTAGTACCATTCCTTCTGAAACTATTCCAATCAATAGAAAAAGAGGGAATCCTCCCTAACTCATTTTATGAGGCCAGCATCATCCTGATACCAAAGCCTGGCAGAGACACAACAAAAAAAGAGAATTTTAGACAAATATCCCTAATGAACATCGATGCAAAAATCCATGATAAAATACTGGCAAACGAAATCCAGCAGCACGTCAAAAAGCTTATCCACCGTGATCAAGTGGGCTTCATCCCTGCGATGCAAGCCTGGTTCAACATACGCAAATCAATAAACATAATCCAGCACATAAACAGAATCAATGACAAAAACCACATAATTATCTCAATAAATGCAGAAAAGGCCTTCAACAAAATTCAACAACCTTCATGCTAAAAACTCTCAGTAAATTAGGTATTGATGGGACGTATCTCAAAATAATAAGAGCTATCTATGACAAACCCACAGCCAATATCATACTGAATGGGCAAAAACTGGAAGCATTCCCTTTGAAAACTGGCACAAGACAGGGATGCCCTCTCTCACCACTCCTATTCAACATAGTGTTGGAAGTTCTGGCCAGAGCAATCAGGCTGCAGAAGGAAATAAAGGGTATGCAATTAGGAAAAGAGGAAGTCAAATTGTCCGTTTGCAGATGACATGATTGTATGTCTAGGAAACACCATCATCTCAGCCCAAAATCTCCTTAAGCTGATAGGCAACTTCAGCAAAGTCTCAGGATACAAAATCAATCTGCAAAAATCACAAGCATTCTTATACACCAATAGCAGACAAACAGCCAAATCATGAGTGAACTCTCATTCGCAATTGCTTCAAAGACAATAAAATACCTAGGAATCCAACTAACAACGGACGTGAAGGACCTCTTCAAGGAGAACTACAAACCACTGCTCAATGAAATAAAGGAGGATACAAACAAATGGAAGAACATTCCATGCTCACAGGTAGGAAGAATCAATATTGTGAAAATGGCCATACTGCCCAAGGTAATTTACAGATTCAATGCCATCCCCATCAAGCTACCAATGACTTTCTTCACAGAATTGGAAAAACTACTTTAAAGTTCATATGGAACCAAAAAAGAGCCCGCATTGCCAAGTCAATCCTAAGCCAAAAGAACAAAGCTGGAGGCATCATGCTACCTGACTTCAAACTATACTACAAGGCTACAGTAACCAAAACAGCATGGTACTGGTACCAAAACAGAGATATAGACCAATGGAACACAACGGAGTCCTCAGAAATAACGCCGCATATCTACAACCATCTGATCTTTGACATACCTGACAAAACAAGCAATGGGGAAAGGATTCCCTCTTTAATAAATGGGGCTGGGAAAACTGGCTAGCCACATGTAGAAAGCTGAAACTGGATCCCTTCCTTACACCTTATACAAAAATTAATTCAAGATGGATTAAAGACTTAAATGTAAGACCTAAAAACCATAAAAACCCTAGAAGAAAACCTAGGCAATACCATTCAGGACATAGGCATGGGCAAGGACTTCATGTCTAAAACACCAAAAGCAATGGCAACAAAAGCCAAAATTGACAAATGGGTTCTAATTAAACTAAAGAGCTTCTGCACAGCAAAAGAAACTACCATCAGAGTGAACAGGCCACCTACAGAATGGGAGAACATTTTTGCAGTCTACTCATCTGACAAAGGGCTAATATCCAGAATCTACAATGAACTCAAACAAATTTACAAGAAATAAACAACCCCATCAACAAGTGGGTGAAGGATATGAACAGACACTTCTCAAAAGAAGACATTTATGCAGCCAACAGACACGTGAAAAAATGCTCATCATCACTGGCCATCAGAGAAATGCAAATCAAAACCACAATGAGATACCATCTCACACCAGTTAGAATGGTGATCATTAAAAAGTCAGGAAAAAATAGGTGCTGGAGAGGATGTGGAGAAATAGGAAAACTTTCACACTGTTGGTGGGACTGTAAACTAGTTTCAACCATTGTGGAAGTCAGTGTGGCTATTCCTCAGGGATCTAGAACTAGAAATACCATTTGACCCAGCAATCCCATTACTGGGTATATACCTAAAGGATTATAAAACATGCTGCTATAAAGACACATGCACACATATGTTTATTGCAGCACTATTCACGATAGCAAAGACTTGGAACCAAGCCAAATGTCCAACAATGATAGACTGGATTAAGAAAATGTGGGACATATACACCATGGAATACTATGCAGCCATAAAAAATGATGAGTTCATGTCCTTTGTAGGGACATGGATGAAGCTGGAAACCATCATTCTCAGCAAACTATCGCAAGGACAAAAAACCAAACACTGCATGTTCTCACTCATAGGTGGGAATTGAACAATGAGAACACATGGACACAGGAAGGAGAACATCACACACCAGGGCCTGTTGTGGGAGGAGGGGAGGGGGGAGGGATAACAATAGGAAATATACCTAATGTTAAATGACGAGTTAATGGGTGCAGCACACCAACATGGCACATGTATACCTATGTAACAAACCTGCACGTTGTGCACATGTACCCTAAAACTTTAATAAAAAAAATTACAATAAATTATTGTTAACTTTAAAAAAAAAAGAACTTTTAAATGTAGATTAATAAATGTTATAAATGAATGTATATACCTTGATTATGGCAATTTGAGCTATTGTCAAAATATCACGCACATGAAGACTGTTCTAAGTGACTCCAAGCAAATTCCTATCAGCATTTGCCTCCAGCAGCACCATTAGGAAGAGTGTAGTGGTCATGCTGCAAACAGCATCTACTCTCCCCAGGAAAGGTTCCTCCCCATGTCATGGCCGATTTGTGTCTTAAGTTCTAAAGTCAGAGTGTCAAGCCAAAAACCCACACAGAATGGCTTTGAAAATCCTTCGATTACTCATAAATAACTGTACATCTCTTGAAATGCCCAGAGCTAGCCCTGGCCTTGTCATGGGAAGACATGCCCTATATCTTTACACAGCTGTGCCTGGGAGGTACTTGAGGGACTTGATGATTTGTGACTTGCTTTCGTCCTTAATTTTTTGTGAGTCTTAATTTTATGAGATGAAAGCAGACTACAAGCCAAGAAAACTGATGAGACTGACATAAAGCTTCCCCTGTAACCCATCCCCATTCGCTGGTCATTCTGACAGATGGCCCTGGGAAGCCCACAGCCACCAAGACTCTAGTATTCTGTGAGGTTTAATAGATAGAAGTTATACACACTTGTTCATTTTTCCTAAAATGTTCTTAGATTAGAAACATGCTAGGTTACCTTCTCCTTTCTCCTACCCTGGATTTGAATACCTGGGAAAACATGTTTTCTTCTGCATTTCAATGATAACTCTCATGAATTCTTTGTATTGGTGTTTCCCAAAGTGTGACAGTGGACTGCTGCTGGTGGACCAGATGAATGTGGGTGGTGCACAGCTGAACATTTTTTGATATTGATAGTTATATTTTTGTTTTAATGTATATTAGAAAAAATTTAACAAGCATAACTATCCTAATGCTTCATGGATATAAATGCTTAGAATTAGTCAAAATGATGATATTCAAGATATTTAGGTGAAATGAAAAGAAGAGATATTAAAATTAGTAATAAAGTTGATATATACATTTGGCAAAAATGGTGAAAGTGGTTGCCTGCAGACTTGCAAATGGGAAAGTGTGTGCTCAATAAACAGAGCCATGAGACAGTTTCTTAAATGGCAAAGGATGTGGAAACTTTTGGAGACAGTTCTATAAAACAAGAGACAGCTCAGCATGCTCCATATGGAAAGATTTATTTCTCAGGCCCTCGAGTTTCCCTCACTGGTAAGTACAGCTGCTGGTGATACTGAGACAGGGTAGGGATTATTTTACTGTTATCATGCAGTTCTGTCTCATAAAGAAATGGTAGGAATCATTCAAGTCTTTCACCTTTCGAGTTAGAGAACCACATAATAGTAACTGAATTCCATCAGTCAGTCAGTCAACAATCACTTCAAAGCACCTCTGAGTGTTAGGCACTGGGCCAGGTGCTGGGATTAGAGGGGTGAGAAGGCCATACATTGCAAGGGTGTAAGCCTGGAAGTGACTTATATTAGCATTCCTGAAAGATCATTCTGGATGTCCCTGTGACTAGACAGGCAGCAAAACTAGAATGGACCAGGGAAGAGCTGATTGCAATAAGAGATGATGGCAGCTTGAACCGGGATAGTGATAGTGGCAATGGGGAGGAACAGGCAGATTCAAAAGATATTTCAGGATAGATTCAATAGACTCTGGTGACTGGTTAGACATCGTGGGTGAGAGAAAGAGAGGAATCACCAGAATGCTAGATTTCTGGTTTCAGAAGCCCCATGGAAGGTGATACCAGGTCCTCAGAATTCACACAACATATTGCTGGGGATCACAGCCTTGCACTCTAGAAGTATTGCAGTTTGTGGCTGGCATGTCAGTTCCTCCTCAAGGGTGCAAGTTGTGCCTTATCCTTTTGGTGTGAGGTCAGGCATGCAAAAGGCCTTTGATCAATGTTGACTAAAAGACTAGTTGAGAACTTAAGGTGTATGAACACATGGGGAATTAACTCATGATGTAGAGCAGTCCCTCTGCCTTATTTTAAATTTTATTTTAAAACAGTCATATTGAGGCTGAGCGTGGTGGCTCATACCTGTAAACCTAGCACTTTGGGAAGCTGAGGTGGGTGGATCACCTGAGGTCAGGAGTTCGAGACCAGCCTGGCCAACATGGTGAAACCCCATCTCTACTAAAAATACAAAAATTAGCTGGGCATAGTGGCGTGTGCCTGTAATCCCAGCTCCTTGGGAGGCTGAGGCAGGAGAATCGCTTGAACCCAGGAGGCGGAGGTTGTATTGAGCTGAGATCGCACCATTGCACTCCAGCCTGGGCAACAAGAGCAAGACTCTGTCTAAAAAAAAAAAAAGAAAATATTGAGACCAGACTCCTGTAACTCTGCCACTCCCAAGATCTGCTCATAAACACAGCATAGCCCTCCCTTTCTGCCTCAGAGACATAAGGAAAGGCAGAGCTGAGATCAGATGAGCAGCCCGAGGTATGTTTAAGGATGGTAGAGGGAGACCAAAGCCAGTAATCACACACAGACACATACATGCTATTAAAATAAATATGATACACATATATGTACATATAGGTATAGATATAAATAGATATGTAGGTATTGCTATATCTATAGTTTTAGTATATGTATATATACACTCACACAATCTTTATACAAATATATAAGTGTCTATATATCTCTCTAAAGCTTTAGATAGACACATACAAGTATGCATATATAGACATATATAGATATCTATAGCTATATGTGTGTATCTAAAGCTATATCTATATGTATCTAGACATCTATAGGTATATATACATGTATAAATACATATGTAGATATCTATATATCTATAGATATAGAGACAGATATAAATACATATATAGAATCTATACATACATTTGTAGATATCTATATATGTATTTATGTCTATTTATATCTGTATATCTATATATATCTAGACATCTATAGATATAAATACAGATAGATATAAATACATATATAGATATCTATAAATGTGGATATGTAGATACAGAGAGCCAGCACTTTTGGCTGGCTCTGTGTGGGAATCGGTGGCCTCTCTCTGAGTGGCCCCCTGTGAGGTGTCTTCAAGGGATTTTTAGGGAGTGGACATGCTCAGGTGAGATTGGAGCTCTAGAAAGAAAACAGATTTGTGAAGAAGACCCCCTTTGGGGATTCCCAGAAATGAAGGGACACTGAAGATCTACTTGTATGTGGGTTGAGTCTTGTGAAATAGGATTTCACTGGTTCAGAACAACATTAGAGCTGAAGACCAGAGCTGGGAAATTGGCCAGCTCCAGGTATTAGAAATCCAATAGGCTGGAAAGGGCATACCTATAATGACAGCTCTGGATGAAGTGTTGTAGGGTGAGAAGAAAAAAAATGATCAGCTTCCCTTAATGCACCTTTTCTCCATTGCAATTTTTAGAGATTCTATACTTCTGTGGCTAGCTGTATATATATTCTTTCTCCTCAAGTCTTTCGGCACTCTGAATATGAATGAAGATGCTTCACCAACCAGTTCAGATCCACATTCATTTAGTATTGGGATGTTTGTATTCTTGCTTTTGTTTCCGAAAAGCTTATACTATCACCTCTGGCCACATAGTATAAATCGTACTGTTTTCCCAACACCCAACTAAGACTCTAAGAGGTTTATACCTGAATAATTTGCTCAGGGCCAGGTAAGTCCTACACAGCAGATTCAGCCTGAGCCTATCTGACTGTCAAGTTTATTAATTTCCTGCTATGCCCACCTGCCATCTGTCTTTTCTGACTTTTTTACTATGAAAAACTTCTAGACAAGTTCAGAGAGTTGATAGCTCTCCTGGGCCCCTGCCCCTTGAAAACTCTAGGTGTCTATGAACATGTTTCAATCTAGTGGATTTCAGCACAGGCATGTCTGACTGAGTTCCTGAACCTTCCACTGAGCACCCTGATGTCTTCTCTTCCAAAGAACTCTTAAAGCATTACATTTTTTACCTTTTACCTGAGGGGCTTACACTAGTCCAAGGAACCAGAGAAATATTAAAGAGGGTGCATTTGATAGAACTTAGAGTCATAAGCCAGAAACCTTGCCAGAAAGAAATCTGTGATGCCCAGGAAGGGTTTCCACCCTCTGCTGTGATGCTGAGACAGGACAAAAGTGGGGCTGTGCTAGGGGGACAGTGATCAGGTGTGGGCCATTGAGCCCGGGCCATACCATGTCAGGCCCACTCAGGTAGTACATATCCTGCTCCTTCCTAATTTCCACTTTGTATTTTTAATTTTATTTTTATTTTTTATTTCCATAGGTTTTTAGGGAACAGGTGGTGTTTGGTTACATGAATTAGGTTTTTAGTGGTGATTTCTGAGATTTTGGTGCACCTGTCACCCGAGCAGTATACACTGTACCCCATGTGTAGTCTTTTATCCCTCACCCCAACTCCCACCTTTCCTTCTGAGTCCCCAAAGTCCACTGTATTATTATTATGCCTTTGCATCCTCATAGCTTAGCTCCCACTTATAAGTCAGAAGATGTAATATATGGTTTTTCATTCCTGAGTTACTTCACTTAGAATAATGGTCTCCAATTCCATCCAGGTTGCTGTGAATGCCGTTTCCAAGAGATACATGTGCAGGTGTGTTACAAGGGTATATTTTGTGATGCTGAGGTTTGGGTTTCTATTGATCCCATCACCCAGTTAGTAAACATAGTACCTGATGAGAAGTTCTTCAACCCTTGCCCCCTCCCTCCTATCCCCCTTTTGGAGTCCCCAGTGTCCCATCTTCATGTCCATACTTAATATTTAGCTCCCACTTACTAGTGACAACATGCCATATTTGGTTTTCTGATTCTGCCTTAATTTGCTTAGAATAATGGCCTCCAGCTGCATCCAGGTTGCTGCAAAGGAAGTGATTTAATTCCTTTTTTATGGCTGAATAGTATTCTGTGGTGTTTATGTACCACATTTACTTACTTTATCCAATCCACCACTGATGGGCACCTAGATTGATTGCTATTCTTTGCTATTGCCTAATTTCCACACTTTGTGTGTCTTGTGTTCACCTGCTCCTGCATATCATAGGCTCCTGTCTTACTAACTCACTCCTGTAACTCATAGTACCTGGCAGAGTGCTGTGAGAAAGTCAGTTCTAAGTCAGTATTTGTTAAATGTATGAAATAACCCATGTATATGTCTCAGGCATAGATATGCCATCAGGCATTATTTCTACAATTAATTAGGTCCATTCTCTGGCTTTATTGGCCATTATACTTGTGTCACTTGTTCCAAGGTAAAAGTGTGTGCACAAAATTAATAAGCCAAAACAATCATAGTTTTCAAAATAATACAGATGAAAGTATTGAAACATGGAAAATAGATTTCATAGGCAGATGATTTGGAACAATGCAGTTTGATTTCATTGGCACCAAATGGAAATATTTAATAATAGAAGTATTAGCTGTGTTGCTTCTCATGGATAACAGTCTTCCTTTTAGCATGCCAGTTGTATTGGAACCATGTCATGCCCGTCTTTTGAGTATCTTGTCTATAATGTATTTTGCAACACCATATATATAATATCATGTAATACTTTGCAAATCTCCTTTGTAACTGGGTCTATAATGTGGAAAATACATTAAATAAAATATGCAAGATATATAATGCATGCACACATATATATAATTAGAAATTGCAAAAAGTCTATTAAGGAGAAAATTCAGGTGCTTTGAGAGTCACAGGGGGATTTAATTTGACCTGATAGACAAGGGAAGGCCTTTCATGGAGAAATGGAGGTGGCCGAATGGAATTTAGCTGAGTTAATATTGGTACAAGGAGCTTCCATGAGGAGGGATCATGAGGGAAGGTCTCAAAGAAGAGAAGAATTTGGCATTTTCAAAGAAAAGAAAGAAGGTGCATATGGTTAAAGAATCAGATGAACTTGGAGGCATCCAGGCCATGTGAGTTCCTATTACACCCAGAGAAAAACTAGGGTCTGTGAAAGCATGCTAAGCAGGTGGGTGACCCCATCAAATTTCATTCAGGAAAGGTCCTTCTTGCCGTAGTTTAGAGAAGGAAAATAGAAGGAGAGAGGGAAGTTTAGTACCCAGCTTAGAAGGAGGCTGTTGTGGCAGAGCTTGCAGTAAGCCGAGACTGCGCCACTGTACTCCAGCCTGGGTGACAGAGCAAGACTCTGTCTCAAAAAAAAAGGAGGCTGCTGTGGTGGTCCCCAGGGCAGTGAGGTAGTGTTGAATTAGAGGAGTGACAGCAATGATGGATTCCAGATATGTTATATTTAGGGGCTAGAATATGTAGACCTGGATGGACTATGGCAGGTCAGGGGCATAATCAAGAAAACGTCCTGTTTCTGGCTTGAGCAGATGAGTGGTGGAGGGACCATTAACCGAGCCTCAGATGCCTATATTCTCACTTCAGGAATCTGTGATTGAGCACCTTCTCTTCCTGGGAGTTTTCATGTTAAATGTTGATTATGCTGCCCTGTAATTATAAAGACTAATACTTACTCCAGAAAATTCTGTATTTGCAGTATTCGTCTTCTAGCATTTGCACTTACTTTGACCACTGTTAAGACACAAAGTTGTTGAGCTGAATGGAAAACTGCTGTGGATGTGTTCCCTTAAGCAGCTAAATTAAATGGGACATGTTGTTGTGAGGGCTTATTTTTTTTAAGAGGCTGGGTCTTGCTCTGTTGCCCTGGCTGGGGTGCAGTGGCACAATCATGGGACCATAGTCTTGAGCTGCTGGGCTCGGGCAATCCTCCCACCTCAGCCTCCAGAGCAGTTATGACTACAGGTGTTCACTACCATGCCCAGCTAAGTGATCATTGCATGTGTGTGATGGCCTCAGCAAATGCTGGGGGGAAATGTCTTTACTTGGAGAAATAACTGATATTGGTTTAGTCTTTGGAGAAGTAACTTATATTGGTTTAGTCATCAGTGTCACTTGAAGACAGAGGCAGCCTCATTTTTGTCAGAATTCTGTACAGGCTAATGCATCCAGCCATGGAGAAAGCCGTTTCAAAATTCTGATCAGTTGTCAGAGGACCATTCATGTCCTAGGACTTGGCCATCATCATTCTCCTGTGAGCTACAGAGCAGGCTGTCCTCTGACTTTGCATTAGTTTAAATATATGTTAAAAAAAAAAAACCACACATGGAGAATCCTTTCTAAAACAGGCGATCCAATGAGGAAGTTATGGGAGGAAAGGGAATAGAAACGCCAACATACGTGAATGCTTCTGGCCTTAGCTCAGGTGTCCTCTCCTCATCAGTGTGCACAGTCTTGATTCAAACTCCCTCCATTCCTCACAGACATTGTGATGAGACAAGATTGACTTAACCTCCATGAACCTCAGTTTCTTCTTTTGCATATGCTGGCATTGTGTGCCGAGTATCTAATGTGGCTCCTGGCCCAGAGCAGACTACAGTGGGTTCTCCAGAGAAACAAAACCACTAGGATGTGTGTATGTGTGTGCAAGATTGACTGATTTTAAGGAGTTGGCTTAGATGATTATGAAAACTGGCATATCAAAATCTGCCGAATGGTCACAAGGCTTGAGAGCTAGGGAAGAGTTGCACTTCAGTCCAAAGGTGTTCTGCTGGCAGAATTCCCTCTTCTTCAGGGAGGTCAGTCTTTTTCTTAAGTCCTTTGATTGGATGAGGCTCATCCACATTATGCAGGGTGATCTGCCTTAATCAAAGTCTATAGGTTTAAATGTTAATCTTGTCTGAAAAACACCTTGACAAGAACACCCAGACCTTTCTACCCACATATCTGGGTACTGTGGCCTAGCCAAATTAACATACAAAATTAACCATCACACAGATTATCTAAAAATGCCTTTGCAGACACAACTGGCTGTCTTTTGCTGAGTTCAGTGGCCCTCCCAGTTCCTCTGGGGAAGACCCTGGGGTAGAGACTTCATGCTTCATAGCACTTGACTCCCATGGTTTTGTCTTTTCTTGGCTCTGAACTTCTCTGCACTTAGAATATTATATGGTACAAGGTAGCATTTCCATATATGTTTATTTAATAAAGGACCACATAAATTATGTAGGATCCATTTAAACAAGCAAAGGACAGAAATTTCAATAAGCTATGTATTTATTTATTCAGTATGAATTTAAAGCAATGGATAAATTTAGATATAAGCTTCAGGAAAGACGTTTAACATATTTTAAAATGAAGCCTGTTAAACTAATGCTATCCATTTTTTTCCAAAATGGTATTTTCTGTATTAAACTTTAGGGTATTTCTCTGGCTTAGCCAGGCTGTAAGTCCCTGCTTTGTCTCAGTTTCCTCTCCAGGGAAACAGGAGAGTGTGGTAGAAGGAAGAGAGTATATTGCAGTCACTCTGTGATTCCAGAATCAAGAGCCAGCTCAGACACAGGGGTACATGAACTGGAAGACACAGCCGAGGGAGAACAGCACTTCAGCAATATTGGTAATTATAGCAAGACCCTGCAGGACTCCTTACATCACAGTCTCCACATGGCCACTCGACCTCAGGAAGCCTGATGGTTCCTGAACCAGAAAATATGCTTATTCCAATCAGCCCCCAAGAGTGATATTGCTGAAAGAACACGAAGTCAAAAGAATTTCAGGTTCTCTGCAGATTTGCCTCTTGTCTTCTCATTTCCTTGTGCCCAGACAGGACCTAGGTAGCCTTAGGGATGCAGACACTGCGTGATGTTTCCAGCAGGTGCACCACTGAGTCCGTCTGCTCCCTGTGTGCTTCCTATTTCCTTGTTCAAAGCTTCTCCTGCCTGCCCTTGCTCCAGGCCTGAGGTTGAGGTGACAGGACTTACTGTCACAGAAGCCAAGACAAATGGATGGGCAGGGGAGGAAGAGAAATAGCAACACAGAGTGTTCCCTGCTGGAGTGAGACTTCCAGCAAGGTTGGGGTTGTGACAGCAGCAGGGAGAACAGAACTGTATGGGCCAAATGTGGAGACTGCCAGACCCTGCCATTGCTGGCGCCCTCTCCTAGGCACGGTCACCACAGTGGAGGGATGACAAACTGCTACTTCTTTTTTTTTTTTTTTTTGAGACGGAGTCTCACTCTGTCACCCAGGCTGGAGTGCAGTGGTGTGATCTCGGCTCCCTGCAAGCTCCGCCTCCCGGGTTCAAGCGATTCTCCTACCTCAGCCTCCCGAGTAGCTGGGACTCCAGGCACCTGCCACCACACCTGGCTAATTTTTTGTATTTTTAGTGGAGACGGGGTTTCACTGTGTTAGCCAGGATGGTCTTGATCTCCTGACCTCATGATCCGCCCGCCTCGGCCTCGGCCTCCCAAAGTGCTGGGATTACAGGTATGAGCCACCACGCCTGGCCCCAACTGCTACTTTTTAATGTGGAGGCTCAGGACTTCCTGAGCAGCCCTGCTGAAAAGCAATCTGAGATGGGCTTCAAGGGCATACATGTCTTCTGGATAAACAGGGCTGCCTCCTGGAATCAGAAACCCCTCACCTTACTGGGGATGCTATGTGTTAGATAGAGGCTTCATTTCCCAGTGGTTCCATTAAATGGTCACTCTGATGCTATTACTAATGCAATGATAAAACAGTGATTTTATCCCGTGACTGTGATGTATAGGTTCTGTGAATGCATACTTTATTTCCACTGCCTCCAGCAATTCTACAAAGTAGGCGTTATTGGCCTCATATTGCAGACATGGCAACTGAGGTCAGCGAGTTGAAATAACTTGCCAGGTCTTTCTGTTGCCAAAGTCTGTGCTCTCCATGCAACATTTTCTCAGTAAAGATGATTTTCCTTTCTCCTTTAAGGAATGAT